>NC_000006.12:127570790-130070790 GCF_000001405.40 Homo sapiens
AGCTCTAAAACTTTTTCCAGTATCGTCAAAGTCATCAGGTAATGTATGTTTTATTTAATATTTTTGAAAGTGCTCTTTCTTGAATCCCCCATCCTCATGATTCATAATATGATTGCTCTCTCCATCTCAATCTTCCCTTTATGAATATCATGGGAATTCCCCTCTTTTCTGTTTCACATTTCCTGTTTCTCAAACTCAGTGTTTTACCCTTTCTTGGTTTGCCTGTTTATTTGGTAGAACTTATATTCCAGGAGTTTCCAGTGAAAGTTTAAGAGGAAGAACATTTTTTGAGATCTTGCATATCAGAAATATTTCTATTTTAGCCCCACACCTGGCAGTTTGGCTGGATATTCAATTCTAGTTCTAGCTAGCTAGTTCTAGCTCCTCAGGATTTTGTAAGTATTGCTTCATTTTCTTCTACCTCCCAGTGCTTTATCTGAAGAGTTCAGTGGATTTCTTACTCATAATCCTTTCAATGTGACATAATTTTCCAGAGAAATTTTGGGGATTGCTATTATAATAAAACTCATAGGAGATACTTGTTTTCTCAATGGTCTCTGCAGAAATTACTCTATCTTTTAGTATTGAGTATTGCTGTGGCAAAATATGAATGACCCTGTTTATTCTGTCTTTGTATGTGACTTGTTTACTTTGCCTGAATTCCATTTACTCTGTCTTCATCTATTATGTTCAGTAATGTCACCAGGATATGGTTCAGTGCAGGCTATTCAGCATCTTTTTTTTTCTTTTTCTTTTTCTTTTTTTTTGCTGCCAAGTCAAGAAGTTCTTTATTTCAGGAAATCTTCCTTGCATTTTTTTATTCAACATTTTTTTTACTCTCTTCTTCAGATAGGAAAGAAAAATTATGTGTATTGGTCCTCTTCTTTCCCTATGTGTATAAACTTTTAAATAATTGTCATGTCTATTTCCAGTATTTATCCTTTTCTATTTCATTTTGAGTGATTTCTTCAGGATAGAATATTAAGTACCTGACATTATTTATATCATTTATAATTGCCACTTTTGTTGTTTCCTGTAACTATTTTATATTCTCTTCATCTCTAGAGCCCTTCAAGTCTATTTATCATCGTTTCTGATAGTTTCAAGTTTTTCAAGAGCTTATATCACTGTTTTGGAACACTTCATCTTAGTGATTTTTATTGTTCATAATTTCTGAGATGATAGGTAATTATTGTCTGAACTCTTTTTCTTTTTTATTAATTTTTATTTATTATTTATTTTTTGTTATACTTTAAGTTCTGGGATACATTCTGTGCAGAATGTGCAGGTTTGTTACATAGGTATACATGGGCCATGGTGGTTTGCTGCACCCATCGGCCTGTCATCTACATTAGGTATTCTTCCTAATGCTATCCCTCCCCTAGCCCTCTACCCGCCGACAGGCCCTGGTGTGTGATGTTCTCCTCCCTGTGCCCCTGTGATCTCATTGTGTCTGAACTCTTTTTCTGTCTTCTAGTACAGTTTCTCTTGTGATATAAATTGTTTGTATTTTGATTGTCTTATTTCCCCATTTTCCCCCAAAATATCTTTTAAGGATATTTTTTCATTTTATTCATATATATTTTCCAATTTCTATTATGACGTATCATTGCTTGCTAAGATTATGGTTATCTTGAATGGGGTCAGTTTAGGAATATCTGAAGAAAGGACACAGGAAGAATGAACTAGTAAAGCCTACAGCGTTGATATAAACACAGTTGCCTTAATAAATCTCTATCAAATCTGTACTTACTTTTTCCACAATCATGTCTCTCCTTAACTGTCTGAATCAATATATTTTGAATTTTTTCTGGGTAATTATCAGGATCCAGGTGTTTGGGGCAGCACACAGTAAAACCCCTCATCTCATCAGCTCTTAGTTGTATTATCTGGTGACTTCCCCTTCTTTTCCCTCCTTTACCAAGTTGCACATCTGACAGTGTCCTCTCTCAAAGGGGAAAAATTACAGATAATCAGAGTAACACGTTGGCCTGATTTATCTTTCAATGAAGATTTTAAATCATATCTCTAGTACAATATTTTAAAATCACTTATCTAGTTATATTCCATGTTGTGACTCTAGACCTGACAAAAAGGTAATGCATAACCTGTATTACATCAAGGAATTCAGTAAATATCTTTGTCTTCATGTGTAGCATATTTTATATTATCTGATAAATATGCTTCATAGTCTGTGATTTTCAAATACATTCATATCCTTGTTCCAAGGAAGATGTCATCTTGGTGGTTTCTTTTTTGCTTTCATTCTCAATATTTCATCATAAGGAAAAGCGTGAAAATCCTTTTACACTGGAGTAAATAGGAACCACTTTCAGAGAAAACAGTATACCCATAGGATATTTAATCAGGAAAAATATAATTACTCTAATATACTAAAATGTTTGTATAAATACAGGTAATATAACTCCCCAAATTAACTGTAAGATAATACTTCTTCTTAAGTGTCAGCCAGTTAAGTATTTTGGAATATTTGCCAAGAATTGTTTTTATGTTAGGAAAGTTAACCATAGCTTTTCTTTTTGTCAATTTTTTAAAAAGTTTTTGATTCTTACCACTCTACATGTGTGGCCATGAGCTGTGTGTTTTGCAAACAAAAGAATCTAAGCTTTTCTACTGTTATTGAGGATGGGAAAAGGAACAGGATGATGACTGCACTGAACTAATTCAATAATATAACCAAATCATTGATAAGTCAAGGTGCATATTAAAAAGAATATAGAAATGGATCAAACATATTCCAGAGTGGTTGTTTAATTTTAATGAAAGGCTTTAAAAATGTTTACATAGTTTTGTACTCTTTTACTCCTTTTGCCTACATCTTCTTATTTAGGTTTTTCCCATTCCTCTGTGTAATAAGAAATAATGGTTTTACTATTCTCTTTTTGTAGAGGAGTAAATTTAGGGTCCTCAAATTCACATTGCTAGTAACAAGCTTAAGTTGACATTACAGATCCCCTGTCTTCAATCTCCTGACAGTTGCCTCAACAAGGCCATCTAAATATACACTTGCAATCAGCATTCTAGGAAAATGAATAAAATAGCTTCAAGTGCCATAAAATGCAGATTTTTTTGAACACAATTTCTTCTCTTAATTAAGTTAAAATTTCCCTGTAATATTATTTGCATCATTATTTTGTGGCACAATACAACATAGCCTACAAGTGCCCTGGCTTTGACATCAGGCAGGCCTGGGATCAAAATTAGGCTTTCTCATCTGGGACCTGTATGTGATTTTGGGTAAGTCCTTAACCCTGATAAGTCTTAGTTTTATTATTGGTAAATTAGGATACTAATATTTATTTCACATTGATCTTTTCAAGTTTGAGTAATTGTATGTGTGTGACTCAAACATATAATTGTCTATCCAGTATCTAATACTAATTATCTTTTCAAATATCACAAACTTACCTTGAAAAGAAGTTATAATTAGTGGATTTAGGAGCAGTAAAACTATTTCTACTTTATAGTTAAGAAAAAATGGGCACAGAAATGTTGAAAGACAAAATTAGAATGTCTGTTCAGATTAGGTTCTCCAAGCAGTACAAATCCATAAAAAAAAATTGCCTTAAGTTAAAATTTTATTTCTTTCATAGAGACAGCAATCAGAAGTAGACAATCTAGAGCTGTAGAGACTAGAAACCAAAAGTCTTCTATTTTATTGTTCTCCTACCTTTTCTTGCTCCTTCATAATCTAAGACAGCATCAGTCTCTAGTTACATTTACATTCCAGCCAGCAGAGGAAGAAATAACAAAGAATAAAGGACAAGGTATAAAGGAGATTCCTTGAAAGCTGCAACTTAACAATTTGGCCACAGCTTTATCAAGTAGCTACATCTAGCAGTGAGACTAAATAATATAATCTCTATTCCAGGAAGACTCTGTTGTGCTAAGGATTAAGGGTGTTCTTACAAAGAAATAAGAGAAGAGTGAATATCACGTTATGTAACTATCAGTGCATGCCGTGATATGTTTGATGTTCATTTGAGGTTTATTTGTAAGCGTCTAACTTATTTCCTCTTCTATTAATAATTTTTGCATGAGAAGATCCAGATTCTACTATTGACATTATTTCTTTTATATCCTTAACAAATATCTTTCCATCAAGATGTGCTCTTACTTTTTTCCCACTGTATATGGGATTCCAATAACTACTCCACTAGTGGACATAGAAGCAATGTCTAGATCTAGTTCCAGTATAGCTCCTCTTTAAATTCTCATTTGTATTTTGGTCTTCATTTAAAATCTTTCTCTAATATAGTTCAATATTTCTGTTTTATTTAACCTGTAACTGGTCACACTATTACATCAATGACTGTGGTGTGTTACTTTAATTTTTGAGGGCTTATAATAATCTTCTAATATCTGTTATGGAAAGTTTCCTTTCACTATTATTATCCATTATTATTAGAGTTTTTGTATTTTCTTCATAATTTATTTTTTAGGCAAATTTTAGCCTCAGTCCTAAAAATCTTTCCAGAAAGCACATCTAAAAATCCTGTTAATATTTCTCATTTATTGTACAAATTTATAAATTAACATGTTGATAATGTTGAGTCTATTGAGAAACATTGTATGACTTTAAAACTGTTCAATTTTTTTGTAGTCTTAGAGATTTTTCCAAACAGATCTACCATAATTATACATTTATATGTTGGCCCTTTTGTTGACAATAAAATGAGGACTTTTCTTCCATTTTCACCTATTATATTTCCCAATTGCTTTTATATATAAAAGCTATTGATTTATATATAGTAATTTAGTTCTTAACCACTTTAGTAAATTTTTTCTTTGTAGTTACCCTTCTAGTTTATTCTCTTATGTTTTCTGAACACTGTCATATCATCTATAAGGGAAAGTACTAGCACATCTTCATTCTCAATTTTATACCTCTAATTTATTTATCTTTACTAACTTTATTGTTTGGTATCCTCAAAGAAAAGTTAAATGATTATAATGCTGGTGGTCATTTTTATTTTATTTCTGACCTTAAAGGAGTGCTCTTAAGATTTCTCCATTGAGAACAATCTGGCATTTGGTTTTAGAGTAACACATCTTACAGTACATATTCACGTATATATTCTTATAAACATTTAATATACTTTTAAAATTTCCAGAATGATTGCATTCTTGATCTATAGTAGCAATTCCTACCATTCCCTTTTATATTAATATATCTGGAAAATTTATTAATTATCAAATGGCTATTGGGTAAATAATATGACAGGAAAAAAGAGTGGAATCATGCTGTAGGATGTTTAATGTGGACCATGCCAGGAACAAGCAGTACCAGTGACCTACTATGAAGCATATGCATCTAATTGTGTAAATAATTGAGATTTTCAGATGCATTACCTATTAATAAGGCAAGAATTTTTACTATGTGTGAATAAAACTTCAATAACAGTGGTTGAAACAAGAGAGTGGGGTGTTTCTTGCTCAGGTAAAACTCAGATATAGGAATTCAAGGACATCTCATGGCTCCACAGCCCTCTGGGACTCAAGCCACCTCCAGCTTTGCATTCTGTCATCCCTAAGATAGTGCCTTGCGTTTAGGGGTCAGAATTGAATTTCAATCATCACATCAATAATCCAAGCCACAACATGGAGGAAGGGAAGAGGAATTGACATGTGCCCTTCATTTTAGGACATGTTCCAGAAATTGTGGATACTATTTCTATTTATGTCTCTGTGGTCCACACTTAGTCACATGGTTGCTTGTGTAAAGCAAATTGGAAATTTAGCCTTAATTCTGGGAGACCATATTCCCAGCTAAAATTCTACGATTCTTTTACTAATAAAGAATGAAAAATAGATATTAAGAATTAACTAGCAGGTTTTGTTCCAGCAGGCTGACTTTCATTATTGAATTGAGCTAATTAGATATTCTTTAAGCTTCTTTCTTGAAGCAGAACATTGTATTACAACTGGATCACACATATTTTTAGTACACATTTGAAGATTATTATAAATCCTAGTATTTCCATCTCCAGCTATTTAATATTTTCCATGAAATATGTTAAAGTATTTTTATTAGAGGGAAGCATTCTAAAGCCATTTGTGATGTATTTTGTAATCACAATGCAGCCTGGGAAACTTCTGGAAGGTTTTTGTTGATAAATAGTTTTATCTAATACATTATAAACAAGCCTAACCTTGTATTTAGGTTCTGACACAGTATTCTGACGCTGAAGAGTCTGGGAAATTTAATTGTCCTAAATGTTAGCTAATACATCAATTTCTTCTACATTTTCACCCTATCCAGGAAAACAAAAAAGCAAAGTGTTGATATGCTGTGAGGTTAGCAAATATCATGACTTCCTCTTCCATTCTCCAATAAAAGCCCTGCTACGATCGCAATCCCCAGCTCTGGCACAATGGCTTTTCTTCCTTCCTGGGTTTGTGTACTAGTTGGTTCCTTTTCTGCTTCCTTAGCAGGGACTTCCAATCTCTCAGAGACAGAGCCCCCTCTGTGGAAGGAGAGTCCTGGTCAGCTCAGTGACTACAGGGTGGAGAACAGCATGTACATTATTAATCCCTGGGTATACCTTGAGAGAATGGGGATGTATAAAATCATATTGAATCAGACAGCCAGGTATTTTGCAAAATTTGCACCAGATAATGAACAGAATATTTTATGGGGGTTGCCTCTGCAGTATGGCTGGCAATATAGGACAGGTAAGAATGACTCTTGTTTTCATTGTAATGATCTACCGATAGACCTATGAAGTATTTGGGAAATTGGACTCTGTATATACCCTACTATGTTTTTAAAAATTGATTCTTTATCTTGTTCTCTTTTCCCTTATAATCATTGTTTTTCTACCTATCCTTCTCCTTATCCACAAATCCTTCTTTTGTGGGTTGTGTGTTATTATTAGAAGCTTCAATGAGGCATAAGACATAGTTATCAACTGTGAAAAGACATCACATCTCATCTATTGAGCATTTCACAAATATTTGTTGAAGTTCTACTAAGTGCCACACTCCTTTCTAAGCAATGAGATGAACAAAACAGTCAAGGGGATATACAAAGTGATGTCCAATTAGTTTGAATTTCTTGAAGTTCTAATTATGATATGAGGTTATAAAGAAGCATCACATTGTTCATGAAGATCTTTCTCTGTAAAATGTTTGCTTCCTCTTGGAAATAAGGTACCTTACAGTGTATAGACAGAAGTTACATTTTGGGATAAAATATACATGAATTGAAAGATACTTTTGTTCTGGTTGATAGAAGCTCATGAGAAAGAGTGGTGCCTGTTGCCCACTCCCTGCTGATGACACAGCCAATAAAGAAATTATTGTGTGTGAGAGAGAGGTTAAGAAAAGAGCAATTTCATTTGGAAGAAAAACAATGATTATTTTCTAATATTTACATAATGCATATTACAGGTGAAACACCTTTGGTGCTTTTTCTCACCTCACATCACAACCTTATAATGTAGTTAATATTATTATCCCCATGTCATAGATGAGAAAACTAAGGCATTAGAGGTTATTTAGATAAAGTCAAGCTAGTAAGTGGTAGAGCAGGGGTTTGTTTTGACTCTCGACCATCTCTTTTCATCTGTATGCATATTGCTTCATAGTTTCGATTAGAAGGTAGAGGAGGAAATAGAAGAGAGTATCCTTACAAAAGTAAATAATATTTAGGACCTATAACTCAAAAGTAGAAAACTGTGTTGTTAAGGAAAAGGAAAGAAATTAGAAACTAAAAAATAAAAGATAAAAAAAGAATGATGGGAATACAAACACATATCATTCAGAAATAAATGCTTTTGTATCTACAAACAAAATCTATGTGGTTAAGCAATAGTTACAGCCAGTTTCAAAATGCGTATAATAAATACGACTGTGCATCCTCTCTCCTCCAGGCAGATTAGCTGATCCAACCCGAAGGACAAACTGTGGCTATGAATCTGGAGATCATATGTGCATCTCTGTGGACAGTTGGTGGGCTGGTATGTTCGTTTAAGTGGCAAAATAGATATTAACCTTTCCTGAAAGAAAGCATTCAAACCTAAAATCTTAGGGACAGAGACAGAACTAAAATAATCCTGTTCCTATTTTAAAAAGGAATCTATTTCACCGTGTACCTTATGGCCTTTAGGTCACTTTAAGGGATTTAAGAGCCACAATGTCAATAATGATTCCTTAGGACATATCCAGCTTTTCACAGAAGGACGAAAACAAGGTTCTGCAAAAGCAGTGGCCTCTGAGGGGCCAGCTCTGGTAGTTAGGTGGGAGGTCCAACTGATGACAAAGAATCTCCAGAATAAGGAACGATGAGAAGTGAGACATCAAGACAAATGATGCTTTTTCATTTTGCTCAGACCAGATGTGGTTAATATTGAAACCCATAAACATGCCAGAGATTAATACCTACTGCAATTCATTATACCAATCAGTAATCTCAGGCTTTAATCATATACTTAATGCTAAAATAACCAGAAGGTATTTTCTAATTCTTTCATTTAATTTTATGCTTTAGTAATGAAAACAATTTATACCACAAATCCTTAGAGGTATTTCTCAATAGTTAGAAACACGACCACATTAAATTTCACTTTTTCAGGGCAACACACATCATATGTATCCTTAAGCATTTTCCACTTACTACCCCTAGTTCTTTTAAAAGACTCGCGAATAGTAGTGGCCACAGATCTAGAATTCAGAGTTTGTTATTCTTAGATTGGTTTAGTAGTTTGGAGGATTAGCCTGCTACACTGTGGCATAGGATTCCATTCACAAATGCCTGTCTAGGATGAAATATTCTACATCACTGATTTCTAGTGGAAATCAGTATAAGCCTAATATCCAACTAATGAAAATGTCTGAGTCTGCTGGAATAGGTGATATATAGGTAAAATTTTTTAAAATGTGAAAATAGTCATGTTTGATTGTCAGTCTAATGGTCTATTGTCAAAACTTACCCAAAATTTGTGCTTTAAAGGATAAAATAAGATAAAAATTTAGTGATATCATGATTACAAATTAAACTTATGTGTATAAAATAGAAAACATTCATTTACCAAAGCTATAATCATGTTAAAATATTTTAGAGAAAAATACAAGTACAATTCACAATAAAACCGTAATGAGAGGTTTTGTACCATTTTGTGGAAAAGTTGATAGCTTTCTTCCATTCTTACTTAATGCTTTGAAAAAATGAATATTATGATATCCATTAAAATTACTTTTTGTTTTAAAATATAGTCAACTACTTTAGCCAATATGTTATATATTTATGACTATAAGGTTATTAACAGAAATGCAATCAAAGTTATATATTTGATCCTTAGGGGGATTTTTGTTCAATATTTTTTTCCTAATGGTTAGCTTTTATAATGTTTCTGGGTCTGTGAATTTTTTTATGACTTATGCCTTCCTTAAAAATATCCTCTTTGAAATTTGTTAGTGCTTGTAGTAATAGTAAATCTTTTGTTCTTACAGATTTGAATTATTTTCTGTCTTCATTACCCTTTCTTGCTGCGGTTGATTCTGGTGTAATGGGGATATCATCAGACCAAGTCAGGCTTTTGCCCCCACCCAAGAATGAGAGGAAGTTTTGTTATGATGTTTCTAGCTGTCGTTCATCCTTCCCTGAGACAATGAACAAGTGGAACACCTTTTACCAGGTTCCTTCTTTATACTCTTACGAGATAGGAAGAGAGTTTATTTTGTCATATAATTTCGTCTAGGATTTTTTTGTGCATTACATAATATTTTCCTTAGTATGCAGATGTAAATTGCTATGCATGATATATTAATAGTATATTGTAGAGTGTTATGAGTCATTAACACCTACTGCCTCAATACAGCATTAACATAAATCTATCCATTCTTCTTGCCTCAAATACATTATACAAAAATGGTGAGCATACAGGATATTTTGCTGAATGATTAATAAGCTATTCTGATTAATTGAGTCTTCATGTCCACTAGGATATTGGAAGAAATTTGACTAAAATCAATGAAGAAAAGATATATTTACTAGTACTTTAGTAGATTATTGCATTAGTTTAGATCTAATGAAACATTTTAAGAAGATATTTTTGTTACTCACGATTTTATGGTAATTTTAACAGTGTTAACAGGAAAAAATAAAGGCCTGATCGGTATAAAATATAAACTCTGAAAATACTTGAAGTTCAATACTTATAGATGCATATGCTATTATTAAAACTAATGAATATTTTTGTGTTATTTAAAGAGTGTTAGGCATTAAGGCCATATACATACTTTTTCTTAGAAATAAAATTCTTCTTTTATGTACAATATTGCTAAAATATATCTGAACATGACTAAATTTCAGGGAGAAGGATTTTATAGTTGCTCAAATATTAATAAATTTGACCTCTTTACCTTAGTATTTGCAGTCACCTTTTAGTAAGTTTGATGATCTGTTGAAGTACTTATGGGCTGCACACACTTCAACCTTGGCAGATAATATCAAAAGTTTTGAAGACAGGTAAGAATGAATCTTTAAAGTATCTCTATTTAATATGATAAATAATTTTGGGCATTATTTATATATTTTTCTTCTTCTTCTAGAGTGTTTTTCAATCTTTATATTAAATAATAAGCCTAACCATTGGAGATTATAGTGAGGATGTGTAAATATTTTAACATGATCAGGCTTAAAAAAGTGTTTTATGAAGAAGGGGAAAATTTTGAGAAAAAAAAGCCTTGCATGAAAAAACAAAAAAAAAAGCAACAGACAATACATTTTCCTAAATGTAGAAAACAAAATATAATATAAATATGTAGATGACCTTTATTATTTAATCATAGACACTGTTACAAGAAAAACTATAGATAAGATAAATGTAGCAGAATTCACTTAAGCAATGAATGATTCATTAATCAGCATCATCCTGAACCAGTAGAGGTTCAGAGAGCTTCACCCAGTGATGTGGGCAGGCAGTATTTATAGACAGAAAAAGAAAGTGACATATGGAAACACCTTGATTGGTTACAGCTCAGATTTGCCTCATTTGGACATAGTGTGGTGAGAAATTTGCCTTGTATAGGCATGGTTTGATCAGTTGGCAGCCTGTGATTGGCTGAAGCTCAGCTGCCATGATTGGCTGAGACCCATATTTGTTACAAGAAAATACTCTTAAGTTTGGTTGCAGTTTGTTTACAAACTACATTAAGTTGCAGTTTGCTACATATCGTGGCAATTTTAGGCCAAACTTAATTTAACAATTCCCCACCTTTTGGTCTGCCTCTCAATTTTGAGAGGTTGACCAAAACCTTGGGCATTGACATCACTCTCTGTCACTTTCATCATTGACTTATTTGGTATCAGTATGGAATTCACAGTTCACAAATCAGGACAGTTGACTGATTATTTATGTTCTCTTTATGTTTTCATTATTCTAATTTTAATGAGACCATTTGACATAGAATGAATAGCTGCATAAGAGGATTTAAGACTCTGGGGAGGTTAAGGTGCACCAGGGAAACTATTATGATGGCTGTCAGGAGGCTGATACTAAGAGACAGAAGGAACCTCAATGAATTGAACCAACATAAATCAAATATATAAATAATAAGCCAGAAGAAAAATCTACTTGTTTTAACCAATTGGCTTGTTTGTTGATTTCTTACAACTGAGCTTCTACCCTACCTGATGAATTTACTTAAGTACAGGAGGGAGTGTTAGCTAGCGCACATATTCCTCCCTAAAGGTAGTCCAAAGCAATCCGGTTACCTAATATGCCTTTAGCAAGAAAATCTAAAGAAGTTTGCTGGCCAATTGTAGCCTTTGCAGTAGAGTCAGCTGTAGTAACTAATGTATGAGACGTATTTCTAAGCATAACCTCCTTTACATTTATACAAAGCCAGGGAAGGAATTTTTTACCCAACAATACCCATTAAGAAGAATTCATACCTGCTGGTAAATTCCTCTTTATTCCATAGTTCAAATTAAGAGTTGCAGACCAATATCCAGTTTCCAATTAGTTATGGAGTGACAGGAGTACTCTTGGAATCCCTTAATTGTCGGTGGCTCCTTATTTTGTAATTATTGAGACATGGATTTGCCCACATATATGGTTGGTTGTTAAATCCTCCACAAATAAAAATATATTCTGGAAGAACCCTACAGATAGTCTCCTGTGTGAGATGCCTTGTGCGTTATGAGTCAGCATTATGAGTCAGCATTAGTAATATTTGTCTAAGGCCTCATTTTTTAATCATTGTATGGTTAGAAGATACTAGCAACTAAAGGATTAGGGTTATAAATTTGCCTACAAACGTCGAATTATCTTCCTTTTGTTTTTCAAATTCAATTCTGGCTTAATTTAATTACCATACTCTCATTATAGGTTTTGCCTACTGTTAGATTTAAACAGGCAATCTGAATATTTGAATCTAAAAGTCTAGCTGTTTAGAAAGAACTAGATATTGCACATGGAATATCAGTGAAATTTCTTACAGGGTGAACCAGAGTATCTCTAAGATCATGTGAGGATTTAGGTTTAACATGACATATGCAATACTCAGTTAAGTTCCATGCAGAAGTAATTGAGTATGAAATCTTCATTATCACATTATATTGCCATGTGTAGACAGAAAAGAAACATGGGCCAAAAAGGAAAAGGAGAAAAGACTTCATGTTGACAGAGGAGAAAAGACTTTATTCATGATCTTGGGAAAGCTGTCTACATCAAGGATGCCATCTTCTTCTGGGGAAAAAAAACGTTCCTAGTAAGCTTTACCTGGAGATCTCCGATGGGTGTACAGTCCCAGGGGTCTGGAGGGGCTCTCTTGAGTTGAGAAATGTGGATCCAAGACTCAAATCCCTGAAGTTGTGCTGCAAAAAAGAGCTTGGTGTGGTACCTTCTGATGGAGTTCAAAGGCAGTCTTTCTTTGGTGTCGTTTCCAAAAGAACTGATCTCTAGGTTCTAGAACATGGAAAATCTGGTTGTTATCAGCTGGTGGGCTGCAAAGGGCTTCTTTTATCTGGTGAAAATATGCTTTGGCAAAATGCATTGAAGCCTCATAATTTTGAGTCATATCAGAGTTTAGAAGAACATGAGATATATGAGATTTTATTATTAGAGACATAGTCCTTCCAAAAACTATTTCATAAAGAGTCAATCTGTCTTTTCCTATAGGAGTGGATTTGATTGCTGTCAATCAGTAGGACCTTTGACCAATGCAATCCAACAAATTCTATTAACTTTTTCTAATGCCATTTTGTTTGTAATACCTTTTTAAACTGTTTTACAACTTTTCTGATAAAATGAGTGCCTATATTGCTAGAGATGTTTCCAGGAATGCCCTATAAGGACATTTTCTAATAACCTTTTCACTATTGTTATAGCATTTGCCTTCTCGCATAGAAAAGCACTTATAAAACCAGAAAATATGCACTGAAGGTGGCAATTGAATTAAATATGTCTGTAGGTGTTCAAATGATCCAGCATGTGCCAAAAATATATCACTTGAGGTTTTTATTGCCTTACCAGCATTATCAGTTTAACAAACCAAATATTAGTGATAAGGCATTTCAGAATAGTCACTCCACCAATATTTTCCTCATAGTTTGGATTATTTTATCTCTTCCATGATGAGTATAGAGTTTTTAATAATGGAAGCTTTTAGGACCCAGGAAGGACTAGGAAGCCATCTGTGCTTTCCATGAGTCCATATTTAACATTGAATTTATATTTTTTTAAATGTCAGTTTTGGCTGGCACACCCAGCACTTTGGGATGCCAATGCAGGCAGATCACGAGGTCAGGAGTTCAAGACCAGCCTGGCCAATATGGGAAACCCCGTCTCTAGTAAAAATACAGAAATTAGCCAGGCGTGGTGTTGCAGGCCTGTAGTACCAGCTACTTGGGAGGCTGAGGCAGAAGAATTGCTTGAACCCGGGAGGCAGAGGTTGCAGTGAGCTGAGATTGCACCACTGCACTCCAGAGATTGGGGACTGGGTGACAGAGTGAGACTCCATCTCCAAAAAAAAAAAAAAAAGTCAGTTTTGTATTTCCAAATCAGGTCAATAGCTTGCTTATTAAATAGGTTATCATAGGTAATTTGACTTGAGTCAACCTCATGATATTTGTTCAAACTGCTTATCTAAACAATTTCAGTTCTGGCTGACATAGCATGAAAATCTGCCAAAGCATTTTCTTAGTAATCAATTAATTCTTGTTCTACTTGATGTTGGGTTAGAAGTTTTATGAATCAATCAATCTCTTCCTAACAGTTCTGGGAACTCTCATTCGGTCCAATGGGATGATCAGATTTCTAGGAATTTCATAAAATTTCTGGAACATATATTAATAACACATCCATACAAATACAACTTAAAGAAGGTTTAACATTACTTATTATTTGACAATGCTTTCCATATTATTTATCAAATAGGCCCAATTACTTTAACATCTCTCTTTTTGTAAGGACGGATATCCTTTTGAGATGTCCCAAAGGCCCATCTGCAAAGCCCCAAAATTAATTTGAGGTCAATAAAAATACTTGATTTAGAATTTGATTTTTTGGAAGCTTGCCAAAAATATCAAAGGTTTAAAATACTTGATCAAAATAGGATCACAGATCACTTGGAAATAATAGTCATCCATTTTAATCAGAGTGATAATTTAAAGACTTTAAAGGCAAATGCAGAAAAATTACATAGTTATAGAAAAACCTTCGATCTTTTATAGAGAGGACTCAGTTGTTTAAATGATCAAAAAACCTAATGAAGACAACATGAAGCACAGGAAATTATCTTAGTAAAATGTGGAATCTTTGTTTTGTAGGACAATTACTTCAAGGGTAAAGAAAAACTTTTCACAGTGTCATACTAAGAACAGACTAATACTCCAAGAAAACCTTGGCTTAACACAGGGAAACAAATTCTAGTTTTGCATCAGTGTACCTTTGATATTAATGCTTGATTTTTAGAAAAACGTATAAATAATTCTCTTCTAATTTTAGCCAACTTGATCAACACAAAATTTTTTTTCACAAGATTTATCTTTCACACACCTTTTATAACTTTCTTATACATTCAGTTTTTGTCCTATACTTCCTCTCTTCTCATTTTGGAACAACCTGTCATTCCATACCCGGATAAAATTTGCTCTTCTGTTTCTTGAACAAAACGAAATATCCTCATATATTATAGCTTTTCTTACCAAAAGCACATTTTACCTGTCTACTTGCATATAGCTTTGTTTTCCTTATTTCTAGTGATTTCAATTATATATAATTAAGAATCTTAACTCATATTAACCTAAATTTCCAGTGAACACTAGGAAACAAGCAATTGTGAACTGTTGTGCCAGTAATCTGTAGACTGATAAATCTATGAATTATACTTTCTAGAAGCACGTGTTTTCTCATGGTAAATTTGTCAGTGTGGCACAAAATATGTTTATTAACAGTCCCAAAAAGCAAAGGAAAAGTCAGGCACACAGACTTTCAGTCAGGCACACTGACAGGAAAAGTCAGGCACACAGACGCTTCGAAGGGTGAGGGGAATGGAATTTATGGGGCAAAAAGGAAAAAGGAAAAATAATTCTCAGCAAACCAAGAGAGTCCTGCTAGCAGGTTTCCTACCTCACAGTTTGAACAACAGGCCACCACTCGAGCTGAAGAGAGCAGGCTCCTCCCCTGTGTAAGGTGCAAATTCCCTGTGGCTCCACCCCATGCTGCCAGTGAGCATGCGGGCATGCTCAGACAAGGCCCTGGGCATGTTTCCTCATCTGCACAAAAGCATCTGAGGTAAACACTTGTGGGGAAGGTTGGAGGATCTCTGGGGACCCCTTTTTATCTGCCTAGGCATTTGGCTGTCTCAACACTATGGTTCCAATAACTTCAAGTCTTTTCTCTTGAGCTCACCCAGTTTCCAGAAGAGACTCTTTCAGTCACCTGCTTCAGAAGTGAAGGCCTGGCTGTTAGTATTATTGAAGTCAAGAGAGAAGGAAGAAGCAAGGGGAGAGTGTCTTTGCATTCAGTATATCATTTACACTTATATCCTGTTTCCAAGGTGGTGTTCCTACCTTCAACCATGTTTAGTTCACACAGTTCAAGGACCCTCTGTTCTACCCTTTCCAGGGCAAGGAGTGGCAGTTACCTACTATTTGAAATCTGGAAGGAAATCTTTGTATATGATTGCTTCTTTAAAGTCTTTTAATCTCCCTGATTTTAGCAATCTCCTTTTACCCAGAAGGTATTACTAAGACTTAAATCGAGGAGAATTCTACAAATTATATCAGCATTATTTTTCTATTTTCCTCTCTGTTTACTTAGAATTTAATTTTCTTGATTCTATTAAATCTTTTCAACTAGTTCTTTTCAATTTTCAGCTTCCAAAATCTTGTTGTTCCCCACGTGTTCTGATTTTATTTCTTGTGTCATTTTTATGGAGATTTGTTAGGTTGCAAAAGTACAAGTATTTGTTAAAAACAGCATTTTTACTAAAAAACTCTTTTACCTAAAAATTCCCTTCTATTGTCTCTTTAATTGGGATCAGTTCAGAATATAATAAAATATTGTGTTATGGATAAATTTATATATAGGTGCACTATTAAGAAAGCTAAAAATACATGTTTTCTATTAATTCACCTCACTGAAAGTTTAATAATAGTTCCTCAGGCAATTTGAATATTTTCAAAGGCTTATATTGGCAAAAGGTAAATCTTTTAATATGATTATTTTGGAAGATTTCAAATACCTGCTTATGTGCTCTGATTTGTTAATCTACCTGTTTATGAGGTCTCTGCTTTGTCAAGGTCTATGAATTCATATTACAAGATTCAAGGCTAATGATTGTTCCTTGAAATGAAGTAATAATGTACAAATTAAGATGTTTTGCTTTGAAGTTCCACAGACCTGAGTTTTAAATCCTGGCTCATTTGACCTAGGAGTTCAAACAAGGAGAAACTCAATTTTCTTATTTTTAAAATAGCAATAACAATAGTACATGCCACATAGGGCAATTTTGAGGATTAATTAAGAAATCCATAGGTTATGCTTAACGTACTGCTGGCATATGAGAAATATTCAATATAAAGTAACTATTATCACCATGACAAAAAGCAGTAGTAAAGAACATGGATTTTAAAGGCAAATTGACAGGGTTTAAAACAGGGCCCTGCAATTTACTATGTGTGAGGCTCTGAGTTAAGTTAGCTTTGTTTGAAAGAAAGCAGCCCAATCAACAATCACTAAACCTCAGTGTTGTACAACTGTGTTTATTGCTCAGATGTCTGGGGTTTAGATATGCTGCTCTGCTGATCTTTCCTGGGTTCACTCTCATGTTGGCTGATTTTGATTGGCTCCAGCAGGGATGACTGGGGAAGCTCAGCTCTGTTCCCCGTCTCATTCTACATCAGACAAGCCTGGTTGTTTTCCATAATGATGGCAGAATTGCAAGAAAGAATAACCAAATTGTGAAAATGTATTTCAAGTTTATGCTATGTCAAAATCGTTAATATTGTATTTTTTAAGTCAAGTTACATGACTGAGTCAGGAGTGGGAATTTCTGCCTATCACTTAATTTAGGAAGAACTGGTAATGAAAGTTACATAGCAGAAGACAGAATTGTAGGGATTGGAGAACAACTGGGGCCATGGTTACAATCTATTGCATGCTGTGAAACAACCCTAAAAGCTCATCAAGTTACTTTCTTTAGGCAAATATATATTAAGGAGTATTTACTTGAGACAGTACTGTATATTTTGTAGCTTGCATATACTCAAATAAAACTCTGTGGCTCTGTATCCTCAGATTGGCTGACTTATGTATGCCTGTGTTTCAACTTTATGTGAATCATTTCAAGTGTACTTTAATTCTTTCTTTGGTGACCACATTCTATCTGATCATTAGGTGAACTGACCAACAAATCATTCAACTGATGCATTTGAAGAGTTTATTATTGAATTTCTTCACTGCTCTTGTGATTTCTGTGTATTGAACTGGTGCACTCATCTCTTCTCTCCCAGTGATTCTGACTTACTTCCAATTTGTTTAGTACATTGTTACTAGACCTCTGTGGCCCTTGCTCAAAATCTTTATGACTTCATATTTCCTTTCATCTTTGCTTGGTAGGTGACTGTAATGTATTAAGGGGCATTGAATCCCGACCAAACACTTCTGTCATCGACAATCCAACTCTGCCCACCCTACCACTTCCAAGTATAGGGCAGGGAGGATCCCACAAGCATAGGAATCAAACAGATAACAGGTATTATCTGGGTTATGTTATAGTTTATTTAATCTCAACAAGCATAATGCAAGTACCTTCTGTTTAATGTATCTTTTCTATGTTGCTGTCAAAATAAAATCAGATAATCGAATTTCTAGACATGATAATAGAATATAACTAGAGAAAAAAATCCTTCAAATATGTGGATGATATAGTGTTATGGGAATATAGAAGAGAAGAAAGTGGTAGATTCCACCTCAGGTGGGCTGGAATGCCCTTCACCTTTGTGAAGAAGGTAATATCTATGATGAGACTTGAAACAGAATGTACCTGCTGAACCACATGGTGAGTACACAATGTCTCAGGGAGAACAAGTCTGTTTGCAAAACTACAAGTTGTTTAGCATGCTTAGACAGCTCATAGAAACAGAAGACATGACTTTTATAGTTCTAAAACTACTGAATATAACTTTAATCTTTCCATTGTAATTATTTGTCCCCATTTCTTAGGAGAAACTAAACTTTCTCACCTATTATGGGGACAAATAGTTACAGAGGCTTTTCTAATAATTACAGAGTCTTTTCTAACAATTACAGAGGCTTTTTTTCTACCTGAGGCTTCCTGTGGTAGAAGAATGCCAATTATTTACAATTTAGATCTAGATATTATTTTTCTAGAAATCTCAATGTTTCTGGGATCCCTGGCTTTAAGAAATCAACAGTTTCACAAAGGATATTTGAGTCTAGCAAAAATTTTGCTTTAGACCTTTGATATTTATCTCTACATTGGCAAAGAGTATGATTTAAAAATGCCTTACTTTTGGTTATTAGGTGGTATTCAAGTATAATGTGCTGAATTAAAGAAGATAAAATGCAATGTAAAATGTAAACAATTAGTGAGATGATTCTTCCTAGATTTAGAATTTTAATGAGCCAACTTCACACCTCCTGAGGGATGGAATAAAGTCATCACAATATCAAGCCTATTTTCTAAATTATAAAATTATGAATTTAGTTTGTTGGCAAGAACCAATATTTTCTGAAGGCAATGAGCTTGAACTTCTGAGGTGACTAATTATAATTAAATACTTTTCCGTTTGTCTTTTAGATATGATTATTATTCTAAAGCAGAAGCGCATTTTGAGAGAAGTTGGGTACTGGCTGTGGATCATTTAGCTGCAGTCCTCTTTCCTACAACCTTGATTAGATCATATAAGTTCCAGAAGGGCATGCCACCACGAATTCTTCTTAATACTGATGTAGCCCCTTTCATCAGTGACTTTACTGCTTTTCAGAATGTAGTCCTGGTTCTTCTAAATATGCTTGACAATGTGGATAAATCTATAGGTAAGAACCTTAAAAGGATACTTTTAAAAATCAGTATTATGTTGAACAAATAGAGGAAGAAATAATAATTAAATCAGTGATATAAACATTACAGCACTCCAAAAATAAAGATTTCCCTGTGGGTATCCATTCTATTTCTTTAGCAATAATCACTCTTGATATATAGAACCATTTAATGAGCACACATTTTAATCTTCTTACTCATGGTCTGTCCTTTCATCTGGAGACCATGTTGAAACTTGAAGTTGGCAAACCAACTGAAACACTTTTGTTTTGTTCTACATACCGATATATATTCCTTATTTTGCTCATCAGATCATTTAAAAAAAAAAACTTTCTACTTTGCTCTTATATTTAAAGAAAATGAAGACATTTCAAAAGAAAACCTGCCATGATTAATGAAATTACTAGCAATTTGGCTTACTTGAGTTCCCTTGATCCAATACTATTAGTCATGGAAGAAGGGTTTTATTCTAGCCCTTCAAATGCTGGATCTTCTAGTGAGGTAAAAAAAACAGAGGGTTCTTTATCTACCAGTTTGAAAGTGACTATATCATTCCCATTTGCCATACATGAACTGAAGCATTGAGCCAAATTTAAAACGTTTTTCAAAGCAAAAACATCAAGTCTGAAAGATAAAAATGGAGTAAATTAAACATGAATAAATTAAACCTATGTTTAAAAAAAACCTCTGCATCAGTTAGAGTAACAAAAACATCCAAACACTTTATAGACTTCATACAATTGAAGTTTTTCCTTTGGTTCTAGTGCAGCATTCTCTGTCAGTAGGCAGCTTCCCTTCACACAATCAGTAGCAGACCAAGTCTTCTTCATTCTGTGAAAATTTTTCTTGGAGCTTTTTCCCAAAAATGAGTTGATCCAATTTATTCTGTTTAATAGATATATAGTGTTATTATTAGTTATTGCCAATAATATAACAATGACATTTTATATATATTTTTCTTGCATAATTTATTATTTTATCACCAAATTCATAGAAAGAACGTGAAGTAAAGTTGGTAAGTCAGGTATTGCCAAATGGTATTGCCAATAATTCTATGAATGACATGCCATGCTTACTTTTCTTTGTATAATTTATGATTTTACCATTAAATTAGTAGAAAGGAAATGAAATAAAATTATGAGCCATATATTGCCAAAAGGTACTTTAAAAAATTTGCAAGAGTTTACATGTAATCATTTTGTATCTTTTACAGGTTATCTTTGTACAGAAAAATCTAATGTATATAGAGATCATTCGGAATCTAGCTCTAGAAGTTATGGAAATAACTCCTGAAACATTTAACTTCAAACTTCAGGAAATGATTAATGAATTAAAAATGAAAAACTCGAACTTGACAATCAGTAATTTCAAAAAATTAATGTCATCATGACCATGTAGTTTATTCTTTCTGATATTTTTGATTTATGCTTATTTGTTAAGATCTTGTACATGTATTAAAAACTTAAATTAAATGCATTCAAGTTAAAATAATGATTATTTTGCTCATGATTTTAAAATTCATTAATGATTAAAATGTTTAAGATAAAAGGATATTGCATTATGCTACCAAAAAATAACTGAGAAATTAACAAACATATTAAACTTGTGTAGCTCTTTTGTTGTTATCCTATCATCAAATTTCATGACATTTAGACTAATATATATTGCTGATTTATAACCAAAATCCAGATCATTTTGAAATAAAATACTGACAGGCAGTTCAAATTTTTAAAATTCATAAAACTGACCTGGAAAGTAGAATACACTAACTCATGTGTCAGTTTTCTCTGTGTTTTTGCTGACCACAAGTTTACAGCAATTACATGATAGAGTTCCCCTCCTTTCACCCACACTTGATAATGAATTCATTATATATAAAATATATAATTAATAAGTGAGAATACACTGGCCAGGAGGTGGTGATTTCTAGAGCTGACACGAAGCTTTCATATGAAAGTTTTCCCGGGTCCTCATTCACATACTAAATCTACCCACTAACTGTTGGAAAATGAAATTGGACAAATTGGTTTGAATATATGGGTACTGGATTAGGAAAGATGTAGTTTAAATCTCAGCAATGGCTGGGCGTGGTGGTTCATGCATGTAATCCCAGCACTTTGGGAGGATAAGGCGGGCAGATCACTTGAGGTCAAGAGTTTGAGACCAGCCTGGCCAACATGGTGAAACTCCATCTCTACTAAAAATACAAAAATTAGCTGGGCGTGGTGGTGTGTGCCTATAATCCCGGCTACTTGGGAGGTTGAGGAAGAAGAATTGCTTGAGCCCTGGAGGCAGAGGTTGCAGTGAGCTGAGATCGCACCACTGCACTCCAGCCTGGGCAACAGAGTGACTCTGTCTCAAAAACAAACAAACAAACAAACAAACAGAAAACTCAACTCCGGTTTGCCGGTTGAGTTGACCTTGGGCCATTTTTCTAGCACTGTCTGTGCTTCAGTTTACTTATTGTTAGAGTTAAGATTATAAAACCTACATTGCTAGATTATTTTGGGGAGTCAATAAAAACATAAATACAATGGTGGCTCGAGTTGCAGAAAAAAACCGTGTTCCTGTCACATGACCAGGAAAGATTAAGCTTGCAGACACTTTGAAGGGGGAGGGGGAATGGAATTTACTGGGTGAAAAGGAAAAAACTCAGCAAAACAGAGGGGTTCCTGTTAACAGACCCCCATCTCACAGATTGAATCCCAGGTTACCACACAGGAAAAGGAGAGGCCAGGCTCCTACCCCTGCAAACAGCATGAACTTCCCAAGGCTCCACCCTGTCACCCTAGAGCTCAGGACGATTGGAGATTCTCCGGGACCAGCAGTCTGGTTTTTCAGCCTTTGAGCTGTTTTAGGCTTGAGGGTGGGGCTTCACTAGGGAAACCTTTGGCTGCTTCCATCTGTATCATTCCCCCTTCTAACTGCCCTTAGAATAAGGATAAGGGTAAGGATAAGGATAGAAGATGGCCGAATAGGAACAGCTCTGGTCTACAGCTCCCAGCGTGAGCGACGCAGAAGACGGGTGATTTCTGCATTTCCATCTGAGGTACCGGGTTCATCTCACTAGGGAGTGCCAGACAGTGGGCGCAGGTCAGTGGGTGCATGCACCGTGCGCGAGCCGAAGCAGGGCGAGGCATTGCCTCACTCGGGAAGCGCAAGGGGTCAGGGAGTTCCCTTTCCTAGTCAAAGAAAGGGGTGACGGAGGCACCCGGAAAATCGGGTCACTCCCACCCGAATATTGCGCTTTTCCGACTGGCTTAAAAACCGGTGCACCACGAGATTCTATCCCGCACGTGGCTCGGAGGCTCCTACGCCCACGGAGTCTCACTGATTGCTAGCACAGCAGTCTGAGATCAAACTGCAAGGCGGCAGCGAGGCTGGGGGAGGGGCGCCCGCCATTGCCCAGGCTTGCTTAGGTAAACAAAGCAGCTGGGAAGCTCGAACTGGGTGGAGCCCACCACAGCTCAAGGAGGCCTGCCTGCCTCTGTAGGCTCCACCTCTGGGGGCAGGGCACAGACAAACAAAAAGACAGCAGTAACCTCTGCAGACTTAAATGTCCCTATCTGACAGCTTTGAAGAGAGCAGTGGTTCTCCCAGCACGCAGCTGGAGATCTGAGAACAGGCAGACTGCCTCCTCAAGTGGGTCCCTGACCCCTGACCCCCGAGCAGCCTAACTGGGAGGCACCCCCCCAGCAGGGGCACACTGACACCTCTCACGGCAGGGTATTGCAACAGACCTGCAGCTGAGGGTCCTGTCTGTTAGAAGGAAAACTAACAGAAAGGACATCCACACCAAAAACACATCTGTACATCACCATCATCAAAGACCAAAAGTAGATAAAACTACAAAGATGGGGAAAAAACAGAACAGAAAAACTGGAAACTCTAAAAAGCAGAGCGCCTCTCCTTCTCCAAAGGAACACAGTTCCTCACCAGCAACGGAACAAAGCTGGATGGAGAATGACTTTGACGAGCTGAGAGAAGAAGGCTTCAGACGATCAAATTACTCTGAGCTACGGGAGGACATTCAAACCAAAGGCAAAGAAGTTGAAAACTTTGAAAAAATTTGGAAAATGTATAACTAGAATAACCAATACAGAGAAGTGCTTAAAGGAGCTGATGGAGCTGAAAACCAAGGCTCGAGAACTACGTGAAGAATGCAGAAGCCTCAGGAGCCGATGCAATCAACTGGAAGAAAGGATATCAGCAATGGAAGATGAAATGAATGAAATGAAGCGAGAAGGGAAGTTTAGAGAAAAAAGAATAAAAAGAAATGAGCAAAGCCTCCAAGAAATATGGGACTATGTGAAAAGACCAAATCTACGTCTGATTGGTGTACCTGAAAGTGATGGGGAGAATGGAACCAAGTTGGAAAACACTCTGCAGGATATTATCCAGGAGCACTTCCCCAATCTAGCAAGGCAGGCCAACGTTCAGATTCAGGAAATACAGAGAACGCCACAAAGATACTCCTCGAGAAGAGCAACTCCAAGACACATAATTATCAGATTCACCAAAGTTGCAATGAAGGAAAAAATGTTAAGGGCAGCCAGAGAGAAAGGTCGGGTTACCCTCAAAGGGAAGCCCATCAAACTAACAGCGGATCTCTCGGCAGAAACCCTACAAGCCAGAAGAGAGTGGGGGCCAATATTCAACATTCTTCAAGAAAAGAATTTTCAACCCAGAATTTCATATCCAGCCAAACTAAGCTTCATAAGTGAAGGAGAAATAAAATACTTTACAGACAAGCAAATGCTGAGAGATTTTGTCACCACCAGGCCTGCCCTAAAAGAGCTCCTGAAGGAAGCGCTAAACATGGAAAGGAACAACCGGTACCAGCTGCTACAAAATCATGCCAAAATGTAAAGACCATCGAGACTAGGAAGAAACTGCATCAACTAACGAGCAAAATAACCAGCTAACAACATAATGACAGGATCAAATTCACACATAACAATATTAACTTTAAAGGTAAATGGACTAAATGCTCCAATTAAAAGACACAGACTGGCAAATTGGATAAAGAGTCAAGACCCATCAGTGTGCTGTATTCAGGAAACCCATCTCATGTGCAGAGACACACATAGGCTCAAAATAAAAGGATGGAGGAAGATCTACCAAGCAAATGGAAAACAAAAAAAGGCAGGGGTTGCAATCCTAGTCTCTGATAAAACAGACTTTAAACCAACAAAGATCAAAAGAGACAAAGAAGGCCATTACATAGTGGTAAAGGGATCAATTCAACAAGAAGAACTAACTATCCTAAGTATATATGCACCCAATGCAGGAGCATCCAGATTCATAAAGCAAGTCCTGAGTGACCTACGAAGAGACTTAGACTCCCACACATTAGTAATGGGAGACTTTAACACCCCACTGTCAACATTAGACAGATCAACGAGACAGAAAGTCAACAAGGATACCCAGGAATTGAACTCAGCTCTGCACCAAGCGGACCTAATAGACATCTACAGAACTCTCCACCCCAAATCAACAGAATATACATTTTTTTCAGCACCCTACCACACCTATTCCAAAATTGACCACATACTTGGAAGTAAAGCTCTCCTCAGCAAATGTAAAAGAACAGAGATTATAACAAACTATCTCTTAGACAACAGTGCAATCAAACTAGAACTCAGGATTAAGAATCTCACTCAAAACCACTCAACTACATGGAAACTGAACAACCTGCTCCTGAATGACTACTGGGTACATAACGAAATGAAGGCAGAAATAAAGATGTTCTTTGAAACCAACGAGAACAAAGACACAACATACCAGAATCTCTGGGACACATTCAAAGCAGTGTGTAGAGGGAAATTTATAGCACTAAATGCCCACAAGAGAAAGCAGGAAAGATCCAAAATTGACACCCTAACATCACAATTAAAAGAACTAGAAAAGCAAGAGCAAACACATTCAAAAGCTAGCAGAAGGCAAGAAATAACTAAAATCAGAGCAGAACTGAAGGAAATAGAGACACAAAAAACCCTTCAAAAAATTAATGAATCCAGGAGCTGGTTTTTTGAAAGGATCAACAAAATTGATAGACTGCTAGCAAGACTAATAAAGAAAAAAAGAGAAGAATCAAATAGATGCAATAAAAAATGATAAAGGGGATATCACCACCGATCCCACAGAAATACAAACTACCATCAGAGAATACTACAAACACCTCTATGCAAATAAACTAGAAAATCTAGAAGAAATGGATAAATTTCTCGACACATACACTCTCCCAAGACTAAACCAGGAAGAAATTGAATCTCCGAATAGACCAATAACAGGAGCTGAAATTGTGGCAATAATCAATAGCTTACCAACCAAAAAGAGTCCAGGACCAGATGGATTCACAGCCGAATTCTACCAGAGGTACAAGGAGGAACTGGTACCATTCCTTCTGAAACTATTCCAATCAATAGAAAAAGAGGGAATCCTCCCTAACTCATTTTATGATGGCAGCATCATTCTGATACCAAAGCCTGGCAGAGACAACCAAAAAAGAGAATTTTAGACCAATATCCTTGATGAACATTGATGCAAAAATCCTCAATAAAATACTAGCAAAACGAATCCAGCAGCACATCAAAAAGCTAATCCACCATGATCAAGTGGGCTTCATCCCTGGGATGCAAGGCTGGTTCAATATATGCAAATCAATAAATGTAATCCAGCATATAAACAGAGCCAAAGACAAAAACCACATGATTATCTCAATAGATGCAGAAAAAGCCTTTGACAAAATTCAACAACCCTTCATGCTAAAAACTCTCAATAAATTAGGTATTGATGGGATGTATTTCAAAATAATAAGAGCTATCTATGACAAACCCACAGCCAATATCATACTGAATTGGCAAAAACTGGAAGCATTCCCTTTGAAAACTGGCACAAGACAGGGATGCCCTCTCTCACCACTCCTATTCAACATAGTATTGGAAGTTCTGGCCAGGGCAATTAGGCAGGAGAAGGAAATAAAGGGTATTCAATTAGGAAAAGAGGAAGTCAAATTGTCCCTGTTTGCAGACGACATGATTGTATATCTAGAAAACCCCATTGTCTCAGCCCAAATCTCCTTAAGCTGATAAGCAACTTCAGCAAAGTCTCAGGATACAAAATCAATGTACAAAAATCACAAGCATTCTTATACACCAATAACAGACAAACAGAGAGCCAAATCATGAGTGAACTCCCATTCACAATTGCTTCAAAGAGAATAAAATACCTAGGAATCCAACTTACAAGGGATGTGAAGGACCTCTTCAAGGAGAACTACAAACCACTGCTCAAGGAAATAAAAGAGGATACAAACAAATGGAAGAACATTCCATGCTCATGGGTAGGAAGAATCAATATTGTGAAAATGGCCATACTGCCCAAGGTAATTTACAGATTCAATGCCATCCCCATAAAGCTACCAATGACTTTCTTCACAGAATTGGAAAAAACTACTTTAAAGTTCATGTGGCACCAAAAAAGAGCCCACATTGCCATGTCAATCCTAAGCCAAAAGAAAAAAGCTGGAGGCATCACACTACCTGACTTCAAACTATACTACAAGGCTACAGTAACCAAAACAGCATGGTACTCGTACCAAAACAGAGATATAGATCAATGGAACAGAACAGAGCCCTCAGAAATAATGCCACATATCTACAACTATCTGATCTTTGACAAACCTGAGAAAAACAAGCAATGGGGAAAGGATTCCCTATTTAATAAATGGTGCTGGGAAAAGTGGCTAGCCATATGTACAAAGCTGAAACTGGATCCCTTCCTTACACCTTATACAAAAATCAATTCAAGATGGATTAAAGACTTAAACGTTAGACCTAAAACCATAAAAACCCTAGAAGAAAACCTAGCCATTACCATTCAGGACATAGGCATGGGAAAGGACTTCATCTCTAAAACACCAAAAGCAATGGCAGCAAAAGACAAAATTGACAAATGGGATCTAATTAAACTAAAGAGCTTCTGCACAGCAAAAGAAACTACCATCAGAGTGAACAGGCAACATACAGAATGGGAGAAAATTTTCACAACCTACTCATCTGACAAAGGGCTAATATCCAGAATCTACAATGAACTCAAACAAATTTACAAGAAAAAAACAAACAACCCCATCAAAAAGTGGATGAAGGACATGAACCGACACTTCTCAAAAGAAGACATTTATGCAGCCAAAAAACACATGAAAAAATGCTCATCATCACTGGCCATCAGAGAAATGCAAATCAAAACCACAATGAGATACCATCTCACACCAGTTAGAATGGCAATCATTAAAAAGTCAGGAAACAACAGGTGCTGGAGAGGATGTGGAGAAATAGGAACACTTTTACACTGTTGGTGGGACTGTAAACTAGTTCAAGCATTGTGGAAGTCAGTGTGGCGATTCCTCAGGGATCTAGAACTAGAAATACCATTTGACCCAGCCATCCCATTACTGGGTATATACCCAAAGGACTATAAATCATGCTGCTATAAAGACACATGCACACATATGTTTATTGTGGCATTATTCACAATAGCAAAGACTTGGAACCAACCCAAATGTCCAACAATGATAGACTGGATTAAGAAAATGTGGCACATATACACCATGGAATACTATGCCGCCATAAAAATTGATGAGTTCATGTCCTTTGTAGGGACATGGATGAAATTGGAAATCATCATTCTCAGTAAACTATCGCAAGAACAGAAAACCAAACACCGCATATTCTCACTCATAGGTGGGAATTGAACAATGAGATCACATGGACACAGGAAGGGGAATATCACACTCTGGGGACTGTTGTGGGGTGGGGGGAGGGGAGAGGGATAGCATTGGGAGATATACCTAATGCTAGATGACGAGTTAGTGGGTGCAGCACACCAGCATGGCACATGTATACATATGTGACTAACCTGCACAATGAGCACATGTACCCTAAAACTTAAAGTATAATAAAAAATTAAATTAAATTAAATTAAATTAAAAAAACAAGGATAAGGATAAAGACAGATCCTCACTGCTTCCTGCTGACAGGGGGCGCTATTTTAGGGAAATGGCAGTCAGAGCTTCCTCAGAGGCCTACCTAAGGGTTTCTGGCAAAAGGAGCCATAGACAAAGGCTTTGGTTGCATGATGGTTTGGAGTTTGATGGCCTGAAGGTGAGAAGAGACAAAGTGGGTTATTAGAAAACATATATAGAAATGGAATAAGGGAGGGGTAAGGACAGCTCAAAAATCCGGAGGCCTTTTAACCAGTTTGCACAATGAGAGGGGATGCCAAAAGCCTGACCAGTAAAAAAAACTTTTACCCTTTTGTCAGCATGTTAGGCTTCTGGGTTCTCTTCCCTGGAGCCCAATTCTAAGCCAACCAGTTTAAGGTTTGGGAAATTAACTCTTCCCATTTTGGAGGATGCATCTGAGGGGAGTGTCCTGTAGTTTGGAGACATGATTATCTATCGGTGAAAGGGATAGATGAAAATAAAGGAAAGAAGAAGGAATTTTTTCAGAGGAGTCCCAGGGGTTCAGGATGTATTCAAAAGGGGTACAGACTAAAGATTAATGGCTACTCTCTAGAAAGAGGGGAGCAGGTGTCCCTGGTTCCTTTCTTTTCCTAGCACATACCCAGGGCACATGGAGAGGGAAAATGAGACTTTCCTCTTTCTTTCCTCTGTCCTTATGTTCTCGAGTCTTGGTGACCACAACAGGGTGCCACCCATGGGTGTTAAAGTGGCTTTCAACCATGTTAACAGGGGGGCCTAGGGGATGGGAGTATCTGCTCTTACCCATGTATGCGCTATCATCCCTGCTGTCAGTAGCCTTGAATTCCCTAGACCTCATTTATGCCATGGATATTAGCGTGACCTTTATCCATGGAATGAGAAGCTAGGCTTAATTGGAGGGAATCAGTCATGCTCACCTGTGTTGTGCCTTTTAACCTCTGTTATCATCTGTTTCCGGATCCCTTAGATCCAGTTTTCTATTCTAGGGCTTTGATCCAAAGCTTGGAATTGAGTTTGGTACAAAAATCTGTCTTGTGGGGGTTGCAAGGACTCCTTATCATAAGCCAAATGCTAAAGTGAAGCTGTGGAATTGAGTCTTCCTCCAGCAAGGGAGAGAAAAGGATATCTTATGACATGCCCAGATAACTGGTGGCTATAGTTATGCTTGCTAAGATTTCAGTGCATTGTGCTTGGCTTTGATTAGCTCCCTTTGTTTTACTTTCCCAAAAAGGAATCCTCTGGGTTATGGGCACCCTATTCATTCCCATCACCTGGCAGAATTTGCAGGATAATTGCTCATAACTAGAATATTGATCCAGATTTTTATATTACCCATTCCCTTTTGTTTCTTCTGAGCTGCAGCTGGAGATCACTGGTTGGTTCACAAGAACAAGCAGGGTTAGTCTAAAATGTAGGCAAAAACTTAAAAAAACTAATGAGCTAATGAGTTTAGAATTTAATGACAAATATATGATAAGTTTCAAAACATAATTTCTGTCTCTCCAGTCCTCAGTTTTGTTAAAAAAAATCATGAAAGGACTGAGTTGTTTGCAAAATAGTCTTTAGTCTTATACTTGGCCTGACTATTTGCACAAAGTGCAGCAAGAATAATTATCTCTAAATAGGCATTTTAGATTGGCTTTGATGGGACTCTGTTCCACAAAGAATGTCAGATAAGACCTTTTAAAGTGAAGCACAGCCATGGATTTGTATCTTCAAATACCTGTGATTTGGGTGATCCTCTTCCCTTAAGGTCCCAAGATAAACTTGGAACTCCTGGGTCTGTTAGAAAGTGACATTCTTTACTGACTGCAGGTCAGGAACCCTATACAGGGACTGTGTAGAGAAGAGTATGAGGCCAGTTTTTCCCAAGGGGCTTTTATCAGCTCTGCAAGTTAAGCTTGACTCTTTAAAGGGAAGCAAACCCTTCCAGTCAAAACCTTAGTAAAACAACCAGTTTCTCCAATTGCATCCTGTTGCAAAAGAAAATGAATTCTTATTGCACTGATGCAAACAACTATATTGCTGTGAGTTAAGAATATTCACAACTAATTTCCAGACTATAGAGGAAAAAGGCAGAGAGAAACAAACACGTTCCAAGTTTTGTTCACAGGAGTATACTGGACTCTGAAAAACAAAACAAGGATCAGCAGTATTACAAGCAAATGTCAAAGAGATTGCTTCAGTTTTCTGAGTTCAGTCCATTCAGTTAGCTTATTTTGCTTGATGTTCATGAGTCCTGTACATCTTTCCTTTATTCCAATGTCACAATTTCCAAAGTTATCAGAAACCTATATTTGAGAGCACCTGTCAAATTTCTATAGCTTGTTATAAACCATCTTTTAAAAAGGATTAAAATATGGCAACAATTGTCTGTGAATAACAAAATGTCCAAGGTAGTTACAGTTAGAAACACATTTGACAATGAAGTTTGGTTATCTCTGTGATTTACAATAATTTAACATAACTACCTTAATTATGATTGATAGCATGTATTTTAGACATTAGAATTTTTGAAATCCCATACAATTTTGGAGCATATATTAGTATTATTCACAAAAAAAGAAGATTGAACACCTTTTTGGCAATCCCATTTACCTAAATATGTACCTCCCTTTTGGATACTCCAGGGGCACTGTGAAGCCTCCAAAAGCCAGACATTAGGAAAGACAATTTTGAAACCAAAGTTTCATTTTGGGAAGCCTGCTAAATATGTTAGAGATTTAAAGCACAATGTTATGATTCTCTGGACCAACAGGCTGGTTTTTTTCAGCCTTCAGGCTGTTTTAGGCTTGAGGGTGGGGTTTCACCGGGGGACCCTTAGCTGCCTCCTGTCTCTATCAGTATTGATTCTCCCCACATGTAGTAGGCATCCACAAAAAGCAGAAATTGTCACAATAATTGTGTTTAGATATGGATACCTGTTCTATTGGTAGAGCAGGAAAAGTATCTTTGATGAGCCAGGACCATGAATAAATTTTGTTGAATTCACAAACATACAGATGATTTTTTATTATCTGTAGATAATAGAGGCAGTGTAATAAACACTCTCCAAATGTTCCCAACCCATGTGAAATGTCTATACACAACTAAACCTTCATTATTACTTGAAGACAGACAATGCTGAAACAGCTAATAACTTGGATTAAAAGGAGAAAAATCAACAGATACCAGTGCCCCAGTCCCACTGACTTTCACTTCATCTTAACAAGCAAGGGGGGACTGAGAAAAACTGCAGATGAGGACTCAGGAGAGAGAGACACTTGCAAAGGGGTCTGAGTGTGGGATGGAGTGAAAGATTAAATCCACCAGAAAGATTATTTCTAAACCACCAGAAATCCATTCTAAACATGCTAACATATAATAGGCAGATCAGAGCACATCAGAGCACAATTGTAGAAGACAGATTTCAAAGTAGAGCATCTTAAAGGGCCAGACCTGTGACTTAAAGGGAAGAACTTTATTTAAAAGGACAAGTTTTATTTAAAGGGAAAGGCAATTTTAAGTGACGGTTTTCCAAAAGCATAACTTCTATGAGAGGAGAAAGGCAAAAAGGAAGGGATGTAAGTGTACAAAACAGAAAACAAAAAGCACAATATAAAAGTACTTGGAGAAAGCATGGGTGAATTCCTCTTTAACTTTCGTTGGAGCACAGGCCTTCTGAGGTTAAGTCAAAACCTATAGGCAGTAAAAAATAATTGATTTGATCACATAACAATGAAAAACTTTGCATCACAAAAACAGCATAAACAAAGACAGAATATAATTTATCTGGGATAAAATATTCAGAATATTCCAAACACAGACCATGTTTAAATGGCAAATATTTCTAATATATAAAGAACTCTGAAAGCTTGAAGAATAAGGCTGGGAGCAGCGGCTCATGCCAGTAATCTTGGCACTTTGGGAGACCAGAATGGGTAGATTGCTTTATCATGTTGGGGTATGTTTCTTTTATACCTAATTTGTTGAGAGATTTTTATAATGAAGAGATATTGACTTTTGTCAGATGCTTTTTCTGCATCTTTTGAGATGATTATGTGTTTTGAATCCTTTGTTCTGTTAATGTAATATATCACATTTATTGACTTGTGTATATTAAAGCATCAATATATTTATTGGATGAATCCCACTGGATCATGGTAAATAATCTTTTTAATGTGGAGTTGAATCCTGATTTCTAGTATTTTATCAAGGATTTTTTGCAGCTATGTTTATCAGGAATATTGGTCTGTAGTTTTATCTTTTTGTTGTGTCCTGGTCTAGTTTTGGAATCAGGGCCATACTGGCCCCTTAGAATGAATTAGGAGAGTTTACTCTTTTTCACTTATTTTGGAATCATTGCTGAAGTATTGATATTAGTTCTTCTTACACATTTTGCAGAATTCAACAGTGAAGCCATCACATCCCGAACTTTTCTTTGATGGGGAGACTTTTTATTATTGCTTCAATCTTGTAACTTCTTATTTGTCTGTTCAGATTTTCTATTTCTTTTTGATTCAGTCTTGATAGGTTTTACGTGTCCAGGAGTTTATTCCTTTCTTCCAGTTTTTTTTTCAAATTTCTGATGTATAATTATTCATAGTAGGTTCTTATGATCTTTTGTATTTTTGTGGTATCAGTTGTAATGCTTTATTTTTCATCTCTAATTTTATCTATTTGAGACGTCTTTCATTTTTTCTTAGACTGGCTAAAGATTTGTTGATTTTTTATCTTTTCAAAAAAACAAATCTTTGTTTCATTGATATTTTATACTATTTGTCTCTATTTTACTTATCTGTGCTTTGATCTTTTTTTTTTTTTTTTTTGAGACTGAGTCTCACTCTGTCACCCAGGCTGGAGTGCAGTGGTGCAATCTCGGCTCACTGCAAGCTCTGCCTCCCGAGTTCACACCATTCTCCTGCCTCAGCTTCCCGACTAGCTGGGACTACAGGCACCTGCCATCACGCCGGCTAATTTTTTGTATTTTTAGTAGAGACGGGGTTTCACTGTGTTAGCCAGGATGGTCTCGATCTCCTGACCTCGCGATCCACCCTCCTCAGCCTCCCAAAGTGCTGGGATCATAGTGAGCCACTGCGCCTGGCCTGTGCTTTGATCTTTATTATTTTTTTCCTCTACTAAATTTGGGCTTAGTTTGTTCTTGCTTTTTTAGTTTCTTGAGGTGTTCTGTTAGTTTATTTGAGACATTTCTTCTTTTTGGATGTAGATGTTTATTACTATAATTTTCCCTCTAAAAACTAATTTTGCTATTTCCCTTAAGTTTTAGTATACTGTATTTCCATTTTCATTTATCTCAATAATATTTTAGAATTCTCCTTTAATTTCTTCATTGACCTGTTGTTTTTTAGGAGCATGTTTAATTTCCATGTATTTGTACAGTTTTCAAAGAATTTCCTGTTGTTAATTTCTAGTTTTATACCACTATTGTCAGAAAAGGTAAATTGATACGATTTTGATTTTTTTTTAATTTGTAAAAACTTGTTTTACCATGGCATAACATGTGGTCTGTCCTAGAGAATGTTCCCTTTGCAGCTGAGAAGAATGTGAATTTCTATAGCTGTTGGATGTTCTGTAAATGTCTGGTAGGTCCATTTGATCTTGAGTGCAGTTTGAATCTGATATTCCTTTGTTGATTATCTGTCTAGACGATCTGTTTACTGCTAAAAGTTGGATACTGAAGTTCCCTACTGTTACTGTATTGCTGTCTATCTCCCTCTTTAGATCTATTAATGTTTGCTTTATATATTTAGGTGCCCCAATGTTAAGTGCATATATATAGTTATGATTGTTATATCTTCTTATTTGTATTGACCTCTTTATAATTATATAATGGCCTTGTTTGTCTCTTCTTATAGTTTTAACTTGAGGTCTATTTTATCTGATATAGGTATAGCTACTCCTGCTTTCTTTTGATTTCCATTTGCATGGAATATTTTTCTCCATCCGTTCGTTTTCAGTCTGTGCATTCACTTACAGGTAAAGTGCATCTCTGTAGGCAGCATGAAGTTGGGTCTTATTTTTTAATCCATTGAGCAATTATATGTCTTTTAATTAGATAATTTAATTCATCTATATTAAGCATCATTATTGATGGGTGACGGCTTGCTTTTGCTATGTTGTTATGTGTTTTCTGTGTTATGTGTTTTGTAGAATCTTTGTTTCTTTTTCTCTTACTGTATTCCTTTGTGATTAAGTGATTTTCTCTATTAGCATGTTTTGATCTGGCTATTTTTAATGTATCTATTAAATGCTTTTGTTTTTTGATTAATACAAGGCTTACTAAAAACATGGCTATAACAGGTTATTTTGAATTGATAGCAATTTAATTTTGATCATAAGAAGAAATCCACTTTACTTTTTAGTTCCATTACCTCCCCACATTTTGCATTTTTGATGTCTTAATTTATATCTTTTTATATTTCTTATCTCTTAGCAAAGTTTTGTAATTATTATTTTCATTTGTTTTGTCTTTCAGCCTTCCTATGATGGATGTAAATGGTTCATGTTCCACGATTGTCTTGTTAGAATATTCTGAATTTGCTTTATATCTTCAGATGTTATTGTGCTAAACATTAGCATTTTTTGGTTTCAGTGTGAAGAACTTCATTTAGTATTTCTTATAAGGCAGGCCTGGTTGCAATAAATTTCCTCGGCTTTTTTGTTTGGGAATTTTTTTTATTTCTCTTACTTTTCCGAAATATACTTTTGCTAAGCACAGTATTCTTGGTTGTATGTTTTGTGTGTGTGTGTGTGTGTGTGTGTGTGTGTGTGTGTTTTGTCAGCACTTTTTCTTCATCTAGTTTTCAATGTCTGAATTTGTGACCTTACTATTTCAGTGGGCTTGTTGAGAAATTCTGAGCAAACTGGCTATTGTATTCTATTTAAGCACTAGAGGGCACCTGATGACCAGGTTAGAAACAAAACTCACAATGACTCCACCACTAAAGCTGTTCCAGCTGGATGGGCTGATAGATTTATGGAGGGCTCTCAGGGCCATGTGGGAGAGCCAGTCAGCCTCTAGATTCCAGAGCATCTGTGGACTGTGCTTCCCACAGTGTGGCACCCATAAACAGCCTCTCTGGTGTGGGGTCTCTTCTGGCAGGGATGGTGAGCCACTGCCAAGTTCCACTGCTGGCTGCCCCTAGCCCCACCCCTCCCTTTGACGCGAACTGACTTCTGGTGGTTCAGCCCTGCATCAGTACTTGTGATTCTCCCTGCGGGCTGATGCAGAGTGAATCTCTCACTGAGGAACCCAGGATAGTGAGGAAGCCTACTGTTCACCTCCATCCAGCTCACTTTTTCACTGTAGAAACTGTGAGTCCAGGGGGATTTTCTGCATGTGTTTCCATAATGGCTTGTGGAGGACAAGCATCATGATCACAGAGAACCAATTTACTATCCCACCACAATTTTATTCATTTTTGCAGTCCAGGGGGCTTCATAATCTCACTCACATGTTCAGGTTCCCTTACCTCTTGTGAAGGTTCTTGTGGATAGTGGTTCAAATTGATGTTCCTGTGGGAGTAAGATGGCTGGAGAGATCTACTCTGCCATTTTGCTTTGCCTGCCAGCCAGAAATAGCATTTTTGAAAAGAAAATAATTTGTGCAAAAGTGTGGCAATACAAAAGATAATAAATTATAAGAAGTATTTTGACATGTCTAAGTCTATGTGCAGAAATTGTTATAAATAAGACTGTTAAGGTGGTTGTTAACCAGATCATGAAAGCTGACATATAACTTGATGAGGAAAAGGGAAAAAGAGTAAGAGTTTTAATGATGGGGCTGATATGAGCCAATAAAAGTATATGTTATACTTGGCCAATATATTGTAAATTTTATCTAGATCAGGGGATGGCAATCTATGGCCCTGGGCCAAATCCAGTCCACCACCTGTTCTCAAAAATAAAATTTTACTGAACCATACCATGCGCATTCACTAACATATTGTCTATTGCTTTTTGCCCTACAAAAGCTGGGTAGATTAGTTGATAGAAACCTAATGGGCTACAAAACTTAAAATATTACTTAACTTGTAATTTTACTTAAACATTACAAAAAGTTGGATGCTCCCCAGTGTAGATTAATAAGCCTATAAGAAAACCCAGGAGTTTTTCTCTTAAAAAAACCCCCCAAACCAGGATGGGGCTTCTCTAAACAGATACTAAAATTTGTCATATAGCCACAATCTTTAGACATGCGAGCACTGAGTGATGCACAAGATGGACAGATTACTAGCTCATTGGAGTAGAATTTGAAAAACAGTATTTCTGGATGAAAAAATAATCTAGAGATAGATTTTTTGTTTTTTAAAAATAGTATATGATAAATGTACTTTGGAACAATGGGGGGAAAGGATTATTACATTTATGTAATTGGGTTCATTGACTAAATATTAGGAAAAAGAAAGAAAGGTGTATCTTTTTCTCAGCTTTATACCAAAATAAATTTCGTAAACTCTATTCAGTCATTCCACTTTTAATAACACAATTTAAAGATGTAAAAAGACCCATCGTATTATAGCTTACACAGGAAAGATATTTTGCAGCAACTTTACTGAATGTTCATTAATGAATTAATGGTTAAATAAATAATGACGTATTTATGTGATGGAGCTTTATACAACTATTTTTAAAATGAAATAAATTACAGATAAGTAGGTGATGATACATAGACAGTTGATGGATAGTTAATAGATAGTTGATAGATCTAAAAAGGGAAGATCACGTTTATAATAAATCTCTTGGAAGCCTTCCAGACCTGGGAAGTAACTGCACCTTCCAGGGCTAGCGAATTTCCAAGAGTGTTAGACAGCTAGCCTGAAATGTGGCTTTCAAATGCAGACAGGCCATTTCAAGGCCATCCCCACTTATGTTCTGATGTGACTCTCAAGCACCAAGCCAATGTTTTCCTCCTTCTAAGGCCAGGTACCAGGCAACAAGAGAACATCCTTATAGTTCTGAGCTTGCCAGAATTGTTCAAACTGGCCAATCCTACACTGTTCGCTCTGCCTTCTTTGTGGAAATCTCACATAAAGGCTCTGGCCTTTGCCTTCTCCTTGCTCCTGTCATCTGCCTCTTGACCATCCTCACATTTCCTTTGTGGCCCTGTTCCCTTCTCTCAGGTGTGGCATGATCCCTTCTCTCAGGAAATGTAAGTAATAAATTATTCTTCTAGTGCAACTGGACTTTCTGTATCATCACACAGATATACCTCTCTAAATTAAATACTAGGTGTAATTTCAGATCAGAGGTGTCTGTGTAGAACCTATCCAGCCATTCTGGTTGGACAAGCCTGAATACCAAACAGATTCTAGCAGATGCCTGACAGAGCAACAGAGGCATACATACCCAGGGAAGTAGGTAAGAGGTATAACGAGTGACTGAAATTAAACTGTCAAGTTGCACCTGCAGGAAGCAGGCCAAAAGCCTGTTTAAATTAGTCATAGCACAGTGAGGCCCAGAGGATTTAGGCTTGATGCAGAGGAGATGGTTAATTCAGAACCTCTGCACTACAACCTGATTTGTGGGCCCAGCCCTTCCCTGGATGCCTGTGCTTTGTTTTTGTTCTAGTCACAATGAGTTTTCAGAAAACTCTGTCCAAGCCTCACACCTAATTCAACAGATATTTTTTGAGCAGTGACCTCATTCCTGGTGCTGTATCAGTACTGTCCTACGATAATGAACAAGGTGGAAAAGAGCTCTGTCTTTGAGATGTTTAACAAAGGATGACTATAAAAATTTAATCTCTAATGAAAGCAAGTAATTTGAATATGTAATAGAAGAATTTTGTCCTCAAGTTGACTTCTTATTGTAATTTTAAAAATAATTACATAGAGAAGAACCAAACACATAAGCAATGCTAGAAACCACTAAAGAAGAATACACTATTTTAATGTCAGTAAACCCCGTCATTGGCATAAGAAGGGTTATGTTATATTAGCAGGGCAGTGAAAAATTTGTTGTTTTTATCATCAATTATCACGTTTTTACTAACACTGACTTACAGCAGAAGTGGCAAACCTTTTTTGTAAAGGGCCAGATAGTAAATATTCTGCTTTTTGGTGGGCAACTCTATTATTGTATCCCAAAACCAGAAATAGACAAGATGTAAACTTATGGATGTGGCCAAGTTCCAATAAAACTTTATTTACAAGTGGACAAGATTAGGCCCATAGCTTGCTGACCTGTGCCTTTGAAGTCTTTTAGACAATAGTGACAACACTGATATTTAGAACTCAGCTTGGCCTATCTAAGAACACGTTATCCTATCATTCTGAATTCAACAGAAAGCTTCATTTTATTGTTCACTGCTCTTGGAAATGATACATTGTATAACTTTTCATTTTTTAAAAAAACTGTTTACTGAATATCTGTTAAGCATAAAACTTATGTAATTATCATGAATAAATAAAAATTTTCATTTTTAGGCAGATATTTTTAGAAAATATCTTAATATTCTTAGGGATATTTCCTTAAGAAAAGTATAGGTTACAAATTATCAAAGTTTGGATAAGACAGTGATATCTCTAGGTTTGGCATAGCAGCAGAATTAAGGGAAGATTTTATGAAGGATGTGGCATAAAGGTTGGAGCACATTTTTTATTTATACATACAGCTGGTCCTTCCATATAACTTGTTCTATCCCAAATACTGGTATGCAAGAGGCACTTGGAAATGTATTGAAGGAAGACAACTGAAGCAATAGACACAGTTAGAGGCTCTAAAGTAATTGTTCCACAGAAAACAACTACTTCCAGCTCTTCTTATTGTCCTTTGAGCTCATTAATTTTATTTTTCCTATTTAAGTTTCACATTTCTGAGTTTTACATACCTAAAATAAAAGTTAATTTGTGTGGTATTTTTATTGAGTGAAGAAGTGCTTAGAAAATAATTCTCCATGAATATTTTTGTTTCTTCACAGTCCAGAGGCAGTTGGTGTATCTATTAAAGGATGACTTAAAGACAAACATGACTTGGATGTTAGGTAGCACACTGCTCCAGAGAGTAGTTCAACTCTTATCCCTACTGGAATCACTTGTTTACAGTACAGAGTAGCGATCACTCACCCCACCCTCTAGAGTAAAGGTAAGAAGGATGAGATGTCTCTCATTTTGTTTCTCTCTCTCTCCCACCTTTGTCTCTCGCATGCACCCATGCAGAATAGAATGATACACCAGCTGCTCCATATATGTTCCAAGTCTTACTTTAGGGTTCATCTGCTGTGAGGCAATGCTACTGCATGCGAGAGTGAACATCATTTATTGCATTAACCCATGAAAACTGAAGCATGGGAAACGGATGCTAAGGCAATCTGTCAGTAATAAATGGTCTGTTCTCTGATCCAGAGGCATCTTCTTTCCTGCTAGAAATTACATATATATGAAATAATGATACTTGAAATTACATATATATATACATACATAAGTATGAAATAATTTTTGTACATTATGAAGAAATTCTGTAAGAGGACAGAGGGCTGATGGGAATAGATAGCAGACAGATTGTCCAAACTGTATGGTCAATTGGGCAATATATGGGACTTTGTTTCCTTTTCAGTGTTTCAAGGGATACAATCACAGCTGCCAGGAGGTTATAAATCTTTTATGAAAGTACAAAGTTTGAGTTCATTCACCCTTCTCTAAATCATTGTAATAGAGTATTGTGGTTCCAAAATAATTAAAAAGCACAAATAAAAACCTATCAATAAATCACAGGTGCACACTTAAATCCTCATACACAACAATGTTATCTCTCCTAAATGAGCTTTAACCTGTCAACTTCTCCCTTTCTGAGAGTGGTCCAGCATTTCCAAGTTTTCTAAAGGAATATCTATGGAATCCAGGACAAACATAGTGTTACCTTTGACCATAGAAGAAATGGTGATGAGTGGTTGTATTCTGGATATTTGAATGTAGTACCAACATAGTTTCTTTATGGATCAGGTATAGGGTATAACAGGAAGAAGGATGTTATAAGTGATTCCATGATAATTCTTTTTCTTCACTTCCCACTTCCCACTTCTTCACTACTTTTTCTGAACAATTCAGTGAAAAATTTATTTGGTAGACAAAAGTAAAAAATTGTGGGAAGGGAGTCATGGTGACAAAACATGGAGATCCAGAGCCTAAGCAGGGTGAAGAAGTTGTGCTCACAAAAGGGGAGGCCATGTAGGAAAACAGAGTATAAACCTGGACCGGAAGGCATTGCCAGAGAGGGGAGGCCCAGCATGGGGAGTCAGAGGGCAAGCAGAGTGAAGAGGAAATTCAGCGATAGAGGCCATGTACTACAAGATATTGGAGCCCAAAAAGATGGGTGAGAAGGCATCCATACAGATGAGGAGGTTATGGCACAGATGATGGATGGAATTATATACAGAAAAATTAAACAAGTACATATTCAAAGCAAATGGAAGCCACATTCTTTCACTGTTAGAGAAGGAAGATTCAAACATTGAAAAGTGTGATAACTAAAGTAATTGCTGTGCTATTGGATTGGAATTAGCAATATTGGTGTGAACTCATAATTTGCAATATACATAAATTAGATAGATGATGTGTTCTAAATAGATAATGGTAGACACATAGATAGATGGATATAGAGGTGAGTAGATGCATCTACTGAGAGGGATGCATGAATATGAGCAGGAATATCCCAAAAGTCATAAACAAATCTACCACTCAGGCCTTGACTTCTTCAAAATATTATTTTTCAATAAATGAAACAAAAGTGCCTTAGAGAAATGGATAATTCTAGGGATAAGAGAGGTAAAGGATAAAATAAGCTTAAGATACATTCTTGTGCCTGAAAGCAATGAAGTGTTCAAAAATAGATGGATATATTGTCAAAGGGAGCTTCCACTGGCCAAGACTGAAACAATGGAGTATCAAAATAAATAATAAAGCATGGAAATCCACTGAATAAAATGAAAAACATGAATAGAGAGATATAAATAAATAAATGAATGTTTTAAATTTTGATGAGAAACAGGATAGATTCAAAGTATCTTCCACATATACATCTACAATACATATTTATGCTATATAATATATAAATACACATGCAAATACATCTATAATACATATACATAATATATAGAATATAACAATACATGTATAACATATAAACATATTAAATATAAAGAAATATAACAAATATAAGTAACAAATATGGGACATAAGCGATAACAAATAATAATATACAATATTAATACAGATATAAATAAAACATACAGTATAACTGTAGTTAAAATATTGTTCTGCTATTACCTCTATAGTTCAGTCTCAACAGAGAAGCTGGATTTGGTCACTCCTCTGCTCAAAAGCCTTCTCTATGTTCTCCATTCTATTCCAAGGTTGAAAAAAATGTTCTTACAATGGATTACAAGGGCCTACCCAAACCTATTGCTCTCATTACATCTCCTATTTATTTTTGCCTTGTTCAATCATCTTGCTGAAGAAGCCAGATCAACTCCTAATTTCCAACTGCTGTGCTTCCTCTTCCTCTTTGCCTCAAATAATCTTACTCCAGTTATCTTCCTGGCTCCTTCCCTCTCTTCCTTCACATCTCTGCTGAAATAACTATCCCCAGCAAGACCTCACTAACAAACCTTTTAAAATTGAAGGTGTTCAATATCTTCTAGTATTTCTTGTTGCTTTTCTTTAAATTGTTTTTCCCTTAGCATCGCATATTTACTAAGTCTTTCATGGGAGTATAACCTCAATGAGGTCACAGATTTCTAACTTTTTTTTTTTCCTGGTACAATATAACTAGGGCCTAAGACAGTGTGTCTCACAAAGGAAGTACAAACTAGTATTTATTGAATAAAGAATATTTTCCAGATTAAATGGGATAAAGTTTCTTATGTGTAAAATATATTCAAAATATTAAAAACAGCTTTCTGTCTAATCTCCCTTCTTTATTAAACTATAAACCAAGGGATCATGTATTATTCATTTGTTTTCCCCACAAAACCATTGTCATTAGAGTCACATTGTAGCATTCAATGAATGTGTATTTTAATTGATTGATCAATCAATCAATAAATTCCTAAATTAATGACTTGATGAAAGACAAGTCTGAATTCTGTAACATTTAATAAGTTTGCCTAGCTGTGTTTTCTTATTTAGTTCTTATCTCCCTGATACATATGGTATCAGTGAGTGTCCAGAGATTTTTCCTGCAATTGACAGTTAATAATAATTTCATTGATACAAAAAATAAATCATTCTTTTTGCTTCCTTCCTTACTTCTTTCTTCCTTGCTTCTTTTTTAGTTACTTTCTCTCTGCCTTATTTAATTTTCAGTCCCTTAGATCCCTTTCTTAGACAGATCGTCTTCAACTTATGATGGCTTGATTTAAGATTTTTCAACTTTACGATGGTGCAAAAGAGATACATGTTCAATAGAAACCATACTTTGAATTTTGATATTTTCTTGGGCTAGTGATATATGGTGCTATAGTCTTGCCTGATGGGGGTCAGTGGCAGCGAGCCTCAGTTCCCAGTCAGTCACACAATCACAAGGGTAAACAGCTGACATTCTACCGTGTACTATGTTACCAGTATTCAGTTTATTAAATATTGTATTCTGTTTTTGCATCCCATAATGTCTAGAAAATGCCCATCTGTGTATAGTATTCAATACTTTATTATCAAATAAACTTTGTGTTAGATGATTTTGCCCAGCTGTATGCTAATGTAAGTGTTCTGAGCATGTTTAAGGTAGGCTAGGCTAAGCTATGTTGTTAGGTAAGTTCGGTTAAATGCATTTTTGACTTACAGTATTTTCAACTTATAATGGATTTCTTGGGACATAACCCCTCAAGAAGCATCTGTGCTAAGTGATTTGATTTATAAATTTTATTAATTTTTTTAGTCCGGTTCATTTTGTTTATGAAATAGAATAGGCAAATATGTTTTTATTCAGCCGTATTAAAAATGGAAAATAAGTTAAAAATTTAAAATTTAAATTCTGAAAACATTTTGAGTTGGGTATTTTGGATTTATATACTGAGATGGAGTTCGGTGCACGATATATTTATAGAGATTGACACCCTGGAAGGAAGAGGGGGAAAGAAGTAGAATTGGACAAAGGCACAAGTTGAACTGTGGTGCAGCCCTACAAGACCTCAGCCAACTTAGCAGGGAGCTCTGGAGGGAATACTGCTGAGTGTGAGCTAGCATGAGGAAACAGCATGACAGAGCCACACACATAAAATCACTTCTTAAAATAATAGTAGAATGTTCCTCTCTGTGGACCTTACTAGATATTTGCTGGAAAGTTCAGAGACATGTGGGGAACTAAAAAAGCTTCCTTCTTGGTGTAGACATGGAGGAAGAGAAAAAAGCTGAAATGGTGCACCCCACCTAGATAATTCTCCCCACATCTCCTCGATGGTACAAAGTATTTAAGCTGCTCATAATAAGGTAGCAAGTCCAATTGCCCTACTTCATCTGGGAAAAGGGTACAGGAAAAGAAAAATCCTAACCCTGGTGGAGGGGCAGGAAGCCAAACAGAATTCAGATAATTGGAAATCCTGCACCTCCAGAAGGAAACACAGTCACTGATAAAGTCCTGGGTTGGAGAACTAGTGATATATAGAGCCTGACTATGACTGAGGATGAAGTAATAGAACTGAAGATGAACAAGAAAACAGAGGATGACCCTGACTACCTACTCCAGGCCAGCAAGCATCAAATAACAAGTAACAACCTTCTAACATTGGGAGAAGAGGAAACACCATGGAGAGAGACCCTCACTGAGGCACAGGCTGATGCAGAAAAAATCTGAAGCTGAGGGTGGAAAATGAGTGTTAGAACAATCTTCCAGCAAGCTAGATTTCACCCTAAGCATCAAATAACATGAGAGACAGATTAAGCTAGTGAGGCACTGAGAGTAATAATAGCAGCAAAACACAAAGCCAGCTCGAATCTCCACAAGATTTTCTCACCCCTTCCAAACTAAAAGCCCATCAGAATAAGACACCTGCCCCTTACAAGCATAAATATTCTTTACCATGGTTTTTACTGTTCTACATGTGTTGACTGGCTTTCAACCAAAAATTATGTGTCACATAAAAACGTTAAAAAAATTAATAACCTACTGTCAAGAGACAAAAAAAATCAGCAGAATCAAAGTCATATATGACCCAGATGTTGAAACTGTCTGGCAGAGAATTGAAATTAGCTATGATTAAAATATTAAAGGTTTTAGTGGAAAAGGTAGATAGCAGGATGAATAAATGGAAAATTTCAACAGAGATATAAAAACTATCAGAGAGAATCACAAAGAAATGTCAGAAGTTAATAGTAAGACCCTCAAACAGTAATAGAGGTGAAAAATGTCTTTAATGAGCTCATCAGCAGACTTTACATAGCTGAGGAAAGATCATTGAACTCAAAGACAGGTCAATAGAAATTATTCAAAATAAAACCAAAGAGAAAAAAATAGTACAAAACCAGAACAGAGAACAAAGGATCTGTAAGATAATATCAAACAATTTAACATTTGTATAATTTAAATCTCAGAAGAAGAAAGGAGATAAAATAGGGCAGAAATATTAAGAAAAATTGATAAAGATACTTTTCTAAAAATAAGGAAAGATTCTAATCCCCCAGAGCTAGGAACCTTGGAGAACACCCATCAGGATAAATATCTTCTCCCAACATAACTAGGTATATCATACTCAAACTGACATCATCTAAAGATAAAAAGAAAGCATTAAAGGTTAACAAAAGACAAATTACACAAAATAAGTGATAGTGTTTCAACAGATATCTCATCAGAAACTATAGACAGCACTAGACTATAGAGTAAAACCTGTGTACTAAAAAAAGAAGAAAAATTTAATGAGAAATACTTTTTCAGTAAAAAAACAATGCAAACACCACCACAACTGCTACCATGAACATCATCAATATCAAAAACAAAACGAATAATTTGCTTCTTGCATAAACATGTTACAAGAAAATGTTAGAATTTCTTCAGGAAAAAGAAATTTAGTACCAGACAAAAACTGAAAAAACTGAAGAATGCTAGATATAATAAAAAGCAAAGTAAATATAAAGCTCACATACTTATAATTTTAAAGGCCATTGACTATGTAAAGCAAATATGATAGCAATATGTTTATTTCCTATGCAAAAGTAAAAGTAAAATGTTCCATATATAAAAGTAAAATGCTGCAATCCATAGACAACCAATATGTGTTTTTAAAGTGACCGGAATGACAGCAAGCTATTTAGATAAAAGGAAATAATAAAAAGTACTCATTGCAAAACAAGGCAAAAAGAGAGAAGGCGATAATAAAGGGACATACCTCTTTGTTGTTGTTAGATTCAATCTAAACATATAAAATTAGATTAAACATAAATGAGTTAAACATACAAGTTAAAGTCTGTGATTGTTTGGATAAAAAAATTAAGACTCAATTATATACTGTAAGCATAAGATAGCTGTAAACATAAAGACAGGATAATTAGGAGATTAATTTTGTGAGAATTCCAGTCTCTAAAATTTTCTACTTAGAAATTTAATTTTCTGAAAATAATAGTTCAAATATCAGAATACAAGACACATAAAAAGCATTTTTAAAAAACTCATCTTTCGAAAATTTTCTCCCATGTTGTAGGTTGCCTGTTCACTCTGATGGTAGTTTCTTTTGCTGTGCAGAAGCTCTTTAGTTTAATTAGATCCCATTTGTCAATTTTGGCTTTTGTTGCCATTGCTTTTGGTGTTTTGGACATGAAGTCCTTGCCCACGCCTATGTCCTGAATGGTAATGCCTAGGTTTTCTTCTAGGGTTTTTATGGTTTTAGGTCTAATGTTTAAATCTTTAATCCATCTTGAATTGATTTTTGTATAAGGTGTAAGGAAGGGATCCAGTTTCATCTTTCTACATATGGCTAGCCAGTTTTCCCAGCACCATTTATTAAATAGGGAATCCTTTCCCCATTGCTTGTTTTTCTCAGGTTTGTCAAAGATCAGATAGTTGTAGATATGCGGCATTATTTCTGAGGGCTCTGTTCTGTTCCATTGATCTATATCTCTGTTTTGGTACCAGTACCATGCTGTTTTGGTTACTGTAGCCTTGTAGTATAGTTTGAAGTCAGGTAGTGTGATGCCTCCAGCTTTGTTCTTTTGGCTTAGGATTGACTTGGCGATGCGGGCTCTTTTTTGGTTCCATATGAACTTTAAAGTAGTTTTTTCCAATTCTGTGAAGAAAGTCATTGGTAGCTTGATGGGGATGGCATTGAATCTGTAAATTACCTTGGGCAGTATGGCCAAATTTTCGCAACCTACTCATCTGACAAAGGGCTAATATCCAGAATCTACAATGAACTCAAACAAATTTACAAGAAAAAAACAAACAACCCCATCAAAAAGTGGGCGAAGGACATGAACAGACACTTCTCAAAAGAAGACATTTATGCAGCCAAAAAACACATGAAAAAATGCTCATCATCACTGGCCATCAGAGAAATGCAAATCAAAACCACTATGAGATATCATCTCACACCAGTTAGAATGGCAATCATTAAAAAGTCAGGAAACAACAGGTGCTGGAGAGGATGTGGAGAAATAGGAACACTTTTACACTGTTGGTGGGACTGTCAACTAGTTCAACCATTGTGGAAGTCAGTGTGGCGATTCCTCAGGGATCTAGAACTAGAAATACCATTTGACCCAGCCATCCCATTACTGGGTATATACCCAAAGGATTATAAATCATGCTGCTATAAAGACACATGCACACATATGTTTATTGCGGCATTATTCACAATAGCAAAGACTTGGAACCAACCCAAATGTCCAACAATGATAGACTGGATTAAGAAAATGTGGCACATATACACCATGGAATACTATGCAGCCATAAAAAATGATGAGTTCATGTCCTTTGTAGGGACATGGATGAAATTGGAAACCATCATTCTCAGTAAACTATGGCAAGAACAAAAAACCAAACACCGCATATTCTCACGCATAGGTGGGAATTGAACAATGAGATCACAAGGACACAGGAAGGGGAATATCACACTCTGGGGACTGTGGTGGGGTCGGGGGAGGGGGGAGGGATAGCATTGGGAGATATACCTAATGCTAGATGACACGTTAGTGGGTGCAGCGCACCAGCATGGCACATGTATACATATGTAACTAACCTGCACAATGTGCACATGTACCCTAAAACTTAAAGTATAATAAAAAAAAAATTAAAAAAAAATAAAAAAAATAAAAATAAAAAACTCATCTTTCATGGATTTTTAGGCTATATGTCCTATAAATGTAACTCTCATTATAAAGTTTAAAAAATAATTTGTCCAAACAAATAATTCACTTCATAATTTTTCATTATTTGATTTGAACCTCAGGTGTGGATGGGCATCTGTGAACAGTTTGGACATAATTATTCAGTTTGCATATTCCTCCTGAAAACAGTCCATAGATTCTCTGAATAAAGTGGGGCATTACGGTCGATTTTTCTAGTCTGTGACTATATGAGTGTTAGTTCTTCTCCACAGCTCATTGGAGCCAGTGTGGTGTGCACACCAAACATAGGGAAACTAATTCAGAGGCTACATTCTACCAGAACAAACGTATCTCCAGGGCATTTGTGTTTTGAAAATGATGCGTCATTTTTGGGCTGTGAGCCCATAACTCATAAACTGATGTGGACTCTAGAACTTTGGGCAGAAATGATGAACCACATGCACATATATATATCAGGGGAAGAATAAACACAATGCACAGAGAGAAGTGAAAATGAATTTTCATGAAGCTCGAGAAATATAAAGAGTATTTTATTTTGGTTCCTGATGATTTTTCAGCTTTTGGTTATAATATCCAGTGAAAACTATTTGCTCTTTCATCCTGTTGTTTCCATGCAATATTATTGTAATCTTCGCATAAATTCTCTCCTTTTGTTTCCTAATTTGCTTTACTTATTCACTTCATGAAACTAAATTACTGTAATCTTTAATTTAATTTAATTACTAATTTAGATACTGCCAACTACCATTTCCAATACAAAAAGAACAATTCCTATTGTCTTAAAGCCATAAGTAGAAAACACATACTGTTGACCTTGAACAACATGGGGTCAGGGTTGCTAGACCCCCTGCAGTCAAAACCTATGTGTAACTTTTGACTCCCCCAAGCTTAATACTATAGCCTATTGTTGACCAGAAGCCTTATCAATAACATGAACGGTTGATTAACACATATTTTGTATCTTATATGTGTATGTTTTATATGGTGTATTTTTATAATAAAGTAAGCTGAAGAAAAAAATGTTATTAAGAAAATCACAAAGAAGAGAAAATATATTTGCTATTCGTTAAGTGGAAGCGGATCATCTTAAGGTCTTCTTCCTCATCGTCTTCATGTTGAGTAGGTTGAGGAGAAAGAGGAAGAAGAGGTATTAGTCTTTCTGTCTCAGAGATGACTAAGGTGGAAGAAAATCTGCATACAAGTGAACCCATGCAGTTCAAACCTGTGTTGTTTAAGACTCAACTGAATATTACTTTGTAATGAGACACACTGAAATTTATCATATGTTTATTACAGTGCAAGTACTAAAGTACCATTTATTTTCTTATATCTATCCTTGAATATACACCAAGCAGAGATAATCTTACGAATAGTTTGGCAGCAGCAATAATGGTCCCCAAAAGATATCTATGCCTAAATACCCAGAACACATGGTATGTTAACTTACATAGCGAAAAAAACTTTGCAGATGTGATTAAGTTAAATATTGTAGGGGGAGATTATCCTGGATAATTTGGGTTGGCCAATTATAATCATGGTAGTCCTTATAAGTGAAAAATGAGAGGCAATAAAGTCAGAATTAGAGAAAAATCTGAAGATGTTTTCTACTGGCTTTGAGGAAAGAAATCATAAGCCAAAGAATGATCATGGCCTCTAGAGGCCACAGAAAGCAAGAGAATTGATTCTTCTCTCAAGCCTCCAGCAGTATCTTAACCTCATCAACTTTTTGATTTTCATCCACTGAACCCATTTTAGACTTAGGATCTCCAGAACTGTAATATATTGAATGTGTGTTGTTTTAAGCTTCCAAGTGAGTGTTAAGTTGTTATAGCAGCGAAAGGAAACTAATACAAATGTTTAAAAGTCATTAGGTTTCTATTAACAGTGAAGTTGCTATAATTTGATATGAGTGTTTCATGTTCTTTGATTCCTAGAGTTGAACGCTATAGTAATAACTGATTTTTGATTCAACACAGTTATCTTATTGGTATTTTGTTCATCAAACGTGTACTCTGTGTAACAATTACTATATGGTATGTGTTACATTGGATGCTCACTACCTTCTGATTATTGAACTAGTAATTTTTTATAATCAAAATCTTGTGGACTCTTCAATAATGTTTTTTCAATAAGTATGTTGAACTACAGGCAAATTTTCTAAGTTGCTTAGGTTTAACCAGCTGACACCACGTGGAAAATGGCAGAACATTAATGCAAACTCGTCTTTCTGACATCAACACTTGTATTATTTTACCACACTATTTACTGTCAGGCTCAATTTACCCTTTTATTTTTTCCAAATAGTTTGTTAGCATATTTTGCCTGTGCTTAGGGCTCTCTGTAAACCTGTGTAAACAAGCTTTGTAATAGCTATTGAAAGAAAGTTACCAAGAAGACAAGCAAGAGGAAGAGCTACCTTTTTGTCAGTGGACACTGTCTCTTCCTAATGGAGAGAAATTTTGCCCTCTGTGACTCTGAAGTACTCCAAAAAAATATGTGTTAAAAAAGCAGATATTCATAACATAATTTTTAGAACTTTGAGATAACTGATGATACAGGCAGAAGGCAGCCAAATGCCGCCCAGGTCATTGTGCACAAGGGACTCGCCTAACATACCCATGGTGAAAAATTCCATCCCTTAACTTATGCTCAGTAAGGGAAATAAATCAATGTGGAGTGGCTTAGACTAAGGGCCCGCATATGCACTGGGAGAATAAGTGGAGCCACCAGGAATTCTTGCTTTATGTTGGGGAGGAGCTGGGCCTTTTCAGCTTGTGTGTGGTGTTCCGGTATTCAGTTTTGTGAGGTGGAAAACCTGCGGGCAGGACCCCTCTCTTTTTTGAGAGTTTTCTTTTCACCTAATAAATCCACTCTCCTAACCCTTCAATGTGTCTGCATGCCTAACTCTTCCTGGTCGTGAGACAAGAACCCAGATTTTAGCTGAACTAAGGTGCAAAAAATCCTGCATCACTGACCATCTCTCAAAATATTGATAAATCAGTAGTATGTTCTAAACTAACAGTTCATTTTTAAGTTTTAGAAGCCAAGTTCATCATACAAATTTTTATTTAAAATGTGCCTTTTGACTCATGACCATAAAATCTATTCCTCCAAATTTCATGAAATTAATTTAGGCAGAATAACACCCCAAGGCCCAATTAGGTTTTACGACTTTATTAATTTATCAGCACTTGTGAGTTATCCAATTGAATCAACATTGGATAGTAAGCATTTTACTTATTATTGATGTTAACTCAATAATTATTAATTGTGCAAATTAACAGCAACATCAGTTTTAATTTTAAAATACAGGCATAAATAATGACAAAATTACCTAGACATGAAAAGCCAAGGACAAATTTTTGTGAGTATTGTTCCTCAATAAATTACCTTTGTGGAGTTTTATTTCATTATAGATTTCTAGAAGTGTTTAATTTGAAAAGTGAAGGATAAATTCCAAAATTGCTAGAAAAAGTTTTCTTGCAACTGTTAACTTCATTAAAGTTTTCCATATGGTGAGAACAATGTTTCTAGAAAAATGGTAAATTTATTTAAATGTTGTAGGAAAAATTTCTATTTTGATCCCAAATGTTGAAATTGTTTACAACAAAATTCAACGTAATTAGTATCAAATTAATATATATTCATATACATTCTGTAATAAAACATAAAGTGTTTTGCTCTTTTAAATTATATATTATGCCTTAAAATTCAAATTGATGAGATTCATACGTAACTAAAAGGAACAAAAGATGATAAATACAGTGATGATTAAATAAAAGAAAACCTGTAAACAATGAAGTGCCCTTTTTTCACATTTTAGATTGTTGCAAATTAAGATAACTGTGTGCAAGTTAGTTTGCTAATACTATTTTTTGATATCTATGTAGATGTATAAATCTTAATATACAGTTTGCATTGTTTTGTCATTTGTTTTTGTTTTGTCAAGCACATAAACTATAGCATAGTCTTTAATTGCCACTTGGCAATACCTGATCCATGAACTCATTTTTAGTATTTTACTGTGTCATTATTCCAACAAGTTAAGCTAACAAAAGTACACATTAAATGACAATTTCCATTGCCTCAAAGTGGAAAAATATAAGTCCATTCAATAGAAAGTTATGTATCATTTATGAGAATGATATGTGTAAATATTTGCCAACTTACTAATATCTCAAAGATACATGGTTAATGAAAAAATTATAGCACAGAGCAGTGCCATATATATAATTTATTTTATGCAAACACAAAAGTTTTTATCAAATTATTTATCCTCTTATTTACGTTCATTAATGCATATAAGATTTTTTGTAAGAGTGAGCCCAAAACATAAAAAATATTTATTAGTCAAGAATCAACGTATGAAGGTTAGGAGGTGATGACGGAGATGGTAAGTTTTATTTGCATTTAATAACTTTCTGTAGCAATTAAATTTGTGGTATCATATATAGAATATATTTTTGAAATAAGTAAACTTATAGTCATAAAATGAAATGTTATTAAAATACGGGGAAAAAGTATTTAGTAATGGTATGAATTTTGAGTAGAAGAAGTGAGGGTGGATTGATCCGTCAATCTGTAAGAAGGAAAGATACAGAATTCTCGAGCACTTCTGGTCCTGGGGCCTTTAAAAGATGGGCTCCCTCCTTCAACCGCTCTAACTCCATTTATGTTTTGCAGGTGGCATGCAATAGTGAAGCTGTGAAGACTGGTGGAACCACAAATAGAAGGGTCCTAAGTCCCAGAATTACCATGGAAGAAAGTCTCCTGCAAATTGGGTAAACATCATGCATAATTATGTGAGCCAGGAAAAGAATCCTAATGAGTTATGCCATTAACATTTGAAGGTTTATTTATTAAAACAGCAAATTTTGCGCTAAGTAATACACACAACTGTTAAATTTAATGTACAATATATTCATTTTAATTTTGACTCATACCTTATTTCTAAATTTTGCTTTAGGGAATAGAAATTATACACATGCACACATACCACATACACACACATATTTTATTCCCTCAATAGAGAAAGGAGTGAATGATATCTGGAGAATCTAATGAAAGTAACTTTCAAGTTTATTATTATGTTCTTTCTTTTGTGTTTTCTATAAATAATTTGTAAATTTTGGAGAAATGTAACCTTTTCTAAGACCAGAATTTTGAGGGTTTTTTATTTTTGTTTTTATGCGTGCAATCAGGAGAACTGGATGAGGAAAGTCACAAAACAGAATTTATTGTGTGGTTCTGTTAGTCATGGGGAGTGTCATTGTTTTGCTTATTATATTTTTCATTTAAAAATAAGGAATGAAGTAGAATAAAATAAAATAAAACTTGTCCAGGAAAGAAGTAAAAATTCCCATTATCTCTTTGCCAGATTAACATGCTGTGATATTGATCAGCTGTATTTGCACAAGAACCCTGTAGAAAAGTACATGCCAAGTCAGGAAGGGTCTATACTATAAGCCCATTATATGAAACCTATCATAAACCCGCAAGAATTATTGTTAAAACCTTGAAACAGATAACTATAGGAACTTAACATTTCCTTCTTTAAACAGCCTATCATAATAATTTATAATTCTGATTCCAAGGCTATCCCGTCAGCTAAGATATCAACACAACATATAGAATTTACAGAAAATAAATTATCTGTGTCTCTTACCTGTATGCTTATGCACTTTGTGCAGGAAATTTACAGCAAGCAAGACTATGTTCTGAAAGTTGGAAAAGTCACCGATGAAGTGGGCTTTATCTCCACTAACAAGTATTCGTGGTGCCAGGTCCTTCTGGAATTCATTCATTCTAATCAAAGTTGTAGGAAAGCGTGTTGGAGCTAAATAATCCACAGATAAAACCCAGTTTCTTTTACGATCTGCTTCTTGCTTAAAATAATATTTTAACCTAATAGAAATGTAGGGTAAAAGTATGCATTTAAAATTAGTCTACTCAGAGTTTTGCCAATTCAATTTTCAAAACGGATAATCTGTCCAAAAGCTACCTTATTCTACTTTTTAGAATACAAATTGTATAAACTTGCTGTTGATTTTAGCCCCTAGGTTTGAAAATGTGAAGAGACATTACTAGAATTTTAAACTTGGAAATTACCATCCCAGAAATTTTGTAATTTTTAGCCAAATGTTTTTCCCTTTTCAAGCATGTTATCCTTGCATGTACTCTGAAATGTGACCAAATACTATTTTAAAATGTGAAGATGAAGATCAAAGGTGATGAGGCAAAACTTCTGCTGGATTTGGACATCTCTTGAAGAAGAGATGATTTTTATGTCAGGTGACCACTGAAAATGAAATAAATTAGAATAGCTTTTCTTGATTTTTAGGTGGTTTGGTATTTTTTTCCTCATGAATTATGCTAGAAAGCCAGCTCCTCTCATCTTATTGAGGAATAAATTTTAATTTTATGTTTGTAGTGAACAGTTTTACATCTATACAATCTGCACCACCTGTTCCAATCAATCTTCTGAGCATGTAAACAGCTTGCTGTTTTGCAGCATGCTTGTTCCCTCCAAAATGATTTCCATCTCTCATTTTGCTCATTATGTCCTATGTCCTTCAAGGCCTATTATGGAAATTATATGGTTTGTTAGACTTCCCTTGGTGTTACTCTACGTATTACAGACATAGGGGGCTAGTTGTTATTGATTCAAAAAGCAATTAGAACATATCCTCTGGTCAACACTGTGAAAGAAACACACTTGTATATATGTGGTTCCCATGGAGTTATGGGAGTACAGAGTATGAAATTATGAAGCCTGTCCTGGATTACAGAAAAATTGGTTAGAACTTCACACTCTTATCAAAGCATCATAACCAATTCTTAGGTTTAAGAAAGAGAAGATTTGAGGAACAAAATATAAAAAATAAAAACAGTTGTTACTGTCTTTTAAACTTTAGCCATTCTAGTGGTTGTAAAGTAGTAGCTCATTGTGGTTTTGATTTATATGTCCTTAATGACTAATGATTTCGACCAATGATTTTGAATATCTATGTACTTACTGGCCATTTGCATATCTTCTTTGGAGAAATACTTGTTCAAATCTCCTTTTTCTATTTAAATTTTTTTATATCACTGAGTTGTAAGAGTTTTAAAATATATTTTAAATACAAGTCCCTTATCAGATATATGATTTGTAAATATTTTCTCCCATCCTGTGTACTATCCTTAACTTTTTCAATAGTAACTTTTGCAGCACCAAATTTTTAAACACTTCATGAAGTTCATTCTATTTTTTTGTCCTTTGTGCTTTTAGTGTCACATCTTAGAAAAAACATGTCTAACCCTAAGTCAAAAAATTTTTTCTAAAAGTTTTATAGTTCTAGCTCTAACATTTAGGTTTATAATGCATTTTAAGTTAATTTTGTTGTGTCGTAGAAGACAAACTTCATTCATTAGCATATGGATTTTTAGAAGACTAATCCATTTCCATTAAAGACTAATCTTACCCACTGAATTGTCTTGCCCCCTTGTTAAAAATCAAGTGACCACAAATCTAAGCGTTTATATCTGGTCTCTCAATTTTATTCCATTAATCTATGTCTCTATTATTATGCCCTTACCACAGTTGATTACTTGTATGTCTTGATTACTGTAGTTTTGTACTAAGAGATTAATAGGGATTGCATAGAATCTGTGGATCAATTTAGGGAGAATTTCCAACTTAACAATATTAAGTCTTCCAATCCATGAACACAGAAAGTCTTCCACTTTAAATGGATCTGTAATTTCTTTCAACAATATCTCATATTTTTTCAGGGTATCTAAGTTTTGAATTTCTTTCTGTTAAATTTATTCCTGTGATTTTTTTCCTCTTGATACTGTTAAAAATGTATCCGTTTTCTTAGTTTTATTTTAGAATTTTTTTTTCATTGTAGTGTATAGAAATACAATTGATTTCTGTATGTTGATCTTTCATTCTGCTGGGTCAATGAACTCATTTATTAACTCCAATAGTTTTTTAGTGGATTTCTTTGAGAAACAGAGAAAGTATTATTTTATCTTTTCCAACTTGGATGCTTTTTTATCTTTTCTTACCTAATCTCCCTCAGTAGACCCTTCCATACAATGCTGAGTGGCAACAGTGGAGAATCTTGTCTTGTTTCTCATCTTACAGGGGAAAAATTCAGTGTTGCACCCTTATCATTGTTAGCTGGGGCTTTCTACATGCCCTTTATCAAGGTGAGACACTGCTCTATTCCTACGTTTTTGAGTGTTTTTGTTTTTTAATCATAAAAATGTGTTGGGTTTTGTCAAAGGCTTTTGCCGTGTCTACGTGATGATCATGTGGTTTTCGTGCTTTATTCTTTTAATATGTATACTATACATATTGATTATCAGATGCTAAACCAACATGCATTCTTGGAATGAATCCTATTGGTGATGGTTTATAATCATTTTTATATATAGTTTGATTCTGTTTACCAATATTGTGTTGAGAGTTTTTACATCTATATTCACAAGAAATGTAGGTCTGTAGAATTTTTTTCTTGTGATGCCTTTGTCTTATTTTGATATGATATTTGGTATAATGTTACCATTTTGCTATTTGTTCTTTTGTCTTATGTCTTTGCTTCTATTTTCCTTTGTTACTGCCTTCTTTTGTGGTAAACAAATACTTTCTAGTGTAACTTTTTAATTACCTTGTGGTTTATTTTACTATATACATTTTAGTCTGCTTTGCTATTGCTCTTAGCTGATGGGATTACAACTACCACCTCAACTTGAAACAACGTATTTCAGATTAATACCAACTTCTTTCAATAGTTTACATAAACCTTGCTACAATATAGTACCACTCCTGTTTCTCTCTCGTGCTATTATAGTCATGCTAATTACATCGTTCTACATTATAAACCCATCAGAACAATTTTATAATTATTGCTTTATGCAGTTGTATTTCAAATAAAATAGAGAAGAAAAGTGACATGATACTATATATTTACAATCTATTTTATATTTACCTATGTAACTCCTTTGTTAGTACTGTTTATTTCATCATGTGAATTTGAGTTACCATTTAGCGTTCTTTCATTTCAGCCTGAAAAACATCTTTTATTATTTCTTGAAAGTATGTCTGCTAATAAATTCTTTCAGTATTTGTTCATCTGCAAATATCTTAATTTCTCCATTTTTAAAGAATAGTTTTACAGGATATATAATTCTTCATTGACAGTCTTTTCCTTACAGCACTTCCAGTAGGTCTCCTGGCTTCCATGGTTTCTGATGAGAAATCAACTCCTAAACTTACTGAGGATTCCTTGTACATGAGGGTCATTTTTCTCTTTCTGCTTATCAGATTCTCTCTTTGTCTTTGGACACTTTGACTACAATTTGTCTAAGTGTGGCTCTTGTTGAGTTTATCTTATTTAGAGTTCACTGAGCTTCTTGGATATATAGATTAATGTTTCTAAATTAAGTTTGAAAAGTTTCTTGCTATTTTTTTTCAAATATTATTTCTTCCCTTTTTTCTCTACCCTTACTTCTGGGAATCTCATTATGTATATCTCATGTGCTTGATGATTTCTTATGGATCTGTGAAACTCTGTTTATTTTTCGTCATTCTTTTTTTCTTTCTGTGTCTCTAACTGTATAATCTCAATTTACCTTTATTCAAGTTCAGTGATTCTTTTCTCCTGCTAGCTTAAATCTGCTTTTGCGTATCACCCCCTTGGATTATTCATTTAGCTATTACACTTTTCAATTTCTGAATTTCTATTTTTTTCTATAGATTATATCTGTTTAATGATATTCTCTATCTGGTAAGATGTTGTAAGTTTTCATGCTTTTTTTCTAATTCCTTAGACATGGTTTCTTTTCTTTCTTTCTTTTTTTTAAAAGCATTTTTAGTCATGGTATCTTGTTATATTGCCCAGGTTGGCCTCAAACTCCTAGGCTCATGTGATTCTCCTGCCTCAGGTTCCTGAGGCAGGGATTACAGGCATGAACTATTACACCCAAGCTATTTCTATATGTATGTTCATATTAGCAAATTTAAAAATTTTATCTAGTAAGTCCATCATCTGGTCCCACTCAGGAAAACTTTCAATTGACTAGTGTGTGTGTGTGTGTGTGTGTGTGCGCGCGCTCGCGCGCGCGCACACACACACATACACGTGTGCAAAATAGTTTTCCAGTTCTTCACGTTTCTTTTATCTTTTTCCTAACACTTCCCATTTCATTTCATTTCAGAAAATATAAAGTAGCAACTCTGAAAATCAGATACTCCCTCTCACCAGGATTTGTTGCTTGGTTCATTTGTCATTGTTTGCTTAGTAACTTAGTAACTTGCCTGGACTACTTCTACATATGCACTGTATATGGCCTTCAAGGCCTTTTGCATCCTTGCCTTAGCCTTTACTTTTCACTTGTTCAGGGCCTCAAGGTCAGCCAGAGGTGGGAGATTTGAGCTTTCTCAGTTCTTGCCTAGCTTTGTCCACAGTCCTGCTCATGTGAGTGGCCTAATAGATCCCCAGGAATATTTCAGAGCTTTCCAAGTTCTCTATGGACATATTATATCACAGATTGCCCTTTTAAGCTTTTAGCTCATCTCTTGTTTCCCCCAGCCGCTATGGCAGTCTCAGGTAGCTGAGGTTTAAAAAAAATTGATGCTAATTGTATCTTTTTACAAATACCTTGGGTATAAGGGTTTTCCCACAGAATGAGTAGTTCAAATAACTACCACATCCTGAGAAGGGAATTCTTCTGGGTAGCTGTAAGACAGGTTAAAAAGTGACTCTAAATTGCTTACAGATAGGGCTTTTAAAGAAGCTCCAAACACAAATATGCCCTTTTGATGGCTGCAAAGCTACAGGAGTTGCAAGGAGCTGGTTTTCAAGGCTATTGCAGAGCTGGGTAAAGTGGAGTGAGATAAGCCAACTTAAAATACCACAGACCATGTTCTTACCTACATTCATCATTTCTTTGAATAAACGTTTTTGACAGTTTTTGATTGATATAAACCATTGGCTAATTCCAATAATTATTAAAATGTTTATTTTGATAATTTTTGTTAGTGCTTTGTTGCTTTTATGGAAGAGTGAATTTAGGGATATCCCCACTCTGCTATTATGGAAGCACCAACCAGATTAAAAAAATATATTAATAGATGAAGAAATGGAATCACAAGAAACAATTATCCAATTTTCTATAATATGCCAATCCAGGATCTAAGACTAGATGTTCTGGTTCCAGAGTCTTATACTTAACTGCTACCTTATTTCCTCTTAAAATAATAGAAGCTATTTTGTATTGATTTCTTATTATACTGTAGGTGTTATGTTATAAATGCTATATATATTGCTCAAAACAACCTCACAAGTTAGGTGCTGCTAGTATTCCCATTTTACAACTGGAAAACTAATAAGAGATTTCACATGTCCGATAATTCAAGATTCATTATGCAGATTTGCCTGACCCTTAATGGAAATAATCTTAAATTCTATAAAATTATTTTATATCAAAGAATGATTAATATTTTAATAAATATCCATATAAGGCCTTCTAAGATTATAAACCACAATACTCATTATCAGGATTTTGATATTTTTATAGTATTAACATGCAAAATACCTTCCTTCCATTAAGGGATACCTTTGGAAGGATTCTCCTTGTCAGGACAACTGTTTTTCAGTGAAGTAAAATTCTGGTGATATTTTAAGCAAAACTAATACTAAATAACTTCATACACTTATTCATATTTCAAAAATATTACTATTACATAAATTTTAGTATATATTCTTAAGTATGAAAATGACAGAGGATCTTTCATGTAAAGTTGGGCATTTGAATACACGCATTTCTTTTTTCCCCCTTACCATATCAGAAGCAATAATACTGTGAGTACATTTGGAGAGGCAGCTATAACATTTTGGAAATCAAACGGATGAGTAGCAAAGGATTTAGCAGATCCAAGAAGTCTGAATCCTAAACTAGCAATGGGGAAAGCTAACACTGTATACTGTGTAGAATTCTCCCAACAATTGTGTGTTTGATTACAAGCACTTCTGGAAATTGGAGTGAAAGGTTTATTCCTGAAAACGGGAACTGTTGCTTGAAAGGCTGATAAAGAAATAGGCAGATTCAAAGATTACCTCTGATCCTTCACACAGTGATGAGTTAATTATCGACAAGACAAAGGAGAGAGTTTCTGAACTCTAGTAAACTGAGCGCAAATGAAGGCAACAGTACACCATGCTGAAAACAGAGATCTTAAGTGAAGACCTGCATACTGGATACTCAGACCTCCAATATTCTTCTCTCACTAGACTCTTAAAATGCTGCAAGCCACGCCTTCTCTCTTGAAGCATAACATGGAAAATTTCTGGTAAATTCAACCAGCTTGAGAAGATAGGCATACACTTAATAAAACAGGAATTAACCAATTAAATTGCCCAGTCATGTGCTCTGCTGTACAGCAGTAAGCAAGCATTAGTCATATCCACAGAGTTTCAAATTAGCTCCTTACTGCCCCAATTTTAAATACCTATATATGACAAAGATTACAAGGTAGTTAAGAATGGTATCTTGAATAAGAGATACCATGAATAAGACAAATTACACAAAGCAAATGAAAAAGCCACTTAGAATATACTGTAGGATAAGCAACCGTGTTTAATATTATAATATTGGCCGTGTGCAGTGGCTCATGCCTGTAATCCCAGCACTTTGGGAGGCCGAGGTGGGTGGATCACGAGGTCAGGAGTTCAAGACAAGCCTGGCCAAGATGGTGAAACCCCGTCTCTACTAAAAATACAAAAATTACACTGCACTCCAGCCTGGGTGACAGAGCGAGACTCCGTCTCAAAAAAAAAAAAAAAATTCTAATATTCGCAGAGAGGTGAGAAAATTTATTGCAAAGAAAAAGCAGTGAGAAGATACAATAAGAGGATTCATTGAAGATCAACTTCGTTTATCTTAACTCAATGAAATCATAGAAATAGTATAGTAAGTAACCCTCAGCAAAGAGATTAGAAGACAAAGTGGAGGAAATTAGATAGGAAGTGCAAAAAGCAAAAATGTGGAAAATAAGATAAATAAAAACTATAAAAATTAGATCTATTGTGCAGGAGATTCAACATAGAAATAATAGGAATTCCAATAATGAAACAGAGATAATGGAGTTTTAGATAGACTATGTGCTCCACAAAATGAATGAAAAATAACATAGCAAGTCACAACTGCTTGAAATTTAAGAAACTTTGTGGAAAAAAGCACCTTACAATATTTCAGAAAGATAAAAATTATACCCAAACATTATGATCAACATACAGAATAATTCAGACTTTGGAGCTCAAAGAGACTGTCTCTGACCCTTTTGGTAGGAAGCAATAAATTCAGTGTTGACTTTTTATTTTATAAAACTAAAACAGTTTTATTATGGAAAAGTTGCTATTTTCTAAAGAAGTTTAGTTTTGTATGTGACTGGGAAAATCCACAAATGAAAAAACAGTATTTTTGAAACTATTTTCTATGATTCTAATGACTTGCTCTCAGTTGCCATCTTGATGTTGACAATTCTCACTCTACCAATAAGTTGTTATGATGGTTATGATCCTAATTTATCAGACAGATATACCAAGGGGATGAACTCTTCCATCATCTCATAAAAATATCAGGCCGTGAAGCAACATAAAGAGAGAAAACATGCAAGGCAATGTGTCTCCCGTCTCTGATTTATTCATCTCAATTGGATATGAGGTCAGTGGGAAATATAACAGTAGATATTTAACAAGAACTCTTCAAAAATATATGCCTCTGTTTATATATGTTTTTAAACGAGTCACCCATTCTTTCTTTCTTTCTACCCCATGTCTCACTCTGGATGGCAGAGTTGTATTTACTACATTCATTATAAAACACAGAGTATTTTGACATTGTTTTTATCTATCTGGTGTAATAAAAAAGATGTGTCCTAAATATTTTCTTCCAAATATGTGGTAAACAAACCGTATTCTTTGATAAAAATGATGTAGAGATCCTGTATTACTTGTCACTACATCCTTTTGGTTTACGGACATGCCAGTTCATGTTAAGACATATCTTTAAAAAAAAAACCCTCTCCTTCTTCTTCTGGTTAAATTTTGTTTGATTGTTTTTAATTTTTCTACGCTTCATGGTACAAACCTATTTTTCACATTTTTACCTGCCTACTTAAAAAATATGTTTTGAACTTTATCCAGTAAAACGTTTTCTTGTCAGTTTTCCTTTTATCATAGTACTGCCCACGGTTGACATCTTGGTAAATAAGTAAATTGAAAAAGATTTCAATAGAAAACATAGCATATGATGGAAAGATTGTTACCACATTGAAACAAAATCACTTTGGGCTTATTCTTACCTATTGTGAAAAATTTTATGAGCAGCCTTCAGGGTTGAGACATGTGCAGTCCCTAAGTACTTCAACAGGTCATCAGAGCTACTAGATGGTGACTTTACATGCTATCCAAGAAGGAAAATGTTATTAATATTAAACAATTATTACCATCTCTCTTCCTGAAAATCAATTGTTTATAAATATAAATTTTTCAACATTCTAAATGAGAGGAGAAAATTGTTTGTAAGAGTTAGGATATGAAGAATATAATGCCTAATGCTTCGTGGAGAGCTTAATATTAGTTATACTAATTACAAGCAACACTGAATGCATTTGAAAGGAATAAACCAAGTAAGGGTTGGTTTTTGAAATACTCATAATTTTATATTGTTCAGAACTAGAGCTTTAGTATTCCATTTGTTTATTTGTTTTTCTCCTATCATGCAATGAGCTTTCTATAAAGCAGTAAGAGTCAGAAATGGGGACAGGAGTGGGAAAAGTAACAAAATTTGATCTAACCACATACAATATAATGAGTAAGTTCTCTAAAGGGAAACTTTATCTTTGGTCATTTACTCTTCCACCCATGACATTTGACTTTGAACATCAATATTTGATTCTGATTGTCAAATGATCATTTCAAGCAACTCATATGTAATTGCCTATGAAGACAGTTGAAATAAGTTGATCAAATTCATCACAATCTATTCCATAATTATATTTCTATATAAGTTATTAATCCATTGACCCAAAGTTAGGATTAACCAGAACATTTTCTACAACATTAAGCCATAATTTCTCTGTGTTCACATGTCTGTGTATAATTTATTTGATGTGAGAAGAGTGCATAGGACTGCCTCAATACATATTGGAAACAAAGGTGCTAATAAGATACGATGTCATGTGGCAATCTACTCATATTAATACTGCTAGCATCATAATACACATTTTCATATTAGGAATTATTTTTTGGGAACATATTGTTCAATGCTTTAAAATTATACATAAAGTATTATACAAAATTATCTGGCTACCTTCAAAGGTTATTAATAAAAATATTAGAGAAAAACTTGGTAAAATTCATGCCACATTTGTATTGTTTCTGGAAAGGATGAATTACAGCTAGAAACATTATAACAAAAATTCATCTGATCCTTAGATGGTGGTAGAAGGACGACATTGTCTGATGATATCCCCATTATGCCAGAGTCGATCACAGCAAGATACAGCAGAAAGATAATAATTAAAGTCTGTATAAACAAAGTTATTCTTCATATTATTACTATAGAAAAGAGGTTGTTTTTGAAGTAAAGAAATCTATCACAAAAGTAAACTCCACAGATTTAGAAACATGTAGTAAAACTTAAGCAATAGCTCTGGGCACTTATCCTTAACAAATTAACACAGGAAGAGAAAACCAAATACCACATGTCCTCACTTATAAGTGGAACCTAAATGATGAGAACATGTGGACACAGAGAGAGGAACAACACAACACACCCTGGGGCCTTTCAGAGGATGGGAGGGGAGGAGAGAGAAGATTGGGAAAAGTAATTAATGGATGCTAGGCTTGATACCTGGGTGATGAAATGGTCTGTACAACAAATTCCTATGCACAAGTTCACCTATGTAACAAACCTGCACTTGTACCCCTAAGGTAAAATAGAAGTTAAAAAGAAGATTTTGTTAGAAATTTCCTTGAGGATCATTTGGAACTCAAATATGCTTTCCTTAAAAACCCAACTTTCATAAAGCAAAATTGATTTATGTTGTAGATATATTATTTTAAAACATAGATAACAACTGCACTGAAAATTTAAATACTAATTAAATTCCAAAGCACAAAATGTAAAAAGGAAAAAAAATTAGTAACTCTATAGAGTGCTATACTTTTCTTTTATCAGAAGGTATTTTTTCCAAATTTGAAAGTCTGATATGTCTTTAAAATATTTCTGCTATTTATCTAGATGTTTTTCTTGTAAACAAAGTTTTATTTTATAACATGAGATAAATTCCTACTTCGGTCTTAAGCATCTAAAGCAAGGTTTGAGGTTACTAGTTTCTTTCAAATGGCATTTCAATAATTGGATACACTGATTAGTAGATTTTAAAAATATGCATCTAATAACATTTCAAAACATTTAGGTTTTAGGGTCAGAAGATTTAGGTCAAACAGATTGCTTTTGTAAAAGAACTAATTCTGGTTTTTGTTTTGGTTTCGAAAAATGGCATTTTAGATTGATTTAGTCATTTGTGAAAAGGTAATCAATTCAAAGTTTATTATTAAAGCATTAATCTCACCAGTCCCCCAACTGTTCATGGAGATGCACAGATGATCCCCAGAGTCATGGCCACCATCTGTCGTTTGGGTGAGACCAGCTAATCTGCCTAGTAGAGAGAATATGCAGACTCATAGTTATTAGGCCATTTCTAACCTGAATACACAAAAACTTAACTAGATGCTTTTTTTTTTCAAAAATAAGGAAATTCGTATTCTCTGAAAAATTGTTATTTCTCATCACTTTCTTTCCTTCGTGACTTTGACTTCCCATCTGCCATTCTTATTCTTTCATTTCTTATAACATTCCTACTCTCTACTCCCTCTTCTCGGTCTTAATTTGCTTAACCTCTGTAGCTGTTCTCTCTTTTTTTATTATTATTATACTTTAAGTTCTGGGGTACATGTGCAGAACGTGCAGTTTTGTTATGTAGGTATACACGTGCCATGGTGGTTTGCTGCACCCATCAACCCGTCACCTACATTAGGTATTTCAACTCATGCTATTCCTCCCCTAGCCCCCCACCCCCTGACAGGCCCTGGTGTGTGATATTCCCCTCCCTGTGTTCATGTGTTATCATTGTTAAACTCCCACTTATGAGTAAGAACATGAGGTGTTTGGTTTTCTGTTCACTAACTTTTCCTCTCTTCACTGACTCAGAGTTAGGAGTCAATATTCATGCACATTAAACAGGATCTATACTTTGCCTAAAATCAAATCCCTATTCATTACTTATCTATTGTGTGATGCTGGATAAGTAACTTCTGTAAGCTTCAATTTTTTAATCTACGTACAAGGAATACTAAAAATAATTAACTCATGAAGATCGGGAAGTGTTAAATGATGATAAACATGGAAAGTAGTCAGTGCAGTGAACACATACTCCATAAATATTAGTCATTATTCTATCTTATCCCCCTTTCTTTCTGAAATTCTCTCTTACCTCCTAGTTTCAAAACTTCCCTTCCTGGTTCATTCCATATTTAACTCTGGTAACTTCTATGTACACTTCCCACATAGTATGTCCCTTCAGCTATCTTATGACCCTGTGCCCATCTCTCTCTCTCTCTCTCTGTCAACCATTTTCATACCTGGCACATTCTCTCTGCTCTTGCTACCCTCCTCTTTTCTCCAGCTCCCTGTAGTGTTTTGACTCTTCCTTTGCCCCTCCAGCCTCTCCTGTCTAGTCCTTATGCACTGACTGGGGACATTCCCTTCTTTTCTCCAAACCACCTTTTTCTGCAATATTCAAGCTTTCTTCCTTCTCATTCCCCTCCCTTACACTCAATGTTTCCTTTCTTTTCACCAGTCCACCTGTCTGTTCCTCATAATTCTATTTTGTTTCCCTTTTACTTTCTTACTTGAATTTCTCACTTGGTTACTCTTGGTGGCCAACAGTAAAGATATGGAGAAGTCTGTTAAAAGATTTACATTTCCCAAAATCAATATTCCTTTTTAAAGCTGTCATCATATTCAGTTATGTAAAGCATCCCTCTTTTAGTTCTTAGGTTTTGTCTCATTGGGAGTGTTTTATATCTGCTTCTGAGACTCTCTCCTTTTAAAGCCACTCATGCTCTGAGAATGTTCGCCCATTATACTCATCTAAGAACTGCTGTATGTCGCTGACTTCTGTATCTTATGCCTTGAGTCCTCACTGTACTCCAGTTCCATTTTTGTTAAATTCCCACAGAGCTCTTCTATTGGTGATTCCAAGCCATCTCCAACTGAGCATGCCTGAGACTGAGCTCTTGATATTGATAGCCAAGCAAGGCTGCTTTATACACTTTCTGGTGTCTTTTCTTTTCTTGTTTCTTTGGTGAAATAGTTTTATTACTCTTTTTGATATCTTCCGCACTTCTCCTTTATAGCTAACATGAACCTATCTCCTGTTGTCTTATTCTCAGAAGATATTTTCTTGTCTTCCCATGGAAAACAATACATCTATCTCAATAAACTGTATCAAAAGCTGTATATTGTCCTACTATTTTTGTCAAGAACACAATTTATGCTATATTTATTGCTATTAAAACCTAAATTCTTGCCTTGAGTTTAACTTATTTTTTAATTATATTATTCCCTGGCATAAGTTACTTGTGACCCATACCCCCAACATTTCTTTCTCTCTTCCTGTCTTTTTCTCTCACATATGCCTTCTCAATTTCAAACTCTTCCCTTTAGTTCATTCTGTTTATTTCTTTATGGGTTACTTTTATTTTAAAAAACTTTTCTGCTAAGCAATAAAAGGGAATGAACTATTGACATATGCAATCAGATGGATGAATCTCAAAATAATTATGGTTACTGAAATAAACCAGAAAAAAAAGAGTATGTAGCTGTTGATATGAAAATTCTAGTTAATGCAGTCTAATTTGCAGTGATTAAAAATCAGATATATGGTTGCCTGTGAAGCTAGGAAGTGGGGTGTGGCGAGTGGTCGGAGCAGTGTGGGAATGGTGGGGACAGGGGAAAATAGACAGAGGAGGTAGGGAAGTTCCTGAAGATGAGAATATAAAGAGAAAAAGAATACAAAGAGGAAGAGAAAAAGAATACAAAGAGGAAGAGAAAAAGAATACAAACAGGAAGAGAGAAATTTTTTAATGTGTATATGGTTGTTACTGAGGTGATGTGTTCCAGGCCATATATATAATTAAAACGTACCAAATAATACGTTTTAAAATGTGCAGTTTATTATATGTTTATGATACATTAATAAAGCTTAAAAAAAAACCTCTTCTAAGGAGGCAAGAAGCAAACATTTAAGTTGCTTAAGTATTGTGCAAGCAGCAGGCCCTTGCTGCTAAACCAAACCATATTGCCTAAGCACCCAGTCAAAACTCCTCAGTCTAACTTTGAAGATATCTCTTAAACTGGCCCTAACTGACTTTTTTTTTCAAATTCACCACTCATTACTGTTTCACATTTTAATTCTCCTGCCAGCCTGGCAACTTGTTCCCAATATACCCTGTTGCTATCGCCATCTTTGTAAATATTATTCTAGCAATACACCCAGCAAGCTCTTTGGCCCCACTCCCTTCCACGATTATCTCAGCCCATGGTTGTCACTCTTTTTTCTCAGCTATCTTTGTACTTATGGTCTTTATCTTGTCTTTGAGTGTTAACACAGTGTTGAAAAATATTTTTGTGGACGATTTTCCTAATTTTTAATGCTGTTTTGATTTTCTGTTTATGCCATAGAGCTCAACTCAGTTAAATATGAAGTAAAATCAACCACTTAAAAAAGGGAAGCCCATGTATTGTGCTGTTGAATGATAATGAAATTTTGAAAATGTCCAAACTAACATTCCACCTTCCCATTTGCTCACCCCTGGGCCCAGGGTCAAAAACTCTCCTAGGAGTAGGCAAGTGTCCTCTTTAGGGGAGTTGTTTATTGTTCAAAGTGGACCTTATGTTTCGGCTTCTCCGGAATCATATCTAAGAAGTTCAGATATTCCTCTTCTCCATGCCAAGACAGCCTACAAATGGGAATTATACTGGGTGTCAGAGCATTCCCTTGACAGGCCCAGATGCAATGACAGCTCAGGTGTCCTCACAGGATCTCCTCCTCTATCTTTTCCACAGAAGAACTCATTTTATCATTGGTTTCTTTCTTCCGATACTGTTTTCTGGGGGGTGGTGGTGAAGGTCCCTTATTTCATGAATGCCATTTTTAGCTTTAGATTTATGATGTTTTTGTTCCAAAACAAATCTCTACTAATTCTAAAGTGTAGACACTATTTTCAAAAAGAGAAGACTTGAAAGAAATGTTCTCCCACAGAGGTTTTTTTTTCTCCTGTATTATTCCAAGCTACTTAATTATCTAATCACATTTAGAACTGTAGATATGTAAGTTAATCTTATACAACCTTGTATATTTAATGCATGTTACCTAAACTGTAATTTTCAGTTCTAAGTTAATTGTTTTATAGAAAATGGCTACATTCAGACTTTCCAAAATAGGCCTTTATGTTCATTAGGTCTCCTTGTTACATACCAGTTCCATAATTCTTAAAATAAAACTTTATTTCCTTGGCACTTGTATTGGGTAAAGACATTAGCCTTGGAAGGACTGGCTAATATTTATTGACCAATTCAATATATTTCTCAATATATTGAATTTACCTCAGAAAATAAAGTCAATGCTTTGTAAAATTGTATGAAATAATGATGTTATTGAATTATACTGACACTGAAGCAGAAGTAGCCAAATAATTATTTAAGGATATCACTGTACTCTTCCAGAACATGAAATGGTTGAGCATGTCATACAATGCAGGCACAAAGCTTCTTTCACTTTGGTTGTAATGTCTGCTATAAAATCAAATAAAGATAATATAAACACAGTAATGAAACTACTACTAATTGTGAAATCTTCCATCAAAGGCAATCTCAATTTTTGGCTTTTTAACCTATTTTTATATAATTACATTTTTAATGTAAAATATTAGCATTTCAAATGCAAAGTTATATGAAAAAATATGCCGTTTCATTCCTTTCGCTGTCCCTTCCCAACCCATTTTCACTCACACCGATGGGCAACTAATTAAATAGTTTCTCGTTAATCCATCCTGCATTTTCTGTTTGTTGGCTTGTTGTGTGTGCTTTTTAAAAATAAGTATATCTACATTTATATTTACTCTACCTGATTCTCCATATTTATTTATCCCTTATTTGTTCCTAATTTCTTCCAGAAAAGTTAGAATACTATATATATTCCTTGGTACCCAGATTTTTTTCACTTATTTTTTTTCCTGGGAAATTACTATGTATGTCCTCTTAGAGATATTTGTCATCTTTAAATTTTTGTTTGTTTGTTTGTTTGTTTTTACTAACTACATAGCATTCCTCTGTGTGGATATTCAGTAGTTAATTCAACCAATACCCTATATGTGGCGATTCAAAATTATCAAACACATTTCAAATACAAGTAATATCACAATGAATAACCACCCCCCCCCCATATTTCATAGCAGATGTATTTTTAAGGTGAATTCCCAGATGAGAGATTGCTGGTTCAAAAGATGATTGCATAGGATGTGTAGTTCTGAAATAAAATGGTCTAGACTCACATTTCTCTGCTTTTCCCCTTTAAATGCAACTACATTCCCTAGAGACTATTCTACAGTGATGACAGGACTCTGAATGAGGAGAAATAGATACATAAAGACTGGCTAGAGACCTTGAGACTTTATAAATGTCATCATAAATGGTTCTCTGGGTTTTCTTTTATCTCTAATATAATCCTTGATTGGGCACCAGAGAGGTCTGCAACCTGGAACTGTCAATAGGAATACACAAGAACACCAAGAAAAATTGCCCTTTCTGGCCAAAGGACAGAAAAGTGGAAGATCAGCAGAGAACTAGTAGGGAACCCAGCTCCCATTCCACAACCTGAGCACCTGTAGGCAGTCTAATGCATTGGCAGGAGTGGCAGCAGCACAGAAGGAAACCCTAGGCCATTCTAGCTTCCACTCTACAACCTAGGCATCAGAGAGTCGTGTCATCTGCCTACAGGTCAGCAGTGTAGGTGACCTTCATTCCCTGCCCTCCATACCTGCAAATTTCACCCCACTAGAAGGTCAACAGGTGGCCCAGAGAAGTGATTTCTGCCCACATAGATGGTTCCAGCAGACATTGAGTGAGAGCTCAATAACATCAGAAGAACCAGAACAGAATAACATTGTAAGCGCTGAGAAAACTAAACTGCCATTGGAACTGAGTCCCGCAAAAGTATACCAGAACCTATATGCTAAACAAGGCTACCGTGTACTATGATAGAAAATTTATATAGGATCCAGGGATTTACACAGGATCAAGCATAATAACCAAAATGTCCAAGATACAATCAAAATCATTTGGCATACTAAAAGTGAGACAAATCACAATTTGAATGAGAGATGACATTCAACAGATGTCAATATGCAGATGAATCAGATGTTGAAATTATCCGCTAAGGATTTTAAAACAGCCATCTTAAAAATGCTTCAATATCTAATGGACATTTATAGAGCACTTCACCCAAAAGCAGCTGAATACAAAATTGTTTTAAGTGTCCGTAGAACACTCACAAAGATAGAGTATATCCTGAACAATAAGACATACCTTAACAAACCTAAAAAATTAAAATCATAAAGAGTATGTTCTCTGACCATAATGAAGTAAGCCAGAAATCAATAAGAAAATTCCTCAGGATACAGAATGAAAAAACATTAATTGCATTTCTATACGCTGACAAATGGATATTAAAATTTTAAAAATAGGACTATTTTTAGTAACTTTAAAGAAACTGAAATACTTAGATTTAAATCTTATAAAACAGGAGTGATGTCACCAAAATGGCAGAGTAGAAGCAAGCTGGCTTCACTTTCCCTTGACAGAAAACCTAAAAAAAAATACGGCACTAAGATTATCATCAGCAATATTCCAGAACTCAAATATGAAAATGAGACAGTTCCTGGGTCGACAGAGAAATGAAAAAAAACTCTGTGCAGAGGGTGAAAAAAAAATCAGACATTTACATTTGAGATCCCTGTTCCTTGGTCTGCCAGGCACAAAACCCAAGGAAAATTTCTCCCTGACTCATGATTACTATACAGGAAAACGTGAGATCAAGGGGGACAACCAGCTTCCCCACCATCTTGGGTTCCTTGGCAGAAGACCCGTCCCTCCTCAAACCGTTGGAAACATCACAAATGCCCAAAGGGAGAAAAATTCCTGAGGACAGCTAGAGACAAAGCGGAGAGATGGGACTAGCATCCACAGGTGAAAAACACTGCTCTGTATCGAGGCCAAAGGAGATGCCAAATCAGAGTAGCTGTTCAGCAGCACAGTGCTTTAGCGGGTACACGTGGGTCTCCTGAGCATGAACTTTTAGTCAGCCTTCCTACACTGCCAGGATGCCAGGGTATTCTCTTTGGGACCTTCCCCATCCAGGACAGGCAGCACTCTGAACTTCGTTAGTGCCGAAAAGGCAAATCTGGGCTAAAATGCCATCTAGTGCTGGAAAGGAGGTAGTGACCCAGCAAAAAGATACTGAACAGCTACATCGCAAATAAATATCTAAGCAAACATACTCAATAAAAACCCAAACAAGCCAGATAGAGTAGAATTAATAACTAATTCTTCAATGCAAAGACATATATATATATATATATATATCCACAAGAAACAACACTAGCAAATGGTGAACCATGACCTCCTCAAACAGACAAAGAAAGGAGCCAGTGATCAACCCCAACAAGAAGGCAATAGATAAACTCTCCAATCAGGAATTCAAAATAGCAGTTTTTAAGGAAACTCAGAAATCTCCAAAATAACACAAATAAGCAATTCAAAAATTTATCAGAGAAATTCAATGAAGAATTTGAAATAATTTTTAAAAATCAAACAGAAATCCTAGAACTTAGAGGTATATTTGCTTAACTAAAAAGTTCATTAGGGGCTTTTAACAGTAGAATAAATCATGCAGAGAAAAGAATCAGTGAAGTCAAAGACAGGCAATTGGAAAACACACAGTTTGTGAGAGAGAGAAAAAAAAAGAATGAAAAGGAATGAAAAATGCCCACTGTTAAGAATTAAAGAAAGAGGAAAGAAACAAAAAGTTGCTCCACAGTCAAGGACAGGTTTATTTTAGAGAAAACAAACCTGAGAGGGGCGTCTGGCTGAGTTAGGTCGTGCCCACTCTCTTACTAAGAGTTTTTAAGGATTTAGGGTAGGAGAGCTTATCAGAGGCTTGGACTGCTTCTGTGTCTCTTTTGTGTCTTTGTTGTGCTTATCTGGGAGGGAGAGTTGTGTGTCTGTTCCCATACATCCCTGCAGCTGAAGGCATACCTGCAGGGTCTGCTTTTAGCTTCCCTATCTTAGTGCACCTGAAGGGAAAGGAATGTGATTATTAAGGCCCACTGTTTTACTGGGGCCCGTTGTATGAGGGTGAGGTTTCGCAGTTACCCAAGAGACATTCCCCACACCTCCCTTCGTGCCCAAGCAGCCTCATCTGTGTTTTACTGTCTGCTCTTTCTGGCTGCTTGTAGTTGGAAGAGAAGTGATTTCCTTGAAGTGCATGAGGCTAGAAAGGGAGCTGGAGCTTAAAATGGTGGTGTTTGTCCGAAATGATGGTGTCCGAAATGATGGTGCTCCTGCTCTGTCACCCACAAGATATAAAAAAACTACCTTAAAAGAAAATCTAAAAATTATTGATATTTAAGGGGGATCTGAGAAAAAGAAAAAGATAGAAAGCTTATTCAATGAAATAATAATATAAAACTTTCCAAAACTTTAGGAAGATATAAATATTCAGGTATGCAAAGGTCAGAGATCACCAAACAGATTAAACCCAAGTAAGACTACTCCAAGTCATGCAATAAAATTCTCAAAGGTCTAGGGTAAAAGGGGATCCTAAAGACAGCCAAAGGAAATAAGCATAAATGTATAAAGAAGCTCCAATTTGGCAACAGATTTTTCAGTAAAAATCATATAGGCCAAGAGGGAGGAGGATGACATATTCAAAACAGTAAAAAAAAAAAAAATGCCTACTGAGAATATTATACCCTGAAAAGTTATCTTTCAAACATGAAGAAGAAATATAGTTTTTTTCAAAATAAACAAAAACTAAGAAAATTGATCACAACAGACCTGTATTACTAGAAATCATAGAGAGAATTTTTCAGTTTGAAAGGAAAAAGACTGACATACAAAAATAAAACATAAAAAGGCATAAACCCCCCTCATAAATAAGTACAAAGACAAGCTCAGAATACTGTAACAAGATTTTGGTATGTAATCCAATGAACTCTAGTATGAAGACTAAAAGACAAATCTACCAAAACCAATAGGTGCTACAGCAACCTGTTAAGAGATAGTCAGGATAAAAATATTTCAATTGAAACAACAAAAGTAAAAATGTGGGGGGAATGAAGTTAAAGGGTAGAGTTTGTCATTTTTCCTTTATTTCTATTATTTTCTTTGTGATAAAAGATAAGTTGCCATCTCTTTAAAATAACTTGTTATAATTATAAGATTTTTGCAAGCCTGATGGCTACCACAAAGCTAAAACCTATAAAAAATGCACTAAAAATAAAAACAATAAATTAAAACATACTACCAAAGAAAATCACGTAAGCACAAAGCATGACAGCAAGAAAAGAAAAGAGGAATTACAAAACAACCAGAAAACATGCCACAAATGGCGGCAGTAAGTCCTTACTTATCAATATTAACATTGATATAAAAGAAATAAATTCTCCAATGAAAAGATATAGAATAAATGAATGCATAAAGAAACAAAATCCAATTATATGCTGCTTATAAGAAGCCCACTTCACCTGTAAAAACACACATAGACTGAACTTGAAGGAATGGAAAAAGATATCCTATGCAAATGGAAACCAAAAAAGAGCAGGAATAGCTATATTTATATAAGATAAAATAGACAACAAATCAAAGACTGTAAAAACAAACAAACAACACTCTTTTAAAAAAGAGGTCAACTCAGCAAGAGGATATAACAACTATAAATATCTATATACCCAACACAGTAACACTCAAGTATATAAAATGAGCATTAATTGATCTAAAGAGAAAGATGAGTTGCAATACAATAATTGTTGAGACTTCAACACCCCACTTTCATTAATGGACAAATTATCTAAACAGAAAAATCGACAAAAAACAGCAGAATTAAACTACATAGTTGACCAAATGGGCCTAACTGACATTTTCAGAACATTTCACTCAATTATTGTAGAATGTGCAGTCTTCTCATCAGCACATGAAACATGCTTTAGAGCAGGCAGTATATTTGATCACAAAACAAGTCTCAACAAATTCAAAAAAGTCAAAACTATATCAATTATCTTCTCAGACAAGAATGGAATAAAACTAGACATCAATAACAAGAGAAGGCTTGTAAACTACACAACATGCTCCTGAAGAAATTAAACAACGTGCTCCTGAAGGACCAAAGGATAAATGAATAAATTAATTTAAAAATTAAAAAAATTCTTGAAACAAATGAATATAGAAATACAATATACTAAAATCTGTGGGATACAGAATAGGGAAGAGGGAAGTTTATATCAATATGTGCCTATATAAAATAGTAGTAAGGTTTCAAATAAATTACCTAATGATATATCTCAAGGAACTAGAAAAACAAAAATAAACTAACCCCAGTGATACTAGAAGGGAAGAAATAATAAATATTACAGCAGAAATAAATGAAAGCGAGACCAAAAGAACCCCCCAAATCAACAAAACAAAAAGTTGGGTTTTTGAAAAGATATACAAAATAGACAAACCTTTTTCTAGACTAAGAAAAAAAGAGAAGACTCAAATAAATAAGATCAGGAATAAAAAAGCAAGCATAACAACTGATACCACATAAATACAAGGAATCTTTAGAGGCTATTACGAACAACTATACACTAACACTTCGGAAAACCTAGACTCAGTGGATAAATTCTTGCACACATACAAAATACCAAGATTGAATCAAGAAGAAATAGAAAACAGACCAAATGTGATTTACAAGATTGAATCAGTAAAAAATTTTCTCATCAAAGATCAGCTTAGAACCTGATAGTTTCACTGCTGAATTCTGTTAAACACTTAAAAAAGAATTAATATGAATTCTATTGAAACAACTTGAAAAAATTGAAGAAGTGACAATACTTTCAAATTCATTCTAAAAGGCAGAATTACCCCAATACCAAAACCAGACAAGGCGACAACCAAAAAAGAAAACTACAGACCAATATCCCAGATGAACATAGATGCAACTATTCTCAAAGAAGTACTAGCAAACTGAATTCAACAACACATTAAAAGGATAATTTATCATAATCAAGTGGGATTCATTCCAAGGATGCAAGAATGGTTCAATGTATGCAAATTAATAAACATGATATATCACATTAACAGAACCAAGGACAAAAACCATATATTCATTTCAACAGGTGTTGAAAAACCATTTGATAAAATTCAGCATCTCTTTATGATAAAAAGTACTCAACAAAATGGGTATAGAAGGAATATACTTCAAAACAATAAAGGCATATATGACAACCCCACAGCTAACATCATACTGAATGGGGAATGCCTCTAAGCTCTGGAACAAGATAAGGACATTCACTTTCACCATGTTTATTCAACATAATACTATAAGTCCTAGTCAGAGCAATCAAGCAACAGAAACAATAAAGGGCATTGAAACTGGAGAAGAAGAAGTTAAAAGATCCTTGTTCACAGATGACACTACATTTAGAGAACTCTAAATGCATCACCAAACACTGTTAGAGTTGTTAAACAAATTCAGTAAAGTTGGAGGATATAAAATTAACATACAAAAATCAGTAGCATTTATATACACCAGCAACTGAAAAAGAAATTAAGAAAACAATTCCATTTATAATAGCAAAAAAAGTAAAATACTTAGGAATAAATTTAACCAGAGAAATGGAAGATCTTTACATGGCAACTATAAAACATTGATGAAAGAAATGAAGAGGACACAGGAAAATGGAAAAACATTTCATGCTAATGGATTTTAAGAATTAATATTGTTAAAATGTCAGTATCAAAGCAAATTCAATGCAATCTCTGTCAAAATACCAATGACGTTCTTCACAGAAATAGAAAAAATAATTCTAAAATTTACACGGAGTCACTAAAGCCTCCAAATAGCCTAAGAAATCCTGAAAAAAGACCAAAGTTGGAGGCATCACACTGCCTGACTTTAAAATATACTACAGAGCTACAGTAACCAAAACACCATGGTACCAGCATAAAAACAGACATAGACCAATGGAACATAATAGAAAACCCAGAACCAAATCCATACATTTAGGATCAAATCATTACTGAGAAAGCCTTCAAGCATTGTACATTGGAAATAAGACACACTTTTCAATAAATGGTTCTGGGAAAACTGCACATCCATATGCAAAAGAATAAGATTAGACACCTATCTGTCACCATACACAAAAATCAAATAAAAATTGATTAAAGACTTAAATCTAAGACTGGAAACGATAAAAGTAGTAAAAGGAAACACTGGGGAAATGCCCTAGAACATTGGTCTGTGTAAAGGTATTTTCAATAAGACCTCAAAATCACAGGCAACGAAAGCAAAAACAAACAAATAAGATTACATCAAGCTGAAAAGCATCTGCACAGCAAAGGAAACAATCAACAAAATGAAGAGGTAACCCACAGAATGGGAGAAAATATTTGCAAATTACCCATATGATAAGGGATAAATTATCAGAATATAAAAAGAACCCAAACAACTCAGTAGCAAAAGAACCAATAATTCAATTTTAATATGAACGAAAGATCAGTATAGACATTTCTCAGAAGACATGCAAATGGCAGACGGATATGTGAAAAAGTGCTCAGCATCACTAATAGTCTGAGAAATAAAAATCAAAACCACAATGAAATGTCATCTCACCTCAGTCAAAACTGCTTTTATCAAAAAGATAGGTAATAACAAATGCTGGCAAGGATGTGGAAAAAAGGGGACCTTTGTATACGATTGGTGGGAATATAAACTAGTACAGCCATTATGGAAAACAGTATGGAAATTACTTAAAAAATTAAATATAGAACTACTATAGGATACAACAATTCCACTATCAGGTATATATCTAAAAGAAAAGAAAGAAATATATCAAAGAGATATATCCACTCCAATGTTTATTGTGACACTATTCAAATAATCAAAATATGGAATCAACCTAGTACCCATAAGTAAGTGAATAGATAGAGAAAATGTGGTATATACACATGTATCAGTCTGCTCTCACACTGCTATAAAGAACTACCTGAGACCGGGTAATTTATGAAGAAAAGAAGTTTAGTTGACCCACAGTTCCACAGGCTTAACAGAAAGCACAGCTGAGAGTTCTCAGAAACTGATAATCATGATGGAAAGCAAAAGGGAAGCATGCACATCTTACTATGGTGAAGTTGGAGAGAGAGAGAGAGAGAGAGAGAGAAGGAGAGATAAGTCACACACTTTTACACCATCAGATCTTGTGAGAATGCACTATCATGAGAACAGCAAGGGAGAAATCCATCCCTGATATGGTTTGGCTGTGTCCCCACACAAGTCTCATCTTGAATTGTAGTTTTCATAATCCCCACATGTCATGGGAGGAACCCAGTGGGAGGTACTTGAATAATGGGGGGTGGTTTCCCCCATGCTATTCTCATGATAGTGAGTAAATTCTCATGAGATCTGATGGTTTTATGAGGGGCTTCCCCATTTGCTTGGTTCTCATTCTTCTCTCTCCTGCCACCTTGTGAAGAAGGACGTGTTTGCTTCCCCTTCTGCCATGATTGTAAGTTTCCTGAGGCCTCCCCAGCCCTGTGGAACTGTGAGTCAGTTAAACCTCTTTCCTTTATAAATTACCTAGTTTCAGGTATGGCCTTATAGCAGTGTGAGAATGGACTAATACAGCTCCCATGATCCAATCATCTCCCACCAGTACCCTCCCCTGACATGTAGGGATACAAATTGAGATGAGATTTGGACAGTTACACACAACCAATACATATAAATACACAATAGAATAATATTCAGCTATAAGAAAAGTGAAACCCTATAATTTCCAGCAACATGGATGGAACAGGAGGCACTTTGTTAAGCGAAACAAGCCAGGAACAGGAAGATGAACATCACATGTTTTCACTCATATGCAAGAGCTTAAAAAGTGAATCACATGAAGTCAGAGGGTAGATTGATGGTTACCATAGGTTAGGAAGGGTAGGGAATCAGGGGATTGAAAAGAAGTTGATTAATGGGTACAAAAATTCAGTTAGATAGAAGAAATAAGACCTATTATTTGATAAATAAGTAGAGTGACTATAGGAAACACTAATCTATTATATATTTCGTAATAGCTAGAAGAAAATAATTTGTATGTTTTCAGCATAAAGGAAAGTTAAATGTTTAATGTGATGGATATAAAAATTAATCTTATTTGAAAATTATATATTATGCAAATGTATCAAAATATCACATATACCCCCAAAATATGTACATATATCATGAATCAATATAATACATAAATAAATAAATAGACTTGGTTTCCAGAAAAAAATAAAAAAAAATAAATCTTAGAAAACATACAAAGGATCTTGATGATGAAAATTAAAAAGTTGATGACAGAAATGAAAGAAAACATAAATACTTCTAGGCACCATATTTATAGTTTGAAAAACTCAATATAATAAGGATGTACATTCTCTTTTAATTTATCTATAGATTTAACATATTTCTTCTATCTGTATTTCAGTAAGGGTTTTTCTTTACAAAAGCAATCTTATAAAATTTATGTGAAAAATGAAGACCCTAGAATAGCACTATTCTAGGAGAATAAAGTGAGAGAAATCATTCTTCTTAACATACTATATAGACACAGTAATCCAGATAGTGTGGTACTATTGGAGTAATAGACACATAGATAAATGGAACAGAATAGGAAAACCAGAAATATATCCTCACAAATATGCTGAATGAGTTTTTGACCAAGTTGCAAAAGCAATTTAATGCAAGAGAAATTGCTTTTTAAATAAATGGTGCTGGAGCAGTTAGACATCCTTAGGCAAAAAGAGTCTCGACTAACTCTATAATACAATCTTCTACCAGAACTAACTCAAAGTACATAAGGAATGTAAATATAAAATATAAAACTATGAAATTCTAGAAAATAAATAGGTTAAAATCTTGGGCACCTAGAACTAGGTGAAGAGGTCTTAGACATGACTCCAAAAGTATAACATGTAAAAGGAAAATTGATCGGACATCTGGAAAATTTAAAAAATTCACTCTGTGAAAGAGTTTGTTAAAAAAATGGAAAGATAAGCTGACGACTGTGAGAAAATATTTGCAAACCACATATCCAACAAAATATCTAGAATATATTAAGATTTCTCAAAACTCAGCAATAAACAATCCAATTAGAAGATGAGAAAAAGACATAAACAGACATTTGATAGAAGAGATACTGATGCCAAATAAGCACATGCAAAGATGTGTAACATCATTGGCCATTGAAGAAATAAAAACTAAAACCACAATAAGATATGACTAATGCTCATCAGAATGGCTAAAATAAAAGCAATAATGATAACACAAACACTAGTGTGGATGTGGGGAGAGTGTCACTCATATGTGGTACATCAACTGTGAGAAATAATTTGGAGGTTATTTATAAACTAAAATGGACCTACCATATGACCTGGCAATTACCCTCTTAGGCATACATCTCAGAGAAATAACTTATTTTCCCTCAGAAAATTACGAATAGATATTCACAGCACCTTAATTTGTAGTACTCAGAAGCCCAAATGTGCTTCGGTGGTTGAATAATTAAGCAAAGGTGGTATATCTATGGCATAAACTCAGAAATAAAAGGGAATGAACCATTAATACACGCAGCAACTTGAATGAACCTTAAGGAAATTGTTTTTAATGGCAAAAAAGGCTAATATCAAAAGGAAACAGGTTGCATGTTTTCATTTACATAACACTTGTGAAATAGCTTAAGTATTGCCATGAAGTACATATTAGTTATTGCCAGGGCTCAGGGTGGGATGTAGGGTGGGTGTGGATATAAGTAGGTAGGATGAGGAAGTCTTGTGGTAATGGATGGTTAAGTATTTAATATCTTGATTTTGGTAGTGAACCAATGTCAACAGTCTGATGTTGATAATGTAAAATGGTGACATTGGGAAAGTATAGGTGAAAGGGTACACGTGAACTCCCTGTATTATTTCTTTTCACTTTACTATAAATCTATAATTATTGAAAAATTAAGTTTAAAAGATGAGGGTATATGTTGGTTTGTTATATATGGCTGAATTCTCCTGCAAGGGTTGTAATATTTTTCTCTGCACCAGTAATAACGCTTTTAAGTTGTCCATCTTTTTGCTAATTTTAGAGCAGAGAAATGGTATCCTAGTATTCATTTGCATTTCTCTTATTATGAATATGTTAACACAATGTCAAAGCAAATTCACATGAATCATAAAATTTTCCAACCTCAATCTTAACTAATGATTTTAAGGATTCAAGCCAGAAGTAGACATGGACAGAATTTAGTTTTAGATGACAGGGAGTTATTCATACACTGCATCCTAATTGTCTTTTTTTTCCCTAAAGTAATGTGCAGTTTCAACTTGGATTAACAGACATTTCTGAAGAATATATGCAAATACATTGTTTTCAAAGACATCAATTTCAGTTTTGGGGCTCCCCAGCTTTATGCTTTGTTACTTACACAGATAAAGAAATGCCTATATGATTAACTCCCATCACCAGCTCTGCCTCAGAAATCCATAAGCGTTATGTTTATTTGCAATAACTGTCCTGGTGCATGCCATCTGAATAAAAAGCATTTTTATAGACTGAATCTCTGTTATTCAGCCACTTGTTTACTAGGAGATCTGATATAGGTTGTTAACCTATGTGTAAAGAAATCTGGTGTAAGTTAATAATTACCATGGACATTCTGCTTAGGGAGGGATGAAGCACAAGTCTCTGTTAATTTATTTCCAAGGAATACAGTTAGCCAAGGCAATCCTAAGCAAAAAGAACAAAGCCAGAGGCATCGCACTACTTGACCTCAGACTATACTATAGGGCTACAGTAACCAAAACAGCATGGTACTGGTACAAGGGCAGGCACATAGACCAATAGAACAGAATAGAGAACCCAGAAATAAGGCCAGACACCTACAACCATCTGATCTTTAACAAAACTGACAAAAACAAGCAATGGAGTGAAGACTTCCTATTCAATAAACGGTGCTGGGATAACAGGCTAGCCATATGCAAAAGATTGAAGTTAGACCCCTTTCTTACACCATATACAAAAATCAACTAAAGATGGATTAAAGACTTAAATGTAAAACCCAAAACTATAACAATCCTGGAAGACAACCTAGGTAATACCATCCTGGACATAAGAATGGGTAAAGATTTTATGACAAAGACACCTGGTGCAACCTCAACAAAAGCAAAAATTGACAAATGGGATCTAATTAAACTTAAGAGCTTCTGCACAGCAAAAGAAATGATTAACAGAGTAAACAGGCAACCTACAAAATGTGAGAAAATATTTGCAAACTATGCATCTGACAAAGGTCTAATATCCAGCATCTATAAGGAACTCAAACAAATTTACAAGAGAAAATCAAACAACCCTATTAAAAAGTGGGCAAAAGACATGAATAGACAGTTTTCAAAAGAAGACATATATGGAGCCAATAATTATGTAAACAAAGCTCAACATCACTGATTATTAGAGAAATTTAAATCAAAGCCACCATGAGATACCTTCTCACACCAGTCAGAATGGCTATTAATAAAAAGTCAAAAAATAGCAGATGCTGGGGAGGTTGTGGAGGAAAAGAACACATACACTGTTGGTGGAAGTGTAAATTAAATTGGTTCAACCATCGTTGAAGACAGTGTGGTGATTCCTCAAAGACCTAAAGACAGAAATACCATTGGACCCAGCAATTCCATTACTGAGAGATACGGTTTGGCTATGTTTCCATTCAAATCTCAACTTGAATTGTATCTCCCAGAATTCCCACATATTGTGAGAGGGACCCAGGGGGAAGCAATTGAATCATGAGGGCTGGTCTTTCTCATGCTAATCTCATGATAGTGAAAATGTCTCATGAGATCTGATGGATTTGTCAGGGGTTTCTGCTTTTGCTTCTTCCTCATTCTCTCTTGCTGCCACACTGTAAGAAGTGCCTTTCACCTCCCACCAGATTCTGAGGCCTCCCCAGCCATATGGAACTGTATGTCCAAGTAAACCTCTTTTTCTTCCCATCTTGGGTATGTCATTATCAGTAGCATGAAAATGGACTAATATGCTGGGTACATACCCAAAGGAATATAAATCATTCTATTATAAAGACACATGCATGTTTATGTTCATTGCAGCACTATTCACAATAGTAAAGACATGGAATCAACCTAAATGCCCATCAGTGGTGGACTGGATAAAGAAAATGTGATACGTATACACTACAGAATACTATGCAGCCATAAAAATGAATGAGATCATGTCCTTTGCAGGAAAATGGATGGAGCTGGAGGCAATTATCCTTAGCAAACTAATGCTGGAAGAGAAAACCAAATACCACATGTTTTCACTTGTAAGTGAGAGCTAAATGATGAGAACACATGGACACATAGAGAAGAACGACACACACTGGGGCCTACCAGAAGGAGGAGAGGTGGGGGAGGGAGAAGATCATGAAAATAACTAATAGATACTAGGCTTAATACCTGGATGATGAAATAATCTATACAACAAACTCCATGACACATGTTTACCTATGTAACGAACCTGTGCATCCTACCTATGTACCCCTGAAATTAAAAGTAAAAAAAAATTAGAGGGTGTTGAAATTTTATTTTTATTTATACCTGGCTATTAAGAGGCAACATCTAAGCTCTTGGAATATTGTGCCTGATAAGAGTGTCTTTGTTTACTTGGGGCCTTGGGCACCCCATACAGTCTGTGTGAACAATATAATTTATGGAGTGGGCCTTGGTTCATGCAGTACCAGCCAGACCTGTGCAGGGGCTGGAGGTTCAGGTCAAGTACCCAGGAAGTCAATCATACCTATTTGACTTACCTCCAATAGAAACTCTGGACACACTGGGCTTGAGTGTGCTTCCCTGGTTGACGATAGACTGTATGAATTGTCACATATTGTAAAACAATAAAGTTGAGCATTTTTTCATGTTAAAGTAGCATTTGAATATCTATTTTACAAATTTCCTTTTCATGTCTTTTGCCTGTTTTTAAAATTGTGTCTTTTCTGTTTCAGTTGATTTTTAAGATTTTCTTTCTCAAAGGGAAACTGCAACAACACAACAACAACAACGAAAATGTACCTAGAAAGGATAAAAGGGTCCCTGGGGACAAATCATTGTGATGTGGAACCAAAATACATCATAAGCATAATTAACATGGTCCAGGACAGCATAGAACATCTATATCAGTCTTCCTTATACAATAATCACGAAAACTGATCAATGAATTTCTTTAACATGTACAAAAAACTGTCATGGGCTGGTTTAAACTTTTGCAACAGTTTTAAAGTTAACAGGATAACTAAAGAAATGATGCAGACATTTTAATCCAGTGCTATAGGTAGGCTCAAAGAATTAGACTCAAAGATTTGTAAAAATAAAAATGAAAACAGTATAGCTACAATGTCAAAGTCAGGAAAGAAGAAAATTTACTTCTGTATTCAAGGATTACAGTGGTACGAAATGCAGTCTGCGTGTTTTTGTTTGTAATGAGATGGATAAGTACATCAGACTAGATACAACATGCAGAATATTTTCCTGAACTTACCCAGAAATTCTAAAGAAAACATCACGAAACAGCTCACTAGAAAAAAAAAATGCCCTAGTTATTTACCCTGCTTCAACACTGTTAACGTAAAGGCAGAAATAAAGAAAGCTATCAATACCTCAGAACTACTGATATAAGACATCACATTTCTAAATCAGTGTATTCAAAAAGTGAACACTTTCTCTTTTTTCTCTCTTCTACATTTAACTAGAATCATGTTTTAAAAAATTGATATTAAATGTGACACTTCAGAGCTACTACTAGAAGCAGTAATTCATAACTTGCCTACCCTCCTTCCATCCCTGCTGATTCAGGAGAAGGGGGAAAAAACAAAGAAAACAAAACAAAAAACTAACCAGGGTGTCTTGTAGATTTGCTGCTATGCCACAAAATGTTGGCATTTGCTGCCATGCCACAATGTTGGTCCACTGAAATAGGATTTCTGCGGAAACTGTCAACAGTAATTCACCATATGCAAGTACCATCCTTAGCATGTGAGAATAATAACAGGTTCTGTAGAAATGTACAATGTGCTGAAGATAATGAAAATTGTAGCACTGCATTTGAGATTTATTTGTCTACTTATCTAGTAAAACTTGTCATTTTTGCTCACTTAATTATGGTCATTTGTGATTCCTTTAAATAGCAAAAATGCACAGTGCCCTTTAGGCCTCTACTCAATAATAGTTTACATTACTCTTAACAAAATCATTCTACATAAACTGATAGCTCCTTAAAAAGAGTACTCTCTCATTAAATCTAATTTGACAGAAAGAAGTTTAAGGAAAAAAGGAGTGTTTTATAAGTGAAAAACTACAGATCTTTGGCCTTTCTCTTGACATTTTCATATGTCAAAAAGCAAAAATACCTTCAGGTAATTCAATCTAGTGATTACTTTTTGCACCATAATTTGTTTTTTACACCACAAGAGGAGTCACTTTCAGTATCTGTAAAAGGTATTTAATCCTAAAACATACTTACCTAGAGAATAATTAAAACAATTCAATACACTCTAATATCTATTAGGAAGTTAAGAGTTACCAGTTTAAAAGTCTTTTGAAAGTCAATGATGTTACCTGGTCAATGGCAGGAAATAGGGATTGGAACAAATATAAGAACTTATGGGATTTCCTACATGAAGGCGAAAAAAGATATTCCTTTATGTTGTTTAAAAGTAGCAGCTACTCTTTCTTTATTTCATTTTAATCAATTAGTATTCATTCAAGTTTTCCCTTCTATTTTTCCTTGTAAGTTTCTTACAGTAGCTTATACAACAATGAATAGCAAACAAAAACTACTGGATTCAATTGATCATCAGAAATAAGTTCTCAGAAAAACACAGGTGGAAAAATGAGCGAGAATCCCAAATACAGAAATTTACAAGGTGTGAAACTTCATCTCTTGCAATCGTGTTACTGCTCAAATTAGAGACAATCTTATTTCTATCTATTGGAGCAGCATCTTGGCACATCAACAGGCAATGATGAGGTTGAGAACAGCAGCAAAAATAAACAATCGTATGCTCATGAAGAACCCAAGCCTACCAGATGGATGCCTTTCAGAAAAGCGTATACTTAAAAGACCCAAGACGTCAGGATGATAAAGCTCTGTATTTATAGTCTTTTATATGTCCTTTTGTATGTCCTATTGTGGCTACTATGCTTAAGTAAAATAGCTACAGGAAAAAAAAAAAAGATGACAATATAATAAAAATGTAGCTGTCTCTTTTGGCAGCTATATTGCAGAATTTCTTGACTATCTTTTGATCAGCTGGGGAAAAGTCAATAACTGAATGCAAACGAATAAATTGTCCATATAAAAATACAAAAGTACTGTCAATAATCACCTCTGACTTTCAGGTTTAAATTCAGTGCAATTGACAAATGCATTGCTAAAGGAAAATGCAACTTAAAAGATACTCAAAACATTTGGGTCTATTGCTGGGACCACATTTCAAAATTCTTGCACAGATTTTTTTTAATTTTAATTTTAATTTTTAAACAATAACAGAGATCAACCACAGATGTGGACCTCTAGCAATAAAAGCAGGAATTCAAGTGCCAGATATTCAGCATATTAGGTTTCCTACAGAAGTCACAGGTTAAGAAGTTCTAAATATCTCTAATGTGATTCAAAACCCTAAAAAGAGCTGGCACAAAACCATCGTGAATGACTGCCTCTACTGATGCAAATTTTTTTTTTTTTTTGAGATGGAGTCTCACTCTGTCATCCAGGCTGGAGTGCAATGGTGTGGTCTCGGCTCACTGCAACCTCCGCCTCCTGGGTTCAAGCGATTCTCCTGCCTCAGCTTCCTGAGTAGCTGGGACTACAGGCGCATGCCACCTCACCCGGCTAATTTTTGTATTTTTAGTAGAGACGGGGTTTCACTATGTTGGCCAGGCTGGTCTCCAACACCTGACCTCGTGATCTGCCCACCTTGGCCTCCCAAAGTGCTGGGATTACAGGCATGAGCCACCGCGCCAGGCCTGTATGTAAATTTTTAAAAATATTATTACGGTATCATAGTCCCCACTAACAACAACTGGGATACATATAACAATGTATTGTGAAATTAAGTGTATTTATAATCTCTACCAATAGCAAATGCTACCCTACCTTGGTAAAACCAAGAGTTGCTTCAATCAATGCTGTTTTGTAAAAATAGCAAAGCAACAATTGCTGAAAATCAAAGTTGCATTCCTTGGGTTAAGCCAGTTTCTACTTAAACTTTAGTACTAAAAGGCCTCAAAATAATTCATGACAGAAATAGTGTTATTAATTTGCCAAGCTCAACAATAAGGAATTCCTTGATTAAAATCTTTGAGATATAAATTTGATGACCTTTCTCTTTAGAGATGACATACCTGGATTATACTAATCATGACAAGCCTTATTAGTCACACTTATAAACATGGCCTCATGCAATCGTTTGTCTGTATATGTTACTCTTAGTTGCATGAGAACAAGAGGTTTAATTTAATGTCTATGTCTTTAAGAAAATACTTGATATTATAAACAGAGTAAAAGACATGATAAAGTAGTGATACTGAAACAAAAATTAGCTGCTTAAATCTATCTATATTTGAAAAAATGTAGTCACAAGTATCACAAGTGCAGAATCAGAGCAGCAGGCAGAAGGTTAGTGCAATTATACTTTCATAAAAAAAAAAATCGCAATCACTGCTATTTAAAAACACCTTGAAGCAAGTCTTTTGTTTTAGAGATTGTTTTTTAAACTAAGGTAGCAAACATTTTGCCATGTAATGGAAGTGTTATATGCCGTTATCTTGCTTTGTATAAAGAAAACAACATGAGAGATTTCTAATAGTGGAGTTTGGTTACATTACATATTTAAGCTTCTACACAGAATGATAGACAATTCGAGAAGCGAATCCTTACCCAGAAACATTTCAATCTCTCAAAAAAAAAGCAAAACAAACAAACAAACAAACAAACAACAAAAAACCCAAAACTACTTTGCTCCTTTTCACAATAGTGCACATTTTTACCATAATTTATTTATGGCTACAAAACATCAGAAGTGGTTTTTTTTTTTTTTTTTTTTTTTTTTTTTTTTTTTTTGAGTTGGCGTCTCGCTCTGTCACCCAGGCTGGAGTGCAGTGGCGCGATCTCTGCTCACTGCAACCTCCGCCTCCCGGGTTCAAGCGATTCTCCTGCCTCAGCCTCCTGAGTAGCTGGGATTACAGGCGCCCGCCACTGCGCCTGGCTAATTTTTGTATTTTTGGTAGAGATGGTGTTTCACCATCTTGGCCAGGCTGGTCAAGAACTCCTGACCTCAGGTGATTCACCCGCCTTGGCCTCCCAAAGTGCTGGGATTATAGGTGTGAGCCACTGCATCCAGCCAATTTTTTAAAAAGGTATTTTCTCTATGGTAATTAAAACAACAACAACAACATTTTGTGCCCTTCTAGTCTTTAATTGGTAGAAATATGTCCCCCAAAAGAAACTATTGCATTTATGCCACATCGCCTAAAAAGAAAAAACAAACAAACAAAGAACCAAAACCAACAGAACATAATACACCTTTTATGGATGTGTCTTACAGACTGACATGACCAAAGTCATGTTTTCATTTAATTTCCAATTCTCCCTTCCACAACATGCACCAATTGAATATGTGCTCTGGGAGCCATAAAATGTACCAAACATCTACCTCTTCAAAAGAATGCATTAAAATATTTTAAAGAATTTTTTGTTGTTTAAAAGCTGAAAAAATATAAACAAGAAACTGATTCATTCCCTTACTTCATGCACCCATAATCTAAACCAAAAACAAAATTTTAAAGCAAGAACAAACTACCACTGCAAGTTTTTGTGTCCATTTTCTCTGTACATACAAACTGCTCACTACTGAAGGGAAAAAAGAATATAATCCTTGGTGTCTGCGGATTCAAAGGGGAGAAACGAGGCTGTCAGGTGGTATCCAAAAACTGGTACATGTATGTTCTGCTTTTATAATGTGTATTTTTCTCTCTTCTGTTTTTCATATCCAAAACTTCTAAATGCTATTTTAGGGGCACAGTAGATTAGATTCCAGCACTTGGTGAACAGAATTCACAAGCTGTGACAAAACTGTCATCTTCAGGGTGCAATTTTGTTTATATACATTGTATGTATATATTTCTTTCTGTTTTTCTTTTCTTTTCTTTTTTTTTTTTGAGAAGGAGTCTCGCTCTGTTGCCTAGTCTGGAGTGCAGTGGCACAATCTCTGCTCACTGCAACCTCCGCCTCCCAGGTTCAAGCGATTCTCCTGTCTCAGCCTCCCGAGTAGCTGGGACTACAGGCACGCACCACCATGCCCGGCTAATTTTTGTATTTTTAGAAGAGACAGGGTTTCACCATATTGGCCAGGCTTGTCTCGAACTCCTGACCCTTGATCCGTCTGCCTCTGTCTCCCAAAGTGCTGGGATTACAAGCATGAGCCTCTGCGCCCAGCCTATATTTCTTTTAGATTTGGCTGTAGTCGACTGGCCATGGTTCAAGTGGGACTATAGCAGTACGTGGGTCAGGGACAGTCATTTTGGCTATGTACACATTCATAGTTGGTCCATGGCTTCCAACTAGTAGCGCTATTTCCGAAAGTCTAATACACAAACTGAACCATCTGATGCACTGGCTCCAACTTTGTCTCCTGCGGCATTCCAGCAAACTTCAAAAATTCCATCTGTTCCCCTACAGTGTGAACTAGAGCACCTGTCTGTGTGTTCCAGATGTGTACACATTTGTCAAAAGAATTGCTGGCCAGATACCGGCCATCAGGACTGAAAGCTACACTGTACACAGGCTTCTCATTCAGCATTTACCTTCGGTATAGAAAGCCGTATCAGTCAGTCCAATATAAATGGTGCCCTCGTCCCACCTGCTGCATTGATTTCTATCATCCAGAAAGGTCTACAGTATGTAGAAGCAGAAGTTAGTATTAATGAGGATGGTACTTTCTTTGATGGTCGACCAATGAGTCTGTCCCTGATAGACGCCTTAATGCCTGATGTAGTACAAACAAGACAACAAGCTTATAGCGATAAGCTTAAACAGCAACAGGCAGCAGCTGCCACAGCCAACCAACAAGGATCTGCAAAAAAAAAAAAAAAAAAAAAAAAAAAAAAAAATGCAGAAAACACAGCAAATGGGGAGGAGAATGGAGCACATATTATAGCAAATAATCATACTGATACGATGGAAGTGGATGGAGATATTGAAATCCCTCCTAATAAAGCAGGACAAGGATAAATTCATGTCCTTTGCAGGGATGTGGATGAAGTCCTGTTGGACTCCATTTGATAGGATAAATTTCTTTATTATGTGCTTGCAAATCATGGACACAATTGTCTTGTTTCATACTCCATATCTTTAAAGTCATGTCATCAGAACAAGAGGCCAGGAGATTGCCAGTTGGGTCCCATTTGATAGCATTTACTTCATTCTTATGTCCCTGGAATGTTTTAATAGGTCTGTCTTGTGACCCAGTGATCCCATTACTCAGTATATACCCAAAGGATTATAAATAATGCTACTATAAAGACACATGCACATGTATGTTTATTGCAGCACAATTCACATTAGCAAAGACTTGGAACCAACCCAAGTGTTCATCAATTAGGAAAATGTGGCACATATACACCATGGAATACTATGCGGCCATAAAGAAGGATAAGTTCATGTCCTTTGCAGGGACGTGGATGAAGCTGGAAACCATCATTCTGAGCAATCTATCCCGAAGACAGAAAACCAAACACTGGACGTTCTCCCTCATAGGCAAGAGTTGAACAATGAGAATGCACGGACACAGGGCGGGGAACATCACACACCAGGACCTGTCGGGGCGTGGGGGGTATGAGGCAGGGATAGCATAGGAGAAATACCTAATGTAAATGACGAGTTGATGGGTGCAGCAAACCAACATGGCACATGTATACCTATGTAACAAGCCTGCACATTGTGCACATGTACCCTAGAAATTAAAGTATAATAAAAAAATAAATAAAACAGTTCTGATACAAAGAAAAAGAAAATGAGACAATTGGTGTAGTGACAGAAGATTCTTTAGGAATATAAGTAATATTAAAACAATGATTGGTTCCTACTTATACTGGACAAAGGCAGCCTATCAGAGTGATGTCTTACTTAGACTGTGGGTGTGATGACTGAAACTCTCTCTTTACCCTAATGAAAAGGCCATCATTTTGGGACTGGCAGAGAGGACAGCTGGAGGTTGCATGGCTCCCAGAAGGTTATGGAGCCAAGAGTGATGGCTGATTTTCTACATATGAGTTTTATCTGAGGGAGAAAAAATCTTCTATCTTATTTAGAACATTGTTATTTTGAATCCCTCTTACAAACAACTAAACCAGTTTCCTCACTAATGTGTAATATATCCTGAAAGCACTAATATCCTTACTAAAAAAATCTATGTTTCATAGGTGACTAGCAAAACTGCTGAGCTTGTGACATGTTCCACATGAAATATCTGTCAAGGGAATTCTAATGTTTTGAGTGTGTCACAGTGTTTACCCAACAACCTCCTATATATGAATTCAATTTCTCAGATATCTCAATCTAAAAGAAAAGGTTAGATAATGCTGTTATACTTTGAACCAAGAGAATAAATTTTCTGTTAATTTAGAAGTATATTTAAATCAGAATTATATGAAGAGTTATCTGTTCTTTAGTTTAGCATTGATTTAGCGATACTAACCAGTTAAATTACATGAGATAAAACATTGGAATAAAACTGGAAGGAAGAGGTTAGATTATCATTATTAATAACTGATATGGTTGTATGCCTGGGATATCCAAGAAAAACAAATTAAAACTATCACACCAACAAAGAAAATACAGGTAAATTATTTAGACTAAATCAATACGGAGAAATGAACACTTCCCCTACATAACATTAATGACCTATTAGGAAATATTAAGATAGAATAGAATTATGCTTATAATACTAACATAAAAGTTAAAATATTGAGGAATAAACCTAAGCAGAATATAAAAATGAATTGAAAATTACAGCAAGCTTTTGGATAGGGAGACATCATCAAAATATTACCACTCCCAGGAGTAAGTAAAATGTAATATAATCTCCATAAGTATACCAATGGGATTTTTTAGAGCACTATTTTTTTTCAAGCAGATTTTACATTTTGTCTGGAAAAATAAGTGAGGAAGAATAGTCAGAAAAACTCCAAAGATGAAGGAAATGAGAGTGCTGATCTAACCTATTTTAAAGCGTATTATAAAGCCTCACTATTTACAGTGATGTGGTATTAGGAAAGAATACAAGTAGTAAAATAGAAGAAAACATCCAGGGGAAAAACCCAAATACATATGAACATTTAGTGTAATATGTAGGGCTATTTCTTCTCAGTTTTCTTTGGAATCTCTATAAAAAATGGAAACATAACAGTTTAAAAGTAAACTAAAATAATTAAGATATCACAAATGTCAAAACTCAAAACATTAACACTGCATGTATTTCTAAGTAGTTACTTAGGGTCATAAAGAAATAAATTAGAACTTCCAAAGCAATCTTTAAAAGAATAATTTAAAATAATTCACGTGTCATACTGACTGTAGTACAGATTTCTACCTACTTATCCTAATCTCTGCCATCCCCTTCTTTCTTGGTAGTCTCATTCTGAATTTTTAACATGCATATGAAAGCCTGGAATAAAGATTATATTATTAAGTCTAGTTTGCAGGTAACCAAGGTTATGATCTAAATGCTGTCCAATAAAATGTAAGCATAAGTCTTGGGTGGAAGCTTCTGAAACCTCCTTGGAGGGAATTCTTGGCTCTTCTTTGCTCCTTCTTTCTCCTTGTTCATTGGAAAGAAAACATTGTATGGGGAAAGCCAACTGGTCCTATCTTGGATCATGAGTTGGCAAAAACAAATGTATCAGAGCAGCAAAATAGAAGTAACCTGAGCCCAAGAAATTTCTAAAGCTATGGACTGCCTACTTGGGAATTTATTTTAGTAATAGAAGATTCTATTTTGTTTAAAACAATATTTTTCAAGCTCCTTTTAGCTGGTGAACCTATTCCTAATTGATAAACAGGTCAAGTCACTTAACTTCATCATGTTTCATTTTTCTTCAAAGAAAAAGACACACACACACACACACACACACACACAGAGAGAGAGAGAGAGAGAAAGAGAGAGAGAGAGAATGCATACTATGTTATGATTTTTAATGTAGCCACAATTCTGTTTTCGTTTCAAGTTGAATGTTATTTGGGTTAAGGAGGATGGTGTGTGTTTGCATGTTTGGGACACAATATTAGATGCTTTACAAGTAATAAATCTACTTTATGAAATGGATAATTATTGCCCTTGTTTATATAGGTAGTGAAATTGAAGCTTATTGGGGGTATATTGATCAAAGCCAAACAACCAGTGAGTGGTAAAACCTGGTTTTGATTTTAGATACTTGATGTGGATGGCAATGCTTTCATTATGTACCTCACCATATTCTAGAATGATAATGTGATCATAAATTAGTCACAATTAACCTAGACTGTTTATATTGAGTTGTAAAAATCTGGGCATGTTTGTAGGCTTAAAGGAAACAGGCAGGAGAAAAAGAGAGACTGACGATGCACCAGTCTGTGATCAAAAGCCCTGAGGTAACGAGCTACATCTCTTCCTCCAGGAGGAAGAAGGCAGAGGTGCTCTCTTGTGCCTCAGTGGTGGATGGGGACCAAAGGAGGGTATTTCCTTCTGATACTCTGTGTGTCTCCAGGTAGTTGGAATTGAAGGCATCTGACAAATGTTAGACAAACACGAGTGATTGAGATTGAAGAAAGACTGGAGTAGTTACTGTGGAGAATGCAAAAGGATGGTTATTCAAGGTACAGGGACCCCGGTAAGCAGGGGAGGGCAGCTGCTTTTGTGGTCAATGTCCTCTTTGTTCAAGCAATAGGTCTTTTAATGCACTCACGAACTACACTCGCAAACTCTTTATGTATCTTGAATTAATTGCCCAGTCAAAAAACAATTTTTCCCATTCAGTCGTTTGATCATACTTGTCCGAATTTACCACAACTATTTACTTAGTTTGATGGCCTTCATATTAAATTAAAGAATGAGTAGAGCCCAGAGAGCCTAAATTTATAGTGATTAATATTTTCACTTGCCAGAGGCCTGAAAGAGTATCTTGCTTCAAGTAGATGTGTACTGGGAATTTCCTGGCTGAAGCCAATTGACATCCATGAGTTAGGTTTGCATTCCTTAGCAACGCGCTCTGACATTTCATTGCTTTGACTTTCCTAGTGCTTTACCAGCTTTATGAATGATGGATGAGCATTCCTTTAAAGTCTTATCTATCCTGTGTGTCCTTGACCTAACACTTTGTATCGATGGATATTTCAGCTTCTCCTTGATGGCAGGATTGATCATCACAACCCTTTTCTGACAATTGACCTAGGAGCACAGGAGGCAAAGAATAATTGACAGAAGGTATAGAATTACAACCTTGACAGCCAACATTATCTACAGAAGAAGGAGAAACAGGTAGATCCGAGAATAATCAATGCCTAGGAGGAACCAGAAATGATAGGACAATATAGATACATAGAAAAAGACCCAACTAAAGAGTTTTAGACCAAAAATAAGCATGTAGTTCAAAGGACAGTGGTCAGCTGAAATACGATAAAGTGTATACAGTAAGTTACAAATCTTGGAAATATTATGTAAACTGTTTGGAAAGGAAGTCAGAATCTTCAAAGAATCTGATAACGCAGAGCAAGATAGTACAAAATTAGTTCAGCTCTTCAGATATACCAATATCAGAAACCTGAGGGACATTTATTGACTATTGATTACAGGATGACTTAATTGTTAGATAAACTTCTCCACCTGTGAGAATCATCTTCTGAATTTCCTGTCTGAATGGGAAAAAGATCTAGTACATGATTAATATTTGATCTGCAAGTAGATAGGTTTGTATACTTCTGATATCAAACTTTGAATCATGTGTGTGTATCTGCATCCAAACTAGAGCCTTGATTTAGAACAATTTCTGGCTCTCCCAGATTTACTGTACTTTCCCACATTTAATGTATTCCATTCACTTGCTTGAGGAATAAATTAATTGTACTTGCAGAATTCTTCATTTTACCCAATCCTTTAATTTAAATAGTGAAAAAATCATCTTTGATAGCCCACTTCTAAGTTTTAGTTTTTATATAATGCTTTGATGTACTTGATTCTGTATTTTTCAGGAATTTCCTGCTGAGATAATTTACCACCTTCAGAGTATAGACTTGTCTTCTATTAATCTATAGAGGAAAGCTATGCATCCCTCCAGCAAACTATGAATATGTCCAAAAAGTGTTTTCAGGTAGAGCACTGTGATTATTTTAGATGACTGGAATGCACTAAAACATGAATTCCACTCTATTGAATATTTAAAAACCCACTTAGAGCTTCTGTCTATGGCATTTGTATATTTTCAATATCTGTGACTGTAAGCTATAATTTAGGTCCCTTAATTTCCAGCAATATTTGTACCGGGTACCCTTCAATGATTCTGACCAATGATTAACTTGTACAGTTAACTACTTATTATGAATGTTGAGATGAGAAACAAATCATATCTGTCCTCATAATTGCAAGTTCTTTCACTCAAGCCTGATTAATTTGTAATGTGAATGTGTGAAGAAAAATTCCTTGTCAAGTGTCAAAACAAAGGTTTTAAGAATAAACTTATTTTTGGACAGGCAACCAAAATAATTATACACAATAATCTAAGGAATGGATAAGATTAGCAACTACATGTATTGTAATTTTATTTTGACATCGATTCTCAACATCATATTAGTTATACTTAGGTATTTGTAATTAAAAAGTTGTCAATATTATAGGCATGTCTGTGTACAAGCAGATGAGGATGCACACCTTTACTATAGAAAGAACATGGAGCAAACATTGATGCTGGAATGTCAAGGTTCAGTGACATGTAAGACAATGTATCTCAAGTATGAGATTAATTGTGCACTTCTCTCTGTCAGCTTCAGTTGTTGAATTTGGATTTGAATGATTTCTACAGTATTTCAGAAAATAACTTTTTCATTTATTAATAAAGTGTATTTACAATTTTCACCAAGGAATCTTTGTAAGTATGGTAACCTTCTATTCTGTCATCTTTTATCTTTGGAAATGAAGATCGTAGCTTAAATTGATTAGTCTTCAAAAGGTTTGGCTCATGATTAACTACATTATCAAATTGTATTATGCAAGACTGATGTCAATTTCTCTAATTGGAGCATGAGATCACTTTTAAAATTTATTAAGTGTTTATTTTCCAGTTTATAACCTATTACAACTAATAATTTTAGAGCTGCTGTCTATGGCCTACAGAGTAACACTATTAATATTAATTTCTCCCTTTCAAGTTTATCTTTTCATCTTTTTTATTACCTTTCTTTTCTACTTTTTCCCTTTATTCCCTCCTACAATTAAATGACACAGCCTCTTAGCCTACTAAACCTGGAAAGAAGCTCTTGAGCCATTCACTGTAGCCCTTCCAGAAGGTCTATTCACAAAGCCTGGCTGAAAATTCAGGCTTTACATCTGTGTTAGTCTGAATTCTTCAGAGAAAGAGAAGTCAGTAACTCCTACATGGAGAGCAAGGAAGACATATTTTTCCTAAAGTTTTCTTTATCAGATCACTTCTGACCTTAAGAAAAAGAATATCTAAGGCGAAGTTAATATTCTGACGCCTGCCTAAAAGAGGACGTGTGCTCATAAAGTGCATTCTAGATAGAGAGTAAGTGGATGATATGAAATCTCATATCATATTAAACATGGATCAAATAATTTAACTACTTTAGTAATTACAAGTTCAGAGATGTTACCACAGTCCAAAAATCTAAGAAAGGAGATAAGAGTTCACAGGCAAACTAGATTGACTACCAGTTGAAACTTTTAGTCATTTAAATTGTTGATAGGCACACTCCTAGAGCTTCAGATAGAGCCTCTTTAATGAAAGGTCTCTCATTCCTGAATACTAAATGCTTGCCAGAAAAGAGTTAAAGAATGGCAAGGGAATTCTGCATAGGTAAGTAGAAAGCTTCTGGAGTAATACTAGGTGAGTTTTGAAATAACACCGTTATTTACAACTGGGGATTCTATTTTATTCTTCCCTTTGATTTTTTTTTATATAGTCTTTGGTGAGCTATATTGGCCAATAAAGCTGGAAATGAGATACTAGATATAATAGGTTAGTGAATTTCAGCCTAGGATACAATGTGGCTTTTGAATTCTTTTGCCTCATGTCTTATTTGGATTCCTTTTTTTTATGGAAAAATTTTTTTTTATTATACTTTAAGTTTTAAGGTACATGTGCACAACATGCATGTTAGTTACATATGTATACATGTGCCATGCTGGTGTGCTGCACCCATTAACTCATCATTTAACATTAGGTATATCATCTAATGCTATCCCTCCCCCCTCCCCCCACCCCACAACAGGCCCCGGTGTGTGATGTTCCCCTTCCTGTGTCCATGTGTTCTCATTGTTCAATTCCCACCTATGAGTGAGAACATGCGGTGTTTGGTTTTTTGTCCTTGTGATAGTTTGCTGAGAATGATGGTTTCCAGCTTCATCCATGTCCCTACAAAGGACATGAACTCATCCTTTTTTATGGCTGCATAGTATTCCATGGTGTATATGTGTCACATTTTCTTAATCCAGTTTATCATTGATGGACATTTGGGTTGGTTCCAAGTCTTTGCTATTGTGAATAGTGCCACAATAAACATAGGTATGCATGTGTCCTTATAGCAGCATGATTTATAATCCTTTGGGTATATACCCAGTAATGGGATGGCTGGGTCAAATGGTATTTCTAGTTCTAGATCCCTGAGGAATCCCCACACTGACTTCCACAATGGTTGAACTAGTTTGCAGTCCCAACAACAGTGTAAAAGTGTTCCTATTTCTCCACATCCTCTCCAGCACCTGTTGTTTCCTGACTTTTTAATGATCGCCATTCTAGCTGGTGTGAGATGGTATCTCATTGTGGTTTTGATTTGCATTTCTCTGATGGCCAGTGATGATGGGCATTTTTTCATGCGTCTTTTGGCTGCATAAATGTCTTCTTTTGAGAAGTGTCTGTTCATATCCTTCGCCCACTTTTTGATGGGGTTGTTTGTTTTTTTCTTGTAAATTTGAGTTCATTGTAGATTCTGGATATTAGCCCTTTGTCAGATGAGTAGATTGCAAAAATCTTCTCCCATTCTGTAGGCTGCCTGTTCACACTGATGGTAGTTTCTTTTGCTGTGCAGAAGCTCTTTAGTTTAATTAGATCCCATTTGTCAATTTTGGCTTTTGTTGCCATTGCTTTTGGTGTTTTAGACATGAAGTCCTTGTCCATGCCTATGTCCTCAATGGTGTTGCATAGGTTTTCTTCTAGGGTTTTTATGGTTTCAGGTCTAACATTTAAGTCTTTAATCCATCTTGAATTAATTTTTGTATAAGGTGTAAGGAAGGCATCCAGTTTCAGCTTTCTACATATGGCTAGCCAGTTTTCCCAGCACCATTTATTAAATAGGGAATCCTTTCCCCATTTCTTGTAGTTGTCACGTTTGTCAAAGATCAGATGGTTGTAGATATGTGGTATTATTTCTGAGGGCTCTGTTCTGTTCCATTGGTCTATAACTCTGTTTTGGTACCAGTACCATGCTGTTTTGGTTACTGTAGCCTTGTAGTATAATTTGAAGTCAGGTAGCATGATGCCTCCAGCTTTGTTCTTTTGGCTTAGGATTGACTTGGCAATGCAGGCCCTTTTTTGGTTCCATATGAACTTTAAAGTAGTTTTTTCCAATTCTGTGAAGAAAGTCATTGGTAGCTTGATGGGGATGGCCTTGAATCTATAAATTACCTTGGGCAGTATGGCCATTTTCACGATATTGATTCTTCCTACCCATGAGCATGGAATGTTCTTCCACTTGTTTGTATCCTCTTTTATTTCACTGAGCAGTGGTTTGTAGTTCTTCTTGAAGAGGTCCTTCATGTCCTTTGTAAGTTGGATTCCTAGGTATTATATTCTCTTTGAAGCAACTGTGAATGGGAGTTCACTCATGATTTGTCTCTGTTTGTCTGTTATTGGTGTATAAGAATGCTTGTGATTTTTGCACATTGATTTTGTATCCTGAGACTTTGCTGAAGTTGCCTATCAGCTTAAGGAGATTTTGGGCTGAGACAATGGGGTTTTCTAGATATACAATCATGTCATCTGCAAACAGGGACAATCTGACTTCCTCTTTTCCTAATTGAGTACCCTTTATTTCCTTCTCCTGCCTGATTGCCCTGGCCAGAACTTCCAACACTATGTTGAATAGGAGTGGTGAGAGAGGGCATCGCTGTCTTGTACCAGTTTTCAAAGGGAATGCTTCCAGTTTTTGCCCATTCAGTATGATATTGGTTGTGGGTTTATCATAGTTAGCTCTTATTATTTTGAGATACGTCCCATCAATACCTAATTTATTGAGAGTTTTTAGCATGAAGTGTTGTTGAATTTTGTCAAAGGCCTTTTCTGCATCTATTGAAATAATCATATGGATTTTGTCGTTGGTTCTGTTTATATGCTGGATTACATTTATTGATTTTCGTATGTTGAACCAACCTTGCATCCCAGGGATGAAGCCCACTTGATCATGGTGGATAAGCTTTTTGATGTGCTGCTGGATTCGGTTTGCCAGTATTTTATTGAGGATTTTTGCATCAATGTTCATCAGGGATATTGGTCTAAAATTCTCTTTTTTTGTTGTGTCTCTGCCAGGCTTTGGTATCAGGATGATGCTGGTTTCATAAAATGAGTTAGAGAGGACTCCCTCTTTTTCTATTGATTGGAATAGTTTCAGAAGGAATGGTACCAGCTCCTCCTTGTACCTCTGGTAGAATTCGGCTGTGAATCCATCTGGTCCTGGACTTTTTTTGGTTGGTAAGCTATTAATTATTGCCTGAATTTCAGAGCCTGTTATTGGTCCATTCAGAGATTCAACTTCTTCCTGGTTTAGTCTTGGGAGGGTGTGTGTGTCCAGGAGTTTATCCATTTCTTCTAGATTTTCTAGTTTATTTGCATAGAGGTGTTTATAGTATTCTCTGATGGTAGTTTGTATTTCTGTGGGATCGGTGGTGATATCCCCTTTGTCATTTTTTATTGCATCTATTTGATTCTTCTCTCTTTTCTTCTTTATTAGTCTTGCTAGCAGTCTATCAATTTTGTTGATCTTTTCAAAAAACCAGCTCCTGGATTCATTGATTTTTTTGAAGGGTTTTTTGTGTCTCTATTTCCTTCGGTTCTGCTCTGATCTTAGTTATTTCTTGCCTTCTGCTAGCTTTTGAATGTGTTTTCCCTTGCTTCTCTAGTTCTTTTAATTGTGATGTTAGGGTGTCAATTTTAGATCTTTCCTGCTTTCTCTTGTGGGCATTTAGTGCTATAAATTTCCCTCTACACACTGCTTTGAATGTGTCCCAGAAATTCTGGTATGTTGTGTCTTTGTTCTCGTTGGTTTCAAAGAACATCTTTGTTTCTGCCTTCATTTCGTTATGTACCTAGTAGTCATTCAGGAGCAGGTTGTTCAATTTCCATGTAGTTGAGAGGTTTTGAGTGAGTTTCTTAATCCTGAGTTCTAGTTTCATTGCACTGTGGTCTGAGAGATAGTTTGTTATAATTTCTGTTCTTTTACATTTGCTGAGGAGTGCTTTACTTTCAACTATGTGGTCAATTTTGGAATAAGTGCGGTATGGTGCTGAGAATGTATATTCTGTTGATTTGGGGTGGAGAGTTCTGTAGATGTCTATTAGGTCCGCTTGATGCAGAGCTGAGTTCAATTCCTGGATATCCTTGTTAACTTTCTGTCTCGTTGATCTGTCTAATGTTGACAGTGTGGTGTTAAAGTCTCTCATTATTATCGTGTGGGAGTTTAAGTCGCTTTGTGTGTCTCTAAGGACTTGCTTTATGAATCTGGGTGCTCCTGTATTGGGTGTATATACATTTAGGATAGTTAGCTCTTCTTGTTGAATTGATCTCTTTACCATTATGTAATGGCCTTCTTTGTCTCTTTTGATCTTTGTTGGTTTAAAGTCTGTTTTATCAGAGACTAGGATTGCAATGCCTGCCTTTTTTTGTTTTCCATTTGCTTGGTAGATCTTCCTCCATTCCTTTATTTTGAGCCTATGTGTGTCTCTGAATGTGAGATGGGTTTCCTGAATACAGCACACTGATGGGTCTTGACTCTTTATCCAATTTGCCAGTCTGTGTCTTTTAAATGGAGCATTTAGCCCATTTACATTTAAGGTTAATATTGTTATGTATGAATTCAATCCTGTCATTATAATGTTAGCTGGTTATTTTGCTCGTTAGTTGATGCAGTTTCTTCCTAGCCTTGATTGTCTTTACAATTTGGCATGTTTTTGCAGTGGCTGGTACCTGTTGTTCCTTTCCATGTTTAGTGCTTTCTTCAGGAGCTCTTTTAGGGCAGGCCTGGTGGTGACACAATCTCTCAGCATTTGCTTGTCTGTAAAGGATTTTGTTTCTCCTTCACTTATGAATCTTAGTTTGGCTGGATATGAAATTCTGTGTTGAAAATTCTTTTCTTTAAGAATGTTGAATATTGGCCCCCACTCTCTTCTGGCTTGTAGAGTTCCTGCCAAGAGATCAGCTGTTAGTCTGTTGGGCTTCCCTTTGTGGGTAACCCGATCTTTCTCTCTGGCTGCCCTTAACATTTTTTCCTTCATTTTCAACTTTGGTGAATCTGACAATTATGTGTCTTGGAGTTGCTCTTCTCGAGGAGTATCTTTGTGGTGTTCTCTGTATTTCCTGAATTTGAATGTTGGCCTGCCTTGCTAGATTGGCGAAGTTCTGGATAATATTGTGCAGAGTGTTTTCCAACTTGGTTCCATTCTCCCCGTCACTTTCAGGTACACCAATCAGACGTAGATTTGGTCTTTTCACATAGTCACATATTTCTTGGAGGCTTTGTTCATTTCTTTTTATTCTTTTTCCTCTAAACTTTTCTTCTCACTTCATTTCATTAATTTCATCTTCCGTCACTGATACCCTTTCTTCCAGTTAATCGAATTGGCTACTGAGGCTGTGCATTTGTCACGTAGTTCTCGTGCCTTGGTTTTCAGCTCCATCAGGTCCTTTAAGGACTTCTCTGCATTGGTTATTCTAGTTAGCCATTCGTCTAATTTTTTTTCAAGGTTTTTAACTTCTTTGCCATGGGTTCGAACTTCCTCCTTTAGCTCGGAGTAGTTTGATCGTCTGAAGCCTTCTCTCAACTCGTCAAAGTCATTCTCCATCCAGCTTTGTTCCGTTGCTGGTGAGGAGCTGTGTTCCTTTGGAGGAGGAGAGGCGCTCCGATTTTTAGAGTTTCCAGTTTTTCTGCTCTGTTTTTTCCCCATCTTTGTGGTTTTATCTACCTTTAGTCTTCGATGATGGTGACGTACAGATGGGGTTTTGGTGTGGATGTCGTTTCTGTTTGTTAGTTTTCCTTCTAACAGTCAGGATCCTCAGCTGCAGGTCTGTTGGAGTCTGCTGGAGGTCCACTCCAGACCCTGTTTTCCTGGGTGTCAGCAGCGGAGGCTGCAGAACAGCGGATACTGGTGAGCAGCAAATGTTGCTGCCTGATCTTTCCTTTGGAAGTTTTGTCTCAGAGGAGTACCCAGCCGTGTGAGGTGTCAGTCTGCCCCTGCTGGGGGGTGCCTCCCAGTTAGGCTACTCGGGAGTCAGGGACCTACTTGAGGAGGCAGTCTGTCCGTTCTCAGATCTCCAGCTGCTGCATGCTGGGAGAACCACTACTCTCTTCAAAGCTCAGTTGGAAATGCAGAAATCACTCATCTTCTGCGTCGCTCACTCTGGGAGCTCTAGACTGGAGCTGTTCCTATTCGACCCTCTTGGCTCCACCTTCCCTCTTAAACAGTTTTATACATGAAACACAAGTTTTACAATCTCACTGGTGTAATATATTTATTTAAACTATAATAAAAAGGCATTAATTAAAATGACACTGGCGAGAAATTTGTGATGCCATCTTATTTTTTCTAAATGCTTATCTGACCAGAGATAATTAGTAAACATTAAAAAGTGCACAGAAGTGTAATTTTTAAAATGCCTATTATAACCAATTTTACCTGGAAAATCACACTCAATAAAAGTGTGCTTCTTGGGAACTATTATTCATCAAAGAGAAAATAATATATAAAATTAATTATCTCTGTTATAATAGGATTTCCAAACAACCATATCAGCTCTGTCTTCTCTTGGCTACAAACGACCAAAATGCCAAAGTCTTCCCCAACCAAGCATTCTGGTGTTAAAATCATTCAAATTTTCTTGAGGAAACTGCACCAATATTGCTGGGCTCTAACACATAAGAGACTGTTGGAGGAGAATGGAAGCATTTAGTAGAGCACCTCACATACTATTAGTGATCAAGTAATTTTTGGTGATTAGTAAACAACTTTGATAGTAAAAAATGTGATTCAAAATGTATCCTAAGACTCAATGGTAAAACCCATACATACCCAAACAACCCATTCTCTATTTAGAAAAATTATCTTAATAGAAAGTCTCACCACCTCAACGCTATATAATATACAATTAATTATATACCATGTTCCAGAAATAAAAAGAAAACGTTATAGTTGAAAGGATTGTGGTAACAAAAAAGGAACTATGCATAGAATATTTTTAAAAATCAGTGTTTCCTATTCCAAATAAGCCAGAGAAATGTGATAATCTTATTAAGATATCTTTAAAGAACCGATAACACTCAAACCTGAGTTTCATGACACAAGCCCGAAGTTCAATTTGCTTTTGCTGATTCTATGTTAATAGAGAAATTTGGCTTTTGCAGTAGATTTCTCTACAGGCACAAAATGCCCTGTCCAGAAGACATGAGTATACATCCACATTGACTTCTCTATTGTAAATAAATAATCTGTTCTCTGTTTAAAATTAGGTGGCATTTTAATGTGTGCTTGTTTTTTGATTTGGTCAATGTGAACCATTTGCTCAAGTTCTATCAATACTGTTCACAAAAACAAAACTGTTTGTCAAAAAGAATACCAGATTCCGGCCAAGAGGAATTAGCTGAAAAGTTCTTGCCTGAGGAACTGGCAAATTTACTTCTATTACATTGCCTTTTAAATGCCTCCATTTGTTTAATAATACTGTTTCAATAATTGAGCCAACATTTATTGATTGCTTATTATAAGATAGGTAGACACTGTGTCAGATAATATAAAAATGAAGAATACGTAGTCCTACTAAGTGTGTTACCAAAACACCAGGGGTTTGGTCTAGGTCCTGCTGCTCACTGCACAGAAAGCCAATCACTGAGATGACAAGTATTGCCAAAGAAGAACTCTTTAATCGGGTACTGCAGCCAAGGAGATAGGAGCTCAAGTCTCAAATCCATCTCCCTGACTAACTAAAACAAGAGGTTTATATAGCATGGAAGAAATGTAACATTGTGTAATAAAACTGGAACTATGGAGGGGCAAAGAGGCATCTGGTGCTGTGATTAGGTGAGCTTCAATTCTTTAATACTTTTTTTGAGAAGCCTGAAGGTCTTTTCCTGAGGAAGAAACTCAGATAAAACAAATACAGGTTTCAAGCTTCAACAGCAGAAGGGTTAATGTCTATGTTTATCCAAAATAACAATCTATGGGAGTATTGGGTTGGTTTCAAGTAAAGCTCTATCCAGTTTAGGAAACTAAAATATGATAAGTGAACATGGCTTATGTGATAAATGCTTCCATGCAGGTGAATACAGGATAGTCTGGGAACATAATACAAGCAGTGGGGAGGAAAGTAAATTAGCATTTTCCAATTCAGATCTCACATAGGCTTGCAGAGAAGGGGATCTTCTCTTAGAGTTCTGCTCTTCCCTAGGATGAGACACTACTGATATTTAGTGTGGGGGTTAAGGCGAAAGATCCAGAGATATGCAAATAAGTCACACAAATAAAATTGTCACATATTCATGTTCACCCAAGCACTCATGCAGGTGCAAATAGGTAATTATCTGAGTCTTATTCTTAATTCCATTAAACTAGAATTATCTTTTATACTTTTGATATTCATTTGATTTTGTATAAATAACAATATGAGGTAATTTAAAGGAAGATCATTACAATACTTTGTTGGATAATGAGTTTTTATCATTTTGGAAAATAATATCCCCAGTAGAAAAGCCATTGATGGCATTTTTAACTGCAGTAAAAGCATACTTTGTATATGATTTTCAGTAAAAGTATGCTTGTATGATTCTGCATTTGCCGCTGTTATATTTATGTGACCTTACTTATTAGGTATAAATATGTCTTATCATGTCTTGTCCTGCGTGGTTGTGCTTCAGCATTAACATGTTAAAATACACATTACATTTTGTTATTATTTTGATTTCTTTTCTATGTTTCCATTAAAAGATTTTATTAATTTATTTTAAATTGTATGTAGGTAGCTTATAAGAATTTTACTTCATGATAAAAGTAACTATAATTTTTTTGGCATTTAGGTTCAAGAATACATGTGTGGGTTTGTGATTGGTAAACTCTGTGTCATGGGGGTTTGGTGTGCAGATTATTTCACCATCCATGTAATAAGCTTAGTATCTGATAGGTAGTTTTCCAATTCTCACCCTCGCCCCTCATCCAACCTCAAGTAGGCCTTAGTGTCTGTTTTTCCCTTCTTTGTGCCCATGTGTAATCAGTGTTTAGCTCCCACTTGTAAGTGAGAACATGCAGTTCTCACTTTTCTGTTCCTTTGTTAATTCGCTTAGGATAATGGCCTGTAGCTCCATTCATTTTCCTGCAAAGACATGATCTTGTTCTTTGTTATGGCTGTGTAGTATTCCATGGGACAATGGACCACATTTTTTTAATGCAGTCTATTGTTGATAGGCATTTAGGTTAGTTCCATGTCTTTGCTATTGTGAATAGTGCTTTGATGAACACATGTGTGCATGTGTCTTTATGGCAGAATGATTTCTCTCCTTTGGGTATATACCCAATAATATGATTGCTGAGTTGAACGGTAATTCTACTTTAAGTTCTTTGAGAAATCACCACACTGGTTTACACAATGACTGAAGTAATTAACCTTCCCACCAGCAGTGTATAAGTATTCCATTTTCTCTGCAACCTCACCAGCTTCTGTCATTTTTTGACTTTTTGTTGATAGCCATTTTGACTGGTGTGAGATGGTATCACACTGTGGTTTTGAGTTGCATTTCTTTAATGATTTTTGATGCTGAACACTTTCTTCATATGCTTGTTAGCTGTGTGTGGTATTCTTTTGAGAAGTGTCCATTCATGTCTTTTTAAATGGGGCTGCTTGTTTTTTTGCTTGTTAATTTGTTTAAGTTCCTAATAGATTCTGGATATTAGAACTTTGTTTGATGTATAGTTCACAAATACTTTCTCCCATTCTATACTTTGTACATTTACTCTGTTGATAGTTTCTTTTGCTGTGCAGAGACTCTTCAGTTGAATTAAGTCCCATTTGTCAATTTTTTTGTTGCAATTGCTTTTGGCAGTGGCATCATGAACTATTTGCCAGATCTTCTGTCCAGAATGGCATATCCTAGGATATTTCCCAGGGTTTTTATAGTTTTGGGTTTCACACTTATGTTTTAAATTCATCTTGAGTTGATTTTTGTATATGGTGTAAGGAAGGGGTCCAGTTTCAATCTTCTGCATACGGCTAGCCAGTTTTCATTTATTGAATCATCAGCATCATTTATTGAATAGTGAGTCCTTTTACAATTGCTTGTTTTTGCCTACTTTGTTGAAGATCAGATGACTGTAGGGGTGCAACAATATTTCTGGGCTCTCTACTTTGTTCCATTGGTCTGTGTGTCTGTTTTTGTACCAGTACCTTGCTGTTTTGGTTACTGTAAACTTGTAGTATAGTTTGAAGTCAGGTAATGTAATGCCTCTAGATTTGTTCATTTTGCTGAGGATTGTCTTGGGTATTTGAGCTCTTTTTCAGTTCCATATCATTTTTAAATAGTTCATTCTAATTTTGTGAAGAATGTCATTGGTAGTTTGATAGGAATAGCATTTAATATGTAAATTTCTTTGGGTAGTATGGGCATTTTAATAATATTGATTCTTCCTATCTATGACTTGAATGTTTTTATATTTGTTTTTTCATCTTTGATTTCTTTCAGCAGTGTTTTGTAATTCTCATTCTAGAGATTTTCACTTCCCTGGTTAGCAGTATTCCTAGGTATTTTATCCTTCCATGGCTATTGTGAATGGGATTGTGATCTTGATTTGGCTCTCAGCTTGGACATTGTTGGTGTATAGGATTGCTACTAATTTTTATACATTTATTTTGTATCCCAAAACTTTGCTGAAGTTTAGGACTTCCAGTACTATGTTAAATAGAAGTGATGAGACTGGACATCCTGGTATTGTTCTAGTTCTCAAGGGGAATGCAGCCAGCTTTTGTCCATTCAGTATGATGGTGATAGGTTTATCATAGATGGCTCTTATTATTTTGAAGAATATTCCTTCAAAGCCTAGTTTGTTGAAGGTTTTTAATATGAAGGAATATGGATTTTTATTAAAAACCTTTTCAGCATTTCTTGAGTAAATCATGTGTTTGTGTGTGTGTGTGTGTTTTGGTTCTATTTACATGATGAATCACATTTATTGATTTGTGTATGTTGAACCAACCTTGTTTCCTAGGGATAAAACCTACTTGATCATTGTGGATTTTTTTACACGCTGCTGGATTTGGTTTGCTAGTATTTTGTTGGAGCTTTTGCATCTATGTTCAGCGAGAATATTTGCCTGAAGTTTTCTGCTTTTGTTGTGTCTCTGTCAGGTTTTGCTATCAGGATGATGTTAACTTTATAGAATAAGTTACAGAGAAATTCCTCCGCCTCAATTTTTTTGGAATAGTTCCAATAGGAATGATACCAGCTCTTCTTTGTACAACTGGTATAATTCATCTGTGAATCTGTCTGGTTCTGGGGTGTTTGTTTGTTTGTTTTTAGTTTTTGGTTGGCAGGCTATTTATTATTAATTCAATTTCAGATCCCTGAAAATACCAATATCATTATCGGTCTTTTTGGGGATTTAATTTCTTCCTGTTTCCATCTTGGGAGGTTGTATGCTTCCAGGAATGTATACATTTCTTCTAGGTTTTCTAGCTTGTGTGCATAGAGTTGTTCCTAGTTGCCTCTGAGGGATTTTTGTATTTCTATGGGGTCAGTAGTAATGTCTCCTTTGTCATTTCTGATTGCGTTTATTTGGATCTTCTCTCTTATTTTCTTTATTAGTCTAGCTATTGATCTATGTTATTAATTCTTTCAGAAAACCAACTCATGGATTTATTGATCTTTTGTGTAGTTTTTTGTTTCTCAATGTCCTTCAGTTAAGCTCTGACTTTGATTATTTCTTGTCTTCTGCTAGCTTTGGTGTTGTTATGCTCTTGTTTCTCTAGTTCCTCTAGTTGTAATGTTAGGTTGTTCATTTGAGATCTTTTAAACCTTTTGATGTGGGTGTTTAGTGCTATATATTTCTCTGTTAATACTGCTTTAGCTGTGTCACAGAGATTCTTGTATGTTGTATCTTTCTTCTTATTTTTCCAAAATATTTCTTGATTTCTGTCTTAATTTCATTATTTACCCAGAAGTCATTCAGGAGCAGGTTGTTTAGTCTCCATGTAACTGTATGATTTTGAGTAATTTTCTTATTATTGATCTCTATTTTATTGTGCTGTGGACCAAGAGTGCAGTTGGTATGATTTTAATTTTTTGAATTTGCTGATGCTGAGGATTGTTTTATGTTTGATTGTGTAGTCAATTTTAGAGTATGATCCATGTGCAGATGAGAAGAATGTATACTCTTTTGTTTTGAGATGGAGAGTTCCATAGATACCTGTTAGGTGCATTTGGTCAAGTGTTGAGTTCCTAAATATGTTTGTTAGTTTTCTGCCCCAATGATCTGTCTAACACTGTCAATGGGTTGTTGAATTCTTCCACTATTATTGTGTATTTATCTAAGTATCTTCATTGGTGTGTAAGAACTTGCTTTATGAATCTGGGTGGTCCCGTGTTGGGGGCATATATATTTAGGATAATTCGTGTTTTCGTTGAATTGAGCCATTTACCATTATGTAATGCCCTTCCTTGTCTTTTTTGATCTTTGCTGGTTTAAAGTCTGTTTTGTCCGAAATTAAAATAGCAATCCCTGCTTTTTTCTGATTTCTTCTTGCTGGGTAGATTTCTCTTTATCTCTTTACATTGAGTACCTTCATTACTACTGCCCTGGTAGGCAGTAGCCCTGGGCGGGGTTCCCACTTCCTCTCTTTCAGTCCAGCATCTGTGTCCTCTCCCCAACCACTCTCAGTGCCTTCTCTCCAAAAATTTGCTTGGAGTGTGCCAGTCTTCCCAATGTCCCAGTCCCTCAGTGGAAGATGTTCCTACTGGCTGCATCTAGTTGGCCATCTTGCCTCCCTTCACATTCCTAAAAATATTTGTTTTTAAAAGAGAGTTTTGTGTTGGTTAAGGGGTAGGGGGCTAGGGGAGGGATAACCTTAGGAAAAATACCTAATGTAGAAGACAGGTTGATGGGTGCAGCAAACCACCATGGCACGTGTATACCTATGTAACAAACCCGCATGTTCTACACATGTATCTCAGAACTTAAAGTACAATTTTAAAAAACAGACTTTTTTTTAGTAGTGTTCACAACTAAGTAATAAACAAACAAATTTATAGGTCTAGGAAAGGATGAGTACCTTTAGGGCAACTGAGAATTTATAAAATTTGATTGTAGAAAGGAGGTGGGAGTCAGATTACCAAGAGCTTTGTTACCAAGGAAAGAAAACTTCATTCTAATTCCATTTATCCTTCAGACCTGCTTTCTCCTGTGTCTGCCTCAATAATGATTTGAGATCTGGCTAGTTTAATTGAGTTCTTGTTGCTAATTATGTTATCCTAGTGTTTGTAACCTAATAGGTTCATATTTAAAGTAATTACACCTTTTGATTTGGAGGTATACTTCCAAAATATTACTTATGATAAATATTTTATTAGACCCAGATTTTTATATAAATAATTAGAAGTTTTGGTTTGGGGGTACATCATCTGTTAAGTAGTTTGCTGTTTTTTTTTTTTTAACTATTTGTTTTGCTTTCACTTTCTTTCATCTAAATATAAAAAATAATGATGTGGGTATTTTTTGTTTTGCCCTAGGTTGTTCTGTATTTTTTTTCAACATATTAGCTGTCCAAGGGAAAAAGATAGAAGCAGAGCCATGATAAGCAAATGAAAAAATTTAAAAATATATATTTATAGTAACAAGGTCTAAATTGGGAGAATATCTGGTTTTCCAAAATGAATACAAGGGACTCTAGAAAAATAATGAAAAACATTCAACAATAACAGTCAGCTGATGGTGAGTTCAAAATAATCTCTCTAAAAATCTGTCTATTTTATTCTAAATTTTTTAAAAGAAACTCTTTTCTATTTGCTCTTTATCTTCACAAGCAGTTTACACTCCTATTCTTTATGGCACTTTTCTTCATCTCTCAAGAATTTATCTTATCCTCAAGATTTTATTAATAGCAAATAGAGCATCCTTATACAATTACAAATATACAGTTCAGGTCCAGGGAGGATGAATTTGTACCTTTCTCTAGAGCCAGGTTGACTGCTATAATTATTTTTCTAAAGCTCAAAAAATGCAAACAGAAATTTGATTCAGAGTTCAGGAATGTGTTCAATCCTTAATTGTTCTAGATAACTTAGACAACCTAACAATCAACAGGTTCACTTAATCATGAGCTCCTCAGACAGGAGAACATGAATACAGTCAGGAGGCTAGAAAAGGGTAGGAAAAGATTATAATATTTCCACTGTCTATAAATTTTTATGGTCTGGAGGAGGCAAAAATAAAATTGCAAATAACTGAAGTGTACTAATGAAATTTGGCATATGGAGGGATGAAATGATGCAATAAATACAATACAAAGGCCTCTCCCATAAAACAAAAATATTTTTTCTACGTTCTCTATGAGTTGCAAAAGAATACCTACTGGACATGCGTAAAGATTTTTAAAAACCTGTATATGTATATACAGTACTTTTGCACGTTAAATATGCAGTTAACCCTTGAACAACATGCGTTTGAATGGACTGGACTTACTTATATGCCGATTTTTTTCATCCAAAGGTAACTGAAAATATATTATACACAGGATGTGAAATCTTCATGTATGGACGATCAGCTTTTTGTATACACAGATTTAGCAGGTCAGACTGTGGGATTTGAGTAAGCATGGAGTTTGGTATATGTGGGTGGTCCTGGAACCAATTCACCAAGTATATTGAGGGATTACTTTATTATTTGATTTTCTGTAAGTATAATTACCATCTACTTCAAAGAAAATTTCTGTATAATTTTGTTTAAAATTCTGTTGTTTTTCATCATTTTGATAAATAATATCACCTAAAGCAATGCTGTCCACATTATTTCTATTGGTAAAAAACACACAATTTTATTAGAATTTATTTATAATTTTCAGTCACAGGGTTTGACTTACAAGTGCAATTATCTGCCTTAATATCATTTTTAAATTGTGCCAAGCATTTTATGCATTAAAATACATATTTTATTATCAATTTTTTTCTTTTGGTTTATAGTTCCTGTTTCTGTTTTGTTGAATTTCTTTATAAACTTGTATGTGAAGATAGAATACGTTATCTACAAAAATCACTAAAGGTTTTTTAAATTCTGATAAAGCATTTATCATGAAAGCAGAGCATTAAGAGTAACCAAGAAGTGACAATAGAAAGTCAGTGGAACAAAAGATCCTGGGATCACTCAAACACACAGATGTACAATTAACAACTATTAAAAGACAAGGATGCCACCCTGGATTCACCGTAACTTGGAGGAGAAACCCCCTGGGCCGACAGAGGCAAGAAAAACTGTGACCTCAAGAGGAATGGTCATTTTAGACTCTGCCACTCCCTGCTTCACAGCAGCAAAATACCACTCACAGAGAAATTTCTGAACCCAGGAATTCCAAGGTGGGAGGAGGGAATTGGAGGTGAAAGTCTGATCTCCCCGCTGCTCTGGCAGTCTTCACAGAAAGCACGCTTTGGCCCTGTCCCATGGAAGAGCTGAACCACTTAGGGTAAACATGAGACAAGGAACAGGATGCTGATCACAGTGACCATCCCACAGATCATGATGGCTACTCTGTGCTCCAATTAGTGGAGCTGTCACGCAGAGGAGATTGGTTATGCCATAGCACTGTTAGGGCATTATCCATGGGAAGGCCTAAGTCCCTGGCCAGATTCCCCAATTATCTCAGGTGCTCCTATGGAGCCTTTTCCTGACCAAGAAACATTTAAAATGTTACAATTAAGCTCTGGTGCTTGCTTAAGTCTTTCTCAGACCCAGAAACCACTGCAGCTTTAAGTTGCAGTGTAGCAATTAACTTGTGGTGTGAACTGTACATTCTCCCCAGAACAGGGCAACAACAGGCCAGCAATTAAATTCTGATATTAAGTAGTAAAGGTTTAACACTCAAAGAACACCTGCGAAAGCTGAAGAGGTGGCCATGTCCTCAAATGCACAGATACCAATGTAAGGACACAGGATTGTGAAAAATCAGAAAAATGACGCCACCAAAAGAAACCAATAAAGCTCCAGCAACCAATCCCCCAAAATTGAAGGTGACAAGATATATTGAGACAAGAAAATGAGAAATTGACAAAGAAATAAAAACAATTTAAAAAACAAATATAAATCCCAGAAATAAATAATACAATAACTGTACTCAAAACTTAATAGAAAGCTTCAGAAAACGGACTTGATCAAACAGAACAAAGAATCAGTGAGGTCAAAGACAGAACATATGAAATTATCTAATTAGAGGAGCAAAAAGAAAGAATTTTAAAAAGTGAAGAAGGCTTATGGGACTTATTGGATACCGTCAAACAAACTAACCTTCGCATAATAGGAGTTCCCAAAAGACACAAGAAAGAAAAAGGCCTATAAAGCGTATTTGAGAAGAAAAAAACAGCTGAAAATTCTCAAATCTGGAAGAAGACGACAGCATCCAGGTACAAGATGCTCCGAAGTCACCAATAAGACTCAACCCAAAGAGAAATTCCCCAAGGCACATCATAATAAAATTATTAAAAATCAGAGACAAAAAAGAATATTGAAAGTGGCAAGAAAAAAGAAACGTATTATATTCAACAGAGACCCCCATGGGGTTTTCAGCAGATTTCTCAGCATAAACCCTCAGGGCCAGGAGAGAGTGGGACAATACATTCACAGTGCTGAAGGAAAATATTGCAAACTAAAATACTGTGCCCAGCAAAGCTATTCTTCAAACATAAAGGATAGATAAAGATTTTTTCAGGCAAACAAATTTGAGGGAATTGATCAAAACCAGATCTATCTCATAAGAAATGTCAAAAGGAGTTCCTCAGTTTGAAAGAAAAGGGTGCTAATATGTAACAAGAAAACATCTGAAGGTATAAAACTCACTAGTAAAAGTATAAGGACAAATTCAAATATTCTAATACTGAAATTGTGGTGTGTAAACCACATACATCTTTAGTATGAAAACTAAGACAAAACTATTAATAAATAACAATAATAACTGCAATTGATTAAGAGATAGGAAATATAAAATAACGTTAATTGAGACCTCAAAAAGTGAAAATGTGGGGGGGAAATGATGTTAAGTGTAGAGTTTGGTTTTGTTTCTTTTCTTTGCTTGCAACTAAAGATGTCATTCAGCTTAAAATAACCTGTTCTAACTATAAGATGATTTTTGTAAGCCTCATGATAACAGCAAAGCAAACATCTACAATAGATGATACACTAAAAATAAATAGCACAGAACCAAAGCATACTACTAGAGAAAATCACTTAACCACAAAGGAAAACTGTAAGAGAAGAAAAAAGGAAGAAAGGATCTACAAAACATCCAGAAAACAAGTGATGAAATGACAGTAGGAAGTCCTTACTCATCAATAATAACCTTGAAGTAAACAAATCAAAGTTGAAGTCCCCAATTAAAAGACATGATGTGGTTGAACTGATTTAAAAGAAAAGACCCAACTATAGGCTAGTACAAGAAACTCACTCACCTATAAAGACATGAATTGTGTGGACATTTCTCCTCTTTGTAAGGAGATTAGCTGTATTGGATTAAGGACAAATTGTGCTCCAGTATGATCTCATATTAACTAATTACATTTGTAACGACTTCATTTCCAAATACAGTCACATTCTGAGATATTAGGGGCTAGGATTTCGAAGTATAAATTTTTTGGGGGTGCACACAATTCAACCCAAAACAATTGCTCTATCAGTTTGCATTCCTGCTGCTATGTATGAGAGTTCCAGATCTTCCACATCCTTGTCAACACTTGATACTGTCAGTATTTTAGCCGTTCTAACAGGTGTGCAGTGGTACTTATCATAGTTTGTATATGCATTTTCTTAATGGAAAACTGAGATTTTGTGTGTAGACAATCAGGTTGTCTGTGAGGAGGAGCACTTTCATTTCTGTTTTTCTGTAGGTCTTTTCACTACTGTATTCTGATTGCAGAAGGAAACCATTCAGTCTTTCACCAGTAAGTATAATGTTAACTGTAGGGTTTTTATAATGCCTTCTAATCAAGTTGATGAAGTTTCCTTCTATTCCTAGTTTGCTGAAAGTTTCTAAGTGATAAATAGAGTTTGCATTTTATCACATGCTTAATCTGCATTAATTTATATAATCTTATGGAATGTATATTTTAATGTGAATTACATTGACTAATTTTAAATATCAAACCAGCTTTGTATGCTCACGAAACCTCCCTTTGTAGTGATATATTTTTCCTCTTATATATTGCTGAATTCCATTTGATAATACCTGATTGAGAATCTTTAAAATCAAAATTCAGGAGGCATATTGGTCTGTGGGTTTGTTGGTTTGCCTTTTTTTTGGTCTGGTTTTAGCATCAGGGTAATGTTACACTTATAAAATAGGTTGGTAAATGTTTGCCTGTCTTCTGCTTTCTGAAACAGATGTATAGAATTTTCAAGTTTTTTCTTTCTATTTTTCATATGGATAATTTCTTTGCTCTTTCTTTAGTCAATTCCATTCTCTGCTATTAAGTTTATTCTTCAAGTATTTTACTTCTATCACTATATATATATATCTCCATTTTATAATTTCAATTTATATATTTTATTTTTATTTGTTAAAAATGTTCATGATTATACATTTGAGCAATTTAAAAATAGCTGCTTTAATATCCCTGTCAGATAATTCCAACATCTACATCATCTGATTGTAGGCATCTGTTGATTGTATTTTCCCATCAAAGTTGACATTTTCATCTCTCTTCACATATATATTTTCTATCGTATCCTGGATATTTTGATTATTATGTTATAGGACTCTGGGTTTTACTTAAATCCTATGGAAAATGTTGATATTTTTGGTTTTGCAGGCAATCTACTTGTTAAAACAAAAGTTCAGGCTGCAAATTTCTACCCATCTTCTATAGCATATAGTTACTGCTTCAGTTCAATTTCAAAGTTTTTGCAGTGGCTCAGTACTATTTGGATTTGTCCCTTGTGTACACTACTCAGTTGTCAGTCTGGGACCTATATAATAACCTATGCATTAGCTCAGTTCTCCAAACTCTTTGGTATGCTGACTAGAACCAGATTCATGCATATGCAGGTTGAAGTCAGCCCAGAAGTTCATAAACAACTTTATGGGTTCTCTTCCTGAGTTCTCATTCATTATAGCATCTCATTCCATAAAATAGATGAAGTGCTGCTCTGGGCATGGCAGCACTGTTGATTTTTATAAGGTTGGGACAAGTAAACGGGATAAAAAACAAAAACAGATTGGTTAACATAAGATTACTTCAGTTGCTTTTAAGAGTTAAAGCAAAGAGGACTTCATAATTACACTGGCTTAGGTCAAATGGGCCCTTTCTAATTGGTTGCTGCAAATATGCTAATTTCAGGAAAGTATTATTTAGTATTCCATGACTAGGTTAAATTAAAACACAGAGTGAGAACAAATAGGTCTAGAATCTGATCCCATAAAAGGGAGCAGTAGTGCAATTTGAGCAGTTATGTTAGGAATGTTGCTAAAGTGAGCTCATGGGTGGACTAAAGGATCTCTTACATAATGTAAAGATTTGGGTTTGGCATGAGAGATTCAACACTCCCTCAAGTTACCCACAGAAGCTACTAATTGTGAGACTTTAATGACAGTATTATACTTCCAAGCAAAAGAGGGAAACATAGGAAAGGAAAATAATTAAGAGGGGTAAGAGTCTCATGATGATGAATCTTATTCTTATGTCTTGGGAAAAGCTGTCCACAACTTGAAGTTGTCAACTTCTCATCCTGTTTGCAGTATGAAGGTCTCTGGTTGTGGCATTTGTCATTTCAGTGAACTCTCAAGGCACAAAGTTGCCCCTAGAAAATGATGTTGACTTGTCGGGCTCCAGATTATAGGGCTTCAAGAACAGAACTGTTCTTGTCACTAGTGGAAGCCAGATATTGAAGGGAACAAGAAAAGTTTGAGGATCCAGTCCAATCTACAGGTAGATAATAAAAATTCAAAAACAGCCAGGCTTGGTGGCTCACGCCTGTCATCCCAGCACTTTGGGAGTCTGAGATGAGCAGATTACCTGAGCTCAGGAGTTCAAGACCAGCCTGGCCAACATGGCAACACCCCATCTCTACTAAAAATACAAAAATTAGCCAGATGTGATGGCGGGCACCTGTAATCCCAGCTACTCAGGAAGCTGAGGTAAGCAAATCGCTTAAGCCTGGGAGGCAGAGGTTGCAGTGAGCTGAGATCGCACCACTGCACTCCAGCCTGGGTGACAGAGTGAGACTCTTTCTCAAAATAAATAAATAAATAAACAAATAAACAAACAATGAATAGAGCTATAATCCAATAACAAGTATACTATAGTTTTTTTAGAAACGTACTTTTTATCTCTATAGTCACCCCAATTTCTACCTGAGTTAATCAAAGTAAGACTAATTTGTTTATAAAAATAAATTTACTCTCATCATACTTTGCCTGATTATGTAAGCACAGCAAAAATAGTGATTGACAATATAGGCCCCTTTTTCACGTTGAAGACTTCTGATACAACTATGAAGCAAATCCTTATTTTTTTTTTTTTTAAACTTGTTTTAGGTTTAGGGGTACATGCTATATAAGTAAACTTGTGTCACAGCGGTTTGTTTTACAGATTATTTCATGAGCCAGGTATTAAGCCTAGTACCCAATAGTTACATTTTCTTCTCCTCTCCCTCCTCCCACCCTCCACCCTCAAGTAGACCCCAGGTTCTGTTTTTCCCTTCTTTGTATTCATGAGTTCTCATCATTCAGCTCTCACTTATAAGTGAGAATATGTGTTATTTGGTATTCTATTCCTGTGTTAATTTGCTAAAGATAATAGCCTCGTGCTCCATCCATGCTCCTTCAAAACATGATCTTGTTCTTTTTCATGGCTGTATAGTATTCCATGATGTATATGTACCACATTTTCTTTATCCAATGTGTCATCGATGGACATTTAGGTTGATTCCATGTCTTTGCTATTGTGAATAGTGCTGCAGTGAGCATTCACGTGCATGTGCCTTTATGGTAGAATGATTTATATTCCTCTGGGTATACACCCAGTAAAGGGATTGCTGGGCTTAATGGTAGTTCTGCTTTTAGCCCTTTGGAGGATCGCCATTCTCCTTTCCACAATTGTTGAGCTAATTTACACTCCCACCATCAGTATCTAAGTGTTTCCTTTTCTCCGCAACCTCACCAGCATCTGTTATTTTATGACTTTCTAACAATAGCCATTCTGACTGGTGTGAGATGGTATCTCACTGTGGCTTTGATTTGCATTTCTCTAATTCTCAGTGATATTGAGCTGTTTTTCATAAGCTTGTCAGCCACATGTATGTCTTATTTTGAGAAGTGTCTGTTCATGTCCTTTGCCCACTTTTTAATGGGATTGTTTGTTTTTCTTGTAAATTTGATTATGTTTCTTATAAATCTGACCTTTGTCAGATGCATAGTTTGCAAATATTTTATCCCATTTTGTAGATTAACTGTTTACTCTCCTAATAATTTCTTTTGTTGTGCAGAAGCTCTTAAGTTTAATTAGATCCCATTTGTCAATTTTTGGTTTTGTTAAGATTGCTTTCAATGTCTTTGTCATAAAATCTTTGCCCATTCCTGTGTCCAGGATGGTATTGCCTAGGTTGTCTTCCAAGAGTTTACAATTTTGCTTTTTACATTTAAGTCTTTAATCCATCTTGATATGATTTTTGTATATGGTGTAAGGAAGGGGTACAGCTTCAATCTTCTGCACATGGCTAGCCAGTTATCCCAGCACCATTTACTGAATAGGAAATCTTTTACCATTGCTTATTTGTTTAGCATTGTTGAAGATCAGATGGCTGTAGGTGTGCAGCCTGATTTCTGGGCTCTCTATTCTGTTCTACTGGTCTGTGTGCCTGTTTTTGTACCAGTACCATGCTGCTTTGGTTACTGTAGCCTGTAGTATGGTTTGAAGTCAGGTAACATGATGCATCCAGCTTTGTTCTTTTTGTTTATGATTGCCTTGACTATTCAGGCTTTTTTTTTTTTGGTTCCATATGAATTTTAAAATAGTTTTTCCTAGTTCTATGAAGAATGTCATTGGTAGTTTGATAGGAATAGCATTGAATATATAAATTGCTTTGAGCAGTATGCAATTTTGATAATATTGATTCATCCTCTCCATGAGCATGGGATGCTTTTCTATTTCTTTGTCTTTTCTGATTCTTTGAGCCATGTTTTGTAATTCTCATTGTAGAGATCTTTTACCTTACTGGTTACCTGTATTCCTAGGTATTTTATTCTTTTAGTGGCAATTGTGAATGGGATTGCCTTCCTGATTTACCTCTCAGCTTGGCTGTTGTTGGCCCCTTTAAGTTTACTTTCCTGAATCTTTTTATAAGAAATATCAGATTTGTCTTTTAAAAGCCTCTCAAAGCTATAATGTCAAGCCAAGGACTCATCATCAAACTTTGCCTGCAATACCTATAGATTTTAGTGAATTCCTCTTGTCTTGGGCTCTCCAAAATATCCTGAGGTTCCTGGGCCTGCCAGGAAGTGAGAGCCACTATGAGGCTGAGAATCTTTGAAGCTAGATGTTCTTTGTATCTTCTCAAATATAGTATCCCAGTCAGAGTCTTAGTAATATAACCGGTATTTCCAATTCTGTCCTGTTATAAAGAAAACAGAGTCTTATTGAACTTTTGCAATTCACTGTATTGCCAAGAAATAAGAAAATCAACAAGTAGCTTTGTGAATTCTGGAAGAATCAGGTAGGGAGAAAAGGTAAATATTTTAATTCTGTTTACAAAAGCGTATGTTACCAATATGCTATAGATAGCTTAAGAAAAAATTTAAAATTTCCTTAGTTCAGGAAAATAAAACATTTAAGAACCTCCAAAATTTTGAATAGAAAGTCAAAAAACATTATCCTCAGCAGAATGAACATCATGCAATTCTTATTTTGCTTGATCTTGTTACAGCTGTTGCATGAAGCCATTAGGTTTTTCATTAGAGTTTTAAAAATTCTTACCCAGTCCAATGATAAGATCACAAAGTTATCAGCAGCAATCTGTATTTCAGAGTACCTGTCAGAGTCTTTTTCATGAATGTCCTTGAAGATAAGGCAATTTTAAACTGTAGCTGATTACAAACACTTTCAGAGAAGAATCAAAGTAAAGCAATTAACTGTCCATGAACGACAAGAGTTAAATTGCCCATTGTTAAAAAATCTGATGACAGCTTATTATAACAATAATGTAATTACAAGGAGATGTGGTTATTTTTGTGACATAACTATATTTTAGACTTGGATGTTACTACCTTTTAGGATGTAAAGAAAAAGAGATTGAGTGAAGTTAGAAGCAATTTTTTTAAACTTGAATATTACAAATGTTAACTTTCTATATGCTCCAACTTAACTGAACCTTAGAATTGAATTCTATATTGTGTTTGAAAAACAGTGGTAAAAAAAGGGAGAAGCAAGCTTTTGAGAAATGCAACTGCTTAGATTTATAAACTAGACAACTAGCAGCATCTAGTGGTCATGCTCATGATCAACCCCTGTCTTCATTTTCATTGTTGCTTGGAATTAACTTGCATTCCAAGGCTTGGCAGATATTTTGAATTAAGTAAAAACCACATGTGAAAAAAAAACAAAAAACTTAAACTAAACATCAGTTTCAATGTATATGTGTTGTAAACATACAACACATATACTGTTGTTTATAATTGCGTTCAATTTCTGATAGAATTTAATACATTGAATAAAACTTATCTAAGACAGTGTTCAGCTGCTTTATTTGTCTTAAGAAGGGTTGTGATTTTGCCACATTTAGGGGACTGGACTTAATTTTATCAATTTCAATATTAAATGTTCAGTTGATATTTTGGAACTATTATGGAAAACTGTATTATTTTAACTGATAATATTGACATGGATTTTGAACAAATATTTATTTTATTCATTTGTTTGAAATTGAGTTATAAGCACAACAGTTTTCCATCCTTGAAAGCACATGACAGTGAGGTTTATACACATGGTTAAAAAATGATAATAGGTAATAATTACTTGGTGGCAAAAGAAAGGTAGCCAGGAGTTTTTATGATTCTCATGACCAATCTGCAAATAAATAATCAAAAGTTGAATGCAGATTAAAAACTGTCAGGAAATGGGTGATTTCTACTAACATCATTCAAATGCTCTAAAAATTATCTATTTCACATGCTGATAGTATGTTACATGGATACTAAATACACAAGGATTATAAGCAAAAATGCAGGAGGGGAAATGGAAGAAAGAGACTAATGACGTTTATGCACCTTTCAAGTGCCAGGCACTGGGTTGTGCTTCATGTGCATCCATCATTATCCTTCATCTCCATGACAATTCTACTGGCAGGTGTCTTTGTCCCCCATTTAATAGATAATGGAATGAAGTCCTGCTCCTGTGATCACACAAGTAGTAAGTGACCAAGGTAAATTTGAATTTGACCAAATCTGACTAAAAATTGATGTTCTCAGAGTTTATCAACTCATTATATACACAAAATCTATAGTCTGGGAAAAAAAGTTTTTTACAATATCAGCATTTTTTTAGTCCTGTCATTGTTTTGCAAGCCCTGAAAAGACATAACTTCAGAGTAAAGGAGTGAACAATGTGCCATCCCCAAATATGCCTACTTGGTATGTTGATTATTCTGAGTTAAAAACATTAGAGAAATAATTTCAGAAAGGCTGAGCTGACCTATCTCTTTCTACCTGCAGCAAACAATAAAGATTCCTCTGGAAGGGGTACTCTCTCCATATCAGGGTCAGAAAATAGCCCGTATCACCAGAGACTTGGAATTGAAGGCTACAGTGGACCTAAATAAACATAATTAATGAAGTAATCCTCATCCTTCACCTGTTTTACACTTTCCCATGTATTTCTTAGTAACTCCCCTGGAAAATTTTTACCACTGTAGCCAGATTTTCTTTGTCCTATCATTTCTTCTCAAATCTATCACTCTATGTCTAAAAAGTATCAAGGCATCTTGCTTTGGCCACTTCTTTTGACTTCCCTCTCTTGTGAAGAACCCCATGTGCATGTAAAACTAATAAAATTTGTATGCTTTTCTCTTATCAACCTGCCTGGTGTCAATCTGGTTTCTCCATCCAGCTGAAGAACCTATTAAGAGTTAAAAGGGGGGTTGGAGGTGACCCCTGGCTCCCTACAAGTGTCATCTGTTATCTTGAAAGATGCTCCACTGGTCAAGCATGACTCTTACTCATCAGTGAACAAACATTTTCATTTTACACATTTATTCAACTATTCTCTCAGGTACTTGTAGGACTGGAGAACAAAACAGGTAGGACATTGCTTTCATGGAGTTATGGTCTAGTTGGGAAAGATGTAACAGGTTTCAAAGGTAATAAAACTGTGCTAAACATGAAAGGAACAAATACACAATGCTTGGAAATGTTTTGAAACCTCCACAATTAAAGATAAGGCTTAAGATAAAAATCTAAGTTAGAAGTGGTATTACAAAATAAATGTATATAGCATTAGAGATTTATTCATTCAAAAATCATACATTTTGCACCTACGATGTGGTGCTGTTGATATCAAACAGATGATACAAACAGCCTAAACACCAAGAACTCAGTAAAAATATATGCAAACCATTATTCACAATACTGAAGATACACTAGTGTACAATATGTACTATAGTGGTAGAGGAGAAGAAGGAATGTTGGTGTCTGCTTTGATGAAACTTGCAGAGTTCACAAAGGAAATATTCAAACTCTGTTGGTTACTATCCAGATTAAGGTGTAACAGAAGATAATGACAGAGGAGTCCACATAAAGGCAAGAAAGAGATGGAGAGAAGTAGATGAATTTGAGACATATTTAAAGGCAATAATACATTAAGGGTAATGTCTCCTCATTATGATAGAATAGTACACCCTTCCCAAGTAAGTAAGATGAGAAGAAGCTGTTGACTGTGTCTGGCACACTAACTGGTCTAAACTGACACGTTCCCTTTCCTTGAAGCCTTCTCAAATGGTCAATAATTATTCGTTTCCTATTTTGGCAATACTGTTTAATATAGGTATAACATTGGTCCTTAGTTCTTTTTGAAAGTATATTTATTGTCAAAAAGTTAAACTATATATACCTCCATACTTTAGGCCCACAGCAAGAAAGGGCACTTTTATACTTTTTGGTACATAAACGCATGCACACACACACACACACACACACAGGCACTCACAGACACACACTTAATAAATGAGAACATACTACTCACAACTCCACTGTCCCTCATTTTACCCATCTGTCTGTTTGTGTGTCGGATAGTACCACATATCAATCGTTATTTAGATTGTTTGCAATTTTGCACTATTTAAAACAGTGCCCATCTGTGTTTATTTTTCATGGCCTAATTTGTGATGATAACCTAGAATAAATTCCTGGAAATGAAACTGCTGAGTTAAAAGGTAAATATTTTTTAATCGATATTGTCAAATTGCACTCAACAATTTTGTTTTACTTTATATTCTCACCAAGAAACACATTAAGTTCCTGTTTCTGCACACCCACACTCAGTTTAGGAAAGCTTTAAATCTGTGCTTCTATGATAGATGAAATATGATACTTAAATGTCAATTTGATTAACTTATGAGTTTGTGTACTTTACCCATTTTTTATTTTATTATTTTTGTTTCTCTCGTTGTATATGTGTGCTTTGAAATTGAAAGTATAAATGTTTTAATTTCAAAACCCTTATCTACATTAAGTCCTATGTATAAACATTAACTTTTTATTTTAATTAAATTTAATTAGTTTAAAAATATTTTAAAACTTGACTATGTAGTTTAAATTTTAACCATCATTTATATATATGTATGACTATACATCTACATATCTACATCATGTATTGTAAAATACAGAGGAAGAATTGTCATACTCCTTTCTAAGTTTGTATCAGATGCCAACATTGTATCTTCCAATGATGTGAAATATCTTAGAGAATTTCTTTCAAGTGAAGTATTTGTGCTGTTACCACCACCTCGTCTTCAACATCTTTGTCCTTTTTGTCAGAACCACTTTCCTTATGCATGTCATTAAGTGGGAACTTCACTAAGTTCCTCTGGCTGTGTAATTAGAGTCTCTTAATGGCAGCTATTTTCCCATAACTCCATTCATATTTGACTCACATTTCCCTGCTGGTGTTACTTTTTGTTTTTTTGCTGCACTTTTATGTATGTTGACTTCTTTAATTCCCTCTTTGGATTATTCACTTTTATAAAATGTCAGGTGGGTTTTTCAGTAGGAGACCAGGAAGCAACATAACAAAATGCTTTGCTGTCTGTGGGAACTGAATTACAGATGTGCAGTGAACATTCACTAACAAACTTTAAAAGAAGTTACATCATTGGCCACTGATCACAATGTATCCATGTTATTTACATAAGCATTTACGGTCTGAAAAGCTAGCAGCAACATTTGTACTTTACTCTGTTACTCAGTTAATATACTGTGAAAACTAAAATTTGAACTGCGTTGTTGGGGAATTACTATTATTTGGTATTATTTAACTAAATCATGGTAATTGAAATCTGTACATATTGGAACTGTGCAAGGAAGGACTATCTGTATACACGTACATATGTGTGTGAGTTTATTTCAATACCATATGTACAAATACATGGTGTTAGTTTATTAGTGCTGCCATAACAAAGTACACATACTGAATGGCTTAAATAACAGAAATTTATTTTCTCACAGTTCTGGAGACAAGAAGTTGAAATCAAGGTGTTGGCAGAGGTGGTTTCTTTGAGGCCTTTCTCCTTGCTTTGTGGATGGCCATCTTCTCCCTCTGTCTTCACATGGTTTTTCCTCTGTGTGCTCATATTCCCATGTCCAAATTTCCTCTTCTTATAAGGACATTAATCATATTGGATTGTAGCCCGCCATATAACCTCACTTTAATTACCTCCTTAAAGGACCTTTCTCCAAATACAGTCACATTCTAAAGTACTAAGTTTAGGACTTTAACATGTTAATTTTGGATGGCCACAATTCAACCCAAAACCCTCCAACTCTCTGGCCCTCCAAAATTCATGTCCTCTTCACATGCAAAATATATGAGTTCTTTCCCAATAGCTCAAAATATTTAACCCATTCCAGTATTGAATCCAAGTCTAAAAGTTCATCTAAATATCATCTAAATCAGGCATAGTGAGAATCAAGCTATGATTATCCTCAGGCAAAATTCCTCTTCAGCCTGAACCTATAGAACTGCAAAAGTTATCAACTTACTAAATGCAATGGTAGGGCTGGCATACAATAAACATCCCATTTCCAAAAGGGATAAATCAGAAAGAAGAAAGGGGTCAGAGGTCCCAGGCAAGTCCAAAACCTACCAGGGCAAATTCCAGTATATTTTAAGGGTCAAGGATAATCCCTTTTGTTTCAATTCTTTGTCTTCAGGACCCACTGGGGAGGTGAGCCTGCCCCCCAGGGCATCTGGGGTGGCAATTTTGCTCCCTTGGCCCTGGATAATGGCAGCCTGGCCTGCTGAAACCAAGGTGGTGGCCCCACCCTCTGAAACTGGAGAAGAGACAGCCCTGTCACCCAGGCCTGAGACTCTGAGCCCATGGTAATAGTGGCAGTCCCACCTTTGGAGTCATTTTTCTCTTTTCTTGAAGAATAGCACAGATTTTCAGCCAGATACCCCAATTGGCCCATCCTATGGAATCTCAGAAGTCTGGTGGCTTTCCTTCACTCTCTCCCATCACTGTCCCTTTTACTCCAAGCTGGCAGTTTTTCTGCTGATATAAAATTCTCAAAAATAACCTTGTTGACTTCATAGGGATCCAAGCCATCAGACAAGAGTGCCCTCCACATATTTTTCCTGGATAATCACATCTCTATTCTTGCCTTCTGGTGAGATCGTTGATTCAATCCATGTGTCACATTCATAATTTCTTTATGAAATGAATGACCAGTCACACCCTTGTTTTCTGTTCAGAAGAAGCTTTCTCATTTTTTGGCCATATGAATAAACTGATAATTTTCTAAATCTCAAGTTTTGACTCCTTTATTCTTAATGATCCTTTGATGTATCTCTCTTCTCTTGCATTTTACCATAAGCATCAAAAAGAAACCTGGCCACACTTTCAAAAGTTTGCTTAGAAATCACCTCAGCTAAAGACCTGGGTTAATCACAAGTTCTACCTTTCATAAAACACTAGAGCACAATTCAGTCATGTTCTTTGCCACTGTATAATAGGTATTGACTTTGCTCCAGTGTCCAAAACATATTTCTCATTTCCACCTAAGGTTTCACAGTAGCACTTTTTAATTTTTTTTTTTTTTTGAGACAGAGTCTTGCTGTGTTGCCCAGGCTGGAGTGCAGTGGCGTGATCTCGGCTCACTGCAACTTCTACCTCCTGGTTCAAGAAATTATCCTGCCTCAAACTCCCAAGTAGCTGGGATTACAGGCATGTACCACCATGCCCAGCTAATTTTTATATTTTTAGTAGAAATGGGGTTTTGCCTTGTTGGCCAGTCTGGTCTTGAACTCTTGACCTCAAGAGAACTGCCCACCTTGGCCTCTTAAAGTGCTGGGATTACAGGTGTGAGCCACCGCACCCGGCCCCACAGTAGCACTTTTAATGTCCGTATTTCCACCAACTGTTTCTTTAAGGCAAGCTAAGCTTTTTCTAACATGGCATCATCAGTCTTCCAGCCTCTACTCGTTACCCATTTCCAAAGCCACTTCCACACTTATTGTTATTTTTACAGTTGGCATCCCACTCTCAGTATCAAAATCTGTATTAGATTGCTAAGGCTATCATAACAAAAAACAAAATACCATTTCCTGGGGGGTTTGAATAACAGAGATTTATTTTCTAAGAGTTCTGGAGGCAAGGAGTCTGAGATCACAGTGTTAGCAGAGTTTTGTGATTTGTTTTGCTTTGGTTTTTATTTTTTATTTTTTTAGACTGCCCTCCATAGATTGTAGATAGCTTTCTCTCTGTCTTTACATAGTCTTTCCTCTGTGCATGTGTATGTCTAATGTCCAAATTTCCTTTTCTTATAAAGGCACCAATCTACTGGATTGGGCCCATCTTACCCTTTTTACCTTAATTACATCTATCCCAAATACAGTCACATTCTGAGGCACTGGATGTGAAGGCTTCAATATATGATTTTGGACACGCACAATTCAACTCAAAATATATGATAACACATGCGCCCACACACACATACACGTACATGTATGTGTATACTACTCTAAAATTTGTGTCTACAGCCTAGACCCCTCTCCCGACTCATATATGCAATTGCGTGAGGGCTAAAAGGCATACAAAAATTAATGTGTCCAAAACTGAGCCTCTGAGAATAATTCCCAAATCAGCACTTCCTGCACTATTCTTTATTATAGTCAATGGTAACTCCATTTGAATGGACCAAAATTCTTCAAGTCATCCTTGACTCCTCTCTATTTCCCACAACTATATCCATGCCTTCCACAAATTCTAATAGTTCTACCTTTCCAAAATACGTACAAAATTTGATTCTCATTCTTACCACCTGGATTCCGGCAACTGTCATCTCTGAAGGATTGTTGCATTAGCCCCCTCACTGATATTGCTTCTTCTGCTCTTCCTCACGTATATTGTACCCTCAAGCAATAGGCATAACAGTTCTAGGAAAATAAGAAACCATCAGTTTCTCAAAACCCTCCAGTGACTCCCATCTCATTCAATGAAAAACTAAATTCCTTAATGTTACCTCCAAAGCTCCCTATTTTCTAGTTTTCTCTACTTTTCTTACTTTTTTCCCTAGCTATTCTCCAATTCAAGAACCCCTTGGTCCCACTGAACATGTCATGTATGTTTTGACTTCAAGTCTTTTGCAATTGTTAATCTCAATGCCTTGGTATTCTCTCTCCAGATGTTCATATGACTACTGTGATCACTTCCTCAGGATTTTAATGAAATGTTCATTTTCTTTAAGGCTTTTACTGCATATCTGAATAGCACTGCCACTTCTAGAGCCCCTTTCCTGTATTAATGTTTCTCCTTAAAAATTATCAATATCCATTCTACTATATATTTTATTTGTTTATTTTATAAGTTATCAAGAAACAGTAGATTTAAAACTAATTTTGTCAAAATCAAGTTACTCCTCCATGTATAGTATCCTGGGCTTATGTATGTTTGGTAGAATGCTATTATCTGACCTTTTACAATTTAAATTAATGTTGCTCTATACAACTCGCCAATTAATGATTTTGCTTTCATAATTGGTAATTACATAGATTTTGTGAGATAATTATAAATTTCTGAGAAAATTTAAAAATAGCCATTCAACTTAATTGAATCATTTATGGTTGTTATTGATAACTTGATCTTATGAAATTTTTAATGATAGTCTTTGACAACCTATTGTGAATAGGCAAAACCTTTTAAAATAATGTTCAGATGATTTTTTAACAATGTTTAGGTTTTTAAAACTTTTAATCTTGATATGGAAAATAGAGTACACCACCTGACTCACCAGAATTTTATAACATTAGTGCATATAATCTTTGAACTACATTATGGACAAGATAAGAATGTTGGTCCATACAGCTGTGAGGTCAAGGCCAGGTTTGCTGTCTTTTAGGAAGAATGTAAGGACAATAGGAGAATATGCCCTCTTTCGTTAATATCCATTGTTTCAGAGGCCATATTAAAATTGTAGTATATTACACAAGTCTATAAGGAAGGTTACTCTTTCTGGCTGAAAAAACCTGTGAGTTTTCTCCTCCTGTTATAATGTTTATCCTTAATTCAATTGACTATGAACAAGCAACAGCATATTCACTCAGATGAAACAATCATACAGGACCTATTCTCCTGTTGTGGGTGTGGTTTGACATATTTCCTAGAAGCTATATACTACATATTGACTGAAAAGATACAACAAAATTCCTAATGGGTAGAAGTCCCCACCCAGGCCCAGAAAATAGAAAGAAATTTCTCTACTAAGTTATTAATTTGGAAATGTATTTCTTCATTTTGTGAGTTCCTAAATTGTATGGCTTAAAAAAAATCACACCAGATAATTTAAAAGTATTTTGACTAGTTGCTATACTGTTGTTAATTTTTCACTTTTATCTGGAGAATTAATTAAAATTTAAGGAGATAATTCTAGAGTCTAGAAATTCCACAGCCTTAAGTTTTGCAGCTGATACATTTTTTTTAAAAAGGCCAAAGTTTGGTACAAACCTAGTATCTCCACTCTCTTCATATTTCTAGGATATTCCTTCCTTATTATAATCCAATAAAAAAGAGTTAGACTTCTCTTCTCACAGGATCAATAGGAAATCTAGTCTCTTTCAAGGTCTCCCTCCCCAAGTCTTTGGGAGGAGGGGATGTCTTAAAAGTGCCTATGTGATCCACAAATTTATCTAATTTATTTCTCATCACAGTAAATCTGTCTACTACTTCAGATCTTCTACTGTCACATTTTGCAGTGTCATAACCATCTTTTTTGGCTGTGTGTGGTTTCTATGTTTGTATAACTTCTCACTAAGTGTAGGCCGCTCTTCTTCCATACATTATTTAATTAAGTAACATCTCAGATGTAATATTTCAATACACTTCATTGAAGGTTTTTGACAAAAGTAAATAATTAAAAGCTAGGGTGAAAAGTACATTGTACATACTAGATGATGTGGCTCCTGAATTTCACAGGATACGTTCTTCCACTAAACATTCCCCACTCTCTTCACTCTTCTTAAGTCTAAAAAGTGCCACCATATTACAAGAACTAGTCCACATGTCTAGAAAAGAGATTGATAGAACAGAGATATCAGAAATAAACCGAACTGTACATGATTAATTGGATTTCAATCAACTTGCAAAAGCCATTCAATAGAAAAAAGAAGTCTGTTTAACGAATAGTGATGGAAAGCTTAAATATCTATTTGGGGAAAAAAGGAAAGCAAAAATAAAGGCAGGAAGAATAAAAAAAGCATCTTTACAACCATGCCTCCTCATACCATACATAAATATTAACTCAAACAGATCATATACCTAAATGTAAAATCTAAAAATTTTAGAAGAAAATGCAATAGAAACTCTTCATGACTTGTGTTGGGCAAATATTTTTTTAAATATGACACACAAACATGATCCATAAAATAAAATTATAAATCAAACTCCATTAAAATTAAGAACTGTGTTTTAACAGACTATTTTAAGAAAATGAAAAGATAAACCACCGATCAAGTAAAAATATTTGCGAATCACATTTTTGATGAAGAACTTGTATTTAATATTTATATACATATTTATGATTCAAGTTTCAATCATAATAAAAATGAAAACCTATTCTAAATGAGAATTATTTAGACAAAGTTAATTATTTTCATGTAATGGGAGAAGGAAAACATTAGAGTAGTCTTCCTCTAACAGTGTGCTATTTAGTCTAATTAGCCTATGAGCACTATAAATAAATATTTTTGCTAGTATTTCACTACTAATCTCTTACTTAGAAATAAGAACTCTTCATGTATCTTTCCATGAATTGGAAATATTCAGCCCAGCTTGAGATTTCCTCAGAATGCACAAAAACAAAAAAAAAATTAAACGTCAGGGTTATGTCTAAAAAAGTATAAATATCATATGCATTAAGTACCTCAAGTACTTTGATAACATGCACTAAAAAGTTCAGATTTTACTTTGAATACTGCAAAAGACAAGAACTTGATATACAATGTAGAAAACATTTATTTTTAACAAAATGATTTGGGACATTTTAAGGAACATGCTGAAGAAAATGTACTTCTTATCTTTTATTAGCATGTGAGATAAATATAAGAAAATATTTATGAGATCATCCCAATGGAAAAAATGCATTCTAGCAAGATAGCAGAGCTAAAGTATGTGCCTAACAACATTATATCTGATGAAATAAACTGCACACAGGGGATTCTAATATGTATTTTATGGGAGGTTTGCTGAATGTCTGCATTCTTTTTTGGCCAGATCAAATAGCAATGTTTCCCTTATGTCGTTTTTCCTCCACTTATTTTTGTATATATAAAATATTTATATGTGTAAAACATGTACTACGTATACAATCAGAAATATAACATTGTCAATACACTTTAAGTCCGTTAGGCTCTCATCCCCAATCTCTCCTCAAACTTTACCCCAGGGTACCCCAGGATAAGTACTATTTTCAAACTTGTGCTTACCGTTCTGTTGCTTTATTACACAAAGGCAGTGAAGTGCGTAATTCTATAGTGCAAACCTTCATTAATCAAAACCTATGTATATTTTGATATAACCATAACACAGATTAATATATGGAACATTCTCATCACCCCAGAGACCACTTTTGTGCCTCCCCAGCCAGTCATAACCAAATCAAATGCAAACATCATACTTCTTTCTATTACCATAAAGCACTGTTGCCTTTTCTTAATATTTATATAAACAGAATCATATAGTAAATACTATTTTGTGTCTAATTTTGATGATTCATACAGTAAATACTATTCTGTATCTAATTTTTATGATTCTGGTTTTCAAAAAACATCCAAGCTGTTGCATTTTTGTGTAGTTTATCCTTTTTCATTGCTACATCAGTTTCCATCGCGTGGTTACACTACAATGTGTTTGCCTATTCTACTACTCCTGGGCATGGGTTGCTTCCAGTTTGAAACTACTTTGAATAAAGTTATTAGGAACATCATTGTACATGTCTTATTGGTAGCTAAATTAGTTTATATTTGGTTTTGTTGGATTTACACAAATAGACATTCTGGGTCATAGGGTAGGTGTATGTTTAGCTTTAGGAGACAGTGCCAAACAGTTTTCCAAATAGATTTATCAATTTGAACTCCCACCAGTAATATGTGAGAGTTCTGGCTGCTCCATAGTTTCTTCAAAACGTTCATTTTTTGAAAAAAACTTTTAGCCATCTGGTAGGTTTATAATGATATATCTTGTTGTAGTTTTAATTTGCATTTGCCTAAAGATTGCTGTGATTTTGAGCAGATTTTTATGTTCATTATCCTTTCGAATATCCTCTTTTATGAAGTGCCTGCTTAAGTTCTTTACCCTTCCTTAAAATTAGCTTGTCTGAATTTTACTTAATGATTTGAAGCAGGCTTTTATACCTTCTGGATACCATTTTTTATTGGACTTATATATTGTAAATATCTTCCAGTCTGTAATTATTTTTTAATATCCTACTCATTCTTGATTCTCGGATTTTTTTTTCTGGACTTATTTTCTTTCTTAGAGTATACCCTTTAGATATCCTTTTACCAAGAATTCAATTGACTGTAAGCCCCTCTGTTTTTGTTCATCTATAAGAAGTTTTTTATTCTTATTTTTGAAAATCTTTTAACTGGATTAACAGTTCTCACTGGAGAGCTTTTTCCCTTGTCACCCCATCTTCCAGCTGTTGTATTAGGCTTACAAAAGTCAACTGTTTGTCCAATTGATGTCCAAGTCCTATTTTATATCCTCCTTCTGAAATTTCACCATGAGTTGTAAGGAAATTACTTCTTTATTCTTCTTGAAATATGCTGCTGTATTTCCTAAATCTGAAATTTTGTATTATTTGTTATTCCTGGAAAGGTCTCAGACATCATCTCTTTGAATATTACTTCACTTCTGCCTTGCATCACTCTCTGAATTTCTCGTGCTCTTACTCTAATTAAGTAAATATTCTGCCTTCTTAAACTCTTCTCAGTGTTTTTTAACACCTCTTTTCCACTGTCCTGTCTTTTCTTGCTGCATTCTGGGTAATTAATTAAGGTCTACCATCTCAGCAACTTTCTCTTCTATTGTGTCTAACCTGTTTTTTTTTTTTTTAGCTATCATATTAATCATTGTATTAGTCCATTTTCACTCTGCTGATAAAGACATACCCGAGACTGGGCAAGTTACAAAAGAAAGTGGTTTATTGGATTTACAGTTCCATGTGGCTGTGGAGGCTTCACAATCATGGCAGAAGGTGAAAGGCACATCTCACATAGTGGCAGACAAGAGAAGAGAGCTTGTGCAGGGAAACTCTACTTTTTAAAACCATCAGATCTTGTGAGACGTATTCACTCTCACGAGAACAGCATGGGAAAGACCTGCCCCCATGATTCAACACACACAACACGTGGGAATTCAAGATGAGATTTGGGTAGGGACACAGCCAAACCATATTTATCATTTCTAGCACTTTATGTTTATTTTGTAACGTTGCAAAAACAAGACCTTTAGAATGAGTTTTTTTTTTTTTTTTTTTTTTTTTTTTTTGAGACGGAGTCTCGCTCTGTCGCCCAGGCTGGAGTGCAGTGGCGGGATCTCGGCTCACTGCAAGCTCCGCCTCCCGGGTTCACGCCATTCTCCTGCCTCAGCCTCTCGAGTAGCTGGGACTACAGGCGCCCGCCACTACGCCCGGCTAATTTTTTGTATTTTTAGTAGAGACGGGGTTTCACCGTTTTAGCCGGGATGGTCTCGATCTCCTGACCTCGTGATCCGCCCGCCTTGGCCTCCCAAAGTGCTGGGATTACAGGCGTGAGACACCGCGCCCGGCTAGAATGAGTTTTAATTTCACATTGTCAATCAAAGATACAAGAAACAATAAGTAAACCAAACACTAAGTTTACTTAGCTTTAATAAGGGTATGAAGCAGATAGCAAGTACTATGTGGGGCAAGAAAATCCTGGAGGGCTCAGACACCAAGCTGCAGCTTCCTGTGTACCCAATCATTGCACTGTTCTCAAGAAATGACAAGAATATGTTGAATGAGGGTCACATCAGCAAACACAAACTACAGGGACTAGGGCCCCATAGCTTAAGTACCTTGCTAGTCACCTAAAAGGGTATGTATCTAGCTCTCATTCTTTATTAACACTTTGGCACATTAATAACAGAATAAATAATAAACTAAACCTTGCAAAAATACAAGATGTGGTCATATGGATAAAAATTTTAAGATTCTGGTGAGCTAAGGAAGCTAGGATATCTCCTCAGACAAAGAACAGGTTATTGCACTATATTTGTTCTGGGCTGCTGTGACAAAATACCTCAGACTGGGTAATTTATAAAGAACAGAAATTTATTGCTCACCATTATGGAGGCTAAGAAGTCTAAGATCAAGGTACCAGAAGATTTGAGGTCTGGTCAGGGCTTGCTTTGTTTCAAAGATGGCACCTCTTGCTGCATCCTTACATGGCAGGAGGGAGCAAGGACACTCCCTTCAACCTCTTTTGTAAGAGAACCAATCCTGTCCCTGAGAATAGAGCCATCATGACTTAATTACTTCTTAAAAGGCCCGTCTTTTAATATTATCACATTGAGTATTGGTTTCCAACATATGAATTTTGGAAGACACCGACATTTAGACCATAGCATGTCCTTTACACCTCTTTCCACTAAGACAGCATTTAGTAAGGCTTTTGGGGTTGGATAGGCAGCATATGCCACACTTGAATATACTGCTCTGAATCATGTATGAGGTAACGCAAATGACTGACAGTTTTGTATGGGGCCAGGAGGAAGGCGGGCTGATATGGGAGGTCAAGTCTGTGGTTACAGCAAACTTGCACCTCTGCCATATTACTTGAAAGATCTGTGGTACTATGGGTATCTAGATATATAGCTGATGGGCGTCTAATAGATAAAGATAGTGTATGAAACCTCTGGCAAGCTCCAATAGGAGAATTACTGTGCAATCCTTGGAACATGGCCATGACATTTTATCACAGAACTACACAATATTTGAAAAGCTGCTGCCAACATGCTACTTTACCAAGTAGGAGACTGATATATGACAATAGAACATTGTATAATCATATGACTGAAACTGCCCTCTTGAGCTAGTTGCTATCAGACACAGGAATTCATAAGATCAAGTAAGCCCAGCAGCAGCACTTTGCAAGATAGAAGCAGCACATACAAGACTGGGGTGGAGCAGGTCCAGATGATACAAATGAGCTGTGCCAATGAGTGACTGATGAAGCACACAAGGCACTCACCCACATTGTTGTACCTGCACTTTTTATTCGGCTTACACTTCCAGAGCTCATGGTGAGGTTCTCTGTAAACAACTAATAAAATGAAGTGGATCCATTCATGTATGGGTCAACTTAGTATATTAGCAGAGGCCCAAATGGATTACTGTTGCACTAGAGCCTCACTTAGGAGTGGGTCTGAAAGACAATGGTGAAGTGAAATCCTCCCAGTGGACAGAGTTGCATGCATCTGGTTGTCCACTTTGTGTGTAAAGGGAAAAATGGCCTGCAATCAAGATAAACATAAACTCCTTGGCAAGTGGCTTTAATAGCAAATGACTTAGCTGGTTAGTCAAATACTTGGATTCAGATAGAGTTGAATATCATGGATAAAAATACCTGCAGAAGAGGATGACTACACCTATGAAAATGGGGAAAAGGTATGAAAATTTTATATAGCAAATTGGTGTTCATCACAGAACATCTGTACTATAAAATCAATTAGACATGTTGACTTAATCAGTAGATATCAACTAGTCTCTGTCCTTATTCACCCCAGTACTTGCACAATGGACTCATGAGTGGAGTAACCATGATGGCAGATATTACTGTAAGTCATGGGCCAACAGCATGAACCATTTCTCACAAAGGCTGATCTAGTTACTGTTACTGTTGAAGCTTCAATTTGCCTGTCACAAAGACCAATGGTGTTTGGCCCTCTCCCTGATAAGTTACCATCCATTGAAGAAACAACCTAGTCAGTTGGTAAGAATTTTATTACACTGAATCCCTTTCATCCAAGAAGAATCTATGCTTTCTCATAACTGAAATTGAAATATACTCCAGGTATTAGTTTACTTTTCCTTTCCACAGTGCCTCAGCCAGCACCGCCACAGAGGGGTCACAGAATTTCTGTTCTCCCAACATGATATCCTGTGTAATATCATCTCAGACCAGGTGACACAATTTGTCACAAGGGAGATGCAACAGTGGGATATACCTATGGGACTCATTTGTTGTATCATAGGGTACACAATTTGGAACCTGCTGGCCTCTTGGATTTGGAACAAATTTTTGAAGGTTCAGCTGAGGGATCAACACAGTAGTATAATCCATGCTCCAGGGTACCCTTAGGATCAGGCTGGAAAGATTAGGTTGGAGTTCTTATGAAACCATGTATTTATCTAGATCCTTCTCCTATCCTGCTGACTTCTTCCACTTCCATACAGATTTCTCCTAAGAACACTCCAATAAACCACTGAACGAGTATCTTCCCCCTTAACCTGTGCTTCTAGGGAACCTGAGCTAAGATAACAAGGACTAGATGAGTATTTGTCATGGCACATAAGAGTGGAAGTGGGAAAGAAAGAAAACTCAAAGAAGAAAAGATGCAAGACTCCAAAACTAAAAAACCTTGATGTAATATTTTATATATAATTTAGAACATATATATATTATAAAATAAAAACACATAAATGCATTGAGGACTTACTTTTTCTCAGACAAAGCTCCAAGCACTTTACATCTATACATTCATCAAATTATCACAACAACTCTACAATGTAGAGTCTATTTTAGTCCCTATTTTACATATATGTAGGAATTTGAAGCAGAAGGAGGCTCACAAACTTATCCAAGGCAACCCAGTAAACAGGGAGTCAGTATTCAGACCTGGGCAGTCTGGCTTGAGTTCTCATATTCCTAACTTTAATCAGTTCATTCAGCAAACACATATTGAGTGCCAGATATATGCCAGACACTATTCTAAGTGTCTGGGTGTAGTGCAGAAACCAATAAGAAATCCTGCCTTCAGGGGGTTTACAGTCTAGTGTAAAGGAGACAGAAAAGAAACAAGACATGTAAAAGATATAGCTTGTTAGATAGAATAAACTATTATGGAGAAAATTAAGGCAGGGAAGGAGATAGAAAGACCAATAAGAGTTGAGGTTACAGTTTGAGATAGGGTGGCCAGAGCAAGGCACATTGAGAAGGTAATATGTGGATAAAGCCTAAAGGAAGTAAGGGAGTGACCTGTGTGGAGAGGAGAGCAAAAAGTGTTCCAGGCAGGGAGAACAGCAAATGCAAAGGCCTCAGGGTAGGAATAGCCCTGGCATGGTTGATGAATAATGGTGTATTAGTCCATTCTTACACTGCTAATAAAGGTATACCCAAGACTGGGTAATTTATAAAGGAAATAGGTTTAATTGACTCACAGTTCAGCATGGCTGGGGAGGCCTCAGGAAATTTATAATCATGGCAGAAGGGGAAGCAAACACGTCCTTCTTCACATGGTGGCAGCAAGAAGTGCCAAGCAAAAGTGGAAAAAGCCTTTATAAAAGCCATCAGATCTCATGAGAACTCACTCACTATCAGGGGAACAGCATGGGGGAAACTGTCCCCATGACTCAATTACCTCCCACCAGGTCCCTCCCATGACACATGGGGATTATGGGAACTACAATTCAAGACGAGATTTAGATGGGGACACATCCAAACCATATCAAATGGGAAGGTCAGCATGACTTGAGCAAAACGAATAGGAAGAGTACAGAGAGAGAATGGGAATGTATTGTGCACACCTTTCTAGATCATTTTAGGAATTTTGGCTTTTACTCTGAATGAGGTAGGACATGACTGTGGTGTGTAATAATAGCACATATTTTAATGAGATCATTCTGGTTCTCACAATCAGAATAGATTGATAGGTAGCAAGGGCAGGAACAGGAAGAATTGTTACAGGGTTTTTGCAATAATCCAACAGAGATGACTGAAGTTTGGACCACAGCAGTAGAAGTAGAAGCAGTCAGAAGTGTTATAGTTGTGGAAATATTTTCATGGTAAAATCAAAAGAATATTTTTATTCTATTGGATTTCATTTTTAGTAGTCCAGCCTACCGGGGTTATAATTAGATCCTAATTCTGACTCTCCCCAGCGTTTTACATGTTATCATCTTCCTTTTAGAGGCAACTTGAACCAAGAACCTTTGGTTAAACACCTAAAAGTCTCATTATATGTTGACTCTAATCTTAAAGAGTTTTTCTATTAAAATCCTGGATGTAAGAGTTGAGCTAGCCCATCTCAACAATCACATTTTCCTCTTTCCATTTCTCACTCCTTTCTGACAGCCTTTTCCAAAACTGCTTGACTGATTCAATTAGGAAGAGGCCAATATTAATAATTGGTAGTTTTGGCACCTATCTATGCAGCTTGGCCATGCTGTGAAATTTGGTCATTATGACTGAGCTCAGCACTGTAAGTCCATAGGGGATGGAGAGGGCAGGGAGGACAATCTCCCTCCTCATGGCTTTTTTAGCACAAGCAGCCCCCTCCTTAGTGAACAATTTATTTCAATTCTAGTTAAAGAATATTTTAACTTAATCGTTACAGGAAGATAGTTATTCTAGAGTTAAACATAGAAGAGAACACATACAAATAAAAATTAGGAAGTTTATTTTCAACCTTCCCAAATCTCCAATAGGTGAGCATGAAGTTTATTACACTTTTCAATATCAAGACAACTGGAAACACAGTATGTGAAAGGACTTATATTTAGAAATGTTATATATGATTTCTATTAGAAAGCCCTTGATAATTTACAACCAAAGTAAGATATGCATTCTCTTAATTTTCTAATCAAAGAATGGTAGTTACTAAAAGTACAAATTTAATTGTTCTCAAATTCCAAACAAAAATATTAATTATTCACTATTGTTTGAAAAATAACAAATTATATGAGTCTAAAAACACCTATGGTGCAGTTTGTCAAGGCTGTTAGGTTAAGATTCGCTGTGGCCTTCAATAACCAAATGTGGGTCTTAGAAAAGTTTCTGTTCTTATCTGCACAAACAGGCAAAATAAATAAAAGAAAAACTGTCCCATAAAACTTTAGACATTGTAGATAAGAAATGATATTACCACAATCAAATCACTAAGCAATTTTTAGGACACTAGAAATCAGGATTCATTGTTACTTAGAAAAAATGTAAGGTAAAGTAAGCTTAATCAGAATATAAACATTGAAAAAACTCTAATTTTTTTTGTTCTAAAGTTGACTCACAATTTATTGTCTTCAGAAACACTTTGGTACAAAATCAACAAATTTCTCCACAAAACATAAAATAATTATGAGATAGGATGTTAGCTAACAAATTTTGTACAGAGTATGATCTATGGATGAAGTTCAAGCATTACTATTAAATTCCTATGTAACATTAACCAGATAGCCTGTCTCTTCATTTTGTTAAAGGAAAAATAATATTGTTCCTGTATACTTAATACATAATAAGATAAATTATTAAAATGTGAGAGCCCTTAAAGTAATTTTTATAGATGGTACAACTATAAGAGCATCATTCTGATGTATACTAATTAAGAATCACTTTGGTTTCTTGTCAGCCAAATTTATTATATTACAATTTTATTGTCTTTTTCTTTCCATCAAATATTATGATTAACTAGATAATTTTCCTACAATCCTAAGAAACATTCATCTAAAGAATTATCTGGTACATAGCACATAGAATATTAAGACATCGTCTCAGAAATCTGGTGAAATTTCAGTCATGAGCTTGTTGTTGGGTCATAGAAGAGAAGGTTATGGAAAACTCCTATGACTCTCAATGGCTTTGGCTGTTGGAATTCAAACATATTTATGACACAGCGTATTTTGTAAATACACTGTGAATGTGAAATCAAACTCCTTTCCATAGTTCCAAGGGATTTGGATAAGAAACCTGAACATTTTAAATCAGTCAGATATAATTATTTTTCTGTAAGTTAGTCTTGTTAGGAATGATGATAGCACTAAAAAATGGCAAAACAAATTCTGGAAAAAAAAGAAAATATTTGGTGGCTTTTATCCTATTTCAGACTGGTTTTACTCAGAAACTGAAATACAGAATTATTTCCCAATTACTTAGTTGTTGGTAGTAGAAATAAGAATCTGAAAAAATGTGCAAGTTAAATAAATACGTCCTAAAGAACAACAACACAATGCCTACAGATTTAGACACAACAGAATAGACTATATGAATTCTATATCATAGGTTTCTGTAAGTTTTATCTGTTAAAAGTTTTAAGGTTGTTCTTTCCTTTGCAGCGATGAATCAAGTTTCTTCTGGAGTCCATTGGGGAATACTCGTTTTTCAGCTAGAAGGCTAGCTTCTTTTTTCACTGCAACATTTATGTTTGCTGCCTAAGTGGCTTCTGTCACATCTTGTTATTTTTGATGTTTTTCATTTTTGAATGTTTCTATAAATAAAAAAAGAAGGGTTTATCAGAAATAAGTATTGAAAATAACCAGAAAGGAAACTGCCTGCTTTCAAATACTGTCGACACTCACATGCATATGGTTTTTGAGAAACGGTTGGAAGCAAAGCAGAAAGAGCCAGCAAAATAAAGAAAAAAAAAAAAGAAACAGAAGAAAGTAAGCTTTTCACTCTTCAGAAACAAGGTAGATACTTGTATGAGGTAGGAGATAATAGCTTACATGTATAAAGTGTTTTTCCGTGGACAAAATGCTTTTCTTTGCGTTTCAGTTCATCCTTATAACAACTCTATCATATGGGTAATGTAAGGTAGAAAACTGAGGCCTCAGTGAAGTTGAGACCTGCCCAGCAATCACATAGCTAGTAAGAAGATGAAGCTGATTGTGTCTAAAAATGTCTGTTTCCAGACTCAACAGGCTTTGGCTGTGGCACTATGCCTCCTGAATAGAATGCAAGCCTATTGGAGTTCTAAGAACTACAGAGGAGGAAAAAGGTACCTAATAATTGTTAAACTGAAGAAAAATCAACAGGCCTCCAGCATAAGCTGTACTATCTAAAGCTCCTAGTTAACATGTACACATACCTGGCATTGAGACAACATCATGTCAGACTCTCAAATAAAGCAAGCTACGCTACGAATAGGAATTGTGCCTATCTTCAGGCAAGACACTTTATTCCTTTCTACTATGGCTTTATGGAGCGCGATGGATGGGTAATTAAAAGAAGCCCTAAAAGTAAGCACTACAAGTGGTCAAGAGGAACAGAAAACCAGAAATCTCTCTGACCCTCCCCTGCTTCTATTGTATTAGAGGTTAGTTAAGTGCTAACTGCCAGGACCTGGAGAGAAAGTCTCTGTTGGTCTTCCTTCTGAGCACTCAATAGCCTATAACTGCCTGCCTCCCTCCCTCCTTCCCTCCCTCCCTCCCTTCCTTCTTTCCTTCCTCCCTCCCTCCCTCCCTTCCTTCCTTCCTCCTTCCTTCCATTTGTTTTCCTTCCCTTCTTCTCCTCTCCCACTTTCCCTCACTTTCTTCTTTTTTTTCTTCCTGCTTCCTCTCTTCTTTTCTTCTTTGAATTATTTTTCTGTAACACTAGCTGTATAACCTAAAGTAATTTACTTTAGGTTACTAACCTTTATATGCCTCATTTTCTCATTTTTTTTTAAAGGAGAAGGAGGAGAATAATGCCTATTGAATGGAATAGTTGCAAAGATAGAATATGTCAATAAATGTAAAAAGACTAAAATTATCTCACTATCTCAGCGATTTTCATGATGTGTGTGAAACACAGAAACAAAATATGCAGTTCTGTGGCTCCTGAGGAGGTCACAGACTACTTGAGAAGGAAGAAAGGTAATGTCAAAGGAGAAAGAAGAGCGATTTCTCCACATACCTTGGTAATTTCCCTAATCATCTGAATTTACTTTCCTCTGTCAACATTTCCATCAGTGTTAACTGGGACTGGGAGCTGGAGTGGTCAGTGGGTTGATGGTGAAGAGAACCTGGATTGCATACTCTCCTAGATTTCCTTCCCTCTCCTCATGATCCACTGTCCTCAATGGCTGCCTTTAGCTTTTTAGATCTTTCTTATATGACAAACAGTAATAAAACCATATACTGTAGAATATACATTTTAGATATAAGAACACAAGATTTTTAGGCAGTATGCCCAGATTTAATTCCCACTTCTATCATTTACTATCTTTGTGACTTTATCTATAAAAAGGAATAACAGCAATATTTCTTCCTTACAGTGCTGCTTTTCTTAGGGAGCAGGGGGATGGGATGAAGGAAAATGAAATAAATGAATTGTAGTACAGAGAATTGGAAACTGAAGACCTAAGTCTGATTCCTGAGTCTACAACTTAACTGGCTGTGTATTTTGAGGAATCTCTGAATTCCATTTCCTTATCAGTGGATAAGTTTTCATTATAATAACTGAATCATAGAGAGTTGAGGAAATACCAAATGAAATAATGAGCTTGCAATTACTTTGTAAAATGTAAAGTGCTACAGAAATATCACTTGCCATTGCCATCTCAGAGTCACATAAAACTATTATAAGCATGCAGTTTGAAAGTTCAATCTGTCATCTTGACAGTTATTTGTCCAACTCTCCCTTGTCAATAAGCTGATTTAAGATAGTACACAGTTAAGCAGAAAAATGGGAGTTGAGGTAATTAAAATAATTAGATTATTTCCAAATAAAAAACTGGGATTTAAACAATCTTAGTTTTAGAAGAGACCTTATACGTCAGCTCACCCTGCCTGATCTAACCCAATCTTCACCCAGTGCAGTGGTCCTCTAAATTACATCTATGCTCTGGTGGCAAGCTCTAGTTGACAGAGCAGGAGATTCCACATTGAATAGAAACTGTGTTTCTTGCATACTACCTTTCAGGAAATCTCAAAATGTGCAAGAAATGTTTTTCTGACAATAATTTAGGTTCTAAAATCCAAATTGATTTAAAGTCTTTATCTTTTTGGCATTCACCTACTCCTTTTGGAAATGTCACAAGTTCAATAAAGAGGTGATGATTCTCATGTTGAAATGGATATTCACTGAACCAATTACTCAGTTGATCAGACTAACTGAGGTATTTGGAATCATGTAGACAAGTTTCCTTGGAGATCAAGTAAATTATTTCATTCATAGAAGAGTAGACATAGAATGGAGTTTCATTTTGCTTTTTGCTTTTCTTTCTCAAAAATACAGGCTAAATAAGTGTCCTTCAATGGTCAGAATTACATCTTTTTAATAATAACTTACAAAATGAAGTTATAAGCATAAAATTACATGGGTAATTATTAGAATAAGAAGGTTAAAGTGAAAGAAAATTTCAATTTCGTTATATTTTAGAGGAATCAAGCTGAAGTATGTCTAAAAGTAATTTACATTCTCTTATAAACCTGATGTTTCCTAAAGTGTTAATTTGAAGGAAAGCTGTTCCCTTGTCACTTTTGGGAAACTTTGAGTGCCAGTCCCCTGAAATTGCTCAATGTGATGGTGAACACTCAAACCTGCCATGAACCATCTACCTCTTTTAGGATGCAACTTGATTGTGGTTTCTTGGAGTCTCTTCTGAACAGTTTCAACAGGATTTTCATTCATGTTTTCATATTTTTACCCACCATTAACTTCCCTTTCCTTTGTATCTTTTGTCATCAAATTGTTGGCTGAGACTGAACAAACAAATAATACAAGTTAATAGCTGCTTTATTTCCCCTCTCATTTGAAGTGATTAAGTGAGTATTGTATCATGTTTCAGAGATGAGTCTTCTATGTGTACTCCAGCAACTGTTTTTGCATACAGAAAATGTTTGATAGAATCCACACATAATCTGTCAAGCACAAGATAGGAGTCTGGGGTTCATTTTTGTATTCAAGAAATACTTACTGTGAACCTCTTATGAGCCAGACACTTTCCTATAACCTAAGGATAGAGCAAACTGATAAAAAATCCCTGCCTTCATAGTGACCTTATGTGGAGTAGGTGACCAATAATCAAAATAAAAAGGACACTGCAAAATATGTTAGAGAGCACAAAGGAGGCAGATAGTGCCAGACAGGAGGGTTATAGTTTTAAAATAAGGTGATAACTAAGAAGGTAACCATTGAATAAAGACCTAAAGGAAGTGAATCTGAAAGCCACATGGATCTCTGGGGAAAGATTATGCCATTTAGATAAAATAGTCTGTGCCAGCCTTGAGGATGGAGCTCTCCTAGGGTTTTTGAGAAACAGCTATGAGGCCAACATATCCAGAGTAGTGAGAAAGGAGAAGTAGAGAGGCCACTGGAGGATATTGAGGAGAGGAGTTACACAATCTGGCTTAAGATTATTATACACTTACTCTGGCTGTTGTGTTGGGAATGGACACTATGGGCCATGTGTACGAGCAAATAGACTAGTTAGAAAGCAAGTGCAAGAATCCAGATGAGAGACAGTGGTTGATAGCAGCAGATAGCTTAGACTTGGTTGGTAGCAGTAGCCATGGAAAAAAAAATGGGCATATTCCGATGTTCTTTGAAGATAAAGCCAATCAGACTTTCTGGTAGAGTGGTGTGATAAGTGAGAAGAAATGAAAGGTTGTTCACAATTCTTCTAGTGCATTATTTTTCAAAGTGTGATCCATAGAACCCCTACAGCAGACTCACCTGAGATACATTGAAACACATCCCCGTGGTATACCTGAATCATACTTTTTCACTAAAGGGCTAGACAGTAAATATCTGTTACCATTACTTGACTGTGCTGATAGAACACTAAAGCAGTCATAGACAATGTTTAAATAAGTGTAGATGTGTTCCAATAAAACTTTATTCATAGATATTAAAATTTGAAATTTATAAAATTTTTACATGTCAAAAATATTATTTTTAAATATTCCTTAACATTTGAAAATGAAAAATCAAACATTCCTGCCACCCCAGCCATAAAAAATCAGGCAATGGGACCTATTAATATTTTACCCATAGGCCATGATGGTTTCCCAGCTCTGCTCTAGAGAATAGATCCCAAGAATATGTATTTTTAACATACACATTAAGCGATATTTTAAAGCACAAGAACTTTCCTGTAAGATAAGTATTTTTATTCTAATTTTAAAGATAAGAAAACAAAATCACAAACAAATGTGACATTCTTTGAATTAGAGCTTAGTCTTGGGTCTGTCTCATTGCAAAACTTGCACTTTCTACCATCCCCCAGCACCTCATGGAATAGTTTCCCAGGGGTTAATATTTCTGTTCAACCATAGATGGAGCAGAGAGCAGAGTAAAAAGAAAAGAAAAAGGTTGCTTTGCCTAGAGAACTGTTTTTCCCTCTCAATATGGTACACGGTTTTGCCTTCATAATTAGCATTCTGCTGATGAGATCTCCCATTGGTGAAGGCTTGCGAGTAAGATTTCCATGAAGAGCAAACACTGCAGGAAATAAATTAATCTCTAGGGAAGAAGAGGGGCCAGGTTGTCAGTGCTCACACAACTTCCTAATAGGAAATGATATTTCAGAATTGTTCAAAGAATGAAATGACTGTGGGTTCTCCTTGCAGCACATTCTTAAACATTTAAATCTTCTGAGAAGAGGGAGATAGGTTGCTATAAAATGAAGAGCAATCCTATAACATTTTTCTTTAGGGTGTCAGTATTTCCAAACTAAAATAGCCTTATCTAGAAGTGTAAAATAAATTCTACTAATATCGTTATTCTGTTTATATTATAAGAAATCTACATTGATGTTAAATATAAAGATGAAAGGACAGATTTTTAAATCATTGGTTAAAAATTATACGATATTTTAAATAACAGGTTTTCTAGACTTTGGAATAAAAGTAATTTTTGCACTTAGAACACTACTTAGAATAACATTGAATTATTGAGGTGTTTCTTCATTAAAATTAAGAAACAACAATGTGCTTTATGATCTAAACTACCTAACTCTTGATCCCATATAATCAGCCTTTCAATTAAGGTCTTTAATATAGAACCTCTGACTTGTCTAATCCTCAAAATGGTCCTGATAGGAAACTACTTAGGTTTTATTTTCCACGATACAAATAGGATCTGAGGTTTACACTAAACATTTAGATTAAACTAAAGCTACAGAATAATTCTTTATTCTCTAGCTTCCACCTTGGCCTAAGAGGAGAGCTTTCCCAGGGAGTTTGTTTTTTTCTGACCTGTTTAAATTCCCAAACTAAGTAGGATCTTAGACAGGGTGAATCACCTGTATGTGAGTCTCACTTAGAAATAAGACCATTTGAGTCCAACAGTTTCAATGTTCTAACTCAGAGTAAGCCAGAGGATCACAGGCTTTCAGAACTGACAGGGCATACAGATTATCTGGTATACCCACTATTTTGATGGAGAAAGTCAAGCTCAGAGAAATGAAATGGCTTCTGAAATGCTATGCATCTAGGTTGTGGCAGAACTGGGACTCAAACTTGGAGTGCCTTGGGTTTCATTTTCTAGCCCAGGGTTTGTCTTACTACTTGACTAGTCTAATTTATGAAGGACAAGCAGTGACACAGATTTAGTGTAAAGTTGTAGGGAAAATTCGAAGAACATAGTCAAAGCTACAATAGGAAGAAAATTACATTAGAAAATATGGATCAGGAGAGTATAACATTTGCTTATTAGAAAACATTTATGTTTATGTAGGACAAAAACAAATAAGCATATTTAAAAGGTCATCCTTCCTGGCAGTGATTTGAGTTTCTAGAGAGACATAAGGAAGAAAAAGGAAAATGGCCCCCTGTTTAGCCAGGAAGATAACCGGAAGCAATGGCAGCAATTAATGAGTGACCCACATAATAATCAGATCCTCCTCAGAACTAAATAATCATCCTCTTGTACCAAATGGCTGCGCCCTTGGCTGAAAAAAAGCCACATTGCCCATAACCATAGACCCTTCTCAGGGACAGCTGCATCCAATGATTGTTTGATGCAGGGGGTATAAAGGTCTGTTCCCCACCCCCTAATTCAGGACAACCCTGAAGAACCATGCCAGCTCCAGATCTCCCTATGGGATCAGTTGAGGTCTTTGTTGTGACTGTATCATGATTCAATTTTTCCCTCTGCCCAGACCTGCTTCTGGGACTCTGCCTCAAGCGCTGTTCCTGGGAGCACTTTCCAATCAACTTTCCACATGTAAATCAACCCAGGGAACTGGATGCAACAAATAGTTCAATGAAAACATTTCCACTTAACACATGTTATTACTAAAAATAGACCTTAAGCTGAATAAACATTGAAGCCCTGTGTTCCTCCTTAGCTATTGCTGCTGAAGTAAGATGGGGAAAGAGTCCATTAGAGAGCGTCAGGGCATCCATGTCTCTACACAATTGGAGTGTTTCTTTTACTCTGAGGAATCAGTGACATCATCAAAAAGGGTTTCTCACCCCCTCCATGTTCATAGCATTCACAAAGGCTATAACATTTCCAAGAGCATACTGCTCTCAAAGGCAAAAAATGCAGACAGAAACTCAGAGACTGAAAGATCCATAACATCAAGTCGCCACAGCCAGCAATTTACAGAGCGTATCATAGGAAAACAAAGTTTTCCTTAGCAATCAATTCATAAAGATTCAGTAGTTAATTATTATAGCCTGACTTCATTGTAGCTTATTATGTACTCTACTAACTTTTACCTATTTGATCTAATATAATCTTCAAAAAAAAAAAGCACATGGTATAGCACTACTAGTAACTCAATTTTACAAATAAAGGAATAGTCTTAAATAACTAATTGCTCATGGTATATAGCTACCTAATGGGGGAGCCAAAATGTAAACCCAGAAATCTCAGTTCAGCCTCTGAAGGTCTGCACTTTATCATTCTATCACTTAATCATCCTACTTTCAGAGAACTTTTTTTTAAGTAATTTATGGATAAAATAACATGTAGAATTAATAATAATGTTCTTAAAATAAGGCATGGGCATCACTAAGCAACAAGAGTGAATCAAGGACCCACAGAAGAAGGTCATCTAGAATCTGGTGAAATGTTTTCATCAGTTTCTTAGTGAAGACATCAGTGGCTGACAGCACTGATCCTGAGTGAGGTTTTACCGTACTCTTGGCTGGAATAGAGTCTTATTACACAATTCGTGTTCAGTCATTCACAGCAAAATTTCAGTTGTTGACATTGAATACCAAGATAACTAGTTTCCTTAGTACAATTATTAGATACATATTTGAAAAGGTTCCACCCCATGTAACTGAAAGAATTAGGTCTGGGTATCCTGAAAGAGCAACATTAGAAAAGCAAAGCAGCACCCCTATCTTAATTAGGCTTTTTTTTTTTTTAAGTCAGTGATATGCTACAAAGTCTCTGCAACTGTTACTCTCGTCAAAGAGAATTTAGGAAATGACTGACTTATGTCTAAGCATTAGAAAGAGGAGAAAGCTCAGAAAAGGCCTGCTCTACCCATCCTGAACTCAAAGAAGGCTACTACATATTCCATGAGCTATCCATATGAAGTATGGTAAATGTTAAGTATGGCTCCAGTGAGTCTTTTTTTTGGAAATGAAGAACATATACTATATTATATAAGATGAAAATAAAGTTTGAAAAATTATATTTTTGCTCTACTTTTGTATTTTTATATATAGAATTATCACACAATTATAATCCATAAGGAAGAAATACTGTAATTATTGCATTTACAAATGGGAAAGCAAATAAAAATATTGCCAAGATGTTCATACTGGGTAATTTCTAAATAAATGCATGTTAAAATCAAATTGATCTAGGAAAGGAGATTCCATTTTACTCTCTTGAATGAAGTTAGGGGGTCTCACTTGCCTAGAACCACTGCTTTAATTCCAGGTCATCTTTGTCCCTAAAATCATCACTTACAAGTAATACGTTCAAAGCAGGTGCTGCTCTGGTCTGTAACATACGCTGTACTACTCACTCAAGGCACAAAGCTGGGACTACTGCTGTACCATCCCAGAAAGATTCACATACAAGAGAAGATTAGATAATGTTTCCCTCTGATTGAAACAAAAACTTTGATCTCAGGAATTGTGTTATCTGGTACTTTTTAGAATCCACAATCTTAAAGAAAGAAAGAAAAACAAGTTCCAATGAATTAATAATGGCTTGAGACTCAATGCGCTGCAGCAATTTTCACTGCAGTGGTTGTTTCTTTTATAGTCATACTTGATTAGTATTAGAAATTTGGAGGAATTGCAATATGCGTGATTTTCAAAGCCCTTTACAGAATTTCATTTTTCTCTCTCGGAGAGAGTCAATGAAAAGGTAATAAGAAAAGCTCTATGGGACTTTTTTATAGGAGTGTCAGAAGCCAGTAAGCTAACTACATGAAAGAACCCAGATTGTGCAGACAGGGTTTGGAGCAGAAACACTTCAGAGACTTTATCTAGTATTTTGACTTTTATATGTCCTTGGAGAAGAAAGCATGCTAGCTACAAAACCAAATAAGGAGGAGAAAGGAGCAAACCGTATGCTTAAGAATAATTACAGTTTCAATTTTTGTATGAACTAAATGTGAAGTTTCAAAGATAAAGTGTAATAGAAATTGAGGGGGTTTGGTGTGTCTAAAATATTGGCAAGAAACAAACTTCTTATTTCCCTTGCTAGCTCATCCCAAATTTCTGCCATATGGAAGTTAGTCTGGGTAGCTTAATTGAATGCTATCAACTCCTCCACAAGTCCGTTTGCTTTTGTTTTGCACTCAGTAGAGATGAAAAATATCAGATCACAATCTCTATAAACTAAACCATCATAATTCAAGCTTGCATTCAGTGACTTATCTGACGCTTCTTTAAATTTAAAACATCTCAATTATTTTAACCTCTTTTCAAGACAGTAATTCTTCTTGTTCATTGTTCCAGCAAAAATATTATTATCACAACAATACAAGTAATCTTGAAATATTTCATTGCCATGAAAACCATAAATGAGGTGAAAAATCTAATAGTGGAAAACAATAAACATTACTATTATTATTGTGAGTGTTCAATATCATGCTTCACATAAATCTTCATTTCAATGTGATTGGCAGAGCAGGGTGATCACTTGGGCTGAGTCATATATTCCAAATAAAATAATAGTAAGAATCTGTCCATTGCACCTTTGTCATGTGGACAGTTAAACCACCGTGGTTTAACTGACCTATAGTCACATCAGTACCTGCTATTGCTGTGGCCCCACGGTTGCTCCTTTCTTTCTCTTCATCCACCAAATCATTCTGACTACCAATCAGTACTTTTGAATCCAGGCCAGCTTGATTTGGGTGAAGTTTCTTGGTTATGTCTACGTGATGACGCTGAAATGACACAGGTCACAAGTAAATTATCAGTCCAAAATAAATGCTTCATAGAGATATGAAAGATTTATCACATGGCAATTCATTTCTGTATGTCTGAAACAGAACATTTGACATGTCAAAGCAAGCTACAAATTATATGTTCATCAATATATTTTGGAAACTGAGGTGTACAATTTTTGAAGCAATCTAAGTAACTAGAATAAGAAGTCATTTTAGGCATAGAAAACCATCTGCAAAGACTATTTGTGTATATTACTTTCTTCTTGTGAAGCTTATAAAATATTTTTCATTTAGAAAATTTTTACTTAGTTTTTATTATTATAGTTAACTAATCCAGCACTTCATTATATATTACATAATTACATATTATATAATCAAAAGCAGATTTCATTTCTGTATCATCTGTACTCTTTATATAAAACAAATCATAACATCTACTATAAATTAAACCACATTTTTAATCAGCATTATGCAAATTTGACAAAGCTCCTTTAGTCAATTTCAGAGTAATAATTCATCATAACAATGAATTATTAAGGCACAGCATCAATGGTCCCTATAACTCATCTCACATGTAAGAGATGTCACAGCATTTGACATTATACTGACACACTGTATGCTTCAAAGAATCATCAGATGGGAACAAAAAGTGAAGACTTCAATTGGAAATTAAACTTCCAGTACTTAATTAATTCATACCCAAGTCCAGACTAGAAGTTTGTCAAATTGAATAAGATTACAGAATATGTGAAGATTCTCAGCGTAAATATTAGCTAATCAATTATGGCCATTCAGGCTAGCCATGTTGGCTCACTAAAGGATAGTATAATGGACAACTTTCCTGTAAAGTTTCTCCTGTAGACCATATATTGCATGAAATTCATTAAAAGCTTGATTTTATAAAATCAACCACTTTTAAAGCTTGAGAAAGGCCAATAAGGAAATTAGGCTTTAGAATGATTAAATAATTCACTTGAGTTAACAAAATGAACAGTGCTGAGCCTTACGATATGAATCCTGAACTTTGGACAGTGTTCTTCATGATTGATTTCTTAAGATTTTTAATGTGGTGGACTGGATGTATGGATAGCCCTCATTCTTCACCCATCTCTGTATCCATGTCCTTTCTATAGAATTTTGCAGGGCCCTCCTACTCTGACTTTTGGCCTATCAATGTGGCTTCTTCTGGCCCAATAGGATATTGACACAGAGGCTTGAAAGAGGCTTGCACAATTGTTTTTGCTCATTCCTTAACTTCCACTATGCCATGAGGCTATGCCTAGACTAGCTGGCTGCAGATTGAACATGAGATGGGCAGAGTTAGGTCACCCCAGTTGTCCAAGCTGAAGCAAACAACAGCCAGAGGAGCCCCAGACGTTTGGGTGAAACCAGTCTAGATCATCTGAGACCAGCTCAAGTCAGATGAATTCCACAGCTTCATGAACTAAATGAATGTGATTTTGGTTGTATGCCATTATGTTTTTCTGGTGGTTATGCAGCATTGTATGCTGACGGATAACTGGTACATTCAACCACCGTCTATCTATAGTATCCCAGATAATGGATGTGGTGTGAGAATACAAATATAACATGACATTCTCTCAGACTCCAAATTATTCAAACACAATTTCTTACATTGCTTATGCAGATAATTAAAATAGAGTGTGGTAAGTCATTTGTAGATATTTCTCAATTCCTTTTCTAATGACCAAGGAAGGGATCCTAGCAATACTACAAAAGACAGCTCAAAAGATCAGTTTGGATGTTGGTATCAACTAGAACTAAACCACCCCACTTGTTTATTTTTAGCTCCTCCACAGTCCACAAAAATATAAGCCCATCACTGTAATTTTTAAAATTTATTGTCAGGCCTCTATTATCATGTAGTTTTTGGAAAGAAGCAGATTTCAGCATCCAACTACTTTCCTGATTCTGAATTACATACCTTTGAAAAGTATATTATTATTTCAAGTTATGACATGAGTATTAAATCACAGTTTCTCAGAACTGAGCAATGCAATAGATCAAAGAAGGAATAAGCTTCATGTTTGTTCATACCAAATTCAATTGAAAATATTAAAACATTGAGGGAAAGTTAAGAATTCATGCAAGTTGTGTATATTCTAATATATTCCAGACTGAAAATAAAAGAAATGCTGAGTTTATTTACTCATAAAAGGATTGTTGTGAAAACCTGAGAGAGAAAATAGCCCCTTCATCAGAATAGGTTCTGTATTGTAAAGGTTCTGTGCTTCCTGGTGCAAACCTCTGGCACACTGGACATTTTATAAACATATTAGTGTTTCAGTAATTAAGAGCCTCATTTTCCTGGAAACAGTTCCCACAGTGGAGTCTCTTCTTAAGCAACCCCTGTCAGATTTTCCAGCTTCTCTTTTACATTACATATTATAGCCAGGCTGCTGTTCCCAGGTCCTAACGTAAAGGGAGGTAGGTGTCTCTTAAGTTGCTGACCTTGCCACACTCGCTCTTCCTTGTTTACTTAGCCCCTCCTTCTAGTTCCCTGGGTCTGCACATTATACCCTGGCATCTCTTTTCTGCTACAATAAAATTCCTACAGTGTTTCATTCTTAATTGCCCAACTGCCCTCCACTAACCCTCAATTCTCTCTCTTCCCTCTCCCCTTTCCTATTTCTCAAATTCTTCCACCATGCCTTGATAACTTTGCTTTATGGTTTGCAAACTTCACTACCTGTTCAACTTCTTTTCTGAATATTGTCTCTACCTTCTTACCCTGACGAAAATCTCATTCTTCTTTGAAGACACCTCTTCTTCTGTGAATGATACTGCCTGCTTATTCTTCCTCATCCCTGTTACCCTTAAGTTGGAGGATCCCCTTCTCTGAGTGTTGTCCGTTGCAACCTTACCTCCTTGCAAAACATGTCTGCTACTTTGATATTCCTGTCGTCTAACTGTGTGCCGTCTCCCTTCTTGTTGGTATCATCTATCTACTAATATCCATGCATTTTTCATAAAAAGGCTTTGACACCCAGACTTTTGTCTTTTCTAGCCTCAGCATCGCTATGATCTTGGACAATATCCATATCTACATAAACATTCTGTCTGATTCATCCCTGGATCTCCTTACTACAAATGAACTTCTCATTTTTTCTACCTCATGCTTTCAGTCCCAAGATCACATCTGAAGTCTATCATCAGCTGAAATGTTTCCACCTCCAATATTAAGTATGTTCCTCTTTCTCTTCATCTCCTATCCTCAAGTTTATTCTCTCCACTCCAGCCAAATCTCCTTCTCCAAGACTGCTTTTTCCACAGTTTCTGCCAAGGCTATTTGTGGACCTCACTGGGATCTGAGATCCACTGATCCCTCTACTTTCTCTATATCCATCACCCCTTTGCTCTTTTTCCTTTATTCTCTGTCCAGCATCCATTGCTGCTCAGAAACTTCAATCTGGAAGACTTCAACTTGTTTTACCTGCCAGACTTCAACTTGTTTTACCTCTCAGCAGCATCTGACATGTCTGGTCACCTCCTTCTTTTGGTTTCTGATGTTCCTCCTTCCACTCTGAGTGCTTATTCTTAGTCTCCTTTGCTGGAGTATCCTTCTTTACCCAAACATTGCGTGTCAAGAGGTCTCAAGGTTCTGTTATTCTCCCAGTTTTCTTTTTTCCATTCCTAGATAATTTCAGCAATCATGTAGCTTGATCTACCACCTGTATGTTTATGACTCCAGCGGGGAGGTAGAGATTTATGAAATGAGATGAGGTGTAGAGAGGCAGGAGCTTGCATGCCTTAGTAAGCACTCTGGACTCTAATTCTAATGTCCTTTCAGGTCCACAATCTCATCACTCTTCCTTCCTGTCTGAAGGCTTGGCTATTCTGTTTGCCTAGGGCATTCTTAGTAAAATTTCCCCCTTAATATTAAGAAGTCCTGGGTTCCTGCAAGTGTCACTCACTGTATAAACCTTAGCCAGCACCCTATTTTCTAGTCTTTGTGCACCTTGTACTTCTACTATAATGCAATTTTTATAATTACAATCAAATAATAGCTGTTTTCATGTTTAATGTCTATCTCCCTGGCTAAAATAAAACTCCCTGAAAGTAAAAACTATGCATGCCCTGTTCACTGTCTTGAGCTCTCATCTCAGGGTTTTAAATATAATAGGCATTAAATAACTACATATTAAATAAATAGGAAAATTCATGAATAAAACATGACTTAATTTTTATGACTTTTTCTTTAGCCAGTTATCAGTGGCCAGTATATAGTCACACTCACATGCATAAGCAAGTTTGTGTATATCATCACTCCTAACAGTACTGCTTACATTATATATTGGTAGATAAAATGCAGTTACATTTTACTTTGTTTTATCCATAAAAAACACATATTTCAAATCCTGTGCTTTTAAATAAACTCATTACAGAAATCATGCAGAACTGTATTCATACAGTATCCCATATAGCTCTGAATCAAATTACATTGGTCATCTATCTATGGAAGTTATAAATCTGAGAATTGTTATGTTAGAGAAAGTGAGAATTGAGAACTAAGTGTGTAAACACAGTGGCCCCTATTACCCTAGGCATGAGAATGTGGCCTGACAACAACTGGAGAAATAAAATCCTCTGTCAGATCCTGCTTCTGTGATGTCAAGTCTTCAACCTGAAGGTTGGGTCCAGAGGAAAATGAGAAATTAAAATGTTTGCAAAGAATGGAGAGGAACATAGATAAATTTGAACTGCCATGCATCAGTCCTCTGTGACCACGCTGTAGTCGTACTTCAAAAAATAAGGTTCTGTTTATTCTATGTAATTTCCATTTAACTTGTTATTAGAAATGAATCATTACAATCCTGTCTGCTAATTTGAAATGACTATTAAATTATTTTTATGTTATTCTTGGCTTGTATTTTGCATGTTGTTTTTAATGTTCCTGCTAAAGGTAATGATGAAATTATAATGTACTGAATATTTGTCTCACAAACAAAGAAAGGAACAAATAAATATTACCAAAAAAAGTTAACCAAGATGTCCACAAAAAAAAATTGGAAAGAGCTCTTCAAATCTATCTTTCATCTCATACCTAAGGCCATGCCGTTGAATAAAATCATACTTTTTCAATTTATTCAGATTCCTAGTTCATGATTGTATTTATTTGTGCCCCTTCTCCCCAAGGGCAAATGGGCTTGTTTTTCTTTAGAGAGCTACAAAGGACCTCTCTTAGCCAGGGACTAAACATCACTCATATTTAAAGCAACTTGAAGTATCCTAGATAATGTACTTTACTTTTTACTTTGTAAAAAAATCAATCCTCTCCTGACTAAAAAAAGCAACCTCCCTCTCTGCTTATATAAACACTGCTACTTTCCACTGCCTGTACTTTTTCACTTCAGAAAGTACACTTAAGTGAAGAAATTTCAAGTGATATTTGAGAAGAAATCTCTCATTAACTAACTTTCTTCCAGAGAATTAAATTCTACTTAAAATAAGAACAATGACAATAATTCAGAGACTATACATAAATAAAAGAGAATAAAAATCGAATCACATCAAATACAGGCTTGCTGGGAATATGCAAATTATCATTGTAGAAATGCATTCTGTATGTAATCTGTCTCCTACTGTGTGTGTGTGTGTGTGTCTGTGTGTGTGTGTCTGTGAGTGTGTTCTCTTCTGTTTGTTATATAGTTGAATCACCATAAATAATTTAGAAGATGATCAAGTGTTTTTTATAAAAACTAATTAATTCATCATTGTGCATTATAAAGGTCCATAATATGATAGAGGCAAATATTTTTTTAAAAAGCAAGAATGTAAACTGTGAAAAATAATCTAAAACTGATCATCCATATAGACAGTCATTTCTTTTGGGCAATATTCTGAGGTTTTCTACAATGATCCATACATACTCAAACTGCCCTTTCTGCACAGAATGTCTTCTTTATACCAATTCAAAGAGATGCTTCTGAGCTTGTTCAGCCCTATCCCAAAGACATGCTATCTTTTGACCCTTTCCTGTACCTTGCAGCCTTACGTTGTTTACAGAGGGTTTGCTCAAGCCTGTGTTTGGCAGGACTTGGTTCATCAGCTCATCAGAAGCTCATTTCCCCTTTTCTGCTCCTCCTGGAGCTTTAAGCTGTGACCTTCCCAGGTGAGAGTCCTTGCTGGCATCACTTACCCTCCTTTGTTAGTGCTCCTCCTCCCTGGACCATTCACACCTTCTTATTCAAATGTGACCTTGCTGGCTTGGTCTGGGCTGGCAGTTGATCAGGAACTTCACCAGCAGTCACAGGTGTTTGCAAGTGGCTTGACACTAAGACATTCTTGGGCCCAATAGTGGTTAACAAGAGGGACAGAATCTTTCTTTTGTGCTTATTCCAAGTACCTCCAGAAAGTCAGACATTTAAAAGAGTTGGTATCTACCCTGAACTTTTCTTGGGTCGGAGGACAGACAGTAGCCCTATGGAAAAGAAAGATGCCTGAATCTATTTCCCTAGTTGCTCTAATAAGAGAAGACAGCACCCCATCTCAATCCTACAAAGACCTCTTCTTCTTCCTGGACTGGCTGGGACTAGACCCAAGAAAAACCACCCTTGCTGTAACTGATTAGAAATCATCTCACATATCATATATCAAAGATCTTACTGTGTCCTGTGGGAAAGAAATTCTTCATTACTATTAAGATTATTTTATACTTCACTTTCAAGATATGTTTCAAGAATATGTCAAGCATTAAAGTAAGAGATTAACAGTACTCATATTTCAGATATAGATTTCACTTGCATCTTCCTCTATTTTCCCTGATGAAAACTGGGATCTAGGTAATTTGATATCTAGAAGTCCCACCATCTTGATTTATGTTGATTTAATCACACTCTTGGAAAAAATCAAATACTAGTTCATGGATGCGGGAAGAACTCAATATAATCACATACTTTGATTGAAATGAGTTGAAGAATTTTCATCTACAATACTTAGGTGGAGAACCTCTTCACATACTTCCATCAAGCTCAAATCAATGTGCTTCTTGCTACTCTAACGTTCTGTGAATTTAGCCAAAGACGAAATGAAGATTTGAAGCAAGGCTTAGCAAACACTTCTTACTTTAAAATGAGGTCTGAATAGACAGCTAATCTGTACAATTATTATTCTTAATAATTGCATTTTAAGGAGATAAAAATTCCTTCTACTCTCAAAGATGTCAGCCTTGTCACTCCAGATATTGGACAATCATGCAAAATAATTTGCGATTTTAGAGACGCTATGGCAAGTGCCTCCTCTTCAAAATGCCAAAGTTGGCTTACTCAAAATGCTGATGTAATGCACACTGGAGTAGCTCTTTGTGTAGAGATAAATCTTCTTCCTTATTTTGTCTTCCTGAAAATTTGGAAGTAATTAATTTGCATGATTATTGTCATAACTTTCATAGCTCCTATTTTAATGGGAAATCATAACTCTTAGAGTCTGTAAGTGTAATCTGTAGCCAAAGGGCAGGAAAATTAATCTTATTTTAAATTATGAAAACAGAAATTACAGTGGAATCAACTATGTGACACATTTTTTGTTAGATGAGCTTTTGGTGAAATTAGTTTTGAATTAGTGGACATATGAATAGCATTTGAACAGTGTCCAGCAGGGCGACAGTTGCTGCAGATGACAGATGGGAACTGTGGTGTACTTTATAATAGGTCTGTCTGTATCTAGGAAAATTATTCTCAACTCATTTATTAAAAATTACCTTTGAAATCATCTTAGCCTTCTGAGTATTAAAATACAGGCTTTCACATGAGTCTTTAAAAGGTAAATGTCCTGGCAATCTGATTTAAAACATTGCTGTATTATTATTTGAGCTAGAAATGATTTTGATGAGTATGACTCATCTCACTATTTCTTCAAGCCTTCAAATTACTGTATATAAATTATCAAATGGCATTCTTGCTACCAAAGTGTTGCTAAAATATAAAATGCATGCTCTGTTGTGAATAGGTGCCCCACATAGGATGTGGTCCTTGGAGCCTGCTTTCTATCTCCTCAGCTCAACTTAAGCCTGGCACCATTTCTTTGAAACCCCTTCCCATAAAAGGCTGCTCTTCTGACCTCCTCTAATTCACAAGCTCTATTTCTGATCCCTCTTTTAAGGAGCATTGTCTGGCACCACCAACCAACACTTTTTTGAAATTTCTATAGATCCAGGCATGGCTCTTCATCTTCAGGATCCCTCTCCATTTTGCTCAGAATGGCCTCTAGCTCATGTTATCCTGTTTGCTTTCCCTCTCCAAACATGACATCAACAGACCTTAATATTCACACCACTGTTGAACTTCTTTTTAGTCTTTTTTAGCCTCTTGTAAGTACAATCAGAACATGGACCTCATTGTTCGTCAGAATTTCTCCATCCTCACGATCTTGGATTCTAACACTCTCCTCTGTGCTCTCACTTGCTGCTTCTAACACTGCTCTTCCCTCTAGGTCTTATTTTTTGGGGGCGTTGTTTTGGTTTTATTTTTCATCAAAAGCAATACATTCACGTTGTAATAAATCAAACAGTGCAGAAGAGTTAGAAGGGAAAGCAAAAGCCTCTTGTCCCAATATTTCCAATCCCCCAAAGCAACTTCTTTCTTACTATTTCTGCTTTTTAGTTTTGCTGGAGGCTACATCTGTAACACTTGCTTTGCACATCGTGACTTACCAGCTTAAATTACTAGCTTTCAAATATTAACATAAAAGATAAATATTTAGTTAATTTATACCAACTCATTCCCTTTCCATTGTTGTATGATCAGTCATTAATTCAGCAAGTATGCAATGAGCAACAACTATGCAAAGGTAAAGGTATTGGGGATATGGTACTAAGAAAGAAGAGGCAAAGAATTCCCTGCCCTCCTTGTGTTTACATCCTGTGTGTGTGAGTTGGGATTGGGGGTGAGGTGGCCGGGAGGAAGAACCAATAACAAATACATCAGGAAAATACATAGAATGAGTTCAATGGAAAAAAATGAAACAGAGAAGCGGATAGACAAGGTAAAGTAGGGCAAGAAGGTTGCAATTTTAGATAGTTTGACATTTGAGCAAAGATTTAAATGAGAAGATTTTTCATTATATTTGAGCAAAGATCTGAATTAAAAACATCTTTTTATTTGATTACATTTGTATCTTCAAATACACTTGAACCCCCCTCTCACTTTTTCATTTATTTTTACCTATTGGCTTCTTCCTTGCCTCACTTGTTTCCCTATCCAAGAGGCTTTAAAACCTGCATATTAACAACTTTCTCACTGTGGCTATCAGATATCAGATCCTCAATTTCCATTCTACTCCCTTTACCAATTTATTCTCTCTCTCTCTCTCTCTCTCTCTCTCTCTCTCTCTCTCTCTCTCTCTCTCTCTCTCTCTCTTCACTCATCCCCAGAGGTAGCAAGCTCATTGCTGGTTTAAAAGAAAAAAAAACTTGAAATTTTCTACTTGTTTCTGACATACATTCATGTTACCTGGTGACATGTGGTTCCTCAGTGTTGCTCAGTTTTTCCAAGGATCTCTGCTTCCCTTCCTTTCGAGAGGTCTATGGAAGATATTTCAAGCCTTTTTCTCTTTTATCAAAGCTCACAGTGGAAATCCAGCATTCCTCATTTTAGAATGTTACTCAACCACTTAATTCATTGAGATGGTGGCCATCTGAAATCAATTCCCATAGCTCTCCTCTTTCCTTAGAAACAACACTTGATTTCTTCTGTTTCTTACTGACTCACAAAATGTCCAGTCCTTTTTCCAATGTGAGTGCCTCCCCCTTGGAATATGACCCTTTCTCTTCCACTCTTCCCATGACATACTTAATCAATCATTCTTCCAACCTCTCATGTATTCTCCGACTCTCCTCTTCCATTGCCTCATTCATTTTTCTGCCAAACTTTAACAAGAGCAATCCGCTTACTGCTCCTTTTGTTCCCTCAATTGTTTGCTTTATAATTAAGTTCATTCGAGTAATGAGTTTTCATGGCTGTCACCACTGAAAATGAAATGCCACAAAGGTATATGGATCCAAACAGGAAAAGTATATTGTTAATCACTCTAAGTCATGATGCATAGGTTTCAAAAATATCTACCAATTTTGCAAAGATTTGTTAAAAATGGCTAATACATTTTGATCTACCTTGATGTCAAATTATTTTTAAAAGATAAACTGGCTGAGCATGGTGGCTCATGTCTGTAATCCCTGCGCTTTGGGAAGTTGAGGCAGGAGAATCACTTCAGGCCAGGAGTTTGAGACAAGCCTGAGCAATATAGTGAGCCCCTGTTTCTAATAAATAAATAAAAAGCCAGGAGTGGTGGTGGGTGCCTGTAGTCCCAGCTACTCAGGAAGCTGAGGCTGGAGGATTGCTTTAGTCTAGGAGTTCAAGGCTGTAGTGAGCTGTGATTGTGCCACTGCAGTCCAGGCCTGGGCAACAGAGACAGACCCTGTATCTATAGGAAATAAAGAAAAGAAAAGAAAAGAAAAGAAAAGAAAAGAAAAGAGAAAAAAAGAAAAGAAAAGAAAAGAAGAGAAGAGAAGAAAAGAGAAGACAAGAGAAGAGAAAGAGAAAGAAAGAAAAGGAAGGAAGGAAGGAAAGAAGGGAGGGAGGGAGGGAGGCAGGAAGAGAACAAACGAAAGAAAGAAAGAAAGAGAAAGAGACAGAAAGAAGAAAGAAAGAAAGAAATGAAAAAGAAGGAAGGGAGGGAGGGAAGGAGGAAGGAAAGAAGGAAGATTTGAGATAATATATTTAATCATTTAATGTTTTTATTATTGAGTTTAAAATTCACTGCAATTCTTTGGAAGATTTTATCAAAATTCAGAAATTTTGCTTCCATGTTTTTAAGGTTTACAACATGAGAGGCTTCATAGGTTGCACACTGTTTTCAGCAATGAAAGCATATAACATCAAAAATATTCCAAAACAATCCATTTTCAAAATATTCTCCATAGAATGATTCTTTTACTAAAGTTATGTTTTTATCTTTTAACTAAAGGGCCAGCTCAAGTGTGTATGTGTGTGTTCCTGGCTACCAACAGGCACTTATCCTGGATGAGGTAGGCAAATTTGAATGCTCACCATTTCGTAAAATAAAACTTAATACTAATACATCTTTAATTTTGTGAAAAGTATTCTTTCATGAGATGATTAGCAAATTTTTAGATGATGCAAAACAATGCCATAGTCATTCCCCTTCTCACAGAGTATCATGAGGGTCCCACTGTATTTTTAAAACTTTGCTTCTATAAATTAGGCATATTTAGTACATCCTGCAGAATTCAGTGAACCTCTGGTTATAATTTCTTTGCTGCAATAACATTTCTATAATGACACTGGGGATTTCATATGTGAATTTATTTTTCCAGGCTTTTTCAAGAAACACTTTAAAAATTCTGGACAATGCAGCTACTGTATCAGTGGTTGTACTTACTTAACTTATCCATAAAGAAATGCTTTCACTAAAGAAGTCATTAAGGGACAGAATAATGGCTTCTCCAATGCATAAAAAATGCTTCTTTGTGTATTTCATTATTGAAACATAATCACGTAAATATAATAAACAGATATGTCGGGGAAAAAAAAACAGAACTCTCATGCAACTTATAGAAAAATCTCCCTCAACTGAGTCATTTGTTCATACAAACTATAATAACAGCTAACATTTATTTTGTGCTTACTAAGTGTCAGGCATTATTCTAAGCTGTGACATGTATTAGCATATTGAAATCTTCGGCATTTTTTTTTCTAAGCATTTGTCAAGGGCATTTTCAGAAAAAAAAAAAAAGGTTCTAATTTGTCACCGTATTGTTCATGTGATTTTCACCGTATTTTGGAAGAACCATTGTACTTCCATAATAGGTAGCTTTTTCTTTATTGCTACTTTTTTTTTTTTTTTTTTTTTGAGATGGAGTCTCGCTCTGTCGCCCAGGCTAGAGTGCAGCGGCGCGATCTTGGCTCACTGCAACCTCTGCTTGCCAGGTTCAAGCGATTCTCCTGCCTCAGGTTCCCGAGTAGCTGGGATTACAGGTGCATGCCACCATGCCCGGCTAATTTTTTTTTTTTTTTTTTTTTTTAGTAGAGATGGGGTTTCACCCTGTTAGCCAGGATGGTCTCAATCTCCTGACCTCATGATCCGCTCACCTCGGCCTCCCAAAGTGCTGGGGTTACAAGCGTGAGCCACCTTGCCTGGCCATTTTTTTTTTTAACTCGTAAGAGTTAACATTAATTTTGGTGAATCTTAAATGTTACGCAGTATTGGATTGAGTATACCATAATTTTATACAGTGCTGAAAAACTATAGACAAGTATCTTCATATTCTCGTTGCTCAGTTTTAAAATATATTGTTAATCATTATGGTTTCATTTTCCCAGTGGCTAATATCACATAACATGGCGAAGTTTTTTGTCACTATGAGTGTTTGTAAATTTTCATTTCAATCATTTTTAGGATTTCAAATTTTTGCCTTACATTTTGATGGGTATGGTTCATTCATCTGTATTTTTTTCCTCCTAATACCAGAAGTGTGAAAACTGTCAGGTTTTTAAAAATGGTTCTCTTTTGCTTATAAGTACAATATTTTATTTACAATAGTATATAATACTTTCATGAAATGCACAAATACTAAGGACACAGCTCAATGACTTGATATAAATTGAATGTACCATGCAACCATTACCCAGATCTGGAAATAGAATATTAGTAATCCCAGCAGCTCCTTCATGCCTCAACCTAATCACATTTCCAGTGCCTTTCCCCCAAAGCTAGCCCTCATTCTGACACCTAGTATCATAGTTTAATTTTCTCCCCATTTGGGAACTTTGTATGCTTTGAATCATATAACATATTCTTTTGTGTCTGGCTTCCTTCTTTATATCCATAGCATCATTCCATTGTATGGATAAACCAAAATGCATTTACTTACTCTACTACTGAAGAATATTTGAGTAATTTCCAAGTATTAGCTGTTACAAATAATGCTGTTGTGAATATTCCTGTTCATGTCTTTTTGTGCACGTGTCACACATTTCTATTCGGTGCACATATGAATACGTTGCTGTAGACATGTCAGTGCTGGGTCACATGACAGCTATAGTAGAGCCTGCAGTTTCCCAGAGTAATACACTCTCTACACGGGTATGTGAAGTAGCAGTTTCTCCATATTCTTGCTAAGACTTGGTACTCTCAGTCTATTTAACCATTCTAGTGGATTTGGTGTTGTTCGTGTTATCTCCTCATTGGTTTAATTTGCATTTCCCAGATGACTGATGAGATTAAATAACTTTTCAATGTTATATTGCTCATTGGAAGTACTTATTGTGAAATACCTAATTTGTGAAGTAACTATTTGAGTTTTTGCCCACTTTGTCTATTGTGCTATTTGTATTTTTGTATTGACTGATAACATTTCTTTATATATTCTGAACACAAATTTTTTTTGGTATCCCTTATCTATTTTGCAAATAGCTTCCTCTGCTTTGTACCTTGCGTTTTCACTTCCTTAATGTTGTTTCTAGTGATCTTTAATCCGCAGGTTGTTTTCAGTAATTCTAAAAATTGCTTGTCCATCTTGTGAGATTTGGTTTTGTTTAAACTAGTTAATACAATGTTCAAAGAACTTAACCAGGTTCATTGAATCTGCAGCCTAACAATTCGCTGACATCAAGGGTGCCACTGTGCACCCCTAGGTGGGGGTTCCAGCCTCAGAGACACTCAGTCTCTGGAAAGTAAAAACAAGATCCAGTAGCCACAACTGCCCATTAACTTTGAGTTAACAATGATTATAAACAGGTACCAGCTTTACGAGAAAGAAAGAAACAACCAGACTTCAGGTAACTCCTGATGAAAATACATCACACTCTCTATGGAGTAATCTTCCTAAAATATCAAATCTGAATCTATCAGGCCTCAAGATTTAACTGTCAATTCTCAGGAAAATAAGACAGAAGAACGTTTTGGGAGGAAGACCGCTCACAGACAAAACAATCCTAGAACACATGATGTCTAGAAAAGACTATATCTAGTATATATGACATGTAGTAAACAGAAAAGAAACGGATAAATAAGAAAATCCCATAAAGTGTAAGGAATCTAGTAATAGGAGATGTTTGGAAAACAACAAAGGGCATTAAAATATTACCAGTTAATTCCAGTTTCTGCATGAGTGGCTGTATGTAACTGGCAAAAGGAAAATCATTTCTACTCCTGTTCACTTGTGTCCGTAGGAATACAATCTGCAACATTCATGCTGTGGTAAACTCTATAAAACAAATACAGTTTCTCCAACAAATTGAGAAAAAAAATAGGAGGAAACCTATAGATTAAAGAAGATTTTAAAAGATCAACAATTGCAACATATGCACATTATGTAGATCCTGATTGAGACTGTAAGAAAACATTTATGAGACAACCATACAGATTTGAATCTTTACTTGATAAGTTTTCAGGTGTGACACTATATTGTTTTAAATAATCCCTACATTTTAGAGTAGGGATTTGCTGAAGAATTTGCTGATTAAATCATGTGAAATGATATTTGTTTTGTTTTGTTTTCCAAAAAATCCAATGGGGGCGAAGAATGAGGAATATGAATGAAGCAAAATTGGTCCTGAGTTAACGGTTGATGAAGTCAGGTAATGAGTACCTGGAGGTTCATTATGCTATTCTCTTGCTTTTTGTGTATTCTTGAAATTTTTTGTAAGAAAACGTTTGGTCTAAGTCTTGAAATCAAGACAATAATTTGCTTGTGTAAGACGTGAGGGTGCATAAAAAATGGAGGCCGAGCGCTGTGGCTCACGCCTGTAATCCTAGCACTTTGGGAGGCCGAGGCAGGCCGATCACGAAGCCTGGAGATCAAGACCATCCTGGCTAACATGGTGAAACCCCCTCTCTACTAAAAATACAAAAAATTAGCCGGGTGTGGTGGCACGCGCCGTAGTCCCAGCTACTCAGGAGACTGAGGCAGGAGAATCGCTTGAACCCGAGAGGCTGAGGTTGCAATGAGCCGAGATTACACCATTGCATTCCAGCCTGGGCGATAGAGCAAGGCTCTGTCTCAAAAAAAAAAAAAAAAAAAAAAAAAAAAATATATATATATATATATGTGTGTGTGTGTGTGTGTGTGTGTATGTATATATATACATATATGTGTGTGTGTATATGTGTGTGTATATATATATATACTGGAGTTCAGGAATTAAGATATTGTTTCTTAAATAATCTCTCCCTTCTAAAGTCAAAATTGAAGATCATTACTAGATTAGGATGATATTGTTAGATCTATAGTCTCAGCAGACGAAAATTTTAGAGACTTGATTCTGTACTACTCTGGAAGCTAAAACAGAACCTATAGTTTAGACATTATTGCAAGGAATAGACAGGGACTAAGGTGGCAATCTAACAACAAGACTGAGCAAATGAATGCGGGGCGTCTAACCTTTGTAACTTGCTCTCAGAAACATCTTGATAATTAAAGACTAAATCTGTTACAAATAGGGGCGTGTGTGCGTGTGTGTGTGTGTGTGTCTGTGTGTGTATGTTGACAGAAAGCATTAGTCTGTATCTTTTGTAGCAACTTCAGCTTTCCTGAACTTCATACTATATCTAAAAGGAGCAATGACTTTCAGTGAAAAGAGAATCCATAGTTAGCAGATGATTTGGATGCACGTGATTTTTATTTAATATTGATTGCATATTGGGGTTATATGTTTGGGATTTTTAGCTTTTAAATAGAGGATACATGGTGTTTTCAAAGTCAACATTGTGGATCATGAGAGGAACCTGGAAGAACAACTTCTGAATCAGCTGACACTGCGATCAAGAAGCCCAGGTACTACAGAACAGGAACAATCTGCCATGTGTGTTTACAACTTCAGAAAGCCCTGGAATGACAGTTGCCAGGGCAGTTCTTCTGAATTTGCAGGTCAGAATTAGTGGATGATGAATTTTTTTCACACATGGTCAACTCTGTGCCACCTGCTACAAGATGTTGGAACAGGTATATTTATTTATTTAATGATGATCAATGATTCTTCCAACATCAGGGAACATCAGGGAAATCAGCTAGTATATGCTCTTTTTGAGGATTTTCAGCTCCAAATCCTGAAAGCATTCATGAAACTACATAAATTACTTTTGTTAAGCAAATCATCATAAGTAAATCCAGTCATATGAATCTGGAAGGATTTGCTGGTGGGCACTAACACTGACCACATGTTTCAGTGTGGGCAAGTTTACCATCCATCACGGATTTTGTGCTTGGTGAATTGTAGGGAGTGAAAGAGAGAAGGATGTTTGGCCCAGTTGTCTTTTTTACCTATATCTGAAATTCTCACTTAGTCAAGAACAAAACATTTAGACATTTCATTTCCTTTTGGGGTTTTAGTGATACATGTTTAAAATTGTATATTTAGAGAAAATTGTTTTTATTATATATAATTTATAAATTCAGTGGAGAGACAAATTTATACTGAGAAAATATTTAATATGAAGTATAGTTGTCTCTCTCACACACACAGACAAACACAAACATATATATAGCATCTGAAACTCTGCAGAAAATGTTTCAACCCACTCCCACATTCACTTTGAAGGGAGTGAAATTTAGATAAGTAGGGAATAAAATTGATAATAGGGGAAATTTAAGAGCTGAGTATTTATTGATATGGTTTTCTAACACCCAGATCTAGCCCCCGGATCACATAAGCACTTTAAGTACATTAAAATTTCTATGCAAGTATGTGATCTAGCATTATCATTTGCCAAGGTGACACCCAGCTCATAGAGGAACCATAAATCTATCAAGTACAAAAGGATTAAACAATATCCTCAAATGCAAATCAAATTGGAGTCTAGGCTAAAGACTCATCATTTTCAGATCTATGTTTGGATTACTTTCATTATTTGCCATTTAATTAATTTCTCTATATTCTTCTATCTCCTAATGTAGTCTGAGGTGCGCATCATATTGCCCTTTTTGTAACAAGAAGGATTATCCCAGTTTTGAAAACTATGACATAAGTAAAGGAAAACCAAATGATCAAAAAAAAAAAAAAAAGAAAAAATATTTGTCTGCTTCTCCTTGACATGTCATAGAAAAGGTAAAATAACAAAATAATAGGATAAAATTTCTAAAACAATAATAACTATTAGTTATGAGTTAAAATGTTGTTCATTTGATGCCTGTAGTGTTTGGTTTAAATTTTCATTTCACTGTTGCCTTTAAAGTTAGACTGTAAACAAATACCTTAATAAAGCAACCAGGAGACTGTGACTTGTGTTTTGGTAGTAATTATATATTCCCACCAGATGGCAGTCTTCCCTGGCTCTTGGCAACTACCTTTCAGAGTGTAGCTACTCCTGGCTGAGGAAGCAGTGTCATTATATCTATGCACTTAGTTTGAATATGGGAAATCTGCCAGGATTTCATGGCTTTAGGATTAAATGTCTGTCATTTGAAAAGAGACTTCCATGGACAGAGGTTTTTATTTTTTCAAGTCATACATATATCTTCAGGACAAAGGCTATTTACATAAACTCCAGGCTTAAGTTGAGCCTCTCAAGATCACAGTTGGCACCTTTTCTTGATGCTCAGGACTCCAAGAGGCTGGTAAATGCACTAGTGAATGTTTCAGAGTATTGTGTTTCTTAAAGCAGAGCCAAGTAAGTATTCAAATGCCACCCATATCTCAAGTATTCTCATCTAATCTTAGCTCCTGGAATATTTACTTAAAACATTTTCATTTTCTTGGCAAAGAGCTATGTAAATACATTTAATTTTACCTTTTTTAATACATATTTCCCTGAGATCTTGCCTAACATGTTATATTTGAGGATTTTACTCACTACATGGGCACAAATATATCATAAACTAATTCAAGAATAAAAATCTTATCACAATGATGAGTGACATTTGCATTCAGGAGTCATAAACAACTGAGAATTAATCAACTCCCTCTTTACTACTAGAGAGAACCTTAATGTGTTTTTTAACTTATTTTTAATTTGTACCTCTAACAAATTCATACCCCTGACATGGATCAGTATTAGTGGATGGCTTTTTCAAGACAGGAATTCACATAATCTTAGATACTGTTTATACTTTATACAACGTGCTTGTGCAGGGAAAAGGGCGGGGCTTTAGGGAAAGAGACTTCAAGGAAGGGCATGATGGTGACTCAGGGAGATACATCTGGAGTGGGCCTCTATCCTTCTTACCTTGGTTTTGTTCTACTTATAACTAATAGAAGCATGAGCTGTTGAACAAAGCTACGGGTAAATCCTACCCTGGCCTAAGGTCTCATTCTCTCCCCTCACTCCCACTCAATAATATAGTATGCTGTAATTCTAGAGGGTATAAGCCATTTTAATATGCATAATATAAAGCAAGAATTCAGTATAAATTTAAGTAAAAAAATACTCATTACCCAGAGCAAAATTCACTGTGATCCACAGAGAATCAGACTGTAATCCAATTGCCAAATAATGTAGCATATGTGGATACAATCATGCATAGAAAAGGAATATTTTCTATGGCTGGAGAATTTGAGGCCAAATTATTTAGGCAAACAAAGCAACATGGAAAGGCCTTAGTGTGGTTTAGGGCAGTTGAAACTGAGAAAGTTCTATCTTATTACAATAGCAAAGAGTTACAAGGTTTTTCATATACAACTAGAGTTGTCAATTTAACTTCTCTAACTCCTCTATAACTCCATTGCTATTGCCCACATTGTAAATTCCAGACTACTACCTACGACCTTGACGATTATTCTGCAACTCCATTTCACCCCTCCCCTTCTATGCTTTGCTTTGTAATTCCCTGAGTAAGCCCTGACTTTGCTTATTTTCAAGTCTGTCTGGCTAGATGGTGTGCTCTTGGAAGTCTTTCTACTTGATAACCTTGGAAATTTCCGTTTAGCCCTTGAGACATAAGTGGTGAATTAATCAGTTAAATAACTCATGAGAGGTTTTCTGTCTAGGACATTTCTGTACAATTTCAAAATGCCTGGAATATATATAAATATTCATATTGATATGAACCGCTATGTCCATAGCTGATAATTCCAAGTTAATTCCTTGGTAAGTCCGGTGTATTATATTAGTTTCCTAGGGCTGTTATAGCCAATTACCACAAACAGGGTGGCCTAATTAAAAATATATATATTCTTTAAAAGTTCTGGAGGTCAGAAGTTTGGTATTCCTTTGCTCATGGCTGCACCATTGCAAGCCCTGTCTTCATCTTCACATTGACTTTTCTGTGCTTGTGTGCATCTAAACTCCCTCAGCCTCTCTCTTCTAAGAATATTGTGATGGCATTCACAGTCCACCCACCACTCCATGACAAACACCCCTTCTCAAGATCCTTAATCACATGTTTTGCCATATAAAAGAATATTCAAGAAGAGTCAAAAGAGAAGCATTTGGGAACTAGGTCAGAAAGTGAATAAGAAGCCCAAGATAAAAAATGAATTTCAATTCCAAGGAACAAAGAGTTGAGAGAGAGACAGAGAGCAAGAGTGAAGAAATTATGGGAAAAAAAATAAGAAATTATTTCTAGGCCAGGCCCAGTGGCTCACACTTGTAATCCCAGCACTTTGGGAGGCCAAGGCAGGCGGATAACGAGGTCAGGAGATTGAGACCATCCTGGCTAAAGTAGACCATCTCTACTAAAAATACAAAAAATTAGCCGGGTGTGGTGGCGGGCGCCTGTAGTCGCAGCTGCTAGGGAGGCTGAGGCAGGAGAATGGTGTGAACCCGGGAGGCGAGCTTACTGTGAGCCGAGATAGCACCACTGCACGCTAGCCTGGGCGACAGAGCGAGACTCCTTCTCGTAAAAAGAAGAAAAAGAAAAAGGAAAGAAATTATTTCCAGCTGCCTTTGAGGGCTCAGAATAAATGAAGAACCAGCCAGTTGGGAGGAGGAGGTGATCATGTGAAACAGAGTAGCCTATTTAATGCTGTACCGTAACAAATCGTGGCAAGCATGTCACTTAAATGAGATTTGGTATGAATCCGCAATTTGCTACTTTTCTGATATTCCTGTCTAAGGTTCCACTATGAATAGTCAAAAATACAGAGTGGTTCTTAATACCATTAACTGCAGGGCTGACATTCGCTGGCGTGCACTGTTGAAGAGCAGACATGCATCCATTCTCAATAACTGGGCTCTGATTGGCCAGTGCCCATGTCAATTTTCTCCAGAATCATCTCTGGCTGTACCCACGGGCATGTAAGGACAGGGTTGGAAAAGAGCCATTGGAGAAGAGAGCCCTGGACCTTGAGGTAGAAATAATTCTCCCCTGATTCCTCCAGGGAAAGAAGGAGGAAATTAATTAGAGCAGTGGCAACAGGAACCTAATTGATTTTTTTTTCCTGCTTTGTAGGTCTTTTCTGGGCAGGTGGGAACAAAGGACATTTAAAATCATTTAAAATCCCCGTGAAATTAAGTGCTGGAAACTCAAACACCTTCAGAGCCCATGAAGCAGGACTCAAGATAGAGAATGGAGAAAAAACTAAGGATCATATTTGTGACTGATTCTATGGCTGAAGTTACCCGTTTGTGACCCCTGGTAGATAGCCTCTAGTGGATTTAAATGTTGCTAAAAAAAACTTTATTGGATGTAAAATTCAAACTGTGATTATTTTTAAAATGCAACAAATGTGATTTAATCAAACTCAACTGCATAGTCAGTCCAACTGGTTCTCCTGAAAGTGGTTCTTAACTGGCCTGAAACTTCCCAATGTCATCAAAAAGGGTGACCATATATAAGTCCAGGCTTGTTTTGCTGACATGCTTTGGACGACATGAGAACGTAAATAACGGCCATTTTTTTCTTTAGCTATCCGAAAATAAAGCTAGTATGTGCTTACAAATAGCTGTGGAGAAGAAGAGAATTTATATATTCAAGCAATCTGTGATGAACATAGCATTATACCTCCAGAGAGCATTTACGAGTCACTAGAACTCCGCTATATAAACTATAAACCACTTACTACTATCTTTTCTTAAGTAAAAAGAAATAAAAATTTAGGGGACATTTTGTGACATATATTTTTTATATTACCAGTAAGTGCTCTAAAATTCAAAAAGCTTCTTAAAAATTTTGCTCTTGTAATAATGTTTGAAAATATTTCCACTTCTCTCTTACCCTCCATCATACACAGAGAAACATTTGCACATTTACTTCCCCACACCTGAAAAGTACTTAAATTTTATAGATAACATCTATTAGAACCCAGTAAAACCCTACAAATACTGTAGCTCTGTAGGAAATTCTGTTTTAAATATTCAAACATAGTATCCAACTTTACTATTTCTCAGCAAATATGTGGTTTATAGGCACAGAAGCAGCAAAAGCTAGCAGTTCACAACCCATAAGTTATAAACCTATGCGTAAGCTTACCATTTCCTTTAAACTTGATGTTAAGTTTTCTGGTGCATTTTCAATAACTTTTAAGGGTCAAATAATGGTGTGTACCTCATTTAAAATTAAATAATTATTTTTATTTTTCTTGATGTCTCTTCTGATCTTGAAAATAGCTGATAGAACAGCATTGTTTGATGTTGCTTATCAAATTTTATTTGCAATATTATAGACTTAGAATCATAGAAGGAGGAAAAAATTGCTAGATATATTATGTACCACACTCCATAACAAAATAAAGATGCAAAAATAAACCAAAGGAGGAGAATAAACCGACTAAGGATATATGACAGCTTCAGAATGAATTAAGGTTTGAAGCACACAAAAATCCAGACGCACAGCAGAAAGTGTTCAACTAGGTATTTAGAAACTTTGATTTCTTCAGTTATCTAAGTGACCTGTGGAAGTCATTTATGGTTACACTGCCTTTCAGTAAATCCTTTGCTGCATCAGCTTATTCTCATAACAGAGATCAAATTAATTTCTTAATCTGCAATATAAGAGTAACAGCTACTGGCTGGCCAAAATAATGGGTCAAGGTTACATGAGGCTGCTCAGGCTAGATATAAGAGAAGGAACCATTAAAATCCATTAGGTGACAGTTGGTCCCAAGCAACTGGCAGTAGCGAAAATGATAAAAGATATTGCTACAGAACAAGTGAAAACAATTTAAACACATTCTAGGTGGAACAGTCAAGAGGATCACATGAAATACAGGGAGAGTGGGCAAGGAGGATATGAGCCATTGTGGAAAACAGTATGAAGGTCTGTCAAGAAATTAAACACAGAATCACCAGGCTGAGTATGGTGGCTCACACCTGTAATCCCAGCAATTTGAGAGGCTGAGGTAGGCAGATCACCTGATGTCAGGAGTTTTGAGGACAGCCTGGCCAACATGGTGAAACCCCGTCTCTATCAAAAAATGCAAAAAGATTAGCTGGGCATGGTGGTGTGTGCCTGTAGTCCCAGCTACTTGGGAGGCTGAGGCAAGAGAATCACTTGAACCCAGGAGGCAGAGGTTGCAGTGAGCGGAGATCATGCCACTGCACTCCAGCCTGAGTGACAGAGTGAGACTCTGCTTAAAAAAAAAAAAAAACAAACAAAAAAACAAACAAAAAAACAAAAAAACAAAACAAAACAAAGATAGAATCACCAAATGATGTAGTAACTCTGCTTCTGCTTATGTATATTTAAAAAAAACCTAAAAGCAGAGACTCTAACAGATATTTGTAACTAATGTTCACAGTAGTATTATTCACAACAGCTAAAATGTGGAAGCAACCCAAATGACCATTCATGGATGAATGGATAAACAAAATATTTTACATAGATACAATGGGATATTATTCAGACTTAAAAAGGAAAGTAATTCTAACACATGCTACAACATGAATGAACCCTAAAGACATTATAGTAAGTGAAATACACCAGACACAAAAGGTCAAAGATTGTTATGATGTCACTTACATGAGATACCTAGAGTAGTCAAATTCATAGAGATGGAAAGTAGAATGGTGGTTGTCAGGGGCTGGGGGTGGGGGAGAAATAAAAAGTTATTATTTAAGGGGTACAGATTTTAGTTTGGGAAGATAAAAATGTTCTGGAGATGGAGATGGTGGTGATGGTTCCATAACAATGTGAATGGCCTTAATACACTGTAACTGTATACCTTTAAATATTGTTAAAATGGTAGAAATTTGTATTATGTATATTTTACCATGAATAAAAAAGAATATGAAGAATATTCCTTCTTGGATTTTGCAAAAATCATTTATTAAAAAGACCAACATATAGAAGAATAAATTATTTTAGAAATAATATATAGCACATAAAAGGTGATTCATTAAAGAAAGGTGAGAGAGAAAATGGGCTATTCTCCTGAGAAGGGCAAGCAACCTAATAAGAAATTGGTCCAAAGAACACCAAAAGGCAAAAACATCACTAGGTGACTGTCTTGTCCAGGTTAAAATAATGATATCTCAGATACAGTGATGGTTTTGCATTAGAGCCCCTTAATTTTATCACTTGACTGCTACTCTTCTGGGCATAAAACATGCCAGATACGAAGCCTAAGCCTAGGAAAATGCCATCACCCTCAATTTTTCTCCCACGCAAAGCCAAGTTAAATGAAAAAGTCTGCTTGACATTCAGAAATTTACAGATGTGAATGAAATGAAGGGAGAAAGTTCATTTAGAAATATGACTGGTGTTTAAGGGGAGTAAGAGAATGAGATCTCTGGAAAAAGAGTAAGACAGAATGGTGATGTTCAGAGGATACACCATTCAGTCCTTAAATGTAATGGGAGTATAAAGGGTTTCTTAGGATAGAGTCTTTTAAGAAAAATGTACAAGTGGTTTTTTAGTTGCTATGGTATTAGCTTTGCAGGCAGATGCTGAATTCAAACAAAACTATAGACATCTTATTGTGCCCCCAGGCTGCTTCACATATGTGTGATGATGAAAAGGATGATGATTAAAACAAATTCTTTTATAAATCTTATCCCAAATTCCTGAGGTACACAATGCATCATAAATGCGAATCATTTATTAGGAATTATTTCTGTTGAATACAATATATAAATAGTAAAAAGCAAGTCTGTTTTTCTAGTCATTTCCATGTTATGACTACAGGTATTTCCCTAGGTTAAAGTGCGACTCACTAATTTTACTTTGAACAATAAAATATATTATCCTTTAAAATGTTTTTTGTCTAGGAAAAGTAGATAGTAAAGACAAAAAACTGAAATCTGGAAATAAGACTTTTATTAAGTATTGAATAAATGTTGACCAAATTTTCAACATCTGGTATCAGGTACAAGGATCAGTGTTGACCCTAGAACAGACTGTTTATTGACTGCACCAGGAAATTATTCTCCAGTGAGTTGCAGAATCTTCAACTGTCTTTATTGGGTTTACCAGAGTCTGGCCACTTTGTTCAGGATGTTAAAGAGGGGTTTATTCTTTGGAAATTTTTGGTGGAAACAACATGTGTCTTTTATAGTCTCTTCTTGATCATTTTGTCTCTGTCAATTCCTCAGCCTCTCTTAATATCCTTATGTTACCCCCAGGCTCTTCATACTGCATCACCTCCAAGAAATGTACAATTGAAAATAATGAGTGAAGACTAACAGTGACATCTGCACTTCCATGTTCATTGCAGCATTATTCACAATAGTCAGATTGGGGGACAATCCATATGTCCATCGACAGAAGAATTAAGAAAGAAAATGGGATATATTCATACAATGAAATATTATTCAGCCTTTAAAAAGAAGGAAATCTTATCATTTGTGACAACATGGATGGACCTGGAAGGCATCACACTTAATGAAATAAGTCAGTCACAGAAGGACAAATACTGCATGATTCCACTTACATGAGGTATCTAAAATGGTCAAACTTGTGAAAACAAGAAAAAGAATACTGATTGCAAGGGGATAAGAGGAGACATGAGGTGTTCTTGTTCAATGAATATAAAGTTACAGTCATGCAAGATGGGTAAATTATAGATATATGCTCTACAATATAGTGCCTGTGGTTAACGATACAATCCTGTGCATTTACAGATTTAAAAGGGTAGATCCCATGTCAAGTGTACTTACACACACATACACACACACACACACACATTAGCAAAAAGATTCAAGGAGACTTTTGGAGGTGATGAATATGTTTATCACCTTGATTGAGATATAATTGTAATATCAAGGGTGTTTACTTATGTATATCCAGACTCTTCAAATGGTATACCTTAAATATGTACAGTTTTATTGTATATCAATTATATCTCAAAAAAGTTGCCAAAAGAAAAAAGAAATGAAACAATGGAACTTATGTCAACATGGCTCCTGAGCTTAGAGATATTTAAACAATACTCTCTTTAATGCCACAAAACAATCAGACAAGTTGATACAAATCTAACTTTGAGGACCTTAAATTATTTCCCAACCCTTATGGAAAGCATTTTGAAAATGTGTTTCAAGGACTTTAAATATGACTGAACACTTGACCAATAATTCTACTGGTGGAAAATATGCCTAAGCAATTAATCTTAAATCTAAAATGCTTTATAGAGAAAAATTAGAAACAACCATTAAATTGACAATCAAAATGCCCAAATAATGCAGAATAGGGAAATTGTGGTGAATTCATAAGGTAGATACTTAAAGACATCAAAAAAGTTGACATATGATGTTTATAAATATCTTTATGCTATAATTTTACATGGAAAGAGCAAATAACAGTATGGATATGGCATTACAATGTACCTGTACTACGATATCAAACTACAAGTACTGGTCTGTTGCTATCAACATAATATATTGGTATTATGCCCTGTGGGTGAATTTGGGGTCCAGTTCTATTTCAACATATTTAACTATGTTCTCTTTAGTGCAATGGAAAAAAATTTGTGAGACTATAGGTTGTTTCCTGACAGAAAGATGAGTGAAATAACATCCACACCAGTTCAATCTTCTATCATTAGTCTTTATTTTTGTTTTTTGTTTTAGTTCTGTAATTGTGGAACACAGATAATTAGCTAATTGCTATACATGTTCAAAAATCTGGTTACTCTACAGAATATGTGCACTCACAAAAGACCTGCTTGGTTTCTATTAAGGTGAGAATCATACCTGTGAATTCTCTTGCTTTGAAGAATTTAACACATTATGTTTACTTAAAGGGAAAAGTTTTTAACTTATTGTTTAAACCTATTCTCCTTGATTTATAAATATGAGTAGAATTCTCAAAGATTATTCATACTACTAGAATAAGCTTTAGAGCATAAATTGTTTGATATTAGTACGCATGTTTAGAACATTGAAACTATTTGTTTCCAACTCAGTTTATACCCAGCTATTTCTCCTCGTCTTCCCAAGTATTTCTTTGACTTGTTCTACTTCCAAGGAATAATTATCTATTATATAACATTAAGTTTGAAAGAAAACCCAAAATATTAATGGCTTAATGAAGATATTCAATTTCTGTTTCACTGAAAAATATAATAGAGGTAGGCTGTCCAGGGTAAGCTGCAAGAGATGCTGTGAAAGACAGTATTTATGCTAGAAGCCATACCCTAAAAATCAGGGATTCTATACTACTAAGGAGGAAGCAAAGAACAATTAGGAAACTATTAGCAATCTGCCACACAGACACTGCTCTTTACTATATTCCTATAGTATCTAGCACAGTGCTTTGCACAAAATAAATGCACAAGAAATATTTGATTAATATTAACTTTAAAATTTAATTCAACTGAGTTAAGATTATTCAATCACAAATTTGGTAATATGATCTAGTTATTTATATCAAGTAACAAATCAACGATGTGCTAAAAGATTTAACAAGGGTACACTATATATTGTTATTGTTTTTAATACTAAAAAATTAGATTAGAAACAATAAATGATGAATAAGATTGATTATATATTCAATATAGATTTGTTATACATATATTTTATTTTATATTGTAGAGATCTATAATTATATATTATTATATAATTATATTATATATAATTATATATTATTATATAATTATATTATATATAATTATATATTATTATATAATTATATTATATATAATTATATATTATTATATAATTATATTATATATAATTATATATTATTATATAATTATATTATATATAATTATATATTATTATATAATTATATTATATATAATTATATATAGATATCTATAATTATATTATATATAATTATATATAGATATCTATAATTATATTATATATAATTATATATAGATATCTATAATTATATTATATATAATTATATATAGATATAATTATAGATATCTATAATTATATTATATATAATTGTATATAGATATCTATAATTATATTATATATAATTATATATAGATATCTATAATTATATTATATATAATTGTATATAGATATCTATAATTATATTATATATAATTATAGATATCTATAATTACAGATATCTATCATATCTGCATATTATATTATATGCACATTATATGCATATTATAGCTATCTATAATTATAGCTATCTCTATATTACATATAGAGATATCTATCTGTTAATGGTATATAATTATAAATATCTATATCTATATAATATATAGATACAATTATAGATATATAATATAATATTATATTATATATTATAGATATAGATTTATCATATATTATAGATGTAGATATGAATTATAGATATATTTACAACATATCTATAAAATTTATTATGCCTAGACAATGTTAAATTTATATTAAAGTAATTGAAAAGAGTGAATTACAAATCAGATTGAGCAGAGGGAAAGAAACTGAAAGAAGATTCATCAAAATTGTTAAGGTAATTAACCATCTATTGAATTACAGGGAAGTTTATGTTCATGTTTGTTTATCCTTTTAAAAAATCTTTTCCCATGATAATCATTTTTGCATAAAAGACTACTCATAAGATAAAGTTATTTTTAAAAATATAGTGGGATAATATGTAATGTTAGCATCAAAAGAAGATAGTGTTCATAATTCACACTAAATATTCTTCACAGGCCAGCCAAAGGATATTTAACTGACATAATAAATCTGTATCTTACTTTCATTTATTATGTGTGTTTCCCTGATTTTCTCCCATTCTCTTTTAGACTTTTCTTTTTTTCTGAAACATCCTTACAACACACACATACACTTTTGCACAAAAAGCAAGTTAACTGTAAATGAAGAAAGGAATAAAAGAATAAACTTCCAAGGAAACCATAACAACTGTTGAAAATGAAAATGGTCTCAAAAAATGTTACATGTTATGAAGATAGCACATGCAAGAAGACACTCAATTTTTTCCACTTTGTTTTTTGCAATTAGCAATGATGCTGAAGTGGAGCTAATGGCTGGCAGAATCTGCTGCTGTTAGGACAATAGCTTGCCTCTATTAGGTGGGTTACATCCATTTGAGTTTATTCACTTGAAGAATGCCATTTTCTGTTGCTATAACAGTACCTGAGACTGGATAATTTAGAAAGGAGAGAGTTTTATTCTGGCTCATGGTTCAGGAGTCTGGGAAGTCTAAAAACGAGTGGCTGCATCTGGTCAGCTTCTGGTGATGGCTTCATGCTGTGGCAAAACATGGAGAAGAAGTGGAAAGGGGGAAGTGGGCACGTGTGAAAAGGGGCAAAACACCAGAGGTAGTCTCACTTTATAACAATCCACTCTCACTGCAACTAATCCAGTCCCATGAGATCAAGAACTCACTCACTCTTAAGAAAATTAACCCAGTCCTGCAAGAGCAGTAGTACTTCCTCTTAATGACCTAATCACCTCTTAAAGTCTCCACCTCCTAATACCATCACACCAGAGATGAAACTTCCAACACATGAATACTGGAGGAGACAGTTAAATCGTAACAAAGGCTCTGCTTTACCAACACACATACTCAAGATCTGATAGCCAAATGGAGGTATCATGAATACTTTAGCAAAATGGGAATCAAAAAACAAGACTTTAAAGTTTTTAATCTCAGTTCTGTTACCACTACTACAAAACCTTGAGAAAGTCACAATCTCTCAGAAACTCAATTTCCAGGTTAACCTATAATAATATAATTATATACTATTTAGATGCTTTATTGAGTTAAAATTTGATATTCATACCTCAAATTATTTAATAGTGAAAGCAGCCCTGGATTAAAAGCCAGAAGATGTGAGCACCCATCTTAGTTCCATTCTGAACTTTTATTGATATTAGATTAGACAGTGTGTCAGGAACTCACAGTATATCTATAAATGAGGGAGTGGGATAAGATGAACTTTAAGGTCTCATTTAGTTTAACATTCCACAATTCTTCATGAATGGCCTCTATAACAATTTTGTATGCCAGAATATTGCCTTTGGCAAAAATCTCATAGTAAAACTTGATTCAGCCATGAGGATATTATGCCTTTTGGATCTAGAGCTCTCTGTATGGTGAAAGCTATTTTTCTTTTATCTGAAAAAGCCGCTTATTGTTACAGCTATGGCCTTCAGAGTATAACTTCCTTTGTATACATTTTTCAAATCTGACAAGTGCATAAAGATATGTGGTGATTATAAACTGACTGTAAGCAAAGAAACTGAGCTCAATATTTATTAAAACCACAGGATTGATGCTTTCTATGTCACGTTAGCGGGGAAGGAAAGTCTTCATGAAACCAGATATGAAGTATTGCACATCAGCAGCTTATTTTGAAAGAAAATTTGGAGCAGAAAAGAATGGTCATATTTATTTTTAAAAATGTTCTATCACATTTTCATTTCTCCTTTACAATTTTTGCTGTGTGTGCTGTATGCCTTCATAGGATGTGGCATCCCTAATGTAACAGTAAACTTACAGGTAAGTCTGAAATAGATGCTATGACAGGGCCAGTGACTTTTTAGAGAATTTGTGAAAGGTGGTGAAGACCCCAATTAAATAATCTTATTCTATAAGACCCTGACAAATCATTACTGGGCCATAGGGTTAAGTGTTTCTGGACCTTACTAGATTGAAGATGAAGTTTAAGCCATAAAACAGGCCTTATCTCCTGGACATATAGCTGAACTGAAAGTTTATTAGAGCAAAATACATCCTAGAGAATTACTGCTAGCTCCATTGACCACAAAAACACCATGTCATGAGTTTTATAGAATATAGGAGTAGATTAGGATTTTCGAGTAGAACAAGGTATTAATAGACAGGCACTTTGCTTGATCTTTTCTCAGGAATTAATAAAAAGTCATTCCTAACCACTGCTCATTTCTGTATAGAATGGGGACACTGCATCCTAGATCAATTAGAAAGGCTTATCAGACATACTCTAACAAATTAAATGTCAATGGATTCATTATAATCATTGTTATTACAGAGGCATTATCACACCTCTGTGCAGGTCTCAATCAACTAACTTTGTTGTACCTAGGTTGTAATGAGAAGGCTGTCCTTACAGAAGTGAGAAAAATTACTGATATTTCTACTCTAATTAATAACATATTCTGGCCACCTGTGGCTGAGAAAAGATATTTTCCCTTGAGTGCAACAAAAAACAAGAAAATGATATGGTTTGCATTTCATTTTATTGAGTCAGGCATGTTTTTTTTTCATCGTCTTGGCCTATAAGTAAAATGTCCCCTCATGTAGACATTACAAGCACTGATTTCATTTATTTTTATACATATCTCATACAATATGTTGTATGATCAATTTGAAAAAGAAAACACGAACCAACTCACTAATTATAGGCACAGTTTAATCCATGCCTGATCATAAATTTGAAGCCAGGAAGTCAATGCATTATTAATACAAGAGCTATTTTTTTTAGTAAAGGTATGTATTTGGATTCCATAACAATGGCACAAAACATAGTCAAACTAGAACTTTTTACCTGATTTAAGACAGCAAAAATCTGCTTGTTCTAACACTGACTACATAATTGCTGATGCAATTTTAAATTAATAGTTCAAGGTTTTGAGAACATTAAAGTAGAATAAAGAAGCTGCTTAAACAAGAGAAAATCCTTGTGACATATAAAAGAACATTCATAAGACTATCAGTGGATTTCTTAGCAGAAACCCTACAGGCCAGGAGAGTAAGATTATATATTCCAAGTGCTGAAAACATTGTCAGCCAAGAATATTTCACCAGGAAAAGCTGCCCTTCAGGAAAAAAAAGAAATACTTTCCCAGGCAAACAAAAGTTGAGAGATCTTATCATCTCTCGACCTTACAAGACATACTGAAGGGAAGTATTCAAGGTGAAATGAAAGAATGCTAATTAGCAACATGAAAATATGACAGTATTAAACTCACTGGTAAAGGTAAGGGTATAGTCAAATCTAAAATATTTATGTTACAGTGGAGGTACACGAATAACTTTTAACTCTTGTATAAAAGTTAAAAAACAAAAGTATTAAAAGTAACTATAGCTATAATAAATTGTTAATAGAAACACAGAATGAAAGTCATAAATAGTGACATCAATAACATAAAATGTGTGTCGGGGGAAGAAGTAAAAATGTAGAGTTTTTCTTTGTGATCAAACTTCGTTGTTATCAGCTTAAAATAGACTGTTATAACTACAAGATCTTTTACGTAAGTCTCATAGTAATAACAAAGAAAAACCTTTAGCAGATACACAAAAATAAAGAGAAAGGAAGGAAAGCATCTTACTATAAAAATAATCAATCACAAAGAAAGGCAGATCAAAGGAATAGAAGAACTCACTTCAGCTTTAAGGACAAAGTGAAGTAATCAAAGAAAGATATTCCATGCAAACAGTAACCAAAAGAATGTAGAAGTGGTGGCAATACTTTATATGAGACAAAACAGACTTTAAGTCAAAAATTATCACAGGAGACAAAGAAGACCATCAATAAAAATAAAAGTGTAAATTTATTGAGAGATTATAACAATTGTAAATATACATGCACCCAACATCTGAGCACCTAACTATATAAAACAAATACTGAACTATATAAAAAAGAACAGAACTGAAGGGATAAATAGACAACAATACACTAATGTTAGGGGACTCTAATACTGCACTTTCAACAATGGATTTATTATCCAGACAGAAAATCAGTAAGAGAATAGTGAACTGAAACAACTATAGACCAAAATGATCTAACAGTAATATTCAGAACCTTCCATCCAACAGCAGCAAAATATGTATTTTTCACAATCACACATGTATCATTCTCCAAAATAGGTCATATATTAGACCACAAAACAAGTCTTAATAAATTTAAGAAGATTGACATCATATCAGGTATCTTCTTTAATCACAATGGTATGAAATTAGAAACAAGAAGATTAAATGGACCACTATTGAACAGCCAATAGGTCAGAAAAGAAATCAAAAGGGATATCAAAACGTGTCTTGGGACAAACAAAAATGAAAACACAACATATCCAAACTTATAGGATGCAGCAAAAGCCATTCTAAAAGGAAAAGTTATCACAGTAAATACCTACATTAAAAAAGAGAAAGATTTGCATATACAACCTAAATTTACACCTCGAGGAACTAGAAAAGAAGAATAAGACAAGCCCAAAGTTAACAGAGGGGAGGAAATGAATTAGAACAGAAATAAATAAAATAGAGACAAAAAAGTAGGAAAGAGTAATGAAACGAAGAGTTTTTTTTTTTTTTGGAAAAATAAAATTAGCAAACCTTTAGCTAGAGTAACTAAGAAAAAAGAAGACTCAAATAAAAATAAATATAAATTAAAGAGAGAGCATTACAAGTGATACCACAAAAATACAAAAGATCACAATGGACTATGATGAACAAATATACACCAACATATTGGTAAACCAAGAAGAAAGAGATTTATTCCTAGAGACATCAAATTTATGCTTGCCCTCCTAGAAACATGCAAACTACCAAGACCCAATCATGAAGAAAATAGAAAACTTGAGCCAACCAATTATGAGTAAGAAGATTGAATTAGTAATCAAAACCTCTCAACAAAGAAATGTCTAGGACCTGAAGGCTTTACTGGTGAATTTTACCAAACATTTAAAGAAAAATGAACACCAATTCTTCTCAAACTCTTCTAAAAAATTAAAGAGAAAGAAATATTTTCAAACTTATTTTACAAGACCAGTATTACTCTGTTACCAAAGTCAGACAAGAACCCAAAAAATAGAAAACCACAGGCCAATATACCTGATAAGTGTAAAAATTGTCAACAAAATATTAGCAAACCGAATTCAATAACATATTTTAAAAATCATTCACTATGAGCAAGATTTTCCCCTGGCATGCAAGGATGCTTCAACATATGCAAATCAATAAATATGATACACCACATTAATGGAATGATGATTAAAAATCACATAATCATCTCCATAGATTCAGAAAAGCATTTGCCAAAATCTAACATCCCATCATGATTTAAAAAACTCATTAATTAGGTGTAAAAGGAACATACCTCAATATAATACAGATCACATATGACAAGCCCACAGCTAACATCATACTCAAGAGTAAAAAGCTGAAAGCTTTTCTTCTAAGATCAAGAACAGGGACTGTAAAGACTCCATTAAAACACTGTTAGAACTAGTAAATAAATTCAGTAAATACGTGGATACAAAATCAATATACAAAAATCAATCTCATTTCTATACACTAGCAATGAGCTTTCTGAAATAGAAATTAATAAAACAATCCCTCTTACAATAGCATCAAAAATAATAAAAATACTTAAGAATAAAATTAACCAAGTATGTGAAAGATCTGTACACTAAAATCTATAAAGCATTATTGAAAGACATTGACAAAGGCAAAAATAAATTAAAAGATATCTACATTAATGTATTAGAAGAAATAGAAGAAAGTTTTCACAGAAATAGAAAAAAAGCAATCCTAAAATTTATATGGAAGCACAAATGACCCTGAAAAGCTAAATCAATCTTGTAAAGGAAAAACAAAGCTGTTAACAAAACATTTTAACATATATGTTTTGGAATATAATAGAATATAGACTATAATAGAATGTTGATTGCCAGGGGCTGATGGGAGGGTGAAGTGGGGAGGTGGTGGTCAAAGGATACAAAGTTTCATTTTGCAAGTTATGTTCTGAAGGTCTACTGTACAACATAGTGCCTATAGCTAACAACACTGTATTCTTATATTTAAAAATTTCTAAGAGGATAGATCTTATAATAATAATAACAACAATAAATGATGATGATGATGATGATAATAATAATATAGAGGCCAGAAGAAACTTTGGGAAGTGACAAATATATATCTATGGCCTTAATGGTGGTGATGGTTTTATGGGTTTATACTTATCCTCAACTCATTGAGCTGTATACATTGAATATGTGCAGATTTTTACATGTCAATCATACCTCAATAAATTATCTTAAAGAAGTTGCTTAATATTTATTTCACATTTTTTAAATGCTTTACAAAACATACATTATACAAGTAGTCACAACTTACAAAAGGGTTGTATTTCTACATTTGGATAAAGGGCTTTTGGAGACTTTTTCTACAAAGCATTCTCAACCATGTGTCTAGGTTTCCAGCCTCTTCCACAGCAGTTGCTTTAATGTAGCTGAGCTTTAACACAAATAATATTTTCAAACGAACTCATATTTAGTACATAATTCTTATGGTCAAATTGTGAAATATGTTTACAGTTGAAACTCAGGCTGCTGTGGCCTGATGATACTGTGATGGACCCAGATTCTTACTCTCTCACCACTCTGCCATTCTTGGCATGACAGTTTTGTCCATTGGTCAATTCCTCTCATAGTCACAAGATTGCTACCAGAAACAACTCAGCAAAATGCTTCTTTGATCATATACACTGGAACACAGGGAAACTCTCCCTCGATGAAATAATATAATTTCCTCCATTCGGTTTCACAGGGCAAACTTGGATCATGTGCTCATCTTCAAACTAATAATAGTTGTTAGGGAATTGCCTTAAATTAATGAGAAAATAACCCTAAGAGTCATGATAGAGGTATAAAAAAGAGGAGTTAATATAAGGAAAAAGGAGGACAGCAATGCATTCTGGGTATCAGGCTACAAAGAGATTTGGGGACAGCAGTGGAGACAATAAAAACAGATGAGCAAAGGGTGAATGGTGGCAACGGTTCAATGAATAAACTGTCTATAAATTATCTATTGATCATTTAATGGATATTCATAATATTCACACAAAATATGTACAGAAGGTTGCATTTCTAGAAATTATTGCAATGCATTGGAGAACTTTCCCAAGAAATCAGACAAGAATTAGCATAAAGCTCCGTCACATTCATTCTTTTTTTTTTAAACCCTCCTTTAAAAACTATTTGGCAGCTTATTATTAGGGTAAATTCTTTAAATAAAAATCTTGGTCTGCTGTATACAAGGCATCTTTTTTTGAAAACCGCCAGCATCTACAGAACACGTGTTCCAAAATAATATAATGCTCTTGCACTATATCTAGCTTTAGTGTCATCATCATAGATTAGATTTGAAGACAAAATTGGTGGCTACAGCCCATGCTAGGCATTGAATCCCTGTATTTAAAAAATGCTTAAATACTTTTAAATTAAAAGTTCTTGTTAGGGATTGGTTAGTTTGGCTTCCCAGCCTAAAGAAGCTTTGGATTTCTGCTGAGAAAACAACAGAAGAATCAATGAACAAGAATTGTGAAGCTTCCAATAAAATGGTTAACATTTCACATTTTGATCCAAAATATACATTTTTTTTTAAATTACCCTACAGAATGCTTGAAGTAACCATCTGGCATATCAAGGCATCATTTTTAAAGATTTTTTTTATTTTGCTATCAACTTTACTATAAGTTTTAATTCTGTGTTGTATAAACATTTTGCACAATTAAAGTAACAGTAGAAAAGAGCAACATTCTCATTCTCCATACTTTAGCAATTTTCAACCCTAACCCATTCAAGCACAGAAGAGGATCCATGTAATCAAAGTGTGTCATTTAGCAACCTTTTTGTTTTTATAAAAAAGGGTTTATCATCATGGTCTTTAAAAAATTAGGAATTTCAGTTGAACGCAGTGGCTCACACTTGTGACACCAGCACTTTGGGAGGCGGGCAGATCACTTGAGGTCAGGAGTTCAAGACCAGCCTGGCCAAAATGGAGAAACCCTGTCTCTACTAAAAATACAAAAATTAGCCCAGCATGGTGGTGCATGGCTGTACTCCCAGCTACTCAGGAGACTGAGAAAGAAGAATTGCTTGAACCCAGGAGGCAGAAATTGCAGTCAGCTGAGATCACACCACCGCACTCCAGCCTGGGCCACAGAGTGAGACTCCATCTCAAAAAAAAACACAAAAAACAAAAAACAAAACAAAACAAAAAACCCAAAACCAAAAAACCCAGAAATTTTATTTTAACACTGTTTAATTTTCTAAAAATCTACATGTAAAAGTATTGGTATGCAAGTAAGTACTCATTTGCATTATGTTACAAGTATAATTATACAAGGCTGTCAGGTAAAAACGGTAGAACACAAACATCTCCTTAATCTGTAGATCAATGCCACAAATTCAACTATAAAATCATGGGCCAATTTTACTATACCTAATGTCATTTCTAATCAATTTCACTTTTTTGCAGCAGCAAAAAAGATGGAAACAGTAGTTTGTATGATAGTCTCTAACAGAATGCTTCCATGACCAAATTCAATTTTATTCAAGGTGGCTGTATACATATTTCCTCTAAACGCTACTTTTGATAGGATAATAATAAAGTGATGAAAACGATCAATGTAAAAAACCATTACAGAAACCATTTTGGTACTTTGAACTGAAGCTTTTTTTTCCTGAAAGTCCTCTGTCACTCAGCTGCATCATCTATTATTTTTCACTAATTATTAGCTGTTTACGAATATGACAGCTACTGTACATAGCTGAAGAAATACAGCCTAGAAGGATTACGTCTTTCTAGTATTTTAATATGCAGGTCAAATTAATTCCAAAAGTGAGTTTCATCAGAGTGGTTCATTGCTTAGCTTTTATGAGGCTGCAGTAATGTCAATTTGAACTCCAAAATGCAACTAGTTTGCCAGCCAATTATTTATATCCTAATAAAAAATGCTACCACAATTAATCTGGGATTGTTTTTTCTGATAAATGGACAACTTATGACTTTTCAATTTATATATTTTCTCATTAGAACATTTCTGTCAATTTGTGATTTGGTGGCAAAAATAATAAATTAGCATTGTACATAATAAAAAATCACTTATTTTAGAAAAAAGTAGAAAATCAAAAATATCTGTACTTCAAGTAAAAAAACAATTCTTTTATTCCATAATAAAGTTTTTCAGTAGAACTTTCTCTGACGATAAAAATGTTCTATATCTGTTTCTCCATTACACTAGCCACATGTGGTCATTAAACTCTTGAAACGTAACTAGTTCAAATAAATAAGTAAAATTTTAATTTTAGCTAATTTAAATGTTAGAAGCCCCAAGTGGCTAGTGGCCGTATTAGTCACCATCTACAGCGTATTATGCCACGGATTTCTGCAAGTATTGTTGAAGTACTGGCAATGTATCTAAGCCTTGGGTAAATATACAAATTTTTTCTTGAATAGACAAAAATGTACTAAAAATGTGATAATCTCTAGAGATACTAATATGTTTAAGTACTTTATATGTAAAAAGAATTTAATTCACCCGTGCATACATAAATGGCAGATAGCTATAGACGTAGACTATATTTACATATATATATATGTAAGTGAAAGTGATACATGTCACACATGTCACTTTTTTTTTTTTCTTTTTTGAGACGGAGTCTCGCTTTGTCGCCCAGGCTGGAGTGCAGTGGCGCTATCTCGGCTCACTGCAAGCTCTGCCTCCCGGGTTCACGCCATTCTCCTGCCTCAGCCTCCCGATTAGCTGGGACTACAGGCGCCCGCCACCACGCCCGGCTAGATTTTCGTATTTTTTAGTAGAGACGGGGTTTCACCTTGTTAGCCAGGATGGTCTCGATCTCCTGACCTCGTGATTGGCCCGCCTCGGCCTCCCAAAGTGCTGGGATTACAGGCATGAACCACCATGCCCGGCCCATATATCACATTTTATTGGCCAAGTCAAGTCATATAGACAAGTCTAATATCAGTATAGCTAAGAATATTATCTTCAGGAATTACCTGGTAGAGAGCGATCAGGTAATAAAGGGCAGTACATATTTAGACAATAATTATTCTCTATAGATTGATAGGTACATACATACATAAATATAGATAGATAAATTATATTCACATACGAATATGTATATATACACACACCCACACACATAGATATATGTTATATACAAATACACATATATGTATATAACAATATATATTTATATACTTATACATGTTCATAACAAAAGAGATTTGAACTGGTTAAAAATTATACATAAAATTAACAGATTACAAAAATAAAGAATTAAGAATAGAATAAAAATAAGATGTAATTTAAAAGGAGGGAGTATACAAATATCAAATCATAAGATGTTTTATGGTTGATAGAGTTGGACTGTAAATTGGGTTCTGAACTTCCTAGTATCCCAAAAGAGGAAATACATAATCAATTTCTACACTTAAACCCACAAACGGATCAATTTCTTAGAGAAACATGGCTTAACTGGAAGAATTTATGAAAATACCTTGTAATAATGAAAAACCCATTCCTTAACAATTACCTTATAATAAATATATATTATATATATAACATATATAATATATATTATAAATATTTAATACTACAGTAAAAGAATAGCCCTAATGCCTCATAGGTGCCCAATACATATTTCTTGAATGAAATATGTCTTGAATGGAAAAAGAAAGGCAGAAATGTCAAATTCCCTATAGCAGAAAGATAAAAAAGTGACTTAATGTAAGCTAAAGGTGTAACATTAAAGTTGAAAAAAGTAAAAGATCTTTCACAAGAAGGCAACTATATAAATATGTGTATGCATATCAAGATTTCTAATTGTGTGATTTAATACAAAAATGTTTAGAGTATGTAGAAGAATAAACGAACTACAGGTGATACAGGTAATCACATGAAAGAAAGAAAGAATTATTGGATCATTTTGTGAAAAAGAAACTGTTTCTTTGTTGGGCAAGTAACACAATCAGAATTATAATAAAAGTTTACAAGACTTTTGAGTCCAAAATTGTGTAATTTAAGCCAGTTACTTAGGTAATTGGTGCAGTATTATGCACAATTTATGAACTTACAAAATAGTTAACCAGCAGAACTCAATGCTAGACATGTCAAGAAGTCTGGAAAGAATTATATTACAAGACAGTCATATTAGATATTCTATTTTGAAATGGCTGTGTATTACATACAGAAATTGGTTGTGTTTTCAGAACTCAAGAAGAGTACCTTTATTTTAATTAGTAAAGAAGAGGAGTTTGCTATTTAAGCATAAATTTATACAGGGGAATGAAGTAATACTTTTAAATAAAGATGCTTGATTATAAGAAAATTGCATATACTAAACTTTTAGAACACAGCACAATGCTCTCAAAAATGTTAAGCAAATTAATCAATGAATAACACTTATAGGTAAATTTTGAGGTTTGCTCAGTCCATATTCACAAATATGTAGGCTGATGACACCAAAATATACATCTCTGACTGTAACCTCTTCCCTAATCACTGGACTCATATAAATTGAATATATTCAACTACCCTCCAAGGGGTGAAGTTGGGTGTTCAAAGGGTATGAATGTTTAATTTCAAATTTAATATTTCCAAAACTTAATTATTCACTTCTCCTCAAACATATTTCCACACCAGTCTTCCTCATCGCAGTAAGTGGAAAATTTGTTCTCCCAGCTGCACATGTTAATAACCTTAGAGTCAACCTTAACACTTTATCTCACATATATTCATCATTGAATTACGTTGACTCTGTCTTCAAACACATCCAGCATGTAACCACATCTCATCACATCTATCGCTACATCCCTAGTCCAAGTCACCACTCCCTCTTCACAGGATTATTTAAAAGGTTTTTCGTATGTTGTTTATTTTCCTTTTCTTCTTTCTTCCTTCTTTCCTTCCTTCCTTCCCTCCTTTCTTTCCCTCCTTTCCTCATTCCTTCCCTCCTTCCCTCCCTCCCTCCCTCCCTCCCTCCCTCCTTCCTTCCTTCCTTCCTTCCTCTCTCTCTCTCTTTCTTTCTCTTGATCCCTTTATAATCTCTTGTTCATAGGGTAACCAAAGGGATCATTCTGAAATGTAAATTAGATTATGTAGCTTCCCAACTGAAAACCCTATGATTTTTACAGTGTCAAGTCTTATGTCTAAGTTTCTCATTCATTTTGAGTCAATATTGATGTATAGTGTAAGCTAAGAATCGAATCTCTTTTTTTTTTTTTGCATGTGGATTTCTAGTTTTCTCAACACTATTTGTTGAACAGATAATTCTTCCTTATTATGTATTCTTGTCATCCTTATCAAAGATACGTTGACCATATATGTGTAGATTTACTTTTGGGCTTTGTATTCTGTTCCATTGGGCTATATGTCTGCCTTTATAACAGAACCATACTGTTTTGATTATTGTAGATTTGTAATATATTTTGAAATCAGGAAATATGTTGCCTCCAGCTTTATTCTTTCTCAATAGTGATTTGACTATTCATGGCCTTCATGGTTTCATATGACTTTCAGAATTATTTTTTCTATTTCTGTACAAACTTCCATTGAAATTTTGATAGGTATTACATTAAATCTGTATTTCATTTTGGGTAGTATGAATATTTTAACAATTTAAAATCTTCCAAGCTCAGCATAGTGGCTCCACCTGAAATCTCAGCACTTTGGGAGGCTTGGGTGGGAGGACTACTTGAGGCTAGGAGTTCAAGAACAGCCAGGGAAACATAGCAATACTCTATCTCTACAAAAAATTAAAAACTAGCCAGGCATGGTGGTGCATCTCTAGGTACTAGAGTGGCTGAGGCCCGGAGGATGATTTGGGACCAGGAGTTAAAGGTTGCAGTGAACTATGATCATGCCACTGCACTGCATCCTGTATAACAGAGTGAGACCCTGTCTCTTAAAAGAGAGGGAGAAAAAAAAGAAAATTCTTCTAGACATAAATGTAAGAACTGAAGCTTTAAAACTCCTAGAATAAAACATATTAGAAAAGCTTATTGATATTGGTCTTAGCAATTATTTCATGTATATGACACCAAAAGTACAGTCAGCAAAAACAAAAATAAATGGGTCTATGTCAAACTAAAAAAGCTTCTGCACAACAAAGGAAACAATTGACAAAATAATAAGACAACCTATAGAATGGGAGAAAATGTTTGCAAATCATATACCTGATAAGGGTTAATATCCAAAAAACTGATTAAAAATGGACTAAGGACTTAAGGAGACATTTCTCCCAAGAAAACATACAAGGAAATGCAAATTATGACCACAATGAGATAACATCTCACACCTGTCAGGATGGTTATTACCAAAAAATCAAAAGCCAAGTGTTGGCAAGGATGTGAAGAAAAGGGAACATTGGCACACTCTTGGTGGAAATGCAAAGGTACAGCTGAGACAGGCAAGCTGGCAGGCTTCTGATTTTGATGTGGTTTAGAGAAAAAGAAAAAATGCCTCTCACTCAAGCTATAGCTGACCTAACTTCTAGCTAATCATCAAATAAAGACCCAAGAAGCTATTAATTACAGGTTCCTGCTTTAGGGGGCTAGGGACTTCCCTGGGACTCCACATGTGAAGATAGACTTGAACTTCAACTCACAGTTACCCCTTCCTCATTTTAATGCTAAAAATCATACCCAGGGGTGGAGATTTAAACTGCATATCTTCCATGCAATGTATTAAGAAGTGCATAAGGCCACTGAACAAGCACTAGAGAAACCCCTGCTATACAGGACCTGATGAAACCCTTCCCTATAGAAAGGACCTATAAAACTAATGCACATACTACTCTCAGGGAGCAGCCCACCCTTTTCTTTTTGTAGTGCTGACTTCCTTGTGCACAAGTGAAATAAATCTTTCTCTTTCTCTTTGCTGCTATGTCTAGTGATCTCTCTTTATTTCTATCCTGGGAGATTACAAGAACCCAGAGTGCCAATAGCACAGCCATTATGGAAAACAGTATGGAGACTCTCAAAAAATTAAAAATAGAACTACCATATGATCCAGCAATCCTACTTCTGAGTTTTTTATCCAAAAGAACTGAAATCGGTATCTCAAATTGATAGGAGCACTTCTATGTTCGTTGCAGTTGTATTCACAATAATCAAGATGTGGAAACACCCTGAATGTCTACTGATTAATGAATGGATAAAGAAAATGTACGCTATACATACAAGGGGATACTATTCAGATTTTTTAAAAAAGAAGGAAATTCTGCAGTATGTGACAACATGTATGAATTGGAAGACATTATGCTAATTGAAATATGCCAGTTATAGAAAGATAAATATATCACGATTCTATTATATGATGTATCTAAAACTAGGCAAATTCATAGAATCCCAGAAAGGGATGGTGGTTGTCAGGTGGGAAGACAGTGAAATGAGGAGTGACAAATTAAGTTTCAGTCAAGGAAGATGAATAAGCTCTAAAGATATTGTATACAATATGGTATCTATATTCAACAATATTATATTGTATAGGTAAAAATTTGTTACAATGATAGATCTCATGTCTTCTTACCAGAACTGAAACAATAACAAATACAAAAATGAATCCTCTGTTGGCATCCTGTCTTACTCAGAAAAGAAATCTAAAGCGCTTATCATTCCTTATGCACTCTGGCTCTCTGCCAGCTCTCAGATAAAATATACTACCATTCATCTCTATTCCAGCCATGACAAGAAACTTATTACTTCAAGGTCTTTGCATTGTCAGTCCCCTCCACCTGGAAAGGTTCTTCTCTCAGAAGTAGACATGATTGTCTTGCTCACTTCATTCCCTGGCCACTCTAATTAATTAAAATAACTGTCACCATCTCCATTATTTCCTCTACTCAATCTAAACAGTTTTCAATACTCATAATGCACTGAAAACTATAATTAGCCTATGGAATTGGCATTGACCTTGCTTTAATTTCTCATTTCTATCATCTCCCTTGCATTACCTGCTTTTGCTGCCATTGTTCTAAGTATTTCTAGGCTACATACACAGAAGTAATACATTCAGTGTTGTCTACCAAGTTACTACATTTCATAAAAATCAAAGAAAGATTTAATCAGCTGTTTATCTGCACTGAAAAAAAAAGATAGATAATTGGAGACCCATACAACCATTATATAAGTATGAAATAATTGGATTGGGGAAATGAAAGGAAAGACAAAGGGAATGCTTTTAAGTATTCCCTTTGAAAAATTAATCCCAACCAGGGTTTACTCTCTTACCTATTAGCTTGAGACCTAAGAGTTTAAGAAAGAAAAGAATGTGTCTGATTTCCATGAATAACTTGTACAGGGAAAGGTCAATTTAGAAAGGAAAGGGAAAGCATTATATTTTAATTTAGGTGCACTCACCAATGAATTCTCTATGTGATTAAAATAGTCTTGATCCTCACTATGCATTTATAGTGCTGTATAACTTACAGAATGCTTTTGTGTGCATTATCTCATTGAATCATCAAAAATCAATATTCGTGTTGTGGCTATGACTAGATTAACTAACTAACATCATCCCAAACAAAAGTTAATTTTGAATACTCCAAAGAATTGATGGCTGTTTGAGACAGGTGTTTCTGCCCAACTCTAGACTTCTGCGTAACAAAGTAGGTTATAATTAGAAGTGATTTAAAACAAAAACAAACCAAAAAAAAGGTCTTTGTCCTAGCTTTTCTACTCTCCTTACTTATCATGATCCATGAAAAAAGTTACCTTATCCACTTGCAAATGATTGAAAATATGTAACTAGAGATAATTTTCTTTATTGTAAACTTCATTTTCTCTTCATATAAAACTACATTGACCAGGTAGCTATTGAATTATTGAAATGTGGATAGTCTGAACTGAGATGTGTATAATATAAGTACTAGATTTTTAAAATGTAAAAGTAAGTTTTGTCTAATAATTTTACATTGATTACATGTAAATCAATGAAACTGATGATATTTTGTAAATATCATGCTAAAGTATATCACTCAAAGAAGTTTTTCCCTGTTTCTTTTTGCTTTTTTGATACAGTTACTAGGAAAATTTTAATTACATATATGACTCAAAATTGTGGCTCACATTATATTACTATCGAAGAGATCATTCAGAGAGGGCATATAACTTATAGATTCCTAAAATCTGGTTTAATTAGATGTAGTTAAGGAAGAAACAAATGAGAGTATCATGAAATTTATCCCAAGTTTAGAAAGAAAGACACAGGAAAGTGTGCAAGATATTTCGTATCAGAAAATTGGTAATAGAAGGCTTTATGATTGGCAATATTTACTGAGTGTTTACTAGGTACCTGGCATTGCACAAACTTTATCCCATTTAATACTTATAAAACCCCATGAGGTAGAGACTAAATAAGGTGAAACCCATTTTCTGTATTTTTTTCCACAGTCATTTGCCAAAATTTAGCTTCTCTTTCTCTTTCATTTTGTTGAACTCTATAATCTTGAGGCATTTTTTTTTTACTATAGTAACGTCCATTTAATTTTGGTATAGAATTAATACTAAAGAAACATTAAAACATTAAAAAGTGGTTAGGAAATGCATGTCTGCAGCAGACTCCTATAATCAATAAGAATAAAATATAAAAGAAAATGTTTCTTAAGTTTATACAGAGATATCATAGCTGCAGAGAAGGCCTAAATGGGACACTAGGCTACAAACACCTCTCCTTATCCACTCCTTGACTATTTCAGGCCTTATTTCCTAAAATAATGCAGTTGGTAATAACATTGATCCAAGACAGGTGTTGCATGCTGGTATTACCCTAAAGCACTGGCAGTCATTGATAACCAGACTATGGCTCAAGAACAGTTTGGGTATTGTCCTCCCATTCCTTTTTCCTATCTATCATTAGATTTTTGAGTATCTTTATTTTCTTATCTATTACTTAAAATATCTAGAAGTTATTTTAACTCTGCTTTTCCTGAAGATTAACATAAATGTTGTTATATGTTTTGCTCTCTCTCTCTTTCCACATTATCATGAAATTAGACCCCCCAATTGCAGTAGGAGTTTATGCTTCATTTTGTTCTGACATCTTCATTTGTATGAGCCACCACCAGGGAAACCTCATTAACTGTGAATTTGAAAGCTTCATATAAACTACAAGTCTCTCATAAATCTAATCTTATTACAGGAGACCCTTACATTCTCCAGGGATACCCGTTGAGACTTTCAAGAATTCTCAAAGTCAAGAACACTATTATAGCACATAATTTCTTTCTTAAAAATTCAGTAATGCAGAATAAAAAAATATATGAAAGGTCTCTTCAGACTCTTAATGGTTCTAATAACACAAAGCCAAAATCGTATATAAAGTCATTTGAGAGATAAGAATTGTTATTTTCTTCCACCTCTTTATTGCTCACCAACTTTATTGGTTGCCTACTGTCTGGGAAGTATTTCACAATGCAACAAAGTTTGCATCGTGTCATGAATGTAGCTGCATGGAAGATGATAAAGAGAGAACAATAAAAGCCCAAATTGGGATGAATTTTCAACTAGGAAAAATGGATGAGGAAGCTGATACCAGGTCACTAGCTGTGAAGCATAGAGATTCAATTTCAGTTGTGGTAAATTATGAATTATTACCAGTTATTGCAAATGAAGACTGTTTGTAAATAATGAAAAGAAATTTGTAATGCCAAATGTAAGGAACTACTACTCGAGCTATTTAATCAAAATTGAACTGATCGGGTATACAGTCATGTGCCACATTACATTTCAGTCAAAGAACCACACATACAATGGTGATTCCATAAGATTATAATACTGTATCTTTAATGTGCCTTTTTATGTTTAGATAAGTTTAGATACACAATACTTACCACTGTGTTACAATTGCCTCCAGTATTCAGTACAATAACATAATGTACAGGTTTGTAGCTTAGAAGCAATAGGTCATACCATATAGCCTAGATGTGTAGTAGGCTATACCATCTTAAGTTTGCTTAAGTACACTCTATAATATTTACACAATGAAATTGCCTAATGATGCATTTCTCAGAACATATCATAGTCAATAATCGGTGCATACATGTATTTGAATGCTAGTTGATCAATACAACATTCCTTGGAAAAAATGTTCAATTATTCTTAAATTTTTATTGATTCTCAACCTAGAGCAATACTTTATTGAGTGGCTAGTGGCTAATGTAGAAGCAAACAGATCAAAATTTAGCACCCCAAATTCAAAGCATCTGCACTCCTGACTTTCAATTGACAGTATATATTTGAAATCGCTGTCTAATATTCTCTGTCCATGGTGCCTTAATATCACAATTCTAACAAACTCTGAATCATCATCAGTCAGGTCCATTATATTGCAGTCTTACCTCCCTTAATAGCTGCTTATATCTTTACATCTTTTTAATGCATACCAGAAATCCCCAAAGTGAATTTCGCACATTCCATGTATCCTTTTTGCCTGATTGATGTTGTAACCAACAGTTTTGTTGAATGAAATATGAAGCATGAACTATTAAGTAGCATTTGAAAATCTTTGTTTTTTAAACATGTTTAATTTGATGATACTTTTGATACAAATAATGAGTTATCAGAGTTAGCCTCCTTTGTATTCTACTTCTATATAACATAATTTTCTTCCTCACTTAAGTCACACATCACTGAATGACAGGAATACTTTCTGAGAAATGCATCGTTAGTCAATTTTGTCATTGTGCAAGCACCACAGAGTACACTTACAGAAACATAGATGGTACAGCCTACTACACACCTAGGCTAAATGGGATAGCCTATTGTTCCTGGGCTATAAACCTGTATGTATATTATGTTCCTGTACTGAATACTCTAGGCAGTGGTAACACAATGGTAAGTATTTTTGTACTTAAACATATATAAAATAGAAAAGATACAGTAAAAATATGATATAAAAGATTAAAAATTGTACATCAATATAAGGCACTTACTATGAATGAAATTTGAAGGACTGGAAGTTGCTTTGGATGAGTCAGTGAGTGAATAGTGTGAGTGACTATGAAGGCCTAGGACATTACCGTATTCTACTGTAGGCTTTATAAACACTGTAAACTTTGGCTACATTCAGTGTATTAAAAAAATTTCTTTCTTCAATAATAAATTAAACTTAGCTTACCGTAACTTTATTACTTTATAAATGTTTTAATTTTTTGACTCTTTTGTTAATAACATAACTTAAAATGCAAATATGCTGTACAGATGTACAAAAATATTTTCTTTTTTTTTGTTTTTTTTTGGAGATGGAGTCTCGCTCTGTCACCCAGGCTGGAGTGCAGTGGCACGATCTTGACTCACTACAAGCTCCACCTCCCGGGTTCAAGTGATTCTCCTGCCTCAACCTCCCAAGTAGCTGGGATTACAAATGTGCACCATCACACTCAGCTAATTTTTTGTATTTTAGTAAAGGCACTGTTTCACCATGTTGGCCAGGCTGGTCTCAAACTCCTGACCTCAAGTGATCTGCCAGCCTTGGCCTCCCAAAGTGCTGGGATTACAGACGTGAGCCACCACACCAGGCCAAATATTTTCTTTATATCCTTGTTCTATAAGCTTTTTTTTCAATGTTTAAAATTTTTATTTTTATTTTTACTTTTACTATTTAACTAAGACCCAAGAGCACACATAAACATAGGCCTACACAGGGTCATGGTCATCAACATCACTGTCTTCGACCTCCACGTCTTGTCCCACTGGACTTCAGGGGTAGTGCACATGAAGTTGTCAACTCCTTTGGTAACAATGCCTTTGTTTGGAATACTTCCAAAAGGACCTACCTGAGATTGTTTTACAGTAAACTTTTTTTAATAAGTAGAAGGAATATACTCTAGAATAATGATAAAATGTATATTATAAACCATTGATATTGTCATTTCTTATCATTATCGAGTTTTATATACATAATTATATGTACTATACTTTTATACAACCACCAATGCAGTAGGTTTATTTAAACCAGCACCACCACAACAAGTGAGTAATGTGTTGCACTACAAAGTTATGACAGCTACGACCTCACTAGGTGAAACAAGTTTTTCAGCTTCATTATAATCTTATGAGACCACTGTATATATGTGGTCCATAGTGGATCTAAAGTCCTTATGGGGCATGTTGACTATTTGTTCCGTGGGTCTGATACAGTCTTTCATGAGTAGTTATTAATGATTTATGATAGAGGCCCTCCAAAATATTCATTAATACATCTTTCCCTTTCTTCTTACAATCACTTTCTCTGAACTATACACCCACATGCACATAAACACACAATTTACATCTGAGGCTAGATATTTAATAATTTTTAATTCACACAGATTATAAATTAATGAACAACATGATACTTCTTTAATTGAAGAAGTGTACTTTCAGAGTAAAATAAATGTTAACTAACCTTATTTGTATTTCAGGGATTCAGCTTCCCTCCCTTCTAACTAACTTAAATGCCACACTGTGTTTCCGGATTTGTTAACAACTCCAAGCACATTTCCCTCCCCTTGCCTCTGTCAACCCCACAAGCTGTTCCTTCTGACTTCAAAGTGTAAATATTTTTGCTTCATCATCAGTTTTCTAGTCTGAAGGGAGAGTTGGCTCACCTAAAAAGAAACAGTACTTCGCAACAAAAACAATAGAATAGAGATGCTAATCAATGCTTCCTTTTAAAATATGTATGCCTTTTCCTCCAAAAATAAAAAAGGAAAATTTCTTTTATAAAAGAATAGAGGCAACGTGTGAAACAGACCTTCAAATATTATTAATTATATTTTTTAAATTCAAGTTATTGAAATCAGACAGCACAATTAGCTGAATTACTTATGCATTCAGACAGTTATTTAGATCAGGTATTTAATATTTTCCAAAAATTAAAATGTTTGTAAACAAAAGTTCCCAAGTTACTCTCATGCTTTGTGCAGTTACCTCGATGTAGCTGGATGATGTATGCAAAAGTATCACCTTTTAAATATTGGCTTTGCTTTCGATGAACAGGCTCTAATCCTTTTGGCTTCCCTGTTCTTAGCTCTTAGTGCACGTAATCAATCTTTCCTGTTTATCCTGAAGATCAACACTGATGATCTTACAACCTGAGACAACATAGTGTTGAGCTTAATCTAAAATGCAAATGTTGCAGTGTTTCAAACACATCACCAAAAGACAATGTTCATTTCGTATTTACTTTGTAAACTTCCTTTGCTAGCTGGCTGGCTGGATTCTGGTCAACTTTGGACTCTGCAGGAATATGAAACATTAATTATACTTGGGTCCATTTTTTTGATTTCTTAAATCCACACTTCAAATGAAAGATGCGAAGAAGAAAGAAACAGACTTTAATCAAACATTTTTAAGATGCCATTTAATTGTGTAAGTCATTTGAATTGGTTCTCCTTGGTTTTCTTCACATTGTTCTAGTCAGTCATTGAAGGAGTTGCATTAAACTTCTAAGATTGTTGTGTTTATTGTGAACAAATGAAAATAGACCAGTTTTTTTTTGTTTTTTTTTTTTGTTTTTAGTATCTTGCTTGGCAGTGCATTAAGTGTTGTCCTACAATATGTTCTTTGCTTTTTCCCAGGCACTTACTAAATACATTTCATCCCTCATTTTACAAGTGAAGAGAGAGTGGCACAGACGAAGCAACACGCTGAAAGTCACAAAGCTTAAGCAGTCAGGCATTGTTCTCTACGGCCAGTCATGCTTGTTGTTCTGGCTTATGAAAGTTTTATTTCTGCTCCATTAGACAAAGGCCCTTAAAAATTACCTTTATATGCTTACATATATATATATTTATACTTTAAATTCTAGGGTACATGTGCACAACGTGCAGGTTTGTTACATATGTATACATGTGCCATGTTGGTTTGCTGCACCCATTAAGCTGTCATTTGCATTAGGTATTTCTCCTGACGCTACCCCTCCCCCATCCTCCAACCCCATGACAGTGTGTGATGTTCCCCACCCTGTGTCCAAGTGTTCTCACTGTTCATTTCCCACCTATGAGTGAGAACATGTGGTGTTTGGTTTCCTGTCCTTGTGATAGTTTGCTCAGAATGATGGTTTCCAGCTTCATCCATGTCCCTACAAAGGACATGAACTCACCCTTTTTTATGGATACATAGTATTCCATGGTGTATATTTGCCACATTTTCTTAATCCGGTCTATCATTGATGGACATTTGAGTTGGTTCCAAGTCGTTGCTATTGTGAATAGTCCCACAATAAACATATGTGTGCATGTGTCTTTATAACAGCATGATTTATAATCCTTTGGGTATATACCCAGTAATGGGATCACTGGGCCAAATGGTATTTCTAGTTCTAGATCCTTGAGGAATTGCCACACTGTCTTCCATAATGGCTGAACTAGTTTACAGTCCCACCAACGGTGTAAAAGCATTCGTATTTCTCCACATCGTCTCCAGCACCTATTGTTTCCTGACTTTTTAATGATCACCATTCTGACTGGTGTGAGATGGTATCTCATTGTGGTTTTGATTTGCATTTTTCTAATGGCCAGTGATGGTGAGCATTTTTTCATGTGTCTTTTGGTTGCATAAATGTCTTCTTCTGAGAAGTGTCTGTTCATATCCTTTGCCCACTTTTTGATGGGGTTGTTTGATTTTTTTCCTGTAAATTTGTTTAAGTTCTTTGTAGATTCTGGATATTAGCCCTTTGTCACAGGGGTAGATTGCAAAAATTTTCTCCCATTCTGTAGGTTGCCTGTTCACTCTAATGATAGTTTCTTTTGCTGTGCAGAAGCTCTTTAATTAGATCCCATTTGTCAATTTTGGCTTTTGTTGCCATTGCTTTTGGTGTTTTGCCCATGAAGTCCTTGCCCATGCCTGTGTCCTGAATGGTATTGCCTAGGTTTTCTTCTATGGTTTTTGTGGTTTTAAGTCTAACATTTAAGTCTTTAATCCATCTTGAATTAAATTTTGTATAAGGTATAAGGAAGGGATCCAGTTTCAGCTTTCTCCATATGGCTAGCCAGTTTTCCCAGAACCATTTATTAAATAGGGAATCCTTTCTCTATTGCTTGTTTTTGTTAGGTTTGTCAAAGATCAGTTCAATCAGGCAAGAGAAAGAAATAAAGGGTATTCAATTAGGAAAAGAGGAAGTCAAATTGTCCCTGTTTGTAGATGACATGATTGTATATTTAGAAAACCCCATTGTCTCAGCCCAAAATCTCCTTATGCTGATAAGCAACTTCAGCAAAGTCTCAGGATACAAAATCACTGCAAAAATCACATGCATTCCTGTACTCTAATAACAGACAAAGAACCAAATCATGAGTGAACTCCCATTCACAATTGCTACAAAAAGAATAAAATACCTAGGAATCAAACTTACAAGGGATGTGAAGAACCTCTTCAAGAACTACAAACCACTGCTCAATGAAATAAAAGAGGACACAAACAAATGGAAGAACATTCCATGCTCATGGATAGGAAGAATCAGTATCATGAAAATGGCCATACTGCTCAAGGTAATTTATAGATTCAATGCCATCCCCATTAAGCTACCAATGATTTTCTTCACAGAACTGAAAAAAACTACTTTAAAGTTCATATGGAACCAAAAAAGAGCCCATATTGCCAAGACAATCCTAAGCAAAAAGAAGAAAGCTGGAGGCATCACACTACCTGACGTCAAACTATACTACAAGGCTACAGTAACCAAAACAGCATGATACTGGTACCAAAACAGATATATAGACCAATGGAACAGAACAGAAGCCTCAGAAATAACACCACACATCTACAACATTCTGATCTTTGAAAAATTACCTTTATATTCTATAGAAAATACCAATGTCAAGTTGGAAGTTAGAACTGTGAAAATCATTAATTACAATTCACTTAAGCATTGATTGTTTAAAACCAAAGATGGGATTATTTCAAGTTACACTACGAACTTTCCCCCATCCTTTTTACTTCTCCATAATTACAAAGTTATTATATGAATAGCCCTTAGCCCACTATATCTTCCTCTTCCTTCCCCAAGGGTTACTGCAATCAGTATGGCACATGTGCATCACACCATATACATATATCATAAGGCATATATGATCATATGGAAATGTACGATTTAGTTTTATGTTTTTAAAAAATGGAAGACTGTAGTTTGTTTTGTAACTTGCTTTTTTACTTAATAATATATCTTGGGCACCTTTATTTCAGTATATTTAAATCTGTCTCTGCCGCATTCTTCTAAAATGCTTTATAGTATGGGTTTTTCTGATTTATTTAATCATCCTCCTATTAATAGATATCTAGATTTCTTCCATGTGTTAATTATGTGAGATAGTGCAACAATGATTATTCTCATGAATGCACATATGGTTTTTTTTTTAATAAGACAGATAATGTTAAGTGGAATTGCTAGGTCAAAAAGTACACATACAAGGCACAAGATAATTATTTTTCTCACACTCTCTGCTTAATTAAAATATTTTTTTCATTTTTGCCCCTGGTGAATTAAAATAAATTTTGAATATTCTTGAATTTTAGTGAGATTAGGTAGGCCTTTGTGTATTTATTGGTTATTTAGATTTCTGTAAATTTTCTATTTATTGTATGTTTCTCCTCAACATACAATGGGGAAACAGGATCATTTGTCCACTTTTCAGAATCTTCATTTTTAAGGAAAAGTTCTAGCATCTGAGCTAAAAAAGCATTTCCTTTCAAGTTTAATTGCTTAAAAATCAAGGTCTTGGTGTTATCCTCTAGAAAGAATTTGGATGTGATACTTCATTTTTGTACAGTCAGAAGCACTCACATATCTTCTTGTTTCTGTCTTGCCAAAGACTACACACTCAACCTATTTAGTAGGCATGCTTGCCAACAGATTCTAATTCTGATGGCTCTTCCCTTAAAAGAAAACAAATATCTCTCAAATCCGATATTATTATGATGTTTATACTCCCAGAAAAGTCTGAAAATGTAAGAAATTCTGGTGGATAATTTAGAGGTTTATTCTTTTCATTTTGAGGGCGTTTGGGGGCAGCTCAGTCTTAAAAGAATTATTACTCTATAGAATATTAACATTTGTTTATTAGACTTCTCTTGGCTCTGCCAGTCATGACCTACTTAGCATAAAAATGGTTATGTTAAATCAACTTGATAGCACTGGATAAGTTCCAAAATGCAATGTCTGTACGCATGTAAAGATATGCTGACTCAAACTAAGTACCTAAAGCATCTAAGTAACTTTTTGCATGATTTTGAGGATAGAAAAATAATTTAGAAGCTAGAGATAATCCCAAGATTTTGCTGATAAGAGAATAGAATTATGCCCTGGAATGTACTTCCTTGGGGAGTAAGACAAAGAACGTAGCTCTTTATAACAGTCTCATATAATTAAACTGATATGGAAGCATTGAGACCTATCAGAAAGTTTTTAGAGTACCAGCTTATTAAAGAATCACCATTTTGATCATCACAAAGACTCCAGATATATTACAGCATGGCTAATATGCCAAATTCTAATGCTAGAAACTTCTAAAAGAAGAATTTACATTTTTAGAGAGTATTTGAACGTTTTTATCCAGTTTTTACCATTAAAATTAGAACGCTGTTAAAAACATTTAGAAATCTAAAAAGTACTTTATGTATTTAAAAAATTATCTGTTTTCCTATGACTGATAAGCTACTACATATCTAAATTTCTGTTAAAGGATTTTAAAAATATATTTTCATGACAACAAAAAGATTGTGGATATTTTCATCACATATGTGACATCTGGTATCTTCTTTGCTGCCAAGATCTATAAATGACTTAAACTGTCACTTAACTTTGAAAAAAGCAACCTTAATAAAGAAGCCAAAAAACCTAAAGTATATAATCAATATAGCAACAACTGTACAAAGCTCTAATATTGGTGGCTACCGAAAATAAATTTATGACAGAGAAAAAAATTTAAGGTTAGTTAAAATTCAAAGTAAGAAAATAAAAAATAGCAAATTTATTCATTTGTATTTAGTATAATCTTATGGTCTCATACAGTTAATGGCTTATATTAGAGGCCCAGTTATCTATTGCTGAATAACAAATCACTGCAAAACTTAATAATTTAAAACGAGATAATTTTATTGTCTCCACCATTCTGTGAATCAACTAGGCCCAACTCCATGTGATGCCAACTGGGTCTGCTATATCCAAGATGGCTCACTACACGCCTGGCACTTTGGTGAAGAAAGCTGAGTATCTCAGCTCAGCTGCTGGGATGCTGTGACAACTGCATCTCCAAATCGACTCTCCAACAAAATAGCCAACATTTTTACATGGCAGCGTGGAGCTATCCTAAAAAGCAAAGCAGAACCTACCAGTCCTTCTTAATTTTTTAATTTTAATTTTTATTTTTCTTTGAGACGGAGTCTCGCTCTGTCGCCCAGGCTGGAGTGCAGTGGCGCCATCTCCGCTCACTGCAAGCTCCGCCTCCCGGGTTCACACCATTCTCCTGCCTCAGCCTCCCGAGTAGCTGGGACTAAGGGCGCCAGCCACCATGCCCAGCTAATTTTTTGTATTTTTAGTACAGACGGGGTTTCACCGTGTTAGCCAGGATGGTCTCGATCTCCTGACCCCATGATCCACATGTCTCGGCCTCCCAAAGTGCTGGGATTACAGGCGTGAGCCACTGCGCCCGGCCAGAACCTACCAGGCCTTCTTACGGCTTACACCAGAAACTGGCCCAGAAACACTTGTACTACATCTAATTGCTTAAAGCAAATCACAGAGATAGCACATATGTACTATGGTAGAACTTAGCGACTAGGAGAGCTGGTTCATTGGGGCTATTTTTGGAGAGTAGCTACCACACTTAGTCCGCTAGCCAAGGATGATGCATTTTCCTCTCACTTTCAAAATAACACTTACCAATCTGCCTAAACCCCCAAATCTCATCACCATCAGTATTATACTTTAAGTTCAGAATCTCATCATGTAAATCAAGTCAAGCTGCTGTATTTAGCAACTGGCTTCTAAAGCAAATAGATTGAGGCTAGTAGGGTGAGGGTGGAACTTCCTCTTGATCAGAAGACCATCAAATAAAGAAACCAGCTATATGCCCACACATTTCCACCTTACGATGAGGAGACATGATCAAGAGAACCACAATACATACCTCCACTTAAAAAGAGGCAGGACAATGTGAGTGACATTGTAGTCACTGGGATGAGAAAATTCTGAGATCCAGTAGGAACAAGCTACCTACCATTTCACCTGGCTCAGGAGGCAGGGCATATGTTGATTAGGACCCATATATGTTCCCTGGGGTGGTTCTTCTTGACGCCTGGCAGCACACCATGAACTCTTTAATGACATATGTTTGCAGCTGCATAGTGTTCTTAGCCTGCTTTCTGCCCATAAGAAGTTGGGGACGCAAAAGTGTTTTTATGTTTTGAGCAGTGTCTGTTCCTTTCAGTCCAGGCTATTATAATTCCTTTTAAAATATGTGGACTTGTGTACAAATTATAATCCAATTCATTAGACAAAAGTGACGTCCACCTATTTCTCTGAGTAGAGTCTTTCTCTATTTGGGGTTACTTGTGAAGACCCTCACAGCAGAGAGGGCCAAAGAGTCTTGTCCTTAAAATTCTTAGAAGCAATTTCTGCTGAGAGGAAAATGAGACACTCTTCCACAATTTCCTGAAATCTCAACCAAATTACAACCATAGCTTTGGTTTGATTGTGAGCCTGAGGCCACAGATTTTACTGGCAGCACTCTGGGTTTGACCTCATTCCCTGAATTTTTTCCCATCACCACCAAAAATTATTTCATGCTTTTTTTTTTTTTGCAGTGAATGTTCCCCACCCCTGGCAAAAAACGATCTTCTGTTTTGCCTTTCTGTAATTTAATATAAATGAAATGATACAGTATTTACTCTTTAATATCTGGCTTCTTTGGCTAAGCATAATGCTTTTGAGAGTCATTTATGCTTTTTTGTAAAATGGTTGTTCAAACCTTTCTCTCTCTTTTTAATCATTTATTTGTCTTATTGTCAAGCTGTCAAGGGTTTTTTTAGTGTATTACAAATACAAGCACTTTGCCAGATATATGTATCTCTAACATTTTCTCTCAGATTGGCACTTTTGTTTTCATTTTCAATAGAATGTTGTGTTTTCTTTTCAACTGGTTTAAATTGTTTTCTAATTTTCCTTGTGATTTTTGTCTTTGACCCATGTATTCTTTAAAAGTATATTGAACAAATGCCAAATAACGGGGGACTTTTTCTGTATAACTTTTTGTTATTTATTTCCAATCAATTCATTCATCAATGAATGTATGTCCATAATTTGTCTATGCTTCTAAATTTGTCAAGACTGTTTTTTATGCTCCAGGATATATTCTGTGGTAGGCAGTTTTTAAGATGTTCCACCTGTAATCACTGGCTCCTGCATTTAGGTCCTTGTGTAACCCCTGACTTTGATTGTAGGCGGATTTAGTGACTAGCTTCTAGGAAATAGAATAAAGCAGATGTGATGGAATCTCATCTCTGAAATTAGGTTATAAAATGACTACAGCTTCTGTCTTAGATACTCTTTCTTGGACCTCTCATTCTTGGGGGAAGCCAGCTGCCATTTTGAGAGACAGCTCTGTGCAGAGGCTCATGTGACTGACCTGGATCAGAGCATCTGGGGCCTGCCCCAAGGCGGGTGAATTACTTTGAAAGTAGAACCCCTCTGAGTCAGCAATTTTGATGAATGTAGCCCCAGCTGACACATTGACTGAGGTAGCATCATAAAAGACCCATAGCTAGAACCACCGAGTTAAGCTGCTCCCAGATTCTTGACTCACAGAAACTGTGCCATAATGAATGTTTGCTGTTTATACTTATTAAGTTTTGGTAAAATTTTTTATGCAACAATAGATAACTAACATAGATATTGGTTATACTTCTTGGTGAATGTTCTGTTTCAACTGTAATTGTGAATTTCCCTGTTTATTTGTTTACATTAATAGGTTTTTATTTCATGTATCTTAACATTCTCTTATTAGTTGCATACACATATAAGAAATGTGATATCTTCTTGATGAATTGATCATTATTGTTATAAAATTTCCGCCTTTATATCTGGTAATATTCCTTGCCCTAAAGTCCATTTTATATGGCCTCTCCAGCTTTCTTTTGAACAATGTTACAATTATATATATATATTTTCCCATTCTTTTAACTTTTCTGCATTTTTATATTTACAATACATTTTCTGTAGACAGCATACAGTTGAGTATTTTTTATTTACGTTGAAAATTTCTGCTTTTAAATTGGAGTATTTACCCATCTACATTAAAGTGGTTATTGATGTGTTTGAGTTTAAATTTAACACCTTGGGTTTTTTTTTTTTCTGTTTGTTTCATTTTTACTTTTTTGCTTATTTCCTGCCTTACATTAATTGCAAATATTTTCAGATTTTGTTTTATCTACACAATTATCTTATTAGTGTTACCTCATTTATCTACTTTTAGAGGTTGCTTTAGGTTTACAATATTGGTTTGTAATTTGTGGCAGAGATGTTTCAAATAATATTATGCCACTTTGATATATAGGCCATTCTTCATAATAATACCTGAGACATTACATTCAGGAAAGCACATTTTTCAATGAAAATTTCCAGGGCTGAAAATACAAGACAGAGAAAAGATTTGTCATATCACTACATAGCCTAATAAGGACTAAGTCTTTATTCAAACAATTATATTGTTAATTAAAAAGACAATTTTGGCTATCTGGGAATAGCATGCTAATTACTCTTTTAGACTATGGAAACTATTTTTAGTGCTGGACTGAGAGCTGGAAAGCAAGGGCTGCTTACCAGATAATGGACAAACACCACTGTGCTCAGTTATCTTTACGTTCTTTCAGACTTCCATATTCAATTAATAATTATTTATATGATAAAAAGAGTGGTTATTTGTTTATTATTTTTAAAACACCATTTGGGTTCTCTGAATAGAATGATTTGCTAAAGATTGCTTTTTCAGATTAGAGTACATATGGAAAGGCCATAGACATCCAGAGTTCTATAATTGTTTCCAGAGGGGTGACTAGGTTCCCCAATATATGAATCACAAGAATCTACTCTTTGCACAATCAAGATTGTAGGAATGCTGTTCTACTTACTATTACAAAGGCTGGACCTTGACAAATGTACATTGACAAATGTACAAATGCAGAAACACTACTGGGTTGGTTTCCAGAATTTGGTTAATTGAAGATATACCTAAACTGAGTGTAGAAATCTCAATGCAGTCTCAGTGCTGAAGGAATTTTTGAGCAAATGCTGGTGGAATTATATGTGTGTGTATGTATATTTCAAAACCAATGCTCAGAAGTAGCAAATCAGTCAGTACTATCTAACAAACAGAAGCAAATATAAAAAGAAAGATGCCTTCTGACAATCTTCCCTATAGCACAGAATATAGGAAATGAATTTGGAACTGAATTGGATTTTTTAAATGAGCTAGTTTTCCTCCTTCTCAATGGTAGATTTATATATAATCAACGAACATCTGTTTCCATTCTTTTACTATCAACATGTGTTTTTATAATTAAAATACATTATCTGTAGACAACATGTAGTTGGGTCTTAATTCCTTTTATTCAGTCTAACAATTTCTGCCTTTTATTGAAGTGCTTACCCATTTACATTTAATGTGATTATAGACGCCGCCTCTTTCAGGGAATCTACTTATTGGATAAATTTGAAAATTTCTCATGTTTAACTCTTTTAGATTTGCCAGCCCATTTAAAGCAGGCAGACATCCTAAGGTATACCACGACAGTGATCTGATCTTTTTTGTCATATATAAGCCATGTGTTCATTAAAAGGAAGTTCCCAGGGCATAATGTTTCATTTTCCTTATGTGTGCAGTTTTGTATTTTATTTTTAGTAAGTTATATATGACAGTACTTCATCCAGTTCGACTATACTGAAGTGTTTATTAAAGTCTAGTCCTAAAAGTCACTCAAGTGGAATTTTTTTTTTTTTTTTTGCTAAAAAAATGGAAGGAATTGGAGAATAAAGAAATAATACCTATTGGGTTGCTTGAACCCGGGTTTTCATTTTATGATGCTAATTTTATTATACTGCACAGAAGCAGATTCATCTAATTCAGGAGCAACTTCATGTGTTATATCTGCAGGATGTACATAGTCAGTTGTTACAACATTATCTCTCTCCTGAGAAACATAGGCAAAGATTCCATGAAAGAAAATTTCTGCAGAAAACTGAAACTACAGACTGCCTACATGTGATGATCAGTCAATCTGTCAAAAAGGTAGTTACTGAGCACATTCAGGGTTCAACGTGTTCCTCTAAGTGCCTGATCTCACTTACTTTTGACTTTATCATCTTTCAGAAGGAATTAAAAGCCCTTCTCCCTGACTGATCCTTCTTTAGGCATTAAACAATGATAAAATATATCCTTAAATAGAGTTTAACTTCAGACACCTTCCCTTTAACATCACAACCTCCTCAAATCTCTCAGTGAGTTAACAACGAGTTTGAATTTATGCATTATTTTCCAGAGACAGAGACATACAAGTAGGTTTTTCAAGTCAATATTGGAGAAGAGATAGTTAGATTAACATAGTCTTCTGGATTTGCCAATCAGGTAGAGTTAATCATTACTCATTACTTCCCTCATTTTATTTTGCTCATTCATTTACCAAATAAAATTTTAAGTCACTGAAAAATATACTATATTGCACAGAATAAAACACTGTCTCTGAATTGAAGAGCTCCAATGAGAAATAGTATTTCTAATGTGGTGTAGGAAGTGCTATAATACGGGTATGAATTGAAGCTCAAAATTCATTTTTATCAAAAATAGTGGAGCTTGTCAATCTGCAAATCAAATGAGTTAAAGCTGTGAAATATAGGAAAAATTTCATAACCTCTCTTGGCCTTTAGTTGCTCCACCAGTAAGAGACATTTAGAAGAGACCACCTGTAAAGCTTAATGTTCTAATTATACTGTTTTATATAGCTTCAATTTTCCTAATAGTTCAAAAATTTCTGTTTCATAAAGAACAGCTCTAAAGGTATATTTCTTCCATAACTTTTTCTATCAAAAATTTATCTCCCCTGCATATCCTTGTTAATTTTCTGTCTTGTTGATCTGTCTAATATGGGCAGCAGAGTGTTAAAGTCTCCCAATATTATTGTGTGGGAGTCTAAGTCTCTTTGTAGGTCTCTAAGAACTTGCTTTATGAATCTGGGTGATCCTGTATTGGGTGCATATATATTTAGGATAGTAGCTCTTTTTGTTTCATTGATCGCTTTACCATTATGTAATGCCTTTCTTTGTCTTTTTTGATCTTTGTTGGTTTAAAGTCTGTTTTATCAGAGACTATGTTTGCAGGCCCTGCTTTTTATTTTTCTTTCTCTTTGCTTGGTAAATATTCTTCCATCCCTTTATTTTGAGCCCATGTGTCTCTGCACAGGAGATGGGTCTCCTGAATACAGCACACCGATGGGTCTTTACTCTACCCAATTTGCCAGTCTGTGTCTTTTAATTGGGGCATTTAGCCCATTTATATTTAAGGTTAATATTGTTATGTGTAAATTAGATCCTGTAATTATGATGCCAGCTAGTTATTTTGCCAATTAGTTGACGCAGTTTCTTCATAGTGTTGATGGTCTTTACAATTTGGTATGTTTTTGCAGTGGCTGGTACCAGTTTTTCCTTCCCATATTTAGTGCTTCCTTCAGGAATTCTTGTAAGGCAGGCCTGGTGGTGACAAAATCTCTCAGCATTTGCTTGTCTGTAAAGGATTTTATTTCTCCTTCACTTATGAAGCTTAGTTTGGCTAGATGTGAAATTCTGGGTTGAAAATTCTTTTCTTTAAGAATGTTGAATATTGGCCCCTACTCTCTTCTGGCTTATAGGGTTTCTGCAGAGAAATCCACTGTTAGTCTGATAGGCTTCTCTTTGTGGGTAACCCAACCTTTCTGGTTGCTCTAAATATTTTTTCCTTCATTTCAACCTTGGCGAATCTGACAATTATGTGTCTTGGGGTTGCTCTTCTCGAGGAGTGTCTTTGTGGTGTTCTCTGTATTTCCTGAATCTGAATGTTGGCCTGTCTTGCTAGGTTGGGGAAGTTCTCCTGAATAATATCCTGAAGTGTGTTTTCCAACTTGGTTCCATTCTTTCCGTCACTTTCAGGTACACCAATCAAATGTATGATTGGTCTTTTCACATAGTCCTATATTTCTTGGAGGCTTTGTTTGTTCCTTTTCATTCTTTTCTCTCTAATCTTGTCTTCAAGCTTATTTCATTAAGTTAATCTTCAATCTCTGATATCCTTTCTTCTGCTTGATCGGTTTGGTTATTGATACTTGTGTATGCTTCACAAAGTTCTTGTGCCGTGTTTTTCAGCTCCATCAGGTCATCATGTTCTTCTCTCAAGTGGTTATTCTAGTTAGCAATTCATCTAACCTTTTTTCAAGGTTCTTAGCTTCCTTGCATGGGGTTAAAACATGCTCCTTTAGCTTGGAGGAGTTTGTTATTACCCACCTTCTGAAGCCTACTTCTGTCAATTCGTCAAACTCATTCTCCATCCAGTTTTGTTCCCTTACTGGTGAGGAGTTGTGATCTTTTGGAGAAGAAGTGTTCTGGTTTTTGGAATTTTCAGCCTTTTTGTGCTGATTTCTCCCCTTCTTTGTGGATTTATCTATCTTTTGTCTTTGATGTTGGTGACCTTTGGATGGGGTTTCTGTGTCTGGACATCCTTTTTCTTGATGCTGATGCTATTCCTTTCTGTTTGTTATTTTTCCTTCTAACAGTCAGGCCCCTCTGCTGCAGGTCTGCTGGAGTTTGCTGGAGGTCCACTCCAGACCCTGTTTGCCTGGGTATCACCAGTGGAGGCTGCAGAACAGGAAAGATTGTTGCCTGTTCCTTCCTCTGGAAGCTTTGTCCCAGAGGAGCACCAGCCAGATTCCAGCTGGAGCTCTCCTGTATGAGGTGTCTGTCGACCCCTCCCAGGAGGTGTCTCCCAGTCAGGTGCCACTGGGATCAGGTATCCACTTGAGGAGGCAGTCTGTCCCTTAGCAGAGCTGAAGCACTGTGTGGGGAGATTTGCTGCTCTCTTCAGAGCCAGCAGGCAGGAATGTTTAAATCTGCTGAAGCTCTGCCCAAAGAGAAGCAATCTATAGAGGCAGTCTGGCTACAGCAGCTTTGCCAAGCTGCAGTGTGCTCCACCCAGTTTGAACTTCCCTTCCCGGTGGCTTTGTTTACATTGTTAGGGGAAAACCGCCTACTCAAGCCTTGGTAATGGTGGACACCCCTCCCTGCACCAAGTACAAGCTCCCAAGTCAACTTTAGACTGCTGTGCTGGTAGCGAGAATTTCAAGCCAGTGGATGTTACCTTTTTGGGCTCCATGGGGGTGGGATGCACTGAGCTAGACCACTTGGCTCCCTGGCTTCAGCCCTCATTCCAGGGGAGTGAACAGTTCTGTCTCACTGGCATTCCAGGTTCCACTGGGGTAGGAAAAAAAACTCCTGCAGCTAGCTCAGTGTCTGCCCAAACAGCTGCCCAGTTTTGTGCTTGAAACCCAGGGCCCTAGTGGTGTAGGCACCCAAGGGAATATCCTAGTCTGTGGGTTGCGAAGACCATGGGAAAAGCATAGTATCTGGGCCGGAATGCACCATTCCTCATGACACAGTTCCTCACAGCTTCCCTTGGCTAGGGAAGGGAGTTCCCTGACCCCTTGCACTTCCCTGGTGAGGCAATGCCCCGCCCTGCTTTGGCTTGCCCTCCATGGGCTGCACCCACTGTCTAATCAGCCCCAGTGAGATGAGTGGGGTTCCTCAGTTGGAAATACAGAAATCACCCACCTTCTGCGTAGATCTCGCTGGGAGCTGTAGACTTGAGCTGTTCCTATTTGGCCATACTCCACCTCCTCTTCCATGCTCATGGATAGGAAGAATCAATATCGTAAAAATGGCCATACTGCCCAAAGTGATTTATAGACTCAATGCTACTCCCATCAAGCTACCATGGATTTTCTTCACAGAATTAGAAAAAACTACTTTAAATTTCATATGGAACCAAAATAGAACCTACATAGCCAAAACAATCCTAAGCAAAAAGAGCAAAGCTGGAGGTATGATGCTACCTGACTTCAAAGTATACTACAAGGCTATAGTAACCAGAACAGCATGGTACTAGGACCAAAACAGAGATATAGACCAATGGAACAGAACAGAGGCCTCAGAAATAATGCCACACATCTACAACCATCTGATCTTTGACAAACCTGACAAAAATAAGCAATGGGGAAAGGATTCCCTATTTAATAACTGGTGTTGGGAAAACTGGCTAGCCATATGCAGAAAATTGAAACTGGACCCATTCCTTACACTTCATACAAAAATTAACTCAACATGGATTAAAGACTTAAATATTAGACCTAAAACCTTAAAAATGCCAGAAGAAAAGCTAGGCAATACCATTCAGGACATAGGCATGGGCAACGACTTCATGACTAAAACACCAAAACCAATGGCAACAAAAGCCAAAATTGACAAATGGGATCTAATTAAACCAAAGAACTTCTGCACAGCAAAATAAACTATCATTAGAGTGAATAGGCAACTTACAGAATGGGAGAAAATTGTTGCAATCCATCTGACAAAGAGCTAATATCCAGAATCTACAAGGAACTTAAACAAATTTACAAGAAAAATCAAACAACCCCATCAAAAACTGGGTAAAGGATATGAACAGATACTTCTCAAAAGAAGACATTTATGCAGCCAAAAAAACATATGAACAAAAGCTCATCATCAATGGTGATTAGAGAAATGCAAATCAAAACCACAATGACATACCATCTCACACCAGTTAGAATGGCGATCATTAAAAAGTCAGGAAACAACAGATGCTGGAGAGGATGTGGAGAAATACGAACACTGTTACACTGTTGTTGGGAATGTAAATTAGTTCAACCATTGTGGAAGACAGTGTGGCGATTCCTCAAGGATCTAGAACCTGAAATACCATTTGACCCAGCAATCCCATTACTGGGTATATACCCAAAGGATTATAAATCATTCTATTATAAAGGCACATGCACACGTATGTTTATTGCAGCACTGTTCACAATAGAAAAGACTTGGAACCAACCCAAATGCCCATCGATGGTAGACTGGATAAAGAAAATGTGGCACATATACACCATGGAATACTATGCAGACATACAAAAGGATGAGTTCATGTCCTTTGCAGGGACATGGATGAAGCTGGAAACCATCATTCTCAGCAAACTAATACAGGAAAAGAAAACCAAACACCGCATATTGTCACTCATAAGTGGGAGTTGAACAATGAGAACACATGGACAGACGGAGGGGAACATCACACACCAGGGCCTGTTGGTGAGTGGAGGGCTAGGGGAGGGATAGCATTAGGAGAATACCTAATGTAGATGATGGGCTGATGGGTGCAGCAGATCACTATGACACATGTATACCTATGTAACAAACCTGCATGTTTTGCAGATGTATCCCAGAACTTAAAGTATATGTAAAAAAAAAATTCCCTTTTTTCCAGCAAAGTCCAGACTCTCATTTAGGCTATATCCCTCTTGCTTCTCAGTCTGCCTGAACTGAATGAAGTACATACCTATCTCCAGAACAAATGTGTAATCTTGACTGGTCCATCAGCACATTAAATCCTCTCACACACACACAATTCAGGGATTCATACACGACACAAAGCAGGCCAATCAGGGGAAACAAAACTCAGTTCTGTGGCTTCTGTTTGAGTCACTGCTGAAGCAGAAATGTTTCTTTTGTTTTTTAATGTCATGGCTCTGAAGATACTGAGCACTGTAATGGAACTGTGAATGTACTACCCAGATGAGGTAGAGCTGAGATGGAGTCTGTGGTGAGCTCTTTAATCCAGCACTTCTGAAAGAGCTCAACCCCTGGACTTCTCAGATTATATGTACACATGGGTACTTTTTAAAAAAACTTAGGCCTGTTTGAGAGGAGATTTCTATCTCTAACAACTGAAAGAGCCCTAACTTTCATAAGGTTTATCTATACAGGCATTCTAATTCTAAATCTTCAGATAGCAAAGGCAGTCACACTATCTATCTATCTATCTATCTATCTATCTATCTATCTATCTATCTATCTATCTATTATCTATCTATCTATCTACCTATCAATATCTTTCTACCTACCTACCTACCTACTTATCTATCTACCTATCATCTATCTACCTACTTACCTGTCATCTATCTACCTACCTAATCTATTATCTACCTACCTATTGTCTACCTACCTAATCTATTATCTACCTACCTATTGTCTACCTACCTAATCTATTATCTACCTACCTACCTATTATCTATCTTATCTATCTATCTATCTATCTATCTATCTATCATCTATCTATTTATCACCTATCTACCTGTCATCTATCTATCTGTCTTTCTATCTATCTGATATCCATGGTATACAGGAACAATTGCATAAAACTGAATTGAAATTTTGATCCTTAAGAAACAATACTTTCTGCAGCACACCAACATGGCACATGTATACATATGTAACAAACCTGCACGTTGTGCACATGTACCCTAAAACTTAAAGTATAATAATAATAAAATTTAAAAAAAAAAAAACAATACTTTCTCCAGATTGATACATTTAACTAGAGAGTTCTGTGTGGACTATATTTATCTTCTTTAGATCTTATTTGGTTTAATCTTTACCATATAAAAGGATTATAAAAATATAATCGTTAAAATATCTCAGTTCACTTTTAAAGTTAAAGAACAACTGGTGAACCAGGTTAGCCATCTTTTCCTCCTTATTCAAAAATCAGAGCCTTAAGAATACTACAAATATAGACCAAAAAAACCTAAGAATATCTTTAATGAAGTGACTCATTATATGAGTACTATGCTTAATATTATCATAAATAATATTAATAGCATTTAGAAAAGAGGGCAAAAGACTACTTATTTTTCATAATTAATTATTGTTAAATATTTTGAATTAGCCATTGTAATTACATATTATACCAATTTATGAAATTCCCATTTTCTTTTTCTGACAGGCTCAAGTTTGCTGACATTTAAGGCACTGAAAGTACCTCATCTTCTCATATGTACTCCCTCTTAGTAGGAGATCTTTTTAGGAAGCAGCTTTATTTATTATTAAAAGTTTGAATATTTTATAAAACATTAATGACTTTGATAGCTCTAGGTATTCAATAAGATATTTTGCACTATTTGCACCCTGGGACAATCCTCTCAAAAAGTGAAATTTTATAAACCACATGGATAAAAGTACATAAATAAATGTGGCATTCTTATTTTTCTCAGGTAACAGAAAGCAAAATTACCCTGTTCTAGCCTACATATTTGAACAGTAAGTAGAATCATAATATCTTCAACAGCTTGGCCATCTGTTATTGTTCCAAAAAGCTTCAGGGAATAGTCTGTGTAATGGAATGTAAAACATTATCAACTGCTATGGTCTGAAACGTTGTGAAATAGAATCTGTAAAACTTTGTAGCCAGATAAACCAATTCAGAAAAATAAAAAGTGAGCATAGAACCAAAATTTGGGAAAAATAAAAGGTAGGTTTGTTTATATCTAAACTTAAGTATTTAAAATGAATATACTGATACTGACAGCCAGTGTTGGTTGAGTATTCATTAGGTACCAAGTACTATTCTAAGTGGTTTTCTTGAATGAGCTTTCTTAAGCCTCACAACAATTCTCTAGGGCATGTTACTATGCTTGTTTTATGAACTAGAAAATTGAGAAAAAGGGAGATTAAATAATTTGCCCAAGACCAACAGTTAGAAATGGCAGGCTAAGGACTTCTGAAAATCTATTTCAGCATAAAGGCAATGACCACTAGCAAAATTTGTCAGAATCAACTTTTGCAGAACTCTAGAAATTAACGAAAAAGAAATCTTTTTTTTAAGAAAAGTGACTAAATCTTGATAAGAATGTGAGCTTTGTGACGTTTTGAATTGTCCTATAGCAATTCTTCTCAGCTGCATGACAGACTTGAAAACCAGCAGCCTTGCAATCACAGTAGCTGTGAGAAAAAGCAACTTTGCAACCACCAAAGAGGGGGACACTGGGTTTGGAGCTCCTAAAAAAACTCGATTCCAAGAGCATTGCCACTATGTTAGCTGTTAGGAATCTCCCTGAAAAAGCACCCTTTCTAGGATTTGTCTTTACTCAAGCTGACTCCCTACTGTCCCCAGGAAAAGCCATATCAAAGAATCAGCAGCAATTATTAACCATTGCATCTTCCAGAGGCTGTGATGCTAATTGTGGCAAACAGGAAGCAAGATATAGGGTTTTTTTTAATATATTCTAAATTTTCCCAACTTTCCTGTTTATCTTTGTCTCTTTCCTGCACTCTAGCATGCACATGTGTGCACGCACACACACACACACACACAAACACATGCACACATCACCTTCTTCCTTTAGCTGGAAAACTTGCATAGATCTACTCATGCACATAAAAGGCCTCAGATATCACTAGTCCACTAGGTCCGCCAAGATGAATCTAGTCTGCTCCTAGCTGACACTCTGCTGCACCCATGTCACCATGTTCTTTGCATGGCATCACCTTATCTTGATATGTTTCAAAGAAATTCAAACCTACCACTGGCACCAGGGAAATGCTTTTATCTCTCTATCTCAACTGTCCTGAAAGTATGTGTGTGTAAAGAACTCCATACTGTAAACATATTATTACTGGGATCTGTTTTTTGAATGTATCATAGAGAACACATGATATATACAATATCTTGATAAACGATACCATAAAATGATTCTCGTTTCTCATCATTACAAACATCAGCATGGCATGAGGTTAATAAAGGAATGACATCTGTATTATCTAAAATTAAGTCTACTAACTATATTTATAAGCTAAAAAGTCAGCCTGCCACAGTGATAGGTAGATAGATAGATAGATAGATAGATAGATAGATAGAGATAGACAGATATAGATAGATAGATAGATAGATAGATAGATATAGATAGATAGATAGATAGATAGATAGATAGATAGATAAATAGATGCTCTTCTGGTAATAAACACAAAGTGTCTAGATTAGAAAACAGATAGTTGAATATTCACAGAGCATCTTAGCACTGAGAAGGCTATGAGAGACTAATGTTATCCTGCACAGACAAGAGTTGAGTATACCACCATGGACTCACAAACTATGACACTTGGAGTTTGGCTGGCACATTGACCCATCCTTTCCTCAGGTGAGGGAGAGTCTTTTATTTTGCGATGTTAGCAAATGTTTACAGGGGAGACGTCTCTAAACCTCTCTGAAGCAACCTACTATCTCTATCTTCCAAGATACATTTGCTATTCAACCCTACTTTAACCAAGTTTGCCAGTGGTCTTTCCTCAAAAAGATTGGACTGTGTGGTAATCTGAAAATATTTCATGGAGAATTGCCTCTCAATAATCAAATCCAGGGATTGACACCAACCTAGTGACTTTCCCTGATTTACTCTACAGCTTTTGGTATTGAATAATGAAAGGTTGAGGGATGAATACAAAGGAAGCTTCTTATCCCACAGGAAAAAATTAAAATGCTTTATTTGCCAATATTGACATTTTCATTAAACAAATGAATGACATTCATAATTATTACCTTAATTAAAACTATCAGAACTTTTGAGAGTATTCATTTACGGACAGTAAGAAGGTACTCAATTGTATTTTCAGATTATAGTACTCTACTTGAAAATAAGTTATTTTAACATTTTAGCCCCATATATTTTCTTGAAAAGGCACAACAAAAATGATCACATCAGCAGAGATTATTTCTTTCATCATTAAAGAGGCAATACATTATTACAGTGTATAAATTCTACTCAGACAAGGCTATTTCATTTAATCCTCACTAACCCCTCCCTACTCTCCAGGAAGACAAAATATTACATAAATACAATGAACTTTATTTACCTTAATATAGTAAAAACATACCATAATCTCTGGGACACAGCTAAAGTAGTGTTTAGAGTGAAATTTATAGGACTAAATGCCCACAGGAGAAAGCAAGAAAGATGTAAAATCGACACCGTAACATCACAATTAAAAGAACTAGAGAAGCATGAGCAAACAAGTTCAAAAGCTAGCATAAGACAAGAAATAACTAAGATCAGAGCAGAACTGAAGAAGACAGAGACATGAAAAACCCTTCAAAAAATCAATTAATACAGGAGCTGATTTTTTGAAAAGATTAACAAAATAGATAGACCACTAGCCAGACTAATAAAGAAGAGAGAAGAATCAAATAGACACAATAAAAAATGATAAAGGGGATATCTCCACTCATCCCATAAAAATACAAACTACTATCAGAGAATACTATAAACACCTCTATGCAAATAAACTAGAAAATCTAGAAGAAATTGATAAATTCCTGGACACATACACCCTCCCAAGACTAAACCAGGAAGAAGTTGAATCCCTGAATAGATCGATTACAGGTTCTGAAATTAAGGCAGTAATTAATAGCTTACCAATCAAAAAAAGCCTAGGACCAGATGGATTCACAGCTGAATTCTACTAGAGGTACAAAGAAGAGCTGGTACCATTCTTTATGAAACTATTCCAAACAATAGAAAAAGAGGGACTTCTTCCTAACTCAGTTTCAGAGACCAGCATCATCCTGATACCAAAACCTGGCAGAAAAACAACAAAAAAAGAAAATTTCAGGCCAATATTCCTGATGAACATCAATACAAAAATCCTCAACATAATACTGGCAAACCAAATCCAGCAGCATATCAAAAAGCTTATCCACCACCATCAAGTCGGCTTCATCCCTGGGATGCAAGGCTGGTTCAACACACGCAAATCAATAAACGTAATCAATCACATAAACAGAACCAATGACAAAAAACACATGATTCTCTCAGTAGATGCAAAAAAAGGCCCTCGATATAACTCAACACCCCTTCATGCTAAAAACTCTCAGTAAACTAGGTATTGATGGAACATATCTCAAAATAATAAGAGCCATTTATGACAAACCCACAGCCAATATCATATTGCATGGGCAAAAGCTGGAAGTATTCCCTTTGAAAACCAGCACAAGACAAGGATGCCCTGTCTCACCACTCCTATCCAACATAGTATTGGAAGTTCTGGCCAGGGCAATCGAGCAAGAGAAAGATATAAAGCGTACTCAGACAGGAAGAGAGAAAGCCAAATTGTCTCTGTTTGCAGATGACATGATTGAATATTTAGAAAACCCCATTGTCTCATCCCAAAATGTCCTTAAGCTGATAAGCAACTTCAGTAAATCTCAGGATACAAAATCAATGTGCAAAAATCACAAGCATTCCTATACACCAATTATGGCCAAACCAGCTAAACCAAGCTGTGAGCTATAGCACACAGAACTATAGAGACAGCTAGGAAACTGGTATAAACCTGTGTCTCTCCAACAGTTTCAGCAACACAATTGTTGAATGAAAATAAAAATGCACTTTCTTCTAAACTTTTTATTGATATACCTGATCACAATTCCTTTCACTTAGAAGAAACAACTTTATTTTAAATAATGACATTTACATATGAAACAAGAAAATTAAATTATCTTTTATGTGAGGTCATCTTAATTTTCTTTTGATATATATTTTTTGACATACATTATTTCTGCCAATTTTGTCTTTACAAGCATTCTGTAAGGAAGATGCTCTTCTCATAGGATCCTTCAGGTGTCGCTTTTCTGTCCAGAAACCTCTGTGGTCGGTGGTGCCTTTGTCTGAATTTTGCTTTGGCCCACTGTGCTTGATGTGCCCACTCGGCCTGGCAGCCTGAACTCAGCTTGCGTGACAAACCTGGATCCCATGCCTGCCAAGGGTGAGCCAGGCACAGAGCGGTGAGGATTGTGTGAATGAGCAAGCATGGGGTCCAGCCACTGCCCACAGCCAGGCACTCTGGCTGCAGCAGGGTGGGCAGTGCCAGGCACCAGCTCCCTGCAAGGCTGTGGCTGGATGAGGCACACTGCAAGTAGCTTCCATGGCTGGCACCAGGGAATGTGGTGGCACCCAGAAACTTGGAGATGCCAGGAACCACAGAACCCCAAAAAGGGCATCACAGCCCTGGCTCAGGGTGCTCCCAGGTCTGGGTTGTCTGAAGGGCTGAAACTCTTCTCTCCTTCTTTCTTATCTTTTTCTTGTTGCCTGCCATGTGGCAAGCAGGGGGTGTATTTCAGCCCTGTTTGTGTTACATCTCTTTCAGCCCCACCATTCGGCAGGTCCCAAGTTCTTGTACTGCATCCAGGAAGAATGAGTTATGCAGACAAGTAGAGGGTGAGCAAGGTGAAGAGGTACTTTATTGAGCAACAGAACAGCTCAGAGGAGACCCACAGTGGTTAGCTCCTCTCCATAGGCAGGTCATCCCAATATCTGTTCAGCTGTCAGCAGAAAGGAGACCCACAGTGGGTAGCTCCTTTCTGCAGGCTGATTGTCCCGTTGTCCACTCAGCTCTCAGGAGACAGGAGACCCACAATGGGTAGTTCCTTTCTGTAGGCAGGCCATCCCATCATCTGCTCAAGTCTGGCTGAGTCCAAGATTTTTATGGGCTTAAGAGGGGAGAAAGTAGGTGCTGATCGGCCCGTGAGCAGTCATGGGAGGCCCCAGAGCAAGCTCCATTAAGTTCTCACTCCATGGCAGCCCTCCGGCAGGCTTCAGGCCGTCCCTGGCCTGAAGATGGGGCTTTACTGGGGATCTGCTCCTTTCTGCCCAGGAGCCTGTTTGCATCCTACCACCATTAACCTGCTCTCCATGGTGCCTATGGTGCCCTGGCTCTTTGTGCCAAGTGGTGCCTGCAAGACTGCGCTGAGCCACCCTTAGCCCCCACCTCACCCTCCCTCCCATGTTTGTGAGCACCCAAAATCTGGAGGAGGCTGAGGTGATAGGGGGCTGGTGTTTCAGTGCTGCCCCAAGCGTGCACACACCCAGCCGAGTCGTGACAGCCCCCAGGCTTGGCCACAACTTTGCTCTGAAATTGGAGTGGGCACTGGGAATGGGCAGAGGTCAGGCAGCGAGAGCAGGCACTTTTGAGCCTGAAGGGGCAAGGGTGTTTCCTGGGGCCCTGAGAGTGCAGTGATGCCTGAGTCCACAGCTGGCTGCTCTGCCACAGCTGCCCCTGGGAGGGCAGGGCTCCAGCTCCTCCAACTTGGAAGGGGGCATGGCTTCCACCTGTTCCCGGCTCCCACCAGTTCTATGGAGCACTCAGCCCTGGCTGTGCCTCCCCCATTGTAGCCAGTGTCATGCAGCGGCCACTCAAGGTGGGCCGCCGCTGCCATCAGTATTGCTCTGTCAATGATAGAAACAGTAAACATGGTATTCACGTAAGGAAATAAAGCACAGTGAAGTTGAAAAAGATACTCTTAAATAGCTTTTACAGCAGGCATCATGGGACCATAAGTACCCGTGTTCTGTTGGCAAGAGACCAGAGAGACAGGACGGCCAAGACACTGTAAACCTTGGAACTTTGGGTGAGTTTTCTCAGCTATAAAATGGTGATAATGATACCTATCTCACAGGGTTCTGTTACATGGGTCAAATAGAAATACAGAAAACCATTATGTTTTATTATTATAGTTTCTGGGAAAGAGATGATTTTAAAATTTTGTAATATGGTTTACCAATAACCTGATGTTAGGAAAATTCTGAGAATCATCATTTGGGATTGTGTTTCTGGCCTTCAAAATGCTCCTCATTTTTAACCATTCCCTGAAAAACTCATGTTGCCAATCAAATCTGAATTACTGCCTGCCTATACAGGCCACTCTCCCCAAAACAGACTGCCTTTTAACCATGATTCGAGATTTAGTTTTCATAATAGGAAATAACAGTTTTGCAGCATGGTCTGGCAGAGCTTTAAAGAACAGCTTCAATCAGGCTGAGATGTGCTTTTACTAACCATATTTCCTGTAGCTGCACAGACAATGAGAAAGCACTTCTGTGAGCAGAACCAATTATAAGTGAACAGGTACACTTTTTCCCAAGCCTGGTCATGATGTCAAATGCTTGATTAGAAAAGTCTTGTGCTTTTAGCTAAATGGGGGTAGATTTCTTTCCATTTGCAAAAACAAGCCATTTCCACCTTTCATTCCACAGCCTCTCAACATCTAAATTCTCATTTCTCAACGGCAAATAGAGTCACAAATGTAACCCCTTGAAATAAGGGAAACAATATTGTGATATTTGTTCGAAAACAAATTGAGTTAGTTTCAGGAAGGAATAGTCTGCACTATTGCACAGAATCAAAAGCATTGTGTGATCCTGGAGAGAACAGGGACAAGCTACAAGCAGACAATGGGTCCCAGTTGAGGAAACATTGGGACGGATTTGGCAGCCATGAAGAGGAATCTCAACAAGAGTGACAAATAAGGGAAAACTTTAAGATCAAATGGATTAAAAAGCTGGTGGGGAACCTCCATGTGCATATCTGATAGAATGACACAACCACAGTAAATCAGGTTTTGGAAGTGCAGGACTGAAGTGGAGGAGTTGTGATTCTGAACAGAGGCAGTTCCTGGGAAAATCCTCCCAGAGAAGGTAAGAAAAGATAAAAACAGGAACCAAGTTTCTACTACATGCAGGATTAAGAAGAGAAAGCAGGCCCCATGAAATCAAGCATTACAGACAAGGACTTCTATTTGGGTGCCAAGGACAAAGAAACAGGGAATGCACCAAGAAGACTACCATCCCTCAAAATACCGCAGGCTCACTTGGGGTCTTTCCTGTTTCCTGTCTTTAAAATTTTTCAGCTATAGCAAAGCAACCTGTAGATATTTCAAGGAACTCAACTGAATTTTTTTGTTTAAAATGTATTATTCAACACTTAACTGGCCAGTGCATAAGTACAGAATCACAGATTGATAGAATATTTAACTAGAAGAAATAGTACTGATCATTTACTCTAACCTCATTTTATAAGCAAGGACACTAAGATTATCCCAGACCACAGAGCAAACTATTTACAGAGCCAGGGCGAGAACCATATTCTCCAAATTTCCAGATAAAGTTGTTGTTGGCTTTCCCACTATAGTTATCTAACTCCAGATTAAACTTTCAACATTTTCCCCCAAAAAAGCATCGTATTTAAAGCCTAAAAGAAGATCATTCTGTTAATAACAGAACCCAGGTAGAAATAAGCTAAATTTTAAGTCAGAATTGGAGAAGTTATAAAATGAAGATTACTTAATGAGAGTAAGAGGGAAAATGCAACCAGAAAGAAACACTTTTGGCTTTGCACTTAAAGCAGATGTAGAATTAACCATTTCTTATTATCTCCATTGCTATCTTCCTAGCCCATAGCAATATTAAGACGGCAATGTTCTTCTAACTGGACTTTCTGTTTCCATTCTTGCTCCACTAGTGTCTAACCTCAACACAAAAGCCAAAATGAGCCCTTTAAGATGTAAGTCAGTTTATGTCATTTCTCCACTCAATTCTCTAATTGTTTCATCTTTCATGAAAAATTAAGCCAAGATTACTACAACAACCTCAAGGACCTACACAATCTGCTTCCCAAATTTCCTCTCTGATGTCATCTCCTTTTATCAGTTTCAGTCGCAATATTTCAGCCTTCTGACCTGCTGGTTGAATCATTTTTATTTAATACAGGGTCTTAGTATGTTGTCCATGCTGGTCTTCTACTTCAGCACCCTGAGTAGCTGGGACTGTGCCACTATGCCTGTCTCTGCCTGTCTTGAACACATTAGACACAGTCCTGCCTTAATGTGTTTATTATCTCTTTCCTCTGTCTGGAACATTTCCTCTCACTATGCACATCTCATCTTACCAATTCATGTCTTTGTACAAATGTCATCTTCTCAGTAAGGTACACCTTGATATTCTTTCAAAAATTATTCTACACCCCTTAAACTCTTAGTCCTTACCTCTTGCTCTATTTTTATAGCACTCTTAATGCTCTAACATTTACCTGATCATTTAGCTGTATCATTTACTTCCAAGACAAAGTAAACATTAAGAGGAGTATCAGACCATTTACGGAGGTGTTTTATTACTGATGAAAATGTAACACAAAAAAACAGTATGTAAAATATAATAACCAACAGATATTTGCAGAAAGAAAGACTTGACGGAAAGCAGATGTTCATCATGTTAAAATACATAATCTTTGGTTTTATTCAGATGTGAGAATATAAATTCTGTACCATAGACAGTTCCATAGCATTGAAAGTTCCTAATGCTCAAGGAGATGACCTGATATCTCCCACGAGTTTATAGATATGTCAGAAGTACACCAGAAATTGTTAGAAACATACACATGGCTTTCATGAGAAGATTTAGCTAAATAGAATAGAAAACCATTTGCCAAGATCGGAAAACCAAGTATCATAAAAATTCAAATTCTCCCAAATTAATATGCTTAATATAATTGCAATCAAAAATCTCACCAGATTTGTATTATTATTATTATTATTTTTTGAGATGGAGTCTTGCTCTGTCACCCAGGCTGGAGTGCAGTGGCACGATCTCGGCTCACTGCAAGCTCTGCCTCATGGGTTCATGCCATTCTCCTGCCTCAGCCTCCTGAGTCGCTGAGACTACAGGTGCCTGCCACCACACCCGGCTAATTTTTTGTATTTTTAGTAAAGATGGGGTTTCACCTTGTTAGCCAGGACGGTCTCGATCTCCTGACCTCGTGATCTGCCCGCCTCGGCCTCCCAAAGTGCTGGGATTACAGGCGTGAGCCACCGCGCCCGGCCACCAGACTTTTTTTAGAAGTTAATAAAGTGTTTTACAGGCTCATTTGAAAGTACAGGAAGCTGAGAATCTAAGTAATTACTGATAAGAAAAAGATTAATACTAAGAAGAAGAAGAAAAAAATTAAGTTGGTGCAAAAGTAATTGCAGTTCTTGACACTGAAATTGCTTTTGCGCCAACCTAATACATATCCATATTAGGAAGTACTAGAAAGTCCTACATTGTAAGTAACTGATACTGGTTTAAGACAATTAGGTAAATCAAAGACACAGAGTAAAAAGTTGAGAAACTGCTTCCAGAAAAGACAGGTAAAGGATTGTTTAGTCAATATGTGGTACTGGGGAAATACACTAACCATTTGTGAAAATAGTTTGATCCTCACTCCATACTATATGCAAAATAAATTTTTTCACAGATTAAAAAGTTAAATAAGAAAATAAAAATTTAGAATACATTATAGTGGATCTGATTTCAAGGCAAGTTAACCTTTCTAAGATTAAAAGTATAGAACTAAATATGAGAATGAGCATTTTAATGCATTTGATTTATTATTATTATGATCATTATTAAGCAAAAAACTAATGTGGGTTGATCCTGGGTAGAAAAGCATTGATTTTGTGAGATGAAAAACCTTGAAGTGGGTTAAGGTTTAGAGTTAAGGGCCATCAGAAATTAGGGATTAGAACTTTTACTTCCTGTTCCTAGCCATTATCACCAAACCTTCAGCAAATTTATGTTCACCTACAAGTGCGTTTTTAGTGGTTCCTTAAAAAATAAAAAAGGACAAATTTAATTGATAGCTTGAGGCACTAAAGACCAGATCAACCTTATGCAGTCGGAATGCCTGTATTGAAGTGATCCAAGGTGATTGAAAACTAAAGAAGAGTGATGAGCAAGAAAGCAAAGGAGACAAAAGGAGAAAACATAAAGATCCCACATAACTTTTTGGAAATAATGGAGGAAGCATTGCCAAAACTATATGAAATTGAGAGCTTATTTGATTTTACTTAGATATTAAAGCAAAATTTGACATTCAAAGAATGACTGGAGATAATTGCATTGCACATACGTACACAGAAACACTAATATGTATAGACACGCACACATAAATACATGGGTATATACAGTATATACCCATGTTTGGTATGCAGAACACATATACATGCATACTCATCAGCAATTTATTGAGTAAGCTGAACTTTATAGTGTCTACACAAGAGCCACCTTGATTCTCACTGTTTTATATCCCTTCAAATCTCTGTGAACTAGTGGTTATTCTAACTCTGCATAAAATCATGGGGAAATCCCATAGTCTTTAGTGAGTACATGGTTCATAAAAATCCACTTGACTCCAGCTCAGTTTAGCATACTAACAAAGCTCAGAATCCTTCTCTAAGTCAAGGCTTCTTCCTGCTGTAGCTTAATCCCACTTGAGTTTTTTAAGTCTACAGAAGAGAAGCAAGTATGTTTGGCTGCTTAATGATGTGCTCTCTTCAACTCCTGCATCCGTGCACTAACCTTTCTTTTTTGACTTCTCCAGCTTAGGGCCTTGGGAGAAAGTGGAATAAGAAGAAAGGATATACACTCTTGAATCACTAATATCTTTATAATGTTGAAATGGCAGGAGTCAAAAACTAACCCTTTTTTTCATAGGTCACTTCTTCAGACTAATGGGAAACCATCCCATTGAGAACCACACAAGTTTCTTTGACTAAGGCTAAGAATGTACCACTACCACCCTCAGTGCTTCTACTCCAGGAAATATATGCACTAGTCAAGGTCCCTTTCAATCTCTCAAGTTCACACCTTGTCTTCAGAGAACCCACACCTTCATTCTGCTATTGACATAAGTGCAGTTTTCTTTCAAAATAACTTACCCCAGGCAAAGGGAAGCTCTAGTCACAGCCTCTTACCTTTAGATTTTGCAGATATGGGTCAAAGGCCAGCTCCTATTTTCTTCCAACTCCTACAGCTCATTGGCAAGACCTCCAAATGGATCACCTGAAGATCCCATCACATAACTTGAAGTGAGGGAGAAGAACCCAACATCTCTTACCCATAATGCCAGGGACTAAAAATTCACAGGATATGGTTAACAACCATCTGTAAAACAATCTTCTCTCTTTATTTTGCTAACTTCTCAATGTTTCTCTAATTTATCTGAGGTGAAAGAAAAGCACTTAAAGAACACTTGCTCCTTGCTTCCAAGATGGGAGACTAGCTAATACTGCTGGCATCAATTATAGGACCTTCACCTTCCAAGTCCTGCATACACAGTTCTGCAGCTCACTTTAAAATGTGGGGGTTCACAGGCATTTTGTTCTCAGGCTTTGGTTTCTCATGCTTTGGGTTCCCAGGATGAAGAGTCAGTGAAACAATCTGTTAGACTACACACATGTGTACATACGCATATGTGTTCATACGTCACTTTATCACAGACACAGATGAATACAGAATCATGCACGTATGTGTGTCTGAGTCTATATGTGTATGAATAACGGAAATATAATATTGACAGTACAAAATATTAATATGATGAAAGTGCTCCTGATTTTATTTTCCTCTTTCATTTTTCTCTTTTCTAAAATAGCGTGCCTTACTCTTAAAACCACAAGTGTATATTTATATGCAAACACATAACAGTGGATCTTATTTTAAAGTTGTGATATTAGTTCAAAAAAATAAAAGATCACTGAAAATGACTAAGTAGTTAAGAAACAGAATTTTTTTTTTCTTTTATTATTATACTTTAAGTTTTAGGGTACATGTGCACATTGTGCAGGTTAGTTACATATGTATACATGTGCCACGCTGGTCTAAATAAAGGATGGTTTCGAATTCTAGCTTACACTCTGAGTAGTAGTTCTCTTTCTTCAGATCTTTCATGAACTATGATCACACATTTAAAATAAGATTCATAATTATTCTCTGAGCTTCAGTGTTCATGTCTTGGGAATATTAATAACACTCATAGGGATATGGAAAGAATTGAATGAGAACTATTTAGTTACTTAAATGTTAGTGAGCCCCCAATAAATGGTTGTTTAAAAAAGTAACAAAATTCCAATTGAAAAATTAAAGACGGCCGGGCGCGGTGGCTCACGCCTGTAATCCCAGCACTTTGGGAGGCCGAGGCGGGCGGATCACGAGGTCAGGAGATCGAGACCATCCTGGCTAAAACGGTGAAACCCTGTCTCTACTAAAAAAATACAAAAAATTAGCTGGGCGTGGTGGCGGGCGCCTGTAGTCCCAGCTACTCGGGAGGCTGAGGCAGGAGAATGGCGTGAACCCGGGAGGCGGAGCTTGCAGTGAGCTGAGATTGTGCCACTGCAGTCCAGCCTGGGCGACAGAGCGAGACTCCGTCTCAAAAAAAAAAAAAAAAAGAAAGAAAAAAGAAAAATTAAAGACTCAGAAGAGAATAAAGTATTTGCAGGCTGCAAAAATTTAATATAGCCAAATACTAAATGTATAAACGTGAGGCAAGGTATGAAGGTAGAAAGGCTTGAGAAATAAATAATGGACAGGCGATAAACTATTGAAAAGAAAGCCACAACACGTTCTCAGCAAGAGAGATACATGGTAAGATTTTCTTTTTAGAATTATCAAATTGTCAGTAATGTGGATAATAAATTTAAGTGTGGTGATCAAAAACAAAAAGACTAGTTAAGAGATGGTCTCAATAATCCAGACAAGAAATGATGAAGACCTGAAGTAAGGAAGTATATATATTCAAGAGATGTCAAAGAAATAGAATCTACAGGATTTGATGATTGACAAATGCAAACAGGAATAAAAAAGGAAGGACTGTTCCTACATATTTGGTTTAGGCAAGTCAGTAGATGGTGGTGGCATTTGCAAAGATAAGAAATGAGAACCCCATTGGTAATCTTTCTTTCTTTCTTTCTCTTTCTTTCTTTCTTTCTTTCTATCTTTCTTTCTTTCTTTCTTTCTTTCTTTCTTTTTTTCTTTCTTTCCTTCTTTCTTTTCTTTCTGGACCATGTAATAGTTCTTATATTGTTCACTAGTACCCAGTTTCCCTCTACTTTCAGGCTTAAGGGAAGGTTACACTTTCACACTCGAACATACACACGGACTATGATTTTCTCTGGCCAATTAAATAAGTGCAATTGATAGAGATAGAGATCTCACATTTGTACATTATTTGTAGTTCTTGATTCTCTACCATCCTTTACCCATACCATGATAACAAGTCATATTCCCGAAGAAGGAGCCAATTGAGGATGATGTATTTCAGAAAATTTTTCCTTGACAAGTTATAAGTGACCAATTTAGTCATAATGATGTTCACAATTTTTATTAGGGGAAAAAAGCATCAATTAGCCATGGCTTGAATTTTGATTCTAAAATCACAAACGTTCTTCATAGTACTGAGTCCCTTAAAATGTTGTTCATTATTTATACCTGAAAAGCAATAATCCATACATGTGGTCTTGGAAAGTTATCCATTGTTGATGAGCTTTTTCTCATCTGTAAAATTGGGATAATAATAATTAGGGAATTAATTTCACTAGTTTTGTATGAGGACTAAATGAGTTGATGCATGTAGAAAACAGAATAGTGACTGATTCATTGTTGGCACTCAGCTAATAAAGCCCTCTGGTTCTTATATTTTAGATTTTTTAATATATTTCCTTTGTTCCTTATATTTTGGACTTCCTCAGAAAAAAAATTCCATCTTCTTCTCTCATGGGCTACCCACTCTAGCTTCATCTCACCTTCTCAAAGGACATTATTTATCACATATTTGTTGACACTTGAATCATCATCCCTAGCTTAGATTTCTTTCCTAAAGTACAGACCCATGGTAAACATCATACTAGGCATCTCAACTCAGAAATTTCAAACCAAACTAAACTGTAACCTTGCTTCTGTAAAACCATCTGCGTTGGTTAATACTGAGTGTTAACTTGATTGGATTGAAGGACACAAAGTATTCATTCTGGGTGTGTCTGTGAGGGTGTTGCCAAAGGAGGTTAACGTTTGAGTCAGTGGGCTGGGAAAGGCAGACCCACCCTTAATCTGAGTGGACACAATCAAATCAGCTTAGAGTGCAGCAGAATATAAGGAGGCAGAAAAATGGGAAAGGGGAGACTGACCTAGCTTCCCAGCCTACATCTTTCTCCTGTGCTGGATGCTTCCTGCCCTTGAACATCGGACTCCAAGTTCTTCAGTTTTGGAATTGGACTGGCTCTCCTTGCTCCTCAGCCTGAAGATGGCCTATTGTGGGACCTATATTCCATTAGTTCTGTCCCTGTAGAGAACCCTGACTAATATAGATTTTGGTAACAGGAGTGGTTCTAGAGGAAGAGGAACAGAATATTAAGGATGAAGTTCTTTCGTTGGTTTTGGGGTTTCTGGAGTTGGCTGCATAATATGATTAGATCAAAAAATGCTAAGGACTCTACTTCTAATAGTGTGGAGAACACTGAGTCCTTGGCATGAACTGTTTAGAGAGTTATGCAAAATAAATGCATTTGACATTCCTGATACATGCTCATGAGAGGCAAGGAGTTTAGTGACTCTATACATAATACCTTTGACCATATGTGGAGAACCAAGGAACCTTTGACCATACGTAGAGAATATAATGAAGCTCCTTGGTTGCTCCTAAGTTCAGTGGGCAAAGTGATGAATGAAATCGAGGATTCTATCTCCTGGCTTCAGAAGCAGATATCAAGCCTCAGATCTGCTAAGATTGCCCTGAGTCTCCTGTACAGAAAGAGCTGAAATTGTGGAAAAATAGACACAAGCTCTTATCATGTGAGTGGCTGACCTGCAACAAAAGGTACATGCACACCCTTGCCAGGTGTCTACTGTTAAAGTGAGGGTATTGACTGGAAAAGAATGGGACCCTGCAACTTGGAATGAGGACGAGTGGGAGGACCCTGAAGAAGCTGGAGACACTGAGTTTCGAAACTCTCATGAACCTTTTTTGCTTTTTTGCCAGAAGAAACAGCTTCCCCATCCCCAGTAGTGACAACATCCCCTCCTCAACCCATGCTGCCATCAGCCTTTCCACCTTTGTCTGAGGAGATAAACCCTGCGCTGCCTGAGGCAACGGTGATGGCCTCCCCTGAGGCGGTTGCCAGGCAAGATAATGTTGATTCTGCTCAGGAGCCACCCCCAACACCCCTGTGTGCTTCTAGACCTACAACTAGACAAAAGTCCTGGTGGGGCGCTAGAGGTGAGGTTGAGAGTGTGACCCATGAGGAGATGCACTACACGGGAAAAGAACTGCTTGAGTTCTCTAATTTATATAAAGAGAAATCTGGAGAACAGGCATGGGAATGGATATTAAGGGTGTGGGATAATGGTGGAAGGAACATACAGTTGGATCACCCTGAATTTGTTGATTTGGGCCCACTAAGTAGGAACTCTGCATTTAATGTTGCAGTTCGGGGAGTTAAAAAAGGTTCTAAGAGTTTATTTGCTTGGTTAGGTGAAATATAGATTAAAAGATGGCCCACTGTGAGCAAGTTGGAAATGCCTGATCTTCCTTGGTTTAATGTAAAGGAAAAGATCCAAAGGCTTAGGGAGATTGGGATGGTGGAGTGGATTAGTCACTTTAGACCTACTCATCCCAGCTGGGAGGGTCCAGAAGATATACCCTTGACCAATGCCTTGCAAAATAGATTTATGAGGGCAGCACCTGCATCTCTGAAGAGCCCTGTAATTGCGCTTTTCTGTATGTCAGATCTAACGAGGGAACCACTGTCACTCAACTACAAAATTTAAATGTAGTAGGAATAATTGGATCCTGAGGTGGCAGGGGCCAAGTGGCAGCACTGAACATCAAAGCAAAGGTGGGCGTAGCTACCATAATGGACAGCAGAGGCAAAGAGGCAATCAGAATAATCTGATGTGTGTAGAGCTCTGGCATTGGCTAATTAATCACAGTGTTCCTAGAAGTGAATTTGATAGGAAGCCTACTGCATTCCTACTTAAATTATACAAACAGAAAACTTCTAGGTCGAATGGGCAAAAGACTAATTTGAGTTATAAAAAATAGAGAATCATGGCCCTTCAATCAATTTCCAGACTTGAGCCAGTTTACAGACCCAGAACCCCTTGAATGAAGGGGAGGCCAGGACTCCTTGTGGAAGGACCCCACTACATTACCGACAATTCATGCAGTGAATCTTTCTCCCATCCTTCCCCAAGGAGACCTCTAGCCTTTTACCAGGGTAACTGTGCATTGTGGAAAGGGAAATGTTCTGTCCCTGTGGAGAACCCTGAATAATGTGCTATTCTTCTACCTATGTTCTGTGTTTTTTATTTTAATGAATTTTCTGAATGTGTTTTAATCAATTTCACCACCATCCATTCTGATGCTTATGTTAGAAATCTGGATACTTTCCTTATCTTGTACCTTTCTTATTTTCTACAATTTATCAACCATACATCCTACACCTACCATATGCTAAAATTCTCTTGAATATGTGTCTTCCATTCACAGAGGCAGGCATCCTCTCTCTTATATTATTGTTTTAGCTTCCTAACTGGTCTCCCTGCCTCTGTTTGAATTGATTATCTATGCTATAATTAGAATATTTTAATGGCTGTATTCAGGTATGATTGATGATTTTAAGTGTACAGCGCTATGATTTTAATACATTTATAGATCTGTGCAACCATTATCATAATCCAGTTTTAGAACCTTTTCATCACCCGAAAATGTTCCTCTTGTCATTTGTCATTGAGTAGGCAGTGTTATGCCTACTTATCTCTCTAGGAAAACACTGATCTGCTTTCTTTTTTTTCTAAATTTTTCTTTGCTTATTATTAAAGTGTTCATTATTCTGTGCTCCTGAACACATTAACCCTTTATTAATCTTTTCCTGTTATACATCCCTATCTACCTTAATGAAGAGAAGACTTCATATTCTCTCTGGATCTTATATTATCACCTACTCAATATGGTATTCAAATTAATAGTCCTAAGTTCTACTCCTATTCTTAGTTCTACTTCCTGAAACTTATTTCAGCTAAATCCTGAATTGTTACTAAAGAGTTTTTGCTGATGCCAAAGTTCATCAGCTAAAGTTGTAATGTCTCATAGAGAGTTCAAGATATTCTCAACTTTCTTCACATCAGTGGATCAGGAAAGAAAAGTCCTAAGCATGATAAGCCTACATTCATCAGAATAGCATGTCGGTAGGAAGGCTCTTTCCTTACCTGATCACTTTCCCTGACCTTCAATCTCTTCCAGAGGTATAGTTGAAAACTGTAACTGCTACAGAACAGACATAGTGATACAGCTAGCATCTCCCAGGAGCTGAACTCTCCTTAAAAAATGACATTTACACATATTTAAGCAGATTTTAACAGAAAAATATGACACCATTTCTGGTTGCTTTCCTTTATGAATCCATATACATGAATAATTCTACTGACAGCCATTTTATATGCATAAAATAAGAAATTTGTGTGTGTGGATAGGAATTTTAAAAGTAGACATATATAGAAAAGAGACCAAAGACTGAGCTCAAAGGCACTTGAACATTAAGAGTTAAGGGAGATCAGAGAAGAGCTACCAAAAAAGATGAGAGAAAAATACAACCACTACAGTATAAAGAAATCAGGAAGGCATAATATTGCAGAATTCTAAGAAAGGATTTTAAAAAGTAGGTAGTGTTTAACTGTGCCAAATAGTACCTAGTATTCAAATAATATGAGGACTGAGGATTGACCATAAAATCTGGCAACCTGAGTATCATTGGTAACCATGACACACCTTATATACCCCTTAGCCTAAATTACCTTATCTGCAAAATAGAGATGATCACAGCATCCATCTCATGGAGCAATGTGGAAGATTAAATAAGAGATTAATACATGTAAGCACCTGGTATAGCGCCAGCTCAGTAATGAGCAGCTGGTGTTTTTATTACAAAAGATTGAGATCAGTCTGGATCATAGACCTTTGGATATTTTATTATTGAACACAAGATGTCTGACAACATTGTGAGAATTTGGTTGAAGCAGAGTCTAGTATGAATGGAAAATACAGAAATGATTTTACCTCAGGAGAAAAGCTGAAATCAGAACCAATGAAGAGAATAGCTTGGATAGGGTGGTTCTCAGCCTTGGATAACAATTGAGAAAACACGTCTTACATGACTTTGTGTTTTATCCTATTTCACAACTGGTAATTGCATACTTTTAAGACATTAATTACAACTTTTAAAAGCATTTGATAACAACAACAAACTTTTATTAAGGACAAATGGTATGTAAAGTTTAGTGATCTGAATGAGCGTAATGTCACAAGTCAGAATAATATTGGTATCTTTTCAGTTACACTAAAAAAAACAAATATTTATTCCTTTTATATATTGTGTGACTTCATAATTTTATAATCAGCCTTTTTAATTTTGTGTGCACCTTCATAAATAACAGTGGATTTATTATACATTTCTTGTGGCCTTTAATGTACAGTTTGATTCTTGTTTGTCTAATTTTGTAGTCAACAGCCTTCTGATTTTATAGAATTCTCTCTTATTTTGTTCTCATGAGATCTAAAATCGTCTGTGTAATTGGCTTGTGGTAAATATCTCAAAGGAGACCAATGGTAAATATCTCAAATGAGAGCATTAGAGATATTTTAACCTCTTACAAAGAGGCTAAAAGCAACTTGTCCTATTAGAAGTGTATCTTAATTAAGTATTGCTTAGAAAGTTTCTAAGACATCATGATTATACTGAAGTTAGATTCTGGACAAAGTGTATGAGAAAGTTTACGGCTATAAAAGGTTTGCTGAGAGTTTTTCCTTAAATAACGCATGCATGAATCTTTTCTTTGTCTATGAATTTTTAAAGTATTTATGGGCCCTCCGGTCTCTTAAATTTAAAGTTCATTTTCACTTTCTACTCTCTTCTATTTCTAAGACAAATCTTTTTCTTCTTACGTTTTTTACTTTTCAAAGTTTGGGAAAAAATACTGATTTTTGGAAGCCTATTTTATTGCATTCTTTCATAGCCATCTTGTGCTCATTTTCTGTCCTAATATTTATCCAGGAAAATTTGGTTTGGGAAGCAAAGCATAAATATATTTATTGATGTAGGTCTGATATCAATGAAAACATCACCGAAGATTAAAAGTAATGGTTAACTTGCAAGGAACTGGGGAATTGTAGCAAAACTTATTTGCTCAAATATATAGCTTATGTGTTATCAATTTATTTTTAGGCAAGGTTTTATTCTAAAATAAATTCACAATTGACAAATATAGTAATGGAAAATTCAGACAAATCTGTTTCAAAACTGCATAGCCAACTGGAACTTATCTCCTCTACTTTTCTTCAACTGCTCTTTTGATTTTTTTTTTTAAAGAAAAACTGAAGGTAATAAGCTCAAGGAAAGGAACATAAATATCTAGTGAGCCCACACTCAATTTTAGTGATTACAGGCACTAAAATTTCTATAGAGATTATAGGAAATTGGCAATTCAAATGCTCTCACTTAATACATACTGTGCAATGAACTGATCATTTTTCTGTTATTGCTATCATTTCAAACAGGAATTTCCATGTAGTGGACATTTTAGTAAATGAAAACTATTCTAATTTTCTTAAAGGCCAGAAATCTAGTGCAAAATAATTTAGTCCAAATTTGCTCAAGCTTTTTGCTAATCTATTGAGAAAATAAATAAATTTTATAAATTCACATTTTTTTCTGCTAAAAAAGTAATACTCAGTAACACCGAAAATATGACATCACATATTTGGTGGTATTTTTGTTCTTGACACTATAGATAAGGAGTGGGGGACAGTATTAGCTAATGTTTTTCATCATTGCCCCCAGGTGAGAACATTCTCAGTTGTTAAAAAGTTCAGAGAGGGCCAAAATTTTAGTTTCTTCACATATTTCCAATTGAAAGTGTACTTCAATCATGCCATAATGAAAACCATGTTCTTTAGCCATAAATTATCCAGAGAAAATCAGTATTTTATTATTAGTATGAAGACTTGTTCATTGTTTCTTGAAATTTCCCTAAAATCAGGTGATATTTGCGAATATTTTAGTTTAACCAATTCCTTTTCATTTAAAACTCAATTATACCAACTCAGCTATCCAGATAGAAGTATCAACACAGTACATGTCATGCCTAGAGCAAAACTAAAATTCAGATCACTCCTCTCCCATTCCAGAAGCACAAAAAGAGCTTGTAAATATTCCGTATGTGCCATTGGGCACAGATTTGTACCTTCGAGGTTTCAGCTATAACTCAAGTTTGGCTAACTTTCAACCCAGCACTTCCTTTATTCATCCTTTGCCCTCTTCTCCCGTCTTTTTCACTTCTTTAGTTGTCTGTTTATAGCCCATGCCATTTACTAGACAACAGACCTCTGGCAACTCAAAAACCATGATTTATTAATCTGTACATGTCTTACTCTAAGGAAAGCTCAAATAGCTACCAAAAAAATGCTAACATTGGCTAGGTGCAGTGGCTCATGCCTGTAATCCCAGCACTTTGGGAGGCCCAGGTGGGTGGATCACAAGGTCAGGAGTTCAAGACCAGCCTGGCCAAGATGGTGAAACCCCATCTCTACTAAAAATACAAAAATTACCTGGACGTGGTGGGGGGTGCCTGTAATCCCAGCTACGTGGGAGGCTGAGGCAGAGAATTGCTTGAACCCGGGAGGCAGAGGTTGCAGCGAGCCAAGATCACGCCATTGCACTCCAGCCTAGGCAACAGAGTGAGAATTCATTAAAAAAAAAAAAGCTAAAATTGTATCTCACAGTCAAAAAAGCTAAAATTGTATCTCACAGTCAAAAAAGCTAAAATTGTATCTCACAGTCAAAATTTGTCAATTTTTTAAAGGAAGTTCAAAAGTTTCCTTTATTTCTCTTATTTTCAGATTCAAAAACCCAATATTTAAATATGTCCGTATTCTATCTTCATTGTGTTGGGTCTTTGAAAAACTCTCTAACAGTAATCTTCCCTATTCAGAGGGAAATCAGTACTACAGCTTCTATATTACACGAAAAGGACCTACCATGAGTAGAAAGGTGTGAGTGTTCAGAAGCTCAGAGTCAGCTACAAATTCAAACACTCTTAATGTATTTATACTACATCAGGTTAACAAAAACAAAAACAAGTCACATTGTTTGTGACCAAACCCTATTGATAACAAACAAGTGGGTATAATACTACTCTCTAATGATCTAGATTTAGCCCAGTAACGTGGATTTCTCTAACACATTTCAGCCACTGTAACTGTCAAACCAGATCAGAAGTGACAATTTAGCACCAGCAGCAGCTGCTGAAGTGTTCTCTGTGCACTCCCCAGGAACCATTGCTTTCCTTCTGCCTTTTTCAGCCCTCACTCTAATTCTGGTGCAGGATTTTTTTCTGCTCATTTCACAGTACCTTGCCATTACTGCCTCCCTTGCTCTTTGCCTTAATGTCTCCTATGGGTGTTCTTGTCCGACAGAAATCTAGAAACTCAGGCAGCAAAGTGGACACTTGGGCATTAAATGGCCAAACAGAGTTAGTGAAATACAAGATTTCTGGTCCCAGCTGCAGTCTCTGAAGACATGGAATATCTCATCTTTCAACCAAAGGTTTGTTTTCTGTCTTGTTATAGACCCTTTCATCAGAATACAGAAGTTGCATTTCTCCTGTGTGGCACTCAGGAGTCGTAGCTATATATATCCACGACAGGCAAAAACCCCAGTGAGTATATGTTCTTCTGAACTATCTGAAACCACTTCTAACATACAAACCAACCTTCAAGGAAGGAGAATCTACCTGACAACATTTCTATTTAGAACACAATTTCAGGCCCAGCTTCATTTATTTAGTCACTTTATAATATTGTTTCCATCAGATTAAAATTCAGATGCACAGATCCTAAAGACATTATTTCTGCATTATGTCATAAACCTAAAGAAAATTTTGAGGATTCCCCTGGCCTATTCCCACTCCTTTGTTTAGATTCCATACATTATCCTTATAAACAGTTAACTAACACATTTAAAGAACAACTATAATATTATTTCACATAAAATCTCATAGGTCTTGAAGTAGGCTATAATCCTGTTGGTAACCATACCCCCACTCGTGTCCCTGCCCAAACTGAAATTATAATTCTAAAGTTTCTACACCAATCTATTTTTTTTTCTTTTTAGGTATTGCTAAAGCTGGAGAACAGTTGCCAATCTTACCTTGGAAAACAATTCTTTCTATTTCTCCTAGTTCCTGTAACCTGTCCTCATATATTCTTAATTTCCAAACATTTTAGATGAGCTTGTAGTGTTCATAACCAACCGCAGATACCTGCTATAGGTTAATTTGGCTAATGCAGGGTGAATTTTAGATTCTTACTCTTAGATTGCCCATACATCTGTCTGTTACTTAATGCAAGAAATGATTTAGTAAAGTTAATGATCCATTGGGAAGGCAAAAGTAAATTCATATAATGAAGCATCTAGGACTCTTCTCTGTGCATGTAAAACCACATTTTAATGAGCTAAATGAGTTTGAATATTTAAACTCTGAATAACTCTTACTATTTGTTATCCAAATTTAAAGCAATATTCCATATATAATCCATAATCTTAGAGGCTGTTTTTTAATGGCTGATTCCTACCTATGAAGTATAAAAAATGTTCTTCAAAAGCACACATGATAGAAGAGACTTCATGTAAATATCAAAAGAAACATAAAAGGAATATATGAAAGGATGACTTTGTGAGAATAAGAAATATTTGCAAAATTTTTGGAGTAGATTATGAAGAAACTGAAAGAGCTTCTGTTTACATTCTATAAACAATGTATTAAGCAGATTCCTGCCTTCATGGTAAAAAATAATCGCTGAAAATAAGGAGGTTAGTAGGTCTAAATACAGGTGAATTGTAGCATCCTCTGACATTTTAAAGTGATTTCAGAGAAAATATAATGCTTTATCTATCACACTAGAATTAAAGGAACTATTCATAAACAAAGAACTGTAGACTCTTCTCAACTGTCTGATAAATTCTCAACCAAAGCAGGGATTCCCTGACAATATCACTGACATGATTTCCTATCTTCTACTATAAACATTTTGGGGAGAAGAAACCTGTTCCAACATATTACACCAAATTTGTCCTCCCTTTAACTTTCACCCAGTGTTGAAGATGTCATAATGGAATATAAGTCTGCACTCTGCCACAAAGCAACTATTTAAATGTATAAAATAACTAATATCATCTAGTATCAAGTCTTCCAATTTTAGATTATCACTCAATGTCTTCAACTATTCCTCAAATGAAAATGGCTCCAGAACCTCTTAACATCTTTAACAGCTCCTTACAAACTCCAGTTAAAAGTCTCTAGAGTGAGACTCAGAATTGAACACCAAGACTCCATGTGGGGTCTGACCAGTAAAAAAACAGCTAGGAATTATTAAGTATCTGGAATCCTACATGTACAGGTTTAGTCAAAGATTTCATTCACTTCAGTTTAGTAGTCTAGGCGTAATGTTGTTCTGTGAGTTTCTCTCCTAATAAAACACTTAGATCATTTTCATTTAATGCCTGGCAAAGGACAATTTTTAAAAATTTTAACCTTTTTTTTTCCCTATGAGTGCTTTCTTTCTGATGGTAGTGGACATCTATTATTTGTATCTCCATATCTTCACATCCTGCAATTCTGTATTGCTAGATACTAGAGGCAACCACACCTCATTCTCCTCCCAACTGCTATGGTTTAAATATTTTATTCCCTCCAAAATTCATATGCTGGAAACTTAATCACCAACACAACATTGTTGGAAGGTGGGTCCTAATGAGATGTGTTTTTATTATGTGGGCAGAGCCCTCATTAATGGATTAATGCTGCTAAGAAAAGGGCTTGGGGAAAGAGTTCCCCCACTTCTGCTTTGTGACAACACAACATTCCTTCTCTCCAGTAAATGGAACAATAAGAGGCCATCTCAGAACCAGAGATGGAGCCTGCTGGCATTTTGATCTTGGACTTTCCAGCCTCCAGAGCTCTAAAACAATAAATTTCTGTTCTTTATGAATTACTGAGTCTGTGGTATTATGTTATAATAGCGCAAACAGATACCCTCCAATCGTGCCTCTAGTTGGAGTAAGCAATAAATTAGTTGAGTCAGGAGATGGGCATTAATCCAATCAAGGCCCTTTCATTTTTAAATTTTGAGCCAAAGAGATTATCTTCTTCTCTAGGGATGAAAAAATGAGACGTGAGATGCAGGAACTCTTAGCAGTAGGCTGGAAAAAAAAAAAACTGAGAAAGTTTGCCTGGGAAAAGAAAGCCAATATGTAATGAAAAGTAAAAACAACTTAGGCTGTTTTCAAGATCCTGGTTCCAATTATTCCTGAAGCTTAGCTGTACCCTTAAGTGCTCTATGGGTACATGTGCTAATAAATTCATTTAAAGCAAAAACAAACAAACAACAACAAAAAAAACCAACAACAACAACAACAAAAAGTTTCCAGCAAAACAGGTAGTGACTTGCATATAGATTTGACTGTCTATGGTTTTTAAGTATTCCTCCTTCTCAACTTGATGTCTTATATTATCTTTCTATTGTTACTATAATAAATTATTATCAACTTAGTGGCTTAAATAATACAAATTTATTATTTTACAGTCCTATAGGTTAGTAGCTGACGTGGGTCCCACTAGCTAAAACCAGTGTTGTCAGCTGCACTCCTTCCTGGAGACTCTGGGAAAGAATCTGATTCCTTGTCTTCTCTGGCTTCTAGAGGCCATTTGTGTTGCTTAGTTCATGATTCCTTTCCTCCATCTTCAAATGCAGCAATGTTGGATCTCTGACCATTCTTACATAGTTACATGTCCCTCTAACCCTGATCTTATCTGGAAAGGTTCTTGTAAGGACTCTTGTGATTAAATTGGACCCACCTGGATAATCCAAGATAATCTCATCTTGATGTCCTTAATTTTAAGCACATGTGCAAAGTCTCTTTTGCCATGCAAAGTAACATATTCATAGGTTCTGGGAATTTAGGCATATAAATATTTGAGTGAGGGGGAAATTATTCTGCCTACCACTAAAACACAAAGAAGACATTTCATTTCTCATTTCATTTCTCACTATTCAGTTCAGTAATAAAAATATGTTAAATGGGAGAAGCCAAAGATACCCTTCAAAACAATAGCAACACGTTAATCAACATTATTTGGAAATCATTGTATTATATCAAATGACTCTTTCAAAACTGTTTGTCTGGGAAGAAAATTTCTGCTGGTTTTATCTTTTTCTAAAGATGCTTTTGGAGATCCTTACTGGATTTCCCTAGCTACAATCAGAATGCAATATCTGAGATGTAGAAATAAAAGTATTTCCATATCCATATACTTGAAGCCTAAGGCTGCTATTATTTCTAAGCATAGAGAGTAAACACAGCCTCTCTTTGTTTTACTAATTGCTTTGTTTCCCCAAGCTGCAAGTACAACATCTGCCAGACCAGAATGCACTCCTTCCACACACCACAGAACCACGTCTGGATAAACGACCTACACATCATGGTGTAAGGGCAAGCGCTTTGCAGGCAGCCAGAAGGCAGTTTTCAAGAGGCAAAGACCTCAAGTGGAAATGAAGCTGAATCACCCTCCAAAATCTTTAGAGTGGTTATGGAGTTGTTGATTCTGTAATGATTTCATACTGTCTCCAATTTTATTGATTTTGTTTTTCAATAGAGCTGTTAAAGATTACGATTCTAAGATAAGCAGAATGTGGGCAGATGCTCACATTCTCACACACTGTTCTGCCAAGATATTTTTACATCTTTCTGCACATAAAACAAAATGAAGACATGTGCTATAGATGCATGCTACCAGTAACCCCCCATCCCCAGAAGAAGGGAGTTTACTGTATGTTAATTTCCTGGATGAGGTATTAAATTTTACTTAGAAAAAAAAATTAACAGAACTTCTAAAATAAAAGAGGTTTGCTTCTAAGGCACTTTATAAAATATTCTTAATTACCAAAACCCACTGAAAAGGCAATTTGGGTCATCATATCCAAATGTCATCTCTGCTATTTCCAATTCAATATTAAACTTCATGCCACATCAAAATATAAAACGCTGCAACAGCTTACACACTGTTGATGTTCATTCATCTACTGCACATCAGAAAAGCTCATTGCAAATATGGCATGAAAGAAAGAAAAGTAAGCAAAACACACTCAGAAAAGACTTGAAACAAATTGCCTGAAGGAACACACTCCAGAGAAAACATTGCAAAACCATAGCCTTACCTTGGGAGACTTGGGCAGGTCTACCGTCCTTTCTTCTGCTAAGGTTAGCAGGGTTAACTTTGTTTCCTCTACTGAGGGGTGTTTCGGAGGGCGAGGTGGGGGATGTGAGGCTGAGCTTTCATATCTCCGCATCATGTAATATTGCTCTTCAGTGATCTCTTCTACCAGAGTCCTGACTAGAAATGGTTCTGCATCCCTAGAGAAATTACTAACTAACTGAACAGTCATATTCAAGCGGCCCACAGGAATTTCCCAGCACTCCGTGGGGTTGGCAAAGTCACTTATGAGTAGGTAAGAGTCTGTAATGTCCTCCTCCAACTGCAGTCCTGGTGTGGCAGCCAACACGTCCTCTTCAATGGAAAGATCCCTGACAGACACCTTCACATTGAAGGGCAAACGGAACTGTTTACAGAGCTCAGAAATCGGGTACTGTTTCTTATCATGAATCACCTCTACAAAACCTCCTTCCATGTACAAAGGGAGCAGCGCAGCCTCATAGGACTTTTTGAGGATTTTTTCACAGGCCAGAACATTCACCACTTTTTTTATTCCCTCACAGAGGACTTCAGTCGTCTCTGACTGATGCACCAGAAACTGGTCCCCAACAGATACGGATGACAGCTTGTCATGAGGGGAATGAAACGCTTTGGTGGCCACCACGTGAAGAGGCTCCTTTTCACTCTTAGCGATCTCTAGGTCATAGGCCGTTGGGAACTCCCTCGGTCGCCGCTTGAACTTGCCTTTATAGCTAGTGGGGATCAAGAAGTGTCTTTTAGGAAAATTGCTTCTAATTTCTGAAGCTAAGATTCTTGATGCCTGGTACTTTTTGTGGATCACAATGGTTTTCCCAGGCTGTAAAATGCTTTGGGGCAGGTGGTTTCCTTCAGGTGCTTCTATGACTTCAGTCACTATGGGGAACTCTTTACTAGTCATTTCAAAAAGATCTTCTGTTGATAACAGCTGAAGAAACCAGTTAGCATCGTAAGAATCAGTGATGTCTTTGACTTCGACATCTAGACTGGGGAGGATGCGGATTATATCTTTTCGAACTAAAAAGAAAAAATAAATCACTATGATATTTTTGTACTTCAAAACGTTTGCTGTGAGATACTCTCCTGATGCCATAAATAAATTTCTTTTACAAAATAAAGAACTCAGATGATCATCATATATCATTTCTTATGTGTGATTTTCCTTTTTTCAAATTTTAAGATGAAAGAGATTGAATATAAAACCAACACGCATAAGCCCATACTCAGTTTAAGAAGCGGACATTAGCCAGTACCTTGGAGCTCTAGGGAACCTCCTCAAAATCATATCCTCACTTCTACTGACGTACGATCACTGTCCTGATTCTCATGTTAAATATTCCTGTGCTTATATTTATACTTTTATCATCCATAACATACATGAATATAGATATGTGTGTGAATATGTATGTAAATGTGTTCATAAATTTTATATGAAGGTTTATAAATTATTAGGTCATTTTAAGTCATATTCTTGAGGGCCAGACTTTATATATCAAATTATCATAGAAGACAGTTTTGACCCAAAACAAACCTTTATACCAAATCATATCCTGTGAGTTGAAACAATATTGCAAAATCCTAAGATACAAGCTACTTGAGATTAATATGCGAAAATAAATACCAAGATGCAATATTTTTCCAATGTCAAAGTTCTTTCTTTCTCCACTGGTGTTATATTATACCTGCCTACCAAAGGAGTGGTGCAGAGTGGGTCACAATCAGAGGAGCCATTCAAGAGCCCTAGGTATGCTGGTGAGTACTCACCAATGTATTCATTGCCTCATGCGTCACTGGGGTTAATGGATATCTGTATTTTTTCCAATCATCCACTGTCTCACGAGTCTTCCTTTGAGACTACAGAGATGCTTAAAATATTGTCCTGCATTTATTTACCTGTTCCTCATATACCACCCAACATCTTATCATTATAAATGGTCCTGAATTAATAAACTTATGTATTGGCCAGGCACTGTGTCTTATGCCTGTAATCCCAGCATTTTGGGAGGCTAAGGTGGGAGGACTGCTTCAGCCCAGGAGTTCGAGACTAGCCTGGGCAATATAGTGAGACCTTGTCTCTGTACAAAAATTAGAAAAAATTAGCTGAATCTGGTGGCATGTCCCAGCTACTCAGGAGACTGAGGTGGGAAGATCGCTTGAGCCTGAGAAGCAAATGTTGCAGTGAACCATGATCATACCCACTGCATTTCAGCTTGGGTGACAGAGTGAGACCCTGTCTCAAAACATAAAAATAAAAAAAAATAATAAAGTTATGTGTTAATATTAACAGGGTATTATAATAGTCTATATTTTCTTGATAATTTACTAACATAAATTTTATAGCATTTTCATGATATGGCATTGATTTTCAATATCTCCAGCCACCCTTCCGTCATTTTTTTCTTCCTTCCATGCTTTTGAAAATGAACAATTTGGAATATTTAGAAGACAGAATATCCTCTTATAAAACATTACATATATTACTTTTAATATTATTAACTGTTTATGCAGCATCAAAAAACCTGTGTGATTTATGTATTACTTATATGTCCTGTGTAATTATAGAGTTTCTGAAGATGCAGCAAGGAAAAAGTATTATTTTCTTGTAAAAAAAATAAAAAATCAGTGGTTGCCTATAGGCTAAAGATCTGCAAAATTGTAAAGATTTTTAATTTTTAGAAAAAAAAGGAGGGTTGAAAGAGCACTTCTTACATTAATAAGTTATGTTATAAAGTTTAGCATGCACTAACTTTTAACATTATACCTACTGGCTTCCCTGAACCTCAAGGTAAGTTTAGAAACTAAAATTCTGGTTGTTTGAATCAAAATGAGCTAGGTTTAAGAATTCTAGAGCTAGCTCTAGATAGGCTCATGCTATTCCTCAAGTCTAGGGAAGAGCTAGAGATTAGTAGAATAGATGCCATCAAGGACTTCCTGAGAACTCAGAATTGATCCACCAGAACATCAGTTTCAATACAAGCTAGATCCCAATCTGTCTTTGTACATGGTGGGTGCTGTGGGCTGGGAATAGCTTTAATGCATTGGAGGACTTTATTGCTGCTGGAGAAACCCTACAGGCCATGTTATCCGAACTCTTAAATTTTTTGTATTCAATTACTGACCTATCTTCAATACTTCTGTGCCTAAATCCACTGAAATGATGCTAGCCTATCTTATTTTACTTAAGATCTCAGCAGCATTTGACAAAGTGGATTAGACTCCCTCCTCTTTGATACATTTTTCTCACTTGCTTTCCCCTTATGTCACTTGTGATTCTTCTCAGTTTTGCTGATTTCTTCTCCCTATACACCACCCACCCCTCACACACACCTTTTAGGGTGTCTTGGTTCTCTTTTTCCCTCTATCTACACCCACGCCTACACTGATCTTAAGTGGTCTCATGTCTTTAAATATCATCTTTATGCTGATGACTACCCAAAGTATAGCTCCAGCCAAAACATTTTCCTGAATGCAGTATGTCTACTTCAGATCTCCACTTGGACATCTAATAGATGTCTCAAAATTAACATGCTTAAACTGAAATCTAATCTTCCTCCAAAACCTAAGCTATATGCTGTCTTCCCAGACTCAGCTATTGGAAACTCTTTTCTTTCAGTTCAGTCCATAAATCTCAGAGACATCCTTAGCTTTTCTCTTTTTTAACACCTGAAATATCTTACATCAGGACTATCCTGATCTAAGCTACATTGTCTTTTGCCTGGATTGTTGCAGTGGCTTTCTAACCGGTATCCTTGCAGTCAAGTCTCAATAGGGAAAGCAAATATTATTTTTAGATGCTAAATAATTTATGTCTGTCTTCTGTTTATAAGCCTACAGTGTCAGTCCTTTCACTTAGTATAAAAGCCAAAGTCCTTACCTGGCCCCTGGCACCACCTGGGTCTCATCTGCTACTCCTTTGTCTCACTCTAACTCCCCGCTGTCTCCCGGACCTCCTCATTGTCAGTCAGATCTTTGCACAGCCTGTTTCCTCTGCCTGTTACATACTTCAGCCAGATATGTTCACAGCCAACTCCTCTTCTTCTTCAAGTCTGCTTAAATATCATCTCGGCAGTGAGACCTACTCTAAATGCACTATTTAAAATTGCAATCTTCTCTTCTATTTGCCCTTTTCTATTTCTCTATTTCATGTCACCCTTCACCTTCTATCATTCCATATAACTTGTTAATTTATATTATGAACATTTTCTATTTTTGTTTCCCTAAACTGAAACATATGCCTTCCCAGAGGTGGGAGGCTTTCATTGTTTTCTTCATCAATGTCTAGAATGTCTAGAGTGGCACCTGGCGTATAGTAGATACTCAATAAATGAATTAATGAATAAAAAATAATTGCCAGAACAAAGTCCATGAGTGACCACTAAAGGAAGCAATTCAGTAAATATATTCTATATAAAATTTCACTGGAAAAAAAAGTTTTCTATGTTAAAACTCCTGCTACTATTCATAGCAGCTATTGTATATTTTATTTAAGACACTTCTCTTAAGGTTGCAGTTTCACTTAAACAATGGCCTGTTCAATGCAATAAATACTTGTATTTAATGTCTTCAACATAATAGAGAGATCAAGGTATAAATATATGAGCAAAGTAAAATATTTTCATCCAAGTTTTTTTAATAAAAAAGATTAGGCAAAATCATGATATAGATGCCTAAAGAGAAGATTCAATACAAGGAAATAGCAGATGCAGTGAAAATCAACAACTCTTCTTAGATTCACCAGAGAATTGAGGTCACAGGGCAAACCACCACCCCAAAAACTAGACAGGTAGGCAAATACAAACAGTCATAGCTCACTGGGGGCAAAAACGACTGCTGGAGGCAGCACCTGGAAGAATAGAAGGGTAACTGGGGACTAAAGGTAGAATTGTTTAAGAGATAAAACTCCTAGGGTTGGGGAGTATGTTTAGGAGGGCCTCCCACACTTTTCTGAGTCTTACTTTCAGGGGCCCATCCAGGTTCTCAGGGTGAAGATGAGACAAATTTCCTTGTGCTTCTGGCAGGGTGAGAGAAGAAGCAACTATTCTGAAACATACCCAGAGCATTCTGTTCTCCTTAAAAAATGCCTGTCCTCAAGGAAAACTATTTTAGCACAGCCTAACCAACTTGTGCTTTACCAGAGACTAACTATCATGGGGGAAGGGAATTACCCAACCAAGCCACCTCTAATATTCTATGTGGGGAAAAAGCAATACCCAACTCCAACCTTCTCTGTACTTCTACATAAAGGAAAGGGAACACCCAACTCAAGCCTCCACTAGCCATTCTATCTCTCCCAAAGGGGACAAAAAAGCTGAGAAACACTTGTGAAGGTCACAGCCTAGAGACACAGGCTCACTAATAACTGAAACCTAATCATAAATTATAGAAATCCCCCCTCCATAACATACGACCACATCAACAGTGCTCCTGTATAATAACAGGAAACTACAACTCAAAGAATGGCATTTAAGACCATACCTAAGAAGGAGTCTCTAGAGACTAAAGTCAACAGGGCAGACAAAAGAAAGCACTACATGAAAATGTAGCCTCTGACACCTACCATTATAGTAAACTATAAACACAGCCTAACTTCTAGATAGATAAACGTAATATATCAAGTTAAGACAATTTATCACAGTTTATTTTACCTGAAACATCATGTCTGGCTTTCAAAAAAAAAAAAAAACTACAACATATATTATAAGGCAAAAAAGCACACTCTGAAGAGACAAATCAAGCATCAAAGCCAGATTCAGATATAGCACATATTTGGGAATTACTAGACCAGGAACTTAAAATTTAATAATAATGCTAAGGAGTATAATGGAAAAAGGGGACAACATGTAGGGAAAGATGGGTGATGTAAGCAAAGAGATGGAAACTCTAGGGGAAAACTGAAAGGCAATGATAGAAATTAAAAACACAGGACCAGGTGCGGTGGCTCACGCCTGTAATCCCAGGACTTTGGGAGGCTGAGGCAGGCAGATCACAAGGTCAGGAGATCGAGACCATCCTGGCTAACATGGTGAAACCCCATCTCTAATAAAAATACAAAAATTAGCCAGGCGCATGGTGGCATGCACCCGTAGTCCCAGGTACTATGGAGGCTGAGACAGGAGAATTGCCTGAACCCGGGAGGTGGAGGTTGCAGTGACCCAAGATCATGCCACTGCACTCCAGCCTGGGTGAAAGAGTGAGACTCTGTCTAAAAAAAAAAAAAAAAAAAAAAAAAAAAAAAGAAAGAAATTAAAAACACAGAAACAGAAATAAAGTCTTTGGTGGGTTTCTCATTACACTGGGCACTGCTGAGGAAAGAATCAATGAGCTTGAAGATATGTCAATTAAAAACTTACCAAACCAAAAAAGAAAAAGAAATGAAAAAAATAGAACATAATATAATATCCAAGAAATGTAAGACAACTGCAAAAGATGTAACATGTATGTCCTGGGTATACCAGAAGGAGAATACAGTGGTAAAAGAAACATTTGCATTAACAAGACTGAGAATTTTCCAAAATAAATGCAGCTTCAAAACATTAAGCAGGATAAATACCAAAAAAAATCTATATTGAAGAGTATCATATTCAGGCTTCTTCAAATCAAAGACAAAGCAAAAACTTGAACCAGAGGAGCAAAAACACCTTATCTATAGAGGAAAAACACAACATTTACAGTGGACTTTTCTTTGGAAACCATGCAAGCAAGAAGAGAATGGAGTGACAAATTTAAAGAGTTGGAAAAAACCCACCAACCTAGAATTCTGCATCCAGTGAAATCATCCTTCAAAAGTAAAGGAGAAATAAAGACTTACTTATGTGAGTAACAATTCAGGGAATTTGTCACCAGTTCACCTACCTTGCAAGAAATATTTCTAAAAAAATTCTTCAGAGAAAAGAAAAATGTTAAAGGTAGGAAACTCAGATGTACACACAGAAAGGAAGAGTGCTGGAGAATAAATGAAGGCAGAATAAAACGTTTTATTTTTCGTATTCTTAATTGATCTAACAGAAAACAGTCTGTTAAAACTAATAATTGTAGCAATATTTTGGATGATTATAGCACACAGATAAGTGAAATGAATGACAGTACTGTTTTAAGAGAGAGGAGGGAGGAATGGGGAATATTTTCTTATAAGGTAACTGCAGTACTCATGACGTTATTTGTGCTATTTGAAAGTGACCTATATTAGTTGTAAATATATATTACAAACTCTAGGGTAACAACTAAAAATGTTTTTTACAGTATAATTGATATGCTAAGAGAAAAGAGAAAGTGGAATCACATAAAAGCCTCAATTAAAATTACAGTAGGCAGAAAAAGAAGGGGAAAAATAGCATATTTAATTTGATGATGAGGATAAAGACATTTTATGAAAGGCATGGCCACAACATGAGACTTTAAGAATGAAAAGAAATTACAGGCTAAGATAGAATAGGAGAGGGTATAATCCAGATGGCAAGGACACCGTGATCAATGATAAGAAGGGAAATTGAGAATAGTCAGTAATTAAAAAGAAATCCAGCATCTCAGGATTTTAAATGAGAGCACAGGGACTGGACAGGAGACTCACTGAAAGAAGCACTATGGAAATGAATTGACACTTTGAATGCCAGGCTGAGGAATGTATAACTACTTCAGGAGGAAATCCAAAATATTTCAGATTAAGAAAGACCAAATTACAATTAGGAATTTGGCAGATTATCTGATAACTCAATGGGAGAAGAGATTGAAATCAGGGAGTCTACCTTTCTTTCTATACTAAGTGCCATGAAGCCCATAGACATCCAATTTACTGGCAACCCAATCTGCCTCATTATTTTTGCATGAACTTTGAATTTTTATATTACTCTCTCATGTCTGCTAATACATTAAAATGAAAGCTTTTTTTATACTATTCTGTTGATTTTTTTATATGTTTTAAGTTTTCCACAGTCAAAAGTTAAAATAAAAACTCATTATTTGCTTAAGGTTACCTAGAATTTGGCAATGACATCCTCAAGTTTTTAAACTGAAATAGGTTTCATTAATTTTTATGGCAAATATTATATCTAAGAATCTCTCCTAGAGAAAGATAAAGACACCAACACTTATAGTGTTGTTTTTCTTATAAAACAAAAAGTTGCATGCTTTTATAGAAATATTTTAAAATATAAGAGAGGAAAAACAATTAGAATCTTTTATAGATTTATAAAATTTTAGACAACAACGGCTTATATTGTGGTATATATAGCTCTAATCATGTGTGTGTGTGTCTGTGTGTGTGAGAGAGAGAGAGAGAGAGAGATAAATTTTTTAAACAAGCATTTGTTATTTTACAATTGGGAAAATGGAATTTCCTCCCCCAAAAAAGACCAAAGAGTACAAGCTAAATTAGAAAATGTCATTTTCCAAAAAAGTTCTTTTTGACTCTAAAATGTTAGATAAGAAGGCAACACCTGAGAGCATGAGACTGAGAAACATTCCTGGAGGTTTGTATTACAAGTTTTTCTGTTCCAAACTAAACCAAAGTAAAAACATTATGTACTTATCAAACTTTAGTTTAGACTTCCCAGAATTTCTTTGTGAGTGAATATGAATTATCCTTGCTGGGTATGTTTTCTTGTTATCCAAAGGGAGCTCCTGTGAAAAACAATTTCCATTCCATTTTTTCTGAAAGAGTAACAGGTTACTTCTTTATGTTGCTGAGTTGTTTCACTAAGTTCTTTCAGGGAAAGTCCCTTCACAGGGTGAATGCTAATCATAATGTGGTGCTTTTCTATATTTGCCACTGTAACAACCCTCTTAACTAAGTTTGAATTTAGGGGACACCACTAAAATTGTCTTTAAAGAGAAAATAAAGAGTTACCTTTAAGCTTGGTTGGTGATGGGCAACATATGTTTCCCTGGATATTTAATATTCAATTCTAGAACACTCTTGGTCTCAACTCACTAAGTGAGAACCAATCCTTTGCAATTGGACCTAAATTAGTACAGGGATGGAAATCTGCTGAGACACTCTTATTCAAGACTTGAGGACAAGATGATGGTTTCTACATATTTTTCTCCAAAGAAATTTTATAAATTCTAGTGCTACAATTTCTCCCAACTTCTAGTTCCTCCATTATTATTTAATAATAATAATCTCTATATTTGTTAGACATTTTTACTGTTTAATCTTTGTCATTTACTTTCTAAGACTACAGTTGTTTTTCTCAAAAGTATGAACTTCATCTTCATCTCTCACCCACTCAATGAATTGTTTAGTTACATATTTGCATTGCATTACAATCCTTATTATAGGGCAGTTATTAGATTTACTAAAAATTTCTGAGCTCTGCCTTGTTCCAGACTTTTAAATTAAAATTTGCTTTACAGTTCATTCATTTGATCTCAATTTTCTTTATGGATATTCTGCAAATTATTTTTTTAAATTTATTTAACTTTATTTCAACTTAAGGAAAGCTATACTGTGAATTTCTATTTTCTTACCTGGTTCTCCTCTGGTTCATCTGCTGTCCATATTTCTAAACAAAGAGAGCCTTTTGAACGGCTCTGTAACTCTTAGAAAAAATAATCATAATCCTCACTGAGAAACTGAGAGTTATTTAAAATGAATACACTTGCATTTGATATGAGTTTATTTGTAACACTACTTTGACTTTTACATTTTAATTTAGTCCATAAAATCTAAGAAAAGCAAATAAACACTTTTTTAGACACTTTTAACATGTATCCCATTGATGTTTGTAATGGTTAGTTTTACATATCAACTTGCTTAGGCTATATTACCTAGTTATTTATTCAAACACTAACCTAGGTGATGCTGTGAAGGTATTTTGTTCATGTAGCTGTCATCTACAATCAGTTGACTTTCAGTAAAGGATGTTACCTTCCATGATTTAGGTGGGCCTCATCTAATCAGTTGGTGGTCTTAAGAGCAAAAACTGAGAATTCCCAGAGAAAAGGAAATTCTCCCTCAAAACTGCAGCATTAACTTTTGCCTGAGTTTTGAGCCTGTGCAGCCTGTCCTACAGATTTAGATCTTTTCAACTCCCATACTTGCATGAGCCAATTCCTTAAAATAAACAAATATTTTTATTTACATACAATTTGTTTTATATACAAATAAACACTGTATATATTAATGTATAATTAGGTATATTTAGCACACATAGATATTCTTTTTCTCTGGAAAATCCTAACAAGGCATTAATAGTTGGTAATGTAAAAATAAATATATACATAATACAAAATAGGTACCTTCCTCTGCTAGCTGCATGATATTTCTATTAGCAATAAGACTGCAGCCTAAAGGAACAAAATGAAATGGGAGCTGACTAGAGTATCTACTGGTTCTAAATGTCATGTTGTCGTAGTATTTTCATGGACACATTGCGAAAAGCATCACTAACAAAAATTGAACCTGTTATATGAATATAAATGATATAAACTTTGGTACCATGAAGTTCATATTTTCCTTAGCTATTGAACTCATAAATATGTCATCATAATAAGTCAAATCTGGATATAGTGAGTGAGAAAACCCCCTTGTTACCTAAAGAGGAGCTTTGTACTGTGAAACATAAATATACACGCATAAACAATGTGTTACTTGCTTTATTCATTCTTTCATGTACTTGATTTATTGAATGCTTATGGAACATTTACTCTATCTCAAGCACTGAGAAGATACAAATACATACATAAGAAATTAATGTGATATTTTTATAAACTAATGAAAATTGTGTTTTACTAAATATATTAAATTTATAAATTATACTTATTATCATTTAGCAGGAGTAGCAACCAGTCCTTTGAGAGATTATAATAGATCCAGGCAAAACTCTGGGCTAGAACTAATTTAATTAGGTAGTGAGGTTTAGGGCTAAAATTATACCTTTTCAATCCTTTCTCCCATCAAATTTACCACAGGGGTAAGAAGTCAAAAAAGAAAGTTTTTTAAAAAAGGTTCAATGAATCTAAAAGATATCTGCAATCCTTAATCTAAATGAAGACAGAAATCAGAGGGAAGAATGATAAATTACTTGACAGAATAGAAAAAGGAGTGCCTATGTGCCTGAGGAGGCAAAATCCAAAGAAAAATGAACTGTTGTTGTCCCATAAGACCTCCAAAGATAGAATTTGGAGACATAAGACCCCTGGAAAGCAAGGTGAAGCCAGGAGGCTAAAAACACAGGGATTATTCAAATGTCTGAAGAATGGTTAAACCCAGGTCTCCACTCTAATCTAGGGGAGATAGGTGACCACTTCTTCCACCTCTCCCTCTGCAGGAAACAGTATATACAGGATCTCAGAACCTCCGAAACCAGACATAGGTGAGCAGGAGGGAAGCGTGGAACTGAAAGTGAAGGAGTTAATTATAAATCTGTAAGTGGGAGTGGTGAGATCTTTAGCTCTGTCCCCACGTAGCTCCAATAGTTTCATAATCCCCAGAAGATACCACAAAGATTCTTCTTAGGTGAAACTGAACTCAAAAAGGAAAGACTCACAAAACCTAAATTTGAGGAATGCTGCAGTGAAAAAGTTGGCAGGATAATATCTAAAATTCATAAACACAGAGCTTATATAGAAACAGTGCCTTACTTGTACATTTTTGTTTCAACTGACCCCTGTAAATATGAACATATTACAAGTAATCACAAAGCATTTGATAAAAACATTTAATAAGAAATGATACACCAAAACTTAAAAAAAAAAGAACCCCAAAAGAGGAAGATATTTTGCAGTGAACGCTTGAAAACTTAAAAAAACTATCTAAAATATTTTTGAGAGAGACGGGGTTTCACCGTGTTAGTCAGGATGGTCTCGATCTCCTGACCTCGTGATCCGCCCGCCTCGGCCCCCCAAAGTGCTGGGATTGCAGGCGTGAGCCACCGGGTGGCAGGCGCCTGTAGTCCCAGCTACTTGACAGGCTGAGGCAGGAGAATGGCGTGAACCCAGGAGGCGGAGCTTGCAGTGAGCGGAGATTGCGCCACTGCACTCCAGCCTGGGCGACAGAGGGAGACTCCGTCTCAAAACAAACAAACAAACAAACAAACAAACAAAACTAACTGAAATATTCTCAGAGAAATAAGATGTATTTTAAAAACAAGAACAGTGTAAAATATGTAAAATGATGTAAGAAATAACTCTTGGAAATTAAAAATATGATAACGAAAATTAAAAATTCATTAAAACAGTTGGAAATGTAGTTATGAAAATTTTCCCTGGAGGTAAACAAAAGACAAAAAGATATAAAATAGAAAAGAAAAAAGGCCCTAGAAGATCAGTATGGGAATTTCAGTATGAGATTTGAAATTAAAGACAGAGAGAAGAGAAAATATAATTGAGTGGACATTATCAGAGAAATTGTTCCAAATATGAAGCACCTAAATATTCAGATTGAAAACTGTCATCACTAAGAAAGAACAGACCCACCCCAAGTCACATTACTGTGAAACTTCAGAATACCACGTATAATCTCTCCAAGACGATACAGGATGGTGGAAGATAAGGGAGTAAAGTTTTCAAAATTCTGAGGGGAATTTATTCTCAACCTGGAATTCTGTAAGTAGCCAAACTATCAATCTTATATGTGTATAGAATATTTTTCAAACATTCATGCACCGTTCTCAGGAAGCAAGGGAAGGTTGGCCTGCATAAAAATTGGAAGAAAGTCAAGATAGAGGGAGTTATTTGATTTCAGAAATAGCTAGTCAACACAGACACAAGTCAACAGGGAATCACCAGGATTATTTTAAATGGAATTCCCAGGGCAGCACCTATGCAGTTGGTCTCAAAAATAAGCAATTCCAATTGGAACATGAGAACGAAGAGTTACAAAGGAATACATTCAGGAAAATAAATTAATAGAAAAGGTAGCCTTCCTGATAGTTTGGGTTCTTTGAAAAATTACACTGAGTGGCCTTTTTTTATAGAGTTGAAGAATGCTCTAAGACTTAGGATAAAATTGAAGAAAATCAAGCAAAGAAAACGATAAGGTCGTCATCGCAGAAAAACAGTTATGGAGAAATGGAATTATACTCGTTATACACCACTTGGTTGAGCAGTGAATTGTCACAATAATGAAAATATTAATGCTTAGCCATAACTTATAATATACTGAGAATATAGGGAAGGGGAAGTAGGAATATAAGAGAATTAAGTCTTCATTGTCATATGTGAAAGTCAATAGTTACTATCTTAAAGTTGATGACTTGAAAAAGAGCAATATTCCTTTATTATTTAGATATGTGCCAGAAAGTAGGGGAAAAATATTTAAAGGCATTACCTCAGAAGAGCAGAATATGAGGAAAATTTGGCCCTCGTGTCAAGGGCATAAAGGTTTGCTGATAACATTGTTATAATTCTTTTCACTATTTGACTTTTTGGACTTTGATAAACATTAAAATTATTTTTAAAAATTAAATGAGAGAAAGAGGAAGTCTCAGTATTCTAAAGACCAAAGTGTTATTTTTCTGCTATTCATGTATCACTGATTATACAATATGCAGATACAACTGTTCTGATACTACTTTTCACTTGTGTGATTTCAGCCCTTTGCTTATAAAATGAATTAATTTTTTACATATCTGGGCTAAAACCATACCTCCCAAATTTGAGAGGCATTGAGATTTTTTCAAAAAAGAAAGAGAGTTATACAACTCTGAAATTTTCACTCAGGGAAGAAATAATTATCAATCTATATGTCAAAACATGACACTATTTTAAAAGTTTTAATGGTCAAGACCTCTCTCTTTCAGAGGCAAATATAAATAGCTCACTCAATTTTTTCATTTGCAAATATTATGTATTCCATTTACTATGCTAATATGAATTTTGTCTTCCTGAGAAAGGCACAATACACATCATGATGTGACTTACATAAGACTAGTAGTTTGAAGTTTGCACTGTTATGTGTATCTATTTTCCAAAGAGGGATAATTTTTTCTAAATCATTAAATGTGTGATGAGGGTTGGGGGGTTCAGACCTATGACAGAGATTTTGGCCAAGTTTCCAGAAACAAATACTTCATTTAAACATTTTTATTTTTTTTTTGAAGCCCAAATATTCACATTAATAATTAAAAACTAGTAATAGGAGTAGAATATCTTATATTCTCTCTTATCTCTATTTATTTGTTATGTTCTCTTTTCAGCAAACATGGCTCCCTGTAGTTCTCAGTATTTTTCATCTTGCTCTTTCCCCTAAGGTTTCTAGAAAACTTCCAATTCCCTGCTCAGACCTACTCTTTTTCTTGACGTCAAGGCAATTTTGAATCTTCAATTTAAGAAAGAATCATGTAAAACAACCACAATGGATTCAAAACATGGTCTACATTTTATATGCAGGGCAAAAATGCCTACAACAATACAAATACTTTAAATTAGGTATTTGTGATAAGACACCCCTCCTCTATTTCCAAGGAATATTCTGCAGTCAATACACATGCAATCCAGTCTCAGGCAGTATCTGTCCTGAAATTGCTATACAATAAGAACTATGTTTAAAATAATCCCTATGAAATTAACGATCCAGTATAATTAAAATGGGAATTTAATTTAAATAGCATTAAAGAATGGGAATTAGACTAAAACATTTTGTAAACGGTATTATTTCAACCAAGGGCTTTCTTCTCGGTCTTGGTTAACATAAATTCACAGTTAAGTCCTACCTAAACAAATATGTTAATATCCCCTGATCTGATGATGATTACATTCAATAGACTGCACTTCCATCCAGTAGATCAAGCCAGGAGGCTGGGAACAAGTTTGGCTTTTTTCCCCTTCCAATAGATCTTCACATTTTGCTCTCTGTACTTCTTAAATACCCATCAAGCCCAACTATGATTCTCTGTCTTTCCCATTGATGTCTCTACTGTATAAATTTCCTGTACCCTGGCACTCAGCTGGCCTCACTACTCTCCTCTGTTCTTCTCTCCCTGCTTAAAGCACTTTACTGATTTGCCCTTATGACACATTTTAGCCTCTTAGTATATACTTCAAGACCCTCCATGATTGATTCCACTCCCCATTGCATGTGTTCATATTTGTTTCAACCTGCCCTCTCCGTTTTTTTCTCACACCAACTACACTAGAGCTCCCATCCCTTCCTCACCTGCTTCCCCAATACCACTCCTGCCTTCTCCAACCTTGTTCCTTTCTTCTTTGCCTGATTACCTCCTATGCATCCTTTGAGCCTTCCATTTAAATGCCATTTCCTCGGAGTAGTTTTTCTTGCTTCCTAATTTATTAAATGTTGTAACCACTTTATCCATGTGCTTAGGTTCTGGGTTTACCCTCATTTGTAACTATGCGATAGGCAGGAGATGCCAATAGTTGTAGAAAATAACAAATTTTAAAATGAGAAAATACTATCTATTATTTATAAAAATCAAAGAAATCTCAATTACTCATCTCAACTGCACATTTGGGGATCGCTAACAGACATTAATGTGGGGTCTACAATTTGCCATTGCCTCAATTTTTTGTAATACTAAAAACTCAAAACTACTTGAAAAGGTAGGCAAAAGAGTATCATCATTTTCTTTGCATAAACAGGGAGTTTAAATGGTGCACTGAAAACCAACACCTATTAAGTTATTGACCCAGAGTTAGAATCTAGGACTCCAAGTTCAGAACTCTTTACTATCCATCCTACTCACGTGTCATAATCCTGAAAATTCAAGGTATTAACACCTTTGAAGTAACAATGCTCTCTCCAGATATTCGTATTTCAAAATGCAAATAATTCTATGAAGATTGCATATTAAAACACGCCGGGCCGGGCGCGATGGCTCACACCTGTAATCCCAGCACTTTGGGAGGTGACGTGGGCCGATCACGAGGTCAAGAGATCGAGACCATCCTGGCCAACATGGTGAAACCCTGTCTCTACTAAAAGTACAAAAAAATTAGCTGAACATGGTGGCGGGTGCCTGTAGTCCCAGCTACTTGGGAGGCTGAGGCAGGAGAATCACTGCACTCCAGCCTGGCAACAGAGCAAGACTCTGTCTCAAAACAAAAAAACAAACAAACAAAAACACCACGCCTATGTGTGAATTAATTTGTCATATAATTTTCCCTTAAGACAGAGGGGCTCTGGGTTAGTAGAGATTTACAGCCAATAATGGATGGCTGGAAAAAGAAAAAGACTGTCAGAAAAATAGAAGTAAGGGATGCATCAAGGAAACTTTGCATATTTACCTCTTTTGTTGACCACCTCCATACAAGAAAGCCTCATTCTAACTAAATATGTTCTATTTTTTAAAAGTAGCTCTTTTCTAGTCATATTTAACTGGCAGTAATAAAAATAAATTAGTAGTTTGATCTGTCTGTTCCTGATAGTTATAGCACCTCATATGTGAATAGCACCATACAATTTACAACATACTTGTATATTCATTATTCAATATGATCTTTTGAGCAAATATATGGTTTGCTTATTGATTGATGAGGAATCTAACTCTCACAGGCTCAATAGTTGAAATAAAGACAGACTCCCATTCTTCAGGCTCTAAAATCTTTCTTTCCCAAACCCCATAATGCTCATGCTCATAGAACATCATTCTCAGTGGATACTCACATTTCATCACACCTTGAATTTCATAAACAGGCTTGAGAATCAGGGTACCATAAAAGTCTTTAGGAAATGGATTCGTTGAGTCCCACTTATTTGAAAAATCTGTAAGGTTTACAGTTCTTGTTCTGTTCTTAGGAATCTTCCATTCAACAATCTCCTTTAGAGTGTAAATACGTTCATCTTCACACTCGTAGAATTCTCCTTCTTGTGACAAAGGCAAATTAAATGAGTGAGTTTGATGATTCCTTGCTACTGCACAGCTCACCATTATTTCTCCATCAATCTCTTCAACTGAGTTGAGCATGATTTGCTCACCCTGCTTTATGATGAGGTTCTCTAGTTTTATATCCTTCTGATGATAGAAGCAAGGATGCCCTAGTCTACTTGGTCCAATATGAATGGTCCTTGTGATTTCTTCCATAGTAAGGTATGGAGTTTTATCAGCCACAATCTTAAAAAGACCTAAGAACAGAATTACGTGAATTAAAAAGAGAGTTCTTACAATGAAAGTTCTCACAAGAAAATCACAAGGAGAGAGTTACAACACAAGTACTGCATACATTTTTAAAGTGATATCTTTTTAAAGATTAGAGATGCTTATTTTAATCCAGAGTTCTTCTAGGTAAAATTATGAAGTATTGCTTATAGATCACTAGATCATAAGACCAGACAATACAAATGGAGACAAGGGGAAAATACCTTGAAATAGAAAAGAAACTGTTCTTGGAAATGGGAAATCTGGATGACACTGGCTCTGTTCCAACTACTTTGTGATCCCAAGCAAGGCATCTTACTTCTCAGTCACATTTTAAATTTTTTATTTTTAAAATGAGAAGATTGGATTTGGTCAGCTTTTTTATGAATATATTCTCTAGACACACTAAAATTAAAAGATATTCCCAAAGGGAACTGATTTGTAGTCACATTCATGATTAAAAGCTATATAGCTGGGCCTGCAATCCCAGAACTTTGGGAGGCTGAGGTGGGAGGGTCACTTGAGGCCAGGAGTTTGAGACCAACTTTGGCAATGTGGCAAAACCCCATCTACACAAAGAATACAAAAATTAGCTGGGTATATTGGCGTGCACCTTCAGTCCCAGCTACTTGGGAGGCTGAGGTGACAGGATTGATTGAGCTCAGGAGGTAGAGGTTGTAGTGAGCCACGATCACTCCACTGCACTCCAGCCTGGGCAACAGAGTGAGACTCTGTCTCTCAAAAAAAAATAAAAAATAAAAAATAAAAAATAAAAGCTATATAGCTTGGACTAGATAGATAGCAGTGATGGTTGCACAATATTCCAAATGTACTTAAAGCCACTGAACTGTACACTTTAAAATGGTAAAGTTAATTTTATGTGTATTTTACCACAGTGAAAAAGTATGTGCATAGGTCCAAATAATGTAAGACTTCTCAGAAACTTTAAATACACCATGACTCTCAAGAGAAGAATATGAGATGCAGAATTTACCAAATTTCTTTGATTATAAAACCCTTGTGGAAAACACACATTAATAAATCACAACATAATATATCACATAACCCTCCTTGAAAATACCAGGTTCTGTAGTTGTTCTGGACTGACTGCTCTTGACTATATGTCAATTGTTCTTCTCATTTTCTCTCATTACTTCTCTAATTTTTCCATTAGAAAACTGCACTATTTTTACTATTTCATTGATATCTATTTCACTAATTTCAGTATTTGAAATGTTGTCTCCATCAAGATAACCAACTACTACAATAAAATTTTACTACTTAAGATACAGATTTTTGTACATTGTATGTCTAAGTGGTTCTGTTTGATTTATTTTATTTTTATTTTATGGGAGCAACTGCTTTGTATCACTTTCAGAAATGCATTTACTGAATAGATTTTAATAAATTCCAGAGAAAATGAGGACAAAGAAGAAATTAGTTAATTGCTTTCTTAACCCAAAAGTAATTAATAATATTATATACTAGCATGCTCTAAGAAGATAGTGTATTTTTAAAAACTTAGTAAAATTATATAGCTTCAAAAAGTCATTTATTATTTTGTCAACAAGTGTATTCCAGTGAAATTCATCTATATATCAAATCATTTTTAGCCAATTATAGTGTCATTTTTGTATATTTTTGGTTACTGTTCAAAGATTATTTTAATCAGTTATTTTTGAAGTCATTTTTACTCATACAAACAAAAGGAATTTTGGTGATTTTTAGATATAAACTTCCTGAAAAACTGTGACTGATGCAATCTTGGCAGGAATGAGCAAGGTAGCAAATGCAACCTATCCTAAAAACTTTTAGAAATAGAATAGTGTTCACTCACTGTATGCTGTGCTTGACTAAAATAAGGGAAAGACACATTTACTTTGAAGGGATTTCTCATTTTATTATATCCTGTATCAGGGAGAGTTCAATAAAATAGTGTTCTTGAATTCACCACAGTAAATGAATTTGTGTGTGTGTGCGCGTGCCTGTGTGTGTTTAATCTCATTTGTCTGTGTGTGAAGATTTATTTCTAAGAGTCCACAATCATTATGAGGGTATAGAAAATTCAGCAGTTATTGTGAAATAAGTTTTTAAAAAATGCGTACCTAAAATCTCATAAAAGGTAGAGACACATAGTTTTATTTTTATCCTAGCTATATCGATGACATAAGTCACAGAAGAATTAATTTGGTGTCATCTTTCTTGGGGAATAGAGCTCACCTAAGGTAATAACAGACCTAAAATATTATGAAGTAGGAAAAGGCTAAAACCCTAAAGGTCATCATTATTTCAGTTAATCACACTATTCAGAGCTGTCTTGCTGGATGTCTCTATTGCAAGAAAAATGTGTCTGTGAATCTGTGCTTTTCCTTAAAAGATGATGAAGTACACAGTTTAGCATACTAAAGTGGCACAATATAGGAAAAATATTTGATTAACTTATCTCTTCATATACTATTGCAGCCAATCCAAATCATTCCTTTTTAAAAACAGCCATTGAAAGCCATAAAAACTAGGACATGTTGTAGTTGTTGTTTTAATATGATGCCATATTGGAATTTCAGTTTCACAATGAAGAAAGTTAAATATAAACTAAAGCACCACTGGGACTGATTAGATCTAAATGTGACCAACTTTTTTTTCATCTTTTTCTCAAAGTGTACAATCGTTTTATACTGGGAAAAATATGCTTTGTTATTCTTCCAAAGAAAGACAAGACACATTCCAAGACTTGAGTAATCAAGTTATTAAAATAAGCCAATATGCAACCTTTATAAAACAAGTTAACACATGAAAATAGATGTCTATTTCCACCTAGGATTGTCAGATCTTTTTTTTTTTTTTTTTTTTTTTTGAGATGGAGTCTTGCTCTGTCTCCCAGGCTGGAGTGCAGTGGTACAATTTCGGCTCACTGCAAACTCCGACTCCCAGGTTCAAGTGATTCTCCTGCCTCAGCCTCCTGAGTAGCTGGGATTACAGGTGTGCACCACCATACTCAGTTAATTTTTGTATTTTTAATAGAGACAGGGTTTCGCCATGTTGGCCAAGCTGGTCTTGAACTCCTGACCTCAGGTGATCTGCCCGCCTCAGCCTCCCAAAGTGCTGGGATTACAGGTGTGAGCCATCACACCTGGCCTGTTAGTTCTCAAAATAAATTTTATTGTTATTTTTGAATTAGGAGACATTGTTCATTAAAAAAAACACGTCACTTAACTAACATAAATCATGGGAAATGTAATAGATTGACCTGCTAAAAATTAATTAATAAATGAATGTAGTCTTTCAAGTCTTTTCCTTGAATCTTAGGTTTTGAGTGAGTTTATATTTTTAACCCATTCTTAATGATTTGCAGTTGTTATTAACAGTAATTGCAACAACTGAAATTTGTTTAGAAATTTACAAGTTTGAAAACTTTTTCATATGCATCCTTTATCCTTACAATAATCTTTTGAGGACAATGAAAGAAATATTATTACTATAGGGGGATATGAAAATAGTTACAATTTTTACAACTGGTAGTCATAGCTCTGGAATCTCAATCTGAGCTTTGACATCCAAGGTTTGCATCCTGCCACCAAGCCAGTCTTGCCTCCCTGTTGCATGTATGACTTACAAGGACATTGCTCATGAGAATAACATGTTTATGGGTCTCACCAGCCAGCCCTCTCTTTACATGGATCAGCCTTCCCCAGATGCCATGGTGTGAGAAGAACAATAATAATCTCTGGTCCTACTTTGAAGGCTTTGATAGGTTATTTCATGCACACCATTTCAATCTAAAGATGAATAGAGATACTTGAGCTAGAACTTCTAATGGAAACACTGGATTTGGGGTAGTCTTAAAAAATATACATTTGTAGAATATACCAACCTAAAATTTGTCTTGGGAATGTAACACAGTGATAGAAAAGCCACAAGAAACATGTGAAATGAGAAATATATATGACAAATATATAATAACAAGGATGTTTAAGTTGGTATATTCTATAAATCTATCAAAGCAAAAAGTTCAAAATCCTCAAAGTATTGGAATATAAAATAATAATAGTCTGAACTGAGAAGAGTCTCCAGATTTTGGTGTCAATTATAGATCACTGAACATCATCAACTAATGAGTGACTCCAACAATCTTCAAAGAAGAGTCTTCAAGAGCAGAAATAAGCAATGTGGGGGAAGTTAAAGTGTGTGATAAAGAAATGATACACAGTAATTTAACTGAGTATTTGGGAGGGCAGAACATATGTCTAAGATGGTGAGGAAGTTTCTTAAAATGTTGAGGGAAACTAAGTGAGACTATAGAATGCCTGTGTTCAAATGTCTTTACATTAATAATTGATTTGGGGCCAGGCGTGGTGAGTCACGCCTGTAATCCCAGTACTTTGGGAGGCCAAGCGGGGACAAATCATTTGAGGTCAGGAGTTCAAGGCCAGCCTGGCCAACATGATGAAACCCCGTCTCCACTAAAAATACAAAAAAAAAAAAAAAAAAAAGCTGGGCGTGGTGGTGCGTGCCTGTAGTCCCAGCTGCTAAGAAGGCTGAGGTAGGAGAATCGCTTGAACCTAGGAGATGAAGGTTGTAGTGAGCAAAGAACATGTCACTGCACTCCAGCCTGGGCAACAGAGTGAGACTCCATCACAAAACAATAATAGTAATAATAATAATAATTGAATTGAAACTGTCTGCAGTAGCTATTAATAGTTTTTCATATTGCTTTTACCTGCAGAGGTAAAAGAATATATCATAAAATCTTTCAATTCATTTTTACCTCTTTGGTTCAACCATTGCATGGGGAAAACAAATAAACTTTCCCAGTAACATTTAAACTCCTTGAAAGGAGTGACTGCAAAACCTAACACATTTGGGATGCTTAACAAATTACATATTAATAATGTTAGCTCTTAAGATCAAATGATATAATCTGATATCTAGGCCTAAAGCTTTATTGTAGTCACAGCTTATTAATAAATGTGCCGCACGTCATACATACACTTGTTCATGTTAAAACTTTCTCTCTCCCAGGCAGCGAGAGTGAGTAATAGACCTACGATGAGGAGAGAGAATGTGAGAAATTGTTATTTTCATAACCTTGATGGCAACACAGCTCCCTAGATGCTCATTAGTTCTGCAGAGCACTGTTCCTTGTGTTTTGAGAAGACACATAGAGGTATCAGGGCTAGAAAGAACCTCCACAGACCTTAGGCACCCCCAAACCTCTCACAAAGCATTGTTAAGAGGATCTTCACAATACCACATATTTGCTGTTCCTAGCCCTAGGTGATTTTAGGTAGAATTTTCAGGATTCCCAGGCCCTAGGTGATTTTGGGCAGTAGAACTTTCAGGATAAAGGGAACACAACTAGAGTGGGGTGGTTAAGATTATGGCTTGACAATTCCTATTAGCCTGGGTTTTAATTCTGGCCTCAGCCCCTTCCTTAACATGTATACTTCAGAATTTAAAGTCTCAGGGCTACAATTTCATTTTTCATAAAATGAGAAAAATTATATCATCTACCACATAAAGTCATTGTGGTGATTAAATAAGCTAATACAGGTAACATGATTAGGTAGTACTTAACAGCTAGTAAGCACCAAATGATTAAAAACATAGTGGTTATTAAGTCTCCTCATTTGCCTTTACCCTGGGATTCTAAGCCATTGTAGGATGGTTATAAGGTCAGAAAAATTGGTACCTATGTAATTTCAATGCCAACGAGGACAAATTAGATATTCTAGCCTGGATCAAAATCGAGATAACAAAATATATGGAATCTACAGCTCAGCATCTGGCACAGATTGAGCAAAAATTTCCAGGAATGATAATTTCCACAGATTTCACCAGCATGTTTGAATATGGAAATGAGCCTCAGGTGACCTCTTTAGGTGGACTGCCTTTGGAGAAATATTTCCAGGTTGCTTTGAGGAGCTTGTCCGACCCCATGCTTTGATAAATTACTTAGAATTTAACCATCATAATTTTATGCCCATAATGAGCAGATTAGAGGGAGAATAAAAGATGTAAGCACATTTTAAATGCAAATATTATGCTGCTCGTTGTTATTCACAAGGTATACATTATACACAGTTACTGAAGTTCCCTTGAACAAAGAAAACAGCAAAATGCCAAGGCATTTTTGAAAAAGTGTTTTATTCATGACTCTGAAAGGTAGCTGAAGCCAGTTGAGGGAGGACTATACCCTCCCTCTATTTTAATGATCTTAATTTTGTTAATGGAATGTTAGTAGAAAGAGTTTGGGAGCCATGTGGAGCTGATTGTGTTGTTCAGTATTGATGTTGCCTGCAAATTAAATGTACCTAAGTAGCCACCTGTTTATGCTTATGATTATGTAAAGCCCCATATGTTTCTCTCTCTACACATGGGAGGTAAATATTGAAGAAATTATTCTGGTGTGAAGGGTGAAAACAGCAGCAATTCTTCTATAACTGTCAACATATGCTGTGGTGTTTCCTTGTAACATTGTGCTTTGTCTGACATATTTGCTGATTTTTATCATGCAGTGTTCAAAAAAATCTGTTACCCATGGTTATACAAAACAATTAAAAATCAGTTTACATTAAATTCAAATTAGAAAGAGCTATAATTTCCCAATGTAACCATAAGTATTAAATGAATGTCAGGGCTTAGGATTTAAATAGATTTTGATTTGCACAATAAAGAAAACTGAATTTTTGTTTTTCTAAATTCACCAGTATATAAAAAGGAGCATTTTCTCTCTAAACACATTCTTTTGGTTCCATATTACTAGGCAATAAAACTAACTTCAACAGCATGAATTTGAAAATCCTGCCTAAAATCAGCACTGGGCTCATGAACTGGCTAACCCACAACTCTCCCAGTGGATTTGACTTGGACAGGAGCTTACTGGCCCCTGACGGTCCTCTCTGGAAGCTTTGACCTGGTACCTGGTCAGCACGAACACCTGAACAGCTCTGAGATGAATTTCTTCAGAGCACTGGGGGGTCTCGTGCAAGTAACTCCTATGGAACTGCCTCAAAACTATTCAGAGATTGACCCAGACAGTCACTTCCAGGAAAGAGCACAGCATTTGGAGCTGCTATTGTTGATCACTTTAGACACTGAAGATAAACAAATTGGGGTTTTCCAAGGTTTGTGTTTGATTAAGAGGAGTTTAAATGCTGGCTGTCTGGCAGCCCTGGATATGGCCGTCCCTGACCTTCCAATATAAAGTATACACAAAAAGACACAGAAAATGATAGAAAACGATGAAAACTTACCATATCATCAAAAACTAAGAATAATAGACCAACTACTGCAAAAAGCCAGAAGGAAGTTACCTCATAATAGGAAGAATAGAGCTGCAATGAGAAAATTCAAGGCCTACCCATGCCGGGGCTCATGAAACAGAGGAGCCCCCCCAAAATTTTTAAAAGATAATAATAATGAGAAAAACAATATTAACACTGTTGTTGAGTACATGTTATGTGCCATGGTCTGTCGTAAGCTAATCTCCTCATTTAATTTATTTGATCCTCTGAAGAATTTTGTAAGATAAATGCTATTAATGTTTTCTCTACTTTATATATGAGGAAATTGTTAAATCAAAGCACTAAAACACACCAAGGAACCCAGCCTAAATTTCTATTTGTGTGTTTGTGTTTCTGTGTGCATGTGTGTGTAGTATGTGTATATATGTATGCATATATATATATCTATATATATTCTCAAAAAAATTTTAACAAATTTAAAATAAAATTAAAATCACTCATTCTCACTGGACTGAAACAGCTGCTTTTAAAATTCTGACATTTTTTAACTTGATATATATACAGAGAGATAAAAATGTTTTAAACAATGTCGAAACTCTACTATAGACACTTCATTTGACTCCTACTTGTCTCATTTAATACTGAACCGAATAAACCTCATGCTTTACAATATTTTTCACAAATATAGTTGTTAATAGATGAATAATATGTTGTAAGGAATGTATCATGATTTACCCGATTCCTCACTGTTGGGCATTTAAGTTGATTCTATTATTTTCCTATTACAAATAATTCTAAAATGATTATTTCTTTGGAGTTGATTCGACAAGTGGAAGCACTGAGTTAAAGCTTTAAACATTATAAAGGCTCTTTTCTCAGCACAGTACTGGTTCCAGGATGGCAGAACCAAGACTAAATGTACCTGTGTCATCAATAATTATCTCTGTACATGCATAAGATGTAGATGGAATTCAAAATATATTACATGTATTTTCAAAGAAGCTACTCAATCTATTACAAAATTTATTTTCAGGAAGGATACACTCCTCAGTTAGGTTTAAGAGTGACCCTTTGACAATATTTTTCCCAACTTCATAAATGCAAAAGCTTAGATACCTATATAGGTGGAAAAGTTGTTATTGTGTTAGTACAAACTAATTTCTACACAATTATAAACCATTTGAATTTCTTCTAAGCTTTGTCCATTTTCCTATTAGTGTTCTACTAGAATATTTATTGATTTTTCTGTTTTCCATTTCAGTGACATTTAGTCTTTTAAAAATTGAGTTATCTTCCTTTGCTATTAAACATTTCTTCCTCATTTTTTTACTTTATGACAGAAAGTTTCATTTTATGTATTCAAATATATTGTTTCCTTATGGTTTTCTATTATATTTGCAACTTGAAAGTTGTTTCAAATATAGACATAAGATAGTTTTCCTTAAAATGTGATGTTTTCATCTATTTCAAATTTCTTTTGCTATGGTATAATGTTGATGATCCAATTTGATCTACTGTTTGCTACATTATTAACTATACTAGAACAATTTACTAAATAATTCTTCCTTTAAACCCAGATGTGCAGTAAAAACTTTATCAAACAGCAAATAATACTCTGCATTAAAGTCTGTTTCTGAGCTATAAACAAATGCTTAAGTGCATGGCACTAGAGTCAAATTAAAAACATTGCTGTGACGCTTCTATAACAACTAGTACCACTATTGTAAAAGTAATTTATTGATGCAGTTTTTGATTTTCTGTAAGCAACATATAGTACCATTTATTATAACTTTGTATCAGACATTAATGTTGGCAGGACAAGTACTCCCTCATTATCCTATTTTTAAAATATTTGCTTGAATATGTTCACTTGTTTATTCTCCCAAGTGATTTTTACAATTACTCTCTCAAGAGGCAACATAGTAATAATTATGATTATAATATGGAAATTTTATTCTGCATTATGTTGAACATAAATTAATTCATATGTAATTGATATATTTATAATATTCAGTTTTCTGATTCAAGCACGTCTATTTTTTAATAAATAAGTAAACTTGTATAATACTTTTTAAGTAAATAAATGAGTTAGTTATAAAATATGTTACCCCTATATATTCTAAGTGTTTATAAATGGAAAATTATAACTATATGTATTCTTATATGTAAGAATATATTCCTTTATGTACATACAGTTGTTTTACATATTTGTTCATCTTGTCATCTTACCAAGTTTCAATATTTTGTCTCATTTGATACTCTGTTTTACAGGGTAATGTTACTATTTGCAAATAATGATTACCACCTCTTTTTTTAATTTTCAATTTGTTTGAGATGGAGTCTTGCTTTCACCCAGGCTGGAGTGTAGTGGTGGAGTCACAGATCACTGCGGCCTCGAACTCCTGGGTTCATGCCATCCTCCCACCTAAGCCTTTCAAAGAGCTGGGATTACAGGCATGAGCCACTATGCCCAGCCAATTAACAACTCATTTCTAAAAGTCTTTTAATTCATTAATTTCTGGCCATATTTACTTACTCGCAATTCTAGAAAGAAGTTAAATAGGTCAAAACAAACACCCTTATAAGAACAACTCTTCCCTTGCATGACTCACCTAAGCACTGCACATCTTGGTTCCCCTACCTGACTACAGGGCATCGTTGACAGTGTGACCCTCTGCCAGGTCTGTCAGGCCCTGCCATTTTCAAGGATGTTGAAGATTTAAAATTTCATGTTTCTAAAAAAATGGAGACAGGGACACTAAAAGCCATTAAATTGTATATTTTAATCAGGTGAATGTTGTTATGTGGAAATTGTTATAATGCTATTAACTCAAAAAAATGAGATGGGAAAGACAAACAGTTAAGTCACACCCTCAAAAAAGCAGTTAGATTGGCCCCCTCAAAAGTTCCTAGTTGGAATGCAAATTAGCAGAGCCTTTATGAAATGTGATTGACAATATGTATCAGATCTTTAAAAACATTTTTACTTCTATGTATATAAGATTATTATAATAATCAGAAATGCAGACAAAATGTTAGTTTAAAAGGCTGTTCATCACAGTACAAATTGTATAAATGGCCATGTTCAGGATGGATTGAATACATTATGGAATATGCATGTGAGGGACTATTACCTAGAAAATAAAAATTATGCCTTGAAGAATATTTAATGACACAGGCAAGTCCTCAGAATAAGATTTTTTCCCATTATGCTAAAACATGTGTCTATATGTATGCATGTGTACAATGTACTGGAAAACAACAGAAACAAATGTATCTAATATTAATGCTAGATGAGTCTGGTGATGATATTATAGTGAGTTTTATTTACTTTCCTGAATTTTCTCCCATTTTCTAATTTTCTACAACATGCATGTGTTACTTGTAAAACAGAAAAATAAATACATCTTATAGCTTTAAAAACTCGGGTTCTTTATCTTCACACAAAATCCTGCACATGAATGTTTATAGCAGCCTTATTCGTAATTGCCAAGGCTTGGAAGTAATAACTATGCCCTTCAGTAGGTGAATGGATAAACTGTGGTACATCCAGACAATGAAATATTACTCAGCACTAAAAATAAATGACTTATTACATCATGAAAAGCCATGTAAGAACCTTAAATATGTATTAGTAGGTGAAAGAAGTCAATCTTTAAAGGCTACATACTATATGATTCCAACTATATGACGCTCTGAAAAAGGCAAAATATGGAGACAGGAAAAGGATCAGTGGTTACCACGGATTAGAGGAGAGAGGGGAATGAGTAGGCGGAGCACAAAGGATTTTTAGGGTGGTGAAACTATTTTGTATGACACTATCAAAGTGGATATGTGTCATTCTACATTTATCAAAACCCATAGAATGTACAACACCAAAAATGAACCCAAATATAAACTGTGAACTTTGAGTGAAGATGATGTGTCAATGAAGGTTCACTACTTGCAACAAATGTACCACTCTAGTGTTGTACATTGATGGTGGGGGAGGCTGCCATATATGGCATGTTGGGGGTCAGGAAGTATAGGGAAACTCTGCTTGCATTCCAGTGGCAAAACCTCTAAATCCCCAAAATGTAACTGTGTATAATTATAGAAATGTTCTCTACCAACGTTCAGTTAAGATGCAAGAAACAGAAGATCCAATTGTTTAAGGGCAATCTAGTTCCTCTCATGAGAATCCTTCCCTGCTGGTACTGTTAAGGTAGCATCATAAAAAGCTTTTAGAATTGTGCCGGTAAGAAAGACGGATGGTAAGGACAATGAGTGATGAGATAGATTTTAGAAGATGGAGATAAAACATTAATACCAAGAAAACTTATAGAACAGCACCAGCTGTGGAACAGCCTCCTTTAAAATGATCTTTCTGACAGAATTCTGATCTGATATTACAATGCACATAGATGAGTAACAGAATCATTTTAACCTAGAACTGCAAAAGCTGTTTGTCTTTTGGCTAATATACATGGTAGTTATCCAAAGACCAAGGATGCAGAGAAATAATCTGATCATGAACTAAAAAGCAAGAGAAAAAAAAATAGACCAAGAAATAGATCTTAAAATTATTTTAAAAGCCTGAATTTCTTTTGCATGCTGATTAATTCACATTTTCTTGCATAGTTTATACAAAATACCCCTTTTTGTCAAAGAAAAGATGTTGTAAGGTAGACACAGCTGAGTTTACTTTGCTTAAGTGAGCACAGTGGGAAATAGTACCTTAAGAGAAGTTGACCCAGAAAATTTGGAAAAATAGCCCCTGATTCCTTGGATAGCGAATTATCTAAAAGGCAGGAGCTCTATTTAGGGCTGCTCTGAGTCATGTTTTATCATAACATCCAGATGGAAAAACAGTAGCAACTTCTGACTTACATTCCTTGCTTCTTTTAACAAAAGTCCCTAAAAAACAGAAGATGGAAAGGTTATTTAAAGCTAGCAAATGTATATATTTTTTGCATAATAATTTTCCTATCAGGTCCTTTAGAAACTTATATTTTAATCAAATAAAAAAATCAGCTACAATAATAAAATAAAGATGAAAGATTGATCATTTCAATAGTAGATGAAAATACAATGAATGACGATTGAATGTAATACATATTTTCTGTTAATGGAGTATATAATTCTCCAAATGAAACAATGGTCATTGTTAATGTGTTAGAATTAACAATGTTAATGTATCACATATTTGGTACCCAGGCATAAAGGAGCAGATTTTATAAATTTTAGCCATTTAGCCTTAATTAATTTCTTACAGAAACAATTCTATTAATTCAATTTCTGTCATCAGTTATTTTAATACTTTTCTGAATTTTTCACATGTCCAATAAAAATGATTTTTTTAAGTCTTACGGCTTAAGGGATATAGTCATGTTGGAAGAGAATTCTCCGTAGCATTTCTATACGCCTTGGGAGCTAGAGGTAGCAGGTTTCTTTTCAACTAGTATAAAAATGATAAGAGAATGTCTCCCTCCCCAGAGACATTCTAGGATAGAAAAGTCTTTCTCCTCACCTCAAAGGAATTATTTTACATTCCAAGGTAATAAATATAATTTTTCTTGGAGGGCAAAAGTTGGCAGTTCGCCAGCAACCCCTTATTTGGGGTTTGTAAGCTCAGGGTTCCCCAATTATGTGTTCAGCAACCCCCTGTGTCACTTTGGGGGTCTTGGGGGTCAAAGACAACCTCTGAGACATGAAGTTTATCCTGCCTGCTGTGCAACTCGGGCTCACTGTCTCCTTAGTGATGTAATTCATGGAAGGGTGGTATCACCCTAGTAGCTTCCTGGCTACTTAAGAGTTTCCTGACAACTTGATAGATGAAATCCTTTTATCTGGTAGAAATTAATTTAAGTAGGAAGCACGTCCCAAAGCTTGTTTTTAATACATGGTTTAAATCTATGAAACATATGAAAGAAATTTTCTATTTAGTGAATTTAGTAAATTTTCTAACATTCATCTAAAAATTTCTGTTTCCTCTTGTTCTAGGAGTGATATTAGTTCAAATCTTTTTAACATTACAATGCTACTGCATATAGTAGAAAAATTCCTTATTATGGCATTAACGTTGATTGACAAAAATATCACCTCTTTTTTTTTTTCTATGATTAAGCAAGAAGTGCTTCAGAACACAAATCTGGACCTATACATACTGTTCATATCTGTTATTTCCAATACTGTACCATTAACGTAGCCATTGTGCTGAGCACTTGAAATGTGGCTACTTGAATTTGGACAGTCTAAATTGAGATGTACTATAAGTGGAAAATATATATCAGATTTTAAAGGGTTAGCATGAAAAGATGTAAAATATTTCGATAATTTTATATCAATAAGTTGTTGAAAGTATAATATCCTAGATACACATTTTAAATAAAACATATTAAAATTAATGTCACCTTTCTTTAATTTTTAAAGAAAGATATCTGTGCTAGGTAGCCTCCAAGATGGTGCCCAGTTATTTCTCCCTCCTGGTAGTCACACCCTTGTTCAGTGCCCTCCCAGATTGCACTAGCATTGATCTGTGTGATCAAAAGGGTATGGTAGAAGTGATGGTATGTCACTTCTGAGATTAGGCCATAGAAGACTGGTTTCAGTCTTGGGCTTGTTTCCACTCTCAGACCACTAAGTCAGTGAGAACCCTATGGAGAGGACCATGTGGTAAAGAATTGAAGCCTCCCAGAACAGCCATGTGAATGAACTTGATAATAGATCTCCAAATCACAGTCAAATCTTCAGAGACTCCATTCCCTGCCTACGGCTTCACTGCAACTCCATGAAAGACCCTGAGGCAGAACTATAGCATCTAAAGCACTCCCGATTCCTCAACCTCATAAATTATGTGAGAAATGTTGTTTTAAGTTGCCAAATTTAGACACAACTTACTATGCAGATATATGTAAGTAGTAAATGTGGATATTGAACATTTGAAATCACATATGAGGTTCATATTATATTTTTATTGGACAGTGCTAGGGCAGACTCAGCGTAACCACTTGCTATGTGATTTGGGGCAAATTACTTGGTGATTCTGTTTTCTCATCTGTAAAGTCTGAATTCAATTAGTAATTTATATATACATAAAAGTGTTTAGAAAAGTTTTATATGTAAAAATATTAAGAACAATGTCTGGTACATCTTTGGTATCTTCATTTGAGTGTGTGTTATGGACAGGATAGGGTAAAGGGTAGTAGAGGATGTTCCATCTCAAACATTTCCTTCATGTCTGCTACCTCCCGAAACAAAATTCCTATACAGCAACAAAATTCATAGAGTATAGTCTAAATATTAAAACAGAAAAATGTCTTTATCTGGCCTTATAATTTTAAGGGTGGTTTTATAGATGCAACTACAGTCTTCCTTCACCATATCATTTGGAGAAAATGTGAACTTGCTGTTTGGGAAAAAAAAAAATCTATGTTCTTCATAAAAATGGTATTGAAACACTCTCAGGCTATTTCTCATGACTAAGAGAATATGTTTATTATTCATGCTCCATAACACTCTGAAAGAGGGACAAATCTTTCCAGGAGGTAATCCAGAAATTTGGAACTTCACTATAAACCACACATGACATGATTTACCAATCTATGGAGATAATGTAATCAACTACCGAATAGGATATATTTTTGTTGCTTTTGGCAAGATTGGCATGTTTTCTAGCTCATAAAATACTTCAGCTAGAAAGAGTGTTTTCTAAAAGCAGTATGTTTTGTTTCATTCATTACTGAAATGATTGCTTATTATTTCTTTTAAAATAATTGAACATTTTTGAGGTGTCAAAAGAGACATATGGAAATAAAATATTAATATAGGATGAAACCAGTGGTGCATATATTTGGAGTTCAGATCCCCATTCAAATTTTAGTAAAAAAAAAAAAGGCTCCAGTATATCCCCTGAAAGTGTGCTTGTCAAACTCTGCAAATCTTTACCCTCTTGACTTTTTCTTGAGCTTGCATTTGCTGAAGCTGCATCTACAAAGCTATGTTTATTGGTCAAAGGCTGGGTATCTTTCCTCAGTAGATTTTCTTTATTTACAAAGAAGTAATTCTGGGCACTCTTGCCAAGGTATTGTCATCTTCAATACTTTTAAATTATTGGATAAATTTGAGGATATATGAGTTTACATACTTTAATACAGAAGAGCAGGTCAATTTTTTTCAAAAGTCGAAAAATTAACCAAATAATTGGAGCAACCTGGGAAGCATTTATTGAAGAAAAATGGCTGAATCTTGGTAAGAACAGCAAACTTTGTGGCACTTTAACTTGTATTCCCATTCTCTCCTCCCCGACACTCAGGTCCACAGTAACCTTGAAAACTAACAACCTGTAATCACGAAAAAATAATCAACTTGACAGTCATAGGAGAAAGCAGTAAGAGGTTGAAGTATCTTCAAAGCTCAATCCCAGAGAATTGTTATTATTTGACATATCTGGTGGCTCTCTGGAAGATCACACTTGCATGGTTGTCTCTTTGATCTCATTTTGAACTCATTATTGGGGAAAGGCTTTTCTCAGAGCACTTGCCAAAAATAATAAAAGAAAATTGTTTAACTTTTGTGGCTACCTGCAGTGATGGGAAAAAAAATAATAGGCTAACCCAAAAACTTAAAAAGAATAGCTGGGAAATGAGATTTCCATAAAAAAAATTGAAAAGTTCCAACATATTCCTAAGAATCCAGAAAGTCACATGAGTAATTTTAAACACATGCCCAGGACTGTTTGCATACGCAAGAAAGACCCACAAAAGCCCTCACCTCTCAATTCTGGCTAACTGAGGCTCTACCTGAGCCCAAATTCAAGGCTAAGCTAGAATTTTCAATTACCTGACTGAGTGTTGACAGAATGTTCCCAAATGAACAACAGAGCCCTTCAACACATACTGAAAACATGGTTTCAACTGTGTAAGTAAATCTCTGTTCAGACATCAGTTGTCCACTAAGCTAACTAAGCAGGGACTTCTGTGGCCACACATGATGGAGAATGCAGACTTTACAGATTTAGTTCAGAAAATTCACTAAACAAACAACTACCAATAACAGCAAGCCCTGGAAAAAGGAAACAATTTGATTATACAATTGCCACATTATAGCATTTAAAACATCCAGTTTCAAACAAAAATTATGAGAAGGCAAAGGAACAAGAAAGTATGACCTGTACACAGTGGGAGAGGGCAAGCAATCAATAGAAGCTGTTCCTGCAGAGTGAGATTCACCAAGAAAAAAAGAGAGAAGATTTAAATAAGCTCAATTAGAAATGAAATTGGAGATATTACAACCAATACCACATAAATACAAAATATCATTCAAAACTGCTATGAACACCTTTATGTGAACAAACTAGAAAATCTAGAGGAATTGGATAAATACCTGGAAGCATACAATCCTCCTAGATTAAATCACAAAGAAATGGAAACCATGAGCAGACCAATAACAAGCAGTGAGATTGAACCAGTAATTTAAAAATTGCCAACCAAAAAAAGCCCAGGGCCAGATAGATTCACAGCTGAATTCTACTAGACATTCCAAGAAGAATTACAACCAATCCTACTGAAACTATTCCAAAAAAATAGAGAAACATAGAATCCTCCCTAAACATTCTATGTAGCCAGTATCATCCTAACACCCAAACCAGGAAAGGCCTTAACAAAAAAAAAGAAAGCTACAGACAAAAATCCCTGAATATAGTTGCAAAAATCCTCAACTAAATATTAGCTAACTAAATCTAATAGCAAATCAAAAAGATAATACATCATTATCACATGAGTTTCATCCCAGGGATGCAGAGATAGTTTAACCCAAGTAAATAAATGTGATACATCACATAAACAGAATTAAAAACAGAAATCACATAATTGTCTCAATAGATGCGGAAAAAGCATTTGATAAAATTCAGCATCTCTTTATGATAGAAACGCTCAAAAAAATAGGTATAGAAGGGACTTAGCTCAAAGTAATAAAAGCCACATATGACAAACCCACAGCCAACATCATACTGAATGGGGAAAAGTTGAAAGCATTCCCACTGAGAACTGGAATAAGACAAGGATGCCAACTTTCACCACTTCTCTTTAACATAGTACTGGAAGTCCTAGCCACAGCAATTAGACCAGAGAAAGAAATAAAGGGCATCCAAATTGGAAAAGAGGAAGTCAAACTGTTGATATTTGCCAATGATATCATCGTACATCTAGAAAAACCTAAAGACTCATCCAAAAAGCTCCCAGATCTGATAAACAAATTTAGCAAAGTCTCAGGTTACAAAATCAATGTACACAAATCAGTAGCACTGCTTTAAATCAACAATGACCAAACTGAGAATCAAATCAAGAACGCAATCCCTTCACAATAGCTGCAAAAGAAACCTAAACAAAAACAAAAACCAACCTTATATTTTAACCAAGGAGGTGAAAGAACTTTATAAGAAAAACTAAAACACACTGCTGAAAGAAATCATCAGTAACACAAACAAATGGAAACACATCCCATGCTCACAGATGGGAAGAGTCAATATTGTGAAAATGACCACACTGCCCAAAGGAATCTACGGATTCAATGCAATTCCCATCAAAATACCAGCATCATTCTTTACAGAATTAGAAAAAGCAATCCTAAAATTTTTATGGAACCAAAAAGAGCCCACAGAGCCAAAGCAATACTAACCAAAAAGAACAGATCTGGAGGGATCACGTTACTCAATTTCAAATTATTATTATTATTATTATTATTATTATCATTATTATTTTATTATACTTTAAGTTTTAGGGTACATGTGCACAATGTGCAGGTTGGTTACATATGTACACGTGTGCCATGTTGGTGTGCTGCACCCATTAACTCGTCATTTAACATTAGGTATATCTCCTAATGCTATCCCTCCCCCCTCCCCCCCACCCCACAACAGGCCCCGGTGTGTGTGTGATGTTCCCCTTCCTGTGTCCATGTGTTCTCATTGTTCAATTCCCACCTATGAATGAGAACATGCGGTGTTTGGTTTTTTTGTCCTTGTGATAGTTTGCTGAGAATGATGGTTTCCAGCTTCATCCATGTCCCTACAAAGGACATGAACTCATCATTTTTTATAGCTGCATAGTATTCCATGGTGTATATGTGCCACATTTTCTTAATCCAGTCTACCATTGTTGGACATTTGGGTTGGTTCCAACTCTTTGCTCTTGTGAATAGTGCTGCAATAAACATACGTGTGCATATGTCTTTATAGCAGCATGATTTATAATCCTTTGGGTATATACCCAGTAATGAGATGGCTGGGTCAAATGGTATTTCTAGTTCTAGATCCCTGAAGAATCGCCACACTGTCTTCCACAATGGTTGAACTAGTTTACAGTCCCACCAACAGTGTAAAAGTGTTCCTATTTCTCCACATCCTCTCCAGCCCCTGTTGTTTCCTGACTTTTTAATGATCGCCATTCTAACTGGTGTGAGATGGTATCTCATTGTGGTTTTGATTTGCATTCCTCTGATGGCCAGTGATGATGAACATTTTTTCACATGTCTGTTGACTGCATAAATGTCTTCTTTTGAGAAGTGTCTGTTCATATCCCTTGCCCACTTTTTGATGGGATTGTTTGTTTTTTTCTTGTAAATTTGTTTGAATTCATCGTAGATTCTGCATATTAGCCCTTTGTCAGATGAGTAGATTGCAAAAATTTCCTCCCATTTTGTCGGTTCCCTGTTCACTCTGATGGTAGTTTCTTTTGCTGTGCAGAAGCTCTTTAGTTTAATTAGATCCCATTTGTCAATTTTGGCTTTTGTTGCCATTGCTTTTGTTGTTTTAGACATGAAGTCCTTGCCCATGCCTATGTCCTGAATGATATTGCCTAGGTTTTCTTCTAGGGTTTTTATGGTTTTAGGTCTAACATTTAAGTCTTTACTCCATCTTGAATTAATTTTTGTATAAGGTGTAAGGAAGGGATCCAGTTTCAGCTTTCTACATATGGCTAGCCAGTTTTCCCAGCACCATTTATTAAATAGGGAATCCTTTCCCCATTTCTTGTTTTTGTCAGGTTTGTCAAAGATCAGATAGTTGTAGATATGCGGCATTATTTCTGAAGGCTCTGTTCCGTTCCATTGGTCTATATCACTGTTTTGGTACCAGTCCCATGCTGTTTTGGTTACTGTAGCCTTGTAGTATAGTTTGAAGTCAGGTAGCGTGATGCCTCCAGCTTTGTTCTTTTGGCTTAGGATTGACTTGGCAATGCGGGCTCTTTTTTGGTACCATATGAACTTTAAAGTAGATGCCATCCCCATCAAGCTACCAATGACTTTCTTCACAGAATTTCAAATTATACTACAAGGCTATAGTCACCAAAACAACATAGTACTTGTATGAAAATATGCACATAGACCAATGGAACAGAATACAGAACCCAAAAATAAAGCCACATACTTACAGTCAGGTGATCATCAACAAAGCATACAAAAACGTAAATTAGGGAAACAATATAATATTCAATAAATGGTGCTAGAAAAACTGTCAAGCCACATGTACAAGAATGAAACTTGATCCCCATTTCTCATGTTATACAAAAATCAACTCAAGATGGGTCAAAGGTTGATATATAAGACCTGAAACCATAAAGTTTTGGAAGATAACATCAGAAAAATTATTCTGGAAATGAGCTTAGGCAAATAATTCATGACTAAGACACCAAAAGCAAATGCCACAAAAATAAATAAATGGGACCTAATTAAACTGAAGAGTTTCCACACAGCAAAAGAAATAAGCAGCAGAGTAAACAGACAACCCACAAAGTGGGAGAAAATATTTGCAAACTATGCATCCAACCAAGGACTAGTATCTAGAATCTATAAGGAACTCAAACAAATAAGCAAGAAGAAAACTAATAATCCCACCAACAAGTGGGCAAATGACATGAACAGCTATTTCTCAAAAGACTATACACATATGAACAACAAACATATGAAAAATGCCCAACATAACTAATAATCAGGGAAATGCAAATTAAAACCACAATGAGATACCACCTTACTCCTGAAAGAATAGCCATAATAAAAAAGTCAAAAAACAATAGATGATAGATGTTGGCATAAATCTCATGAAAAGGAAACACTTTTAGACTGCTGGTGAGAATATAAATTAGTACAACCACTATGGAAAACAGTATGGAGAGTCCTTAAATAACCAAAAGTAGAACAATCTGGCAATTCCATTACTGCATATCTACTCAAAGGAAAAAAAGTCATTGTATGAAAAAGACACATGCATACACATGTTTATAACAGCACAATTCACAATTGCAAAGATATGGAACTGACCTAACTGTCCATCAACCAACAAATGGATTAAAAAATGTAGTATATATACACCATGGAATATTACTCATCTGTAAAAAGAAATGAAATAATGTCTTTTGCAGCAACTTGGATGGAGTTGGATGCAATTATTTTAACTGCAATAACTCAGGAATGAAAAACAAAATATCATATTTTCTCACTTACAAGTAGGAGCTAAGCTATGAGGACACAAAGGCATAAGAGTGATAAATGGAATTTGGGGACTTAGCGGGGAAGGTTGGAAGGGGGTGAGGGATTAAAAGACTACATATTGGGTAGAGTGTTCACTGCTTTGTTGGTGGGTGCACTAAAATCTCAGAAATCACCACTAAAGAACTTATCCATGTAATCAAAAACTACTTGTAACCCTGAATCTATGGAAATAATAATAATAATAATAACATAACCTGTCTCTAAGAAAGCCCAGATATCAGACTTACTAGAGAAGAAAAACTTAAATTAGCTATTTAAAATATATACAAAGAACTAAAGAAAATCGTGTCTACATAACTAGAACAAAAGTATGAGAATAATATCTTACCAAATAGATAACGTAAATCAAATGTGAAGAAAATGCAATTGAGATTATACATTCAGGGGCAGAGGAAAAAAAGTATAAAGAAAAGAACAAAGTCTCAAACACCTATGGGTCACCTTAAAGCATAAGAATATAAGAATAATAGGATTCCTAAAAGGAGAGCAGAGAGAGAGAGGTATAGAAAGAATATATTTTTAAAAAATGGCAAAAACTTTCAAAATTTGATGAAAAACAATCTACACATTCAAGAAACTTAATACACTTCAAGTAGACTAAACTCAAAGATTCATGCCTAGACATGTGATGATCAAATGGTTGAAAATCAAAGACAGCCTTGGAATCTCTCAAAAGAATGAGAAGACAGGCCACGGAATGGGAGAAAATATTTGCAAGAGTCAAATCTGATAAAGACTGTTACCCCAAATATGTAAAGAATTCTTAAAACATAACAAGAAAAACAAGAACTCAATTTTTAAAAAAATGAGCAAAAGACTTGAACAGACACCTCACCAAAGAAGATGTACTGATAGCAAACAAGCATATGAGAAGCATATCCTGAATACATGCCATCAGGGCATTGCAAATTAAAACAATGATATACCATAGGCGTCTACTTATAAAATGTCCAAAATCCAAAATATTGACAAAGCAAAATGCTGGTGAGGATGTGGAACAAAAGAAACTCTCATTTATTGTTTTTGGGAATGCAAAATTGTACAGCTACTTTGGAATATAGTTTGGCAGTTTCTTTAAACTAAACATACTCTTACTATACAGTCCAATAATCACACTCCTTGGTATTTACCCAAAGGAGTTGAAAACACAACCTACCTTAAATGTGCTCAGAACACTTACATTAGCCTGCAGTTAGTAAAAGCAAAATTCAAAATTTGATGTATGCTTTCTATGGAATGCATATTGCTTTTGCATCATGGTAAAGCTGAAAAATTATAATCATGTCATCATACGTCGGGGACTGTCTGTAGTTTGAAAGTAAAAGAATAAAAGATGAGAGACCTTGCAAATATTAACTGAAAGAAAACTGGAGTGACTATACTAATACCAGACAAAATAGACTTTAAAACAAAAATTGCTACTAGAGTCAAAGAATATTATATAATGATAAAAGGGTCACTCCATCAACAAGAGATAACAATTACAAATACATATACCCCTACCATCAGAGCCTGCAAATACATGAAGCAAAAGCTGACAGAATTGAAGGGAAAATAAACAATTCAACAATAGTAGCTGGAAACATCAACACTTCACTTTCAACAATGACTAAAACTAGAAAGAAGATACACAAAGAAATAGAAGACTTGAACAATACACATAAACCAACAGACATCTGTAGAACACTTACCCAACAAAAATAGAAAATATATTCTTCTCAAGTGAATACAGAACATACTCTAGATCATATATTAGTCCAAAAAAAACAAGTCTCAATACATTTAAAAGGATTGAGTCATACAAAATATGTCATCTGACTATAATAGAATAAAATTAGAAATCAATAGCAAAAGGAAATTTTGGGAAATTTACAAATGAGGAAGAATGTTTTAAAATACCATTTGACTTTTTAAGTCAAAAATCTAATTGGGAACTTAAATAGTTTTAAAATAGTATAAATAAAGAGATGCTGCTATTAAAATTTTTGAATAACATTAGTATCTTTGATTTCTATCTTTCTCCTTAGTGCTGATGTAGAAGAATTATCCCTGTATCTGGGATCCCTTTCATCATTATCTAGGAGTTCTCTTTGAAGAAAGAAACTATACCCTGACCAGTGCCAATCACTTTACCTTTCCATTTTCACTCTGTCCTTTACAATAAAACTGTTTTATAAACATCATTTTCAAATTGTCACTTAATAGATGCAAGATTATCATGCTAATTGGAAGTTCAAAAGAATATTCTAAATAGCAACTCCCCAAATTAAACTGTTAGCCAAAAACTAAGTGTTTTCACTATTCTAATAAGAAAAATTCCTTCTACCAAAGATTCTAGTCATTTTAACTTACTAAATATTTATTATGTGCATCTTTTTCTAAATACCATGGGGATTATTGTAATAAATAAGATTCAGATTCTGCCTCAGCAAACTTGTGATCTATTAGACAGATGGTGGTAGTCAGACAAGTACACAAATAGCCTCAATTACATGCAAAATGTGATAAATGCAATGATTAAGGCACGAAAAACTATAGTGATTTAAAAAGGGAATTGTTACATCTAATTAGAGTACTTAAGAGAGGCATCTTATAAAGTAATGGTTCTCAACACTGGCTGCTCATTAGTATCACACTGGGAGCTTTAAGAAACCTTGATGACCAGACTTTGCCACAGAGCAAACAAATCAGAATATCTCATGTAAGTGGCCTGAACATCAGAATTTTTTAAAGCTCCCTAAGTGATTCTAATGTGCAGCCAAATTTGAGAATCATTGTTATAAAAGATGAGTAAGAAAGAAATAGAATTGAACAATGTGGAAAGTTTCATTTGAAAGGGGACTGAATACTAGAGCACTTGAAAAAATCCTCACTTCAATATAGCTAATATATTTTCATTCTTCCAACCTCAGCCCAATTAAAACATTCCCTAAAAAGCTTTTCCTGACTCCTCCAATGACAGTAATAATATCTTAATAATGGTAACAAAAGCTGACACTTTTTTATGCACCTTTCTATATGCCATGTACCTTTCTAAACACTAAATATATTTCAATACGTAGCCCTCCCAATAACACTAGGAGATAGACAGTATTATTATTCCCATTTTACATGAAAGGAGGGTAAATAACTTGTCAAAGTTATTCAGCTAAGAAGTGGCAGAGCTGGGATTCAAGTACAATGGCTGCAGAATCCCTGTTCTGAAACACAACCAACTATAGTCTGATATTCCTTTTCAAGCCCCACAAAGAACACAAGTATACTTCCATCAAACCATGAAACACATCATATTGTTAAGATTTATGAGATTTTTCTCTTCCACTGGTCATTCATTCATTCATTCAGTTAACAATTCCTGAGCACACACTCTGTGCCAGAAATTGTGCTTGGTATCAGAAATACAAAGTCACATGTTCATATTTTATGTCAAGGAGTTTTAGTCTACAGCAGAGGTCAGCAAACTACAGTAGATGAGTCAAATCCTGCTTGTCACCTGTTTTTGTAAATAAAGTTTTATTGAGCCATAGCCATGCTCATTGGTTTATGTATTATCCAGAGCTGCTTTCGTGCTACCACATAAATAGCATAGTGAAATAGGTGTGACAGAGACCCTCTGGCCACAAAACCTAAAAGATTTACTATTTGGCTCTTTATAGAAAAAGTCTGCCAACCCCTAGTGTAAAAAATATGGCAAATGAGAAAGTCATCAATGACTATCCAGTGAGGTGTATGTTATGAGGCCCAACATACTATGGGAACATAAAAGAGAAATCTAGATTAGGTTAGAGGGTCAGCAAAAGTCTTCTAGATGGCATGATATTTGAGCTAGTTTTGGAGGGCTGAGTAGAGTCAATTAGATAAAAAAGACCAGGCCGACTTTTCAGTAATATTAGACAGGCAAGGTCAACGGTGATCCAAGGAGCTAGAGTAATGACAGTAGGAATAGCAAAGAGGGTAGATAGGCTTAAATGATGTTACTTAGTTCTACAGAATTTATGAAAATATATCTTTGATTTCTTGGTTCTCATTATTTAGCACAACTAGTGGTGTGTATATAGTTGGAACTCACTAAATGTTTGTTAACCAAAGAGATTAATTCTTAAGTACAAGATAAACATCTTTCACTTTAAAAAAGGAGAAAATAGTTGCTTTCCATTCGTTCTTAAAATGATCAAACTATAACAATTCCGGATTTTCCCCCCCATTATCCTAGAGTGAAAAACAGACCATTTTTTTCTTGTTTTTGGTTGTGTATATATACATATTAATAACAATATAGTTGTACAAATGATAAGTGGTTGCAATGTGCTGTACCTGGAAAATTCATAGGCAGTTCAAATGGCTGTAGAGACTCACAACCTTCAATCTGCTCACAAATTTCAGCTATGATCTTCTTAACTTTGAGACCAGTAATTTTAATCACTTCTCCTGTTGAAAAACAGCATTCATTTCCAAACATTTCATAAATAGAGCCTAAAAGGAAAGAAAAGTTAAAACAGCTTTTTAAAAAGAAAACAGTGAAAAACAAAGTAGACTCAAAAGCTTAATATAAAGTGTTTTAATTCAGTTCCTCTCTTAGCTACCTGCTAAACAGGAATTTAATCAAGCTTGGCAAAATGTACAGCATAGACCAGAAAAATATTAGATTTTCACTTTATTCACTGGGCCAAATATAAATAAATCTTATTTTTGTTATTTTTGTAAATTGAATTTATGATTTCCTCAGCACCCTCAGCTCATCTTACCATGGTCAAACTACAAACGTATCTTCCACTACTGAGATTTATGATCTGTTTTTGCTGGGTCACAAAATTAAGCTCATATGACTCAAAAATGATCTAAATAACAACTGCAAACAAGGTTGTCATACAATTGGAGATGAAAAAGAGGGTCTGCACACCAGGGCTTCACATTAAGAGGGTCATATTTATTTATTAGATCTGGTTCTCTTCATTAGCATGAAAGTAAAACTTTTTGCCCATTTTTATCTCTTGGTTTTTGACAAGCTAGAAACCATTCTGAGTATCTTTGTGGCGATAGGGGGCAGACCAACCCAGATAAACTGAAAAGCTTCATTTTAGTCAGTATTTCAATCGTCTTCTTGACAAACCTTTTATCATAGATGCTACAGCTAAGTTTTCATTCACTTATTTTCCTTTAATATTCCCTGATGGAAGGACAGTGAGGAGTAAAATAACCACAAGATGAACAACAGCCAAGAGCAGAGGCAAAAATTCTGGATAATCTACCCCCAGTGAAAAGGAAACAACCCAAAAACTATATCTCTGGCATATTATTGCTTTACAATTCAACACTAACTTAAGGCAAGTATAAATAAACATTATAGAGCTGTGAGCTTTTATATATATCAGTTTTTCCTGACTTCCAAGATGATTTACGTTGTCTTTGCCATACTACATGTGAAGTATATGAGCACAGCGTTTTAGGTTTGCTTGTTTGTTTTCTGAATTTTTCTGTGTAGAACCACCTCCTCATAGAATTGTTCCTGATATGTAGCATGCACCTAGAACATTTTTATGGTATTGATGGTTGCCAGAAAAGTTAGTAAGCCTGGTATCCAATCTAGCTCTAAACAACAACTCTGAGGTCATATCAGAGTCCCAATAGGTAACAGGGCACACTCAAATTAGAATAATTTCAGGAAGTTTATCATAGGGGCCATCTTTAAAAAGAGGCACAGCCAGTTCTAGGCAACCAAAGAAAATAAATGTCCTGACCTCACTCTTCTCCATAGGCATCCCATTAGCCAAATTCTGCCAGAAGCCAGAGGACAAGCGAGCTACTAATGTCCCCACAGAAGTCAGCTTCCCAGGCAGAGTGGGTATGAAAATCCAGCACACCCACATTACTGTCCTTATCTGAGCAAGAAGCATTTTTGCAGACAAGAAGAATACATCTAAAGAATACATATTAAGGATAGTCTATCCATTCCTCAAGCTTCCGGTACATATTTCCATAACCCTCTCCTTGTCTCATACTATTCCCTTAACTACATATGTGCTCATATTTTCGTTAACTTTAATGCTTAATGTTATCAGCAGGCTCAAGTCCTTTGTGGAACAAATTGAGGTATTAAAAATACTAATAAATCCACAGTGACATTTTTCCCCCAATTGACTCTGAATGGTTATTTGCTATGATCCTCATTTGGCAATTAATCACATACTAACATTTTATATCTTTAGTATTATCTCACCCTATACTTAATTTTTTATGAGTTTCAGTTTTTATGACTCCCAATTCAATTTTAAACTTCATGAGAAGAAATATTGCATTACTTTCTTGTATGACTACAACACATCAACTTCCCCTGTTCATTCATTCAGCAAACTTTGATTAAAAAAAAAAACCTACTATGTTGGCGATTGGCAATAGGAATCAGAGATAAAATGCATTATTCATTCCCCCCAGAAGCATTGTCTTGAAGGGAAAGAACAATTAAGCAGACAATTGCAACAGATTAGGAGAAGGGTGTAATAAAGGAAATACAGGGCAATGTGGGAGTATACTGAAGGCATTTAATTATGCAATTACATGAAAAAGAGATTAGAGAAGGATTCCTGGAGGAGATGACTGCAGATTTGAGTTTTAAAGGAAGAGTCACAGGACACCAGGACAGGCAGAGGAAATAGTATTTGAAAAGGCACTGAGATGTGAAAGAGCCTGATACATTCTGGAAACTTCAAGTACTTTGTTATGTCTAAAATGTAAGTAAGAAGGAGGAAGTGGTAAAAACAGAGACTAGGGAAGTAGAGGGAGTCCTGATGGTTCAGAGCATTCATTATTGATTCATTATCAATAAATAAAAAAGCAATTTAAAGTATGAAGCAACCACAAAGTCACAGAATCTACATTTCCAGTTATCATGGTCCAAAAACACATTTAAGGACAGGTCATTTGTACTCTAAGTGTTTGCTATACAAACCTTGGTCCACCACATCACCTGAGAGCTTGTTAGAATCTTAGACCCCAGACCTACTGAATCAGAACCTGTGTTTTTAACAAGATCCCTAGATGATTTATAAGGACATTAAGGTTTGCAAACATTGGCCTAGGCAACAAATGGATAACAATATAGTCTCTGTTTGAAATTGTTGCAAAACTAACATAGAGGGGAAAATGTGTTAAGCAGAGAAAGCACTGGGCATCATTGAGTTAGAGGATGTTATAAGTGGAGAGAGGGAAAGGGAAGGCTTTTAAGTAAAGAAGCAAATAGTAAAATTTTTCTTTGTCATATTAAATGGAACATAATCTAACGTAGCCCATTTCAGCTGAAGTCTGTTGGGCTTAATTTCAGTGCACTGATTATCTAATTGTAAATGTAATGTATATCAAATTGGCTGAGTTGGAATGTCATCTTTCTTTTAAAGGTTCAATTGGAATTCAAAATAAAAAGATAAATTTATGTGAGATTTCATATCAATTCACATGGAATAGAAGCCAGAGAATTCTATAAAAAGAAATTTCATGAGTCTTGGTCACCACAAGAAAAGCTTTTGACTCTTCAGGTCTTTTTCCAAGCAAGTCTTTCCTTTTGGAAGAAAAAAGCTCACTTCTTTCAGTCACATAAGGAAAAGACTATCATGTAAATAATAATCTTTTGTAATTTCTCTTTAATATTTCGTGACTTCCAATGTTCTTCAACCAAGAAAGCTGTTAACTCATTTTTAATAAAGAAAGTGTTCAGAGATGTCCAGCACTAGAAAGCTAGAAAGTTATGTCTATGATAGGTGACAGGGACATATAGCAAAGCTTAAGTCGCTAAAACTGGAAATCTTGTATTTTATTATCACCAATATAATGTGTCTTAAAATATATTTTTTCCTTCTTGATAAGTTAAAATGGTGAATTTTAAAAATATCCAACTTTCATTATCTCAAAACAAACACATAATATGTGTAATTGCTTTTAAAAAAATTGCTGAGATATGTGTCTGAAATATATCTGTGTATATATAGACATACATATTAAAATGGCTTTCATTTCATTTTAACCATAAAACATGTATTTTGAATAAGCAAATCTCGAATCTATTAAATCTTTACAGACTGATTCTATCCAAGTCAAAGCATATGTATTCAGAATAATGCCAAACATCAGAGAAAGCTGGAACAAAGCAGCCTGTTTTCAGTGATCAAACATTGCCCCTGAAGGCTGTAATGAAAGAGCCATGTGCCTTTGAAATCACCTTTTCTGTAATGCTACTTTGCTCAATAAAAACGACACATTAATATCCTTTTATGAGCTCATCCCTTGTTTGACAATCCATATAAGCAATGCTGTGATCACATCAGAACAGCCAAAACAATTGGTTCAATAGATTTTCTTCCATCTTCCCTACAAAGTTAAAAACGTGTGACAGTCAGCAAATAGGAAACTGCATTGGATGTTTCTCCCCTTTACTCAAATGCACTCTCCCTCCATTACTGCCTGCCCTACCACCCCCTGCCACTACACCAGGCCACCCATCCCTTTACATCCTTATTAACTTGTCAAAGTCCAACCAATTCCAAAGCTTCAGCCCATATTTATCATTTTCTTCAAAGCCTTCCTTGATCCCTACACCTAAGTAAGAATTAATTCTCTCCTCTGTGCTCTGATAGCACTTCATGCGTATCTCCATTAAAGCCTTATGTGATTATTATCACTCTTTCAATTGGAGTGTTATGTATATTTTGCAATTTATTATGATTTCCTAGAGAAGAGACATTATCTTAACTATATGTATACCTCCCCCACAGCTAGTAAAACAGTTTTTTTTATCACTTATTAGATGATTAGTGAATGTTGTTATAATTTTGTGTCATTGTAAAATGACAATTAATTGTTGTGAACATAATAGTGGTCCTTCTACATAAGGAGTTTAAAGCATGGTCAAGTCAAAGGTTTTTGCATGGGTTATATCTTTATTTGGTATGTTTGATATCAAATATACAAGTGAAGTATATACAAGCTGACTATGTTGTGAATTCTCTAGACAAGGAGTAATGAGGGTAGTGGTTCTATAATATGAATCTCTACTAGTTAAGTTTGCATAAAGAGGGAGCTCATGTGACCATCTGAGATATATTTTTATAAGCTAGGAAATTATATCTGCAAAGTATGGCTGATAGTGTCTGATAGAACCATATCCACTGGGGTTGCCAGTGGAGATGCAACTTTGCTCATTATAAATAGGTGTGATTATTTTTTGCTTCAGGATAGCACAAATTATCAAGAAGGAGCATCCCTCTAAAGGAAATGTTTAAGTGTAAAACTATTTTATTGGCAATTGTGTACCTAGACATGGCAGTTGATGTGGCATTGAGACCATTATGGTGATAAATTCAATTTTCCAAATGAACCTCTAGATAGGCGACCACAGGAATGAAGTTCAAAAGAGGCCATGGTTGCAATAGACATTTATATGGCCAGTCTTCCACAAAGAGATGGTCTGCATTTCCTGTAAGGCAGAGACAATGTCATTCCCACTCTATGAAGAATGTGTCTAAAAATAAGTGAGCATGATATTTTAATGCAGGGTACATATAAGTAGACACGAAAAAGCAAGCTTTCAGCTTTACTAAGGGTGGATACTCCCAGTTGGACACTAGATATAGCACTAAAGGTACATCTGAGAAATGCTAGGAAATGATCTTTCCAGGCCATAGAGACTCTCTCATCCCCAAAATATCAGTATTAAGAAGGCAAGGCATTGGGATTACATAATAAGAAAAGTTATGGCTGTGCTAAGAACTAAGGTAAAATCTCCCTAACCTCTAAGAATATAGGATTTTTCTCGTGAATTGGGGGTTTAAGTATTATCCAGGAAGTCAAGCCTAAAGACTGAAATATGCAAAAGACTGTAGGAAATGTTGGTGAGTCTTACTTAAAACATCTGAACATGGGGAAGCAATAAAAGTTCCTACAGATTGGAAATGCTGGGGCCTGAGAGCCAAAAATAAATAAATAAATAAATAAAATCAGATTAAATAAGTACTAGGACCAAAACCCAGAAAAGAACAACATTTCAGTCACTCTGAGTGATGTGTAAGAAATTCAGGTGACTAAGTTTCAGTGATAGAAGAAGAATAAATCACTGTTTCGTGCATTAGCTAAAAACGTATTTGTTTAATGGTAAATTTATTAATTTAATAGATTAAATAAAACTGTACTAAGAGGGCTTACAAGTGGTTGTCATGATAGAAGTCATCATTGTGGCTCATTGAGTAAACATTATCAGAGCAAAGGGATTTGAGGGTGTGTGTATGAAATAAATATCCCTCCTGTGTATCCACAGAACACTTATCTATGATTGTGGAACAAATCAGTGACTGTGCATCTTCTGATACTATTATTGATCAAATATTTCCCATATTTCACCCAAATTTTTACCCTCAAAATGACATAAATAATATCATAATTTCATGTATAAACAATATTGCTTTGGGAGTTGGCTTATTGTTTTAGGAAGGACTTGGTTTCAAGTACATTTTATACACATCAACATCTCTGCCTACATTTTATATCTTAAATGTTAAATAAATTTAATATAGACATCTATAGCCATTTAAAACCATAAACTTGTTCTCTATTTCCATTTAATGAATACAAATGTACTGACTGCATTGATTATACAGGGACCCTAATGGATTACAGTGTGTTCGCACAATACATACAAAATAAAGCTTCATGTTATTATCTATTTCCCTAACTTTGTTAGCATTAATTAAACACTCCATTAGCTATTCTGCTTGTGAATTATAGTTTAGAAATTGAGAGTAAAGACTGGGCACAGTGGCTCACGCCTGTAAGCCCAGCACTTTGGGAGGCCAAGGTGGGTGGATCACCTGAGTTTAGGAGTTCAAGACCAGCCTGGCCAACATGGTGAAACCTGTCTCTACTAAAAATACAAAAATTAGCCGGTCATGGTGGTGGGTGCCTGTAATCCCAGCTACCTGGGGAGGCTGAGGCAGGAGAATCACTTGAACCCAGGAGGTGAAGGTTGCAGTGAGCTGAGATTGCACCACTGCACTCCAGCCTGGGTGACACAGTAAGACTCCATCTCAAAAAAAAAAAAAAAAAAAAAAGAAAAGAAAGAAAAGAAAAAAAAGAAAGAAAGAAAGGAAATTGAGAGTAAAGGCTTAAAATTTTTAATAAGACATTTGGAGGTCATTAATTGAAATTGTGCTTATATTGTGCATTTTAAAATTTTATTTTTATAACTCATTTTTATTGTATTTTATCAAAGTACTAATTCATGATGGATCAGAAAAGGAAAATGAATTAGGTCTTCACCACGGATAGTTTTGGAAGCACTTCCAGAAGGAATTAAGTGCAAACATATGATCACAGTCAAGGCAGGGAACAAGGATGTAGTCTCAAGGAGTTAGAAAGTTAGAGTAAAATTTCAACATCCTGAAAAAGGAAAGTTATAACCTAATACACAAAGTCTTAATTAGTATTATTAACTCATCTATCTCAATGACACAGCAGCCTGAGTGCCCTAGCTAAAAGACACAGGAATTTTAATCAACTTGACAGTAATAATTCTAATTGCAAGTTATTGTACTGGCATTCTGATTTCTACCTTATATTCTTCTGAGTTGTATGAGTTAATGCTGATCCTAATTGACCATGGATGCTTTGAGTTGCTGGACCTATACAGCTCAGTTCCAAAGCCATAAGCAGGTGAAATCTCCTAGGGAGTAAATTTTTTTTTTTTTTTTTTTTTTGCTCTGTTGCCCAGGCTGGAGTGCAGTGGCGCAAACTCTGCTCATTGCAACCTCCACCTCCTACATTCAAGTGATTCTCCTACTTCACCCTGCCAAGTAGCTGGGATTACAGGCACTCACCACCACGCCCAGATAATTTTTGTATTTTTAGTAGAGACAGGGTTTCACCTTGTTGGCCAGGCTAGTCTTGAACTCCTGACTTCAAGTGATCCACCCACCTCGGCCTCCCAAAGTGCTGAGATTACAGGTGTCAGCCACCCCACCCAGCCCCAGGAGATGAATTCTATGCATTCTACCTAAATAACATACCGAGTAGTCTCCATGACAGAGACAGCAAATATGTGCAGTATATTCTACCATTTGTCCCTCTCATCACTAATCATACAAGGTATATTTTGAGTTGAATCCAGATATGACCTAATAATCCTCAACATCGAGTTCTAGGTGACTATCCATCAGTTGAAGATGGCATGCCAGGTATTAATTATGCCCAGCCCAGTCCAGCACTATGACTTATCTTGCTTTCTTTAAGCACCCTTGGCTAATATTTTTAAAGATTTTAATCCTTAAATTGGGCTAATTTACTCCCAAAGGCTTAGTCAAATGAAATCTGGCAGAAGAATACAGAACCCCTCATTCAATCATTTATTCCAGGTCAGCTGTCTGAATTGAGGCATAAAACTCTAACTTGATAATAATCACAATTGTATATAACCCAATGGCAGTTATAAAATGAGTTTGAATTTCATTTACATCTCTAAGTGCTAGCAACTTTGACGATCTCTCGAATCATTGCATCTCAGCAGGAAAATTTAAATACTCTTTTATCCTATTAATGTATTATGATAACTGAGTCCCCATACAGTATCTGTATCAAGCAGGTGTCCAAATTTTATTTGAACATCTTCAGTGGTGGAATTCCATTTATCTTAAGGTGATCTGCTTTACTTTTGAGCAGCTCTTACTGTTAAAAATTTCTTCATTTTATTAACCTTTATCTGTGCTTATCTGGGATGTACACACTAGAACAGTTGTTTAGCCTTTGAAATCATACAGAAAACAATTATTTTAACTCTTCTACGTAGAAGCCTTAACATGTTTGAAGACAGCTGTTCTTTCTAACAAACAAAGCTGTCAAACAATTGGAGTGTATTCAGGGCCACTGTTTACTGCATAGGTTGCCCATTATAAAACTACCGGAACCACAACTTACATGGATGTGAATGGCATCCTTGGAGTTGTGGAACATGGAATCCTGCTTCTCAAAAATATGTGTACTTAAGTGTTCCAGGAAAGACTAAATAGTAGCTGTCAGAGATGTCCAAAGGAAGTTGCCTGCCAGAAAACTAAAAATCTTTGTGTGAGGAATAACCAGCCGTTTCACACTAGCAATATTTGGCTTTGCCAATCAATGGTCAAAGTAAAACCTACAGTAGAAAAAGTACAAATGTCTTAAATTTGAGCAGCAAATGTAGGGAAATAATACCTTATCAATAGCTGGATTCTTCCCCTGTGTCCCTTCTACCATTAAAGCCAAGACATAAGGATTATTTCCCCAGGAAAGAAAGGAAGTTTTAGTCATTGTTTAGCTCTGAGACTCAAAGACATTTTGAAGACTTAGGGAGATAATTGTCTTGACAAGATAGGCTTTATTAAAATTGAACAATATTTTTCATAATTGTCAAAATCTTTTCATATGAATATAAGAGTCAAATAATGAAAGATGATCTATAGTAGATTATAGACCAAGGGGGGCACAGTGCATGACATAAAGGAATTTACCACCCTGCTGAAAAAAAATTGGGATTTTTTTTTAGTACAAAGAGAAAAAATAAAGCATACTGTGTTTTACTTCCAAAATCTACTCTTTGTGCCAGATCAGAAAAAAAAGTTTTAAAATCAAAGCTTTTGATTTACAAGAGCTGTTTCTTATTGAGAGAAGTAAAAGCCAGGTCTTGAGGAAGGTCATAGAATTTATGCTTTGCAGTTAGTTTGAAAGGGAATAAAATAATCTTAGACTATCTTCTGGGAGAGTGCCAGGGAAGCAGAGAGGTGAGTTCAATAGAGAGGCATCCTGGAGAAGATGAGTTGGGCCTGATTTGAAGACACCATGTGCAGAAGTCCAGAGATTTCTATAAATACCCTACTCAGCATCCCCTGTGATCAGATTCAGGAAGCGGTCACTGTAGATTATGACAAATGACCATCCTAACAAATACTAAATCAACCTGAAGATACAAGATCAGTGTCTCAGCCTCTCAGTTCTGTTTGTTGAAGGCCTCCATCAACACTTACCTGAACGTCCAGCAAAATTATGTTTATCCATATGTATCAAAGGTCCGCATATCCACTCTCAGGTTAATGATTGATTAGGACTCATAGAAGTCAGAAAAGCTGTTATACTCATGGTTACAGTTTACTCAGAGAAACAATACAGATTAAAATGAGCCAGTGAAAAAGGTGCATAGGGCAGAGCCCAAGAGAAATCAGGCACAGGTTTCCAATTGTCCTCTCCCAGTGGAGTCACATGGACAGGGCATCATTCTCCCAGCAGTGATGAGTGACAACATGTACAAACTGTTGCTAACAAGGAAAGTTTACCTGAGCCTTGGGGTCCTGGGATTTTACTGGAGGTTGATCACAAAGGCATGGAGTGCACACACAACTGACCTTAACTACTAAATATGCAGCACCCCCTTAGAGGTCAAACTCATACAGTGTGGCCAAGGACCTCAGGTGAAAAACAAAACAAACAAAACTAAAAAAACAGACATCCACCAAAAATCACCTTGTTAGCATGAGCTATCCATGCTAACAGATGTTAGAGTGGCCAAAGGTCCAAAGTATACAAAACACTCATTGGACAGGATGATCCAAGGGTTTATAAGGTATCTCTAAGGAGCCAGTCAAGACCAGTCCTTTCTTTGGAATGTACATAAAGTTTGAACACCCAAAGCCTGCTGAGTTAACCCTTTACTAAATATCATGTTTCAAGACTTTGTTAAAGCTTGTCAGGAAAAAAGTTGTCCAAGACTTGAAAAGTACAAAAAAGATTACTACATATCCTCTCAGTAGAGAGCTAGATATTGTCTAGCAGACATTTTGGGAATTATCTGATTCTACAGAGGTATACAGCTTATACTGCCTTGTAGAAAATTAATAGAAATGTAAATTATTATCCATAGTAATATAAACAATTATTTTCCACTGCAATAAAATGATTTTTTCCAGTAGATATGTAATTGATCTATGCCTTGTAGAAAAGATACACTAACATTATATGTTTGAGGTTGATAATCAGGTTTAACTATACTGTAATTCATTTTGGCATTTCTGATTTTACTTTTGCTTGTGTGTATGCATGTGTGTTTGAACTGGATTTAACACCTCAATGATTCCCTCACTTAATGAGTTAAAAATCATTTGCACATTCATTTTATGTTTATTTGGCAGTGAGGTTTTTACTTAAGTGAAAAAATTGTATCAGTCTCATATTAGTTGCACAGCATTTGAATGTTCTTTTCAATAAGGTTAATCATTTGTAACAGAATGGAATCCTGGAGTCCCAGAAATGCATTGATAATATGAGGAAAATCTCCAATATTTACATTTGGGTGGAAATGCAGTGTTGTAACTCACACTCCTTATATTTGTAAAATATTGTACTTGATTTATACTTTAGATTTTCTTCCTTATATCTTTTTTAGCTTTGCTTTTTCTTCCTTCGTTTTCTGTTTTATTGAAGTCTTTAATCGAAAGAATAAAGATAGATTAATGATTTAGTTTGTTCTTAAAATACATTAAATTTTATCATATTCATTTATAAAGTGCACTATTCAGTATAAGCTAGCTACATATAGTGTCTATAGTTTTATTCAATAACTAAAAATTCTAAAACAAATACTGATGTACATCATTGTATAGTTATGCTACTTAATAGTTTATTTTTGCAGTCAAATTTTCTCTTTGAATGCTTTTCTTAGCAGATCAAGTCCAAAACAGATAGAATTTCATTATCATTTACTTTGAAGAATGACAAATATTTTAAAACTTTATGCTCAAAAGAGTCACTGAGAAATTTTAAAATAAATAAATTCTAAAGATTCTAAAAAATTAAATTGCCCTTTGGTGGATGAGCTCACTCTCCCCATATTTCCGTATGTTTGAAACCAATGCATAAAGTTTCATAACAAATTGAACTGAGAGATATAATATTTAAAAATACTCAATAATCACTCTTATTGAACAATTTCTATCATCTACTGAAGATCTAATATTATCCATTTCAGAGCACAAAACCAGATATTATCAAAAGATATACACACAAAGAAATAACCAATAAAAGCCAAAAGATCCCTTTTCTTGAGAAACTTACATTCTAGGTAGCTGGAGACAGAAGGGACACACAAATATATAAAGAACAAAAACTGATAAGCTAGTAGACACTAATGCCAGGCACAAAGAGCTTTGGCTAAGGCTACTAAGATTTTTATTTTTATTTTATTTATTTATTTATTTATTTATTTATTTTTTACTTTTGATAGAACTCAGTAGCCAAGAAAGAAAAAAGTTTTCTGTGCTATAGAAAAGGAGATGTAGGTACTCTTTTCTAAAGACTGTTCCTTTCTTTCTTCTAGGGGGAAAATCCTAAAGAATTCTTTTAGTTATATAAGCCATTGTATTCTTGGGAAAACTTTGAGACAATTGATTTGAATGCAGCTGTACTTAGGCAAGTAATTTCTCTATAATATCAACTGATATGTTTGATTATTTGGGATACAAAGTAGTAGATAGAAGAGTTGGTTATGAACTCATCCCCACCAAAGAAAAACCTAGTTCCACTGCTAAAATAAATCCCCAAACAGTTGCTTAAACAACAAAAGAAAATGCTTATTTCTCTCTCTCAACCAGCAATCTAGTGAGAAGTAGACAAGGTTTCTATTGAATTATCATAGGATCTAGGACTTTTTATGTTGCTTTCTTCAACAGATCTCCCATCTTACGTTCTAAGATGACTGCTCTATCTCCTACCATCAAGTCTGAATTTCAGCTAGTGAGAAAGAGAAATGGAGAAGAGAAAACATTCCATTCATTTTAGTAGCTGCAATAGATATTTGACACATGAAACACCTCACAACCTATTGGCCCAAACTTAATCAAGTGGCCACATTAAGATTCAAGAAAGCTACACAATATCATCTTTAGCTGAAACTCTGATACTACAGAAGAAACGGAGAACAGATATAGTTAGCGAACAGCTAACAGTGCCTAACCTAAAAGGTGAGGGAAAGGCATGTATATTTCATTATTTAAATTAGACTATGCTATGCCTGTAAATTTTACATTGTCTTATCGAGGAAAAATGTATATTTTTATTTGAAACACCAAAGTTAAGAGGTCTGTTGCTGAGTCTGAGACTGTAGAATGAAATTTCAAGACTGATGTTTATCTCCACTGAAGGAATTACTATTAAACACACACACACACACACACAATTTTCTTTCTTCATTCATTCCTAGGCATTTAACTAGTTAAAAGTCACAGATGAGAATGCCTTCTCTACAGTCAAGTTCAAATCCAGAATCTCCATTTAATAGATTTGTGACCTCAGGTAATTACTTCACCTGTAAAATAAAGATAGTGCCTCAACTTCGTTATCTTTAACATAAGGAAAATAATATTACCTCAAATGGCTTTTTTGAGCATCAAATAAAATTATTTTACGTGCATAGCCCCGCCCCTGGCATCTATTTAGGGCTTAATAAATATCAACTATTATTATTTTACCATTATTATTTTACATGATGTTTAAGACTGAATAATCCAGTGTAATACAATACTATCATATGCTGGTGGGATTGTCTTGATCAAGATGCAGGGCAGTGTCCTCCTATGGATGGGGCTTTGTTTTCCCTTAATAAAAATTGGTATTTTCTTTGCCAATATTTCTGAGGAAAAGAAAAAAGGAATGGAGAAGATGGACTTAGATTGGGGATAAAGACACCTTCAAGATCAGCATTTCCCAACCTTCCACAAATGAACTCTGGTGTGCCACAAATTGGTTACAGATGTGCCAACATATTGAATTTCTCATTGCTTAAAGTGACCAGCTCAGGTGGATATGGGATGACTCATAGCTTTGGCTGGTGATATCTGGCTACAAGCTGCCTTGTCTATTTATTCCCAGTGTGCCAAACAAATATTCATATTGTGTATAGATGTATCTGTCATAATTTAAAGGGTTGAGAGGAATGGTTCAGGAGCACTCTTAATGGAGACGATAAGCTGTTGTTTTTCATATAGTGGTTGGCTGAGAAGTAACTATTATACCAGGCAAGGGTAGAATCTAGCTTTTCAGAGAGGATCCATGAAAAATACATAAACTTCATTTGCTTATGTGTTGACTTTTAAAAATCTATGCAACTAATTAATTAAATATATGATATATGCCAAACAGAATAACAGTGCTATGTACTACTGATATATTGGTGAGCAAATGATGTTTTCTGAACCTTTATGAAATTTTAATGTGTTAGAAGAAAATATATTAATCAAATAATTATACAAATATACGATTGCAAAGTGATAATAACTATGAATGAACATTGCAAGACATTAAAAGAAAGGGTCTAAGCTTCTGGGTTCTGAAGTATATATGTATGATATTTATTAAACTATTCAATGAGTATTGATATTTATTAAGCTAGTCAACAAGTATTGATGTTCCTCAACTTACCATAGGGTTACATCCAAATAAACCCATCATAAGTTAAAAATATCTTAAGTTGAAAATGCACTTAATACATATAACCTATTGAACATCATAGCTTAGCCTAAACTACCTTAGACATGCTCAGAACGCGTAAAGCACCCCACAGCTGGGTAAAATCATCTAGCAACACAGTGCACTATAGAGTATCAGTTGTTTGCCTTCATGATCATGTAACTGACTGGGAGTGGCAGCTCACTGCCACTGCCCGACATCCAAAGAGAGTATCACACTACATATTGTGGGACCAGGAGAAGACCAAAATTAAAAGTACATTTTCTACTAAATGCATTCTGCTTTTGCACCATCGTAAATCAAACTACTAAGTTGGGGGCTGTCTGTATTTGCGGAGTTCCAGGCATATTAATCTCAAACTTACAGTAAAGTTTTATTCAAAGGCTTCAGCTAGGACTTTCATTTCTGGGAAGATGGAGTAGACATACATTTTCCTACCATCATATGTTCCAGATTTGAAGCTGAAAAAGCTGACAACCTGGAAATGCCAGTGGACACAGACCAAGAAAACCCTCAACAAAAGCCTGTTCTCTTTAGCCAAAGGGCTAGGAAAGGAACATCCTATACAACAACAACAGAAAACCTGTTAAGCAATAACCATTCTAATCTAGCCAAACATCACAGAAAAACAGAACAAAACAAAGCAAAACAAAACACCATTGTCTCTATGCCCACCCACACCAATAAAGGCTGAATAGAGAACTTAGGCCTCGCTCTTTGCCAGGCTGTAACAAGTCACTCCCCCATTTTTTGCTTGGGTGGTGTCAGAAAAGGCAGAGTAAAGAGCTGGGTCTTACATCTTTTGAAGGCAATAACAGTTCCCCAACCCCTGTCAGGGAAATCAGGAGGAGAGCCTGGACTTCCACTCCCATTCGTAAGCACTGATATGTCCTTTCTCCTTCCCACTGAGGTGATGTCAGAGGATCTACTGAAAAATCAGGGACTTGTGCCCAGCACAATCAGGCACTTCCCAGCCGCATGATGTAAGGGGTGGCCAAGAGAGGCCCAGTAATAAGGCAATGCTCGTACCCCTCCCAACATGGCTAGTGTCAATGAAGTCATAGTGAGGGGTCAGCACTCCCATTTCACATAATAAGAATCCTCACTTCCTAAAGTGTCACAGAGCCTGAAAGAGAAACCTGGGATTTTTATCCTACTTGGCAATAATGAGACACTGCTTCCTGCTGTAGCAGTGTCAAAGAAACAAAAAACAGAGAACAAACAGAAAATTAAAAATAAAACAGGAGATGTAAGCTTTGCCATATCAATAGTTACATTAAACGTACCTGATTTAAATACGTTTTTTTAAAAACAAAGATTGGTAGAGTGGATTAAAAAACATAACCCAAAGACATGCTATGACTCACTTCAAATGAAATAGGTAGATTGAAAGAAGATGGATGGAAAATGATATATCATGTGAATATTTATCAACAGAAAGCAGAAGCAGCAATATCAATACCAAATGAAGTAAAATTTAGAGCAAATGAAATTACTAGAGGCAGAGAAAAACATTACATAATGATAAAAGTGTCAATCTACCAGGAAGATAAGGAATCCCAAATATGTATACATCAACCAAAGAACAGGGCTGAGAAATATGTAAAGCAGAAACTGCTCTAACTAAAAAGAGAAATAGACAAATCAACAATTACAGTTGGAGTCTTCAACACCCCTCTTTCAACAACTGATAGAAGAACTAGACAGATTACCTGTAAGGATATAGAAGAACTCCACAACATCATCAAACAACATAATCAAATCTTCCTTTATAGAACACTTTACCTAACAACAGCAAAATACACATTGGTTTCAAGTACCCACAATAACATATGCTGAGATATCCTGTGCCATAAAACAAATCTCAACAAATTTAAAATAATTGAATCATAATATTCTATGACCACAATGAATTAAACTAAAAATCAATAACAGAAAGATACCAAGAAATTCCCCAAACACTTGAAAATGAAACACAACACCTCCAAATAATCCATGAGGCAAAAATAAGAAAAAAAATTTTATATATGCATATAATACATATTTATACCTATATACATACACATACACATACATATATTTATATACACACACTGAACTTAATAAAAATGAAAATACAACATATCAAAGTTGTAGGACATAGCTAAGGCAGTACTGAGAGGATAACTTTTAGCACTGAATGGTGATATTAGAAAAGAGCAATAGCCTCAAATCAGTAATCTAAGCTCATAATTCAAGAATATGGAAAAAGAAACAGAAAAAAATAAAGAAAATCAATGAAGCAAAGAGAAGATTCTTTGAAAATATCAATAAAATTGATAAAATACTAGCAACTCTGAAAAAGAAAAAATGAGAAAAGACACAAATTATCAATAAGAGGATAGCACTACAGAACATTCAGACATCAAAAATGTAATAAGGGAATCAATTTTACCACATAATTTGACAATTTAGTTGAAATAAACCAGTTCCTCCAAAAGAGAAAAAACCAACAAAATATACTACTTCTCATCCAGTATGAAATAGATAACTTGTTCAGTCCGATAACTATTAAGGAAATTTAATTCATATTATAAAACTCCCAAAAAAGAAATCTCCAGGCCCTGATTGTTTCACTGGAAACAATCTGCCAAACTTCTAAGGAAATATTTTCAACAATTCTAGATAATCTCTTTCAGAACATGGAAGGGGGAATACTCACCAATTTAGCTAGTGAAGCTAGTATTGCCATTATACCCAAACCAGACAGACAGCACACATCAAAAAAATAAACAAATAAATAAAATAAACCAATTCATTAATATAGACAAAAATCCTTCACAGAAATTTAGCAAATAGAATCTAGCAATATATAAAAAGAATTATACACCATGACCAAGTGTGGTTAATGCCAGGAATACAAGGCTGGATCAATATCAACAAAGCAATCAATGTAATCTACTACATTAACAGGCTAAAAAAAGGTATGGCAGCAGGTGCAAATGATCATTTCAGTTGATGCAGAAAAATCATTTAACAAAATTTTACACCTATTTATTTAAAAAACAAACTCTTACGCTGGGAGTGGTGGCTCACACCTGTAATCCCAGCACTTTGTGAGACCGAAGCAGGTGGATCACTTGAAGCCAGGAGTTTGAGACCAGCCTGGCCAATATGGTGAAACTCCATCTCTACTAAAAAGACAAAAATTAGCCGGGCACAATGGCAGACACCTGTAATCCCAGTTACTCAGGAGGCTGAGGCAGGAAACCCAGTAAGCAGAGGTTGCAGTGAGCCGAGATTGCGCCACTGCACTGCAGCCTGGGTGACAGAGTGAGACTCTGTCTCAAAAGAAAAAAACAAAAAACTCTCAGAAAAACTAGGAGTACAGAGAAATTGCTTAAATTGGTAAGGATAATCTATAAAACAAACAAGCAAAACAAAAACAAAAACTTTACAGATAAAATTATACTTGGTGGTCAAAACCTGAATGTTTTCTCCCTAAGATCAGAAACAAGTCCAGGCTATCCACTCTAACCACTCTTATGCAAATAGTCCTAGAAATTTTAGCCAGTGCAATAAAGCAAGAAAATAAAATAAAAATCATACACCTTGGAAAGGAAAAAATAAAACAGTCCCTGTTTCCAAATGACATAATTATCTACACAGAAAATCCAAAGGAATCTAAAAAAACAAAACAAAACACTATTAGAACTATTAAGTGAGTTCACCAAAGTTGTAGAATACTAGAATAATATTCAAAAATCAGTTTTATTTCTGAAACTAGCTATGAACCTGTGGATAATGAAATTCAAAATAAAATATTTGTGATTGCTCAAAAAATGAAATACTTAGTCATCAGTGTAATAGAACATGTACAGAACTTGTATGCTGAAAACTAAAAGATGTTGATGTGAGAAATTAATGATCTTAACAAATGGAATGGAAAGACATACTGTTTTCATTCATTGAAAGTCTCAACAACGTAAAGATGTCAATTTTCCTCAAATTGATATACAGGTCAATGCAATTCTTATCAACATTTTTGTAAATTTTTTGTAGGTATAGATGAGATCATTCTGAATTGCATATGGAAAGACAAAGGAACTAGACACGCTAAAACAATTTCGTAAAAGAAGACCAAAGGAGGTAGGAATTCAACTACCCAAGTCAAGACATATTATTTAACTACAGTAATCAGAACTGTATAGTTAGTGGCAGAGGAATAGATATACGTATTAAAGGAAGAAAATGTACTCCCCCAAAAACAGCGCCACAGAAATAAGCCCATCTGATTTTTGACAAATTTGCAAAAGCAATTCAAAAGCAAGCTTTTTAAAGAACAACAACAAAGTACTGGAAAAATTGGACATCCATAAAATTAAAATAATTAACCTAGTACTGGTTACCCTTAAACAATGTAGGGGTTAAGGGCACTGGCCTTGTGCAGTCAAAAATCCATGTTACAGCATCTGTCTTTCCCAAAACTTAACTACTAATAGGCTACTGTTGACTGGAAGCATTCCCAATAACATAAAGTCAATTAACACATATTTTGTATGTTATGTGTATTACATACCGTATTTTTACAATAAAATAAGCTAGCGAAAAGAAAATGTCACTAAGAAAATCATAAGGAATAGAAAATGCATTCATAGTATTGCATTTATTGATACCATAAGTTTACATCATTTGTTTATAAGATCTGTCTGAAATGGTGGGCAGCCATGGCTGCAGACCTCAATCTATGGTACATATCAAGGAATTCAACTTTTTCTTGCAATGTTATGACTTTTGTTTACTTTTTGGGAATACCAATAGCATCATTAGTAGCACTTTGTAGGTCTCATGCTGTTTTCAAGGTTTACGGTATAGCACTATGATGGAACGTTTGTACACGAGAATGAGCTCACTTTTTACTGCAATTCACAATTTGTAGGAGAGGATGAGTACTCAAAAGGAGATGATTAGTGTAACAGGGTGTTTTAATTGGATGCTTCCAACACTTGAGCTCATCACAATAGCAACAGAACAGGGCTACAAAATTATTATGGTAGAACAATATTACTATAGTTAATTTTATGTAGTTGTGATTTAACACTGCATCTGTTACATGTGTTTACCTTTCTCTCAACTGTGACTAGCACCATAAACAGTCTGTAAAGGCATGTGCAAGTTTTGAAAAATGTTAACTTTTTATAATAGATTTGTGTATATTTTATGGTAGTATACGATAAAATAGATTAGTAGCTACATATATTGTATGGATTCATGACATACCTAATTTTCTTAGTTTTTATCTTAAATATTTCTAGGCTACGTTGTGAGTTTTTTCAAATTGTTTCAAATCTCCAAAAAAATCTCCAATATATTTATTTTTAAAAATCTGCATATAAGTGGACCCACAAAATTCAAACCATTTGTTCAAGAGTCAAGTGTACTAAACTTCACATTATACACACACAAATATTGACTCAAAATGGATTCTGAACTTAAATTTGAAAGGAGTTAAGAAGAAGGTATGGCTATAAAAAAGCAACATGGGTGATGTGATGATATAAATATTTTGTCTCTTGACTGTAACAATGTCAATATCCTGGTTGTAATATTGTATTACAGTTTTGTAAGACCTTATCATTGAGGGAAGTTGAGTAAAGCAGGGGTCTGCAACCCCTGGGCCACAGACTGGTGCTGGCCGCACAGCAGGAGGTGAGCAGCTGAACAGCCAGCAAAGCTGAGCTTCACCTTTCATCAGATCAGCGGGCATTAGATTCTCCTAGGAGCAGAAACCCTATTGTGAACTGTGCATGCATGCAGGGGATCTAGGTTGTGTGCTCCTTATAAGAATCTAATAATCTGATGATAAATGTAGTGTGTACTTGAAACATCCCCAAAACCTCTGCCCCTGCAATCAATGGAAAAATTGTCTTTCACGAAACCAGTCCCTGGTCCCAAAAATTTGGGAACCACTGGAGTAAAAGATACATGGGATCTCTTTGTATTATTTCTTACAACTGCATATGAATCTGCATTCATCTCAAAATAAAGAGTTTATTTTGTTTAACTTAAATAAATGTGTGTATGTGTGCAACTTTTGACACCAGTGACAGAGAAAGTCTTTGTCAAACACAGAAGCATGTGCATACAAGGTGAAGTAGTAGAAGAAGCCTCAACACAATGTAGAAACCCCCAAACTGCAGAAAGCCATTAGGGAAGTCAACATAGCAGGGAGAAAGGCGAGTAGGTTTGTTGATATTGGAAATGTGAGTCTCTTCCCACCTTGAGACTTCCAGAGGGACTCCACAGTGGAACTATCCAGTAAAACTTTCTGCAATGTTGGAAATATAATCTGAGCTGCCCAATACTGCAGCTAATAGCCACGTGAGGCTCTTGAGCACTTAAATGTAACTAATGTAACGGAGGAACTCAAGTTTTACATACATTTACTTTTACTTAATTTAAACTTAAAGAGCCACATAGGACTAGTGACTACTGTATTGAACAGCACAGTGGTATAAAAAGATTAAAAACAAAAATGAGAGCTGCAGTTTTGCCATTGGTAGACTGTTTCAGAGCTTTGGTAATTTGGTCATCTATGTGTCATGTGTCACCTTGATTGTCCTCTCATGCCGATGAAGTTAGCAACAAACAAATCGAAGTATAATCCTCTACATAGTTGACATGTGATTATAGCTAAATGAGGTCAGTCTGGATGTCTGGTTATTAATATTGATAGAAAGGGCATTCCAGAAAGTAAAAATACCACTTTTAAGATTTAAACAAATTAATGTGTTAACCGATTATCTGACATCCAATGTTTTCCTACATGATCTGATTACAAAATAAAAATTCAGTGATTGGAGAAAACTCAAGAAGAATATATTGGAAATGCAGGCAATATAGCATTGTTATTGTAAGAAATTTTTCCTCAGTTGTCACAGAGTGGCAAGAGACACTACAGGCAATGAAATGTGTTACAGAGTGAACCAGGCATGCACAAGCGTCTAAATAAGATGACAGCTGCAAATATCAAAATGATCCACCAGCAGGCACTGGCACTAGTGAATTTCAAGTGAAAAAAATAAGATCGAACTGACTTCCAGATTGAGGTGCTGGGGTATTAGGAGAATGATAGGGCACTAAGATTCATTGATGCAGAAAAATAGGGAAGGAAGCAAAGAGTTCAGTTCTTGATATATTGTTTCTTACATCAAATGGTCATCCTTAAACAGAGATGGTCCTGTCTAATTCCTTTTCAACAATTGTTTGCATACAGACTGTCTTAGAATGGGGAAAGTTTTAAAATACAGATTCTTGGGTTATCTTCCAAAATTCTCAACCAGATTCTCCATGGTGAAACCCACAAATATGCAGTATTTTAAAGTTCCTTAGTAAATTGCAAAGTTTGGTTAGGTTTGCAAATATTGTAGCATATTAAGCAGGTAAAGGAAAGTCAGGAGACAACATAAATCAACTTAGAATAGCATATGGATTTAAGAGTTAGTTAAAGATATAGTGTGAAAACAAAACTAAACGAAAGCAATTAACTATGGCTAGATCTGCCTCCACTCAGAGTGACAATAGAGCATCTTGGACATACGTGGAAATAAATTTTTAAGATTATTATAATACCCTTATAATTTACTTAAAATACTTCAGCTAGATAATGAAATACATCTAGGCATATCTCAGAGATATTGCAGATTTGGTTCTAGACCACTGCAATAAATGAATATTACAATAAGGCAAGTCACACAAATTTTTTGGTTTCTCAGTGCATATAAAAATTATATTTACAGTATACTGTAGTCTATTAAGTATCCAATAGAATTATGTCTAAAAAATAATGTATATACCTTAATTTAAAACCAATGTGTTGCTAAAAACTGCTAACAATCCTCTGAGTCTTCAGAGAGTCATAATCTTTTTGCTGGTAGAGGGTCCTGCCTTGATGTTGACGGCCTTGATCTGAATTAGGATTTGGCTAAGAGAATGTTGTGGCTGATGTGATCTTCTATTCACACCACTAAAACTTTCTTATCAGCAATAAGGCTGTTTTTCTTTCTTATCATTCATATATTCACTGGAGTAGTACATTTAATTTCCTTCAAGAACTTTTCCTTTACAATAACAGCTTGACTAACTGCTTGGCACAAGAAGCCTAGCCTTTAGCCTATATTGGCTTTTGACGTTCCTTCCACACTAAGCTTAATCATTTCTAGCTTTTGATTGAAAGTGAGAGAGTATGACTCTTCCTTTCACTTGAACATTTAAGAGGCCAGCATAGGGTTATTAATTTGCCTAATTTCGATATTGTTGTGTCTCAGGGAATAGGCAGACACAAGGAGAGGAAGAGATGGGGAAGAAATGGCTGGTCGAGGGAGCAGTTGGACACACAACATTTATTAAATTTTCCATCTTATATGCTCACTGTTCGTGGTGCCCCAAAACAATAACAATAGTAGCATCAAAGATCATTGATTGCAGATGATTACAACAAATATACTAATGAAAAAGTTTGAAATACTGCAAGAATTACCAAAATGTGGCACAGAGACACAAAGGGAGAACACATTGGTGGAAAATGGTGCCAATAGAATTGCTCGATACAGGTGTGCCACAATCCTTCAATTTGTTAAAAAAGAAAAAGCAATATTTACTTGTGAAGCACAAAAAAAAATGAAGTATGCCTGTATGCATCTGTTCAAGAGTTTTAACCACAGGGAAAGGATCAGGAAAATGCTAGTTCTCATTTGAGATACACTAATCAGAAATAAAACCCAGGGTGGCTACACAACATGCAAAGACTAATCAAAGGTCCATGCTCTTAAAACAACTACCGCAAATATCACATGCTTTTGTTTCCTATTAATACAGGCTTTGTTAATTAGAATAATGGTTTTTAGTAAGGCTGCTTCATGGGTGAAATCAGTGGTGTTCAAAATGTGTTCATTAGTTGCAAATATAACATAGGCATTCCTGTTCTTGCAAAGTGGTATAAGAATCTTGTGAACCCAACATGGGCCCTATGCTCTACCGTTCCAGCTCAGCAGCTGATTCAAAACAGTTTTGTTACCTGATTCTAACTAGAAGGGTAGCTGAATCCTGCTGCTGAAACACAGTTGCAGAAGTCTCTAATGAACTTTTCAGGCAAGGTACTGTCAGACAGCTTCAAAAGACAGCTGGGACTACATCAAGCTGACACGTGGCCATATAGCTGTTATTATATCTATTTGCAAAAAAAAAATGCTTTTTACATTTGGCAAAATTTGATGTTAGACTTTTTTTGGTTGTACTAGGCCTTCAGGTTTATGGGGTAAGAGACTGATAGCTATCATCTACTTTCAAGAACTGAAGGCTATGAGTATCGACCAAAAATAACCAAATTAAGGTGAATGACAAAATGGATTCTGGTCAGTTGGGACCAAAAGTCATTTTCTCCAGAAAGGTTGGCATGAATTTTTTTCTAGTGACTCTTAATAAATAAGATGAGATTAATACTTCTCAATAAATTAATAAATAGAAATTTCTGAATATTACTGAGCAGTGAGCCTGTGGTTTTCTAAAAACATGATGCTTTCTTGAATAATTCTGCTTTGTCTTTCAAAGGGATCTGAATTAGAAAAGCAACTAGCATGAAGCCCAGCAGTAAAAATAAAATGCTATAGGTCACTTGTCAGATGAATGGCATCTATCAGTAGTTAATTTCCACTGTCAGGTTTTTAATGAATTGCTTATTGTTTCTAGTAAGAAGAGAAATTTCTTAACAGCAGAAATTAAAAATTGTATTCTTGTTTATATCTTTGTGGATTAAAATACTAATTTAAATGGTAAAGCCTCTGTTACAATAAGAAGTAATTTGCTAGATGTCAATTTAGGAAAAAAAATCTTTTTCAAAAGAATGCTATTTCTAATGCACAGAGGAAAATGTTCTCTGAGGTATATTACATGAAAATTTCGGTGTTCTAATTATTGTTGACAGAAACAATATCAATCCAGGAATGATCCTCTAACCTGTTGAGCATATGTTAACAAATAGCATATCTTAAAATGCCTTTGTAACTCTTATGTCTAACTCTGCAAGAGGCTTGGACTTTTTTGAGAGTTAGGGCCATGATGATTGTGTGATCTTTATTGCTCCAAATTCAGCATCCTGACAGGTATTAGGTAGCCACTCAAAGAGTGTCAGCTGGATAAATGAATATTCTTGGACATTCATTTACTCATTGATTATCTGTTTCCTTATATTTAAGTATCATGAAGAAAGATAATTGTTGCTCCTGTTAATATGAAAAGAAAGTTTTATTCTTCTCTTTATTGATAATGGCTGAAATAATTTTCTAAAAATGTGTGTAAATGTCTCTGTAAAATGAGATTAGTTTCAGTGATCTAGAATGCTGTGTCACTCTGAAAAAAAAAAAAGAACAGATTTACCAGAAATGTAGAATATTGCTTTTTTAAAAAATGAGCAAATTATTTGCGGGCAGGGTGTAGAAAAAGAAAGAAAAAAAACGAGGACTTAGTGCAGTCGGGGAAGAAGGATGGAGAAGCTGCCTCTGGCCTTCCGTGAGCTGGAGCTGCTGGACTGGATCCTAACCAAGCTGGTCTTCAACTATTTACAACCCGGCTGCCTAGGCCACTTCCACAGTTTGGTATTTTCCCTACCAGCTCCGGGAAATGCGCCCCCACCTCGGGCACCTGATTTCCTCCCAGCTGCGAAGCCCACCCTGCCCAGACTCCTCCCCCGGGTGTAGCCCAGTCACGCAGGTTACAGCCATGCCGTTTTCCTCCATTTTTTAGGCATGCAATGCATGTACAGTTGATCTGCCACTTTTTAGGTGCCATCTCTATTATTATCCTCTAATTATATTATGTATCTTTTCTTTGAATGAAAAATTTGATGGCTGGGGCTTTTATTTTATATGTTCCCCTTTTCCATGCATCATGTTTCACCACAGCATACAACAGGTGCTCAAAGTAAATTTGCGTCAAACAGTACATTAAAATTATCCAATCTCATTTGTCTAAAGTTAAAAGGAGGATGGAAGGGAGGGAAAAATGGAGGGCAAGCCTGTATCTCATCTAAGATTAGTTCAAATTACCATTATTTCAAAATTCCATAAACTCTTTGAGCAAGCCAAATAGCTGCTGATCTTTATTTAATTACTGGAATAAATATATATGCTGTGTTTAGATAGATGGGTTAGGACAACTGTTAGTCATTTTAAAAATCAGGGTGGTTTCTGCTAATGAACAGTTATTTCTGAACTCACATGATTTGATTTCAGGAGTCCTGAGGAAAAAAAAAAAACTTTTTTGAATATGTTTTAAGCTTTTCCTGATGCCAAAAGACAAATTAAAAAAAAAAAAAAAAAGCACTTTGGTCTGTGGTTAGAAGGTTAGAATTCACACATTGTTTATGGGGCAGGTGTTCTTTCCTTAACTGACATAAATGCTGAATCACTAAAACCAACCCTTCTAATGTAGACAAAAAACCTCTTGAGTCCTATCTATTTTTTGTAAGAACCAGAAAATCAGACAGCTAATCTGTTTATGTAGAGTAGCTGAAAATTGCCTCCCAAAAAACTTGTCCTAATAAGTTATTTTTAAAATAACAACAAAAAAGTATTTTTAAGTAATGACTGACCATTTCCATGTAAAAAGTTTTATTTCCTGTGAAAAAGTATTTCATTTAAAGACATTTCATTTCACAACTTTTGTTAAAATCTTAGTTTTAAAAGACGCGATGATTCCAAGTATTTATTGAGTGTGAAACAAATTAGATGTTCCAAGTAAAATGTAAAGTTTTTAAATTCAAGAACTTGACTATTGCATCAAAGCAGACATTTCTAAAATCCAAGTTTTATCATCTTTTTTTGCACACTAACTTGAAGTCACTTTCTTTCCCATCTCAACACTTATTCACTGGTCATTTAGCAGTGCCTAACAAAATCTACCAGTATCATAATATACAAAACCATAAAACTACTAATCTTAAAGTAAGTCTTGCTTTTTATTTTTCTTTAGTGAATGTTTTAAAGTTAAATAATTGACCAATAATTTGTACTTGTTAAAAATGAATTTAGCCAATTAATATCTTTAACCAAAATTTTCATTTCACAGAATTTGAAAATCTAGCAGATAATAAAAAATAAAATTTTACTTAATCTCTTGCTCATTACTTGTTTATACTTACAAAATGAAGGAAGTACATACATAATCTATATTTATAGGATTATAGGAAAAAACATTTGCCAGTACTCCATTTTGTAACTTTGTATTGCATAGTCAAAATTGGTACTTAACAACAAAGAACTTAGTTATCTTTAAGTATGAACACTCTATTATAAATGTAAATCTCATACTCCATTGTACAAAAATGTCCACATTTTGGCACATCTTCACTTAAGTAAATAACACAAAAAGTTTTCTGGCAGTTATTTTCCTCTACAGCTTTTGAAAATAATACAACTGGCATTGCTTTTATCTAAGTTTATTTGCTTGTTTTTAATGCACCTGTTTTAGGGCTTTTTTCTACAATAAGGCCTGCTTAAGCTTAAGCTAAATTTTAGGGAGAAATGTGTTCCATTCAAGCACATATACAAAAATGCACTAAACTTTTAAACTTCAAATTTACATTCTTAAACTTCACATTTTTATCTTTATTTTTAAAAATATAATGGCTACACTAAAAGGTTAACTTTTTATTGACTTCTACTATATATTCCTTGAAGGCATTCCAGTAGACAAGTTATATAGTAGCTGAAGTGTCATCTTATACAGCAAAAAAAAAAAAAAAATGGTCTCCAAGTTTTTAAAGAAAAAAAAAACTCTTCAAACAAGATTATCTTTTTAAGTATGTAGCTAAAATTACTATCTTTGCATAGACTCCCATACTTGGTTTGACTTAGCAATTTTTTAACTTTATGATGATGTGAAAGTAGTACCTATTCAGTAGAAACCATACTTCAAGTACCCAATACAGCCATTCTGTTTTTCATTTTCAGTACAGTATCAATGTGTTACATGAGATATTCAACATTTTATTATAAAATAAGATTTGTGCTCAATTATTTTGCCCAACTGTAGGCTAATGTGAAATTGAACATTTAAGGTTTCCAGATTCTATTCTGACAGTCATTTTAGTGCCCAACCATATAAAATTGACACAAATAGAGAAAATTTAAACTTATTTAAATGTTTTAAGTTTCAGGATATAATAAATTTTACATACTTTACAAGCTTAGATATAGAAAGTTTACAGTTTCCAACATGTGTGAGTTTAGGTTGTCCTGCCTATCTACATGTAAACATGTAAAAAAATTCTACTTTAGAAACGTAATGTTTGTCTTCAATGAATCTTTACAAATACAAGCTCATGTAGAAAAATACTGGTGCTCTCTTTCCATTTAGTTGAAATTATTTTTTTTAAATGTGATAGGCCATATTTCATTAGACTTTAATTTCATTCCACTTGAGTCTAATGAAAAAATATAAATGTTGTAAATTTTAAGAACTTAAAAAAAAGCTTTTGTTTTGTCTAAGTATTTAAAACCTGTGAAATATGAATACATGCGAGTAGAATACAATACTGTGATTTTCAAATTTGCCCTGATTTTACTACCACATCACTGCTTGGTTTATTTGAGCCCGAAAAAATTAAATTCATTTAGCCATAAAATAATTATATGGGCATTAAAGTAGGCATGATTTTTGCTGTATGAACTCTCAGATGCATCAGATCCATAAGAGTCATGTTCATATAATACATAATTCACTAAGCATCATTATTCAACATACTTATTCAATCAGTTGTAGAGTTAATTTTTCAATGTCATATTTATCAAATTGCAATTAGTAATGTTATTAAAAGACAAGACAAACGTAGTTACTACTAGTGATTTCTTATGCATGTTTACTTCAACAACTAAATTTGTGTAGCCAAAATGCCATCAATAAATTGTCATAAAATATCTTACAAGACATTGTTGGTTCTATGATGATAGCATTTCCTATAAGATTTCTCATTTAAACTCTTCAGTAGAGCAGAGCAATAATAAAGTTTACTGTAAGTTTTATCCCTATAGCAGAGGTTGGTGATATGACAAACAGGAGACCCTAAAAAAATGCAAATAATATTAATAATCTCACAAGAGATCTTCAAGGGCTAAATATCTTTATAAATATAATAAATTAACTAATTTAAATAAAAGTAAATATATATGTGTATATATATACATATGAACACTAAATTTACATGTAGCCAAACATACAAATTATTTAATTACATATGTTGCATTATATAGATTCACATATTTATGTATAGACATACACATATAAAATATATATACAGACTCCCATACTTGGTTTGACTTAGCAATTTTTTGACTTTATGATGATGTGAAAGTAGTACCTATTCAGTAGAAACCATACTTCAAGTACTCAATACAGCCATTCTGTTTTTCATTTTCAGTACAGTATCAATGTGTTACATGAGATATTCAACATTTTATTATAAAATAAGATTTGTGCTCAATTATTTTGCCCAACTGTAGGCTAATGTGAGGGTTCTGAGCACATTTAAGGTAGGCTAGGCTACGTTATAATGTTTAGTAGGTTAGGTGTGTTAAATGCAGTTTTGATTTATGATATTTTCAGTTTACAGTTACAGGACACAACACCATCACAAATTGAGGAGCATCTGTGTTATATATATATTATATGTGCTTACACACCCAAATTTATATAAAAAAAGAACATGGCACACTGCCCGGTCCATAGCAAGCCTTCAATAGGTACAGTTTTAATAATCATTAATACCCTACTACAAATCACCTGACAAAACCAAACATTTATTCCTGACATTCTCTCAATCTGGTGCTCTATGCCATTTCTTTTCATCAACAAACTACCCTACACTCTGCTGCTTCTCTTCCAACATGGAGACTAGTTGTTTGGTTTGTTTGTTTTGCTTTACAGGCTGCACTTTGTCCATACTTCCCATGTTGGTGTTCTTTGGGACCCAAGTATTTCTTCCCATGTGGCACATGGACAATAGGACAATCCTTAAAACCACAAGATTTCTTTCACTCATTTGCAAATCCATAATGTCAGCCCTGACAACTCTACCATTCCTTTTGCTTTAGATGTGCATTTTCAGCTATCTAATGTTCATTTGCATGTGAATGTCCTATAAAGGCCTCAAACTCATTGGAATATAACTGAATTAGGCACCCCCTCTTTTAGTTACTCTTTCAATTAATGTTTTTATCATCTACCATACTACTAGTCTAGACTCTTCAACTCCCCCTCTTGCTCACTGCCTTTCATAAGCTGTCAAGTTCAGAATATTCTACCCAAAAGGAACATGGTTTCTGTCTGCACAGCTGCTATTAACCCCTTGCTGTTATCTCTTTCTCATACACTTCTAGTAAATGTCTACTACAATGGATGTCTAATATACTCATCTGAGATGACTTTTTGCCTCGTACTGCCGTAACAAAATACCATAGACTGGGTAGTTTAAATAATAGGAATTTATTTTCTCATAATTCTGTAGACCAGAAGTTCAAGATCAAGGTTCTGGTTGATTCAGTTTCTGGTGAGGCCTCTCTTCTTGGCATGCATACTGACGCCTTCTCTCTGTGCTCACCTGGCCTCACATGGCCTTTCTTCATTGCATGTGTGTATGTGTGCACACACGCATGTGTGCATGTTTACAGAGAGCTTTCTGTATCTCTTCTTATAAGGACCCTAATCCTATCAGATCAGGGCCTCACCTGTGTTACCTCCTTTAACCTAATCACTTCCTTAGAGGCCCCATCTTCTAATGCAGTCACACTAGGGTTTCAACATATAAATTGGAGTGGGGGAGAATACATTCAGTCCATAACACATATTATAAAAATAATGTATTTTTGTAGTTGCCTATTGATTAGAAATTCAAAATCCTCATTATTATTCAAAAGCCATTTAAAATATGACCACAAATGACCTGATTTTCTACTATTCCCTGAGAAGTTTCTGAACCCCCTTTTGAGCTTTAAAACTTGCATAACCTTCTAAACAATTTTCTCTCATTCTGAAAGTTTCTTAGTTACCAGGTTATCTTCTATTTGGGCTTCAAGTCCTAGCAAAATTATTACTACTTCTTGTTAAGCTTTCTCTGACTTTTCTGAGTGGTGAGTTATACTCTCCCCAGTGTTCTCAAACAGTTTATGACAGAGCACCTTTCACATTGTATTATAAATACTGATAAAAAATAAAAAAAACTATCTACTTTTACTAGTCTTTGGAATTTTTAAGGGTAAAGGTCATACTTCATTCATTTTCTAGAAGAAACTAAAGAAGGAAAGAAGAAGAAAGAAAAGGAAGAAATGAAGGGAGATAGATAAACAATACTAGGGAATAATTTCCATGATTTTAACATATTTTTTGCAGGAACAAGAAATAGTATAATATTTAATACATCCAAAATACAGTACTTAAAAATCTTAACTCTGAAGAAGGGAATGACAACTTCTTGGCATTTACAAATTGTTACAAGAAACACTTTTGAGCATCATACTTTTGGGCTGAGTTAAACACAACTATGCTTTGACTTTTACAAATGTGTGTGTGGCTTCATCAACATTTTTCTTTTTGATAAATGGTAAAAATTAGTGGCTCATGCTCTCTAAATTCATAGTTAAGAAAAAAGTTCTACCACTAGATTAGGTGGTTTTGGCTGATTTACTTTGGTATCTACAGTTTCCCCATTGGACATTGCAATGTCCAAAAGAGCCATATGTGGTTCTCCACCATTTTGTCTCTCATATCGTTTCTGATCACTCTCCCCCTCCTTCCAGGCTCATTGGTTTCTCACTTTTCCTATAACATCCCAACACCTTCCTACCATAACATTTTGGTAAAGAGGTTTCCCTCAACTTGAAACACCATTCACCCAGACATTTCTTTGGTTAACTCCCTCACTTCTCCCAAGTAGAGACAGCCTTTTCTACCTGAGTCATTCCCAGCATGCTTTGTAAATGGATTCATAGTTAGGTTTAGTTTTTCCATTAGTTGGATTTACAAATCAAGAAAATTCAGGCTAACTCAAAATGGATTATAGACCCAAAGATAAGAGAGAAAACTCTCCCAAAATAAAACCATGCAGCAAAGGGTTAATTCCATGGACTTGGAGTACTCAACCCTCATATATTCCAAAGAAAGAATTAGCTCTTGACAGTCCTTGAAGCATAAAAGTGTTTTTGTGTATCTGGAACATTGGGCCATACCAGAAAGTTTATGCTAACAACATGACTTCTGGTAAATTCCTGTTTTTGTTCACTTGGGGTCCTGGACCACACTGTATAAGTCTGACATTTGTAGGGGCTGGAGACTGAGTAGCTGAGGTCAGTCCCATGGGCACTCCATGTTTATGAGGCTTTCCACACAAAAAAACCTCGGACATGAAAGTATAGATGAACTTCTCTGGTTGAAACTACTTTGTAAATGTTGTCACGCATCATTGTTAAGAGATTTAAGCACTGTCCATATGTCTCCACTGGGAGAGGATAACTGACAGCTCATGTTTGGTTTCTCCTGAACTCTGCCCTATACTGCTGTTTTCCTTTGCTGACTATCTTTTCTCTGGAATAAATCATAACCATGAGTATAATAGCTTATGTAGTTCGAGTTCTTCTAGAGAATTAGTGAGGGTCATCTTGGGGACCCCCAACAGAAAAACAGTGGAGAAAAGTTTTGTGCTCTCAGGTTAGGTAACATGATACCAAAAGCATGAGCCCTCCCCTACCTCCCCCCCCAAAAAATACATTGGATTTCATCAAAATGTAAAACTTTTTGCTTCAAAGGCAACATAAACAAAATGAAACCACAAGCCACAAAGGAAAGAAAATATGTACAAATTGTATATCTAATATATTTGCAAATCAAATATCCAGAATAAAAAAAGAATTCTTATAACTCAGTAAAAGGAAGACAACACAATTAAAAATGGGTGAATGATTTGAAGAGACATGTGATCAAAGAGGACAAATAAACTGCTAATAAGCATAAGAAAAAGTACTCAACATTAGTTGTCATTAAGGAAATGCAAATTAAAACTACAATGAGATACCACTGGCTATAAAGGGAGAAAATACCAAGTCTTAGCGTGGATGTTAAGAAACTGGGATCCTTATACATTAATGGTAAAAATGTAAAATGACATATTATTCATAATACTTGCAATCATGAAACAATCTGAGTGTCCATCAACTGGTGTTAAACGAAATGTGGTATATCCATACAATAAAATACTATTTACCAATAAAAAGGAACAAAATACTGATGTATGCTACAATATAGATGAACCACAAACACATACTAAGTGAGAGAAGCCAGATAAAAAAGACTGCATATTGTATGACTTACTTTATATGAAATGTCTATAGAAGGCAAATTTATAGACAGAAAGCAGATCAGTTGTTGCCTAGGGCTAGAAATGCCCATAGAGATTAATGGCAAAGAACCCAGGCTAATTCTTTAAGATGATGAAAATGGTCTTAAATCGATGATGATTATACAACTCTATCAATTTACTTAAAACCATTCAGTTGTATACTTATAGTGGTTGAATTTTATGGTATATAAATTATACCTTGATAAAACTGTAAGAAAAATCTAATAAGAGAGGACATAAAAACATGCTATACCTAACTTATACGTAAGAAAGAGCTAGGTGCTTCAGTACAGAGGAAAATGAAGACCGGAATATGGAAGACAGGGAATCCAGGGAAAGGGGAGTAGAAAAATTGCAAGAATAAAGAGGCAGCTGGGGTAAACCTCGTAGAGAAGGGAGTTAGTCAAGTCGATGTCCTGAAGAAGAGTTTTCCAGATGAAAAGTGTGAACAAAGCTTTAAGGCAGGAGAATATCCCCAAATTTGAGGAACAGTGAAGTGGCTAGTATGGCTAGGAGGAGAAGCAGATTAATAAGCAATAAACTCAGATAAATAATGCAACATGGAGACAATGTGGGGACTTATTACCCATATAAGATTTTTATTTTGAGAAAAAATGGAGGGTTTTTAACAGAGGAGTGACATAATCTGACATCCATGATTCTAGATGCTATGTTGAGAATAGATTTTAGAAATGAAAGAAGGAAGAGCATTTAGGAGATTTTGATAATCTTAGCAGTAAATTATGATGGCTTGAACTAAGGGGATAAATGGAAGTTGTGGGAAATTATGGGGTTCCCTATAAAGCATGGGGAAAAGGAATTTGGGCATCAATTTTCTTTTCTTGAAAGTTAATTCATATTTTTATAAAAATTATAACAGAATACATCAAAATGTTAACCATATTTCTCTCTGTTTGGTGGCATTATGGGTAATTATGCATTTCTGCATTTATAAAATTACCAACCATGCACATGTGTTTTTCTAAAGCAAAAAAAAATTAATATCCAGCTCTTCAAAAGAGATCATAATGCAAACCAATTTTGTTTTTTGCCAAATTTTTAAATCAACACCAAAATGGCTACATATACAAAGTCAACAGGGGTAAATGGTAATGTTAGCAATATGAAGAGTAGTTAAAGAAGCAACAGATGCTTCCTGAATAGAGTGATAAAATCACTTTCTTATGAACATGTGGTAGCATTATTACCCAAGTAACTTCCCTGACATTATATGACTCTCTTTAGAATATGCCTGGTTTTGAATTTTTTGAAGTTGATAATAACTTCAGTTCCAGTCATAATAAAAATAATTTATTGTATCAGTGAGAGAAGTGTAGCTTATATTAAGATAACAACTTCAAAATCTCAGAGATTAAACAATAAAGTATATTTCTTATTTCACTACATGTCAGGTACAGGTGGATGAGGACATGTTCTCTGCTAATTATAGTCACTTAGCAACATAGGCTATTGAAGATTTCATTTTGACATAGTCTACCATGATGAAATATGTTTAATTATGAACTGGTTCTTAAAGTATCTGTTCCAAATTATACATATTATTTTTGTTCTCAGTACATTTGCCAATACAAGTCATGTGATCATGTGACCACAAAAGGGTTGGGAAGTACAAGCATACCATGTACTCAAAAGAGGTGGAAAAGTGGAATAGATGAACACCATTTTTTTCCTCAGATTTGTTCTTTGGTTATAAACTGCTCACTTAAAGAACTGAAGAGGACAAGATAGCACAAGTCAATTTATCTATGGCATATGTCATACATAATTATCCACAGCTTTAATCTGAGAGGGACTCATAACATCAATTGTGTTAGCTCCTTGCAGGGATCTCTAAATTGGGCCACATATTCCAAAGAGTATTACAAGATATGAGGTTAAAGTGGAAAATAGTAGAACTTCGTATTCATTTCCACATAAAACAAATAAGAAAACTAAACTATACTAATATTTAACAGAAAGAGTTATATTAGTTAATTTCAAGGTTGCTAGTATTTAATATTAAAAATCCTAATTTATCTCTGCATCGGATAGTCATATGACATGTATGGTAAGTCACATACTAAGATAGATTGGGAATTTCAAAAAATGAGTTAAAGGAATTGTTTTAATTCATTCATTTACTTTCAATATACTACAACATAATGCAGGTGAAGTTAAGTTGATTTAAGAATTGTTATAATCTAATTCTATCTATACTCACTCTCACAAAATAGACATAACGTCACAAGATGCCAACACAGACATTTGAGAATTAAAGATTGCAGGCCCTATCAAGAAGAAAATGATAGAGTGACACGTCTTCTATTAGCACAATCTTGTCATTGTCTGCGTACAACTGCTATCTAATGAAACTGCCAAAATCAGATTTAGGAAGATTATTTCACAACATGAAATTTATGAAGATTATTTCACAGAGTGATAGCCACAAATATTAATGATAAACCTGCTGTATGAGTAGATTACATACAATGTATATTGGACCTTGATGAGGTATCTTCAATAGCTGTCATTCAAAACAAGCACTAAAATAAATTAATTAGAACCATTCGAATCACTGGGTCACATGATAATCAGCATTTTCCAAAACAGTATTCAGTAATAAAAACATGTAGTATTTTCAATAATTTTCAGTAACATGACTTCTGCTAAAAATAGATTGATAGTTAATATGTTTTATTCTCATTCATATGTGGTAGCTAAAAATATTGATCTCATGGAGGGAAGAGAGTAGAATGGTGGTTACCAGAGGCTAGAAAGGGTAGCGGGGAGAAGGGGGTGAAGTGAGATTGGTTAATGGATACAGAAATACAGTTAGCTAGAAGGAATAAAGCCTAGTGTTCAATAGCACAGTAGGGTGATCATAGTGAATAATAACTTATTGTCTATTTCAAAATAACTGGAAGAAAAAATTTGGAATAGTCCCAAAACAAAGAAATGATCAATGTTTGAGGTGAACAGTATCCTAATTACTCTAACTTGATCACGCTGTATGTATGAATCAAAATATTACATGTACCCCATAAATATGTACAATTATTATATATTAATTTAAAAACTAGCTAGTTGTTACAATAGAATTAACAGCTTTTGTGAGAAAAATAGTGTATATTATTAACAAAAATTAAAATTGTATATTATCAATTTTATCTTTCTTTTTTATAATTTTATTATTATGTATGCTTTGGAAGGAATATAAATATCAATAGAGAAATACATGTATGGAAAGCGGCATCCTCTTTTTTTAAATTGATGAGGTTTTTGATCAAATAAAGTCCTGATCAATTAGGTAATGGATAGGGCATTCCAACCACAAGCATCCTCTGTGCCCAAGTTGGATTTTTAATTGCCTAACTTGAAATATCCACTTGGCTGAGTAATAGATATTTATATTTAATATGTCCAAAACAAAACTTTTGTTTTTCTCACTAAAATCTCATCTTCCCCTGGTCTTCATGACTCTGTCAAATACACAAACATTTACCCAGTGGTTTAGGCCAAAATCTTGAATTCATCCTTTAGTCTTTTCATTTTCTCACCTCAATTTCAAATCCATTAGAAAGTCCTTACATTTCGGCCAGGCGCGGTGGCTCACACCTGTAATCCCAGCAGTTTGGGAGGCCAAGGCAGATGGATCACCTGAGGTCAGGAGTTCAAGACCAGCCTGATCAATATGGTGAAATCCTGTCCCTACTAAAAATGCGAAAAAATAATTAACCAGGCCTGGTGGCGGGCACCTGTAGTCCCAGCTACTCGTGAGACTGAGACAGGAAAATCGCTTGAATCCGGGAGGTGGAGGTTGCAGTGAGCTGAGATTGCGCCACTACATTCCAGTCTGGGTGACAGAAAGAGACTCCAGCTCAACAAAAAAAAAAAAAAAAAAGAAAGAAACAAAGAAAAAGAAAGTCCTGACATTTCTACCTCCAAAGCATCTCTTGAACTGTTCCTTTCTCTTCACACTAAATCAAGGCACCATCAACTCTCCTCTAGATTATTGCAGTCTCCTAATATATCATTCCACTTTTGCCTCACTAATGCCTGTTCTCCCCAAAATAGCCAGTGATCTTCCTCAAATGGCAATCAGGTCTTGTCAGTCTGCTGCTCAAACTGGTCATTGGCGTCTCATAAAACCCAAACTCCTTGAAATGCTCTTGCCCACTCCTTAAACCTCTTCTCATATGTTCTTCTCCCTGCTTTATATGTGCTCAAGGTACAGGGATATGTTTTCTCTTCCTCAAACAGACAAAGCTCCTTTTGGTCCCCAGATGTCTGCACTGTCTGTTCACTCTGGAACACTCCAGAACCTAGATCTTTCCTTGGCTGATTCCTTCTCAATATTCAAGTCTCTGCTCCAAAATCATTTCTTCAGAGTGGCCTTCCCTGACCACATTAGTTTACAGGTCCTACGGGTTTCCCAGCCCCACTCTGTACCACATTCAGTGTCACTCTGGCCTTCAAGGCCTACAAGGTCTGGGCCTGCCCACGCCTCAGTCTTTCTCCCACCATCCTTCCCCCAATTCCTTGCCTTCAGCACCACTGGGCTGCTCCCTGTTTCTTATCCAGACCAAGCAAGCTCTTCAGTAGTTTGCACTTGTTCTGTCCTCAGCAGGGATGTTCTTCCAGATGTGGGCAAGGCTTATTTCCTCAGTTTATTCAGGTCCCTGCTCAAATTTCATCAGAGATAATCTGCCCCGGTCACCCTATCAAAAGATCACCTTTCACCTCACCTTGCTTTACTCTCCAGTCAGTGCTTCATGACACTTGTATATATTCTAAATCTAGGTTTGTCATTTGTCCCATTTACTAGAATATAAGCTCCGAGAGGGGAGGGCTTTACTTTTTTTCCCAACTGTAATTCTAGACCCTTTGACAATGCCTGATAATGCATTATTAGGATGTATGTAAGCTATTCCATTCTAGGCTCGCTTAACATTTTTCTATAAAACATGCTTCTATGAGCATTCTAATATAATCATTATTTTGCTTTTTGTAATTGTATTTTAAAATTAATTTCTAGTGATTGGATGTTTATAAACATTTTTCTCTGTAGATAAATATTACCCAGTTGCAACCTCGAAAGTCTGTAACCGTTTACACATTACCAAGTGTGCCTCGGCTCCTTTCCACACATTCATGCCTACAATAACTTTTGTGAATCTTTTAATACCAGTGACCTGAAAGAGAAATAATGATTTATTGTTTCATTAGCATTGTTGATAGTAGATTTGAATTTTTTAATATTAGTATGGTATGTGAACTGCCTTTTACATCTTTATATTCACTTTTGTTTATTGTTATTTAGTAATTCCTTATACATTCAGGATATTTATAGTCTGTTTGCTCTATATTATGTAAATATTCCCCTTGTGTAGAGTTAGTCTTTCTTCCACATTTATGTAGTTTGGGTTTTTTTGGAATAAGGAAGCTTTTTATTTTATAAATTTAATTTTTTCACTTTGTAAAGTTTCAGTTTCACATTTTTATGTGGTTTCTTTAAATGGTTTTATTGTTAATGTTTTACTTTTTACTATTTTTCTTCATATTCAATTTATGTTGGTATATGTAACAGTAGAAAAATTCAAATCAGTTTTGTTTTAATTTTTGAAATAATTGACCAGTTTCTTTACAATATACCAGCATTAAGGTAATAATAATAATAGTTATGATTTACTGAAAGATTGATCTCAGCCAGTCATTTTGCTAAATTCTTTATATGCCATAGCTCAATTAATCTTCACATCATACCTCAAGGTTGTGATAAAACCTATTTTTTGTAACAAAGGACAAATGTTCAATGTTTTAAGTTGACCATGGAATCACCTCTCATTTATAACTTATCCAAGAGGCAGAGTCCTGAGTTTATAACCCACAATTCTGTGCTTCACATCAATAGGGCATAAACGCTTCACATCGATACGGCTCCTAAAATAATAAATGCTTGAGCAACATGTTCTTGTGATGAACATTCTCCCTATTATCACTGTGGTTGTCAACGGCGAGTATTCAATCCAATACTACAGAACCTCACATGATTTGACATCAGCCTCTTTCAAATTTCCTTAAACCTCCCATCCCCCAAAATTTGTCACAGAGTCATCATCACCACAGGACGGGTGGAATCTGGCTCCACTGCCTGAACTGAGACAAAAGGCAGAAAGAGGACAAAGAATATGTTTCCTTCCACATAAAACAAAAAATAGAACCCCAAAATATTGGAAACAAATGCTTAGAAAATGATATACCAAAAGAAAGCTGGAATAGTAACATTTTCTAAAAAAATAGAACCTAAAGAAAAAAAATCATCAAGGAAAAAGGATAATAATACAGTAAAAAGATGTAACTCTCTAACATAGGCACATGGAACAACTGAACCTCAAAAAAATTTTGATGAAATAAAAGACAGAAATGAAGAGTGAACCAGATAGATGTACAACAGATAAAGTAAATGAGAGATTAAGCATATGAAAAATAAGCAGTGAGAGAAATAATTTGAACAAAACAAATAAAAACTCAAGCTATTTGGCATATAAAGAGAGGTGTTATAACAAAAAACAAAGCATACTTTTTTTTAGCACACAGGAAGCATTTCCAAAGTAGAACATGTTTCATACCACAAAGTAAAGGAAACCACAACCAATTCCAAATAAAGACTATCAATCTCGAACAAAATACAATGAAATTATTAATTAAAAGCAAAAGGATAGCAAATAAAATCTTATATGATCACTAAATAAACAAAATTAATAGCTACTGGATTTAAAAAGAAATACATTATAATTAGATCTGAGGAATAATGAAAATGCTACATGGCAAAAGTTATAGGAAACAGTTAAAAATACTTAGAAAAAAATAATAGTTTAAAACACATTTATCAAGAAGCAAAGTATTAAACATGGCTGCCGATTCAACATAGGAGGCTGGAAAAGTAGCAAGAGAGAAAACAGACAAACAAGAAAATAAACGAGACTGAATCAGAAAAAATAAAAGAAACAAAACATAGAGAATATTAACAAAACCAAATTCTAGCTTCTTTTCAAAAAAATTCCATGTTTAGTAGGTCATCCAGGAGCACTCTAACAAATTTTTAAGAAGATGTTAAACCTACTTTTAGAAAATTATCTCAGAAAACAGAAATAGCAAAATTTATGTAACTCATTTTCGGAAGCTAATGTTATCTTAAATCTAAAATGAATAAGTCTATGGGCTCATTTTAATTATGATTAAATGTAAAAATCCTAAATATAATATCAAATTCCTACATTGTATTTCAAAAAGTATATACTTTTTGAAAATACATATATTTATATGAATATATATATTTATATGAAAAAAATGTATATATAATACATATATTTATATGAAAGGATCCTCCAACATTTGAAAAATCTTTAAAGTTAACTCACATAAACACACTAAAGAAAGTAAATCACATTATTATCTTAATAAGCTCAATACCTATTTATTCGGAAAACTCCTAGAAAGCAAAGAATAGTTGGGAACTTCCTTAGTTGAGTAAAGGTTAAACACCAAAATTTAGTACATAATATATTAACAAGGAACTTTAGATGATTTTCTTTATGACTAGGAATAAGACAAGGATTTCCACTATTGCTTGATATAATACTGAAGGCTCTAGCCTGTAATAAAAAGGTAAGAAAAAACATTTGTGGTAAGAAAGAGACACAACTTGATGTTTCTGACATTAATGTCTATTTAAGAAAACCAGTGAAATAAAAAATATAAACTATTAGAATTAACAAGGGAATTTATAAATATTACTAATCGTATTTAACTGCATTTCTTCACTTCAGAGACAATCAATGGGAAAACAGACAAAATACGATCTCAATATAGCAATATATATATACACATGATATAAGTATGTGTGTGTGCATTCTAGGAACTAGCCTAGGATACATAAGAACTCTATAGAGACACTTTTTTAAACTGTGATAAATTATGTAGAAGATATTTTATTCTCTTGTTTAAATGAGAGATAAACTATGCTCATGGATAAAAAGACTTTACTATTAAAAAATTGAAGTCATAATTTAAAACATTTCTATATTAGAAATCTCAGCTCAGGAGGCCTTCATTGAAAATTCTACTAAATATTTAAATAAGCGATAACACCAAAGTTACATAAAATCTTTAGGAAAATAACAAAAGACTCCAACCAAGAAGTTCCGTAAGTTCAACTAACTTGATAATAAAGCCTGGCTAGGATATTACAAAAAAATAAAAACTATAAGCCAATATTATTCCCTAAAAGAGATACAAACATTCTAACAAAAAAAAATAGTAAGCCAAATTCAGTGAAATATGACCCCATTGGTTGTGTTCCACAATTAAAAGCATGTTTAACACTTTTTAATGTAAAAAAAACTATGTAATTATCATAAAAGTTACAAAAAGAATATTTGATAAATGTCAAATATATATTCAAGTTTTTAAAACCTGTTAGAAAACTAGAACTAATTTAACCTAAAACAAACATCATGAATGGTGGATTACTGAAAATTGCTCTCAGTGGTCATGAATGAAATACAGAGATCTTTTTTTTATCATTACCTCTATTCAGTATTATAGTAGAAGCAAAATCCATCAATATTCACAGACAATGCAAATGTACACATAACATATACAAAATGTTAAAGATATATTCTTAAAATTCAATAAGTACAACAAAGAGAAAATGATTTTAAAAATACCATTTAAAATGGCATGAAAAAATCAAATAACTAAGAATAAATCTGAAAAAATACAAGATCTGTACAAAAAATTATAAAATGTTATTGACAGAAATGAAATAGACTTAAATAACTAAAGAGCTATACCAGATTAGTGGGTCAGAAGACTTAATTTAAAATGATGCCAATTTTCTCCAAACCAAAGCACAGCTAATCAAAATTCCAGGAGGACTTTTGAGGAAGTTGATAAGTTAATTCTAAAATGTATGTGAAAATTCAAAGTGCTAAACTTAAAGAGGAATAATAAATTGAGAGAACTTGTTCTAAAGCAGTAGTTATCAAATTTGGCTGTGTGTTATAATCATCAGGAAGATTTTCAAAAACTGATGGTGATGCCTTACCTTTTACATAATTAAATCTTTACCTCTTGAGGAGAAACCTAGGCATTTATATTTTAAAATCAATCCAGGTATTTTTATTTCACAACCAAGTTTGAGAACCATGGCTCTGTAGCATATTATTAAATATAATCTAATAGAAAGTATATATTAGATATTGCATATCCACATTATTTAAGACAGGAAAAATTGATGTAAGGATAGCAAGTAGATGAATAGAACAGCATAAAAGGGAAAAGACCCAGGCATGTATGGACACTATTTCTGAGTAAGGTTAACAGAGTAAGATGATAGAGAAAAGGCAGCTTTTCAATAAATGTCACTGCACCAATTGACTCTGTAGAAGAGAAAAATAAATATTGCTCTCAACTTCAAACCATATACAAAAACATAAACCCAGATAGACTACAGATCTGAAGGTGAGGGTAAACAATAGGATTTCTAGAAGATAATACATATTTTCATGAACTTAGGGTAAAGAAAAAAATTGTTGACAACACAGAAAAAGGAAAATATAAACTGACTACACTAACACGAAAGTGGAAAACTTTCGTCCATTAAAAGACACAATTTTGAAAATAAAATATGAAACTATAGACTAAGAAAGTAATTTGCAACACAGAAAATTGACAAAGAGTAAATATCCCAAATATATATATACACATAAACTCCATCAAATCAATAACAAAAATGTATAAAATTCAACAGAAAAATGAGCAAGAAATATAAACCACCTCTGCAAAAAAGAGTATTTCCAAAAATCCAAGAAATATATGAAAAGGTGCTCAATCTTATTAGTCATCAAGGAGATGAAAACTAAAACCATGAGCTACCACTATACTCTTGCCAGAATGACTAAAATTAAGAAGACTGATAATATCGTGTTACTAAGCATATGAGTTAATTGGAACACAAATATACTGCTTGTAGGAAAGTAAATTGGGTTACTTAAGAAACTTGCTTTTCATTAGCTTCCAAGGGTGAATGTACACACACAATATGACATAGTAATCCTACTTACTTTTATGCCCTACTTAATGCATATACACGTAGGCACACATGTACAAGAATTTTCATGACAAAATTACTGGAAACTCCAAGCCAGAAATAATCCAAATGCCTATTGGCAGTAGAATTAATACATAAATTGTAGTATATTCATCTAATGGAATAACATACACTGAAAATGAATGAACTATATATAAAACAGCATGGATTAGTTTCACAAATATAATGTTAAACAGATATACCAACCAGAAAAGAATACATACTGTAATTTTCCATTTATGTAAGGGTCATAAATGGACAAAAGTCATGATAGTGGTTACACTTGAGGGAGATAGTATATAATGACTGAGAAAGAGCACAGGATAGGGCTTCTGGAATACTTGGAATTTTCTATTTCTGGACCAGGGTGGCAGTTACATGAATGTGTTTACACTGTGAAAATGATCAAGGTATTTAGTTTTTTCCCTCTTAATTGAAGTAAAACATAGTAGTAAAATAATAAGGTATGAAGAAGATGGTCTGGACACATAGAGGGACACTACATTCTTTCTTAAAACAATATAGAATGTCAATTCTTTCCAACTTAATCTACCAAATCAATAAATCCAATAAAAATCCCAGTTAGATTTCTTATAGAATCAATTGATTTAATAAAAACTCATTGAAAAAGTTATGAGATATTATCTCACTTCAGTTAAAATAGCTTTTATCAAAAAGATAAAAAATAATGGATGTTTGAGAGGATGTGGAGAAAAGGGAACGTTTATACTCGATGGGAATGTGTATCAGTACAGTCACTATGAGAAACAGTGTGAAGTTTTCACACACACACACACACAAAAATAGAACTACTTACAACCTAGTAATCCCACTGCTGGATATATATTCAAAAGAAAAGATATCAATATATTACAGATACCTGCATTCACATGTTTTTACAATAGCCAAAATATGAAATCAACTTAAATGTCCATCAACAGATGAATAGACAAATAAAATGTGGAATATTATTCAGCCATAAAAAAGAATGAAATCCTGTCATTTGCAACAACATGGATAGAACTGAAGGACATTAGGTTAAGTGAAATAAGCCAGGCACAGAAAGACAAATATCACATGTTCTCATTAATTTGTGGGAGCTAAAAAAATTGATATCATGGAGATAGAGAGTAGAATGATGGCTACCAGGTGCTGGGAAGGGTAGTGGGAGGGGGATAGAGAGGGGTTGGTTGATTAATGGGTACAGAAACACAGTTAAAAGGAATAAGATCTAGTGTTTGGTAGTACAATAGGGTGACTATAGCTAAAAATAATTTACTGTATATTTCAAAACAACTAGAGTAGTGGAATTGGAATGTTCCTAACATGAAGAAATGGTAAAAGTTTGAGGCAATGAATAATATCCCCATTACTCTGACTTGATTATTACACACTGTATCAAAATATCACATGTATCCCATAAATATGTATATATATTATGTATCTATAAAAACATTTTTAAAGTCTATGAATATCTAAGCCAATTTAGGAAAAAAGGATTGAAAACAAGGGATTGGTCTATACATCATTTCTATATTAACATGTATTGCAAGGCCATAGTTACAAAAATAGTGTGTTTGGGGGCAGCTAAGAAAAAAAATAAACTAATGGAATAGAAGAGATATTTTAGAGACAGACTGATACAGAGGTGAACATATAATATGATTTGAAGGAGGCAACAAAAATCAATGGCGGAAAGATTGTCAGCTTAGCAAATGGTACCTGGAAATCAGGTGAACTGTATAGAGAAAACTAAAATTGGATCCCTGTACAATTCATAACATTGTCCTCCAAATAGACTAAAAACTAAATGCAAAATATGAAACCGTAAAGTTGATAAAAACAACATAGGAAAATATCTTTTTAAAGTAGACATAAAGAAAGACTTTTTACGTAAAGCCTAAAAAACACAAACCATGAGACAAAAAATGATTTGGGGCTGGCTTAGAAATAGAGACATTGATAATATGATTATACACGGCAAAACATAGTCTGATTCCAAAAATCAACTTACAAATTAGTTAAATAAAACTGTACACTAAGCTGATAACAGCCCATATCAATTCATCACCTGCAAGTATGTGTGTGTATATTTTATATATATATATATATATATAATATATATAAAAACTGGAGCTGACGTGTTAATCTTTCTTTTACTTTGCAACATAATATGTAATACATTATTTTGTCTACGAACAAGAAAGACCTGCCTACCAACAGTTAAGTTATTTTCCTGGTAGTTTTGTCTTGATCTGTTTCTACAACTGCTTCAATTCTACCACTCTTGAGGCCAGAAATACACCTACAGAATTATTAATTGTATTCTATGTATTCAAACTAACCATGTAAAGATTCTAGGTTGTATATTGGAGGTTATAATGTTCTTTCACCTGAATTAACATAGTGAGTTACACCAAAACTCACTATCTTATTATTCAATAAGTTTAATTGAACTCTGAGTTTCAACATCAATTTTTAAAAATTATCTTGTAGCAATAATTTCTATACCTTCAAATTAAAATTTTCATTATTTAAGGAATTTGGAGTTAGGCCACTACAGAGTGAGAAAAACATTGGTATAAGCAACATTTAGGAGCTAAAAGTTTGGGAAATATTTGGAAATACTTCTTTCTAAACACTGTGCCTTTGATAGTTGCTTTTGTTTTAGCAAGCTAAATTTTATTTTTTATATTGTGGAAACATAAATATTGATAACTAAATTTATTATTCTTGATTACAACCAATTTCAAAGCAAAGGCAGAAATAGTTCACCATTCAAGGCCTACAGAAAGCTCAAGAAGCTTCACTCAATTCCTTATTTCTGTCTGTCCCAGAGTCCTGTCTAGTTTCTCCCCTCTCCAACACCATTGGCTTTTGACGATTCGTTGGTCAGTTCATTACTTTCTTTTGTGATCGCCTTTCCTTTACCAGAACTCACATATTTGCTGTTAAAATTCCCCCCCTCCAATTTTCAAAAATGTATACTTTACAAGAATGTTCTAGCCAGTAAAGGTATTGGAGAGTGCTTACCTTCAAGATAGATGCCTGCCTGGATTTCTAGAACCCTGGGTAGGGTCCTGAGGTCAAGGGAGTGGACGAATTCTTCCAGTGATAATGCCATTGCTATGCCTTGGGTAGTTTGTAGACCTGGTGCTCACAGAAACTTGTGGCTTCTGGGTGACACTTGTCTGCAATTGCAGCCCCTGCTCACCATTTCTTCCTCAGGCAGGCAGGAATGTCACACTACAGCCAGAGTGGGGTGGAGTAGCTCTATGTGGGGAGGACAATGAAGAGGGAGGGGGGAAGCAGGAGACAAAAAATGTTATAGCTCTTTTTGTTCACATTGTGGCTTCATTTCCTTCTGACATTGAAGTTGAACAGGATGGGGGTGGGGTGAACAGACACTGCCCAAAAAATGAGACGTGCTAAGTAGCGCATTCTGTCCTTTGTTAATCCAGGTGTGCATCTACTATGGTAGCAAAACTGAGGTCAGAGTTGCTTGTGGCTTGCCCACCAACAAAGAACAGGAATATAGGACTAAAGTCTAATCTTAAAAATGGCACCATGTGAATTCATTATCTCTCTAGTTCATTTCTAAAGCTTGGCTTTGTGCCTTATTTGCATACTGTCAGTGCCTTTACATTAAAATTGGTAATAAAAGTGCTTTGCGTCAGCTCTTTTTAGAATTCTGATACTATACTCTGGAGAGAGTATTGAAACCACTTTTTATTCTTCCACATTAAAAATTTTGCTGAATCTTAAAGGAGGGTAGGGTAGGGATAGAATATGCAAAATGATACAGTAAATTAACAAAGTACATTAAAATGAGTTTTCTAATCTCTACACTATAGTAGAAAGTATTAAAATTACTTGTCAGGAAACCTGCATTTTCTGGGTTTAGTTCTGCTTTTGATTTACAGGCTAACGTCAGCCTTGTCTTCTCTGATTTTCATTTGTTTTATTTACTAAATGGAGATGAAGTAGAAGAGTCCAATAAATTTTATAATTTCTTCCAAGTTCACAATTCCACAATTCTGATCTTATTGTTGAAATTTAGGAGGGGAAATGATCAGCACCAAAGGAAGCAGGAGAAAACTCATGAACATTGATCTCTTCAAAATCCTGCCCCTCTCTATTTTTTGCATGTAACTGAAACAATATTTAAAATATATACAATTAAAGGTGGTAGTTCCTAAGTCTCTTTAAGGTAAAGTAGAAGAATATTGGTTGAGGCTGGGTACGGTGGCTCATACCTGTAGTCCCAGCACTTTAGGAGGCTGAGGTAGGAGAATTGCTTGAGCCCAAGAATTCAAAACCAGCCTGGGCAACATAGTGAGACTTTGTCTCTACAAAAAAATTAAAAAATTAGCCAGGCATGGTGGCACATGCCTGTAGTCCCAGCTGTGAGGAGGCTGAGGAAGGAGGATCACTTGAGCCCTGGAGTTTGAGGCTACAGTGAGTTGTGAACATGCCACTGCATTCCAGGCTGAATGACACAGCAAGACTCTGTCTCAAAAAAAAAAAAAAAAAAAAATAAAGAATACTGGTTGGTATGTATACACTTGAAAGATGACAGGAATCTACACGTTTTCTTTAGTAACCAAACCCAGGCACTTATCTATTAACTGTTTTGGCCTTAGGCTGCAGAGAGCATAGCCACATACAGAGGGTCAGGGGACATCTCAGTTCTACCATGGCCATCATGTAAATGACCTAGAAAGATAAAAACTGCCTAGTTTTGATATGGAGCTTATAAAACTGTTTCAACTCTTTGTAATCCTATTTGACATTTTCAATAATCAGTCCAGCTTCATTTCTTTCTTTATAAAAGTAGAATTTACGATTGACCACATCAACAGGTTTACTATCATTAGATTCAAATTCCTCACTGGCAACTTTTTTGTCCAAAAATGTCCTACCCTTGATCTGTCTGCCTTCCATACCCCTCCCCACAGTTTACAGCCTAGTAGTGTATTTCATGTGGATGAATACATGAAAGAGGCTTCTGTGGACTGCTCCTTAAAAATTATGAATCCGTTAGAACTGATGCCACAATACATTTCATTTGATATCTAATGCAAGCTGGATATCACTTATTTTTTTAATATTCCCAAGTCAAATTTCTATCCTACTAGCCAAACAGCCATTTCGTATCACCAATCTCTTACAATTACCTAGGCTCCATCTGCTTCTGCTCTCGCGACAGATGACGCTCTCTCTGTGATAATCATCTTCGTATTCTCAGTCTTAATTAATGACACTGCTATTCTCTTAGTTTCCCAAGCCGGAAGGCTTAGAATCATGTGAGATGCCATTTTTTTTCTCTAGCCGTTAAATCCATCAGGCCCTATAGATGGCAATACTCAGTACCACTCACTCTGTCTTTGCTCTATATCCCCACTGCTACTGCTTTAGACCAGATCGTAATCACTTCTGACACACAGGCAAAAAAATCCTGATGTGAGCAGCCAAGTTAAGGTTGACAAAGAAGAGCAATGAGTTCAAGAGTACTTGAATCATCAAGTAAAATGAATTATTGAAGTTTGGTCATTAGAACAGCATGTTATAGGTGTAATAATAGATTAACGAGAATTTTAAAAAAAAAACTAGACTGTATATAATAATTTACTATTTGAAAAAGGTGAAATTCCAAGGCAGTGGGAAAGAATGTTTTATTCAACAAATGGTTGTTAAATAATTGGGGAGAAAATTTCCCTAACTTTCCATGCAATGAAATTAAAGTTAGATACATTTTAAAATTAAATTTAAATAAAAATAAACCAGAGGGGAAAAATAGGAAAATGTCTGGAAAAGGGTAAGAAAATAACTATTTCTGAGTAGTAATTGAAGGAAAAAACTAATAATATATTTGACAACTAACTTATGAAATACTCCTGTAAATCAAAAAGGAGTTTGAACAAAATAGAAAAAAAAAAAAGCACATCCTTCAAATAAACAATGGCTTAGGTGGGTAAAGGCCACTTGTTAGTCAATATGCAAAATAAAAATATTCAAAGACTTCTATTTCTGGCTATGAGCTTGTATCTGACCACGTTTTCTACCAAAGGCACCTAGAAGAGCTGTATACTTTTTAAAAAAGCTGTTTTAAGAAACAAGAGAGCTGTCAGGGTGCAGAACATGAGAGGCCAAGATCCTGTAAAGCAGAGCAGAACCATTAGAGGAACTCCATATTCTGCACTTCTTTTCCCTCAAGGCTTTTATGGGTTAGTAACTGGCACCAAGAGAGAGTCTGAGAAGGCAAAAACTGGTGGCTCAGGAGGAGAGAACCTGAGTTGAGTTTTTGGCAGTTTCACATAGCAAAAGAGACCAAAATAAATTGGACTTTGGGAAGTAGCAATTCCTCCAGGAAAAGTCAGAGAAAGGTATTGCTCAGCACCACTTTTTCCCCTTAAAATTTTTTTGCTCATTGAAAGCAGTACAGGGTTGATTGTATGAGACACAAACAAGAGCATGGTTGGTAGGAAGCTGAAGAAGCCAAGGAGTGCTTTCAGCAGTCTTGCAGAACTGGGAAGCCAGGGCCAGCCAAGGAGGGAGCAGGAGTCACAACAAATGCCTGTGTTCTCAGTTGGGGCTCCTGAAGGCTGCTTCCTAAGAGAAAGGGTTGCCTATAAATAGAACTAGCTTTACAAAAACTGAAGCTTAGACTAAAATTAGCTCAATCCCTCATTGGATTAAAGTGGTCTGCCCCTATTCTTGCTGCCAGATAGAAGCAAATGTAAATCCTCCTGTTGAGGAAAAGCAGCCAGAACTTCTGTAATATTTAAAAATACAACATCTATAATTAAGTATGAAATGAATGGGAATGCCAGAAGACAGGACAGAGAAAGACAGAGAGAAGGGAGACCACAGAAACAAACTCATGGGGTAATTCCGATATTGGAATTATTAGTCCTGCAATTTAAGATAATTTTGATAAACATGTTCAAAACTAGAAGACAAGAAGGAGAAAAGAACTGCCATCTATAGAAAGTATCGGATGAAAATTCTAGAGTTAAAAAATACAGTAACTGAAATTAAAAATTCAATAATTGGTTTTAACAGCAAATGGGACATACAGTAAGAGAGGATTGTTGAACTGGAAATGGGAGCGTAGGAAATATCTGCTCTCTCTCTTTCTCTCTCACTCTCTCTCTCTCTATCTATCTATCTCTGTGTCTCTGCAGAGAGATATTTCAGCCATAGTGGAAAGATCTTATATGTAAACTGAGTCCCAACGTGAGAGGAGAAATAATAGTGGGAGAAGAAATATTTTAAGAGATAATAGCTGAAGATTTTCCAAAGTTGAAAAAGGCATCAATCCATAGATTCAAGCCTTGCCAACACCACCAAGGAGGATAAATGCAAAAGAAGGCACACTAAGGAACATCATACTAAAACGTTAAAAAGCCAAAGTCAAAGAGAATATCTTAAATGCACTCTGAAGAAAAGAAATTGTCACTTTCAAAGGATCACCAATAAGATGATAGCTGACTTACTAACAAAAACCAATAAGGGTAGAACACAATGGAATACCATCATTAAAATGCTGAAAGAAACCAACTACCAACTTGATATTCTAAATCCAGAGACGCATGAAAGCAACAGCAAAATAAAGACATTTTCAGACAAACAAAAACTAAGAAAATTCATCACCAGTAAACTCTCACTAAAAGAAATACTATAAAGGGTGTTCTGCAGGCGAAAGTAAAATGATCTCAGACAGAAAGTCAAGACCACAGGAAGGAATGAAGAGGGTGAATATGTCAGTGAACTGAATATATTGAGTTCCCAAAACAATAATTAATGGCTTGTGGAGTTTTGAATATATCTGCACTATATATAGTTCATGCAATATATTGTAAAATATAGCAGTAATGCAAAAGCAAAACTGATAATGAAGTTAAAATGTTCTAAAGCATTAGCCTTCTAGAGAAGTTGCAAAAGTGATGTTTAATATCAGAGTTAAATAAATAAAAACACATGTAATTTCTAGGAAAGCCACTAAAAATGGTAAATGAATGATAAAATTAATTAATCCAAAAAAGACGAGAAAGAAAAGAAAAAGAACCTCAAAATTGCTAGCAAACATTATGATGGTATACATAAACTCAATTATACTCTTAAAATAATTTAAATGAAATAATTACATTTAAATGAAATAATTTAAATGTAATTAAATGAAATAATTTAAATGTAATTTAAATTAAATAATTTAAATGAAATAATTTTTACAAATAAAAATTAAATAGTTTAATAGTTCAAGTAATAAACTAATGTTGGCAGATAACATTTAAACACATAAATCTACTTAAAAATATACAATTTAGTTATAAGTTTATAGAAAGTCTAAAGATGAAAAAATGGGAAAATAAATACCATAAGACATTAAGCAAAAGAAAGCTCATGAAACTACATCAATATTACATCAATTAGATTTAAAGACAAGAAGGATTATAAAAGATAATAAGGTTATTTGTTTAATAATGAAAGGGTGACCAATTCTTAAAGAAAATTCACAGCTTTCAATAATATACCTTCAAAATATCTAAAGCAAAATTGACCAAATGAATGGAATCAGAGTAAAAACCAACCTGACAGAAAAAGCAAATATTTATTTCATAAAATTCATACTGTTAATGGTGCAATGTTTAGTCACTCATCTATATTACAAACTGTTGTGATCTATCTTGAAATCAATTTGATGTAGCAATTTCACATTTAGATATAATCAGATACACACAAAGATTTATTTATACCATCAACTGAAGCATTTATTACTTTAATGACCAAAAAAAGGAGGAGAAAAGAAAAGAAAATGCATTTCACATTACCCTAATAATTCAAACAGGGAAGTTCCTGTTGGAAAAAAAATATTGTCCTCACACCAGTCTTGCTACTACTTAACACATCTTTTTAAAATTTCTGCTAAAGAACAGAGAAGGACTTGGCTATGAAATGATGATTAAATTATAGTTAGTATCATTATTGCCAATGATTTCTATCCCAAGAGAAGTATTGTTGAAAAGAAAAAGAAAAGAAAAATGGCTCAAAGCAAACTTTACGTAAAATACCAATTCGTTTGTTAGATTCTCTATAGCTGCTTTCCTAAAAAGTAAGTAGAACTGTCTGAATGTTAAAAAACAAAAAAAAAAATTCACAAGCAGAGAAATAAGCTTCAGCAGTAGAGGCTTAAAACTATATTATAATATTTCAGTGCAATGTAATATTTCTTTGAGTAAAGAATAAACCCTTATCTCCAAGTAGATAGTATCGGAAAAAAACAAAAACGAAGAAATCTTAGAGATTATTCTGACTGGTATCTAAATCATTCATTCTCTGAAACTTTCTTTTCATTGGTTATTTCTAAAGAAGAAAAAATTAGGCTTATAGGAATCACTCCTGTGATTTTGGATTAACCAAAAGGTGCCATTTATTGGTTCGTCATTGAAAGGTTTACAGCATTTCTACCTACAAAATAAGCTTGCTCTGGGGAATCATACAATACCATTAGGGCATTAGGCTCGGATTTTTTTTTTTTTTTTTTTTTTTTTTTTTGCATGAGCGACATTTCAGGGATATCCTGCTGTTGTGTGACACCTGGCAGCTCAAGATTTGTATCTCATAGATTCAAGTGCAATGGAAGAGACTACCTTCTCCTAGTTATACCTGGAAAAGTCCCAGGATAAACTGTGATTGATCAAACTTGGCTCACATGTATATGTCTCAGCCAATCATTATGACTAGAAAATGAAATATGCTAATTTCCCATAATTTCAGGTTCACGGGCTCTACTTTGGATTTTATTAGGCAGTTGTCTCAGCTAAATCACAAAAAGTGTTGGAAGAGGAGATATATCAAAGGGAAATAAGTGAGCTAATTACCCAAAAGAGAAGGAATGGGTATGTGATAAACAAAATCATAGTACACCCACCAAAAATGTTCCCAGTGCCATAAATGGCTTCCATTTGAAATACCTTGATCACCATTCTCTTCTGTCTCCAACCATATGTACATTCTTCTTTTTATTTTATTTTATTTTATTTTTTTGAGATGGAATCTTGCTCTGTTGCAGCACCCAGCTAATTTTTTATATTTTTAGTAAAGACGGGGTTTCATTCTTAATTTATAAGAATGAATATGAATTATTTTAATAACCTTGAAAGAAAATAAAATCCTACTATACACAACAATTTGTTTTGTCAAAATGCAACATGCAAAATGCAACCGCCTATGAATGTGTTCATTCATCACCACCTGGTTTTCAAAGAAGCTCCTGCCTCCCGGCACTTTTAGTTTCCTTTTGAATAAAACTCAATGTAGGATTCATGTTTCTTCCCATGTAAGTTTCTTTTTTGATCATCCTTTTTTCTAAATTAATGTTTAATTGTCCTTTCAGCAAACCACTGAACTCTTCCTCTATGCTTGTCATTATACAAGGCACTGAGAATATAAGCCCTTAGAGACATTACATTTTAGCTGACCATGCCCACAAGTTAAGAATCACAATCCAATGTATACAGTTCAGGAACTTCAAGAATTAGGAAGGGGTCTCCCCAGGAAGAGTGTTCCTCAGATTAATCTTAAAGGGTAAAAAGCAGTCAAGTAGATGAGCCTGCTCACCATGAGGAGACTTGACTCAACTGAGTCGATCTGCGTATTTTTTTACACGCAGTTCTGCCTACTGCTCGGTGCCACAGAACAGGAGCACAGGTTGAAATGTCTTGCAAAGTGCAATGTGAATGTTGGTGTTACCGTATGAATTATGCCCTGACATTTTCCCTTGCTGTAGGACTCAACCTTTCCTCAGAACCATGAAATAAAAAATGAAGCCCTTATATTCATAAGAGATTTTCCAGTTCTTCCCTTTAAATGGTGGAGGTCCTGTGATGTAACTCTAACATTTTCCTCTGACTTTTATATAGCATTTGTGAAAAGCTTAACTGCAATATGTCTGTAGAAAGGGTATGCCCACTTTAACAGCTCTTTTCTCTTTTCTCTTTTTTTTTCACATTTGTTATCTCTTATAACTGAGAGAAACTCAAAGATGCCATTTGCGTTTTGATGTGCTAACATTTTAGAGCCTCACAGAAACAATTCAGTCCTGTATTATTAAAAGTAGAGCTTAAAACATTTAAAATAGTTATCTATTACAAATTAAGCACTGATAAGTTGCCAATTGCTTACAAAAAATCAACTTTCCTTTTAGATTTCAGACCTAAAAATTAAATAATATATTAAGTATATATATTACAAAAATAAAATATTAAAATATGCATTAAATACAAATTATCTAGTTTAGTAAATTCAACTTAGGATATGTATTTATTTAACCCAAGTTAGTTTATTGGGCAACAGACCATTTGCTTAACCTGACAAATGTATACATGAAACTGTGAGTTACAAATAACTTTTTTTCACCTGGTGCCACTAGACTGAGTCGGGGAAGTTACTCGGTGATATGGTTTGATTCTGTGTCCCCACCTAAGACTCACCTTGAATTGTAATAATACCCACATGTCAAGAGTGGGACCAGGTAGAGACAGTTGAATCATGGGGGCAGTTTCATCATCCTGTTCTCATGATAGTGAGTGAGTTCTCACGAGATCTGATGGTTTTATAAGGAGCTTCCCCCTTCACTTGGCACTCATTCTCCTTCATACTGCCATGTGAAGAAGGACATGTTTGCTTTGCCTTCCACCATGATTGTAAGTTTCCTGAGGCTTCCCCAGCCCTGTGGAACTGTGAATCAATTAAACCTCTTTCCTTTATAAATTAGCTAGTCCTGGGTATCCTTATAGCAGCATGAGAACAGACTAATACACTTGGTAACCAAAGCTTTGTAATATTAACAGTATATTTAACAGTCCCAGTCAAATGAATTACTGGGAAAAGTAATAGAGATGGCAACAAAAACAAACACATAAACATAAAACAACAACTATACACACACAAAGGAGAATGGTGATGGGTGCAGGTTGGTCAGGATTCTTATTTCCACAGTGTTTTAAAAACCTGAAGAACCTACTTTGTTCACTTGATACATCAGCAATACATGGTTGAGGACATTTTGTTTCTCAAAAGTACTCCTATTTTACAAACTAAGATAATGATACACAATTTGCCTGAGATAATTTTCAAAGTTGGAAAAGTCATAGATCCAGTAACAGAAAAACCTGGGCAGGAACTATTACACTTACCCACAAAATTTAATCTCTTGAGAAACTCTCAGTAAAAAAAAATCTCAAAGGGATTGAAAAGGTAGCAACAGAAGAGATTTATAGATTCACTTTATAGAAAAATAATAGCTTTAGCTTTCATTATTTTCTAGTGCATCTAATTTCCTTTTTAAATATATAAACTAGCTAAGACTAAGTAAAAGGCTTGTTATAGATGATGTTTTTTTATAAAGAATTACAGTCATAGTTCAGACTACCTTCTCAGTGTCTCTTTTTTCCAATTAAACTCTGAGAGCATTGCAACAAGCCTCATCATTTTGTAAGCTCATTGTCTTAGAAGATGTATTTATTTCATTCTTAGGAATTACATATTTATCTTTAAGAATTTGTTATTAGGGAAGAAAATTCTTGCTATAAACAGTTACAATCTCATTACGTAAGTATTGTTTTCTGATAGCAAGTATTCAAAAGTAATTGAATATTTTTATCCATTCCCACAACGTTATTTCCAGAATAAAGCTCTCTGAATAGAGCCAGGAAATGGAGAATCTGTTTCTACTATCACCATGCCTTAGGGAAGATAATTAGATGACTGTACATTTGAAATGGAGTTTATAAAATACAGCAACCATAATTTTTTAAAATAATTATTTGAGAATAGGTTATAGAATCATAGAAAAGTTGCAGAGATAGTACAGAGATTTCCTGTATACCCATACAAACACCTGTTTCCTTTATTTTAACACTTTACATTATGATGGTGCATTTGTCACAATGTAGAAGCCAATATTGAGATATTATTATTATTAGCTAAACTTCATACTTCACTAAAATTTTATTAGATTTTGCTAACGTCATTTTTCCTTTTTAGGATCCCATTCAGGATACCCCATTGCCTTTGGCCATTATGTCTCCCTAGGCTCCTGGGAGCTGTGGTAGTTTCTCAGACATTCCTTGTTTCTGATGACCTTGACAATTTGAGGGATACTGGTTAGGCATTTTGTAGAATGTGCCTCAATTTCAGTCTGTCTGATGTTTTTCTCATGGTTCACCTTGGGTTATGGGTTTGGGGAGGAAGACCACAGAGGTAAATTAGTTCTCATTCTGTCATATCAAAATTATAGACTATCAACATAATCTATCACTGATAATGTTAACTTTATCTGACTAAGGTAGTGTTTGCCAAGTTTCTCCACAGTATTGTTACCTTTCCCCTCTTTTCACACTGTTCTCCATGAAAACAAGTCATTAAGTGTAGCCTACACTTAAAGGGGAGGAACTTACACTGTAGCTCCTTGAGGGAGGAATATCTACGTAAATAATTTGGAGAATTTTAAAGGAGATATTTCTGTCTTCTCCTTCATTTATTTATTTATTTATTTATTTAATCATGAGTTTATTTATATCAGCATGGGTTTATGGATATATATATTATATATATCCATGAATATTTTATACCTATCCATGGATATATATTTTATACTTTAAGTTATAATCTGATACTGCTTTTAAAACTTATTTTGTGCTCAAATTGTTTCAGCTTTGATCACTGTATACACACACATATAAATATTTCTACATGTATTCATCTGTATTTACATAAGAATGTAAACGTAAGTTCATACTGATATTGCCTACTCTAATCCAATACTACATGGTTCATTCTAGCCTTCCTCCTTGGCTTATTTCTATCCTTCCACTCCAGTTGTGGGGTTTGGGAACCTCTGCCTACATTTCAAAGGATGTATGGAAATGCCAGGATGTCCAGGCAGAAGTTTACCGTGGAGGCAGAAGCCTTATGGAGAACTTTGCTAGGGCAGTGCAGAAGGGAGGGAGCCCCCACACAGAGTCCCCACTGGGACACTGCCTAGTGGAGCTATAAGAAGGGGGCCATTGTCCTTCAGACCCCAGAATGGTAGATCCACCAACAGCTTGCAACACACACCTAGAAAAGCCACAGATATTGTGTAGAATGTGCCTCAATTTCAGTTTGTCTGATGTTTTTCTCATGGTTCACCTTGGGTTATGGGTTTGCAGCTGGTGAAAGCAGCCAGAAGATGGGAAGTACCCTGCAAAGTCATGGGGCAGAACTACCCAAGGCTACAGGAACCCACCTCTTGCATCAGCATGATCTGGATGTGAGACATGGTGTCAAAGGAAATCATTTTGGAACTTTAAGGTTTAATGACTGCCCTATTGGATTTTAGACTTGCATGAGACCTGTAACCCCTTTGTTTTGGCCAATTTCTCCCATTTAAAATAGGTGTGTTTACTCAATGTTTCTACCCCCATAGTACCTAGGAAGTAACTAAATTGCCTTTGATTTTACAGGCTCATAAGTGGAGGGAACTTGCCTTGTTTCAGATGAGGCCGAAACTGCTATTGCAAAATTGTAACTGAGACAGTGAAAGAGATTTGACTAACTCCATCTTGCTTCTAACCTCCAAGCTGTCCTTGTTCATTCCTGGGAGCAGGCTGAGTTAACTTTGGGAAGAAATTTGGAAGTCAATCTGCATCTTACTCAAGTTCTGAGTCACATATGTAGGCTGAGATAATTGAAGATCTGTGTAAGTTACCTTGTTATTTCCAAGCTTCCATATTATTTTAGACCCAGGGATGACTTGTAACCAGAATTGGTCTGAGAAGTGCCATGAGAAACCCAAACCTGTCTTTGAGAATTCTCAAACCTCTTAATCTGGAATATGACCTACTTCTATGGCCTAACTTAAATTATTAATACACATAATACACAACTGAAAAAAGTTTAAAGGTGTTAAGCAAATGTAAGAGGAAAATCTATAATCTTCCTGAAAATATGACAAATTTTGTATACCTGTTTGTATTTTATAATAGTGCCTGTAGGCCAAATGTTGTTTGTTTTGCCTTACAAAGTCCAACTGCTTTCATGTTGAAGTTAAAACCTCCAGATCTTAGCCTGAATTCCAATGCTTCTACCATGAATCTTCTCGTCTAAGCAAAGTGGATGACTTGCTCTTCCAGATCTGTATCCCTAATGCAGTGAGAAAAGATTGTTATGAATTACTTTTCTCAGGGGTCTGACTAGGATATTTTTCCATGCCTGAATGACATCAGTGGCCAAGTGAACGTAATGCTCTGCTGGCCAGATTAGGTCACAGGACCATTACGACATTGGACATGAAATGCCTGGACATAGAGCAGAGCATCAAGTAATCCCTCATAAAAGAGGAAATAGATACTGGATGGAAAAAAAAAGTCTCTTATACTCATCACTTAAGTTCTAGTTCCTTTACCTCTATGAAGCCTTTTCTAATCTTTATATTATTTTCACAATTCTCTCTTCCTTTTCAGTTTCCATTCGCTGAATATTTTTTATGTGTCCATTTGCATGCTTTTTCCTTTGTTCCTGAATTCTACATTTAGGGAAAGGAGATTTGGGTCTACTTTGATTGGATGCACTCAATAGCTCCAAATACCTTCACCAGCACTATGCTAAGAAATGTTTTCAAAAAAAACAAATGAATGGACTTGACATATTTGTTGTATTTAATTGAATAATCTGAACCTGAACCAGGTTAAATTCTACCTACATTCTTACCTTCTCCTCCCCAAGATGACAGAATAGAATCATGACCAGACCTGGACACAGGCCAATGTTAGAGTGTTTGTCTCACTGAGAGATTTCTCCGTTGAAGTAAACTGTAAATTCAGGCTTTTAATCACCAAAGCATTATTTAATCTGTATTTGAAGTAAATATGAACTTCATAAATAAGCTGAATATTTTTCTCTTGTATAACATTTTACAGCTCATGCATTAGAATTCAATCACAAGTACTCTATTTTAGAATACCAGTATTGATTGGAAATGATGATCAAGGACTGTGTGCTTGCTAGAACTTAATTGGGAGAAAATATTGCTCCTAAACTCCTTAGCAAACAGCACATAAAATGGTGGAGGCCAAGTCTTATACAGGTTGAGAATTTATCTGATATGCTTGGGACAAAAAATGATTCAGATTCTTTTAAGATTTTGGAATATTTCCATATACATAATGAAATATCTTGGGGATGGGGCCCAAGTTTAAATACAAAGTTTATTTATGTTTTGTAGACACCTTATACACATAACCTGAATGTAATTTTATACAATATTTTTAATAATTTTGTGCATGAAACAAAGTTTTGAATGAGTTTTGACTTCAACATGAGGCTAGACTTGTAATTTTCCACTGTGTTGTCATGTTGGTGCTCAAAAAGTTTCAGATTTTGGAGCATTTTGGATTTTTGGATTTGCAGATCAGAAATGCTCAACCTGTATTGCTCTCCTGGAAACGCATGTCTGTGAAGATACTAAGAAAAACATAGTTTTTCTTTTTCTTGCCACTTTGTAAATTCCTAAGGGACGATTTCATTATGAAACATAGTCATGTGTCACTTAACAATGAGATATGTTCTGAGAAATGCATCCTCAGGCAATTTCATTGTTGCGTTAATCATAGAGTGTGCTTACACAAACCTAGGTGTGTACTTTTACTGCACACCTAGGCCATCAGGTATAGCCTATTGCTCCTAGGCTACAAGCCTGTATAGCATGTTACTGTCTGAATGATGTAGGCAACTGTAACACAGTGGTGTTTTTGTGTCTAGACATATCTAAACATAGAAAAAGGCACAGTGTAAACATGGTATTATAATCTTAAGGGACTACCATCACATATGTAGTCCATCGTTGACCAAACATTAATATAAGGAATGAAAGGAACTTTCAAATGTATGTAAATGACATTTGCCGCCTTTGTTCCCACTTTACAGTAAAGTTACATGCTTTTCTACAGTAGAGCCAGGAGGTAACTATATAATCTTCATAAAGTTCTATTTTGTTTGAAACAAAGTAATATTACAGATAAAGTGCCAAGTAAAATATTTTATGTGTGCCTGCTATGGTTATCACAACAGTAATTGACCAGAAACACACTTTGACCTGATTTTACACATTACTAGTGAATCTGAAAAGCTGCTACTTATTGATATTGAACCATTTTTAGAATCAAGTTTATATAATTTTAATCTTACACAGATTGAGGTCCCATTGTAACAGTTCGTCATTGATGGATCCATTTTTGTCCTATTTTTAGGAAATTTACTTTTAGAAGAACCACAGAAAACACTTTTGAAGCTTTTACTGGGGTGTGGAAGGAGGTTTATCATACTTCCCCTTTGGAAAAAAAACAAAATTGAAAACAGACATAGAAGCAAAATGATGACAGTATAGTATCATTTTGTTGTTGTTTGTTTGTTTGTTTTGGTACAACTAGGCTAAAGAACATACATATAATCATGCGCTAAAGACCATATATGTAATTATGGGCTAAAATTGGAGCTTCCAACCACTGTCCCCTAAGTTTGTGGCTTGGTATTGACAGCTGAAAGAGTTGAATTTCCAGATTCTACACTTAGGAACATTCACAGATTTCACAGGCCTTGTTCGGGCCTATTGCTATTCGGCCCTGATTTGGTCATACTTACTAAGTAAAGGCAGGGCAAATAAAGATGATGGGCTCTGTACTCTGCTTGGGGCAGGAGGGGGCTAGGGGTGGGGAGAGAGAGGGTCAGAGAGAAAGAGAGAGAGAGAGAGAGAGAGAGAGAGAGAGAACTTGAGCTACACATAAACCTTTAATACCAATTGTGCCAGAAAAGAAACTTCTCGGGTAGAAGCACATGAGAAAAAAGAATGAGCAGCTGGGTGTGGTGGCTCACGCCTGTAATCCCAGCACTTTGGGAGGCCAAGGTGGGTGGATCACCAGAGGTCAGAAGTTCGAGACCAGCCTGCCCAACATGACGAAACCCCGTCTCTACTAAAAATACAAAAATTAGTCAGGCGTGGTGGCACACGCCTGTAATCCCAGCTACTCGGGAGGCTGAGGCAGGAGAATCGTTTGAACTCAGGAGGCAGAGGTTGCAGTGAGCCGAGATTGTGCCACCACAATCCAGCCTTGGTGACAGAGCACCACTCCGTCTCAAAACTAATAATAAAAGAAAAAAGAATGAGCAAATTTGTTTTTTCCCCCTAAAACTAGGTGTCAGAACTTTCTATTTTTTGGGCAATGCAAGTCTGCCCAAAGTTACAAAATTAACCCTATATTTGTTTAATTAAAAATATGATTTTATATTACGAGACCTAGAGAAGGAGTTAGAAAAAGTTTAATTTTTTTATATTATAATTAAATATATCTATGAAAAAAATAAACCTAGGGAATGAGTTAGAAATAATTATATAGATATGTATGTATATGTATATATGCACATATATATTTATAATAAAATACTTTTATTGAAAACAATTATAGCTATATTACAATAAAAAGTCACTGCCCACCCAGTCCCCACCACTGTCCTCCATCAAACCCCAATTTTTGTTTGTGGTTCCTCCTGTCATGGCAGAGAGGCAACTGGAATTCTGCCTGGGATAAGGTGAAGATGATTAATGGTGCCTTCCTATCCCAACCTCTGTTCACTGCAATGGTTGACACAGAGGTCCTTCTGCCTGGTTTAAGAGGGGCATGATCAAAGCTAGAACTGTATCCTTTCTGTGGGAAACTTAAATGGGTACAGTAAGACAAAGAGAGTAAGAAAAATAAAATGGATAGAATTTATTCATTTCAGTGGCTGACAATGCTCAGACAAAATAGTGAATTACTGCTTGCTGTGCTGTTAGATTCTAAATCTCATACCTCCATATTCTGGCAGAGCCAGTGAACTCTCTAATATCCATAAAATAAATTTCCTTTTTGCTTAAGCCAGAGTCGGTTTCTGTTGCTCACAGCCAAGGACCTCAAATAATGTACTACCAGGGAATTATTTCCGATTGCTTTGAGTCAGAGGACAAGCTATTAGGCTGGTGCAAAAGTTGTTGTAGTTTTAAAAACACACTAAAAGTAATGGCAAAATCACAATAGAAGCTATTATGTTAATGGACAGTACACTTAGGCTCAAGTCCACTGACAAGCATCAGAAACTTCAAGATTAGGACTAGAATCAAAGAGTTTGCTTTTGCAAAAGCATTGATGTTAAAATTTAGTCTATAGGGTCTAGAAAAAGGGAATGGAGAAAAACAAACCAAAAAAGCTTTTAAGAGTTGTATTTCCACAGAAAACTAAGCTTGACAAAGTACTGGATTATTCAGTTGCTAAGATCTTCCCGAGTCTCACAAACTATAGCAGAAAGATTACAAAATGGGTTGGTCCTCAACACAACCTGAGATGTAGGTGGAAGTCAAGGAGAGCAGAATGGAGTCAGTCCCCCAGTTACATTTTGGGTCGGTAGGCAGGCAATAGATGCTTCTAGTAACAACTTCTATATCAATTAGGATCCTTTGGTTGCAAGCTACATAAATCAACAATAATTAAAGAAATGTGGGGAATTTATTGGATGAATAAGATATACAGAATTGATAGGATGCTGAAAACAGGACAGGAACCGGGGCAGTAGAATCTGGAATGTGTGATTACTGAACCTAGCCTTTCACATTAACTCCAAAATCAGCAGTGAGAAGTGCTTCCTTGTGTCAAAGTTCCTCTTGATGACCATTGTTTTAGGTACTTTTAATCTATCTGCCCAGCTCCTAGTCATGAGAATTCTCCTTCTCTTGGAGTAATCAGCAGGGATGTCCCTTTCAGCCACAGTTATATCATCTGATCACTTTCAAGACCATGGTTAGTTGAAGAGAGACCAACACCTGAAACAAGCAGGGCCAATCACATTCTCTTCCCCAGAAATTTAGAATTTGAACTAAAAGATATACTGGAAATCAGAAATTGTGTCATTAAAGATAAAACTTCTGAAGAACTAGCCACAAATTCCTGCTTCCGAGGAAGCTGTTACTTTCCCTGACTTCCTCATTCTAAGAGTCTAGTGGTTCAGCATTTCCTTGGATTCCATGAGATATAATAGGTTTCTAATAAATTTATCCTTTCTACTTACATTTGCATATGTCAGCTTATTTCACTCTTATCTGAGAGAGCCCTAATCAATACACTGTAGTAAAAGTCCTCATTGCAAGGATAAGTATTGATTTTTAAGAATCATGTACAATTAGAGTAAATTTGGAAGTCATTCTTCTTTAGCTATATTCTTGGATAGGTCCTAATCCCAGCATAGAGAGTGGCCCATTAATAACTAAACACTGAAGGCTCCAAGGCACAGACTTGCAACATTAAAAATAAACAAACCCAGGCATAATGCGTGCCTGCAATTAGCATTCTAATCCTAAAGAAAGATAATTTAAGGATTATCAACTTGACCCTGCTGGTAACTAATATTTTTCAGAGAAATTTTCTTCTAGGCTAAGTCTTTATAACTGACCATTTAAAGCAAGAAAACCCTGAGAGTATATAAATAATTAGAGATAGCCCTGGCCCATAAAATCTTATGCAAGAGATATTATCCCACAAAGAGCTGTACCTTTGATCAGAGAGGCTGATGTTAATGATCATTATCTGCGTAAGAGCACTGGAGCATCCCAGGTGTTTTCCTCCTCTCCTGTAGAAAATAAGGGATCCAGGAAGAGCCTCTCACCCCTACCCACCAGCCAAAGAGACTAATGCAAATATAAATCTCGTAATTGTAAGTATAAACCTTGAGTCTGCAGAACACTTTATCTGTGAACCTGTTGTGTCTACAAAGTGGGTGGGGCTTCTAAATTTTGATGTGGTTAAACCCATGTTGTACCAGATTCAGTATTTCCTGCAATGCTAGCTGGAAATAACAGCAACCAATTCCAGTTATTTAACCTAAAGATTAAAATTATTACAAGAGTTCAGAATTGTTTAAAGGCAAGCATGCTGTTGTGGATCAGGTAAAAACTGGAACCACAAATTGAAAGCCTTCTGGAACTTGAAGTGTGCTGTCTCCATCTTTCTTTTTTTGTTTTCTCTGTATGTCATGAAAGAGCCTAAGTAGCTCCCCCACATTCACTCAGCTAGTTTGTAATAGAGCTGAAAGTGAAATCCAAACCTTTTGACTTTAGTGTTGAGCAACTGCTACTTTCCTTTACTCTCCACCTTGAGGGCAACTATATAAAATCAGCTATGCAAATCTAACTCCTTCCATGTTTTACTAAATGGTAAATTGCTCTAAATAAATAGGTACTAAATGAGGTTGATGAGTAGCTGCACAAAAACTCACTAATTCCATTTTCCCTCCTGTCTGCTTGTTTTACAACATGATATGTTGTAGTAGGTAGAGTCCTAGACGATGAAGCCATATAGTCCCAGCTCTGCACCTCACTAGGCAGACCCTCAGCAAGTCATTTAAACTCTCCAAGTCAGAACATTGTGCTAACAGAAATAAGCCAGGCACAGAAAAACAAATACCCCATGATCTCATTTATATGTGGAATCTAAAAACGTTAATCTGGGGTGAGTGTGTGGGATGGGATAGGGAGAAGAGGATAGTTGGGGAGGGAGGGATCACTACTAATGGTTATGGTGTTTCTTTTTCCTGTGATGAAAATATTCTCAAATTGATTGTGGTGATGCTTGCACAGCTCTGTGAACATAAGAAGAATCATTGATTATACATTTTAGATGGATGAATTTTGTGATACATGAATTATGTCTCAATAAAGCTGTTTTTACAAAGAATAAAATAATACTAATAAACTCTCCAAGTCTTGGCTTTCTCATCTTTAAAAAAAAAGATAGTAATTGTATGTTCCCCACGGGAGATACAATTTATGAATGAACAATTTACAAGTGCTTATGAATGCTGTGAGAGTTAAATGAGATAGCATACATCCATAGTGCACCAGTCCATGGTAAACCTTTGCAGGGTAGTAGCTATCAGTATCTCTAGTCTCATGTTAGTCCTCTAAACAACTCTGCCATCCCATCTCCAGTTCAAAACACATACACTATGGCTTCGAGGATTCTCAAAGCAGGGATCTTTATATTGATAAAAACAATCTTTTAGTGTTTTTGTGGAGGAGGTGAGGTAAACGACAAATTGACATTCATTTTGCCTTAAACCAAGTGTCAAAGTCTGGCTTCCCAAAGAGAATGGCCAGTATTTTGGGCGCAGCTGTCAAATCTTCCCAATTTACACAGATGCAACAGAACCTGTGAATTAACCTGTGGCATTTACCAAAGCCAACCCCTGCCAAAAACAAATCTCTCTCCTCCTGGCATACTGAATAAGAGATAGGGATGCATTAAACATTTACGAAGACACTTCAAGAGAGTCTCAGGTAACAGGAAGTGTTCTGAGATTGATTTGCCATGCTTTGAGTGCACAGAAGACAGAGGGAGACACACAGGGAATGTTCCTGAGACTTTTTCTTTTCAATCATCCTCCTCTGTGACTTTTACCCTATAATTTATTTTTAAAGAGGCATCATAGTTTTCTGGGTGCCATAACAAAATCTAAAATAAATGTTTTCACCTAGATAAGCACTATTAAAAGGAAAGGATACTGAATTCATTTGAATACATTTACAGAAGATTGATTTTCCCAAGGGAATGTACCTATCCTATTTCTTTAATTATTCTTGAAGTTTTGCCTATCAACTGACAATTTCTTACAGAAAGGAAGCAAAACAGCCTGGCTTTCGTGACAGCGAAGAATTATAATACTAGAATAAAAACAGGTTTGTCACTTTCCTTATCTCTTCTAATGTCTGAGTTACTGGGAGTCAGAAATATAATAACCCCATCCCAGTAACACAGTTATTCAGAATATGTTAAATCGAAAGGTAAATTCAAAGTCAAATTTCTCTATTTTTTGAAGATCAGTATACTCATTCCTAACTACAAGCATCCAGTATGATTAGTTATAAAACATTAGAGAAAATATGGTCATATTCACTTTATTTTTTCAACTGATTATCACCTGATTAGAAAGAAGACCATTTTGTTTCACATGATTTACTCTCAGCAAAAAAACTGTTTACTTAAGCATAGGAAAGCCAACCTTCGTACTAAAAGAGAACTGAGAAATTTAAACAGCCCATGATCTTCATTGCTTTGGCCTCTGCTGCAAAGCGTCACTGTGAAAAATTGGTCCTGATCCCAGCAATCAATGCTTTCCCACTGCACAGAGATGGCCTGGCGTCATTGTGCCATTGTGGCTGCTAAGGGCAGGGTTCCTTAGCAATGCATAATGGCCAGAACAAGTCCTCCCCAACCCTGCACTAAGGGCAGGCCCCCAGTCCCAAATCATTTCCCCATCTTATTCCAGTTTCTCTTCGGGAGCTGTGGTTTCTTTCTGTGGTTGAACGTGGTTCAGCTTTTCCTGAACCCTGTCCTCCCCCAAAAATAATTATCTGTTGGAGAGTGGTGGTGGTTGGACAACATTGTGAATGTAAAATACCACTGAATTGTGCATTTAAATGGGAAATTTTATGCTATGTGTATTTTACTACAGAAATTATCTCTAATGTGTATTCCCAGGCAGCCGAGAGGTCGTCTTCTCAGAGGACCCTGAGCTGCCTTTTTCAGCAGGTCCACCACCTCTGTATCTTTGCATGCTAACAAAGACTTTTTCTTTTTTTTTTTGAGATGGAGTCTTGCTCTATTGCCCAGGCTGAAGGGCAGTGGCGCGATCTCGGCTCACTGCAACCTCTGCCTCCCAGGTTCAGGCAACTCTCCTGCCTCAGCCTCCTGAGTAGCTGAGATTACAGGCACTTGCCAACACACCCAGCTAATTTTTGTATTTTTAGTAGAGACAGGGTTTTGACATGTTGACCAGGCTGGTCTCAAACTCCTGACCTCAGGTAATCCACCCACCTCAGCCTCCCAAGTGCCGGGATTACAGGCATGAGCCACCGCAGCTGGCCAACAAAGACTTCCTGTGCTAATCACAGATATACCAAATGAAATTGTCCCTTTCTGCCCTTTCCCTTCTCCATCAAGGGATGAAATATAATTTTCCTCTCCTTGAATCTATGTAGACTTATGACACACTTGACACCAATCAAATGTAGCAGATATGATGCTGGACAACTTCTGAGGCTCAATGATTACAAGCAATTAATTCATCCTCTTTCTCACTTGCTTGAACTCCCACACTGGATCTCTGAACTGCAATTGCAGCAGTTCAACTGCCCTGCAGCCACCATGCTGCAAGAAAGCCCAGACTAAAGCACACAAGGAAACCAATGGAGAAACACTAAGACTACATGAAGAGCCACGGAGAGGTGCAGCCCTCTGTTCCAGCTTCCGTCGCCGTCTGACTGCAACTTATAAAACCCACAGCTAGAACTACATAGTCAAATCCTTCCCCAATTCCAGACTGGCTGAAACCATGAGGTAACAAAATAATTGTTATCATTTTGATCATAAATTGTTATGCAGATATAGATAACCGGAACTGAAAGTGGAGTGCCATAATATACATCAAAAATACACGACTTTGGGTTTGGGATCAGGCAAAAGCTGGAAGAAACCTGTGAACTATTAACAAAAGCCTAAAGGGCCTGGAGAAAAACTTAGCAGAATTTTAAAAGGTCTCAAGGAGGCTGTCAGTCAAAACCTGGAGGAAAGTGAGAAGATGATATCAGAAGGTTAAGGAAAAGAGATCCTTTCATGCGGTGAGAGAAACCTAAGCAGAGCTGTCATCTGAGGTAACATGGAAAATAGAAAATGTATCTAACGAACTGGATGATCTATCTAAGGAGATTTCCAGGCAATGTTGAGATGGCTGCCTAGTTTCTTCCAGCCACCTATAATAAAATGAAAAGAAAGACATGAACTAAAAAACAAATTATTCAGTTTGAATTGAATTTGAAGAATTTGCAAAGATCCCAAAAGTAGTCTTTTCAGCTCGCAAAATTTTCCAAAATAAGAATGTGTCTCAGGCCAAAAATCAAATCCAAAATGTGACTATGAGATTATCAGAAAGAGTTAAAGCGGACCCTCAAAACACTTTTCAGACAGACAAAAAGGATCCAAAGGGCCTTAAGGGCATGCCTCATGGATCTTTTCAATTAAACAAAAGGGTTTTTAAGAATCATAAAAGCATTGCCCCTCAGCAGTCTCACAGGTAAATCCAAAATAGAAAAGGGTGTATCCGAAAGAGATATGTGGGTATGGCTTTTGGCAAATGAGATAAATCGTAAATTAATGCACAGAAAACCTACACAATTTTAAGAATTGTATTAGAGAAAATTCAAAATTAAAAGAGGCCATTGGATTCTGAAACTTCTAAAGGCAGAAAGCAGGAAGAGAAAACTAATCAACAGCAAACACAAGAGACTTTAATTAGAAGAGGAAAGATGACTCCAAAGATAGAAACAGGAGCCTAGGTAGAGGACCAAGCCACATAAAGAAGAACTCACAGGAAGTAGAAATAAAATCTAATCAAAGAACTGTAATTGTGTGTCTGGCTAGATTCCAGAATTGCCACAGATCAGTGACAGCTGTGTGCCTCCCTTTTGCCCCCTCTTTGAGTGGGAGTGTCCACTGCAGCTCTTGTACACCGGTTCCACCACTGTACATTGGGTCTACGTGGGGAAGAGAAGACCTCTCTTTGGCTCATAGGTTTTCAGGCAGAGAGCAGTATTTAAGGGACCAAATCCAAACACATGACAATCTTTAATTGCCAGTGAACCTGATTTAAATGAAGAGATCCTGACCTTTGAGCCGAAGCATGATGCTGTAATGGGATGAGAATTTTGGTAGGTCTTGGGAGGGAGGATGAGTGTATTTTGCATGTAGGAGAGATGTAAATAGAGGTCAGAGGTCGCTCTGTGGCAGACTATACTTTTCAAAGATGACCGCAAGGATATATTTCATTCCATTTGCTCTTATACAGTACTACCACCTTCCATCAAGAGGAGAGGTCTGATTTGTCTTTTTGTGAATCTAGGTGGGCTTGTAACTCTAACTCACAAACTCACTTAAAACCAATAGAATGATGTAGAAATGACATCGAGTGACTTCTGAGTGTAGGTGATACAAGGTTTTCCTCTTCAATCCTGTTCATTGAAAGCCTAAACTGTTCTATGAAGCAGGTTGACTATACTAAGGTTGCCATACTGGGAGGAAGTCCAAACTAGCCCACACAGAGAGATCACATGGAGAATTCCTAAGTCCTTATGGAAAGAGAGAGAGAGAGAGCTAGTTAGTCTCAACTGCTTTAGCTCCAGCCACCATTTGACTGCATGCAACCACATGAAAGACCCTGAGCCAGGACATCCCCTTCAAGCCCTTCATGAATTTCTGTCCCACAGAAACAATGTGAGATAATAAAGTAGTAGGTGAAAGACACACTTTTGGGTAGCAACAGATACCTGACTACCCAGCCTTCCTTATCTCAACAGCATTACCAACCAAGTTTTCTTTTTACTCCATATGCAAAGCATTAGAAACTACAGCCCATTCAACTTCTAAAATATAAACTGAAGCCTAATACTTCTCATTTTCTCTCCTACTTCCTTAGTCCACATAACTATGATCTTTTCTCTGGCAAACTCCTATCTATTCTCCCAGCTTCCATACTTGCCTCCATAAAATCTATTCTTCATACAGCCCACAGAGTAATCATTTAGAATGGAAGTTATGTCACTTATCTTCCTGCTTAAAACCTTCCAAGTTTTTGCCTTGCAGTTGAAATAAAATCTTAATTCTTTTTCATGGTCTAAAGGTGTTACATGATCTGGCTGTGAGTCACACTGTAACCCCATCTCATGTGGCTCTCTTTCTTGTTCACGCTTATCTAGCTTTACTCAACTAGCTTGTGTTTTTTGAACAAACCAAGTGCTTTCCTAGCTTGGGGGTTTTCATTCATTTTCCCTTTGGAATGGAAATATCTTCATGTAGATCCTCCTGCTGTTGACTTCTCTTTATCATTCGTACCAAATTCAAAGGGTATCTTCTTAAAAAGACTTTCTCTGACCACTCTTTAATGCCATCTGCTCATATCTCACATCCACCTCAGTCACTGTTTCATTACTGCATTTTATTTTCTTCATAGTATGCATGACAATTTGAAATTATTAATTTGTTCACTTCATTTTTGGTCTCCTCCTAAATTAGATTATATGTGTCATGAAAGAATATTTACTCTTCTACCTACCATTTAGAATATTGCCTAACATATAGCTGAGACACATTATTTGTTAAGTGAAGGAAGGAGTGAATGTTATTCCCATGACCTCCACTCTTTTAGAGTAACTGTAGCAGACACTGCTAATTGGCTGCCCTAAACCTATTAACAAAATCTTACTTCCTGCCTATTTCTCAATGATTGCTCTGCAGGTAGCCATGTGACCCAACTCTAGACAATGTGAGGTAAGTGGATAATACTGCATGGCAATTCTTAGAAAACTTTTTTAAAGATAAAATTTCTTTGACAAAAACTTCTAGTTTTTCACTCCTTCTTGTTCTTGACAAGAATAAGTAATGTAAGACCAGGAAATGGAACAACCATCCTGCAGTCATAAATACAAACCCATATGCTAAGGATGGCAAAAACGAATAATGGTATAAAACAACTGTCACTGAAGGGGGAAAATGTACTGACCTAAATAACTTTGGAAATGAGTGGATTGTGTAAGACTAAAAGCAAAAGGAACTGCATATAAGCACTATACTCTTGAAGGTAAAGTTGTTTCTCATAGAGGTGTTGCTTAACAAATCTGTTATTGTTACACATGTATACTGGTATTGAACAATTAAGTAAATAGATGGCAGATGGTAGGAACCAGGTTTCTCAATGTTGGAGTAGGAAGCTAGAGATAAGCAAGGGGAGGAAAGTATAATGATTCATTTGGTAATATCTTTATGGACTCATGTTTAGCTTAATATATGCAGATACACACAAAAATATTTATAAATGTGTGTGTGCATATGGGATGCTATATATGCATATATTATTTTTTGCCCTGACATCTGAAAAGGCCTACAAACAAGAACACCCCAGTAGCAATGAGCACATCTAGGCTTCAGATCTTGGTTACTAACACCATTCTCCAAAAGAACAAGGGTTCTTTGGAGAAATGGTTGCTTTTAGGACTAGGATAAGAAATGTACAAGAAGCCTGGAGTATTCTGTAATGCCAGAAAGGAAATATTTGAAAAAACAAACAAAACAAAGCACACACAAACATTGATGAAGTATGTCAATAATACATAGGACCCAACTGAAAGAGTCTCACTGGCGAAATCTGGAAAAATTTGGAGCAAAAACTTAATAACATAGTATTAGATTATAACCCTATGTACAAAATATTCATGAGTCCGGGGGCAGTTCCAAGATGGCCGAATAGGAACAGCTCCAGTCTATACAGCTCCCAGCATGAGGAACACAGAAGACGGGTGATTTCTGCATTTCCAACTGAGGTACCGGGTTCATCTCACTGGGGCTTATCAGACAGTGGGTGCAGGACAGTGGGTGCAGTGCACTGAGCATGAGCTGAAGCAGGGCAAGGCATTACTTCACTCAGGAAGCACAAGGGGTCAGGGAATTCCCTTTCCTAGCCAAGCAAAGCTGTGACAGACAGCACCTGGAAAATTGGGTCACTCCCACCCTAATACTGCGCTTTTCCAATGGTCTTAGCAAACAGCACACCAGGAGATTATATCCCGCGCATGGCTCAGAGGGTCCCACGCCCACAGAGCCTCGCTCATTGCTAGCACAGCAGTCTGAGGTCAAACTGCAAGGTGGCAACGAGGCTGGGGAAGGGGCGCCCGCCATTGCTGAGGCTTGAGTAGGTAAACAAAGTGGCCAGGAAGCTTGAACTGGGTGGACCCCACCACAGCTCAAGGAGGCGTGCTGCCTCAGTAGACTCCACCTCTGTGGGCAGGACATAGCCAAACAAAAGGCAGAAGAAACCTCTGCAGACTTAAACGTCCCTGTCAGACAGCTTTGAAGTGAGTACTGGTTCTCCCTTCATGGAGTTTGAGATCTGAGAACGGACAGACTGCCTTCTCAAGTGGGTTCCTGACCCCTGAGTAGCCTAACTGGGAGGCACCCCCTAGTAGGGGCAGACTGACAACTCACATGGCTGGGTACCCCTCTCAGACGAAACTTCCAGAGGAATGATCAGGCAGCAACATTGCTGTTCAGCAATATTCACTGTTCTGCGGCCTCCGCTGCTGATACCCAGGCAAACAGGGTCTGGAGTGGACCTCCAGCAAACTCCAACAGACCTGCAGCTGAGGGTCCTGACTGTTAGAAGGAAAACTAACAAACCAAAAGGACATCCACACCAAAACCCCATCTGTACGTCACGATCATCAAAGACCAAAGGTAGATAAAAACACAAAGATGGGGAAAAAACAGAGCAGAAAAACTGAAAATTCTAAAAATCAGAGTGCCTCTCCTCCTCCAAAGGAACACAGCTCCTCACCAGCAATGGAGCAAAGCTGGACGGAGAATGACTCTGATGAGTTGAGAGAAGAAGGCTTCAGACAATCAAACTTCTCTGAGCTAAAGGGGGAAGTTCGAACCCATCGCAAAGAAGTTAAAAAACCTTGAAAAAAGGTTAGACAAATGGCTAACTAGAATAACCAATGTAGAGAAGTCCTTAAATGACCTGAAGGAGCCGAAAACAATGGCACAAGAACTACATGATGAATGCACAAGCTTCAGTAGTCAATTTGATCCACTGGAAGAAAGGGTATCAGTGATTGAAGATCAAATGAATGAAATGAAGTGAGAAGAGAAGTTTAGAGAAAAAAGAATAAAAAGAAATGAACAAAGCCTCCAAGAAATATGGGACTACGTGAAAAGACCAAATCTATGTCGATTGGTGTACCTGAAAGTGACAGGAAGAATGGAACCAAGTTGGAAAACACTCTGCAGGATATTATCAAGGAGAACTTCCCCAACATAGCTAGGCAGGCCAACATTCAAATTCAGGAAACACAGAAAATGCCACAAAGATATTCCTCGAGAAGAGCCACTCTAAGACACATAACTGTCAGATTCACCAAAGTTGAAATGAAGGAAAAAATGTTAAGGGCAGCCAGAGAGAAAGGTTGCGTTACCCACAAAGGAAAGCCCATCAGACAAATAGCGGATCTCTTGGCAGAAACTCTACAAGCCAGAAGAGAGTGGGGGCCAATATTCAACATTCTTAAAGAAAAGAATTTTCAACACAGAATTTCATATCCAGCCAAACTAAGCTTCATAAGTGAAGGAGAAATAAAATCCTTTACAGATAAGCAAATGCTGAGAGATTTTGTCACCACCAGGCCTGCCCTAAAAGAGTTCCTGAAGGAAGCACTAAACATGGAAAGTGGAAAGGAAGAAATTGTACCAGCCACTGCAAAAACATGCCAAGTTGTAAGGACCATTGATGCTAGGAAGAAACTGCATCAACTAATGAGCAAAATAACCAGCTAACATCATAATGACAGGATCAAATTCACACATAACAATATTAACCTTAAAAGTAAATGGACTAAATGCTCCAATTAAAAGAAACAGACTGGCAAATTGGATAAAGAGTCAAGACCCATCAGTGTGCTGTATTCAGGAAACCCATCTCATGTGCAGAGACACACATAGGCTCAAAATAAAGGGATGGAGGAAGATCTACCAAGCAAATGGAAAACAAAAAAAGGCAGGCATTGCAATCCTAGTCTCTGATAAAACAGACTTTAAGCCAACAAAGATCAAAAGAGACAAAGAAGGCCATCACATAATGGTAAAGGGATCAATTCAACAAGAAGAGCTAACTATCCTAAATATATATACACCAAATACAGGAGCACTCAGATTTATAAAGCAAGTCCTTAGAGACCTACAAAGAGACTTAGACTCCCACATAATAATAATAGGAGACTTTTACACCCCACTGTCAATATTACACAGATCAACGAGACAGAAAGTTAATAAGGATATCCAGGAATGGAACTCAGCTCTGCACCAAGCAGACCTAATAGGCATCTACAGAACTCTCCACCCCAAATCAACAGAATATACATTCTTCTCAGCACCACACCGCACTTATTCCAAAATGGCCACATATTCGGAAGTAAAGCACTCCTCAGCAAATGTAAAAGAACAGAAATTATAACAAACTGTCTCTCAGACCACAGTGCAATCAAACTAGAACTCAGGAATAAGAAACTCACTCATAACCACTCAACTACATGGAAACTGAACAACCTGCTCCTGCATTCAGTAGTCATTCTACTGGGTACATAACGAAATGAAGGCAGAAAGAAAGATGTTCTTTGAAACCAATGAGAACAAAGACACAACATACCAGAATCTCTGGGACACAGCTAAAGCAGTGTGTAGAGGGAAATTTATAGCACTAAATGCCCACAGGAGAAAGCAGGAAAGATCTAAAATTGACACCCTAACATCACAATTAAAAGAACTAGAGAAGCAAGAGCAAACACATTCAAAAGCTAGCAGAAGGCAAGAAATAACTAAGATCAGAGCAGAACTGAAGGAGATAGAGACACAAAGAACCCTTCAAAAAAATCAATGAATCCAGGAGCTGGTTTTTTGAAAAGATCAACAAAATTGATAGACTGCTAGCAAGACTAATAAAGAAGAAAAGAGAGAAGAATCAAATAGATGCAATAAAAAATGATAAAGGGGATACCACCACCGATCCCAAGGAAATACAAACTACTATCAGAGAATACTATAAACACCTCTATGCAAATAAACTAGAAAGTCTAGAAGAAATGGATAAACTCCTGGACACATACACCCTCCCAAGACTAAACCAGAAAGAAGTTGAATCTCTGAATAGACCAATAACAGGCTCTGAAACTGAGGCAATAATTAACAGCCTACTAACCAGAAAAAGTCCAAATTCTACCAGAGGTACAAGGAGGAGCTGGTACCATTCCTTCTGAAACTATTCCAATCAATAGAAAAAGAAGGAATCCTCCCTAACTCATTTTATGAGGCCAGCATCATCCTGATACCAAAGCCTGGCAGAGACACAACAAAGAAAGAGAATTTTAGACCAATATCCCTGATGAACATTGATGCAAAAATCCTCAATAAGATACTGGCAAACCGAATCCAGCAGCACATCAAAAAGCTTATCCACCATGATCAAGTGGGCTTCATCCCTGGGATGCAAGGCTGGTTCAATATACACAAATCAATAAATGTAATCCAGCGAATAAACAGAACCAAAGACAAAAACCACATGATTATCTCAATAGACGCAGAAAAGGCCTTTGACAAAATTCAACAGCCCTTCATGCTAAAAACTCTCAATAAATTAGGTATTGATGGGACGTATCTCAAAATAATAAGAGCTATTTATGACAAACCCACAGCCAATATCATACTGAATGGGCAAAAACTGGAAGCATTCCCTTTGAAAACTGGCACAAGACAGGGATGCCCTCTCTCACCACTCCTATTCAACATAGTGTTGGAAGTTCTGGCCAGGGCAATTAGGCAGGAGAAGGAAATAAAGGGTATTCAATTAGGAAAAGAGAAAGTCAAATTGTCCCTCTTTGCAGATGACATGATTGTATATCTAGAAAACCCCATTATCACAGCCCAAAATCTCCTTAAGCTGATAAACAACTTCAGCAAAGTCTCAGGATACAAAATCAATGTACAAAAATCAGAAGCATTCTTATACACCAACAACAGACAAACAGAGAGCCAAATCATGAGTGAACTCCCATTCACAATTGCTTCAAAGAGAATAAAATACCTAGGAATCCAACTTACAAGGGATGTGAAGGACCTCTTCAAGGAGAACTACAAACCACTGCTCAAGGAAATAAAAGAGGATACAAACAAATGGAAGAACATTCCATGCTCATGGGTAGGAAGAATCAATATCGTGAAAATGGCCATACTGCCCAAGGTAATTTACAGATTCAATGCCATCCCCATCAAGCTACCAATGACTTTCTTCACAGAATTGGAAAAAACTACTTTAAAGTTTATATGGAACTGAAAAAGAGTCCACATTGCCAAGTCAATCCTAAGCCAAAAGAACAAAGCTGGAGGCATCACACTACCTGACTTCAAACTATACTACAAGGTTACAGTAACCAAAACAGCATGGTACTGGTACCAAAACAGAGATATAGATCAATGGAACAGAATAGAGCCCTCAGAAATAATGCTGCATATCTACAACTATCTGATCTTTGACAAACCTGACAAAAACAAGCAATGGAGAAAGGATTCCCTATTTAATAAATGGTGCTGGGAAAACTGGCTAGCCATATGTAGAAAGCTGAAACTGGATCCCTTCCTTACACCTTATACAAAAATCAATTCAAGATGGATTAAAGACTTAAACCTTAGACCTAAAACCATAAAACCCTAGAAGAATACCTAGGCAACACCATTGAGGACAAAGGCATGGGCAAGGACTTCATGTCTAAAACACCAAAAGCAATGGCAACAAAAGCCAAAATTGACAAATGGGATCTAATTAAACTAAAGAGCTTCTGCACAGCAAAAGAAACTACCATCAGAATGAACAGGCAACCTACAGAATGGGAGAAAATTTTTGCAATCTACTCATCTGACAAAGGGCTAATATCCAGAATCTACAAAGAACTCAAACAAATTTACAAGAAAAAAACAAACAATCCCATCAAAAAGTGGGCAAAGGATATGAACAGACACTTCTCAAAAGAAGACATTTATGCAGTCAACAGACACATGAAAAAATGCCCATCATCACTGGCCATCAGAGAAATGCAAATCAGAACCACAATGAGATACCATCTCACACCAGTTAGAATGGTGATCATTAAAAAGTCAGGAAACAACAGGTGTTGGAGAGGATGTGGGGAAATAGGAACACTTTTACACTGTTGGTGGGACTGTCAACTAGTTCAACCATTGTGGAAGTCAGTGTGGGGATTCCTCAGGGATCTAGAACTAGAAATACCATTTGACCCAGCCATCCCATTACTGGGTATATACCCAAAGGATTATAAAACATGCTGCTATAAAGACACATGCACATGTATGTTTATTGTGGCACTATTCACAATAGCAAAGAGTTGGAACCAACCCAAATGTCCAACAATGATAGACTGGATTAAGAAAATGTGGCACATACACACCATTGAATACTATGCAGCCATAAAAAATGATGAGTTCATGTCCTTTGTAGGGACATGGATGAAGCTGGAAACCATCATTCTCAGCAAACTATCGCAAGGACAAAAAACCAAACACCACATGTTCTCACTCATAGGTGGGAATTGAACAATGAGAACACTTGGACACAGGAAGAGGAACATTACACACCAGGGCCTGTTGTGGGGTGGGGGGAGGGGGAGGGATAGCATTAGGAGATATACCTAATGTAAATGATGAGTTAATGGGTGCAGCACACCAACATGGCACATGTATACATATGTAACAAACCTGCACATTGTGCACATGTACCCTAGAACTTAAAGTATGATAAAAAATATATATATATAAACAAAACCAAATATTCATGAGTCCATACTGAGATAAAGAAATGATTGAATAAATAAATAAATAAATAAATAAATAAGGGAAAATAGACAAATATCCCAGGCAGGAGAATTCCAAATATTTTATATGGATATTGACCCCTTCAAGGAGATGGACCTTAATTCCTCACACTTTACATGTGACATGTGCATAATGACTTCCTTCCAAAGGGTACAGTACGGAAAGGTGGGAAAAATTTAGCTTTCCAGTTGAGAAGCTTAGCAAACACTACCTTAATCAGGTAATCAAAGTCAACATCAAAAAGTGATAAGTCATGTGGATAGCATGTACCACTGATATTGATGCAGGATTTTTCTTGGCCACTTTCCCTTCTGGAGACCTCCAGCTGACAAAACCTCTGCCCAGGCCCTCCTTGGGCCCAGTTTCATTGCTGGAGATGCCCAGTCTACTCAGGCCACTGGGCTGCACCTGGCTTGCACTCTAATGCAAATCGCGTGGCCACTGCAACTGCACACTCAGCCCCCTGCATTTGATGGGTCCCAAGTTCTTGTCCCATGTCCAAGAAGAATAAGTTTACACTAACAATTAAAGGGTGAGGAAGGTGGAGAATAGTTTTATTGAGCAGCAAAACAGCTCTCAGTGTAGAGAGGACACGAGGGTTGGCCCCAACTCGAAGTTGGGTGGTCTCACTCTCCTTGTGCCTGGGCCAGGGCTTTTATGGACTCAGAATGGGAAGTGCATGCTAATTCGTTTGTGAGTATGCAAAAAAGGCTAAAACAAAGGCGCCATTCAAAGGTGGCCATGGCAGTGTAAAAAATTAATTAGGGAAAGGTAGGTATATGTAAAATAGGTGAAGGGTGAAGATCAATCAGAGGAAAGCAAGCCAAATGGGAAGAGAGTTTCTCAATCTGGTCTGTGGATTTGACTCATGGCTTGGTTTTCAGGCTTTAAACTGTCTTCAGCTTGAAGGTCAAGGTTCACTGGGGACCCGCCCCATCTGCCTACACATTTGTCTGCCTCCTGCCACTATGAATATGATATGATGTGAATAGCACTTTACCTCTGTAGTCTTCCTCCCAAAATTCCATAACTCCAGTCTAATAATGAGAAGAACATCAGACAAATCACTATTGAGGAACAATCTATAAAATTCTGGACCAGTGCTCCTCAAAACTTTCAAGATCATCAAAAATTTTGTACATCTAAAAAAAATGACAAAGTAAGTGTAATATGGTATCCTGGAACTCTAATAGGACATTAGGAAACAACTAAGATAATCCAAATACAATATAATAATACTGATGTATCAATTTTTTTTTCAGTTGTGACAAATGTGCATACTAACATAATACATTAACAACAGGAGGAATTGGATGTGAAGTATATGAGCATCCTCTGCACTATCTTTGCAATTTTTCTGCAAAACTAAAACTATTCCAAAATTAAAAACGTATTTAAAAGAAAAGCAATTATGGAAGGAACTGAGTACTGTTGACATCATAGAGTTGCTGTACCAATCCTGGCTTGCCTGTCACTGTACTTCTTGCATCATGTGAATTCCTATGTTGTTAAATTACTTTGATAGAATATTCTAATTCTCCCTGTTAGAGCAAAGCAATGATAAATGAATATACTGAGTCTCAGAGGTGTGAGAAGAGAATGACAGGACTGAAAAAAAGGAAGAGGCATAGAAAAAACTAAGCTTTTTCAGAAGCAAGGCCATTGTCTCATTTACCCAGATTCTAATGTCATAATTATGACTAAGTTACGCTTTTTTTTAAACTGAAAGAAGTAGTCACTTTCCACAGTTAAAGAAAAACTCTAATTGTTGTCTGTTGTATTATTAAACATGATATGAAAAAACATGAAGATTAGAATCTAGAGATATTTGGAGGTGGCAAATGGGGTTCGCTGAGTTATTCTTGTTTGTCAATCTTGAAGCCCTTACTATCTGGAGAGCAAAAAGAGGTGATGAACCCTGCTGTTTGTTTGCTTATCTTTGAGATATTATGCATCTCTAAACAGGAGCTACAGAATTCTCTAAACAGGAGCTACAGAGGCCCAGTTCATGAGTGGATGTCTCATGAGACTCCCCAGAAAGGGTCTAGGCCCCTCTTGCTGTTTGGGTGGTTCAACCAAGGTCAAGAATGCCACATTCAAATCATCACTTAAAGAAGCAAAGAAATGAGCTTAAGTTAGAAACAAGATACCTCTATCTGAAGGGAAGTATAATCAGCAAAAGAGAAACACAATAAGATCAGAAGTAGAAAAGCAGAATGTGGTAACCAAGTGAAGCTCGAGGTAACCCCAGCAGTGAGGGTGTGGTGAAGCAGAGGGATCATGATTTTTGTTTCCGGGCAAATAAGAAAGAACACCCAAAACCAGATCCCGGCAAAGAGTTAGTATCTGTTTGCTTTCGGTTATACTTCGCCTTCTAGAAGCCTGTGAAGATCATCTCCACATCATCCCCATAAGATTTTAAAGGGGCAACTGTGGTCCAAAACTTTGATACCCTAGGAATGGAAGGGGTTCTGGAGACAAACTTAGTATTTTACTTCCTTTCTCAGAAAGCCCCATGGCTCATTTCATAAATTATAAACTTGGCATTATATATTTAATTGTAATTTCTTCCTCGGCCTATGTAAAGTTCAATCTGAAACAATTTCAGAGTGTTTCATTTTAATGACTGAAATGTGTATTCAATTCCTATAAAAATCCAAAGCTCCATTCCAAATGTAGTTGACATTCTCCAGCACATCATTTAAATTTCTCTTAGTAATTTTGTGCCTTCTGTGAGACAGTGATATTACATTGCCTCAAGGCATTTTGCATATTTTGTTGATTTTAACATTTAAAGTCCTGGTGCTTTCTACACTCTCATTATGCCCCTGTTCATGTCCCAAATTTCCCTCCACTCCTCACTAGGAAGCAGTGAGAAGGTTTAAATAATTTGTGTGATTTTTAAAAAGCAATTTCTCTGGGATGGGGACAATTGAGAGTCTGAGATGGAAGTATTGATGAAGATATCAGAATTCAGGGAAACTTGTTCTGGTTATGATGGCTATGAGGAAAAATAATGGGATCATTCTACCTATGATGTAGATGTCCTAAAAATAAAATGGAAGCCGAAGACTACAATCACTTTAAGCATTTAGGGAAAGGAAAAAATTAAAGATTAAACTTTCACAGGTAAACCCTGTTGAGTGGAGAATAAATATTTGGATGAAAACAGCTAACAAGAATATGCTAATTTGACCCAAAGGCAGTGCCAAGAGCCATTATGTCTATCAAATTTTTCTAGAGAGTTCTATTCCAATGTATTAGTCTGAAAAGCAAGGCCCTAGCTCATGTCTGCTTATTACTTATATATATTTTACTTTATATATTTTATATTATAATATCTAGACTATGACTATAATTATCTGGTCTATAATATGTAGGCTATGTTTCTAAATAGTATGTAGAGGGGAGACATTATGAGTGGGTTCAAATCCTATCCCATCTTCAATAAATAAAATATTTATCTAACTTAAGAAGTCGTAGTGAGAATGAAATGGATAATACATTTACACTCCATAAGATGCAGTGTTAAATAAATGCTAGTCATTATTAATGATTATTACCACTGGCCAGTAGAAGTCATACAGTTCGGGTAACAATGCTAGTCATTTTTATATATTATTAATAAGCCATTTAAACCACCCTCAAGTGTAATCATTACCATTTCTATAAAAAAAATTGAGCTTCAGAGAGTCAAATTACTTTTCCATTGCCACCTAGCAAATAACTGATAAAGTCAGATTTAACTCATATCTGGTTCATTCCAAACCTCATTCTCTTTCAACTATGTCATTGCTTCTTCAAAAACAATGCAATTTAACATAAACAGAAAATAGCACACATATTCACCTTATTAGGGTGGGCAAATTTGGTAAGTAAAAATAAAAAATTGTTGTCTGGGTGCAGTGGCTCACGTCTGTAATCCCAGCACTTTGGGAGGCCAAGGCAGGTGGATCACTTGAGGTCAGGAGTTCGAGACCAGCCTGGCCAACTTGGTGAGACCCCATTTCTATTAAAAATACAAAGCAGCTGGACATGGTGGCACATGCCTGTAGTCCCAGTTTCTTGGGAAGCTGAGGCAGGAGAATGGCTTGAACCCAGGAGGCGGAGGTTGCAGTGAGCTGAGACCGTGCCATTGCACTCCAGCCTGAGCAACAGAGCAAGACTCTGTCTCAAAAACAAAATAAAACAAAGTAAAATAAAAATTGTTCATTGTTTATACGAAATTCAAATTTAACTAGATATATTTATTTGGAAACTCTACATCTCAAAATACTTTTAGCTGTTAAACCTAGATGCTTTTTGGCTAACTATTGAAAATCAGGGATCTCACTTTTTGGTATGTATGTCTTCATTTGTTAGATGAAATTTAGTTAAGGGAGGGATCTTGTTCTTTATTAGACATCTCCCACCCATAGACTCACAGACTAATACCCAGACAGGTCAAAAGTGCTCCTTGTAGACTCTGCTTTATTCATGTTTGTGTCTCCCAACACTATATGTAACATATATGGGCACCCAAAAAATGCCCATGGCATGAAAACAGCCATCAAGTGTTCTTAGGAGTACTTGAGCAGGGAAGATTTGTGTGGCAAGAAAACATTTAGCACATGGTGTGTGCAGCAAATATGAAGCAACAAGAGCTTTGCGTAGCTCTTTGGCGACTTAGAAGTTAACACTTTTCTTTCCTCTACAACCAGAATAAACTTCAAATTCATCTATCCAAGCCCCATGTAATTATGTTTACTACTATTTTATTGAGTTACAGCTCAAAACAGAGAGAAGAGACTGATACTATTATATCTGGAATGTTAAATACTATGAATTGGTTCAAAACTCTGTTGTAGCAGAAATCATCATCAACATCACCACCACCACCATCGTCATCATCATCAGTATCATGTTACAACTAGTTGCTCACTGCATCATCTTTTGAATTCCATTCAGTGAGAAAATTATAAAATAAGAAAACCTTTTGGAAAAGGCAAAGGAAGCCCTGCTTAAGGTTTTGTCACAGGGAAGAGCAATCGAGTCTCTAAAATAAAATTACCACAAGAAACAGAAGCAGTGGTTTGGCTTGGAGGAAAAGAAAAGAAAATAGATTTTGATTTGTGAATTGGAAAAACTGGAACAAGAGCTGACCAAGAGCAGACTCGCATTCCGGGAGAGTAAATGCACCTAAAGAGCTGTACCCCTCACAGCCCTGGCCAGTTTTTGCATGGAGTTCTTTGACAGACTGTCTCTGGAGGGGTGGGCTTATCCCTTCTCGTGATGCTGGAAATATCTGCACTAGCAGCCATCAGAATAGTGGAAATTGATTAATCCAACCAGACTCTCTGAACTTGACCATCAGCACTGCTAATTATTTACTATGAGCAATTCTTCTGCTTTCTATGATCTTACACAATTTACTTAGCATCTCTGTGTCCCTATTTTCTCATCTGTAAAATGGGGTTAATAATGATTCCTATGTCATGTCTGTTGCACAAGCTAAGGTACTCAAATACTCACTGTTACTATCACCTATTTTTCACTGTACACAACATATTATGCAATGACAGTGCTTTAGTATTATAATTTTACAAATGCTTTAGCCTTTTGAGCCTAAAACAGTTTTGGCCTTGAACTTCCCTGATTCCACACTGAGGAAGTGGGAGGGGATTTCTCTCTTTAAAGACCCATCTCTCCTGGGCTGTAGGAGAAAAGCCTTCCCTCTGTTTCTGACACCAATTCTCAGGCCTAGTGACCTAGAAAGTGCCAGAGCGCCTCAGAAACTGACAGTGTGGTGGGTGCAGGTCATTTCCCAACTTCAGAATATGCACTTGGGTGTTAGTACCAGCTCTGAGATCTGGGGGTGCACAGGATGGCTACATAAAAAGATTCCTGGGCACATAAAGAGAGTTCTTGACGAGGGTAGGCACCTGCTAGACCATTAAGCTTTAATCACATCCCCATGTGTAATAGATACTCCTCACCCAATGATGCAGGCACAGAAAAATAAATAGTAGCATTAAATATTTATTCCATAAGGAGCAGAGTTACTTTTTTATGAAGGGCAAAAAAAGGAGTATTGCCAAGGTCAAGAGAGGAGAACAATATATAATTCTCCTATGGACCACTGATAATGAATGTCTCCTATATGTAACATTTTGATCAAGGAAAAAAGGACAAAACCCCTACAAGTTCTTTTGCAGTACCAGATCCTTTTTTTTTCTTAAATTGTGAATCCTATAGATTATTTTATGTTTTAGCATAGCATGTTTTAAATTTTCAGCAACTGCTAATTATGGTTAGAGACAGGAACTTAGAATAGCAATGTGTGATATTTGACTTTTTAAAGAAATATAGAAGATATCTTTACCCTTTGAGTAGATTTTATTTGTTTAAATTCCAAAGTATTTGGAAAAATGTAAAACTAGAAAAACAAAAAAATCCTATATCTGTTCATTATTTCCTTCCTCCTGATGAGTCATCTTGTTTTCATTTTGCTGACTCACTATTTCTGTGAGTGTTGTGATCCTAAGGCAACTAACTCTCATGTTTTTTGGGGTTTTGCTTTTTTTTTTTTTTTTTTTTAACCCCACAGCCTCCTGGTTAAAGCACATTTACAGCTGTTTATTTTCTTCTTTTCCCCCATCAGCTCTCAACACAAATACAGTAGTTACAATTCATAAAATTACAGTATGCTCTTCTCTTTTCAACACTTTCAGAAATACATTTAGTGATATGTTTGTGGATGGCAAAACAATGTCAACGTATTTATCCATCTGCCTTTCTACTAAATCGTAGATGGACTCAGAGTGTTTGATGTATACTGTGGATTATAAGTGCGGTCCTTAACTCTTCTGAGAATGGGTTATACCGAAAGCTGTAAGTATGAATTCATCATACTTTATTTAGAGTGGGAAATCTACACATCTCAGAATACCTTAATTCTATATTGATTCTACTTTAGAGGAAATATAATCTTTGGAGATTATTATGGCTAGAATTTTTTCTCTAAAAAACAAAGCAAACAAGATCATAGTAACCTCTTTCTTTCAGAAAAGCCATTGTAAGTTGTCCTAGGAAAAAATAAATAAAAGCTCATCAAATAAGACTTCCGTGTTCACTTCTGTCACATACACAAGCTGTGTGATAGCTTAGCTTAGGGCAAACCAGTTCTTCCACTCAGAAAAACTAGAATCGTCTGGATTAAATAAATAAGTAACATACTTTTTGAAGGCTCTGGAGAATTACTAAGACACATAGAACTTGAGGATCTGAGATACTGAAAAGAAGGAAAACAGATATTTCCTTCAGGGCATTTGCCAAATTTTAGAGCACAACGAGAGGCCAACTGGGAGGAGGCAGAGAACCTAAAACACTTTTGAAAAGATGAAAGTGCTAGAGAGACAAAATTTGGAGTTCAGGACTGCCCAGAACTAACACTTATAATTAACAGATTTCATTTTGCTGACTCACTATTTCTGTGAGTGTTGTGATCCTAAGGCAACTAACTCTCATGTTTTTTGGGTTTTGGTTTTTTTGTTTTTTGTTTTTTGTTTTTAACCCCATAGCCTCCTGGTTAAAGCACATTTACAGCTGTTTATTTTCTTCTTAAAAACAGATAAGTTTTTAATTGTATTGACTGCTTTTTCCACACCACAATGGCTAAACTGAAAAAGACACAATACCAAGTATTGTTGAGTGCGCAGGGTGATTAAAATTCATATGCTGCTCAGGGGTGTTTGAAGTATTACAGCCACTTTGCAAATCTGTTTGGCCCTCATTATTTACTAATGGCAAACATGTATATTCCACACCTAGGTATATACTCAGCGTAACCTTTAGCAGAAACGACTACATATGCTTATGAAAAGACATGTACTCTAGTGCATAGCAATATTATTATTATTTTTTTTTTTTTTGAGATGGAGTCTCGCTCTGTCGCCCAGGCTGGAGTGCAGTGGCGTGCTCTCGGCTCACTGCAAGCTCCGCCTCCTGGGTTCATGCCATTCTCCTGCCTCAGCTTCCCGAGTAGCTGGGACTACAAGGGCCTGCCACCACGCCCTGCTAATTTTTTGAGCAATACTATTCTTAATAGACAAAAAACAAGAAATGGTCCAAATGTTCATCACAATAGAATGGACAAATTACATTATATTTATCCAATGAAATCCTATGCAGTAATGAGGAGGAATGAACTACTTCAAGATGCAATAGCACAGCTTACCTTCACCAAAATTATGTTGATTGAAAGTAGCCAACAAAAAAGGAATTTCTCTTATTTGATTTTATTTATATAAAGCTCAAAACAGGCAAAAGTAAGCTATGCTGTTAGAAATTAGGATAATAGTTACCTTGGAGAGGGTAATGACTAGAAGTGCTCATGAATGAAGTTCTGGGATTTTTACCAACATTCTACTTTTTCATCAGGTTGCTCGTTACATGTTTTTTTTTTTTTTTTTTTCTCTCTTCATGAAAATTTATTGACCTATACATTTATGATTTCTAAATATCTGTATGTAAACTATACTTTAATTAATAATTACTTTACAACTAAGATCTTGCCCCTGTAGTTTAATGGGTTTTACCTCCAGAAACCTTATCGGGTTTCTACAGTGAAGAGCCAAAAAATATCCCATCCTGGTTCTGATATGGGGAGGAAGAAATGTAACCATTAGAAATACACTTAGGGTATTCTTTTTAACAAAGACATACTCCCCACCAAGGGGAAAGACTTTCCCAGAGCCTTATCCCAGTTAAGAGGAAGGGAATTTATCTGACTTTAGCTCCTTCTAGTCTTCTTGTTCCACATCAGTGGAAAAGAAGAAAGCCAGGAAACATTTGTGAAGGTCAAAGCCCAGGGACACAGTCTGAAAAACTGAGATTTAATCATAAGATTATAGTCCACCTCCCCTCGCTCACACCTTACTGCCACACCAACAGAACTTCAGTATGATCACAAGAGATTACAGAACAAAGAGCTGCAATGTGCGGCTCCTATCTAAGGAAGCGTTCTTAGGGAGGCTCAGAAACAATAGAAATATAAAAACAAGGACACGGGAGGAATCTAAAGGTGTGGCACCTACAACTATAGCAAACATTAAACACAGCTCGACTCCTAGCCAGATTAACAGAGAGCCTCACATTAAAGTCCTATTTCCCTCAGTTTCTATTACTTCATATTTGACTTTCAACAAAATATCACAAAGCATGCTAAGAAGCAAGAAAATTATGTTATGTATTGTTATGTTATGTGTTAACTTATGTATATAGTATAAACCATCTGAAAAACTGAATTAATTTACCCAACTTAAGATAATTTTTCTTCATTCAGTATAAGGCTTAGTTACCTGTTTGAGTTACAAATAGTACTTAACTTTTGAAGGCTGTACTACTGAATTTAATGAACACATTTTCTGCTGACACGCTGAATAATATTCTCTACCTCCCATCTCTGCTCAAATGTCACCTCATCAGTGAGTTCTTCCATCACTTAAAATAGCAGCACATCTCCAAACTTTTGACCTACCCTCCCTGCTTTATTTTTCTCCATAGCATGTGTCTTTGTCTGATATATTATATTCTTACATTATGGTTTACTAGTTGACTCTCTCCTCTAAAATATAAGCTTCAAGGAACTATCTCTTTAAATTCATTACTCCTCCCAAAGTTGTTACAACAGTTAAGTGTTTTGTAAATCTATGTTAACTAGATGAATTAATATATATGTATATTTATCAAAAGTTATGTTTGGTTAAATAAATGTACCATATTATATAATGGTAGCTAACACTGATTGAATTCTTACTATGTTGTAAAAACTGTGCTAAACAGCTATGGGTTTTGCATGGATTACTTCGTTTAAGCTTCACAACAACCATAGGTACTACTGCTGTTCCTTTTTTAAAAAATGAGAAGATTAAAGAAAAAGGTTAAATTAGCCAATGTCCTCCACAGATAAACTGGACCTTTCTTGATTTTACATAATTTTGGCTAAATTACCAATACAATTATCAAAGTTATAAACTATAAATGGTAGGAACCCACTCATTCTAAAGCAGGGCCAATATACACATCTCTGTAAAACTTTTTGGAAGGTATATCAGTCTTACCATCTTTATTAGTCCGTTTCCACACTGCTGATAAAGACATACCCTAGACTGGGAAATTTACAAAAGAAAGAGGGTTAGTGGACTTACAGTTCCATGTGGCTGGGGAGGCCTCATGATCACGGTGGAAGCCAAGGAGGAGCAAAAGTCACATCTTACATGGATGGAAACAGGCAAAGAGAGAGAGCTTGTGGAGGGAAACTCCCCTTTTTAAAACTATCAGATCTCGTGAGACTCATCACTATCACAAGAACAGCATGGAAAACACTTGACCCCATGATTCAATTACCTCCCACCTGGCCCCTCCCTTAACAAGTGGGAATTCAAGATGAGATTTAGGTGGGGACACAGCCAAACCATATCACCATCATCAGAAAAATACCTGCATCCAAAGTATATAAAGGGAAGACTAGGAATTTGGAAAGTAAAGAGCTATGTTGTCTTTTCAGGTAGTGATTAGTAGATTGGTAAAGAGGACTGTGGCTTTTGCCTTTTCTCATCTTCCCTATTCCTTCCCCCAACCCCCTTCCAAGGATTATGCTGCCCAAGAGAACAATCCAGAGAAGACCCATCTTTCTCCTATACTTGCTGAGCTTCAGAAACTCACAGACAAGCTCTAGCTCACTGCACCAAGATGAAGTGCTGTGAGAGAATTCTCAGTAGCTTCACTGGTGTCCTCTGAAGTTTGGGAGCATGCATGACCGTAGAATGAGATATCTGCCTCCCACTGCATAATGCTAGAGTTAAACTGATAGCTGAAGCGGCCCCTGATGGCAGAACTTGAAGACAGGGAGCCATACTTGGCTACCACTTTCAACAATTTGCCATGACAGAGCCAGGATTAATCCATTTTGAAGGCCTCTGTTTATTAAGGTGGACTGCTGGGTCAATGGAAGGTCAGCAGGTAGAGACCATGGGAAAAACTCCCAGGGGCTGGATCTGAGTTAGGCATGACCAGAAGTCAGCCAGAGAAGACATCATCAATATCAGAAATCCGTGCTGTGCAGAAGTCCCCACAAGTCCTCCAAGGATCTAAATGTGATACAAGCTGGCATTTGGATGTCTGCCCCAAAGCACGCATTGACAGCCTATCGGCTGTTGGTAGCCAAGGGAAAACAAAATAGCAAGACCAATGAAGTAAAAATAAATAAAACATTTACAATCTTGTTTCTAATCTCTTCTCTCTATTATGCTGCTTCAGATTTCTTTTAAGTCAGGTAGGAAGGAGGGAGGATAAATGAATGGACCCTCCACCAAATGCAAGGCCACAAACCCCACAGTCAGCATGAGGTGGGATAGAGAAGACAGTTGCTTTTAACTAGTTTAATATTTAAATCAATTTGTTGTAGTCTTTTCTGAAAGGTATAGAGCTCTTTTTAGAATTTCTTTTAATTGAAAGTTATCAGAAATCTAAGCTATCTGTCTGTTCCAGATATTACATAATGAAGGGATGAAGAAGGCAAGATCAAAACAAACGTGTTAAAAGCAGGCGGAAAAATTTTTCTCACTTTTACCCTAAGATTAAATTACTCTATAAACAAGTTATAATGATGATGCTCATACTATATAGACTTAAATGCATTATAAAATAAATAATTACAAAGGAATATAAAATAATCCTCATGATCTTTAAAAACACTAAGATATTGCAAAATCTGAGCTGGGAAGTCCAGTTTTCTAGCTTGATACCAAGGATCTAGATTTCTGGTGTCAGTCCTGGCACAAATGAACTATTTTGGACACAGACTCCACACTTAATCTCAATGTTGCATCTGCTTCAATAGTTATATGTGAAATCTGAAATATACAGCAAAGAACAACTTAACAGAGAAGACACAGTTAATATCATATGTATCTGCTAAGAGACCATAAGATTACCAAGACTGTATATGAAGGTACAGTAAAACATCTCCATAAATGCGAAATAATGACCATCATTGACTGAGCTATGCCAGTCTAGTAAAAAAGTACTGTGTTTTACTTTTTAATTCTCACAACAAACTCATGAGGTAGGTTCATTATTATTCCTATTTTACAGAAGAGGAAACTGAGGCATGAAGAGATTAAGAAAATTGTTATCAGCTAGTAGGTGGCAGACAGGATTTAGTCTATGGTTCCTCTTATATTTATGTAAATGAGACGTCTTAAGTGGCAAAACAAAACTAGCCCAAATTCTTCAAAAGTTGAGATGAAATTATAAGAGAGTTACTCCCTTGTGTTTCCTTAAGAGCCCAAGACTCCTAATGCCAGAGGTGTCAGTTTTGAAAAATTTCCTCTGCCCAAAGTTGATTATAACATTATTATAAAATTCTCAATGCCTGTCTCTTCTGGGTTTTCAAACACAGTATGGTGGGCAGGGATTCCTTTAAAGTCAAATTTAGCTGGAGGGAAAATATTAATCATTAAAGTTGGACTGGCCCCAAAGATTTGGTGTGTCTGTTCTTTTATCTTTACACTTACTTCTTGTAATACCAATTTTACAATAATACATATTTCCGCATATTTTTCTTATCCAAAAGCTTGAATATATATTGTGTCATGTTTTTGATTATTACTTTAGTAACACACTAGTTGATATAAATGTTTAGTGTTCAGAACTAATGCATTAGCTCCCTAAGCTGCCAGGAGTGTTACTGCCAATGGCTTCCAGTTGAGTGTATCTCTAGGAATTGTTGTTGGTTGAAAGAAGTTGCCTCAGTCAAGATTAAGACATTTCCTTGAAGGCTGCTTGAATTTAATGAGTAGTCAGAGTTGTGGTACAAAGATCTTGATCCCCTGACTCAATAGAGACAATCATGAAGGGCTATCCCAGTTACAGGAATCTCCACAGGATCAGTTGAAGCCTCTGGTGCAATTCATTGCAGTTCAATTTTATCTTCTGCCCAATCTTGCCTCCCTCATCCCTTACTTGTGTTGGTCTCTAGTAAATGCCCTGTAAATAAATCTGCACCTAAATCCCAGAGTCCTGGAGTCTGTTTTCTGGGGAATCCAACATAAGAGAGTTGGTTCTGGGAATGTCCATAGGAAGCAAACCCCATAAATGTGATTTTAGAGCTAGATTCGCTGTGGGTCGTATGGTAATAAGGACACCATCATTGGAGGTAGATGAAGCACTCACAGCCCCTGGCACATGTTTGCAGTATGAGTAAAACTTATACCAGTGATGAATGGGGATGAGATACTTATGAAATGTAATTCACTGGCAGGTGTAATATATTAAGATTTTTAGATACTTGGGGAAAATAATAATTATAAGAATGATAGGATCAGATAGTTACTGATGAGACACATGACATATTGGAAAAAGACAGTGGAAAGATGAAGGTGATTAATCACCAACATAAGGTAAAATGGTAAAGCCCAAGAGTTTCCTTGACATCACATAGAGGCTCTCATTTCCATCAGCTACAGAGTACAAAAGGCTGAGCATGAGACCCAGTAATTAATTATAAGAGAACCTGCTCCAGAGTAGGTTGCATTCTCAACCCTGTCAGGTCTGATATGCCAAGGTCAAAGCACTGATTGAGAAACGGGGGGACCCTGAAACTTGGAATGGGAACTCCTGGGACAATGTACTAAAAGATCCTGAATTTCAATAATCCTCGGAACCCAAAGACTGCAGAAATGTCTCACTTCTCACCCTTAATAACCATCACTCTCCCCTTATTTTGAAGACAATGTATAGATTTTTGATTGAAAGACACCAGTTTCTCTACTCAAGATATAGCACCACTTTCTCTACTGACTGCTAGAAAAATAACTGGGATTGGGTTATAACCCAATCCATAATCCCTAGCCATAACCAGGCCAGGAAAGTGCAGGGCCTTCTAAGGGAAGAAAGTCATTATATACCAAAGCTATCAAAGGACCTAGGCAACATGTATGGGTTGTAGTTGGGAGATTACATATGAACCTGAATCTTGAGAGCACTATAACAAGAGGGATGGAATGCGAAACTAGGCAAGGACATGTTTATCATATGGGATCACTCTCCGACATAAGATTTAATACACTGGCAGGAACCCTGGAAGATGGTACTCTTATACTGCTAGACTGGCCCTAGGATGCTTGGAAAAAGTGATGACTCATACTAAGTGAAGTGGAAACTGCCAGAATGAATGGTGAAGGAAAGAATTAAAGAGCTAAAAAATACCATGTTAGAGTTCATAGTCTACCCTGAAAACAAGTCACAATTCTCTACTCAGTTTCCAGACCTAAGCTAGTTCTTAGATCTGAAATCACTGACTGAAGGAGAGGCTGATTGACCATGAGAAAGGAACCTGCAGCACCATGGCAGGTATACAGATAATAGTTTCCCCGGTCCCTCTCCAAAAGGAACCACTACCATTTGCTCAAGTACCTGTACATCAGAAAAACGAGAATACTCAAAATATTAGAGGACTGTAGGAAGTATCCACATTCCCTACCCTCATTAGAGTGATGGGTATGGGAGTAAGATGTTAAGTGTAGTCCTGTCCCAGATCCAACTCACAGTGAGATCACTTATTCCATGGACACATCCTGTAGTCATTTCTCTAGTCTCCAAATGTCCGATTCAATGGATATCTTGGTGGCTGGAAAAGCTCCACATTGGTTTCTTGATCTGTGAGATGAGAACTATGTGTAGTGGGGGGAAATCAAGGGGATTTCTCTGAAACTTCCTCACAAGAGAGTAAGTCAAGACTAATATTGCCCAACTCAATGAGTGTACTAAAACACATTGAGTTATGCAGTTTAAATAGGTGAATAGTATGATATGTTAATTATATCTCATTAAAATGTTTAAAATTGCAATTTGGGGAAATGGCATACAGTAATGTTACCTTTAGACACCTAGAAAATGCACCTTAACATATCTCCATTTCATTTACCAATCTGGCACCTAGAGAAACCAGATACATCCTCTTGGTAACGGTGGTTACTGCAAACTCAATTAAGCAGCAACTCCAATTAAAATTGGCATTTCAGATATATTATCTTTACTAGCACAAATTAACATGGACTTGGGAACATGGTATATAGCCATTGACCTAGCAAATTTGTTATTTTCATTTCTATCAGGGAAGAGGACCTAAAGTAGTTCACATTCACATGAGATAAGCAATAGCATCTATTTGTGATCTTGCCCTGGAGCTGCAGTATTTCTGACACTCTGTTGTAATATAGCTGGAAGCAACCTGCACATTTGGACATTTCCAAAAAAAAAAAGAATTCTTTCAATTCAATGAAAAACTGCTAATTAGACCTGATGAACAAGAAATGGCAAATACATCGTAGGCTTTGGTAAGAAACAATCACTTCTGATGGCAGCAGAGAAACTCTACAAAGAATCAGTGACATGCCACATCAGTAAAGATTTTAAGAGTTTAAGAGGCAGGCCGGGTGCAGTGGCTCCCACCTGTAATCCCAGCAATTTGAGAGGCCAAGGAGGGTGGATCACGAGGTCAAGAGATCGAGACCATCCTGGCCAACATGGTGAAACCCTGTCTCTACTAAAAATACAAAAATTAGCTAGGCGTGGTGGCAGATGCCTGTATTCCCAGCTACTTGGGAGGCTGAGGCAGGAGAATCACTTGAACTGGGGAGGTGGAGGTTGCAGTGAGCCAAGACTGCACCACGGCACTCCAGCCTGGCAACGGAGCCAGACTCTGTCTCATAAAAAAAAAAAAAAAAGAGACAGGGACTGGTTGGAATCCTGTCATGACCATCATTTTGAAGGAAAAAAAAAGAGTGTAGCGGTGGGTCAGACTGAGACATACAAATATAAAGAACAAAGAACTGTCCAAATTAGAGAACTAAGAATTGCATTTTGAGCCGCTAAAGTAGAAGGATGTGTAATGCCTAGCAGAACTCTCCCAATTCTGGAGGCAGTATATATGCCATACTTGGGAAAACTATATCATCCCATTTACTGATAAGGAAGGTTACTGACTTTAAACGGGGTCCAGAGCAGGAAAGGGCACTGCAACAGTTCCGAGCTGCCGTGCATACAAGCATTCCTGCTGCTTGGGCCCTTCGATCTGGCAGACCTTCTTATGTTAAAGTTATCTGTGTTGGGAAAGATGCCATATGGCATTTAGGGTACCACCAAATAGAAGAGTAACAGTATGGGTTCTGGAGCAACAGTATGGGTTCTAAACATCTCCATATTGTCTGATGTTTAGATGATTGAGCATCATTCTAAAAATAGATGTTGGTTTTTGACTGGGTCCTGGTAGAAATGGAGCATCTGAACCTGGATGCACAGTGACAGAACTACCCACCTTGAGTTGGGTTATCTCAGACCCACCAAGTCATAGGGTCAATCAGACCTAGCAGTAATCAATCCATTGTAAAATGGAATTGGTATCACTTGGAGCAAGCAACAGTAGTGAAGTCAACTGCACAATCGAATAGTTCAGAAGTCTGTGCCATCCACTACTGCTGCACCAGTACCCTTCTCTCATCAAACAGCTATAGTAAATGAGAGAAGTCTTTTATGGCCAGCTGACACAGGAGGCAGAGGGCCATGCAAAGTTCATAAATTGGTTAGTTCAGCACATGGGTGCACGTTGACAATAGACTGCTATTCTACTGCAGGCCCACTTAGTGGTGGCCTTGAAAGACAGTGGCTAGAAGAAGAAATTATAGCACTCAGTAAAGTTTTGGGCAGTGCCTCTGGTCATGCACTTTGCAGGAAAATATAAGTAGACATATATGCATGGATTCATGGATAATGACCAGTGGCTTGGATCTTTGCTTGGGGCCCTGGAATGAAAAAAAAAATTGTAAGATTGCAGACAAGGAGATTTGGGGAAGATATATGTGGGTAGAATTATCAGAGAAAGCATATTGCATATTAAAACTAGAGAATATCCACCGAAACCGAGTGGACAGAATTATACAGCTAATCGATGTTTACACAGCTTCTGTTCTTAGCCACTGCCAAATGGCTGGGGTGACAGCCACTGACAGGTGGTTGCAAGTTCAGTACATTGGATTTCATCTATGCTAGAATAACCAGTGATTTATGTTGATTGGAATCAACAGTTATTCTGGGTATGGGTTACCTTTTCTGCTTGAAGGGCTTTAACCAGTACCATTCTCCAAAGGTTTATAGAGTTTTGATCCACCAATACAGATCCCATGTAACAGTAAATAAAACCAAAGGAACTATTTTAAAGCAAAGGAAGTTCATCAGCAAGCTCATGGTCACGGGATTCACTTGTCCTCTTACTTTCTATACTACCCAGAAACCATCAGATGATGGAGTGATAGAGTAGCTTATTAAAAGTACAGATGCAGCACCAGTTTGGATGTAAAGATGAGGCACCAACTTGGATAATAGGGCACTATCTTTCATGATGAGACACTTAACACATTGATATTCATTATATTGTGTTGTGCTCCCCATATGTAAATACATTGCAACAGGAACCAAGGGGTGAAAGTAAGAGTGGCCTCAATGATCATCAAGCTGAGTGACTTACTTGGAAGTTTGTATTCTGTACCTTTAACTCTAGGCTCTTTTAGCTTTAGAGATTTAGGAACACTCCCTCCCACCAAAGGACAAAGTGAGAGTCCCATTAAACATTAAGTCAAAGTTGACCTCTGGTTACCTTAGTCTCTTTATACCTAGAGCTTGGTGGGAAAAGAACAATGTCAACATCCTTGCAGGTATAATTGATCCTGATCTTCAGGGGGAGACAAGGCTGATGGTATACAATGTGGGCAGGGAAGGATTCATTTGGCATCAAAGTGATGCACTGGCGTATCTGTTGGTGTCCACTATTAACAGGTAATAGTCAAGTATAGCAGCTGTGCTTGAGAAATACATGGGGATTAGGAGCTCTCACTCCTCTTGGACGAAGGTCTGCATCACTCAACCACGTGAGCCATCAAGACAAGCAGAGGAGCTAGTTAAGGGTGAAGCAAACTTAAAATGATAAATATCCTTGAAATTAGCCACAGCACCGGAGTTTGTAGTTTGTACTGTTAATCTTCCTCTTGTATGTTTCCCTGGTGGTAGAGACCAACCATAATCTTGTAGGAGCTGCCTCCAGACAGGGTGAATTCACTACATTATATGAAGTAAAAGATCCAGAGACACACAGGAGTGAACTGTAGTGAACGCTATAGCGTTAGACACACAACTTTCTTTAAGGCCATGCACCCATCATCCAGCTGCCAGAATTGTTGACTACTGACAGCACTTAGCTGAATGCCCCTCCAGATATCACCCATGGTTGGTGGAAGCTTCCTCATTTAAGGTTCTGTCCTTTGCCTCTGGGTAGGCTGCAGCCAATGACCGGTTCATGGAGCGATACAAAGGCCTGGCCTCTGCCTCAATGGAGGCAACCCTGAAGAGGCACCCGAGACTTGTTAGAACTGCCTGGTGGTTAAACTCCTTCTGCTCAATCCTGCTTCCCTCAACTGGCATGTGTGTAGTTCTCAGGAACACTACCCAACACACTGCCTGCATGCTAATCTCCATTTCCGGGTCTCTTTTTGGGGAAGCTAACCTGCAACATTTGCCAACTCTGCTAGAATAATACTTCCTTTTTTTCTTACCTAGCCATTATAAATGTATACGTGATGTTATTCTTTCTCGGACAATAAATAGTACTTTTAAACTCATGTTTAAATGATTCTTTCATGTCTCCTGAAGGCCTGGTGTCAAATTCCACTGAACCCTCTTTCCTTTGCCTTTTTCCTAAGATTGCCAGACCTGGGTACCTGCAGGCACAGCTGAGGAGACCTGGCATTTTCTCATCTACTCTTCAAAAGTGCCATGATCTAGTTCCTCTATTGCTACAGCAATAGCATAAAGACAAACCTTGCAATGGCCTCTTTTAATATGAAACAATTCAGTTTTTACTTTACCAAAGCCACCAATTTCCTGTACTTTTAAGCCTTTGTCTCACTTCAAGAACCACAAAACACAATCATTAACAAACACCAACAGTATTTCTCAGTCTTAATTCAAGTTTGATGTTTCAGTTTAAGTTCTACCACAGAAAAAAGTCTCCAGAAAAGTGTCCTTTTTGGTTGCCTGGATAACTTTTCATTAACAAAATAAAGTCCAAACTCCTGTCAATGTTAGGTCCTTTGTGCTTTGTCTTTAAATGAATCTCCACTCTGATCCTGCTAAACTGATTGGTATACAATTTATATCTCGTCCATTTTTTGTAGTACTCTCCTCTCTCATGGCTCTTCCACCTATTAGTCAAGCCCCATCTCTTATAACATCTGTGATGAAGTTTTGTATGACCAACAGAGAGAAAAACAGAGTGGTGGGCCCCCAATCGCTTATGGGAGAAAGACCATAATCCCTCCCACAGCTTGGAAGGTCCTGTATGGGACAGCTTCTCTGTCCAACTCCAGCTTTCTCTGGCACATTGCTTTCTGAGTTTCAGTCCCATTCACATTTTTCTCTTTGTAGCACCGACGTTCTTCCTGCCAAAGGGTTATTTGGATACCTTTCCTCATACTTCTTACATTGCCTCTGTCCTGGAAGCTCTAGTCTTTTGCAAGAGCTTCCTCATATTCTTTCAGATCTAATATCAGTTTTCACTTCCTCAGGGAAACTTTACCCTATTTCCCAGAATAGGTAAGAATTCCATTACGTGCTCTCACAGAACCCATAATTCTGCTTATAGCTGTAGCTATGTTCTAGTTACCCTGTATTTCTTATTTAGTGCTTTTCTTATTAACTTAGTCAAGGTTTGGGTAGAAAATCAGAAATAGGCACTTTATGACAAGCATGGTGACTCACATCTGTAATCCTAGCACTTTAGGAGGCCGAGGCAGGTGGATCGCTTGAACCCAGGAGTGTGAGACCAACCTGGGCAACACAGCGAAACCCCATCTCTACAAATAATACAAAAAATTAGTGGGGCATGGTGGCCTGCACCTGTGGTCCCAGCTACTCAGGAGGCTGAGGTGGGAGGATTGTTTGAGCACAGGAGGTCGATGCTGCAGTGAGCCATGTTCATGCCACTGCACTCCAGCCTGGACAACAGAGTGAGACCATATCTCAAAAATAAATAAATAAATAAATAAGACATACCCACTTTAGGCCAGGCGTGGTGGCTCACACCTGGAATCCCAGCACTTTGGGAGGCCGAGGCGGGTGGATCACGAGGTTAGCAGATCGAGTCCATCCTGGCCAACATGGTGAAACCCCATCTCTACTAAAATACAAAAAATTAACTGGGTGTGGTGACGTGCGCCACTAGTCTCAGCTACTCAGGAGGCTGAGGCAGGGGAATCGCTTGAACCCAGGAAGTGGAGGTTGCAGTGAGCCGAGATAGCACCACTGCACTCTAGCCTGGCAACAGAGCAAGACTCCAACTGAAAAAAAAAAAAAAAAAGACATACCCCACTTTAGGTATGTCGAGGAGGAAGGGACTAAATATAGGAATGTAAGACTTACACAAGACTTTGGAAGGGAGGAAGAGCAAAGCCTGGGAGGAAACTGACATCAGAATTCAGGAGCCCATAAAGTGCAGGAGTCATTTGTGATCTGGGCTGAGCCTCTGTGGTGAATTTGTAAGCTAAGGCCTAAAAGCTGCTGGCAAAACCTCCTATGAGCCATCTGCCAAAGCCCATGCAGTTCTCTTACACGCCGTAGGAGATTACTACCTTCTGCTTCTTTTCTTCCTTCTAAATCTCTTGCAAACCTCTCTCATTACCAGAATCTAATCTGCTGGTAAGCATTTTAGGCAATGTAGTTCGGCAGCTTCTAGAACAAGTTTGACAAACATTTCTATAAAAAGCCAGATAGTCAATATTTTAGGCTTTAGCTATTGTAGTATAGATTGCACCCACACTAACATTTGAGTTTTGGATAATGATTACACATTACAAACTCCTAGTTTTCATTTGATTCTTCCCCAAAACCTTTTTTTTTTCTTTCTTTTTTTTTTTGAGCTGAGGCCTTTCTCTGTTGCCCAGGCTGGAGTGCAGTGGCATGATCTCGGCTCACTGCAACCTCCACCTCCCAGGTTCAAGCAATTCTCCTGTCTCAGCCTCCCGAGTAGCTGGGATTACAAGTGCCTGCAACCATGTCCGGCTAATTTTTTGTGTTTTTAGTAGAGACGGGGTTTCACCATGTTGGCCAGACTGGTCTTGAACTCCTGACCTCAGACAATCCACCCACTTTGGCCTCCCAAAGTACTGGGATTACAGGTATGAGCCACTGCGCCTGGCCCCGCTAAACCATTTTAAAATGTAAAAATTATTAATTTGTGATCAGGACAAACAGGTGGCAGGTTAGATTTGGCCCATAGGCAGTTGTTTGCCAACCCTTTGTCTAGACCCTGCAAAACAAGAAGGGTCTTGTACCTAACTAACAAAACTACAATTGTTTTATCATCTCAATGGTATCATAGATGTGAGTTCAGGAAGAGGAGGTGAAGAGCAGGAGCAGATGCTAGAGGATTCTGAGCCACCACTCCTGAAATATACTTGTGGTTTCTTCACATTTTCAAATTCAGTCTTATATTCATATGTATAAGTTACATTTAATCACGAAAAACGGCTGCACACATCCCACTTCGTAATTCTATGGGTCAGATAGCACTCAGTTCTTAATGGTAGCTCCATACCTATATCGCTGGTGTTCCATACCACCATCATCTGCTTCTTTTCCACCAGGGCCAAGAAACAAACTAAAAGCAGCCTTACCAATGGAGGATAGTAGTTTGAAGAAGAGGAATTAGCCTTACTCTAAAACCTCAGCGGTCTGGTGATGTCATTGTTGCTGGCAACAGATTTTATCCCTTTCTGCCACAAATACTTCAAGTACAATTCACTTTGCTGGGTCACAGGTCTAAGTGATGGGTCAGCTTGCACAGAAGCCTGGACCTGCTGCATAACCCCACCTTGCTCTAAATATCCCTTGGAACAGGTAGCTGTATAGGTTACCTGGTGGTTGGGCCAGAGTAGTATATCCAAATATGGAATTTGTCGCGTCCCAGTTTCAATGAGACATACTGAATGCTAGAGCTCTTTCTTTTGTGGACTGTGCAAAGTGAGACAACTTGTTTCTAATTTGAAAAGGAATATTCTGCCATTTTCACAGCATTGTCACACTAGAAACTTCATATGATCACAAGTCTATGAACTTTCACATGGTTTGTCTCCCTTCCTTGGTCATGTGTTTGTCTTCCTAAGGCATCAGGTTGTTAGTTTCTTCCTGATGACATGGTAAAATTAATATGCTCCAACATGGCATTCTACTGGGTGTCAAGATAATCAAGCTCCCTCTAGACCAGGAAGCAGCTATTCAAAGTACGTGCCTGCAACAGTGAGGTAAGGAGCTTCCACCAGAAAATAAATCAATGCACTACTCCTTCATCAAAAAAGTCTTTCTAAGAAAAAAATTGTCAGCTGAGCCAAACGGTGTGCTTAGTGGTATAGTTCACATTCTGGTGCAAACTTCCTAATTCATTGGGGATAAATAAGAAACATGGACCAGAAACCAGTTCACAGATGACACTTTGAGGATCACTGCTCTAGTCTAGACCTCAACATGACAGAGATCAGATATTGTCTTGATAAAAGACAGCAAAGTTGTACTGCTGACCCTCTGGGCAAAGGTGAGGTGTTACAGGTTATAGTTACTGATGGAAACTAAAAAGAAAGCATTTGCTAGGTCAGTAGGTTCATATTGCATGCCAGAAGCTGATGTGTTTTAGTAAAGGTACCAGCCATTTCTTGCCTCAGATTTCCAGGTTTCAATTTCCCCAGGGCAAAAAGTCTGTCTATGCAACTCATCAAATATATAAGTGACTCAACTCCATATACGATTTGATGAACTGTGTTTTAGGGGAACTTCTGGAACCAATTACAGTATAAGTCAAGAGTTCAGCAGGAAATTGATGGCATACTCAAATAGTTAATTGAGGGATTTTTGTTGTTGTTGTTGTTGTTGAAAAGACTATTTACAGTAGTACCAATAAGGGTTGGTAAAGCACCCAAGAAGTAACAAAGCTATAAGTTATCATCCCTGGGCCTGAATGGAGACAAGAATAAAGCAGTGTTACTGGAACCTGGAGGGCTGAAGTTATGGGGCAAATGGCTCCCTCCCAGGACATTGATAGAGGAATTGCAGCCATTATAAAAAATGTGGACCAGTATGGGGAATGTACCACCTCCCTTTCCTCCCACCAGCTGGTCTTTTGTTGGTGCCTTGCCTTGGCCAAACCAACTCTAAGGCAGAAAGCAAGGGACCCCGGGTGATGCAGATTCAAGAAGTTAGCCTCCCATAACAGAGAGCCAAGTAGAGAAGGGCAGAGACTGATGCTTAAGAGGCAAATAGAGAATAACATTCATTCATACATAAGAGAAAGTTTTGATAAAACAGGTTATATCTCCACAATCAAATATCATACAGTAATTTTTAAAATGAACTAGATTTCCAATGTAAATAAATCTCAAAAACATATTAAGAGAAAAACAGTAAGCAGCAGCAGGGTACCCACAGTCTAACATTTACATAACATTTAAAATCCAGTAAAACCATATTTTATGGATATATAAATATGGAGGAAAAAGATGTTCTTGCAGCTGGGAATGCAGTTCTGTATACATTAGTGTTATGGGTTGAATATATCTGAAAATATCCCCATTCTACCCTCACAACTTGAATAATTTGGCTGGGTGTGTTTTATATTGCTGTATGTTGTGGGTTGGGCTGTGTCCTCCAAAAATATATGTTGTCTGAATCCTCAGCACCTTAGAAGGTGACCTTATTTGGAAACAGAGTCATTCCATATACTACTAGTTAAGTTAAAACGAGGTGATACTATGTATGACATATCACTGTGCAGTATGACTAATATCATAAGAGGAGAAGAGACATTGGGAGAACAGCATGTGAAGATGGGGGCAGAGATTGGAGTGATGTGGCTACAAGCCAGGAATGCCAAGGATTGGAAGCTAGGAAGAGGCAAGGAAAGATTCTCCCCCTACAGGTTTCAGAGGGAAAATGGCCTTGCCAATACCTTGATTTCAAACTTCTAGCCTCTAAGAACTGAAAAAATAAATTTCTGTTGTTTTAAGCCACCCAGTCCGCAATACATTGTAATGGCAGTGCTGGAAGTCTAGTACATTCTCAGGACTCTTAACCCAAGATGAGTGACATGCTTCGAGGCTATCCAGCTCTGACGGGTACAGATGGATGACTCAGTACATCTCGATCTTTCAGTCAAGGGCATCTATTTGTTTCCTGGCTGGTGTCCTTCAGGCCCCAGCTGTGCAGACACAGTTTGGCTCTATTCTCTCCCATCTTCTCTGGTACCCCCCAGGTCACACAGTTTCAGCCCCCGCTCACTACTATGGCTTTCTCCATTTTTCTTTTTTGGAAAAGCCTCTCTATTTCTGATTTATGAGATTTATCTTTCTAGTTTTCACAGTAAGCTCTATATTTATAAAGTATGTTTGTATGTTGTTATCATTTATGCGTTTGGACTGGAATGGAAGAAGATTTTGTTTATGTTCAATCCGTGATATTGAACTGGATGCATGCCATAGTCTCCTTAGGCCCAGATTTATTTTTTGTTTCTCATGGTCCTGAGTCAATTTACTTACTAAACTGCTCATTGAATTCAGGAATACTGTAAATGAAGTGCCAAAGTACTTAGGGGAATGAGCTATCCAGTGTACTCAAAGGATAATCCTGGAAAGTTCCCAGGAGCCGATGCCTTGGGGTTTCATTTATTTGTCTGCTTTTTCAGAAGCAGAAACACTGTATGATGTAGTGGGGAAAACACAGGAGAAGAAGGAAGCATGGATTCTAGGCCTGGCTTAAACTATGTCTAATAAACATTTATTGAAACTTACCATGTGCAATGCAATGCATTAAGCTCTGGATTATGCAGTGTGAGGATGTAGAGAATGAAAGACAGTGATGAATAATATATTCAAAATCCTGGCTCTGGCTTGCAAACTCCGGACACTGTGGACCACTTTCACTGACCTCATGTACCACTGTCAGTGTGCTCCAGCCTTACTAGCCACTTGCTCTTTCCTATACACATCCAACCTCTTCCTATTTTAGGGCCGTGGATTGAAAGAATCCTTTCCCTTATTCTTTTAGGAGATCCAGGTCACTTGTCGAAACATCACCATTTTTGAAATCACTCTGCTTAGCACATATTACTATCCAACATTTGTCTTGTTTATTTGAAGTATATATTTTGTTGGTCTTTCTGCTTTCCTTCTCTGGATTTATTTCCATGGGCATTGTTTTAGACAGCACAAGATTTTGATTTAAACACTGTTTCATATTCCCTTTCCTTTGCATACTTCTGTTAGGTTGGTGCAAATGTAATTGAGGTTTTTGCATTGTTAGAACTTGCCATTTGATATTGGAATACATTCTTAAATAAATGTGGTTATATCATACATCATTTTAATGGGCATTTCTGGCTTTATGTTTTTTTCTTTTTTTGCTAATGACTTTTACTTGCTATTTATTTTAGACTATGGAAATGATGTTAGACAAAAAGCAAATCTGAGCGATTTTTTATTTGAGTTCAGTATTGGTCGTAAAGCAGCAGAGACAGCTTGCAACATCCACAACGCATTTCGTTCGGGCACTGCTAATGAACATACAGCGCAGTGGGGGTTCAAGAAGTTTTGCCAAGGAGAAGAAAGCTTTGAAGATGAGGAGTGTAGTAGCTGGCCATTGGAAGTTGACATCCACCAACTGAGAGCAATCATTGAAGCAGATCCTTTTACAACTACATGGGAAGTTGCTGAAGAACTCAATGTTGGCCATTCTACGTCGTTCGGCATTTGAAGCAAATTGGAAAGGTGAAAAAGCTCAATAAGTGGGTGCCTCATGAGCTGAGTGAAAATAAAAAAAATCATCGTTTTGAGGTATCATCTTCTCTTATTCTATGCAACAACAATGAACTATTTCTTGATCGGATTGTGACATGCGATAAAAAGTGGATTGTATATGACAACTGGAGAAAACCAGCTCAGTGATTGGACCAAAAAGAAACTCCAAAGCTTCTTGCACCAAAAGAAGATCATGGGCACTGTTTGGTGGCCTGCTGCCAGTCTGATCCACTACAGCTTTCGGAATCCCAGCAAAACCATCACATCTAAGAAGTATGCTCAGTAAATCAATTAGATGCACCGAAAACTGCAATGCCTGCAGCCGACATTGGTCAACAGAAAAGGCCAAATTCTCATGATAATGCCCAACCGCACATCAAACAACCAGTGCTTCAAAAGTTGAATGAATTGGGCTACGAAGTTTTGCCTCATCCGACATATTCACCTGACCTCTTGCCAACCGACTACCTGTTCTTCAAACATCTCAACAACTTTATGCAGGGAAAACACTTCCACAACCAGCAGGATGCAGAAAATGCTTTCCACTACAGATTTTTATACTACCAGAATAAACAAACTTATTTATCATTGGCAAAAATGTGTTGATTATAATGGTTCTGATTTTGATTAATAAAGATGTATTTGAGCCTAGTTATAATGATTTAAAATTCATGGTCCAAAACCACAATTACTTTTGCACTAACCTAATACCCCAGTAGTAAGAAAAGGACTATACTGCAAAAGGGTACTTTCTCCATTTGAAAAAGAGATTATGGACTCAGGGGTTAAAGGTTACAAAATATTTTTTTCTCTAGATTCAATACATGAGATTTATTTATTTAGATCATCTACCACTGGAGGGTGGTTCAAAAATTTTTTAATTTTATATTGGATATCGTTGGATGATCTGGTGCATCATACATGTAGTGGGGCATATCTTTGGAAATATGTTAGAAGCGTGTATCTGAACATACACACACATGTGCATGTGTATCCCTGGCTTCCTAGAAATGGTGGCTTCCTGGATCCAGATGGATCCCTCACATGGCTGTGCCTGTGCTTCCTGGCCCTGGTTGACTGGACCAGTGATACAGGCAGCTGAAACAAGGAATGAAAGTAGTAGAGGTTCTTCTCAATATTACAGCCAATGAAGCAATCACAGTTTTCTGCTTTCCTTCTCTGACATTTTGGCTTTATTGATCTTGAAATTTTATTTCTCAGAGGACCCAGTAATGGTTTCATTGAGCTGGAAGTTGACTCTGCCGGCTGGGCTTCAAGGCTCCTTTTGAGTTAAACAATAGACCAATAGACATGGGAGTGGACAGGGGTGTCGGGTTTTTGTACTGATTGGGTGATTGCTACTAATTGTCAAGTACACGGTTGCTGGGGCCAGGATAACTGTTTAGAATTCAAGGGCTTTTCTGGAGCACCTCTGTTGTGGCTTGAATGGTGCTCCCCACCCCCAATCCCGAAAAGATGTGGCTTTCTAGACCTGTGAATGTAATATTATTTGGAAAAAGGGTTTTTTCTTTTTTGCACTTTTAATTAAAGTAAGGATCTTGAAATGAGATCATCCTGAATTATCAGGGTGAGCCCTAAATCTGATGACAGGTGTCTTTGAAGAAGACATGGATCAGAAGAGGAGAAATGCAGAGGAGTAGTCCATGAGAAGGTGGAGGCATAGATTAGGGTGATACATCTACAAGTCAAGAATGTTAAAGATCCAAAGAATGCCAAAGGTCACCGGCAGCCAAAGAGTCTTGGAGAGAAGCATGGGACAGATTTTCCCTAAGAGCTTCAAAAAGGAATCAACTATGCCAATACCGTGATGTCTGATTTCTGGCCTCCAGAACCGTGAGAGGATAAAGTTTCATTGTTTGAAGCCACCAAGTTAGTGGTAACTTGTTATAGTAGCCACAGGAAACTGGAGAAACGTCTCTGTATTTTCATGTCTAGTACTAATGGTTAACAGGAAATAAAAGCAGCCCAATAAAAGCGGTTCTAGATGCTTCAGATATTAAGATTTGGGTTATCTCACTCTCAGGTGCTGGTTGAGGGCAATGGGGCAATGGGCCTGTATCCCATAAAAGGGAAACCATAAATACGAACCATGGTCTCATGGCCCCGTTACAGAAATGAGGATTATAGGAGCCATGTGTATTTTCTTCATTGTTTGTAGTGTATATTTTTATATACATTAATTATATTTTTTCCACTTTCACTCCCTCTTGTATTAGTTTTCCATGCAATGTAATGAATTACCACAAACTCAGAGACTTAAAAAACAATATACATATATGATCTCACACTTTCTGTGGATAGGAAGTCTAGGCATGCCTTAGCTGGGTCCTCTGCAAAGCTGCAATCTATGTGCTTTCCTGTCCAGATCTTGGAAGTCCAAAAGTGTTTCCTCCTCTTCTATTTTCTTGGAAAAGATTGTGTAGAATCAGTGCTAATTCTTTACATGTTTATTAGAAATTTCCAATGAAACAATCTAAGCTCAGATATTTCTTTTTTGAGATTTTTAAATTATAAATTCAGTTTCTTTAATGGTACTGCTTTTATTGGGTTGCTTTTATTTTCCGTATTTTCCAGAATATCAATTTTATCTTAGTTGCGTTTTAACAGTTAGTAGTATTTCAGAAATTTGCTCTCTTTTTTTTGTAAATTGTCCAATTTTTTAATATAAAGTTTTTTTGCAGTATTCTCTATCTTTTTTTAAATTTCGACTTCTATTTTAGATACAGTAGGTGTATGTTCAGGTTTGTTAAATGGGAATATTCTGTGGTGCTGAAGTTTGGAGTACAGATACTGTCACCCAAAAAGCGAGCATAGTACCTGATAGTTTTGTAACGCCCCGCCCCCCATTCTCTAGTACTCCACAGCGTCTATTGTTCTTGTATTTATGTCCATGTGTACTCTAGCTCCCATTTATGAGTGAGAGCATGTGGTATTTGGTCTTCTGTTCCTGCCTTAATTTGCTTAGAATTATGGCCTTAAGCTCCATTCATTTTGCTGCAAAGGACATAATTTCATCCTTTTTTTGTGGCTGCATGGTATTCCATCATGTGTATGTACCACATTATCTTTATCCAAGCTATCATTGATGGGCCCCTGAGTTGAATCCATGTCTTTGCTATTGTGAATAGCATAAGGATGAACATACAAGTGCATGTGTCTTTTTGGCAGAATGATTTATGTTCTTTTGGGCATAATGGGGTTGCTGTAATGGGATTGCTGGCTCAACTATCTTTTTAATGTGTGCAGTATCTATAATGATGTTCTGTTTCAATCTTGATACTTATTTTTTTCTCTTAATTTTTGTCTGTCTTGTTAGAGATTTATCGATTTTATTAATATTTTGGAATTTTTTTATTGATATTCTCTAATGTTTTATTATTTTCATTGCCATTGATTTCTGCTCTTATCTTTATTATTTCCTTCCTTCTGTTTGCTTTTGTTTTCCTTCTTCTTTTTGTGTTTTCATGAGATAGGTTCTTAGGTAATTGATTTGAGAGCTTCCATCACTTCAAACGTAAGCATTTAATGCTATAAATTTCCTGCTCAGGACTACTTCAGGTGTCTCTCAGAAATTTTGATACTTACAGTTCTTCCAGTTCTGTTCTAAAAAGTTTCCTTTGAAACTTTTTCCTTGACTCATGAAATACTTGGTAGAGTATAGCTTAATTACCATGTGTTTAGAGACTTTCCTACTGTCTTTCTGTTATTTAATTCTAGTTTGATATCTTTATGGCCAAAGACCATACTCTACAGAATTATTTTAAATGTGTTTTGTTGAGGTTTGTGTTATGGTCCATGACATAATTTATCTTGGTAAATGTTCCATAGGAACTGGAATAAAGTGTATTCTGCTGTTGTTGAGTATTCTATATTTCATCAATTAGATCTGGTGATTGATTGTATTGTAGATTTCTATATCTTTGTGGATTTTCTGTCTAGTAATTCTACCAGTTGCAGAAAGTGGGTATTTGAAGTTTCCAACCATAATTGTAGATTTCTCTAATTTCATCTCTATCAGTTTTTGATTCACGCATTTGGGGACTCTGTGTTTTGGTATGTATAGTTAGCACTATTATGTCTTCCTTGTGGATTGATCCTTTTATCATTAGTTAATCACCCTCTATGTCTGCAGTAATTTTATTTTTGCATGAGTCTACTTTAGCAGATATTACTATAGCTACTCATGATTTTTTAAATTCACTGTTTGCATGGTATACATACACCATTTTCCTTCCCTTTACTCTCAACCTACCCATTTCATTGAATATGAACTGATATTCTTATACATATTATATAGGTGGGTCATGTTCTTTGTAGTTGGCTTTTATGCAGTCTGTCAAATTATATGTTTTATTGGCTTTTTAAAAAAAACTTTTAAAGTAATTATTGATAGTTTAGCAACTGTCATTTATTTGTTTTCTGTTTATTTTCTCTGGTTCTTATTCATCTGTTTCTCTTTCCTTACCTTCCTTTGGGTTATGTGAACATGTTTTAGGATTCCATCCTGATTCACTTATAGTGCATTTGAGCATATTTTTTCATATACTTTTCTCAGTGGTTTCTTTGATGATTATCCTGTAACATGTGATGTGTTACAATCTAGTGGTATCAATATTTTACCATGTCGAGTGAAGTATAAAAATCTTACTTCTACTTAGATGTCTTTCCTTTCCCACTTTTAACTATCATTTTATTGAGTTTCAGATGGTGTTGGAATTTTTTTGTTTCAATCATCAAAAACGACCTATGAGACAAATACATGTAAATAATGTTTTTGTAGGTACCCATAATTCTACTATCCATTGTTCTTTCTCCTTTCCTGATACTTGAAAATTCCTTCTTCTATCATTTACTTCCTGTTTGAAGACCTTCTTCAGCAAATCTTCAAGGGAAGGTCTCCTGGCAACAAGGTAACATAAGCCAATAGCCTGCAAAGCTTAAACTATTTACGGGATGGCCCTCTTCAGATAGACATATGACTTCACTAGGTTTTAATTTCTTAACCTTAACAACAAGGGCATAGGATTAGATAATTTCTAATGTCCCTCTAATATTCTATAATTTCATGAGAAAAATATCAATCCTCTAATTTCTTACGAGAAAATGAGATTCTTTTTCCTCAATGATCACATTTGATCACAGGCAATAAAAAACTTGACGTTGAAAAATAAGTCAAATTAATGAATACATACTTTATCATTCCAAGAATATAACATGAAGGTGAAATCAATTTTGGTCTGCTGACTGTGCTTCAGGTAATTAGATTTGTAGAACTAGAGTTCAGGTTCCCATTGTGAGCTGGCAACAGCCCACACTGCTTTACACCTGCCATGGAAGTCAGCAGGCATCATCACAATCTGGAAATGCGATGCTTCCACAGATGCTATTCTGCACTTGTGACTAAAATCGTTCTGGCTGTCCCACGGCTCACAGAACAACTGCTCCCCTTTTGAGTTCTCAGTATTATTATTTCCAGAAGAATTATCTCCTACTCATCATTTTGGGGAGTGCTTACTAGGTAAAATGTGTGAATTATTTTCTGAAACATGCTCTTCTGAATTTAGTCCAGGTACAAAGGAGCAGAAAGAGAAGCTGATCTTGTTTTTGTTGTTGTTTTGTTTTTATCTTAGGAGTCAAGATTCATCTACATGTATTTTTAAAACAGAAAAATATGTAAGGAAACAAGGCAAATAGGAAAAAAGAACATGTATGGAAAACAGTTATGATGGCTATTTTAAGACAGCTAAAACTCATATTTCTTTTAAATGATTTAAAAAAGTTAAAACAGTAAAACCAGTTATTCCATAATGGAGGTCACAGACTGGGAGCCTGAAGCTCTTACACAACCACAGCAAGTGTAGCCTTCAGACAGGGTTGGTTTGTTCTGCACAGAATTGGGCCAGAGGTTTGTTTTCATCTGTATTTCTAAACTTAATTGGTTACCAACATTCGGAAAAGTTTCTAAATTAATCTAAACATTTTGATTTCTACATTCTCTTGGGAAATGGGCCATGCTTGGGTCCATATTCCTGTGCAGCAAAGGCTGCAGGAAGGTAGTGCTGCTGCAGGTGTTGCATGTGCTTTCGAGTCCCAGTGGGGGCAGCCCTCCCCACATTGCTCCCTTTTGTCCCCATGTCAAACAGCAGGTACCATTTATTATCACTCACATTTTTTTGTGTTTCTTACAGTACAGCTGAATATGGCAGAATATCTAGTATCCATTTTTGAATCAACAGTGGGAAAATGCAAGATTAATCAATAGGAACATGTGTTTTAATAAAACTAGGAGGCAGAATTTTCTTGTAGAGATGAAAAATATTCCTATTAGGAAACACACAAGCTAAGGACGTTCATTGTAATAATATGACCTGAGTGACCATTCTTAAATATACATGGCTCACTTCCCACACTCATGGTCCCTGCTGGCCTTGCAGGCATGAATTTCCAACTCTTTTCTCAACAAATAGTAGGTGGATGCCATGACATTCATATTTTTCTCTACTTTCTCAGTTAGATTTTGTCTCCCCAACCATGCAGCATTGTCTAAATGCATGTACGTTCTAATTTCTATTTAAGAAAAGAGGCCAGGCATGGTGGCTCATGCCTATAATCCTAGCACTTTGGGAGGCCGAGGTGGGTGGATCACGAGGTCAGGAGTTTGAGACCAGCCTGGCCAACAAGGTGAAACCCCGTCTCTACTAAAAATACAAAAATTAGCCAGGTGTGGTGGCGCACACCTGTAATCCCAGCTACTCGGGAGGCTGAGGCAGGAGAATCACTTGAACTCAGGAGGCAGAGGTTGCAGTGAGCTGAGATCACGCCACTGCACTCCAGCCTGGGAGATGGAGTGAGACTTTGTCTCAAGAAATAAAATAAAATAAAGTAAATATAAAAACAAGAAAAGAAGTCATTGGTGACTCAATTTAGACATTCCTGTTCTTCATATTCTATATCTGAATAGACTGCATAGATTATATCTAAGTACTGAGGGTTGGATTCTTATGGCCTAAGTGCTACATATTCCTGACGGAATCAAGACTAATATATCCTAAAAGACTAATCAAATCTGCCCAGAGAACATGAGAAGGAAGGCATTTTATGACAGATAACATCTCATGATGATGGACTTGCCAATTGTATTAAATGATCGACAATACTTAACATCTAACACAGAAAATTGAGTGCTGATTTATTCCGATGTAGTTGATTAGTTTCAACATAGTCTTAACATTAAAGAAGGAGCTTTCAGATATTCCATAGTGACCTACGTTTGCTTCAATGATTTAGAAACTCTCCATTGGTGTCTTTCCGGATTTGATAACAACAGGGTCTCTGTGTTGTTCGTTATCTTCCAGGTTAGCTAGCATTTCAATTCACTTTGGAGGAAGCTGGAAGTTCAGAAGTGTCATATATATCTACCACATTTCCATTGATTTTTGGCCAATTTATATTCCAAAAAGCCACTTATAGCTACTTAAAGTAGCCTTTCCTTTTAGTTTCAGAGAGATATAATAATACTCGAATACTCTGCAGACTGCTTGAACAGACTGGAGTTGTGAACAAATTCAGGTATCTCTTCTACTCCAAACCTCCCTAAGCTGTGAGGCTATGAAATAATATGTAAGTAGAAATGATTAAGGGAGGCACAGCCAGCCGCCTTCTAGCTTCACTCAGTGTTGAATGAAATGGCACATAGACTCTACACTAAGTAGGGGTGTTTACTAAAACACTGAAATAAGTCTAGGAAGGATGTGGAGTCTCTGCCTATGGAAACATTTTATAAGGTAAATATTACATATTATACCCAGGGTATGTGATGGATTATTGATTTCTGGCTATTTTGTTATTAAAAAGAATGCTTGCCAAAGTGCACAGAAATTAAATATAAATGCTGAATTGTCACTCCCCTATGAAAGTTAGGCAAATCTCTGGGCATGGTGGCTCACACCTGTAATCCCAGCACTTTGGGAGGCCAAGACGGGTGGATCCCCTGATGTCAGGAGTTCAAGACCAGCCTGGCCAACATGGCAAACCCCCGTCTCTGCTAAAAATACAAAAATTAGTGGGACGCGGTGGCAGGTGCCTGTAATCCCAGCTACTTGGGAGGCTGGGGCAGGAGAATCGCCTGAACCTGGGAGGTGGAGGTTGCAGTGAGCCAAGATCGCACCATTGCACTCCAGCCTGGGCGACAAAAGCGAAACTCCATCTCAAAAAAAAAAAAAAAGGCAAATCTCAAAGGTGGTCTTCCAAAGCTAGTAGACTGCCCACCTCATATTTTCAGTTGAGCTACAATCAGCCCCTGCTCTTCTGCATTTTAGTATTTACTGGTATCTATTAAGTTCAGGTGCTAAGAACCTCTTGCCTTACACCATTTTCTGGAAGGAGAGTAGATATGAGAAGGAGCAGCCTTTGGTGTCTGACTTCCAAGTTTACGACATGAATGCCTGGAACTCAAGAGATTCTTGTGGTAATATGAATACTGAATGAGCACATCAGCACATCAGTGTGGAGATAAACATGCAGCCTCTCCATGTCCAGGCAAAAAATATCTCCCCTTTTGTTTATCTTTCAATGTCAGAGATCATTTGGCTGCAACACAGCAACACCTTTATCTAAAGACTGATGGTTAATACTGAGTGTCAACTTGATTGGATTGAAGGATACAAAGTATTAATCCTGGGTGTGTCTATGTGTTGCCAAAAGAGGTTAACATTTGAGTCAGTGGGCTGGGGAAGGCAGATCCACCCTTAATCTGGTGGGGACAATCTAATCAGCTGCCAGCAAATATAAAGCAGGCAGAAAAACGTGAAAAGGCAAGACTGGCCTAATCTCCCTGCCTACATCTTTCGCCTGTGCTGGATGCTTCCTGCCCTTGAACATCTGACTCCAAGTTCTTCCATTTTGAAACTCAGACTGGCTCTCCTCCTCCTCAAGCTTGCAGACAGCCTATTGTGGGACCTTGTGATCATGTAAGTTAACACTTAATAAACTCCTTTATATATTTATCCTATTAGTTCTGTCTCTCTAGAGAATCCTGACTAATACAGACTCCAAAGCCTAAGTATTAGAAAAGGCTAGGAGACAACTCTAAGAGAGATAACACTTATTTCCAAGAATGGTTTTAAAACTCAAAAATTCCCAGTTGCTGGTGTGTCTCTGGCCCACACACTTCCAACATCTCCTTAGTGATAGTTATAGAAAGGGGGTCTGTAAAATTCAACGACATGACAGCCATTTAAGGAATAACTAAATTAGGAATAGGAAGCCCTAAACTATGAAAAGCATGTAGAGCTGTGCCAGTGGAAGAGGACCCCACCCCCAGCCAGCACCAGGACATCCGCCCAGAGGGACATGGCTGGGGGTGTCGGAGAACATAGTCATGCACAAGACTACTTAGGGAGCCCTTAAGGGTATAAGATATGAGCTTTTGAATATGAGTTTTGAGAGCAACAGGCAACCCCTCTTCCATTGTCTCCTGATCAAGTGGCTTCTGTGGTGCCCAAACAAAGCAAGCATGATATTTCAATTTCCTGTTACAAAGAAAGAGAACTCTTGTTCTTTGAATTACAGAGGCTGCACAGACCTCTGAGCTTTGTGGACAGTTGTGCTCATGATAACTTTGCTGGTGTGTGGTGCAGTCATGAGCAGAAATGAAGTCAGTGTCACACAGTGAAACAGAATCTTCTATAGGATAACATAATAAACATTACCGGGTAAAAAAAATCTTGGGCGAGTTTGTGGATTTTTTTTTGTTAAATGCCTCCATGTTTAAATGAAAATCAGCTTTCCTAAGAAAAGTTTGCTTTATCTGAATTTTTTAAAAAGTCACGCATTTTCTAATAAAGTACATAGCAAATGGGAGATTGAAGATGTCCATTATGATAATAATACTTTAAGAGAAAATTGATTAATGAGGAACAATAGAAATGAAATTCTAAATTTTTTTGTCTATCTTTGTGACATTTGGGAAACAATGTGTTTAGTGGTAAAGACATAGCTGCTAAGTAGGAATGAATCTGTTGACAAATCATGTACCTTCTCATTAGCTTCCATTTCATCATCTGTAAAATAGGGATCATAAGTACCATTTGTCATGTTGGTTATAAGAAAAAAGTAAGATGTGTATTATATAAATGGATAGTGACAAACACAAATGGAAAATGTGTATTACATACATGGATAAATATAGAAACCAACAAACAAAAAATGATGTCAATCTCCTGGCCTTTTCCATCTCCACCTACTGGACATTTTGGCATTAAATTAAGAAAATAAAAATAAAAGAAACTAGAGGTTGGAAATCAGTTTTACTCTTTAAATAGAGTTTTTGTGGCCTACTTGTATCAACGAGTATAGGAATAAGCTACTCATTTAGTGGTGAATGCATAAACATTAAGAGGAAAAAATGATGTGCAAACAATAACTGTTATAATTATAAAAACTTTATTTCATTCTTACTTTAATTAAATCTTTATAAGCACCATGTCATGAGCTGGCAATCTAGAAAGAGGACACTGGAATGCTTTAGTCAATTACAAACTGCAAGCTGATGATGTGAAGTTACAGCTACGTGGAGCATGTGAACAAGACCACATTTAGAAAGGTTCACTTAAGAATCCCATGACAATGCGCAAAACAGGAATCTGGCATTGATTTGTTCACACTTTTTATAGTCAGAACGCAAAGCTTGTGCATGTAAACATCAAGAGAAACATTTTATCACCCTGACAGTTTACAGTTTGCTCAAATTTGACCCTGAAAGCATATATGTTGCCATCTTGTTTTCTTGACCAGTGCTGGGCCACAGGCTGAAAAACTCCATTCCTTTAAAATTTAAATGATGCTTAAAGGCTATGTTCAACATTGTGCAAGTTGTCAGCAAGGCCTTTTAATGTGTACATTTCTCATGTATGATCACCAAACCATTATTTACCTAATGAAATTGTGAAAAACTATACATATTCAGCAAAATGTTTTAATTTGGTCCTATATTAAAAGACCCAATTGCCAAGGGATTTTACACAAATTTAATTCACAAGCATGTACACAAGAGAATCACTATAAAGAACATTGCTTCCTGGTTTATGAATAAAAAGTTTATCTTCTACTTACACTAAAACATACAAAAAATAATCTACAAAAATCGTTTACAATTGATTTTAGCTAAAGAAAAAGCTTTCTTCAGGAAAAAAAAGATGATTGTGTGGTGGTAGTATTTTAGCCATCAAAAAAGGAATGTAAGTAACCAATAAATATAATGTGCTTTCTCCATATAGACATATTTACACTTGAGTCTTTGGCTTATGTTATTTTCTAAAAAGAACTTTAAATGATCCAGCCATCATTGCACATTAAAAGAAAATAAGCCAGTTATATATATTTATATATTTATATAGAGATCTGCTACACTGGAAACATATAAAAAACGAACTTTACTATGAATTTGCACAGCTTTTCTTTTCTTCTTCCTTTTAAGATTCATCAGCTTTCATTTTAGAAAGGGAGAAAAATGCCACGTAGAAAGTATGAACTCATGCAACATGTGGTAGCTGCTCTACTGAAACCATGAGAAAAAAGGTGGCATGTTCACTGTACAAACACCAATACGTTCTCATTTCAATCTGGTTCTTATTAAATATAATTTATGTGGCATGAAATGTTGATGCTTTAATATAGTAATAAAAACTAATTCAGTCCTTTTTATTAAGATACACAACTTCATAAAAAAAATACTTTTACCTCTCAAATGTAAAAGTCTCCCACCCCCCACATTAAAATCTTTCTGCACAAGTGTAACAGGTACAACAGCTGCTGGCTCAATAGATGGACAGGTTTCTTCATGGATGCACTTTAAAGAGTCTCACCCAACTAAGATGATTCCAGGTACTCCAAAGCTACATCATAGCAGAAACGGTATTGCTCCTGAAAGATGTCAAAACACAAAGAGTGAGAAAACTTAAGAAAGAGACTAATGTTGAATAACAGTTACCAAATGAAACTTGACAACCAATTTAGATTACTCAAGGATTACAATTTATTTTTTCTATATATGAGATTAATATCTAGGCATACATATTTTATACTTGAGTCTAATGATCCATTTAAGAAAAAGGAAATTTATCTTAAAAAGACATTTTATCTTTGCCGCATATTTTCTATCAATTTTTTAAATATCTATAATTTTTTATCTGTTTATAATAGTAATATTTGATCATTACAGAACAATTCTGTACAAATATAAAGAATATACACATTCTGAACAAACATAAAGAATGAGAAAAAGAGCTATAATTCTATCATCAGAAGAAATTGTTAAAATATCACCTTAGTTTGCCTCAGTTCTTTTTGTGCATGGTTGAAATAATTATCTTAGAATAAATATAACTATGTATATTTCAAAATATAATTTTAAATGTAACTTTTAAAATTTAACATTGTTACAATTCTTTTTCCATGTTATTTAACATCTTTTAATACCACATAAAAATCAAATATATGTATTGTTTGACTATTAAGTTGCTTTTATTTTTTTCTCTATTTTATAATGCTACAGTGATAAACTGCAAATGTTTTTCTCCATATATTTCAGATGATTTCCTTGAGAAAAAAAAAGCCAGCCATTTTAAACAGCCATTTATGCAATTTCAAGTTCTTAATTTTTGACACTGTTTTTGTCCATCAGAGTATTTAAGCAAATTTTTCAAGAATGGTTAGTGATCCTTAAATTTTGAGCCTACTTATACCTGAAAATGTATTTCTGCTGCCTTTATATGTTTAAGACAACATATTGGCAATAAAATTTTTGAGTTAAAACTGCCTTTCCTCTAAGCCCATCTATGGACTTGCTCCATAATAAGAATTTAGAAAAATTCAGAGACCATATCATAAACTATTACTTATAATATGCAATTCATTTAAAAATTCCCAACTCAGTTCATTCAAGTGGGTAAAATTCAGGCTGGAGAACAGTCTAAAATGCATATTATTTTGGAATAGAAGTTCGAGGTGTCTCCAGCAATAAACTAGGGTAATAAAACTTTCCTTAAGAGGTCTTTATCATTCCAACACTATTCACCAAGTAGTTATGATTCAAATTCACCTACCACTGTGGCGAGTGCATTCAAGGAACCAAAATGTGCCTAGAAATAGTTATGTCTCTTTAAGCAGTCTCCAGCAATATTGCCTTCACTCTAAATCTCCTCACCAAACTCCTCAGCTCAACTCCACAGCTCACTAAACTAATCATCAACACTGATTAAACACAAATCAGAGGGTGGGGTGTTCAGGATTCACGGGACATGAATGTAAAGGAAAATAGTAACTTTTTGGAAGGTCCCAGAATGGCACAGTTTAACCATAGATTTTTTTTTTAATTAAAAAAGGTGGGAAATCAGTTAAATTTGAAGGTAAAAGTTGAATTCTGAAGTCAGAAATGATCCCACTGATGATTTTAAGACTTGACCTGAAAAATGGAGGCAGAGTTTACATCAAGAAATCTTCAAATCGCAAAGTTTAGAGACATAACCACTATTCATTTAGTTGCTAAGACGATCTGAGAGTTCTCCCTCAAAAATCCCTCCGATTCATCCCCCCTTTCTCATCTCCATAGCCAGCACCCCAATCAAAACCAATGTAATCTTGTGTAGACAGCTGCAACAACCCAGGGAAATGAGGTGGTGTAGGGAGTTTGAGGACACCTGTAGAAAGGGTGGAAGTCTGGTACCGCTTGTAAAAGTGAAACAGTACAAACCTAAGTCTTCAGATTTTGTCTCAGGAAGCAACGCAACTCTTGTGCGAGCAATCCATGAGCAGGAAGTGGTGAAATACTTTAAAGGTTTATTGAATTGCTCATTCTAGTTATCTGATCATCTTGATAAATGTAGGGCAAGCAACAATGATGCCTTGGTTTTTCTGGTTTACTTTTCTGTGAGCATACACTACACAGCTGCTCCCAACCTGATCCCACCATGCACATACATATGTGTAACCCACAGATATCTCTCGTTAGAAGTAAAATGTGTTAGATAAGTGTAACTTTCTTTCTTACTCTGCATACAGCTTCACCTAGATGAACTGTCACACACACACATACCTATCAGCTCTTATTTTGTAAGCTATGTTCTGACTTTACGAGCCTTGACAAGCTCAAGTAGCATGATATGAACTGCCCTCTACAGTTGGTAAAAGCTGAAAACTTAACCATGATAGTTTAACCATTTACAATTTGATCAGAAAATGAATGAATAATTATAGATAATGACAAAACTAAATTTCATTGCCTTTTAAAAATACTGGGTGTCTAAGGTACTGATGAAACCTATATCCCTTAGACATACAGCCTTGATATAGGATTTATTCTTCTTATAGGACCATTTACCAAAGTTTACTGCAGCAAATATTTTTTGGCTATAACAGAAAAAAAATCCTACAAATTTCCCAAATTAAATGAAAATAGTTTCATGATTAGCAGTTTATGCAATACGTGATTAAGTGTCTGTGGGTAGAGGGGGATGCTCAGCAATGTATTAATTAGGCAGGAAAGTCCCCACAACGTCTCATTTTCACATCTGATTCCCTATGTGTGTATGAAGTCAAATCAATAAGTAGGTATATGACTAACTAATCTCTAAGATGCCTTCCAAATCTAAGATTCTGTGACTCACCGGGGCTTCCACCATGTTTGGCTTGCTGTTCCTCAGTGTCTTTACTGCATGGAAAACATCGACAACATTTTGCCGTTTCACCATTTCAACAACGATGCCTATAGCACAGAACATGCCACTTCGCCCGCCACCATTTCTGAAAGCAAAGAAAGCAAAGGCATTTTAGATAGCAGCACCAAGTGACCACAGGTCACACCATCATATATGTTTGGGAAAATAAGACATTGTAGTTTTAATTGTTTTCCATTTGTGTCTTAATTTTGCTTTATATGTGTACAAGGCAGAGAGGAGAAAACTTGAGGATGAAATTAGATCAGTAGCTTATACTCAGGAAAATGCTATAGGCATAGATTGCTGCAATCTAGACTTTGAGATTCTGATATATTTGTAAACTGTGTAAATCAGAAGTTGTTACGAGTAGTGTTCCAAAGAGTTTAAATAATATAGCTATATAATAATCAATATTTAGAAAATATACAAAATAAACTTAGTAGTTAATTATAGACTCATGAGACAGGAAGACTGTTTAAAAATAACATCTATGGGAGGTCCATAAGATGCAAGCCAGATAGTCTTTAACATTGAAAATGAGAAAATAAGCACCAAGGCCCCATGAATGACAGGCTGAGCTGCCCTACTCACAGGCAGTGGATAATCGTCCGGCCTTCCCCTTCCTCGCATTCCTCCTGCCACTTTTCCACCTGAAGTATCAGTTTCAAGAATGACCTTTTGGATCCAGGCACTTCTCGATGAGAAGCCCATCCTAGGTACTGAAACTGTTGCACCATCAGATAACCTTCCTGTGGCTGTAGAGGGAAGTGTTTTTATGTAAATACGCTGGGACTACAATTTTTACTAAAAAGTAAAAGGTGCATATAATTTACAATACAAATGGCATCTACACTGGATTGAGTCTAGCTGATATAAATCCTCAATATGTACATGCTAGTAAAAAAACATTCTAAGTGACAACAGCAGGAAACATGGCAATCATCCTTTATACCTGTTTCTCCCTCGCACTATGTATCCAGTAATTCATTACTACGATTACATTTCCTAAATAACTTTCAGATTCATTGCCTTCTCTTTATCACCACTGACATCAATACACTACTAGTCACAGGTTCTGATAATTACCTCCTAGCTGATCTCCCTGAATAAACTTTGATCTCCTTCCAGTCCATTCTTACTATAGGCATCATGATTATTTTGAACTGCAGATACAATCTTGTCATTTCCTGCTTTAATGATTTTCAAATGATCTTAGCATAAAATCCAAATTGTTGTCATGGCTTAAAAAAACTTATGTGATCTGGCTCCACCCCCTTCTTCAACCTTCTCTTTGTCTTCTTTTAATCCATATATCAAGTCTCTTCTTGCCTTGGGGACTTTGCATATACTGTATGTACCCTTTGCCTTGAATACTTCTTCCTTGCTTGGTCTTCTCAATCCCAAATAGAATGACCAACTTGTCCCAGGTTGGCCTGGGACTTCTCTGGTCTTAGCACTGAAGGCTGTGTGTCTTGGGAAAGCTCCTGCCCTGGGCAAACCAGGATGGTGGGTTACATCAACCCCCAACTAATTTCTATTGATTCATTAAATTTTGGCTTAAATACTACTATCGCAAAGAGGTCATCTCTGATCACACAGTTATGTCAGATCACCCAGTTAAACACTCTATATTCTTTACTCTTTCACTGTAAAATGCATCACTTTTATACAAAAAGGATTATACAATTTTCATGTAATGCTTTTCTTCCTGAAAAAAATAAAGATTCCTTAAGTACACGGAAATCTTTTTTTCCTACACTCTGTATCAGTAGAACTTTGCATAATACTTCCCCAAAAGTAGTAGTGTTGAAAGAATGAATCAAAACCTTAAACCTTGAAATAAAAATATCAGGAAGAATATGTAATATATGAGTAAATCATATCAGATTGGCAAGAGCCCATGCATCTTTTGGTAGATTACAAGCCCTACTTAGTACTCTACAAACTTGTTGGTACATGTTAAATGTTTGATGCAGTTAAATATATTAAATATATTAAATGATGAGAGTGAGAACAGAAAAAAAATCATGTACTAATAAGGACCAGAATACCAAATACAGAGGCAGTTCAATAAGTAAGCAAACAAATAAATAAATATGCTGACAAAAATATAACATTTCAGTTCCTGTTCCTAGAATATTTTTCACATAAACTGCTCAATTAACAGACAAGCCTTACTGTCTTCAGCAGTTCTGTTTTTTTCCAACTCAAATATTACTAGAACCATAATGTAACAGATGTGCAGACATAATGAGATTCCATTTAAATTAACATCTAAGATATGCATGAATATTATGAGATGATTGAAGTTATCCTTTTTTTCTCCACTGAAATGAGCAATAGGAGTCGATATGATTCCATTCCCTGCTCATAGTTATATACATATAGACTTATTAACCAGACACACACGTAGTCATTTTGATATGAGAGACACTGAAACATGATAATCCTAATCACACACTTAAAATACATACCCACAGAGCTGGTGCTTTAAAAAACAGAGTAATGTTTCTCTCTAAAAAGAGCTTAATTTCATGAAAGTTACTAATGTTTTCTTTTCCAATTCTGCTTGTTATTTGGTTACATAATCTAAATTGTTTTTATTAATATCTTTTTTTGGGGGACGAAGTCTCGCTCTATACAGCCTGGGGTGCAGTGGCGTGATCTCAGCTCACTACAACTTCTGCCTCCCGGGTTCAAATGATTCTGCTGCCTCAGCCTCCCCACTAGCTGGGACTACAGGCATGCCACCACCATGTCCAGCTAATTTTTGTATTTTTAGTAGAGATGGGGTTTCACCACGTTGCCAGGCTGGTCTTGAACTCCTGACCTTATGATCTGCCCGCCTTGGCCTCCCAAAGTGCTGGAATTACAGGCATGAGGCACTGTGCCCGGGCTTTATTAGCACTTTTTTTTTTAAGATCTTCCCCACCCACATTGAATTTGTCATGTAGTGGAAAGCAAATGAGGAGTCAGAGAAAGACGATACAGTTACTACTTTGCTGCTGGGAAAAGGCATGGTGGTAGCAGCACTGGTTCTACCTTTAGATCTGCTTAGAGCCATAGGTTGAGACGTTTAGGAAGATGAAATTGCAGGTAGGATAATCAATAATGAACTTGGAACAGTGACATGGAACCCTTCTATAATGGTTGATCCAACATGTCTCTTTCCTCCTGCAGTACAGTTTCTCTGTCATTATTGTTATTGCAATGTTCTTATTTTTTTTATCACATGCCATTTCTGGGCTGGATGTCAATACTAATAAAACATGCAGTCATCCTTAAGATAAGTCTACATACACTCAGAGGCCAGGCCTAGGCTGTCCAACTTGACTGAGCCAGTGCATCTGTATTTCCTGAGAGAATATGCTAGTCTAGTGACTGACCGAAAAACCTAGCTTCCAGCATTTCTGTTTTCCTGTATTTTTATTCGAGTACTAAGGCATAAGATGGTTACTAGCTTTGAGGTGGATGATATAGTGCTTATTAATTGTAGTCTCCCTGTTGTCTGAATAAAATTATACCACATCTTGGTTATGACTGACCTATTCTAGATCAGCTCAAAGGATCCGATAGTGACTTACTCTTGTTAGATTGCATATCCTAAAAATCCGGTTGATCACATCACAGTCCATTGAACAAGACATACATTCCACTTGGATGGGGCCATATCGTAGCATCCCTTCCTCTGGCCAGTACTGAGGGCAGCCCTAAATGATGAACGTTTTGAAAGAAAAAAAAAAAGAGTATTATTTTTTCTAGTTAGGAGAGTATAAAGCAGATTTTAGCAATTCATTACTACTCTATTAAGTTGTATATAAGTACATAAAAGCAATCCATAGCCATTAACCTGGGACAAGTCGACTTCGTTTAACATCACAATGGAGGTACAGCCATAATCATACACTAATCTCCAGAAGTCTTTTACAGTGTTTGGCAGAGGGTATTGTGTGACGATGAAAGCAGCTGGTTGCCTGTAGCTCTGTGAAGAAACAAGGTAGATGGAGAAATATAAAAACTTAAAATGTATGATCGGTTGTACAAACAGATACAATACACTTCAATGTAGGACCAGTAAGATGCAATAGCTTCATATGCAGAAGGAGCCAGAGTGATGATTAAACCATGGAATAGGAGATTCAGACCACTGGAATGAACTGAATTAGTACAGTAATGAATCAATTTGGTGGAAGACTTCAATGCTTCCAAAGCAATTCAAGTCAATAACTGAGTTTTTACTTTACTGAAAGACGTAAATACAGGACAAATACAAAAGAAGAAACTAAAAAGCTTCTGAGGTTAACATCCTCTGTAAGGTTCCTGTTGGGCTATTTCAATTTTCCAAACGTAATCAGTCTCTGAGAGGCTGAAGGCAAAGTAAGCACAAAACCCCTGGTATGTCTATCAATCATCTGGGTATGTGTATAGTGTGTGTGCGTGCAAGTAAAATTGTTTTACTCTTCTCCACTCCAAATAAGAAAAACCACAAGTAGCTCAAACACTTGTGCTTTTACATTATGTGGACACTACCAGGATATTCTGCACATCTTGCAGACAATCCACCTTCCACAGCTTCCTGGGCATTTCTAACATATATCAAAGGTCATAATGACAGTCTCAACCATTTAAGATCCTGAAGCACCAAAGCATAACAGCAATATATTTCCTGTCCCCACATAAGCGGGGAGATAGCTCCTTGTTAACCAAGTCCTCCTTGATTAGAACACAATATATTATCTCTTTCCAAAGGGAGAAGTAGTAAAAACAATATTTATCTGGACTGGACAATTGCCATTTGATTTAAACTAATTATTTGCAATAATAATAATAATAATTAGTAGATTATAGAGTTCCCTAATGCTGACAAAAATTTTCAATGATCTTGTAACTCATTTGTATCATACTACTATTTAAGTCCTTCAAGAATCTTAACATCAGCACAGGAACTGGTTCTTGGACTTCACTGATGCTACCACCATTTGGGAAATGCTACCAACCATGGCATTCAGCGTTGGCTGAAGACTGCAGGATAAATCTGAGTAGATGACAATAATAATTTACCTGGCTACTTCTAAATGACCTCAAAACCTTACCAAGTTACACGTGCAGCTGGGATGAGTGTCTCCTAAGAAAGGCAGGAAGGTTCATGAGTCATATTGTTTGGCTCTGTGTCCCCACCCAAATCTCACCTAGAATTGTAATAATCCCCACATGTCAAGGGCAGGACCAGGTGGAGATAATTGAATCATGCAGGCAGTTTCCCCCATGCTGTTCTCCAGATAGTGAGTGAGTTCTCATGACATCTGGTGGTTTTATAAGGGGCTTCCCCCTTTGCTTGGCACTCCTTCCCCTTCCTGCCACCATGAGAAGAAGGACGGGTTTGCTTCCCCTTCGGCCATAATTGCAGGGATCCTGAGGCCTCCCCAGCCCTGTGGAACTGTGAGTCAATTAAAACTCTTTCCTTTATAAATTACCCAGTCTCAGGTATGTTTTTATTAGCAGTGTGAGAATGAACTAATACAATGAGAAAAGTTAGAAGAAAGGAAGCTCTTCTTCCAATCAAATGTCTGCTCCATGCAAAGGTAAGTCAAAGCAGACTGACGGCTATCTACTCATTTTTTGAGCCACAGGGGAGGGGATATGCATGAGGAGGAGCTGATAAGAGAGGAGAAGACTGAAGACTTCCTATTCTTTTTCCCTCTAAATGCAGGAACATATGTAAGGCTTTGAAATTACAGAATTCTTGGCCCTAGCTCCTAATCCCTCATAGACCTGGCAAAAGGGTACTAATGATGGGGATAAAGGGTAGGGAGAAAGAAGTGAACAATAAACCCTGTTCTTGTAAATCAAACCAGCTTTACTTCTCCAACGGTTCATTTGCACTACTAAATCCCCAGAACAGCTTTAACTATGAAATGTCTTTTTTTTGAATCACAGGGGATTAAGCAGACAGTAAGAGCAGGTGGATTACAAGCTTCAACTTTCATACAGAAAAAAAGACAAGCTTGGACAAGAAAGCAAGACCCCATCTTTACAAAAAATAATAAAAAAAAAATTAGCTGGGCATGATGGCATACACCTTAGTTCTAGCTACTTGGTAGGCTGAGGTGGGAGGACCACTTGAGCCCAGGAGATTGAGGCTGCAGTCATCTGTGATCATGCACGACACTCCAGCCTGTGCTACAGAGTGAGAGCTTGTCTCAAAAAGAAAAAGAAAAAAGAAAAGAAAAGGAGACAATCTGGACATTGAGAAAAATTTGACAAAGATGCCAATGGCAAAAAATTCAAAGGCATCAATGCTTTTCTAAATATTATTATTTTCTCCTTTTCTTGTTCACACATCCTTTTTTTATTCCATATTTAGATGCAGAAATGAAAAAGTATTGTATGCCATCTCTCTATTTAGTATATTTGCCTTTCCAGACACCTAATATAAAAAGAAAAGGTATAATTAGGATTTAATGTGATTTCAGTGGATGTGATTAATGGCCAGGCAAGACTCCGATCACAGCAAGGATGAGAGCTTTTCACAGGCAAGAGTGACCACAGCAAGGACGAGAGCCTGCCTTTAGACTATTCCGCTTTGCAGCACCAAAAAGAGTAAAGTAACTGGTGAAGACTACTCGTAGAAACAGAATGTGGGCTTAACAGGAACAATAACTTAGAAAGCCTGTTATAGTCAGAAAGAAATGAACCGTGGCTTCTAATTTCTCCTTGATATGGTTTCATAGGAGAAAGGGCAAAAGCTAGAAATGAAGGCAGTAAACTGTTTAAAAAGATTATAAACCATGATAGCTTTCTTGCTTCTTTCCAACATAATCAAAGTAAAGTGGCCAAAGTCATAATTTAAAACTTTCTTTCCTTGGGAGGCCAAGGTGGGCGGATCATGAGGTCAGGAGTTTGAGACCAGCCTGGCCAATGTGGTGAAATCTCATCTCTACTAAAAATACAAAAAAGGCCCGGCACGGTGGCTTACGCCTGTAATCCCAGTACTTTGGGGGGCCGAGGCAGGTGGATCACCTGAGGTCAGGAGTTCAATACCAATCTGACCAACATGGTGAAACCCCATCTCTACTAAATACAAAAAATTAGCCGTGCATGGTGGTGCATGCCTGTAGTCCCAGCTACTTGGGAGGCAAAGGCAGGAGAATCGCTTGAACCTGGGAAGCAGAGGTTGCAGTGAGCCGAGATTGTGCCATTGCACTCCAGCCTGGGCAACAAGAGCGAAACTCTGTCTCAAAAACAAAAACAACAACAAACAAACAAAATAAGCGGGGTGTGGTAGAGCACGCTCCTGTATTCCAAGTTACTCAAGAGTCTGAGGCAGGAGAATTGCTTGAACCTGGGAGGCGGAGGTTGCAGTGAGCTGAGATCATGCCACTGCACTCCAGCCTGGGCGACAGAGTGAGACTCTGTCTAAAAAAAAAAAAACCAAAAACTAAAACAGAAAACTTTCTTTCCATATTGTTCTGTCTATGGGCTATATAACACCCTGCAATTTAAGATTTTAGAATGGGGCAAGATTGTTCTTTCATTATGATGGATGTGTTAACATAATACCATCCATCCCCTCTCTAGTTACTTATAATAGTCCTTATTGATTAATGGCCAACAAATTAATTGTAAATTATTGAAACATTAAATGTCAGAAATAAAAATTTCCCAAATTAACATGATTTTTGTAGGATTTGGCATTCTGTGATTTAAAAAATTCATTTCTAATTATATTCAAAATAGATAAGGCATGATTTTCTTTTCTGAAAATAATTAAGATGAAATTTATAACTTGCAATATTTACTACATGAATATAATAATTGACAATCAAGCTCCAAATCTACAATAAAGCTATAAAAATGACAGTTCTTAAGAATCTCTATAGGGAAAACCTAAAATCATTTTCCAAAAAAATGTGTTTCAATAAAAGTTTCCACTTTTCCTTTTTAGGTTATTTTAATTTCCTCGAAAAGAAAACTAGCCAGTGTTCAGTTGCATTATGTAGCTTTCCACAACACTCTACACTAACAAAGAGGGCAGTCTCTTACGTCCATAAGAGCAGCATTGATGTAGTTACTGCTCTCCCCATCAATTGTAATTAAAAAAGGCAGACATCTGTCAGGTGGCAGCATGTCCATGAAACGGTTCTTGTCATGGTTCCTTGGCAGGCACGCTATACTGCAGTCTTCAGCTTGTAGTCGAGGGGTGACTGAATTCAGAGTCTAAAAAGAAAAGAGAACCCAGGTTAAAAGACAGTGTGACCCATTTAACAGTATAACACAGATCCATCAGGAATTTAGAAGGCCAAGTAGAAAGTGAAGGATTTGTGCGAGGCAATGGCATTTGCTACTATGACAGGCTGATAGACCTTGTAGTTAAAGCTAATGAAGCCTGAGAAGTGACAAAGAAACAAGACACACATTGTTCAGGGCTCCTCTTCTTAAAAGGAAAAGGTACGCTAAACAACACTGCTACCTGCAAAATGCATTGCCTTAACCAAAGAAAATGCAATCGGGCAGTCCATTATGATAATGACCCTTCATCACACTGGGAAACGGTATCATTTGTAGTAACATCTGGGCTTGCCATATTTGAAGATAAGCTATGGCATGTTGGAAAGAGCACTGGATCAACAATCAAAGAATTTGGTCTCTGCCCTTGATTTTATTTTCACCCACCTTCAGGGGTGTTTTAAGGGCAGTGAAAACATTTAGGGCTATTTTGAAATAACATGTACTACAAACTTCATTTATTATTATTATTACTATTATTATTTTTGAGACAGGGTCTTACTCTGTTGCCCAGGTTGGAGTGCAGTGGCAATATCTTGGCTCACCACAGCCTTCCAGGGTTAAGCAAACTTCCAGGGTCAAGCAATCCTCCCATCTCAACCTCCTGAGTAGCTGGGACTACAGGCATGCACCACCACACCCGGCTATTTTTTATATTTTTTGTAGAGATGAGGTTTTGCCATGTTGGCCAGGCTGGTCTTGAACTGCTGACCTCAAGATCTGCCTGCCTTGGCATCCCAAAGTGCTAGGATTATAGGTGTGAGCTGCCACTGAACCCAGACTCAGTTATAATTAATGTGCTTGATCTCATCACATTGTGAGTGACCCAGGTCAAAATCTGTATGACTGCATGAAAAAAAGGCTATAAATACACACTAAATACACACAAATCACCACTCATTTTGACTTGTTATTATTTCTTTTTTTTTTCTGAGACGGAGTCTCGCTCTGTTGCCCATGCTGGAGTGCAGTGGTGCAATCTCGGCTCACTGCAAGCTCCGCCTGCCAGGTTCACGCCATTCTCCTGCCTCAGCCTCCCGAGTAGCTGGGACTACAGGCACCCGCCACCATGCCTGGCTAATTTTTTTTGTCTTTTTAGTAGAGACGGGGTTTCACCGTGTTAGCCAGGATGGTCTCGATCTCCTGACCTCGTGATCCACCCGCCTCGGCCTCCCAAAGTGCTGGGATTGCAGGCATGAGCCACTGCGCCTGGCCTAATTTTTGACTTTTATGATACCTTTCCCCTTTGCTCTTCCCTAAGTCTGAACTTATTTGTCATTTTGGATATAGTAGATATAAATTCATCAATAGAAAAGTGACTATATAATATGTATAATGAAAGAGATACGTATTGTATTTAAAACAGGATCAAAGGTTATAAATTTGACTTGAAAGACCTTCCTTGAAAGGATTCCTAGCGCCCAGAACAAATTGTAGTAAGTCACAAAAGAGGTTTTAGAAATAGTTAATACCTGAAATTCATCCTTGAGATGTGAAGAGTTAGTCTGGGAGTCTATTCTAATCATATCAAAATATGCAGCTTTAAATTCACAGACAGGTATGGCAGTTTCTCCACATAAGCAGGCTTCTAAAATGGCATCATGAATAAAAATGTACTGTTCCTACCAAAAGAATGAAAAAGAAAATTTTGTACTAGTTTTAGTATCACTTTTCTGTCATCAAAGTTAGGAAATACAGAAAATTTTCTCTATATGGAAATATGAATTAAAACACCAATATTTTTCTATATGACTCAGCTAATATTGATTACACATGAAAAACATCTCTTTCGGTTGAGTAGAGTATATATGAGAGACATCTACTCTTTGTTTGCAAAAAAAATAAAAAATAAAAAAAAGTCCACTACAGGTAAATCTACATACCTCTGTCTGGACCATATTAATACGCCGAGATCTTAAGGCTTTGACACAATTGTAAATATCAACAACACCCTCTCTTTCAGCCATGTCTAGCATGATGTCAATCACAATGTAGCAGCCAGTTCGTCCAGCACCAGCACTGAAAAACAATTAAATTTAATGAATTGTAAGAAGCATGTTAGTCTTCATAACCTTAAATAAGGACTTTTTCCACTGTCAGATAGGTAGAATCAAATTGATTTAACAAACTGCAAGGCACAGCACTTGTCCCTGCTGTGTAAAAGCTTATTAATGTACAAATAGCTTCATGCAGAGTATCTGCTTTGGTATAAACTAAAGATTGGAACAAGAGTTCTAAATTATTTTCAAATTGAAAATAACACTGTTTAAGTTCCACACCTCTCTCACAATTTTCATTTTATGTAAATTTAATACACATAATTTCAAGTTCATAGAATTGATCAAGTGGCAGATTCACGCTTCAAAATTTAACTCAAGATTGAATATTTTTAGATTCATCTAGTTGTGTGTCCTCTGGCAACAATGTGAGAATGTTGGCTCACTCACTGTCTTCACCTCTTGTAAATACCAAGGCAAAAGAAAATTAATTCCCAAAACTTTAAACGGGAAATCTGAGGAGCCACGCTTCACAGGAAATGCAAATGGTGGGGGTGGGCAAGAGAATGACGGTTATCAAAGGGGAGGAGAGTAACAGTGTAAAGACTATTTGAATCATGATCTGAAGAGAAATGAAAATGAATTATTAGGTGTAGAATATGATTCCCAGCAAATCAAAAGGCTAGCCGCTATCTTACTGTATTTAATTCTAAAGTTAATTTTTAAAAATACTTTTAAAAAATTATATTTTAGTCTTTAATTGGCAAATAATAATGTATATATTCTTGGGTACATAGTGATATTTTAATACACATAATGTAGAGTGATCAGAAAAGGGTGATTGGCATATGCGTCCTCTCAAACATGTATCATTTATGTTGTGAACATTCAGTATCTTCCTTCTAGCTCTCTCAAACTAAACATTATCATTTACCAGACTCATCCTACAGTGGTACAGAACACTAAAATGTATTCCTCTATCTCACCATATTTTGTGTCCTTTAATTGTAATATACTGTGATTATTTTGCAGCTGGGGAATGTTTCTCCAATTTTATATATAGAAGTCAATGGGGAAAACAAAATAAGGATTTTTTGCGGGGAGTGGGGAATTCACTTTGTAGTCCAGAGATGCTTCAGTGTAGGTGGAAAATGACACTTCTGTTTCAAGAGAGTATCTGAGAATCTTGGAGCATTTCTGAAGCAAGCAATTCATAAGAAAGTAAACCTCTCTGATAAATCAAGAAATTCTTAAGTTGAAAACCTATTTATCTCATTTTCTAAGTGCTTAGATAGGCTAGTAACATTATTTCCTTGTTATTCAGATTTGGTCACTTCTCTTAAACTCACTGTTCTTTTAGAAATTTAAGCAAAAGATATTGTGGCTATCTCTATTTATCTTTGTCCCCTACCATCTTCTCAATCACTGTTCCCAGAGTTGGAGACAGGAATGTAATTTAAGAGTACATCAGATTTCATGAGGAGGATTGAAAGGAAGTTTTTTTTGTTTTCAGGGTACATAGTATCTGATCCTATGGGACGTTTTACCTTTACTTCATTCTCTGCTTTTTTTCCCCTCTTTTATACATGGTTATTTAAATCCTGAATAGGTTGGATTTTCAGAAAGCAAAAAATGCTTAGGTACAACCTATTATGTAGCTTGGAGGGAAGAGCGTATGAGAATGGTGTGCAGCATCATTTAGGAAACGCTTTTCAGATTCAGTACTTATTTTTCTGGTCACACCTCAAAATGAGGCCATGTAATTTGCTTTTAGTATCTCTAAATGCTTGTTTTAAGAGAAGTTTCTAATCAGAAGAAAGTCTGGATATAATGCTCGTGTTTTTTGGCATATATTTGCTGAATCTCACTGATGCAGTTTTCAAGGTCCTCTAATGTGAATTCTTTAAAAAAAATTTTTAAATAGCTGTTTTGCAGCACAAATCCTTGCAATTTAGGCCATTTAGTAACTCTGTATGTCTGAAATTTAGTTTTAAAGCTGGAATTCTATTGGGAATTTTCTAGATTGGCAAGAAATGTCTATTTCAACCTAGCATTCTATACAATATGGGATTTGCAAAAGTGATAAAAACAAAAAACACAGATGTTGCCATTAAAAGGCAGAGTTTCTATACTTTAAATTGTGGATAACACTACACGCATTAGGATGAATGTATGTATTTCTTAAGTTCCTGTTTTATAGACTACTTACAGCCAACTTTTATTTTATTGCTGTTTTACTTTATCTATAATACAAGCAAGCTGGAACTTCGTAAGCACACATTAGTTTTTGTGCTCAAAAGCCTTGTCTTGATACTCTAAAAAAAGCTGATTGCATACAGTCAATACCATTTGGACCACCACTTACCTGCAATGTACAACGATGGGGCCAGCACTGGGAGGGTTTGATAACTTGACTCGCCGGATAAAGGAAAGCAGCCCTGTAGCATGGTAGGGCACTCCATGGTCAGGCCAGCCCGTGAAATGGAACTGTTTAACTTCACGGATTTCATTGTACCCCCTCTGTGCAAAGATGGAAAGAAATGTTTTCAAAAGCCATTTTAATGGCCAAAATAAAGCCATTAAACACAATTATGGGTACAGACCCAACTGACAATGATAACAATAAAACCTTTACGAAAGACTATGCCTTTTCTTAAAAAAAAAATATAATAAAATGAAGGCCTAACATGGACTAGGAGCTTACCTTTATTGTCAGACAACTGCCAAAGAAAGAAAATTATAAGTCTTGCTCAGTTCTAAAAGTCTGGGTAAATTTTATTTACTTTGACAGCTTGTTTCTTGCTGGGAGTGACAACACATTAAATTATTAGGGGAAAAGAAGGAAATGGGAAAGCTAAAATGCTGCCCCATTGACCCAATGCATTGAGTTCTCAAGTGGTGTATAAAAGCAACTTTCCAGCTTCTCACCTCACAAAGAGATTTTAATGCCTTGCTTATCCATGTTGAAAATGGTTTTGAAGCATAGCATGTAGGGATTTTCCAGGACAGTGCTGCTCTAGATTGGCTTGTGAAAATATACAGGCAGCTAAACTGTTCTTTGGGCAAACTATTTTTCTTAGCTCTGTGAAATAATTCAGCGCAGTATTATTTATAGTAACAAAAATACAAAATGAAAGAAGTGAAGCATCTGCTGTTGTGCTGCTCTCCTATTGGGTTAATTTAAGAGAACCCTGTAAATGCACATTTCAAAGCTTTTTCCTTCCTTTTTTTAGAAGAAGTCTGTAGACTGAGGTAGCACAGCTTGGAAGGTATAGATGAAATATTGCCGAATTTATTTTTAAGAACTCACATTTGTAGCAAAAGGAAAAAAAATCCCACTATAATCTATATAATTCAAATTCTACTGTGAACTATCTGTGAACTATCAATCTCACTTGTTCAATCAGAAAAGGTAGACACATTACATGAAATAAACAAAACTGAGAAAAACAGTTTATCTTTAGATTCAATCTTATACAAACCAATACCACCAAAACCTTGGAAGTTAGTGATCATTTCTTAAAGGTTTTCTTAATTCCAATTCCTAGCACAATACCCTACACAAAGCAGGGATCATCAATAAATAACTGTAACAATCACAATGATAAGCATCACCATGGAATCACCCCAATGGAAAATCACCTTTTGCTACTTTTCAACTCTAGTGAGGAAGGTCAAAAATTGTTTCATGGCCTGATTTTAGGTAATACTTTACTCCTTCTATATTAATTCTTTTATTGGAGTTGCTTAATAGGCCTTGCTCCCTTTATCTTTCTATTACATGTATAGGGTTTGCTCTTTTTAGTACATTTTCATATGTCAGCACCTATTCCCTGATTTTTTTTTTAATTTTTCTGAATGATTTTCAAATATGTGGTTAAAAAAACAACCCCCCCCATTTTCTTGTTCTAAATAACAAGAAAAAAAAATCCAATGATTTTCCAAATAGGATTGTATTAAATCCATACAGTGATATTAATATCAAGTACTCCCATATTCTGGAACATGGTGCATGTCTCCACTCATTCACATATTATGCGTATCCGTAAGTACACTTTTGTGTTTTTATTAAATCAGGAACTATATCGTTCTTATTAAATATATTCTGAGATATTTTGGCACTTTGTATTTTTAAAGATTATTTAGTAATATTTTCTTACTTCTGTTTATCACTAATATAAAGACAAGCTATAACTCATGAATATTTATGCAGATTTGGTCATTTAAATAAATGTTTATACATCCCATTTAAAAATATTATCCATACTTTTCTTGGTATAAATCCTTTCATCTTAAAATAATTTGTCTTTTCTAGTAGTTACACAGTTTATTCCTCTTGCTGCCTTATTTCATTTGCTAAAACTTCCAAAAATGTTTAATATTAGTGACACTGATTATCCACATAACATTCATGATTGTAGAAGCAGTAATATAATCTTTATACTAGTTTTTTATGATAAATGAATAGTCGTTAGTTCTTCATTCCTTAACATGGCTGCTACTAGGTATTGTTGAATCACCTTTATCATGTTTAGGATGCCTCTTAATTTCCCTAATTAGAGTATTACTATAAATATTTTGAAAATAAAATTAAATGCATTAATCTATTAAAGTCATACAGTTTTGGTACTTTAATGTACTGACATAATGAAATATCCTGTTAAGATTTCCCACTACAGTTGAAATATTCTTGCATTCTTAGGGAAAAAATAATAGGTCATGTAGTGATATTTTCTTAATTCACTACTAGATCCAAATTTTCAATATCTTATTTTGAATTTTTTCATGTTCTTGAATGAAATTGGTCTGCAATATGTGTGTGCATGGGGAAGAGAGGAAGAGGGGGAAGAGAGGAAGAGAGAGAAGAAAGACATCATGAAAGAGGGAATGAGAGCTCCAGAGAATGCTATCTTTATCTGATTCTGTTATCATCATTATGCTAACCTTTTTTTTTTTTTTTTTTTTTGAGACAGTGTCTCCCTCTGTCGCCCAGGCTGGAGTGCAGTGGCGCCATCTTGGCTCACTGCAACCTCTGCTTTCCCAACTCGGATGATTCTCTTGCCTCAGCCTTCCAAGTACATTATGCTAACTTTTAAAACATAGATATTAGCTATTCCTTAAAGTATAAAGGAACTTTAACTTTAAAACCATAGTGCAATTTTAATGATAATAACAATCATCCTATTTTCTTCTACCATCTATTCATGCTTCTAAATCTTTGTGACCTAATTTTTGAGAATCAGCATTTGTCAGAAAATCCGTGTCCTAGACTAAAAGTTATATTTTTAAGTTTATACATAATATTTTCCATAGCTTTTCTAATAGCAAGTATAATGGCTATGTCCCTCTGTGTTTTCTAATATTGTATATTTTCATTGTACCTCATTTAGAATTAATAGTGGTTTAATTACTTTATTGATCTTTTCAATAAACAAGCTTTTTCTTTTTTCTCATTTGTTTCTTTTTTATATTTAATTTTTCCTTTGTTCTATTCTACTTTTTCTGATTTTCCAATGTTATAATTTTTCACATGATTTCAGAGCACATTTCAAAACAGAAATCACTTATGAGTATAAATTTTTCTTACAGAATAATGAGGTAAATTTTGATGTAAAACTATTGATCTATATAATATAATTTTAGTTTTGAGGAAATCATTCAAGGATTATTCAGAAGAGGATTTGGTGACTTCTAATAGGCTAATTTCTGGGGTCACTGGTCAGCAGTTTGTCATCATTGCTTTCTATTGGATTTTGGCAATATCTCAACTTTTTGTTATGTATTCAGGTTTTCCTTATTACTAAGTTCATCATTGATTTTTACAAGACTTGTATGAACTTAAGAGACTGCATATTCCACATTTCTTTTTTAATAATATGAGCTAGTTATTCATTAAATCAAGCTTAATGGTTCTTTCTGAAATCTCCCATATCAATTGCTTATTTTATTCTACTTGATTTGTCTAAGAAATTTTCATACATATTTTACAGTTACAATAATCATGATTATGTTGTTCTGTATAATGCTATTTCAACTTAATATTTTGCCTAATTTTTTCATGTTGGTAGGATAACTCACAAGTATTTTTATAAAATACTATGCAATTATTTCTCTATTGTTGGGCATTTATGGTTATCTATAAGTTTTTAATACTATAAATGAAGTCATTGTATTTTAAATAAATTCCTTAGGAGAGATTCATGAAAGTTAACTTCTCAAAGGACATAAACATTTTAAAGCTCTGGAGATATACTGTTTTATTGATTTAAAGAAGGTTTGTAGCGATTTAACTATGATCAGTAATGTATAAAAATATGTTTCAACATACTCTAACAATCAATGAGGATTATTCTTTTTTAAAGTTCTTGCTGATTTGGAAGGACAAAATGGTATATAAGTACACTAGGTTAAACATTTTTAATAGGCTTGTTAACAATTGTGTTTCTTCAGAGATTCTAGTTTTTTTTTTTTTCTTCTACTGGTATTAACATTATAAATTAAGGACATTAATAAACAATCGCAAGGTTCTTCTGTCTGTATGTACCTTTGATATTTTTTTGTGCCACAGGTAATTTCACAATTTTGTGTGGTCAAATCTACCAAGCTTTACCACAAAATGTATTTCACTGTTACTATATTTCACTTTAGTCTACTACACCAGCCACCTTACGTTATTCTTTGCAATGTAACACTTGGAGTGATCCTTTTAGAAATAAAATTCAGACCATGTTATCCCTGAGCTCACAAACCCTACAATGGCAGCCTAACTCAATTTTAGTATGAACTAAAATCATCATGGCCTACAAGGCACCACTTATCCAATTTTGTGATTTCTCTGCCTTCATTTTGTATTTCTTTCCCCTTCACTTATGGATATCTGCACATCTTGGCCTGGTGACTGTCTGGCATTCTAACAGCTTTACACATGCCTCTAGGCTTCTGAAATGACTCTCCCCTCTGTCAGAAACATTATTGCCCTGGACATAACCCGTCACTCCCTCACTTATTTCAGGTCTCTACTCATATTACTTTCTCAACAATGAGTTTTTCTTTGATCATCCTTTCAGAATTGTAAACCATTTCTTACCCTGCCTAAATAATATTCCCTACTTCCTTCCCCAACATTATTTTTCTCTATATCACTTGTCATGATGTATGATATATTAGTTGATTTATTTATTTTTATTGCTGTCTTAATTCAATCGGCTCTAAGATCCACACGAGGCGATTTTAACATGTGTCCCAAGGTTTAGAAACATGTCTGGCACATAGTAAACTCTCAAATAAACATTTGTGGAATGAATACATGAATGAATGGATTTTATAGCATCATCAAAACAGAACTTGGCAAAGATTTTAAGAGAAAAAGCAGTTTTGATATCACTTTTTAAAATAGAATTTTAGAGTACTTACCCTTTCCAGGGTGAATGTCCTAACTACATATTCAGCAAGTGGTTCCATTTCTACACACGTTACTTTGAAGTCACCATAAACTTCAGTATCATCAGGCCAATATTTATAGCATTTAACCTAAGTGACAAAAAGAATATATAGACAGACCTGAATATATAATACTAATTAGCCAAGGTGATTTAATTCCAGCAATAACTCCTTGTCACAATTAAAACTCAGTTTAAAAATCTATAAATGAGAAAAAAATCTATTATACAATAAACAGAGTTTATATAGTCTCACAAAAAATATACAAGCCTGATAATGCAGTTAGATTCCAGTACAAAATTAAAGCTTATTTTATTACTCAATGAGAAATCAAATAATTTTTCAGCCAGTCAAGGTCTACTTAGAAGTACTCAACTAAAATGTTGTGCCTATAATTTTTTTTAAACAATTGGATGATATTCTATTTTGAGTGTCTTACATGTTGCTTCTCAACTATGTTCATTTTTATGACAAAAAAATTCTTTTTCTTCCTCTTACCCGGCCAACCTCAACTAAATTTGTAACCATCACAATGCAAGCAGATTGTTCTTGCCAAATCATCCTCCAGAAATCATACACTGTTTCATGAACGGGACCTACAAAGAAATTAATTTGAATATTATGTTATCAAAGGAATTTTGTAGTTAGTAAGAAGTTTAGCTAAGATAAGAAGCAGAGTAAACTAAGTAATTCCAAAAAAGGTCTAACACAAAATGTCACTGAAAATACTTAAATTCAGTTCATATCTAAATTCCCACAATAGGCAAAAACACAGGCATATACAAGTTTTTTTTTTTTTTTTTTCAATTTGCCCTCTACACTTCCCAATTTAGAAGAAACTATCACTAGTTTCTTGGGTATTTATATTTGTCACTAAGTCACTTTAATGCATCTTCAAATATGTGTAAAAAATAGAACTCTTATACCACCATCAACCAGACAGCATATATTACCAATTAAATAAGTGCCCACTATTTATAAATAGTGCATGTTTAGGGATCAATAAAAACATATCCTTACACGTAAGGACATATCCTAATCTTATCATAATATCTCCAAACTGCAAAAGCATGTGCTGGGCTGTTCTCTACCGAATACCATAAAACTGAATATTGTTCACCACTATGGTCGATCTTTCTAACTTTAAAGAGTACACAACTGAACTCAATTACTCCAAAGATATGTGAAAACACAGAAAAATGACCCCTGTTAAAAGAGTAAACCTAGCTTTTGTTTTACTTTCCTTTTATATAAAAAAGATGTACAGGTTTCTCTTCTGAGGGCCAGTAGTCAATTTAGAGAGATAACTACAGATGCTTTTTTTGTTGTTGTTATTTGGATACTTTTACTCCCCAGTGTACCACTATAACAAGATCTCTCTACTGTCTTATTATATTCCATGAAGAATTAACTTGACTAAATTCCATCTCTTTGTTTTGTCTCAGTCTTGACTCGTCAAAAAATTGCTCAGTATAACAGCTCATTATAACAATATTGGTCTTGGGTACTACTAACAAACTTGCTGCAAGAAGACAGGCCTCTTATATGAGACTTCTTTTTCCTTTCCTCAAAAATGAGTAATTCCTCTGACTGGCACTATTGACTAGTGCTCTGACCTATCTGTGTAACAAGGATCAAATCATAATAACCACTACCAGCTTTTCTTTCACTTTTAATTAAAAGTAAATCAAGCTTAAATTTATATAAGCTTTACACACACAATAAATTTGTACTATACAAATGAGTAAGGAGCAGTGTTAATCAGAAGGGCTGATTTTTTTGTTACTAAGATAAAATTTAAAAAATAATAAAAACCACCACATAGATGAATAAGCAAGTTTGTTTTTTCTATAACATTTAACAAGGCAAAGTTTTACCTTGGGTTGCAATGTAATGACTTGGTCTCTGGTAGCCCTAAAATAAGAGAACAAATTAGTTATCATTTTACATCAATATCAGAAATAAATGAATGAAGGCATAAAAAGATGAAGACAACCACCTGTTAAGATTAAGTTATAATAAAAAGTCCAGAAATGAGTAGTGAACACATAGTTCACTTCTCAAACCTATGTTATCTGAAAGGTAAACATAAAACAAAAATTAAATATTTTAAAGGCTCTGATTAGAATATATATTGTATAATTGATTTTTGTTTGCCATGGAATAACCTCATAGATTTTGTTTGGTTTCACTAAAATGTTTATGCCTTCATGTAAATGTTTAGTCATTCATTCCTGGTAAAATAGTGTTTAAAAATATTAATTCTCATTTTATCATCCAAAAGTACAACACACTGCATTACAAATGGACGAGGACATATTAGAACCATAAAAAAATAACAGAACATTCCAATGTTAGAGCTGGACAATGCATGTGTGCATCCAATCAAAGTCCTGCTGAGATTTTTAGAGAATATTCCTGTTCTACAACACATTCAGGGATATGCAAAAACTATTTTGTGCGTGCTCACAATGTTAATTTACACACACATAATTATAGATACACACATATATATAGGGAAAGAAGAATTTTTAAAAATGCATCTTATCTTGAGCAAAAATTTAGTATTTTTTTTTTCAGTGTGCTAAAAGTTCTGTTGAGGAGGAATAGATTTTTAGTTGCTTTCAATTGGTTTGAATAACAACAAAGCATAAGTTGTAAAAATGTTGATGATATGATCCTAAGTTCTGAATTTGTTGCATATTTACCAATGAGCCTTAGTAAAAGTCTGTGGTACAATTTGTCCACATACTGGTGTGGGCAACTCAATACACATATAAATACATGTGAACTGAGATCTCCAACCTAAAATTTAATAGCATGAGTATTACGTTATTGCAAATTTGGAAGATTTCAAATTTTTAATATACCACAATGTTTTATGGAAAATAGCACAATGTTTTATGGAAAAATTTTTCCAAGCTTTATAAGTATTTCATTTCCACTTCTTAAAAAAAATACCAATTGCAGAAGTATATACTCATATCGTTTACATATAATGAACTAATGGGAGAGGGAAAATTATGAAATTGTATAGAAATAGACCAAAATACACTGGGGTCTTAACAGAAAGACTAGATAACAAGTCTTATTTAAAATACAGTCCTACCATATGAACCATGAAATAATTTTATAACAAGGCTCCAGTGTACAAGTCCTGGCAGAAAACCCAGGTTAAACTAAATAGGTAAGAACAATTACAAATTTGTCATAGAACTGTTGATTTTTTTATTCTAAAAATTAGACCATTAGCTTAGTTTTACATAATGATGTTTGATAAATTTATATAATGAATAAGAGTAAGATTATGATCAGAAATTGAACTCATATACTCATATACTATGCTTTATAAAATATATTAGTTCAACTAAATACATAATGACAATTCATAACTCTAAAATGTGAACCTAATAAATGTAATGAAAATTATTTCCTATTTATGGAAATTATAAAATGTTGGGTCCTAGGTTTCATACCTTTTAGGTCTATAGAAGTATACATATGCTACCATTCTTAATACCTCCACCTTTTGTCTTATAATTATACATATTGTGAATCAATTTAATTATAGCACACCTAGATTTTAATTGTAAAAAAAATAGTTGAAGTTTAAAGAGTGCTAAATATATGCTAGGCATTGGGCAAAATGCTCAACATGCATTACTTCATTGAATTCTCACAACAAAGTGATGAGGTTAGTACTGTTATTATTATCCCCACTGCAAAGATAAGGAAACTGAGGTACAGAGAGAGAAGTAACATTCCCAAGATCTCCAGGGTGATTATGAACCAGGTCTTCCTTATAGGTAATGTAATATATTGCCCTTTAAGAATATTCTATATTTTGTTTGATAATTACTTCCTTTAAATAAAGAATTTCCATGTAGATATGTATGTAATCAAAATTTAACAGTGAAATATATGATCAAAGCAACCTTTTTCATTTCTGTGATTCGATATATATGTGTGATATGTGTATTTTACAATTGAAATTTAGTAATTATTTTGCCTGAGTAATTTTATTACTTTAAAAGCCAATACAACACATCACAAAATAGTCTCCCTACTCATTTTAACGTCAGAAGTCAAATGTAAAAAGTAAAATTTCAGTAACACTAATACACATCATACTATCCAGCTTCTCACATATGTTTAGGGAAGGGTAAGAATAAAAGCCAGAAACAGAAATCATCAACAAATAAAACTCGAGTACATAATAAACTGTCAAAGCTAAAAATGGTCCTGTTTTTCTACACAAGAAAAGGGAAGGTGGTAAAATAGATCTTTACGCATGTGAAAGAATTACAAAAAAACGAACAGAGATATATTGTATGAAGCTAATTAGGTGAAGCATGCAGAAATAACTAGTAGTAACAGAGCGTTAGTAATAACTGTAATTAAGAATGTTTGTATTTATAATAGGGTGCTGTTATTTACATATAGTGGTACTTACATCCCTGTACAGCCAAATCTACAGCCCAAACCAAAGTCAGGTGTGAAAGAAAGCACAACAATGTCAGTAAGTACTAGGACGCAGAACAAGGAAAAGTGTACAGTTTGTACTTTTATATTTTAAAAAGCTAGCAATCACTTTATAGGTAATAAGCAAAAAGGTTCATATATATAAGCCAATAAAGTAGACATACTTAACTATAAAAATACTTACATCAATATAGTTGGCATTAATATAATCTGAGGAAGGATCATCCTCTACGGGTTGCAAAATCACTCTGGAGTGATCATCTAAAATTTTAAAATAATAAATATAAGCTGTTAAATTTTCCCCCTGTTCTGAGACAATGTCATTGGTAGAGACTAAAGAATTCAGTGGTTGCCCATAGTCTATCCATAGTATACTACTACCAAATCAGTCCTTTGAAGAAATATAAGAATGTTAGTGAACCTTGCTATTACACTTATAATATTGTGTGACTTAAGCTTCACTGACTTGAACCTTCATAGTTAGTGTTTAGGAGACATGAAATTGTCTGGTAAGTAATCATTTGAGTCATAGAATTGTCTACATAACTGAACTAGACTTAACTTCTAATTTTGCTTTTTAGTCATGACTTTAAACGGGTTGGATCCTTTTCTTCTGCACTTTACAGCAAATGAGCCACAGAATTAAAAAGTGAATTTTGAATTCCCGCTCTCAGTTTCTTACTCCCTGAGAATCAAGGTTAGATTTTGAGCTATTCATAAGATACTTTAAAATAATTTAAATTCAGAGCAGAGTGGTCTAGGTAAATCAGCAGCTAGTTACAAGTTAAACTATCTGCTACTTTCTTTACTGATCCTGTGGTTTTGTCTGATAATGACTTTATTATCCCGTGTATATCTTGAGGACTTACTCAGGAGGAAGTCCCTAACGATAAATAATATCGAACAACTGGAGTTTAGACAGTGGCTCCAAGTAAGAATTAAAGGCACGTGGAAAGAATAACACCCCAATCTTGAATATGTTTGATGGAAGTGTTAAAACAATTTATAACTGAAAAGATCTTACTTTTTCATTATCCTGATAGTCTCAGCTGTTCAGTAATACCCCATGCATTTATGTACAAACATGAAATCAAACAGCAAGTTATCTCCACAGGGTGAAGTGGCTGAGTCAATTTAATTAATGAGGATGATGACAATTTCAGAATCACTGCTAATAGCCAATGTTGTTTTTGTTTGTTGTTGTTGTTTTTTGAGACAGAGTCTCGCTTTGTCGCCCAGGCTGGAGTGCAGTAATGCAGTCTCTGCTCGCTGCAACCTCAACCTCCTGGGTTCAAGCAATTCTCTTTCCTTAGCATCCTGATTAACCAGGATTACAGGTGCGTGCCACCAAGCCAGCTGATTTTTGTATTTTTAGTAGAAATAGAGTTTTGCCATGTTGGCCAGGCTGGTCTCAACCTCCTGACCTCAGGTGATCCACCTGCCTTGGCCTCCCAAAGTGCTGGGATTACAGGCATGAGCCCTCAAGCCTGATTGTAAATGCTGTTTTAATATTAAATAGATTACTTCATAAACAGACACACCACTCTCTGGGATTTTTCTTAAAGTTTAAAACCATATAAGCATATAATATTTACATTCACCAAGAATTGAATGGGAACTTACATGCTATAATGTTTCCATATCGGTTTTTTGCTCTATTTTGATCTTTTTTAGCTACATCCCAAGATGCTGACTGTCCTTCAAAAAAGCTCTGGGAAAACAAAACGAATAAGCAGACTGAATTTAATTCCTTTTTAAAAATCAGGTTTATCTGTTCTGAAGCCCCAAATAGTAAAAACCACTTTCTCAGAGAGGAAAGCAGTCCTACAGTAGTAAACAAGTTTCATTCTCAGACCTCAAAGCCGCTTTGTTGGATTCATACTTGTTCATCTTAAATTGGATTCAGGTCAAATTAAAGACAAAAAAATAACTTTAGAGAAAAAAAATGGACCTTGAAAGTATTTTAAAATTAAGATCACTATAATGAGAAGTAGAAGTAGCAAAGTATCATTCTTTTCAAAACGTATTGAATGATAATGCATCAAAACTGCAAAAAAGCTTTTAATGAGTATCTTTCAAGTGTGCATCATTTAGCATTTATAACAGTAGAAAGAAAACCTGCTTCCCTCCATAATTATTCATTAAATTGTGTGCAATACATCGCATCTGAGTTTCTTTGAAGATCATGAAAAAGAGTGAGTCTTCACAACAAGGGACCATATAAAAATTAAAATAGAGTCCCCTTCTTCAAGAATCTGGGAACAGAAGAATTTGTTGACTAGTTTAATTACTATATGCAGCAATTTAAAACGGGTGTAAATTTCATTTTGCAAAAGAACTTAAACTTTGCTCAACACAGGAAACGGGGTCTTCAAAGAGCCCAGTGGTCTTTGAAGCAAGGTACACAGGAGTACACATGAAATGAACAAAAAGAACCAGCTCTGGCAGAATAGTCTAATTCCTTGTACTTATTTTGTTACCACGGCAGTGTTTCTGGCATATATCTAAAATCAACTTTCAAAATTCAGAGATAATTAACACTCCTAATTTAAGGTATACAGGTAATCCATAGATAAAATATGGAGTTTAAAAGATTCTTCATGAAATTGGATGTATTTTGGATGGCCTTTTCAAAGCAAAATATTACTTGGATTCTTTCACTTTAAATGTGTGCATACTGTGATGTGTTCATGGGTAGTGGACTGGCTTCCTTCCATGCCCCAGATTGGTATTTCTCAGTAAGTGAAGGGTGGCAAAGGAACTATTTTCCTTTTGCTATATTATGTTTGTTGGAATGTTTGGTTTTAAATCATTGCCTTTGTGAGATAAGTCCTGGTATTTTGGTTTGAGTAGGAAGGGGAAATAAGGTTGGAAGAAGAATTTCCCACTGCCTTCTTTTGGCTTCTCAGTGTTGTTTACTAGATTTGCAGTGCTCTATTTTTTTTCTCAGCCACCCTCAACCAATAATCCATAAAATTAAACTGAGAGTGGCAAGTAGTATATTTAGAGCACAAAGCTTCATCTGATTTCTCAACCATAAGGTCAACAAAAAAAGGGGCAGAGAAGTACCTGCTACTTGATTCATTCAAATGATAGAATCTGCAATGGAACAATGGGACCCAAAGTGTATTGCTACTTGATTTTTGCATGGGGAGATACGCAAAGTGTTTTTTTTTAATACCATAGTAAAATAAATTACGGAATCCAACATTAAAGATTCTTGTAATAAATTTAGACTCATATATCTCTGGGAAGTGCTTTTTTCCCCATTCCCTTCCCATTCCCAGGTACACACACTTGGTTGTACACTCATAAACACTAGATTAGAGAGCCTATAGAACAATCCCCTCCTTGTTGTGTTAAAGAGAGGGAAAAAAATGCTAAATTCCACTGAGTATCATAGTTAAAAATCAAATTCAATACAGTATCAAAACTTATTCACCTCATATTCCTCTTTGAACCCATAGCTGTCTGATGTCTTCATGAGATTAATGTGCTGCAGTAAATCAGCTACCCTGATGGCTGGATGCAGCTGTCCTGTCTGGTAAGGGGATTCCGTCCCCTCACAGAGGTAGCGAGGTACGTCTAGAAGGCGACTGGACTCTGCTGTAGCACTGTGGTTCTCATCTGGCATTTTTCAGATTTCAGAAGATTAAAAAAGAGACAAAGTTATCTTGTTTAATATATGTATCTATGCAATGAAGATTTTAAGACCTTAAGATCTTTCTGATAACAAGAGGAATTCTGGGAAAGAAATATCATACAGTATAGGCCTAGACAGTATCCCCAAAGACAAAACTCAAGGTTTCAGGTGAGAGTATATTATGTGTATATCAGCAAGACAACAGACACTGTGAGATGCAGGGAGACATCTGATAGACCTTTTAAAAGCTTAAGCGGGAAATTTTGCTGAGTTGTTTTTCTTGCATCTGTAGTCATAGCAGTATAGAGTGGGACCAGAGGACCCAGCTGTCAAGTGGAGGTGTTTTCATGGTCTATTAAGTCGACCAAACTCCTTCCCAACCATATCCCAACCTCCCTCAGAGATACCCGATCTAGGTGACCCATCCCCAAAGGGCTGCTCTTCTTGTTCTCGTGGCCCTATTCTCTGGGGCTTTTTACCACAACACACTCTGCACTGGGAAACATGGGCATTCCACATGATCACCCCCTGATGCCACTCTGTCTGCTAGCCAGACTACACGTGCATTTATATTCAACCTCTGCCGCCTTGACTTATTACTGTTATTGTTTTTATTGCAAATGTATTTTGAGTCTCTTGGCCACGCTGCGAGAGAAATCAGGGCGCGCTTCTGGAGCAAAATGTGGGTTCCTCCCCTGGAAGTCTTTTCTGGCCCCTCCAGGTTGAGTTACAAAGCTCCTTCTTTATGTTCCCATGACCTCTTATTCATTTTTACATGTCATTTCACTTGCTCTATATTTTAATGATTTATCTACTTGGCTATTTTCCTCACTAAATTCTGAACACCCAGTACAGAGACAGAATATTTTTCTTTCTATTCCTAGTGCCTGATGCATAACAGTAACTCAATAAATATTCCAATGAATGAATTAAAAAGTCAACTGAATCCCTGACCACTCACAATTAAGCGTAAGTCCCTTCCCAATTGTGTTATTAGCTTAAAAAGAAAAGAAACTTTAAATTCTTTTTCTGTCATAAGAAGGAAGAAAAGAACAAGAACATTTTTGCCTATGAAGAATAAACAGTACTTTAATGACCGAAGTACTAAACATTACAACGAGAAGCATGCTCATATTTATCACATTTAAACTTACCACTTAAAAAAAAAAACAAATGTTTTAAGGGGTGTTACTTTGAAAAGCATTATACCGTCATACTCATTAACAGAAGAGAAAATACACTCTTAGGGGAACTTTTTTTTTAATGATAATGCATACTGTAGAGAATGATATTTAATTAACAGATAAACATATTTCAAGTGCTAGTACATTTGCCTGTTCTATCACCAACTCTACAAATAGGATATAGCAAAAAATGAATTGTTGTCCCCATGATAAACATTTTTTCTTCCTGGAGAAGGGAAAAAAAAAAGAACCCTACAATCAGATTTGTGTGCCTCTGTAATTTAGCTTGATTGCATTTATCTTTACTCCCTCTTATTAAGCTGAATGCTCTTTTTGTAGCATTCATTCCTAAAAATACACTGAATCAAAAAATCCCTGATAGATTCTGTTGTGACCTAACCACTCAAGTGAATTCATGTCTTTTACTCAGATTTTGCCCACCCCTCTACACAAAAACATTGGCTAACAAACATGATTCATGAGAGTTTCCTGTTCTCACTATGCGACCAAAGTCAATGGATCTACTTCTATTAAAATATTACAATCAACAGACCGACATAAAGAATAAATACATCTCCCCAGAAAAATTAAATTCAGAAGCAATTGATTTGGGCACTGCCACAGAATATACAGTTAAGGATGAGAAGTAAAGAGAACAGATAACGTCAGAGAGGCAAAATGCAATCACTCAAGCTGGAAGAAGGTAGCCAGGGCTCAGTGGAGCAGCCCCAGAGCTCACTTTTACCTGCTGGAGTAGCAGAATATTTACAATTGAAAAAGGCTCAGTGAGAAACACAGAATTCACCCATATTCCAAATCTTACAGATGATTGTGTCCCAATATAAAATAGACAGTGCCTTTTGTTTTGCATTAAGCTTTAATACAGTAGTACAATGAGCAGTAAGGTCTTTAAAATAATCACATATGCATTATTAATCTCAATACATTTCCACCTCATTAAACCACCTAATAATGTGACTAGTAGTGAGGGTACACGTACTAATCATTATCCTTATTATACATTTAAGAATAATAACTTGAAATATATCCTTGATTGAAAGGTTTTCTAGAGTTCTTTGCAATACACTTACCTGTTATAGGAACTTAAACCCAATGAAGCAGTAAAACACAAAAACCAAAAATACGAATCAGTATGAAAAGTTTCTAAGCCCTTTTAAATCAGTAAGTATTAGCATTAAGCAATATTTGAAGTGATTTCAGAAACTGCATTATAAATACAAAAATGATTGGATGCAAAACTCTAAAGACCACAATCCTAAGAATGATGAAAAATACAACAAATCATTTCTACATCTAATATGATTAATGAGATATTTAGCTTTTAAAGAATGCCAATATATTTTTAAAACCAGCTTGACTTTCAAAATTAAATAAAATGTGTAATGAATGTTTATATAACTAGACTTTATGACTCTATTGTGTTAAATCTAGCTTTCCTTAAACATGAATATCCTTTTTCACAGGGAAAATTACTATGATAATTATTACAGTTTATAAAACTCATACACATCATCTAATTTTCTCTTTATAATAAAACCCCATGAAAAAGGTATGGTAGGAATTATTATACTGTTTTATAGATGGGAAAACAAAGATGTAAGGTATTTTTATGAGTTCATATTGTAAATCCACAGGAGGACCGAGACTTGGACTTTACATATGTGTAGAAAATTATTGTAAGGAAACTTTTAACATTTAGGCAACTAATTTTTTTCCAATTAGTTCTCAATATTTTAATTGAAATTTATTTATTAACTTTATACTGACAGCATTCTACAGTGCTTAGCAGAAGATGACATTTTCAGAGGCATCTGATGTATCCTTAATGATCCCCAGTGATCATGATTTATGGCTCCTCCCTGTGTGATAAGACCACTCCCTGGGGCAAATCCCCAGTTCACTTCCTAACCATTATTGGTGGACATCAAAGGGAGAGTGCAAGTAGAGATGAAGAACATTGACTTTTCAGATTATTTTAGAATATATATCCTTTATAGTAATTATAAAATTATAATTTTAAATATTTATTTTAGTAAATAAGAGGTATATTTTACATAACTGAGTTAGTTGTGTTGTTCCAAAATATTTTAAAAATGCAATTGAACATTGATTGTATGTATAACAAAAATACAAGCATAAAATATAAGTTAAAGTTTTTTGTTCACAAGAAATGTTAAATATAAATAACAAACATGACATTTGGGAATTTACAAGATATATTTATTTGATAGTTTCCATATTTCTTTGGTTAAAGCTTAACTAGAAACGCTGGTAAAATTGATATGGAACCTGTAAACATACAGGCAAGCTGATTACTAATCATTGGTGTATAATTAGTCAAGGAACAGGGTACAAAGTGAAATGAAAAATGAAACCCATTCCATTCTTAAATATATAGGTAGGTTTAAAAATTAATATAATTTTACATCTGTAAAAGCGTTAATTGTCATTAGTAATAGCATTGTCTTAGATGTTATACAGTGGTAACCCAAGTAGCTTGTTCTAAATTTCTTGAAAGATAACATTACTTATCAGGTAAGGTTCATGTAGAATGTCAAACCCCACATCAAGATTTTAGCAACTTTACCTACATTAAAACATTCTTAATAAAGACAAAAGCTAGAGCAAATGCACATAATCCTAATATTTACTTGTAAATTTGTTCTTTCGTGGTTATAAATTGGGAGGATTTAGAAACATCCCTTTCCATTAGGTAGACTTTTACATATAAACTAGTTATTCAGGCAACATTGCACCCTGAGATGTATGCATTTGGCTTCATTCTACTAATTTTGACACATTAATATTAGTCAGACATTAAGGGCCATGTACTTTTGCTCCAAATCTAACAACCAAGAATTGAAGAATACATTAAATAGCATGCCTTGCTAATTTGAAATCCACTAGATCTGATATTGGGTTGAACACAGTTGCTCTCTTTGATAATACCATGGCTGTCTATTTTCAAAATCAAGCTGCCTCCTGCACTGTAAATAATCTCTATGTGGGCAAACCCATGCAAGGAGGTGTGATCCATGCAATGAAAAGATGATAAAGATTTAGGGCCTCACCTAACACAGCAGTCGGTACAAGTGGATCATTGGGCACTGCAGGAAAACAAAGCTCATGAAGGAATATATTGCTCTAAAATTGTTTTTTAAAATCTTTTTTCTTTAAAATAGATTTATGCTTTCTTAAGAAATATAATTATTAAACTTTCTCAGATTACTGTATTCTGCAAATGTAAAATTTTCTCTCTCAGCTTGGGTTATATCTAAACATCAAGAGAGGTGTATCTATAATTATGGTTCAGAACTCTGTTTAATTTAAAAAGCCAGAAGATTAAACTTGACATTAAAAAATTAAAGAAAAAAAAACCCATGTATTTTAGATCTATCAAGTGTAAGGTATTTAAAGAAATAATTATCTCATATTCATTCCAAATAATTTTTTTCAGTTATCTGTGGGAAATAGATTTAATCCTTTCTCTAAGTTCATAAGTGGATATTTATAGTTACACTGCTGAATTCAAACTTTCAAATAAGGCCCTAAGGTAGGCAATAGATAGACAAGTTTGGGAGGCATGAATGCTTTCAAAACCTTAATTGATTAAATATTAAATTAAGTAGTTAAAGAGATGATACATCTTTATTTTCCGCAAAACTTACTTTCAACAGTAATAGTATTTTACATTTTTCTCTATCATTTATCTATAGTGAAATAAAAATAAAATAGATCTGAAAGGCCCTGTCATGATTATAACTAAATTCCAAAATGACTCATGTATAGCATCCTTAACTACTAATTTGGTATACATATATACATAGAAAATGATGGGCTTCATTTTAGATCCAATAGTTACTGAAAAATTTCTCCAAGCTGAACAATTCAGAAAAAAACTTCCCTCTTTACATACAAGCATACAACCTACAAATACTTTGTTTTCAATCTTACTATTACATATGTTCATAGTTTGTACAGGAGATAATACTTATATTGTTTCTTTGCTTATACCCATGTTTTCCAAACCGGGGTGAGCATATCTCTGCGATCTGAGCCAAATGCCATAAGGCCCAAGTTATACAAGGCCAGTATACTCAAGAGATATACCTGATTTGCCTGCCTCAAGCATCAGTTTTACTTGAGGATTTGAAGAAACAAAGTTAGGCAATTTCACTTAAATTTAATTAACTTAAACAGATGCACTATAGAACAGAATATAACATTCATATGAAATTTGAAAATAAACAGTAATATTGATTCTGGGGTAATTATTAAAATCATCTGCTTTTAAATGGTACTTCAGCGGAAATATTTTAAAAGCCTTGCCTTCATAGACCAACATTAGGAATTTTCAAGACAGATGGATGGATGAATTTCACTATGCCTTGCAAAACCCCCAATTCAAGTATACTTTTGGACTTCACACCAGATACTTAAGAGCATGTAGACTAATGTTTCCCTGAGTTAACTTTTTAGTATTGCAATTTTCCAGGAGTCTACAATATACTACTTTAATGCAATGATTTTACCTATGTCAATAATTCCCAAAAAGAATTACTGTTTCCTCTTATCGCAAAAGAGACTTTCATCTTACACAAAGGAAGATGCAAATGGAAAAAGAATTATAAATTCTGACATGAACTAACTTTTTGTAGGCAATCGTGTATTTCCACTTAAAGCAATGACACGTGCTATGGACTGAGTGGTATATGTTTGGAATATCCCTTGTGATACAGTAATAAAATTCATAGAGTTTGAAGTTAAACTAAATCCAGTATCAATCTTGATGAGAATCCTTCTTGTAAATTCCATAATATTCTCCATCTCTTTCTCTTCTTTCTAGCTGCTTCTCCCCTCACTTTCCTACTCTCTCTCATTACTCAAAAGGTATCGTGTAGAATTCAAAGTGAAATGAGTTGTAACATCATTTATTAAAATTTTAATGAAAAACTTACATCTTGGACTAAAGTTATGTTGGTCCATGAAGGTGATGGAAAGAGGATCTTCTGCATGCAGAGTGCTCTGATCAGCATAACTTCGATCCATTGCATTCACCATGTGAGTCATCTCCTGCCGGGTATTCCCCATGGCATCTTTGCGTTTTTTAGCAAGTTTGCTGCCAAGGCAAATACAAAAGGGCATCCTTAGTGTTTGAGGCTTGCAGGAGAGTTAACACCAGCAATAAATAGTCCAGGTGAGCCCGAGGATAATGTTACAAACATGGTTTAGAAACCCCAAGCACTGGTCACAATTTCAGGAATTAAGTTTGACATTCAAACAATTATATTTGCTCCTTGCTATAAAAGTATTTTGTCAGATGCATATTTCAATATTCAAGCTGTCAATCCAAATCTCTCATCATTTCCTGTTCTCTTAAATATCATAAAATATAATTATATTTATTAAAAGCAAAATAAATACCTCCTTACTAGAGTAATTCAATAAATATTCAAGCTAAAGCCAAGTTTTGATACTCCTGGGTAATTAATTCTTTTGATCAACTTTTAGTTCCTTTTAGAAATAACATGACTAACTTTTCAAGTCTGTTTTACTGTAGCCACCAAATTAAAACAGACATTTACCAGATGAGTGAAGTGCCATATTGCTAAGATAAGGTACAGGTTTAACTTTAGTAAATAAATTATGTTTTTGGCTCTAGACTAAAGCTACTTATGGAAATTATAACTAAATTAAAAGTAGCTGGACATACAGAAATACAATATCCCTTTTTAAAAAGATTGGCAAAATAGGTGATAGATAAAGTTTATAGTTTTAGAGTCTGAAAAAACTTTTTTTTTGAAATGTCACCAAAATTGCAAGCATTCTGTTTTGTTTTTGAAAAGGGATACTGCATCCTTAACACACGTAAAGTTGTACATCACCCATTTTCTACTTACAGGTAGTAGGAGTAAGAATAGTAGCTCCTCCTGGCAAGCAAATCACAGACAGTGGAAAAAGAGAAGCAATGGTGAATGAAAAGCGTGACTCTGTCACATTCAATAAAGCAGAAAAATGTGCGTTAAAAAATAAAATAAAATAAAATAAAATTCATGTTTTTTTTGCTTTGCATTTCAATTTGCTCATGCATTGTTAGTTTTTTTTGCCATGCAATTAAACAGACAGATATGCAATATAAAAATAAAATTTAAAATACATAATTTGGAAAAAATAACATGCTGGTATTTCTTATTGCCAAAATATTGAAAAATTAAATGGATTGTGTATTTTCAACATGCAGTTAAGCATAATATCATCCATTATCTAAATATGACAGATGGAACAGCTGTGCATAGAACTTGTGTACTATATAGATTATTTTTCTTTAGATACAAAACATAAAGATCTATTATGTTAATATATCATATATACAGAATAACACCTAAATTTCTACAAACAAGTTATTATATCTTAATGGTACATAGGTATATACATATGTTATGTGAATATACATATATACCATATACTATATATACACAGATACTTCTACAGTAGATGCATGTGAACATGATATCATACACAAACATTTACTGTATTGAAACATAATTTCAAATTTATGTTTGAGTTATTAATGTGTTCATGCTGTGCATGTAAAATATAATACACAACCAATGAAAAAATGGCATACATTTGGAAATAATTGAATAGCGATTAAATTAAAAAATGACATTGCGTTTTGAAAGATGCAATATCCCTTTTCTTAGCCTAAAAACTTACTTTATACATATCCTTAGCTGTAAAACTTTACTCAATTGAATTATACACCATTCTTTTGCAAAACAACCAAAAAGACATGGAACTGTTTTCCGCATAAGAAATATATCTACATGTATTCATCCCAGTGAGGGATAAAATCAAACTTAACAATTTCCCACTAAAATGTAGATAAGAGGCTAAAGTAATTTCCTTTTCCATTATTTTTATTATAAATTTATATATTAAAAGGGAAACATTTTATATTAATAGTTTTAAGCTATACTTGATGATAATATCCAATGCAATGCTGCTATATCTATACTTTTTTATATGTATGATAAACATACTTGTGATTAAAGCATACATGGTACATGTGTGACACGCTACATATGAGTAAAAGTCATTACAAAATTGCTTTGGTAAGTAAGAAATTCAAGTAATGTAGATATAAATACTATATATTAGAAGGTAACATATCTAAATAATGAAACCTGGTCTATCTTTAAAAGTGCAGCTTTTCCTGGGTATAAAGGTGATGGTGAGGAACAGAAGCAAAAGCCCTAGCATACTTTCTATCAAAAGACAATCAAAGCATAATTATGAAAGCTCAAATGTTAAATATTTTAATAGAGAGGCTCATTAACTTAACCATTTAATATATGAACCAGAAAATCAAGTTGTCATATTACACAATTTTAGAGAGCTGTCAGAGCATTTTACCTTCCCCCAAAATCTTGCTTAGTGATGGTTTTAGCATACTTTAGGAGGTTAATTTTTCAATTTTTTCATTATTGCTAAATCAGAGGCCTGGATAGGGAGAGTTATCAAGACAAATGAATGTTTTCAAATAAATAACAAATAAAACTGAATAGTTTAGCCCAATTCTAGCTGAATGAGGATATAATCAGAAGCCACTTTCATGTTTACATCCAATCTGAAGTGACCAGAACATTGTGAAGCAATGTTTAGTTAACTTTACTCTCTAAATTGTTTACTTAAGTCTCCAAATACAAATTTAAACTAAACAGAGACATAAGGTCTGAAGGTTACATTTGGTGATTTTTATTGATCTTTACTGGCAAATTTTTATTGCTAAAATACTTAAAACTTTTGCCTCACATATGATGTATTTTCCAACCACAGAGGGAGACAACAGCAAGAGAAAGCACTATTTGGGGAAAGCACGTATGTAGCTAATTTAACACAAAACACTATAATGCATACCTAATGTTTCTAATGCAGATGTGTCTTCTCCAACATATATATCTCCAGGGGATAATCGTAAAGAGGCAATATATTAAAATAAACTCTGATGGAATCATTAAAACATGTAGTATGAGTCTTATCTATAATGTTAATGCTTTATTTCAAGTATAAAATAACTATAATAGTAAACTAGATAATTTAATGTAATATAAGCAACATCACTTATTATATTTTTCAATAGAATTCACTGATCACAACCACTTCTATACACCAAACTATTTTAGGACTGTACTTTTGCTTATAAATATTTTTTTTAAAAGTCCTTCCAAATTGTAGCATTAACCCAAATACATGATGGGAAGGATTAGAGTGCTATATTAGTTTCCAAGACAATGCCTTACAGATTTATGGCATTTTATATAATGTACAATAGCTCATATTATAAAAACTGTGTACTTTGAAATGCTTTTCATCAGGAATATACTTTGGTCTCCAGAGCAAAGCTCAGTTTAAATTCCAGTAGGTCTCAGTATCTTCAAGTAACGTCAGAAGATGGTGATATTAGTTGATATAGTATAAAAAGTTAATGTTCAATTAAAACAATTTACTCTCTATTTTAAAAGGCTAAAATTTTTAGTCAATGAATATTTAATGTACAATTTTACTAAATAATGTTTATATTCTTCTCATATCTTATTTGTAGCCAAGAAGTAGAAAAATACAGAAAAAGAGCACAAAATAATTCCTAGACCACAGCCCAAGTATCACAATAAATCCATATTTTGCCATTGTTAATAATAACACTTCAAATATAAGATAAATGATCTCAAGTACCTTTGCATTTGAGACATTTAAATTCGGATATTAATTTCTAGGTCAACTTAACAAAAAGCATATGTTTATATCCAAAATTAAACTGCAAATAACCAAATAAGAATTTATTAGAAAGCATGTCCAATAGACTCAGGTGCTGACAACATTGTTAAAATTAAAATTTTCTTCCTGTTGTTTGTTCTAATTTAAAGGATCTTGAGAAAAACAGGTTTTTAAAACCAGTGACATAAATGGTAAGTGAGTGGGACAGGACAATATTAGGCCTTACCTCTTTTTTACAATTAATATGACAACTAGGAGAAGGAGGATGAACACCAAAATTCCAGCACTAATTCCTGCTATTTTCACCACTCTGTCTGTCTGCTTGGCGGGATCTGGGATCACTTCTGGTTCTTCTGTTGCTGCTGCTAAATGGATAAAAAAAAAAATCAGTTACTGAAAGAAGCTAATAATCACAGAAAAAAATTATTCCCAGTAATTACCTCCAAGAAACACAACTTGTTTATTGTATATTAATAAAAATAATCCCACAATGTAAATACAGAAGCATGCTAAAATACAATACGAGATTTAGGGTTGAGGTAAGGAAATCTTTCTGACAAGAGGTTTTGTTAACACAAAAAATAAAACAAACCTCCACAATAAATATCAAAGAGAATGATGAACTAGTTTTCCCCAAGTGTCCTTGAAAGTCCGAACATAAGGTTGTCTAGCAACTAGTACATTGGAAAGAGATGGGGTCAGATTTAGAGGTTTATCAGTCAATTCAGCAAATGCTTCTTGACTCAAATGCCAGGTGGTATGCTTGGTGCTTTAAGGCAGTATTAATGGTACTTGTCTGGGACAGAAGGGGTTAGGTTAAATAAATGCCTAATATAACTGTTAGAAGCATGTGTTTATGATTTAATATATATAATTTGAGATGAATAGTTGAGTTGGCACAAGAGAAGAATAGGCAAAGAAAAACAGACACACCAAGGAATATTTCAAATTCTTTTATTAAATAAAACCCAGATAATAAAGTTGGGAAACAACTTTGAGAAGATGATTATTTTTAAAAACTTCTTTGTATGCCCTAACTTCCTTTCTTTCTCAAAACCATCTGACTACTCATCATACACACAATCAATTAAAATTACCAACTTTAACCCTTTTACAAGCCCCAGTAACTCTCTGAGGACATTTTCCTTTTACCTCATTTACCTTGAAAATTGACAAGGAAAGTATTATTATCTACACTTTATCGATAAAGGAACTGAGGCTTACAAAGATAAGGATAGTTTATAAATTGCTCAAGAGCAAAGAAAAAATCTACTATATCTTCTGTCTTTTAACACAAAATTTCTCAATGTCTCCAGATCCATGGCTCCTACTGCTAAAAATTGGTGTAACAAGAGTCCAGGTGATTCTCAGGATTAGACACATTTGGGAAATTGCCTTGAAGCACCCAACACAGCACCTTGCACTTGGAGTCAAGAGATGGTGTCCACATGAACAGATACGCAAAGAAATCTCTAAACCTAACCTCATGCCTTTCCAGTGGACAATCTGTTAATCAGCTCTTAAAAATCAACCATTTGTCTACATTCTGATCCTTTCTTCTTTACCTTCTCCTCTTGGCTTCTCTATCCCCCTCCCCGCAACCCATAGTTCTATACATCCAAGTATCTGCTCCACTTTTCCCAACAGCCACAGATTCTGCCAAAAGGAGACTGTTGAGGTTAACTATTAATTTCTCAAAGTAAGAAATCTGAAAGAATAAATATATCTAATGTAAATATCATTATATAAAATGGTAATTTAAAGCTAAACTGGTGAGAAAGACATAGCTCAAATAAAAGCGTCAGAACAGTTAACTTTGTAAAACAATTCACTATAACTGTCTTAATTTATCTTATTTCAATTGCATAAAAACTTCTCCATAGACTAGATTCACTAACTATTATTCTCAAGCAGAAAAAGCAAGGCTTTGGCTGGTGTATTTTGGGAAACTAAGGGAGATTCCCTTTCTGACTTGACACTTTCCATATATTCCGGCTGTAGGGAATTTCTAACCTCATAATTATGAACAGAGATACCTTAAGGCTTTCAAATTATTTTATGGTTGAATTTACCAAAACATGTAGTAAATATGTTAGAGATCTTTTCCTTTCCAGGGCGACGTTAGAAATATATACATATATCTATATCTCTATATATGTAGATATTGAAAACAGGTGGAATATATTACAAAGTTGAATGAAAAAACCTAAAAGGAACATAGTCATTGCTTGTAACTCAAATTACATTGGTTTGCCACAGATACTACTTCAAATAGGAAGAGAAACAGAAGTTTGATGTAGAAATCTCTAGAAAAAAAGCTTTAGTCCATGCAACAAATCATCATTATTCACTAATCAAAGACTACTTTCTTCAGGTTCTATGAGACACTTGGCTTTCAGGGGCTAATGATAATGATCCCTTAGTGATTTTCTGACATATCTGAGTTATAGAATTAAATGTTTCTGAAAATTCTCTGGAAGAGCAGTTCTTGCTTAATGAGGTCAGTATTTTTCATAACAGTTTAATTAAATAAAATACATGCTATTATGGTATAATTTTCTAAATATATTTTATTATGAGTCGCATATGCTACATTTTACAAAAATCTTCAGAGCTGCTAATCCCTACCAGAAGCAGATAATGTATATGGGTACAAATATAATATATATAATGTATGTAGGTGCAAATATAAACTATCATCATGAAGTAAGAACAGCAGCTTTAATACTATTACCTAGGTTTAGTAATAAAATAACAGAACTGACATGAGGGTGATGGGTAAAACAATTTCAAACTCAGGGGATGAAGACATTTTTAAGATCTTACAAGTAATATAGATAGGTTAATGAATTCATGTAAACATATTTCCAGAAATAAAAAGCCAAATCTGAAAGTAATTTTTTTAACATAGATAGAAACTAAAACGCTTGCAGGTATACCAAGAGTACAAAGCATTGAGACTTTCATAATCTATTATGCAAATCAGAGATAATAAAGTCATAATCTATATGTCTTTGTTAAAAACTAGACTTCAATTCACATTTACCAAGTGGTTAATAAAGAAAAAAAAGCCCATTAAGTTATTTATTTGAGTTGGGTAAGGCTGCCTGTCTGTCAAGACAATTCTTGTGCCAAGAGTTGTTCACTAATCTTCAACATAATTATTAAACTTAAGTATAGAAGTCTAATCAAATTCTCCAAATACATGTGATTTGGTGGTTGTTTTCCTTGACTGTGAATTCTCCTCAAAGTCTTTAGCTGTGGCATTTATTACTATCATTACTATTACTACTATGAACAGTAGTTTTTACTAAATATGTCTGTATATATTTATTAGTTTGGATATTTTAATCACATGTATTTTTTTAAGTACTTGGCTTGCTATAACCGAGGAACATAAATATCCTATTTAAAATCATTCAAGCTTAGAAGATTCATTAAAGGAAATACAAGCAGTAGCCCCTAAGTCAGCATTTTCCATTTTCTTCAAAGAGAGCAAAAAGCTATTATAGTGGTGGTGCCCCTGAGTTCTGTTTATAATTTCTGCACATACACAAAGACAATGTGGAGCACCTTTTTCAGAAATGCTTTCCTTGGCCATAAATCTTTACCATTTTTTTTATCTGCCAAAGAGCATATAAGGAATCCCCAGTGTTCAGAAGCCAAGAGAAGCATAATTCTTTGTACAACGAGAAAAAAAACTAAGGCACAATTTTATTTTTATTGAGCAAATTTCTAGGATGCATTTTGGGGGGTAAAAATAGCTAAAGTGACTTGATCAATTGTGTCCTTGCTCCCACTACTTAAAAATGAAATAGCTTTAAAGTCACACAAATTTACCTAAAAAATTAAAACTATCTTAATAGCTGTGATTAGGCAAACTAATTCTTCTACTTTCATAATGGACATTAGAGATAGAAGCCTGTAAGTACAATGTATTAAGTAATCTTATGGTGTCTTCAGAGACATTATTGTCACTCAAATTCTGCAAATCCTCCCGGCATTTCATTAGTGCTTTCTTTCTTTTTCAGTTATAGATCTGAGAAACTGTTCCCACTCACTTCCCAATCATTCTTTAAAATCCTACCGGCAGGCTTATGTCCCCCATCCACACCAAACCACCATAACCAATGTTTCTAATGACTTGCAAGTTTCTGAATTCAATGTGTACTTTTCTAGTCTTATTTTATGTGACCTCTTAATAGCATGTGACATTCCTGTCTACTCCCTCTTTCTTGGAACACCCTTTTCCTGGGACTTCCATGAACTTGGGTACCTCCTAGTTTTCTGAGGACTCTGGTCTCTCCTTTCCAGATTTTTGTTTGCTCATCCCTTAAAAATAGGTGCCCCTTTGAGTTCCTCAGGGACCTATGCCTCTTGACACTGTGTTCCATACTTTCTGGCTTGGTGATCTTATCCATTTTCATCTCTTTAGTTACCATCCTGATAACTGATCACTCTCTAATCGATATATCTCTGACCAAAAGTTGCAACCCGAATTCCTGACCCATGGAGTCATGTGATTAATATGTCTTCACGTCAATGTATGACAGTCACCTTAAGCACACCATGTCCAACCCGAACTCATAATCTTATCTCATGCCAGTTCTTTTTCTAGTGTATCCCCTTTCAGTAAATGGCAAAACTATCCATACAGTTCTTCAAGCCAGAAACCTATGCATCATTCTTGAATCCTCCACTTTCCTTATCTCTAGGATTAACATTTATCATCCAAATTGGGATGCTTTTGAAGGAAAACAAAAACTGGAATTATCTTGGGCAAACTGGAATGCACAGTCACTTTCTCACACAATTAGTTACAAAATTACTACTTCCTAAATATTCTTTGTCATCACTTTTCCCATCCCCACTGCTACTACCTTCATTCAGATCAGTATCCTCTCAGGCAGATCACACAGCAGCCACCTATGTTAAATCTCTGAATATACTGTCTGCCTGTTCCACCTCAAAACCCACATTGTAGCACACGGTATTTTCTAGGATTTCAACTGTATCATATCACTTCACTGATTAGAGCCCTCCAATAGCTTCCCATTGCTGTTAAGGTAAAGCCCATGAAAGCAAAAACCATATTTATTTTGCTCACCATTGAATTTCTAGTAGGACCTAAAAAGGAGCAACAGAACAGAAAATATTAGTTGAATAAATGAAAGACCACCACTAAGCCTGCCTAAGCTAGGTTGCACTGGCATATAGAAAATCAGTTATCTCCTTAAAAAACACAAGGATGTCTCTGATCAGACATATCTCTTACTGTTGTGGACATTAACATAAGATGAACTTGATAACAAACATTTCTGAGTTGTCTCTGGAAATTTCAAGCCCCTTTGTTACATTCCTTTATAGAGCTAACCATTTCCACCATCTGTCACCACCTATCACCAAACCAATGTGCAAGAAAAGTCCAGTGTCACTGAAAGCACAAGGGATTGGATCAGCAAGACCCTGTTTTGATTCTTAGTTTGTTCTCTTATCTGTTGTGTGACAATGAGCAAGTGAGAATCTTTTAGAGTGAATGCCTTCATCTATAAAAAAAATTAATAACATTACCCATCTTGTGTAGCTTTTAGGAATACCAAGTAACATAATGGTGTGAAAGGTTTTTGTAAACTAAAACACATGGGATAGTAGAAATAGTAGTAGACGCTGCTGCTCTAGGTAGAGATAATCTAGATGTCAGTTCTTTGGGTCCATTACATAGAAATGAAAAACTATGAATAGGAAAAATGAAATTACTGAAAAACAGCTTTTAAAAAATCTTAGCTGCCTATTATATAAATATACAATGACAGGTTTTGTAAAGCACATGTTATTTATTACACAGGCTGCCACACTGGACACCTAAACCTTATGGGTGTCTTGAAGTATGTATTATTTAACTCAATGATCTTTTGAAGTAATTTGGCTTCCTCATTGCATGTGATCTTATGAAACTTGCCCAGTATTAGATCACTGACTAAAACAGGGTCTACCAGAGATTTTACTGGTGAGAAAAGAGAGCAGCTAAATGCCACGTGCTTTAACAGTAGTTGGAAAATAATTTATTCTCCTTTAATAATGATATGGACGTGATCCAAAGATTTCTGATGTGGAAAATAGTGCAAAAGTCTATGAAGACTTTAAACAACTAAGAAATAAAATTACAGATTAATACTGCAGATATTGAAAATTAATTTTACACTGCTTAAGGCATCTCCTTCTAGTCTTAGAGTCTCTAAATTTGTTTTGGTTTTAAAAACACAGTTCAAAATGCTGTACAAAATTCTGAAGTGACAGAAATACTTTTTAAGAAAGCAATAAAATAAGTATATTTTAGGAATGTATATAATGGTAAAAAAAGTAAAATATTATTTTGTTTCATAGTAATGAAGAAGAAATGTTTTAATGTGCATATTAATTTTTCATCAAGCTTCCCACTAAATTCATTCAATTAGGTAAAATAGAGCGTTAGTGCACTGTCTTACTTCTTAAACACAGTTGATTCTATCTGCTTAGTTCTCTCTGAAATTGGTTCTGAATTCTCCACCCCACCTTCGACTGCCTTCAAGACCCAATCTTGTTTTTTCACTAGTCCTCCTGCTTCCCATGTTGGCTACCTCAGATTTATCCTACATATTACTAGTTGGATGAGTTTTCTAAAAGGTAAATGCGAAGAAATGACTTCACTGCTTTACATTCAAGAGGAAAAGGCAAAAGTTATGACACATACGGCCTTTCACAAGCAGGTGCCAATCAACATTTTCAACCTCATCTTCTGAGACACTTTCATTCATATACTCTTATCATTAAAATCCTTTCACCATTTCTCAAATACTCTTTATTTTAGGAGTTGGCAAACTGTGGTCCCTGAGTTTTATCCATCCCATTTTGATAAAACAAAGATTGTAAATATTCAGCTTTACAAGATAATACCAAACTATTACCAATTTACATACCCACCAGCAGCGTATGCCAACCCCATTTAAATTATATCTTACCACTTTGTATTATCAGCCTTCTTGATTTTTGTCACTTCAGTAGTAGAAAATGAAATGTAATACATATTTGATTACTACTAAAATGACCTTTTGAGATACCTGAAATATCTCTACCTGTTTTTTTCTCTGAAATGCTCAGTATATAGCTTTGACTGAAATTTGTATTACAAATATCTTCTCCTATCAGACTGTATAAGGGATGAAAACCATCCTTTCAAGATGTTAAAAGTTCATGGCTAGGACCCCTATTACAAAAGACAGATTAAGAAGAGAAAAATACAAATTTATTAATATAAGTTTTACAAGTCATGGTAGACTTCATAAGGAAATGAAGAACTAATGCAACAGTTAAACCCGAGTGTTTTTATAGCAGGTTTGATGAAGGGTGACGTTATAAAGGACTATGATAGGGCGAAGAGTATGAGCTAAGTATAGTAAACTGCAGAAAACTTAGCAAGGCCTGTTTGTTCAGATTCTTCTATGTGTCCCTTATCTTCGGAAAGAAAGGTGCTTTTTATTTTCCCCCCTAGCTATAAGGAGGACACTTCTCATATGAGGGTCTTATGATCTGCTTCAAGGGAAGGTCAGAGAGATCTTCCTGTTTTTGTCACTTTCTCCAACTTTTTTCAGGTTAAAATATTCAGTATGCCAAGGTGCCATATTTTGGGGTAATGTGCCCTGAAAGCCATCAGTTGCTTTTCTTCTTACTTTACTTATGGTATGAATAACAGTTATTAATTTTAATGAAGTCAAATATATCAATCTTTTTTTTTATGGTTAGGGCCTATTGTTTAAGAAGCTCCTTCAAAGCTGAGTTTTTCAAAAATCCTCTTTTTTATTTGAAAGTTTTAAAAGAGTCCAAGATGTATAGTAGAAAGTTGTTTCAGGTCCTCCTCCGTCCCCACATACATATCCAGTTACCTGTGCATAACTTTTGAATTGATCCAATGATCTACACAGCCACTTCTGTCCTATATCAAAATTACGTTAAGTACATGAGTCACTTTCTGGATTTTCCATTTTATTCTTAGAGGAAACATATTATTCTGTGCTGACAGTAAATGATTTCAACTACTATAGTTCTGTAACATATTGTATATATTATGGAGATATTCCCAGGCCTAGTTCTTTTCTTCTTGAGCATCTTAGCTCTTTTTTATGTTTTGTTCTGGGTAACTTCTTCAGATTTAAATTCTAGCTAATAAATTATCTCTTCATTTTGCCAAATCTGCTACTAAGTCCATCCAAAGAGTTATTTTTAAATTTGAACAATTATGCTTTCCCTTCCTACAAGTTCCATTTGGTTCTTCGTAAACGGATCTTTGTTTAGTTATTCCTGATAGCATCTTGTTAATCTTTATGATTTGCACTTTATTTCTTTAGAGATTTTGTACAAGGCTATTTGTATTTGACAATCCCAATACCTGCAGTTTTTTTGAGGATTTACATCTGTTGTTTCTGCTAACTCTCACTCTTGAAAGTGAGTTACTTTCAAGAATGCTTGGTGACCTTTGATTGTGAGTTAATTGCTTTATGTTAGCCTGTGGGAACCCTGCAGGCCTAAATTGATCATGCTTTCATCTCAAAGATAATTTACATCTCCTACCAGTAGCTATGAGGTGTCTCAGACCTCAGACCACCTCTGCCAGCTCCATATGGGAGTCCCAGGCTAGGCAACACTCTTATTACCAGTCTGAAGATAAAAGTCTCAAGGGCAATATAGTTTTAGCATCCCCCTTCAGGTATTACCAACCTCTCTTTCTGCCTGTTGCTCACTGTTTTCAGCTCGCTCTCACTCTCTCTCTCTCTCCTTCTCTCTCTCTCTCTCTATATATATAATATATAAATAAATATATATACATATATAAATATTTATACATATATAAATAAATATATATGTGTATATATATATATATATATATATATATATATTTGGCAGAATAGTGAGTCCTGAGATATCTCCACCAGCCACTGTAAGTCCAGCAATGTATCCACAGATGTGTCCTATCCAGGGTAGGACTGTTCTGCAGAGGTCCTCTGAGAACCTAATTTGCCAGGCTTCCAAAATGGGAAGTGGGATCATGGGCTTTTATGTTCTTTAGTGTTCCTAACACCTTTCCCTTAACTACCCTCTCACCTCTAAATACCAGTTAATCATTTTCCCATAACCCAAATAAAAATTGTATTGCAAATATTTCTCAGCAAGTCTACAACTCACACTAGGTCTGGAGCGAATCAAGGGCAAAGATATAATCTCATTCATGTCTTTATGGCTAATGATTTTTACATAGTTACCAATACATTATAAACTTTTAATATATATTTGCCCAATGAATAGGTAACATATTAAAAATGCTCATAATTTGTCAAGGTATGCTACTTATATAAGAGCATTTATCAACTATAATATACTGCTTAAAGTTTTAAACTTTTTTTGAAACAAATACATTAATGCTAGGGTTAACTGAACTAATTTATAAAATCTAAAACATTCTTTAAGAGAAAAATTCTGCTTTTCATAGCATCAGTTGGTAAAGAGCTTCAACATCTCTGGAAAAACACTAATAGTGAACATTCTTGTCAGGTGGCCTTAATTTTTTTTTTTTTTGATAAAACAAAACCATTAATCAGAGTTTGAATTCCAGCTTTGCCACAAGTTGACCTTAGGTAAGTTAACCACTGCTCCTCACTTCTTATTGGTAAAATGGAGATTGAGTCTACCTTCTAGATTGACTCAAAGATTAAATGTATTGAAACATGTAAAGTGCTAAGGACAATATCTGGTACTTCATAAAGCCTCAGTAAGTATTAGGGAATGTATAAACAGATTCGAATAAAGTTCTCTTTCTAAATCTAGATTTCTGCACCATAAATATTATAGCATCACAGAAGCAGCATTAGATGGAGGGAAGTCTACTTTCTAAAAAAAACAGAGATAAGAATCTGTTATTGTTTATCATTTAGTACGTATTTGTTGAATTATCTGATGGGTACAAAACATTGTACTAGGCTAAAAAACCAGAAAGATGAACAAGTGTTCTTCCTTTAGAGAGCGTATAAACTAGAAGAAGAATATGGTAAGTACTCAAATGACTGTACTTATTAGCATCATACTGCAATACATACCATGGCTACTGGTATTACAGAAGAGGCACAGATAGGGCTCCTCCACAGGGGGATGAATTTGTATCTGATTTCTTGACAATCTAAAACATTTCTTAGAATCATTCAACAAAAAAAGTCCAACTCCAGTTTTCAAATAAAGAAAGACAATCTCAGGAGAGGAAAGTGGCTTTTTAATAGTTCTAGTATTAACTTCTGACATAATTAAAAATATAGCCTATGCTTTCTGACTCCCATCTGGCACTTTCACTTGGGAGAAATGTGATTAAGCTGCCTATATTAGGAGTAATGTTTAACACTGCCTTTTCAAAACATGGGGGTGAGGTGGGGGATACAATAGAGGTGTCAACCTCAACTACTACCTAACAAAAAGAAAGGAAAAGCTGGGGAGATATAAATACACATAAATTGGCAGTCAGTCACATTCTTTTGGGGACAAATAAAAGCAGACTTAAATGGATAGACAAATGAATGGAATCTGGGAGGGTTCTGAGAGGAAGCCTTAGAAGCAAAAAGAAAAAAAAAAAATACATGTTCCATGCCCCATCTTAAACACACAAAGAAAACATTTACTTTTTTGTTTCCTTCCTTTCATTAATTAAATGAATTATTTGTTGTCCCTGGCATGTACCTGGCACACTTCTAGGGTTTGAAGAATCATCACTGAACAAAACAGAGAATATCTCCACTCTCGTGCAGTTTACATCCCTGTGTTGTCTAGTAAACAATAGACAAGTAAACAAGGATCACCTGATAGTGAGGACTTCCATACTGAGAATTAAAATAGAAGGACAAGGTGGAGTGCCTTGGTGACTGTGTTAGATTTGGAGCTGAGAGAAGACCTTTCTGAAGAAGACACGGAGGTAGATGGTGTGGGTTTTTTTAAGTTGAGGAACTGTATCATCTCAAAAGCAAAAATGCTTTAAGTACCTTGTCTATGTAGTAGGTGCAAAAGGGAGTTCAGTGGTTATGGAGTTGTTTCATTGACAAATAAGACTTTTTTGCCCACCTGAAATAATAAAAATCAGAGAATAACAATAGGATGAAATTAAAATTTAATTTGGGGAAGTAAAAAAAGAAATACCCTGGAAAGTAATGAGCTGGTTCACATTTATGCCAAAGGTAAAGGAAGGAAAGGAGTGTAAATCACAAGAAACTATACCTTCCACATACTGATTATTACATATGTGACATCCAAGTAGTAATGGCCTATTAAGAGTAAAACAAGCTGAGCTGAACATTAATGGGAAATAAGAGAAAGAAGTACAAACAAACAGTGCGGAATTATATATTTAAACATAGTGTTTATAGCAAAGTAAGCTACAGAACAACTAAACCTGACCCAAAATGAAATTGTTCTGAAATGATAAATGTGGATATATGGAGACGTTGGGGGAAAAAGCTTCATGATAATGTCAGTGATATTTTTTTCCCTCCCACAAACTACAGGACCAGAAAAGTCTCTTCTTCAGGGAAAAATCTAAAATATTAAAATCCAGGTACTGTATGTAATTAAAAGGCAAATGCACTTGACATTTTTAGTGGTACAATCTCAGAATGCCAGATCTGGGACAGTCATCCAAACATGCCATTCAAAGCACAAACAGGAACAAAATCACATTTGAATATTAGAGAAAGAAATAGAAAACAAATAAAACCTTTACTAGTGCTCAAATTATAAGAACGTGATGTGATCTAAAATAGTAAAGATGGTCGACATTTTAAACCTATTCCCACTCTGCTTATTTACGAAATGAAGGGTTAAGACTAGCTGTTTTTTGGGATGCTTTTAGTTATGAATTCCATTTTCATTTTGAGTAGGTCATTTTCCACCAAGGCTTCGATAATTCCTTAATCTGGCATATCTCAGGAGAATACACAACATGGTTTAAATCACGTTAATAGAGGTTGCACTACAATTTTTAGAGGTGTTTATTTACTAAATTAGAGACTGCCTTAATATTAAACAGATGAACCAGATTTAAAAAATGATTTTAGTTGAGCTCTAGCTTTTCCAAGATAATTTAGTATAAAGTCTAAATTATTAATAAATATTTTAGAGTTTGAGATTGGTTTTTAATCCTAAAATATTTTTTGGCCTTGAGTGAATGAATGAAAAGATGGGAGCCTTATTTTTAAATGGTTCTTGGCTGTCTAAAATTTTCTAATAACTACATTTCACAATTTCTAATTCTCAAAGTATCTAACAAACACACCCAAAATACTTCAGTGGGCTATAGATTGTCCAATTCTAGATAATCAACCTTTTTATACTCAACATCTTCCCTTGTCTAAATTGGACCCTTTTGATAAGAAAGTTTCATCTCTTCAGCCGGGCGCAGTGGCTCACGCCTGTAATCCCAGCACTCTGGGAGGCCGAGGCTGGTGGATCACGAGGTCAGGAGATGGAGACCATCCTGGCTAACACGGTGAAACCCTGTCTCTACTAAAAATACAAAAAATTAGCCGGGCGTGGTGGTGGGCGCCTGTAGTCCCAGCTACTCGGGAGGGAGGCTGAGGCAGGAGAATGGTGTGAACCCGGGAGGCGGAGCTTGCAGTGAGCGGAGATTGTGCCACTGCACTCCAGCCTGGGTATCAGAGCGAGACTCCGTCTCAAAAAAAAAGAAAGAAAGTTTCATCTCTTCCACAAAGCCTTTTCCAGCCCTCAATCCCCCAAGGGACTTCGGAATTTCTCTGCACTTGTTGGCTGTGTTTCTCATTTGAACTTTAAATCACAGCCTAATAGAGGTAGGCTGGAGTTTTAGAAGGAGCAAGGCTTTCTGAAGTGACCATTCACCAATGTATAGAGTTGGGGAAGTTACATAACTTGAATCTCAGTTTCTTTGTCTATAAAATGTAGTAGTAATATTCTTTTATATATATTCTAAGAATTATATGAGATAATGTTGAAGAAAGCTTATAAAGGTTTGTTTCCTGTGTGTGTTTTCCATTTATTTCTTCTTGGAGGGTACATACCAGCGCCTATCTTGACTCTCTAGCAAAGAGTAACAATTCAGGAAATATTTGATCCCCAAATCCCTCGCTTACATTAGAGATTTGACCACCAACACTCTGTACGCCACTGTTTGGAAAACAGAGTTTTACAATGTAAATGCAAATTGGCTTTTGCTTGCTATTTGAAAAGCTAGAGTAGTTGGTATAAATTAGTTCTCAGAAGAAATTAAGTGCCTGTTAGTGGCACAGTTGGATCTCTCATACTCCTTTCTTCTTTATGGCTGCTTCAGATTCTCCTGCGACCACTTCATAAAACACTGCGTGTGTTGGTAGCGGGGCTGGAAGGTCGGGGGACAGAGGGGTGCTTGTTTTGTCTTTTTGCCATGAAAACTTTTGGTCCCTTACGTTTCTTCTCTTAAAATCTAATACTCAGCAGCCTTTAAGCAAGTGACTTCATTTTTCCTTGACCTTTAGTATATTTACTTTTTCGATTATTTTCAAATCCACTGAATCCAAGTGGTTCACATATTCCATGAGAGTTTTGAATTCCTAAAAGCCAGTTTCTATGCACCTCACTCCAAATGAGTCCAACTACTGTCAATGACCCCCAGCTTACGGAGTAAAGGAAAAATCTTCATTGATTTTGAAGGGATCGCTGAGGCACCGTCCTCCAGTATTGCCAGATCAAACAGCTGGCTGGGGGTCCTCAGTATTTCCTGGAACACCTAACCCACCTGGATGATCCAAGTTATTCCTCTTCCATCTGCCTCACTCTGAGTTTGCTCTTTCCATGGATATCACTGAATTTATATTTTATGAACATATTTCTTTCACAATCTGCCCCCAATATGTTTTCACAATTTGAGAGACTAGAGAGCTAAGATATTTAAAGGAAAATTGTGTTCTCTATCAAGTTTACACATACTTAGTAGGTTAAGATACTGGAGCCTGCCTCATCTCAGCTACTTGGGATCACTGCACGAACCAAAATGCTCAGATACGGAGATTAAAAACTTACATTACAAAATCCCATCCTCACCGCATTTTCTGCTTTAAAAATACTGAACAGTTCTCTGACCTGTAGTGAACTCAGCAGTGGAGCTGGAGCAGCCAAGAAAAATGGGGCAAAAGAAGAGTCAAACCAAAGGCTAAAATCTGTAAAACCAAGTATAATTTGAGAAACAGGATCGATAAAGCTATCCAATAAATTGTTAATAACATCACATGTGACTATTAACAGTTTTCCCCAAATCTTAGCTGACGAGTGATTTCTAATTTTCTTGAAATTAGAAACTTCAAGCTGAAGTTACAAGAATCAGGTGAAATGACAGAAATCATTTTCTACGCATAAATCACTTCTGATCTTAAATTCACAACTCCCTAAAGTCAAATTTTCTTCATCAAACCTCTCTGGATGCTAGATTGGTAGTGTCAGCCCCTCCTAACTTTCTCAACTCTCCTTCTGCCCTGGAGCTGGTGTTGCCTCCTTTGTCTTCTTAACATTCAGATTTATGTTCACCACTGAATTTGCCCCCAGCATGTTCCTTATTTTGGTGTGGTTTCCCAATAAAACTCTGCTGGGAAGTATTCTTTTAAACAATATGATTAAAACAAAAAAAACCAAACTATCATTTCTCACCTAGACTATTTTAAAACAGAACTATTCGATCTCTTATTTTATTTTATTTTTTTGAGACAGGGTCTCACTCTGTCTCCAGGGCTAGAGTGCAATGGAGCTATCTTGGCTCAGTGCAGCCTCACCCACCTGGGCTCAAGCGATCCTCCCAGCTTAGCCTCTGGAGTAGCTGGGACTATAGGGACATGCCACTATGCCTGGCTAATGTTTTCTTTCTTTCTTTTTTTTTTTTTTGGTAGAGGTGAGGTGCCTCCATGTTGTCCAGGTTTGTCTTGAACTCCTGGGTTCAAGCAATCTGCCTGCCTTGGCCTCCCAAAGTGCTGGGATTACAGGCATGAGCCACCACACCAGGCCAATCTCTTATTTTAAACTCAAATAGAGACATCTCTAGGGCAATCAGATAATTCACAAATTTTAATCTCTGTTCACTCATATTATTTTTCTTTCCCAAACAGGCATTTAACATACCCGCACAATTCAAAGCTACTTAAATATTCCAAGTCATCACAGTAACTCAATCCTTTAAGCACATAACATTTCAACCCAGATGAACACACTAAAATAATTTAGAAACAGACTAAAATAATTCCTTGTAAGAGCTCTGTAAACATCTGGACAAATCTTATTCTATCATATCACAATGTACTTTAATAACTAAGTCTATTCTAGGCACATGGCCACAACTACTTGCATTGTAACAGATGATGTTCTCAATATAAGATTATGTTGCTATGGCATCAACAAACCATGATCTTATGAATCAATTCTCTTATTTACCAGGATCATTTTTAAGGAAAATAAAAAATTACTGGTTCTCTATTACATGTTTACATTTATGATAAATGTAAATTTAGCACTAAGTATGAAAATTAGTAATTTGACATTTTCTTAGTGTACAAAATGAGACCTATGGCCAGGCATGGTGGCTCACGCCTGTAATCCCAGCACTTTGAGAGGCTGAGGCAGGCAGATCACTTGAGGTCAGGAGTTCAAGACCAGCCTGGCCAACATGGTGAAACCCCATCTCTACTAAAAATACAAAAAATTAGCTGGGCATGGTGGCAGGCACCTATAATCCCAGCTACCTGGGAGGCTGAGACAGGAGAATTGCAACCTCCTGGGAGGCAGAGGTTGCAGTGAGCCGAGATCGTGGCACTGCACTCCAGCCTGAGTAACAGAGCAAGATTCCTTTTCAAAAACAAAAACAACAACAACAACAAACCAGGCCTATATTGTAATCACTGATAATTGCTAGAATTTATCATTAGATTTTTCAGGATCATTAGATTTTTCAGCAATATAGTTTTGCAATTTATTAACATGTACCAAAAGAATGAATATGAGAGAATAGAATGTAAATTGTAATATTTACCTTTTCAACTAAGATCACACAGTACTAGTTTATTTTGCAGTACAACAAGTTTGTCTTTGACATATGTGGAATAAATTCTACAAAGCTGAAAGAATTTGCCAGTCCTTTTAAATTAAGATTATCTCAAGCTATTTCCAAATCCTCAACAAACTGAAACATGGTTTTTGCATTCTGCATGTAGGAATGTGGCTGACAACAAAGATTTGCATAAGACACTCCACTCTCTCCCTGTGAGGCCAAGTTTTGTATTCCTTCATTAGTTTGTATGAATTCATATAACGAAGTCTCTGGCTCAGACAGATTGTTTTCTCTAACTTTTGTTATATGAAGATTATTTCAGCTGAACCTGAAAGGAGACACACATTCTTATACATCTTTTGCAAAATTGTCCTACCTTATAGAGGAAGAATAAGTAAACACATTTAAATCAAGATGAAAATCAATAGTTTGTAGATTAGAAAACCCTGGTTCTATCTAGCTCAAATAAGATCAAATGCTGACTTAACAACTGCATCTAAAAGAAAAAGTCATAAAATAATTTTCTATGTCTGTATTAGTTTCTCAAGGCCACTGCAGAAAACTGCCACACACTTGATGGCTAAAAACCACACATATTTATTCTCTTACAGTTCTGGGAACTAGAGGGCCCCAAAGCAGTATCACTGGGCCAAAATCAAGGTGTCAGTAGGGTTACCCTCGCTGCTGAGGCTCTAGAAGAGAACTCATTCCTTGCCTTTTCCAGCTACCAGTGCTGCTGGCATTCCTTGACTTGGGGTTACATGACTCCAGTCTCTACCTCTGTGGTCACATTGACTTCTCCTCTGTCAAATCTTCCTCTGCTTTGCTCTTATAAGAATACATGTAACTGGATTTAGGGCCCACACTGTTAATCCAGTATAATCTACCTTGTCAAGATCCTTTACTTAATCACATTTGCAAAGACCGCTTTTCCCTAAAAGATAACATTTACAGCTTATTGGGATTAGGACCTGGTATCTTCCAGTAGCCATTATTCAGCCTACTAAAATCTATATGCTTTCCAATGTATTTTTAAACAGAATTTTTCAAGGTATAGGCTTTAAAAAATTAAGAGAATCCCAAGAGATCTAAACAGTAAGAGAGAGAGGCCTAAGTGATGATATTGAGTGGTATTGAACAAAATAAGACAAAGAAGATCATCTGCCATATTTGACAGATGTTGGTAGACAACATCTTCTCTTCATGTTCCGTTGTTTGTAATTTGTTTTTACTGCTACCAGAACCTCTTACAATTCTCTACTCACTCATGTAAATACTAGCTGCAGAAGGTCTGGCAAAACTTTCTCCTATTTGTATATGTGTAAAGTGGTCTTTCCCTTACATCAAGTTAAAGAAAAAATACAGTTGTAATAGCTACTTCCCAATAGCCAAAGGGTTGTATTTGAAAGAGGGATGAAAATCACTCCAGGTACCAAGAAAAACTACTGTGTGATCTGGGACAAGTTATCTGCTTTTTTTGAGACCCACTTTTCTCATCTTTACAATGAAATAACTAAATTCTGCTCTCTAGGCTTGTTCTGAAGATTACTGAATATACATTTAAAGTACCTAGAAGTATTTGACACATAGCAGGAACTTAATATACAATTACTGGTATTACTATTAAGGATTAAGAAAGCACTGGCATGCAACATATTATATATTTGACAAGATTACATCATCTTGAAAAAATATAAGAAGTATTCTTTTTGTATAGTACTTTAAGGAGGATATTATTCATTTTATATCATTTTCCTTCTCACTGTGATATGTAGAATATATCACACCAAAATTGTGGTTGACCCAACACTCCAACCAGTGTCCTATTTTATTCACTCTGTATTTCTTAATCTATTCAATAAATATTACTAAATCCATTTGCTGTGCTAGATGCTGAGGGAGGTGTGTGACACAGCCTGTAGTCTAGTAGGGGAGGTAGGCATTAAATAATTAACTCCAGTCAATTTCAGTGCTATATATGAAAAAGACAATTCACTCCTTTTTATGACTTGACTTACAGCTCACAGTGCCCAGAAAACTGGGATTCTTGATAGAATGCGCCACATATATCCTAATTAGCAACAATCACTAGTTTGGCCCCATAATGTACATACCTAACACACACTTTCACAGGCAAGAGAAGAAAATACCTATCATCATATTATGATCAAAGTATTTTGAAGTAAAAATACTTCCTCATTATTTCTTAGAATACTGCATACAGCAATTCCTTTAAAAGCAGACTCTACTAGCATGTTTCCCACTGAACAGAACTGTTTGTCCATTTAACCAAAAGGTATTTATTGCCCGGGAATTCATTAGTTCATTATTTGAAGAAATACGTATATTGGGCAAGAATGTAAATCAGGCTGTTTAGTTATCACATGAAAATGCATAAAACAGTACCCACATTCAAAGAGTTCAAAGAGTCCTTCAGGAAATCAGGTGCCTAAAAGTCAAACTGACCTTTAAAAAAAAAATGTTCATAGCTTCCTCTGTTAAATGAATGATCGTTTCAGAGCTTTCTAAATGCCAAACTCTTTTAATATATTATTTCAATTAGCTTTCACAAGCACTTATGAGGCTTGTTGTATGTTTTTTTTTTCCTTTGAGACAGAGTCTTGCTCTGTCACCGAGTCTGGAGTGCAGTGGAGCCATCTCAGGTTACTGCAACCTTCTCCTGGGTTCAAGCAATTCTCCTACCTCAGCCACCCGAGTAGCTGGGACTACAGGCGTGTGCCACTGTGCCTGACTAATTTTTGTTTTTAGTAGAGACGGGGTTTCACTCTGTTGGCCAAGTTGGTGCGTACTCCTGGCCTCAAGTGATCCGCCCACCTTGGCCTCCCAGAGTGCTGGGATTACAGGCATAAGCCACTGTGCCCAGCTGTATCTTCTTTTACCGATGAGGACACTGACAGGTTGGTATCACCTCTTTCCTAGTCTATATTGCAGCCACTCCCTTATTGAAGTTTCTGACTCCAAGTCCTACTCATCCTAATCTACCTGCAGCTTTTAAGGTGTCATTTTTCTAAAACTTAAATATGATCCTATCATTGTTCTTCTTAATAGCCTACAAAGATTTCAGGGAAAATGAAAATGACGAATATAAATTATACTGCACACACTATTTATAATAATATTTAGCCACTTAAAATTAAAACACATAAAAATGTGGGTAAAGCTCATGGTAAAATAGTAACTACAAATAATTACAAGTCACAATCTTTGCAATTATGAGAAATGTTTAAGTAAGCACCTGATAAAAAAAAGGAAAAAGCAAAAGTGATAACAGTTGCTTAGAATATTGTTTCAGAACACCTTTTAAGGTTACCACACTGTTTTAATTTTTAAAGTGGAAGAGAAAGTGCTTTAGCACTGTTGATAGCTGCCACCCTGCCCTCAAGATAAAGTGAATCTTGAGTCTTACAGCCCTTTCTCATATCTGTATCAACATACATTTTAGCCTAATTTCTTACTAACTCCTCAGTATATTCTTGAACACTGCATTAACTTTCATGTCTAACTGCAAACCTCTGCCCATGCTGTTACCAGTGTGGATATGGTCTCTGGTTTTTCTACCTATTTAAATGTCACTTTGTATGGAATTCTATTTCATGTTTAGGCACACTGCATGAAATTATTACTTCAACTATCAGGTTCTTTCACAATTCACAACTTCTTGAGAGCATGGAACATATCCTATGTATTTTTAGTATTTTCTCAATGCCTAGTGTAAGACATATGGCAGAGAGTAAGTGTGCAACAAAATTGTGTTAATATTCATATTTTTCATAAGTGAAAACAATTTTTTTGTTGATATGATGCTTTGATGGTTTCTGATTTAAGGTTAGGATGTTAAACGGACTCTATTTTTACATGACCATAATTCTACTCCCCAATTCTGTTCCTAAATCTTTAGTGAGCTAAGAATTCAGATTCATGGTAAGGTTAGAATTGTGCTGGACTGCTTGTGACTTCAACTATCCATCTTCCATGGTCAGTTCTTGATCAACTGATACAGTTTGGGTGTTTGTGCCCTCCAAATCTCATGCTGAGATGTATTCCCCAATGCTGGAGATGGGACTTGGTGGGAGGTTTTTGGTTTTGGGGGTTGGCTCTCTCACGAATGCCTTGGTGCCATCCTCACAGTAATGAGTGTTCTTGTGAGATCTGGTTGTTTAAAGAGTGTGGACCTTCCCTCTCCTGTCTCCCTCTCTTGCCAAGTGATACATGGTTCCCCTTCACCTTCTGCCATGATTGTAAGCTCCCTGAGGCCCTCACCAGAAGCAGATGCCAGCACTACGCTTCCTCTACAGCCTGCAGAACCATGAACCATTTAAACCTCTTCTCTTTATAAACTACCCAGTCTCTGACTGCATGCAGTGGCTCACACCTGTAATCCCAGCACTCTGGGAGGCTGAGGCAGGTGGATCATTTGAGTTCAAGACCAGCTTGGCTAACATGGTGAAACCCGATCACTACTAAAAATACAAAAATTAGCTGGACAGGGTGGCGGGCACCTGTAATCCGAGCTACTGGGGAGGCGAGGCAGAAAAATCACTTGAACCTAAGAAGCAGAGGTTGTAGTGCCAATGCACTCCAGCCTGGGTGACAGAGTGAGATTCCATCTCAAAATAATAATAATAATAATAATAATAATAATAATAATAATAATAATAATAATCCAGCCTCACATATTACTTTATAGCAATGCAAGGACTAACTAACACACCAAATGAAGGCCAAATTTCTTACTTTGCTTACTCTTCAAAATACTTGTAAAGCATCATGATCCAGATGTGCTGGAGATTGAGGATGAAAGATAAAAGAAGAAAGAATCTATACTCTCAAAAATATCACTGCTTAGGTTCCCTAGAAGCAGAGCCTAAGACAAGGATTTGGATGCACATGATTTATTAAGGGAGTGTTGTCAGATGAAAAGGAGAGAGGAAAGTAGGGTAGGAAAGGGAAAGCAGCTAAGTGAGAATGTGGTATTAGCATAAGTCTAACTTCAGCCTGATGTCACGGGGAGCACTAGAGCATGAATTGCCCCAGAGTTGACCTAATGAAGTGAGGGCACTGGCTTTTTGTATTCCCCATGTCAGTTAGTCATCAGATATGAGCTGATAGTGCTGGGAGATGGGCACATAAGGTTTGGCAAAGTAAATGTTTTTCAGCTACAAGTGATTCTGAAGAGAAGTGGGGGCTGTGAGCCAATAGCAGCTAACACTGACGGAAACTGGGCATTTTACAGGCTTGGTAAAAGGGATCTGGCCAGGGCACCAAAGGTGACTAAAGTCACAGGAAAGCAGCACAACCTCCAAGTGACAACATACTCCGCTCTTTAAAAAAATATAAAGCAGCAAGGAAAGAGGCATTTTGAAGGGTAAAAATCATAAGATTTATAACTTAACCAGCAGTGTTTCTAGCTCAATCAGCAGTTGCTCATATTTATCTGTACATCCTGACATTATCTGTAGACGGTCCTTAAAACCTGACTCTTCCCTTAGCTGTGTCCTGTAAGATATGGATATTTCTTAGTTGCTGTTTCTAGCTGTGCATCTTGAAATTGCATTCTTGGATTATTTTAATCTTATCAAAGCCTTTATATGCGTGACTCTGACTGAAAATGGAGGGCTTCTTCATTTCCACAGAACAACTCCTACCTGGCTGATCAGATAGCAGCTGGATTATTCTTTTAAAAACAGTTGATTCTCTGTATAAAGCTTGTGCACATCAGGCTTGCTTTTTTTCCCCCAAGTCAGAAATCAAGTTCAAGAAGAATTTCAAGCTGACATAAAAATAATTCCCCTCAAAAGTCTAAAATGTCATTCTCTACAGCCTATACTAAACTTTTCACATGGAAATGGTTACGAACATCTGAGTATTGCATGATTGAACCATAGCATTCATTTTTTTCCCCAGCAAATATTTATTAGACACTTACTAGGTTCAAAAATTACACTAAATGACATGATAGATAAAATGATTAAATCAAATGAAACTTCAAATTTGAAAGAAATACTGGACACTATCACATCTGTGAAACTTTTATTAGCAGTAGAAATTTAAAAAATAAAATCATACGTAGGGACCCAATATATGAAACACTGAGAGCACAGACACAGTAGCTGAAACAGAAATAAGATACCACAGCCTTGAATGCTCTGACTTCATTTTGCCCCACATTCTTGAAAAATCACTCATTCAAGTGCATTTATAGTTTGGGCAACCTAGATTTGAACAGGTGATTTGGCTAAACGTACACGACTGCTTTGTAGAACCCAGGTCATCCGACACCAAGCTTGGTACATTTTCTTTCAAACTGCAGCTAAAGATATACTTCCCATCCTCTGGCACTTTGCACTTTGTTTGAAAAGAAAATAAATGTTCAATAATGATACAAATTGCATGACACTAATGCTATATAAATGCTGCAGAGTAATTTACATAAGACTGGGAAATGTGAAATGAATCATTCACAGAAGAAACTGATGAAGTAATTTCAATGTCTACATAAAATTTCTCAGTGTTTCATGTAAGAACAGACTATGGTAATTATCTTTTGTTGTTATTGTTGGGGAGGAAAGTAACTAATGAGTAAATGACAAATAACCAAACTCCAAATCAATTTAAAAAAAATCAGCTATGCTCCTTTCCCCTAACAACCCAAATACTTCCAAATGTTTCTACAATCAAAACTGCTTGGGCTGGGCTTTATTTATCCTCCCTTCTTTAGCCTTCAATTTGTAGATCTTGAACTAATTTAGAACAGTTTAAAGAACACCAAAAGTTAAGTGACAAAGACAAAGAGATGCACTGCCTCCTACACTCTTTCCCTGTAAGAAAAACACTGGAACGGTCCAGTGACCTGTCTGAGTCAGCATCCTCAATCTCATGTCCTGTCTTTCCTGCACCCTCACCCTGTGTCAGGGTCCTCCGGCTGTGATAAGCTCCCAAATTGCAAGTGTCACAGGCTTCAGTGGACCAGTGTATTCGCAGTCACAACAGCAAGGACTTGCTGTGGAAAGAAGGTGCTATTTGAACAGTTCAAGTGCTTCTGGTTTGCTGTGTCTGCTCTGATCGCAAAATTCTATCTGATTTTGACCTGCGACCTATCTCTAATGTCCAGCTTCTTGTACAACGCAGACTCCTGAGGCATCCTCGGGCTGCTGCCTCTCACCTTCAGATGCCCTTTGAGCCCTGCCTCCTGACTTAATCTTCCCTTCCAATCACTGCTGGTTGGTTTCTGCCCCACCTTACCCTCTTGCTTCTGGGCTCTATGCTGTGTTTTTCAGCCCCTTTGTGGTTTTCTTCTTTCTGGCATCTGGTTGTGTGTGAAGAATCATGCTGCCTGCACTAGTTTAGCCAGTTATGCGGTTCAGATCAGCAACAGGAGATGGGTTATTCCGTTAAAGGATTGTAAAGGCCACAGCTCTAATAGCTTCAGCTCGCCACACTTCTAGGAGAGAAATTCTAAATTCTGATTATAGATAATCCAGGAAATTTTAAATCAAATATATGAGTCATTATTTATTATGTGTTAACAGCCTATACATTTATTGTAACCAGATATAAAAAGTCAAGTAAACATCGCATATGAACTGTCAACTTAACTGTAAGGGTGAAAACATTCCCCTCTTTAAGAAGGATGAAAAGATGCAATAATTCCAGCTTCCAAGGATGAAAGGCCTCCAGGGTTTTGTAGATTCTACATTTTAAAAAATATTTTAGATCAATAACATGAAGAAAGGAGTCAGTAGCACCTGTCACAGACACAGACATGGTTACTGAAGCAGTATCAGCTTAGTGCATATTATATCATATGTCACTGCGGGAATATCAGCCACGAGAAGAAGAAAAGCACCCTCAGGACAATATTGCCTGGACCTGACCCCAGATCTTATTTTCTTGAATGACAGATATTTTTAAAAAATCATTTTTGGTAACCCAGAGGTACACCCCAAGCCAGTTCTAAATTACGTGATCTTCCCAGGAAGAAAGCAGCTGTTTTTATGTCTGAATAGCTGATAGGAAGGTAGGTGAAGATACTACAGGGCTCTTTGGGAAGTTGGTAGGGATAGATGTAGGAAATCTAGGAGAACATGCTTCTAGTATTTCTAAATTTTTTTCTAGTTGGTTATACTCCCTGAGTAATAACTTGGAAAAAGCGCTACTGATTTTGGAATATAAGGGTAGCACTTGGGGCCTGGCACAAACGACAGAACTAAGCTTTTAATTTGACAGTGGATTTTATTGGAGAATATCAGGAGATACTGAGGTATAATGGATACATCTTGGCAGAAAGTGAAAGTTATTGAAGTCAGATTTAGAGCATGAAAATCCAGCTGACAAATCTCTCATTCCAAAGAGTTTAGGACTATATTCAAACTTCATGAGATCATAACTATCTTCACAGTTTCCACTGCCAGATTTCTGAGGATTTTAGAACAGCATATGTCTGCTATTATTGCATTCAAATAAATTTTTGTTTTATTTTACTGATACATGGATTTGAAAGTCAAAGGAAATGGTGGCTTTACATTTAATGAAAGCTTTTGTGTTTAAAAGGTAAAATTGGGGTAGCTGAGCACAGTGGTGCATGCCTGTGATCCCAGCACTTTGAGAGGCCAGGGTGAGAGGATTGCTTGAGCCCAGGAGTTTGAGATCAGCCTGGGCTACGTAGAGAGATCTAGTTTCTACAAAAAATAAAATTGTTTAATTAGCTGAGTGTGATGGCTTGTGTCTGTGGTTCCAGCTACCTGAGAGACTGAGGGGGGAGTATTTCTTGGGCCCAGGTGGAAGCTGTAGTTAGCTATAACACTCTAGCCTGGGTAACAGAATGAGACCTTGTCTCAAAAAAAAAAAGTTAAAGTAGGGGATAAAAGATGAATTTCACAAGTCAGGAATAGTTCAGTACACAACATTGGGTTTGATTAGAGTCCTCTGAGTGCCAAAGAGGATGCGGACACCTCAAATACCACTCATATTTCTATTCTTTATATCTTCATACGAAAAGATATACTTCGGTACACTTAGGACCATCTTCTTGAATCCAGACTGGTCCTCCAGTACAAGCTGTACCTCTTGTCAATAACTGTGTAGACTAAACCGTTCTCAAACTTACATTATTATCATTATTATGTTTTTTATACAAAGGGCAGTACATTCTTTTCACCAGAAACATCTATGTGCACAGTTAGAGGGATTAAAGTCTAAACACCTGTCACCATAGAAAAAGGCAGCTAAGGCAGCCCAATCAACTTCTCCCTTGTGTTTTCAGAAATAAACCAACAACATGATAGAAAAGCTATAAGATGTATTCAAATCGATGACCAATTTTTGATTAGCAGCATTTCAACCACCACAATGTTTAATACAACTTCCCTTTGCTAAGGAAAAAGAATCCGTAAACTCTTCTTTGAAGAAATATACTTGCATGTTTAACAAGCTGTATTCATTCACACATTTATATCTTCATGCAGTCAGTACAAAATTATTAAATATACACAGTACTGTAAATGTTTTGGTTTAGGGACTGATACAGGGGGAAAAAAATCAAAAGCAACACTCCAAGGTTGTAAACCTATAGTCCCTTTAGATTTATTAAGTAGGCCATCAAAGAAAAAATAAGACTGTTAAAGTTTTATAATTTACAACTTCTCTTTGGAGAATGGAGTAGTTGTATGAGACAGTTGTTTTGGTTTGTTTTGTTGTTAATTTGAAAAAGAAGGGTTAGACAATCAGAAGTAGGTGTTCAAGATTTGATGACTGAAACATCAATTGGTGTTATGTCAAGTATATAAGTCCTTAATAAATACGTGTGGATTGTGTGAAATGTTTAAACTGAAAAGTGAAAAATCTGTTAAAGATACACATTTTAAGTAATATGAAATGTTTCACAGCAATGTCAGAAAACATATTACCAAGGAGAAAGATAAAAGTGAAACAGACATGAAAATTTGCAAACTACTTAGTTTACATCCATTTATGCTGGTTAAAGAAAATTTAGACAGTGGTCATTTTCTGATATTTAAAATGTCTTTTTATTCAAAAGATGATGCAGATTAAAAACAATTACATTGGCTGGGCACGGTGGCTCAAGCCTGGCAGCCCTTTGAGAGGCCGAGGCGGGCAGATCACTTGAGGTCAGGAGTTCAAGACCAGCCTGGCCAACATGTTGAAATCCCGGCTCTACAAAAAATACAAAATTATCCAGGCGTTGTAGCAAGTGCCTGTAATCTCAGCTACTTGGGAGGCTGAGGTGGGAGAATCGCTTGAAACTGGGAGGCAGAGGTTGCAGTGAGCTGAGATTGTGCCACTGCACTCCAGCCTGGGTGACAAGAGTGAAACTCTGTCTCAAAATAAATAAATAAATAAATAATTACATTAATGCTCTTTTTATCAAAACATTACTGAATCCTTCGCTGCTTACTGCCAATGTCATCTGGACACAAAACGACAACATGGTAATGATACAATATAAGGCAAGTTGGGATTTCACCTTATGATCTGCCACTTGAAGATATACTCATAAAAATATATCATATTTCCAAGTGTGGACATATCTGTATTCTATTTTAGGAAACAGAAAAAAAAATTCCAAGTTTCTATTTGCTCATGGAAGATTGAGAGCAAAATCTTCTACAGAGCCACCAGGGACAGACATTACAAATAAGAAGTGATATTGAAGGTAAAGTTCTATAGCAATGGTTCTCAGTATAGCAGATAGTGCCTTCTGGAGGCATCTAGGAAATGTGTAGGGACACTTGGGTCTCCCAGTTAGATTAAGACTCTATAATATTTAGTGGGAAAGGGCAGGGCTGATAGACATCCTGAGATCTACAGGACAGTCTGCATAATTAGTAGTTGCATTTGGTGATTCTCAGAATAGTGGCAAACATCAGAGTATTCTTTCTGTCTTCTAATGTGGTTGTGTTCAACAGTTTAGGCAATAAGCATATGTTTTAGTTCCTTTAGCTCTTTTTAATATTAAAGTTAGGTAACTTTGGTTATCTTTTGAAATTACGTATGTTGGTAAATGGAATGGAATGGATTTTTCTTTTTCATAGTACAGAGGGTCTTACAAACAGTTGTTATATTTGGGGTCTGAATAGGGTTGGGAAACCTCTGTTCCATAAGCATGCCTCAAAATATGAGAAAGAGACACAGGCAACCAAGGCTTCTCCCAGGGCTGTGAGAGAATGAGCCCAATAAGACTACTGAGTTTTATATGGATTCATACTCCATTGTAGCTATATTGTCTTCATGGGAGCAGCTACACCCAGGAGATGTTTTAGAGACAAAATTTGGTCTTATGGATAACCAAATTGTAAGATGGTTGCTAGCAACAGAGTTGTACAGAGAATAGTAACTTTGTAGGTAAGAAATGATAACAACAATAAAATAATTTGTTAAGAGAAAAAGTGATAATTATTAGCCATGAGCAAGAGAGAAGATAACCTTCATCAATGGAAAAAGGCAAAAAAAGGAACATGGACAAGTACTACGATGTGAGTGTCCTAAAATTAATACACATATCTTACTCATATTTCCATTCTTCAGTCTATGTTTAATAACACTGCAAGTACTTAATAAACTAAAATACTGAAATAAATAAAGAAAATAAAGAGTTGGTAAAAAAATAGATACATCAAAAATTGTAAAGGAACCTACCATTCATCCTTGATCATTTTGAAAATAAACGAACTGATTTCTTTCCGTCTCCTCCCTCCTTTTTTTTTTTTAAGATGGAGCTTCGCTCTTGTTACCCAGGCTGGAGTGCAATGGTGCGATCTCGGCTGCAACCTCTGCCTCCCGGGTTGAATTGATTTTCCTGCCTCAGTCTCTGGAGTAGCTGGGATTACTGGCATGCACCACCATGCCCAGCTAATTTTTGTATCTTTAGTACAGATAGGGTTTCACCACGTTGGCCAGAATGCTCTTGAACTCCTGACCTCAGGTGATTTGCCTGCCTTGGCCTCCCAAAGTACTGGGATTACAGCCACAAGCCGCCGCTCCCCGCCCTCCCTAACTCATTCTTTTAGTTGTGCTTGGGTGCAAATCTGTTCACTGTGCTGCCACCTCCCTCGCCTTTTTCCTTTGGATTAATCAGATTTTTCTGCCTGTTCTCAGTCAACAGGACTACATACTTGATCTCCAGACTTAGGCCTCTGTCATTGAGAGACTCTCTTTTAGAGAAACAAGAGACATTATATACTAAGTCATTTGAGTCATCCCAGATTAAGACTGAATCAATTTAAGTCTCAGGGGTATTTAAAACTGGATTCTCCTATCCTGAGATTCCTCCACTTCCTGCAGAAAAGTTAATTTAGGTCATTTAATGATATCCTGCACGATGGGCAACTGTGCCTGTGAATGAAACCACACAAAAGTATGATGCAAATATGGAGCAAGTCAGTCCTCTGAGAGAGTTACCCAATTGAGCTCTCTTGGAGCCTCCTAGAACATCTGCCTATCAAGATTTAAGAATGCATATCTTAAAATAATATTTACAAAATCAGATCTGGAGTTTATTATTCACTTAACATCAAGACATTTGGGAAATAAGTCTAGCATTATTAGAATTTTACTATGTATTTATTTCACTGAAGTCTTGATTAGTGAAAGAAAAATGGAGCAAAACCCAGTCAGATTTGGAGTATCTGCAGAAAACCTCTTAGCATCATGTCAGTAAATAAATTTTGTGCTCATGACAACAGATCAGGGAGATGTATACATTACTGGTTATTTGGTTAAATCTAAAACTGAATTCTTCTAAAACTAAAAAAAAGGAAGTAATCCTGAGTTGAGCAATGTATAACATTCTTCTATTTGTCCCTGTAATAGACTCCTTAGACAGCTGTACATATCATGGTGAAATTTAACATTATTTTTTAAAGATTTTTAAAACAATTATTATATTGAGAGTAAAACTGAATTTTTCACTTTAAAAATTTTCATGTGGTTTTAACACTGATTTTCAAAACCATATGTTATTTATCAAAAAACAGTATATATAGCTTAGATGTTTCACAGCAATGTGAGAAACAGGCATCATAGTGAACACTGAAAAAGACTTCTATCAAAACATCTGGTAAGCAGAAGTCAAACTGAACTTAACTGGTAATACGCATATTTATCTAACTTTTTTTTCTAACTTGGTTATATATCTTGGAAGAGATGCAGCAATTTTTTTTTCTAGGAGAAATTTAAAATACTAATGTACTTTATACACATTTTTTATGATTGTGATGACATTTGTCTTACTGTCATTCTTCAAAGCATTATGCAAATTTTAAAAATAGCAACTTTAAGTTAACATTTTTTAAAAAAATTATCTTAGTAGTGAATTTAAAAATATTCTTCACATTTGCCTCTACCAACTAGCTTATCTAATGAATCTCAATTTATTTGTATGGCTGTTACATATGCTTTCTTCCACTTTGATTATTTTGACACACTTTACTTTTTATTAAGAGCAAAAAGTACAGTTCTTATAACTTCTAGAGATACTGCTCCACTCAATGACAATGTCTGCAGAATTCTGAAATCAGAGACTGTCAGTGATTACAAAAAAGCCTATCTTAAATCAAGATGATTTAGAATCTACTGCAGCTCAGGAAATGCGACAGGACCACTATGCACTTAAAGACATTCCAAAGCAAACTAAAGTATTTCCAGGCTTTTCTTAAGGAGCAGCCATCAATAAAAAAACTTTAAATGTTTGATTTTTTTCATTTTTCAAAGTGCAACAAAATGCACCACACAAGTTGAACAGTTAACTGCGTTTGTCTCTTCATTCTTCATGCAACAATTTTACAACTGTCTCTTCATTCTTCATGCAACAATTTTACAACAAGCAGTGTTATCATTAACTGAATCATGTTATGATGAAACATCACAAAATGTTAACCATATCTGCCCATCACATAAGCGAAACTTTTAAAGACTGGCACTAATTAGTAGTGATAAGGATATGGAGAAATAGGTATTCTAACATATTGTTTGGAATGTAAATTTGTATAATTATTCTGAGGGTGATTTGGCTGTAATTATTTAAAATGTATACATATTATATGACCTGACAATATTGCTTCTAGGAATTTATCCTATAACAGAGAATGTAAAGATCTTAACCAAGGATGTTAATTGCATCATTGCATGTAATCCCAAGAAATCTGAATAAACTAAATGGTCATCAGTATAGGAAGGATTAAACATATACTCATGCTATGGAATACTTATATTTTCTTACTTGAAAATAAGTCCAAGACACTATTTTAAGTTCAAAAATGCAAGCTTCAGACCACTATTTTAGGATAACAATTTAAAAAACAGTGTATTTTTCTATACTCAGGTAGACGTAGAAATACAGATAGGGTCTATGTTCATAAATAAGTCTGAAAAGAAATGCCCACATTAAGTAAATATATAACGAATGCCAACTGAAATTACATACAGCAAAGTTTCTATTTAAAACACAACATTGGATTAGTGATTTGTTTTATAAAACTGGAATCAAAAAAGCCTATATACATTTTGGATAATCATATACTTGTTTAAAGGAAGTATTAGTAAATTCTAAATTATAGGAAATCTATTACTTGGACTGTAAATATTCTACCCAAATGAAAAGTGAAGCAACTTCTTCCAAAGAACGTGTCTTAGCAGAGCTGGGGAACTGTCATGAGAAGGGTCACAGCTCATGATTTAACACAGATGTGGCCAATGTCTATTTTTATCCCAAGCCTGCTCTGCATAGTAACTGCATACAGGTGTGATGCCTTCCCTCCTACAACCCTCTTCTTTGGAGCACAATGTCTGATTTAGTGCATTACAGACAGGAAGCACATAATACTTTCTGAATGGATGGCCAATAGTCCCAATATTTAGCGCCTGGTGGAAGAGTTAGGTGTAGCAAATTAAGCAACTAACAAAGACATATTCAAGGGATGGTTGTTGTTACCATGATGATGTGAATTCTAAATTTAAAAAAAGCAAATTAATAAAGTGGTTGCTGTTGTTATCATCGCTAAGAAGTACTGTGCTGGGAAAGCCAAGAGAAAATGCCTGAATTAGATAAGGCGAAATTTTAGCTACATACTTCTTAGGAACTTCAATTTTTATCCTCTGTTTTCCTTCTCTCTATTAACATTTTCTTATTTGCTCTAGTCTTTAGACATTCTTAGACCACCAACAATGAGCCACATTTACTTCAAACTGTCTCCACAGTGGCTGAACTTGTCAGAAAAATAATAGCTGCATAATACAAAGCAGTTTTATTTATTTTATTTTTTTTAAATAAGAGTCAAAACCAAGATGATGGTGATCAGGGTGAATAGAGGAAAGATGTGCTAGGACAGTGAAACCATCCCTACCTCAGATGCATAGCCCAGTTGGGTTTTCACCTGGGAAACAGCAGCAAATAGATCAAGAAAGCAGGAGGTATACAAGAACCAGGAAGTTTCCTCAAACAAAGGGCAAGACTGGAATTGTAAGAGGCACAGATGCAAAGCCAAGTGCTGTGAACAACAGCAGCAGCCAGCAATTACAAGATTGTTTGAATTGAAAATATGGAACATCTCTCACATGAACATCTCTCAGAAAGAGTAACATTGTTAACGAAAAGATAATCTGTATTTGTACGTAAGGGTTAGTAATACTCATACTGTAAGGCTCTTCCTGCCACTACTAACGATATACAAAATGTGATGAGTATCACTTTGTCACCTCTACCATCATATTTGCAAGCACCTGAATTTCTATATTTTGTTAAACAATGAAGAATATAGAGTGTCTACATAAACCAAGCAGAAATGATAACCTCTTTACCAGTTAATACAGAATGAGCTCTTGAATACAGAATAGGAAATATAAGAACTGGAACAAGATTCCAAAATTAGAAGCTCAGTTGAGATCTGTGTCAAAAACAGGAGGTGGCAAATCTAGAACTATGCTGATGTTTGGGGTAAAATTCATTTTCTCTGCCTGCAAACTAAAAACACAATAAACTACACATGTGTTTCAGTATATGGCATTTTTTAATAACCCATTTTTACAAAATTTAAGATATTTTTATTTTAAAATGAATTAAAATTTCTCCATGATTTTTGTAAGATCAATAGGGGTTACATAATTTATTTGAGAAAACCGATCACACAAAAATTGATTTTCTAACCTAAAAGTTTTAAACACATAAAACAAACTCAAAGAATATCATATTCTATCTTTCCCTCCTATGAATCACACATAGTGGTCACCATTCATTCAAGAAAGATCCAATTAACTTTCTACTCTAATGCATTTATTAAATCAGATAGATAATCTTTGAAGTAATCCACATTTCATTAAAAACTGAATGGAATTCATAATTTCAGTCACTACACTGATAAAGGATAAAGAATACTTTGTTTGTCTATAATAGGGCAATAGTCATAAACCAATGCTCTATAACACTCTGCAAATGTGCTTCAATGAGGCCAAACTGGATTTTAATACTTTTTCCCTGCAATTGGATAAATATAGAAAAAAGAGGCAGAAATCATATTACCATAATACTGCAATAAAACTAATGTAATCCTTTTCATGTAGAGATTCAATATAAAGGTCTGTTTTTAATTGCTAAGTATAAAAATACTTAAGACTTTTCTGTAGCATTTGCTACTTCATAATCAAAGTGAAGTTTGAACTGCCACTACATATAGATGATAATATCAACAAATTATATATTATATATGTATATATATGTGTGTATATGTGTGACTGTGTATGTGTAGATATACAGTTTTATATATCTATAGTTTTATAAAAGTGTATATATATGTAATACACATTTGTGTGTTGTCTGTGTATATATAGCTATATATATAGTTTTATAAAAGTGTGTATATATAATATACATTTGTGTGTGTGTCTGGAAAGGCTACACCTTCAACATTGCTTGGAAATCACCTTACCTCATATCCAAATTGATAACTTATAAATTTGGCTTTCCCCAGAACTGCACAATTCAGCTAAATTTCTGCCACCTAAGAAGAAACCCCTCTCCTCCAGTTTCCAATATGTCCTTTATTTTCTTCTGCACCTTTGCCACACACACTTTAACATTCGTATTTCTAACAGTCTGTTGAAGGCAACCTAGGCCGCGTATCATATGCCTCAAAATTCTTCCAAGCTTCTGCCCACTGTCCGATTCCAAAGTCATTTTCATGTTTTTAGATATCAATTACAGTAAGACCACACTTGCAGGTGCCAGAATTTGTATTCATTAGGTATAAGTGCTATAACAAGTTATAGCAAATTTGTGGGTTAAAACAACACAAATTTATATTTTATATATTTGAGAGATCAGAAGTCATAAATGAGTCTTATGGGACTAAAATCAAGGTGTTGGCAGGGCTTTCTTTTTCTACAGACTCAAGGGAGATAATCTGTTTTCTTGATTTTTCCAGTTTCTAGAGGCTGCCTGAATTCCTTGGCTCATGGCCCCAGTCTTCTTCAAAGCAGGCCATTCCCACTTTTGCTTCTGTCATCACATCCCTTCTCTGCCTTTGATTCTGCTACCTCACATGTATCAGCACTCTTGTGATTACACTCGATCTACCTGGAAAATGCAGAATAACTTTTCCATCTCAAGATCCTTAACTTAATCACAACTGCAAATTCTCTTTTTCCAAGGAAATTAACATCTTTACAGCATCTGGGGATTAGATGTAGACATCTTTGTGGGGGGACATTATTCAGCCTATCACAGAGGCCCCAACCAAGAATTATCATGATTACAAATAACTTATCTATTTGATAAAATATTATTCTCTAGAAATGTTAACTGGCTCAGTTTTGATTGACAGCATTAAAATAAAGGTTGTGAGGGGGAGATAATGTCATTATCAAGTATTTTGCCATCTTTGCTCTGACATAAATGTCTATGAAGGGCATTTATGAAGTTACATGGGCAGTAGTTATTTCCGTTTCATTAGTCACTTAATGCGACATTCCTAGAATTAAAGGCAATAAGTAATTTAGACTTTACTGTTGATATTATTTGAAAAAAACTCTAAATTATAAAATTCTCCCTAATAAACAAATGGCATCCTCAGTTTGATGCTATCAGTATACTCTATCAAATAAAAATCTCTGGCTTGTTCTTTAAACACATTAGAGAAATTATTACGATAGACCTCTGGTAATTATATACTCATATTATTCTTGTTGATATGAAAATAGGGATTGAACATATATGATCATTTTAACTGATGATTCTACATGGACAGTGTGAAATAAATGTGGTGCATTGAAAAAAGTAGAGGGAATTGATTTCTGTTCCCACACTTTCAACTGTCTGTACTGCCTCAGAAAATCAAATCATCAATAAACATCAGTCTTCTCATCCATAGGAAGAGGGCATTGACTTAGGTCAAGGATTCCAAACTTTTTAGTATGAAATCATTTTGAAAAAGAAATATGAAATGGAGTATAACTATTTTATTAATAACTTTATAAGTTTAAATTCACTTATGACCAATATCATACTATAAAGCCAATCAGTGAAAAGAAGTGTTCTAAATTTGAAACCAAAGGTTAAGAAAGATGGTTGCATAGGGTTAAAAATAATGCATTTTGTTGCTTGAAGGGGCAAAAAAAAAAGAGAAAGATAGATGTGATATTATAGAAACTATTTAATGTACTATTTGTTTGCATGTTATCAATATATAGAATCTGAATGTTATTACACACTATCATCTCAGTAACTAACATTGCAATTTCAAGTTATACATATAAAAGAATTAGAAGAAAACTTTTTTTTTACATCTGTTCAGGAATAAAGAAACTTTATGGCAAAATTTAAGGGACCATATTTTTTAGTATTCTGTATATGACACATTTGTGTATTTAAGCACTGTTTTTTAATTTTAAAAATAGTTTATTACAAAAGTAGGGCAAATGCTTTTGAAATCCCTAAAATGCCTACAAAAGAAACTAGGAAAATATTTGGAATATATAATGCTAAGTAACTCAAACTGGAAAATTTGATAATTCTATTTTCTAATAACAACATATTTTTCTACTATATCAAATCCAACATTTTCAATCCTCATCCTATCTGGGAAAGAAGTCATAGATTTCAACTTACTTAGATTTCAAAGAGCTTATTTTTTGCACAATGTCACAAAACCAAATGAAATAGCAAACTCATCCACTTAGTCGCACATGCCAAAAACCTATCATTCTTCATTTTATTTTCCTTCCTACATTACATTTAATCTATCAACAAGTACTATATATCTGTATCTAAAAGTATTAAATACACCCATTTCTCTCTCATGCCACTTCCACTCCCTTAGTCTTAGCCACCATTGTAGCAGTATGTGCTCTAAACACACTCTGAGGAGCTTACAATCTCTTCTCCATGGAGTATCCAGAGTGATCCTTAAAAGCACAGATCAAATCATGATTCCCTGTTTATATGCTCCAGTGGCTCTCCTTCACACTTAAAACACAAATTCTCTACCATGGTTTACCAGGCCTTCATGATCCTTTCTATTCCTTGAATATCTAAAGTTTGTTCCAACATCAAGGCCTTTGCATCTGCTGTTCCTTCTCCTTGGTAAGCTCTTCTGGCAACTTATAAGACAGGCTAATTTTTTTTTTTCCATTTAAGTCTCAGCTGAAACATCAACTCAGTGAGGATTTATCCGAAATCCTTTCAAAATTAGTTTTACTCAGGAAACTCACTCAAAATCACATTATACTGCTCTTTTTTTCTTCACTGAATTATGTATCAAAACTTCAAAACTATCTTGATTACTTAATTTGTATATATGTGTGTGTGTATATATATATAGTATACATATAGTTGGTTTCCCCATCTGAAATATAAGCTCCTTGAAGTGATATGTCTTGTTTACCATTTTAATGCTGTCATCTAGAATCATGCCTGGTACACAGGGAGTGTTTAAAATTTTTTGTTGAATAAATGAATAAATTTGTTGGGGAAAATCCTCATATAGCCTGTCTGTTACAACTTTTCTGCCTCTGCTTACACCCAGTCCCAGTTGAAAGTTCAGCTGACTTCTTAAGATGTAGATGAGAATTAATGACTTCTCAGAAATTTTCCACAAGTCATCATCGCTGTTCTTGAAAACTTCCTATCTCTTTAGTAGAATACTTACGTATAGTATACATACTTATATTACACACACACATTTTTGAGGTATTTTACCTAGACTTTACTTTTTTCAGATCTGTTTATGTGTCATGAGTTGGACCATAAACTTCTTGAAGTCATGGGCTTCTATATCATTTCTTTCCTCTATTTACAGTAATGACAATACTCTCCATCTAGTAGGTGGAGGCAAGGTTAAAAAATCAACTACTTTTTAAACCTATTTTTCTCACAAAAAGGTGAAAATTAATGTAAGATGTAATAAAATTAAGAACTCAGGTAAAAGTTTTCTTCCTGTATTTTGTCCATTCTAAGAGGGTATGTGGGGACAGGAGCAAAAGCAAAGGCAGAACTTCTATTCATAAACATTTTATCTTTTTCTGTATTAGATTAAAAGAAAAATGACCACTCCACATTGTTTCTAAATTATGTCAATAAAATTAAAATATGGCAGGAAAAAACACTGATACATCTTCAGGGCATTGAAAAGAATAATTATGAATTATTGTACTAAATAATATTCTGAATAACAATATTAATTAATTCAGCCATTCCAAAGAGATTAATACATATCTTTTAAATATCAGGCACACACAATTATAAGGAGGTTGATACCCATACCCTCATGAACTTTACAGTCCAGTCCATCCAGACAGTTCTTCATTTCAATAAGAAATTTCTGAATAATTAACAATTTGACCACTCGTTAGCCTTTAAATCCATTGTGGTAATATAACATTTTTATTCTACTCCAGTTTTTCAAAGGCAAAGAGAGACTTTAGCCTTGCAAACAGGTTGAAAATAATCTATTAGCTGTTAATTTTTTAGTACCTTTATATTGAAACAAAAAAGAATTTATAATGATAAGGATGTTGACAGAAAAGCAGGAAATATTAGTGCCTAACAAAAGTCAGTTCTAAGTCATGAAACATTGATTTTTCATTAAAATTGTACTTGTTCCTGGCTTGGCTTCGCTTAGATATGCTTTCATTTCCCTCAGGCTATAGTCTATTACTCTATTACTAATATACTTTTCTGTAATTTCCTCCCTTCTGAGTTCAGGAAAAGAAAAACCTTAAATCAGATTAATTTTTGACAACTTGTGCATAGATCCAACAGGCAGGAAGAATGATACACACTTGCTCCCTTGCAGGAGAAAAGAGTGTGATTATCAGCAAGAGTGCTCAGGCACTCAGAGGAAAAACTACAAAATTCTGCTCACTGATTACAAGTTTTCAGAAGGGCTAGCAGCTTTCCCCAGGCTAATTCCATCCTAGGGACCAAGAAAAGCCACATCCCTGCCCAAAGTTTCTGAATGGCTAGGCGAATCTACCACAGTTGATCCTAACTTCCATCCCTTTAAAAAAAAGTGGTAAAAAAGTATCTGAAAATTTATTGCTAATGTTTTCCTATTTCCTTCAACGTGCAGCAGACTAAAAATAAAACATCTTAGTACAATTTAAGAAATTAAGACTAGGATTTCAGGCCCTGAAGCCCATTTAAATATAGATTTTTTTAAACCCTTGCTTTTAAACCACCCTCCACTTTTGTAAATTCTGTGAGGGATGAAACACAAGAGTGCAATTTAAGAGTGGAGATTGTGGAGTTGTTCAAGTTCACCAGTGGTGACTCTAATGGAAATGAATTCAGTCAAAAAGTTTCTAAACGCATGGAGTACAACCAAATGGAGCTTCCACAGTTTTACTGTAACTTCTTGACAGATAAACTGTTCTTTTTCTTCTCATGTTTGTTATTTTTGAATGTCTGTCACTTACAAAAGCATTTCATCCATCTGCACAGAGAAAAGGGCACCAATGAAAGATTTGACAAAGGCAGCATCAGACAAAATTAAGATTATGAAGAAAATGCTTTTAAAAAAACAAATTCTTCATCAAGTAATTAGTGAATAGACCACAAAAGAAAGAAGAATGGAGAAATTAGACAAAACATGATCAGTGCTGGTATGTCTTATGCATTTGGATTTTGGATAAAATCTTGCATGTACTTCTACTCTTTTGTAACAAGTGATTGTTTCTTAATATTGGAATACATGTTTAAAGTGCAAGCTAGCACTGAAGTCAAAGATTTTTAGAGGGAGTGAGGAAGGACTTATATCATCATTGCTTACCATAAGTAATATTCTGAGTAAATAATAATCTGACTTAGACATTCCCAGGATATAAACATACAAAATGAAGAGGTAAACTCCAGACTATATGAATCTTTAGTAATTATACATCAACTTTAGGTTTATCAAACAAATGAAAAATGAATGCCCACATGTATACCTTAGCTTTTGGAATTTTTTTCTTTCCATGGCTTCTAGGGATACTGTCTGTTACTGATTTCCAGCTATATCTGGTGCCAGTGAAGATAAGTTCCACCAAAGTACCTATGGCAAGGCAGTCAAAGTGTTTTCTGGTATTTTAGACTGACACCAAGAAAGAGATTCACTATTTTAAAAATATCATGGTAATGATTAGGTTACATGAACTTTAAGTGCTTTCTTGCAATCATTTGTGAAATACCTGAACCTTTACACTACATATTGGAAACTAGCCACTATTTTTACTAAAATTCCTAAGGGAAAATAAAAACTTAATATCAGTTCAAACACTATATGCTGCAAATAACAGATTACCTACTAGTAGTGATTTCCATAATGACTTTTTTTTTTTCAAATACAGATATCTAAAATTAAGGAAGTCCAGCAATGGATATCTGAGAACCTCATGGTTGTTAGGGCTCTGAGTTGGCTAATTTGTTTAGACAATATGGCTCAACTTTCTGAACACCATATCCTGATAAAACAATGCCCCTAGGTAAAAGGGATGAGTTGGGGGTTGTCCTTCCCACCTCTCTGTTTATAAATCAGGAAGGAAAACATTTCTTTGAAGTCCTACGTTCTAAGAAGATGTAGCCTTAGATCTCTCATGCCAAGATAGGATTACATCTACGACGCTAAACCAATCACTGGCAGAGGGTGAATGGGACTTGCTTAGACCAGTTGTTGACCTGACCAGCAGTGTCAGGGGTAAACTCATTAGAAATGCAAATTCTTGGGCCTCTTTCCAGGCCCAGTGATTTAGAAACTGTGGAGTTGAGGCCCAGCAATCTGCTTAACAAGCCCCCAAGTGATTCTGACTTAAGCTTAACTTTGAGAAGAGCTGATTTAGAACATTCTAGCTCATCCCCTGGATTTGACCCACCTTCTCTGAGCAGATAAGGAAAAATTCTCCTCAAGGTTCCGCATATGTTCCCTCTGCCTCTAATGCTCCTGCCCTACATGGGTGATGCCCTCATTCCCTTCAGGTTTCTGCTGAAACATTACCTCACCAGCGAGACTTTCTCTGATAACTGTATATAAAGTAGTAATGCCCTAGACACATTCTTCCAGTATTTCCTATCCCCAGACCCTTTATTTTTCTTCAAAGGATTTATCACCATTTGCCATGCCACATACAGTCAGCCCTCTGCATTCATGGGTTCTGCATCCGAAGAGTCAAACAACCACAGACTTACACTGTATTTGGTATTATAAGTAATCTAGAGATTAAGTATACAGAAGGATGTACATAGGTTACAGGCAAACACTATGCCTTTTCATATCAGGGACTTGAGCATAACTGATTTTGGTATCCTCGGGGTCCCGGGACCAGTCCTCCTTGGATACTAAGGAATGACTGTACTTATTTGTTTGTGTTTGGTCTATTTCCTTCAACTAGAATTTAAGTTCCATAAAAGCAAAGGCTTTACTCTATTCACTTTTCTATCCCCAGGGCCTACAACACTGTCTGGTATACTATGGACATAAAATAAATATTTGCTATAGAAATATTGATATCCAAATGAAATCAGAAATCAAAAAATGGCTCATGAATAGACAAGAAACATTATTAAATTAAAAAAAACCTCTTTCACCATAAATACTATGTTCAAATAAATTTACCTATATTAGAAATTTTTCCATTCTATCAGATTTCATAGCTTTTATCTATGGAAATGTCAGGTTTTTTAAGAAATAGATTTGACTAACATACAAACTTCTGCCAAAACTAAATGCTAAGTAACAAGGTTTGTTCTAAAAAATCCAGAAGTTCACAGGATGGGAAAATTAGATACAACCAAAGTAGTTTCAAAATATAAACTACTTACATAAACAGATTACAATACTTGCAATTTCCCATACCATTGGTTTTGTTTCTTAGTTTTAGTCTAAGGATTATTCAGCATCTTGATTTCTTATCAATGCCCGCTTGCTTTACTTTAAGAATAATTTTATGTAAACAAGTACATGGTTCCACAAATAACTATTTACATATTGAGAAAATTTTAAATGACATAATATGCTAAATATTATTAAATAATATAAAATAAAAATTCAATTGAAATGCCTCTTTTGTTAGTTTAATATGGATAAAGCATATTTCTAGTGAAATACTTTTAAAGATTCTTTAAGTAAATTTTAATATAATTTATATATTTGCATGATTCAGCACATTTAAATCTAACCATAAAAATGTTACTTGTTACGATAGTTTCCTTAAGAAACAAATAATCGCAGTATAAATTCTTGATGGCATCATGGCACAAAATTCTTAGCTGCTAATTTACAAATACTTGTGTGCGTGCATGAGGGTATAATGAATTAGGGCACTTTATAAATTACATATACAAAGATAGGCCAGGTGCGGTGGCTCACGCCTGTAATCCCAGCACTTTGGGAGGCCAAAGCGGGTGGAGCACCTGAGGTCGGGAGTTCAAGACCAGCCTGACCAACCCGGAGAAACGCCATCTCTACTAAAAATACAAAATTAGCAGGGCATGGTGGCGCATGCCTGTAATCCCAGCTACTTCAGAGGCCGAGGCAGGAGAATTGCTTGAACCCAGGAGGTGGAGGTTGTGGTGAGCGGAGATCACGCCATTGAACTCCAGCCTGGGCAACAACAGTGAAATTCCGCCTCAAGAAAAAAAAAAATAGATAGAGCAAATCAATATCAAACAATCTCAAACAGTATTTTTTCAGTAGAGAGAACTGAACCTAAAGACAGTGAGCATGCAAGTTGCACAATGATCCTGTCTCATTGTACAAGTGACTCTCTAGTGTTGCTCCATGTTCTTAATGTATCACAGACACCTTCCTTGAGACGTATTCTCCTTTTTGCTTTCAAATATACAGCTAACCAAATTCCGTTTCATATTTTAGAACAATTCTGGTTTTGAATAGGCTATTTTATAAATGGAAAGCCTTTCTTGATTTCTAGTACAATTGAGATAAACTCTTCCACTCCATTCTTGAAGCATATCTTCTCAGTGACTTTATTTGTCTCAACTGCAATGAACATAACTCCCAGGATATCTCTTCTCTTGCATCATAATATGTAACCACATGACTATTTATTTTAAACATTATGATGCTGATTATTTAATTCATATGTTTAATAGTCAAGCCAAGGTCTTTATTCTCTTTATGTGCTGGCTGCCACCAGAGATACAAGGCAGGAAACAAACTATTACACTAAGCATTTTTAATTTTTAGTTTAAGTTTTTATAGAAATAGGTCTTGTTATATTGCCCAGGCTGATCTTGAACTCCTGGGCTCAAGCAATCCTCCTTCCTCTGCCTCCCAAAGTGTTGGGATTACAGGCACGAGTCATGGCATACAGCCGATACTAGGAATTTTTTAGAATGATTTTTACACGCTGAAAAATTTTCAAAATGATGTTATTTCAGTATGTATGCTAATTGTTCTTAGATTTAAATTCTTTCACATTGTTCTTCAAGAATTTTCAAACTTTTAAAAATTTCCTGGTCTCTTGTTCCACATCTGATACTTGTACTCTCTGCACAGGACTTCATTTAATTTGTTTAAATGGATAATCTAATACACTTCTCAATTTTTTCTGTTGGTGTCACTTGTCCATTTGCCCTCACAGGTTCAATTATTCCCTATTGTTTTAAAAGATATGTTTCTGCATTTGTTCAATTATATCACTGCCTACTTCCTCTAGAAATGTATTCTTTCTTATATATATTCAATATTTTTTGCTCCATTGGTAGGTTTCCTCTGATAAATAAAATATGCTCCAGTCTCTACCATGCTTAATAATTCTTTCCTAAATTAAAGTCCTAGCAATCTCCTTTTTATCAGTAATGTATTTCTGGAAAAGAAAGTCTCCCCAACCACTTTATTTTCTCAGCTCCAGTTCATGCTAAAGTCTTGCTTCTATTCGCTATCTTTTTGCCCAGTCACTCTAATTGAATGCTCCCTTTTCTAAACTCAACCATAGACATCCCAGTTTGCAAACCCAGTTGCCTCTTCTCATCCTATTTTATTTGAGCTTTCCATGCTGCTTAAAATATTAACTATCGTTTATAAGCCCCTTCTTGGTATATCTTCCTTTCGTCAGTGTTGTGACAAGGCACTCCACTGGTTATGCATCTTTCGATCCGGTTGCTTCTATTCTAGCTTCTCTCCTACCTCACTTTCTTCCTCCTACTGTCTCAAGATGGGTATCCTGCAAGGAGCTCTCCTCATCTTTCTATATTATCTTGTTCATATGTTTTTACCACTCCCAAGTTCTAAGTTCTCTAGTTCCAGACATTCTCCACACTTTTATTTCTAGTTTTTCCAATTACATTTATGTTAGCTATTTTTTGGTACCCTACACTTGGCTTTTCCAAAATGGCATAAATCATTTTTTTTTTAATCTCAGCCTTTGTTTCTAGTGTTTTCTGTCTCTGTGACTGACATCACATCTTCCTAGTGTGGTTGGCTCAGGACAGAAGTTCAGCATCATATTTAAGTCTTCAGCTTCCTTGTTCACAGCAGATACACACCAAGACATGTTAACTTGTACTCCACCATCATATCCTCCATATCCTTATTTCTTATTCTTTAATGTAATCACTCATCTGCTCCCCATATTTTAGTATAACAGCTTTAAAATTCACTTATATGTTGGAAAAACACACAAAGTTACAGAAAATTTGCAAATACACTACTCCCTTGTTTTCACTTTACTAAGCATGAAGAGTAAGTGACTGCCCTGATGCCTCCATTATCCAGAATACTTTAGTATTTCCCATAAACAAGGACATTTTCCTATAGATCACAAAATGACGTTCAAACTTAAGAAAATTAACTACTGTCTAAACTTCAGATCCCATTCAAAATTCCCAATTGTCCTAATGATGTTCTTTGTATCTAAATGATCTAATTAGTTATATTTAGTTGCTATATCTCTTTGGTCCCCTTCAGCCTGCGCAGTCCAGCCTTCCCTTCACTTTCAAGGCCTTACGTTTTTGAAAATTATAGCTCAGTTATGTTGTAGAATATCCTCAATTTGGATTTGTCTGATATTTTAAATGTTTAGATTAAGGATATACATCTTTGGTTGGAATATCACAAAAGTGATGCTGTGCTTTTCTTGCATCCTAGTGGGAAACCATAATGTCTTTCCCAACATGGATACTGTTCACCTTCATCATTTGGTCAAAGCATCTGCTAGGCTCTTCCAATGTGAGGTTAATCTGTACCCTTTTATAATTATTAAGTTTTTGGGAGCTACTTTGAAACTATGTAAATACCTGGTTTCTCATCCATCTTTCTCTATTTATATCAGTAAGGACTTGTGCTTTCCTATTTTATTCAGTGTTATAATCAATCACCATCTTTATTTTGATTCTCAAGTAATAGGCCTCTAGTTCAGCCAATGAGGGGCCCCCTTGAGGTTGGCAATTGTGTCCTCTTGCTATGCCCTCATTATTTTTTTAGCGCTTTCTGGCAAATAATAATAATAATCTAGTTTCATGTTGTACTTTCCTTGTTCCAGCCCTGGAATGAGCCATTTATCCAAAGAGCCCCAGGTACTTTTATTGGATAATGGTATTTAGACACCAACATCTGGATATTAGGCATATTTTCCATCAGTATGTTGTTGCTCCCAGGCTGTCTCAGTGGACTATGTGTATGGAACACACACACACACACACACACACACACACACACCCCTATACACACAGTTTCACCTGTGTTTTTTAACTTTCTCCCTGCACCCCCACACCCTGCCACACACGTAATCTCTGCCATCTCTGCTGTCACCTCCTTCCCTGTGCGGCTGTGCTCCTCACTCCATGCAGACTCAGGCAACCGGCACATGATCAACCTCTGCCTGGAAGTTCACACACCTAGACTGATAAGGCTCTGACATGCTGTATGGGCCACCCTCTTGCGTGGACACCCTCTTAACCTCCCTCAGAGTCTGACTCCCCACCCCCAAGCTCTTCATCTTGTTTGGATTCTGATACCTCACACCATGCTATGCGTCCCTGACAAGTCCCCTTTTCACCACACTTGGGCTCTGATTTCCCAAGGTGGATTGCCTACTGTGTTGATGTTCTACTCACCCTAGTTGGGCTCCAAAACCCCAACAGTTCACCTCCACATGTGGACACTCTACTCCCTGCTCAAGCTCTGACTTCCCACATGGGGTTGTGCCACCCACCGTCCCCATGAAGACAAGCTTCTGAATCTAACTGACTTCTGAAATGCCACACGAGGCTGATACTCTGTGAGACTGCCTCCTCCATCCGACTCAGGCTCTGACAAGGTCTGTGGGACCACTGCTGCTGCTTTCATCTCTCACTGGTGTGGGTCCTACCATGCTCTGCCCCACCCCAATGGTTGTGAGATGAATTTTTAAGGAAAAAAAGGGAAGAAAAGAGAAAAGGCTGAGAAAAAAGAGCTACACCAGGCTTTCAGCTTGTTTCTTCACCTCTACTATTTAACTGCATCAATCTAACATATATGCTATTGAGATTTTTTTTAACCCAAAATGTTACATATAGCTGGGATTAACTTGCTTTCACTTCAAAAACTTTCAGTGATTTGCTGTTGCCTTTACAATGCAGTTTGAATTCAAGATGCTGTCCAATACCAACATAAACTTTCCAGCTTTTATTTCCCTGCATTGATATGAATGAGACAGAAAACTTTTATTCTTTAGATGTAAAGCATGTTTTCCAGTCCTATAGCTTTTGTTCTACCTAATTACTTCTAATTGGATCATCTTCCCTTTCATTTCCAACTGTCAAAATAATGTCCATCTTGGAAAGTAAGATTTAATGTTACTTCCTCCATAAAATTCTTCTCTTAGCTTCTCCACCATAAGCAATTATGAGTAATAGTAATAATAGCAATGAATTATAAGTATGTATTAAAAATGTCTCACATGTACTTTACTAGAAATTTCACATCTATTATTTCTGCTCTTTTGTTAGTTCTGAAAATTAATAATTTTCAACTCCAATTCCATTTTATATACAGTAAGAAAACATCAGCACAGAGAGTTCAGATGACTTGTTCAAATCCTAATAGCCAATAAATAGCAGAGGGGGGATTTGAATCTAGAATCTAGTCTGAATCCAAGGCTAATGCTATTTGCAGTGGGACACAAGCATTGCTCACTACACTTTTCCAGCCACTTTGTCTTTTTTCCTTTGAACATAGCACATTTGTATCATACTTTACTTAAGTTTCACATATTACTTAAAAGAATACAAACTCCTTGAAGACAGATTCATTCATGTTTAATTTCATATCCCTACCCTCAGAGAGCCTTGACCATGGAGAACACTTAGCACAGAGAAGAATGAACCACGGACTAGGGGTCAGGAGGACCAGCTTATAATCCTGCTTTGCCACAGGTCATGAGGATATGAAATGACACTTTAAATAGACCCTTAACTTCCCTGATCCTAGGATTCCATGTTTCTAAAAGGCTGTGGTGGTGACTGTATGACTTTTATTTCTATCCAAATTAAACCCCTGAGTTGTTTGATTTAATAAAGAAATAAATAACTTTAAACATAAGAGAGTTAAAAAAATCCTATCACATCCATCTTTCTCTTTCCATATATTTGAAAGTTTTTTGGCACTTTCAATTTTAAGAAACTATTTCATTAAAAAGTCAAATTTGATCATTATCTTTAGAAAACTGAAAAGTTACAAAGTTTATTTTGACAAAGAGCAATTTGAATTCACTTTTTCCAGTAAACAGCCCTCAAAGCACTTTCTAAAGGACTCAAAGAATAAGAAAAACATACTAAAATAATAGCAAAAATTAAAAAGGGGTAGTTTAACCTGAAAATGATCTACAACCAATGTATATAAATGAACTGGCCCTGTGATACTTGTTTTGATATTTATAATTTAAATATGCTTAAGACCTAAGTAATGGTGTAGAGTTGGATATATTTTTTCTATTGGATTATAACCATTCATGAATTTGGGGTTACTAAATTCCTTAGCAGTGTCCTTTTTCATTTATACATTTTTTTTCTATCTCCTCTTCATTTTCTTAATGTCTTTGTATTCGCCATGATTATTGCCTAAACATTTCCTCCATTGCTTATTGTTTTTTGTTTTGTTTTGTTTTGTTTTACAGACAGGGTCTTGCTCTGTTGCCCAAGCTGGAGCGCAGTGGAGTGATCATGGCTTACTGCTGCCTCGAACTCCTGGGCTCAAATGATCACCCTGCTTCAGCCTCCCAAGTAATTGTGACTATAAGTGTGTGCCACCATGCCCAGCTAATTTTAAAAGTTATTTTGTAGAGATTGGGTCTCACTGTGTTGCACAGGTTGATCTCAAACTCCTGGCTTGAAGGGATCTCTTGCCTTGGCTTCCCAAAGCACTAGGATTACAGGCATGAGCCACCATGTCTGGCCATGCTTAAAGTGTCTTTAAATTTTTTCTGGCTCCCTTACCAGAAGTGTCCATTATTCAGAACATAAGCGCTTTTTTTTCTTTTTCTTTTCTTTTTTTTTTTTTTTTTAAATCTTGGAATTAGACTTGTGTAAGCCCCGGCAATGTGGCCTTTCTTTTCCTTTCTTCTCCTTTTCTTCATTTAGATTGTTGCTAATAGTGAGCATAATACTATGGTTTTGGAATGACCTGTGGATGCCTCTGTGAAGCTTCCACTTTGTTTTCCCCTCCCTCTTTCCTCTTTAATTTCTCTGGTTTTCCAGCTTTTATTCAGCACATAGCTAACGGTTAAGAAGTAGTCAATGAGAAGGGCCTAAGGTCAGGTTTTTAAGGGGCCTAAGGTCAGATTTCTATACTTACTTAAACTTCTGTTCAATGCTATATCTACTTACCACCACAATTCAAAGACCTCACGTCATCATGTATTTTTATTCCTTAATCTTTCTGTTGTTTTCTTTATCCATACCTGAACATACCTGAAATATGCTTTTCTTTTTTTTTTTTTGAGATGGAGTCTCTCACTATCTCCCGGGCTGGAGTGCAGTGGTGTGATCTTGGCCCACTGCAACCTCCGCCTCCCGGGTTCAAGCTCTTCTCCTGTCTCAGCCTCCCAAGTAGCTGGGATTACAGGTGCCCGCCACCACACCCAGCTAATTTTTTGTATTTTTAGTAGAGATGGGGTTTCGCTATGTTGGCCAGGCTGGTCTCGAAGTCCTGACCTTGTGATACACCTGCCTCGGCCTCCCAAAGTGCTGGGATTACAGGTGTGAGCCACGGCGCCTGGCTAGAAATATGCTTTTAAATACCTGTTCTCCCTTTTTACTCAAGTAAGAGTTTGAAAACCTGAACTGCATACATATTGGGTGTAGAAAGATAGTAAAAGTATGAATGGGTAATGGATAAACATAATTTTTAGGATTGTTCAGCAAATAATTAATGAATCAAGGTATTATATAAGCTGGTATACAATCTGAATGGCAAATGACTAAATGAGCTGTCATTTCTTAGAAGGTTCTAAAGAGTGTTTTCAAGAAATACTTTTCAGAAGTGTTTCAAATAAAGTAGGCCCATATTCTCTACTTAGGGAAGGATTTGGGGGAGATACAGGCTATGGGTGACTTTATCTTATGTCATAACTCATTATCTAAAGGAAGTCCTTAAATTATCCCTCAGATTTCTCTCTTAGTGTCAATAATGATTAATTTTCTAATTATTTTTCTACATCCAATTTTCTACTTCCTTAATTGTATGTATAATTTTTGGAATTTTCTCTAATTTCTTCAAATATTCTTTTAACTAGCCCTTGAGACACTTGATATAGATATTGTACAGAAAAGAGTTAACGTAGCAGGACTAAGACTGAAATTCTTGGAAAGGGCGGCTTGCAAAGTTGACCTTGGACTGATGTCCGGGAACTCGGATTTGGGAGGTTTCCCATCATTCCCTGAGAAGAGTGGTTCATTGTGCCTAAATTGTGCAAATAATGTGCTTTATGCTAAAAGTCTAGTTTCCTTCTGGGAGAAGGGAATCTTGGCAGATGATAGCAAGAAGGGGTCCATGTGACCAGTTCCCACTAAAAACCTTAGGAACCGAGTCTCTAATAAGCTTTCTTGATAGACAGCATTTCACATGTGCTGTCCCAATTCCATCCTGGAGAAATTAAGCATGTCCTGTGTGATTCCATAGGAAGAGGCTCTTGGAAGCTTGCACCTGGCTTCCTCTGAACTTTGTCCATGTGACTTCTCCCTGTCCTTATTCTGCTTTGTATCCTTTCACTGTAATAAGTCGTAGCCATGAGAACAGGACAACTCACAGGATGACTGAGTCCTCCTTGTGAATCACCGAATCTGAGGGTAGTCTCGGGAACCCCTGAGACAGATACATATCTAGATAATATAATATTTAAATCATAATACATCTATATAGGTACTGCATACCTTTTAACTTTTATTAGTTATTTTACCTCTTTTTTACAAATTAAACAATAAAGTGTATATTCTTTGTTGTCTGCCTTTTACTCAAATAATGTTGGTTATACTTATGTATATTATTTTGTGTAGTCATAGTTTGCATTCTTTGCTTTAGAGCATGGCATTATGTGAATATGCCCAACTTACTTATCCAATCTACTACTGGTTGTTGCTGGGTTATTTCCAGTTTGTTGCTTTTATAAACAGTGCTGCTATAAATTTTGTACTACATGTTTTTGGGTGTATTAACATACATATTTCTTTGGTGAGTATCCCAGGAATGGAATTGTTGGGACATGGGTTTACTTTCAGTCCATGTTGCTAGACAGTTTTCCAAAGTGGTTGTGCAAATTTATACCCCCACCAGCAGGATGGTAGGAGATTTCCAGTTATTTTACATCCTTCTTAAGACTTGGTATTTTCTACACTTTTTCATTTTACTAATTTTGGTATAGGTGTAGTGGAATCACATTGTGGTTTCAATTTGTATTTTCCTGTTGAGCACCATTTCATAGGTTAATTGATCATTTTGTATTTCCTTCTCTCTTAAGTGCTCAAGTGTTTTCTCCATTTTCTAATGGATTGTCTCTTGTCTCCTCACTAGTTTTAATAGTTTTTAAATATGTTTTTGATATGCCTTATTTCAGATATATTTATTACAAGTATCTTTTCTCCTCTGTAAATTCTATTTTACTCTCATAATGGCATCTTTTGACAGGAAAGAGGTCTTAAGTAGAATTTATCATTTATTCCTTTTTGTTTAGCATATTTCTATCTCCTGTCTAAAAAATCCTTGCCTATTATTTTTTTAAAAAATTGTTTAAATTTTTTTTTTCTGGTGGAGGATGGTGGAGTCAATCTTTGACTATTGTAACATCATAAAATATGTTCTATATTCTTCTAAAAACTATACTGTTATAACTCTTATATGTAGCTGTATTTTTTTATATAGTGTGAGTTAGGGGTCAAGATATAATGTCTTCCATATAGATATGGAAAAACTGTCATTTATTGAAAAGGGTACCTTTTCCCCTCTTCCCTACAGTTTTACCTTTGTCATAAAAAATGGTGAACGTGTGTGTGCATCTATTACTGGAGTTTCTCTTTCACTGGTCATAATTTTTATTCTTGTGCTATTACCACACTGTCTTAATTACTCTAACTTTATATTGGCCTTGATAACATCCAGGAACTGTATTTTAAGAGTAGCCTTGCATATTCTTATTCTTTTGCATTTCCATTTTGTCTTTAGAATCAGATTGTTAATTTTTTTAACAAAATTGGGATTTTGATTGCTTTAAATCTACACATTAATGTAGGAGCACTGACATTTCACCAATATTGAATCTTCTAATCCATGAACATGGTGTGCCATCCCATTAATTTAGGTATTGTTTAATTTCTCTCAATAAGATTTTGTAGTGTTCAGTGTAGAGATGTAATCTATCTTTCACCAGATATATTCCTACACTAATTTTTAGAGATACATTATAAATGACAACATCTTAAAATACTGTTTTGTTGCTGCTACACTATTGATTTTTGAATATTGATGATATAACCACCTACCTTTTGAATTTTTTGCTGAAATGGATTATAAGTTAGTTCCCTTAGGTTGTACCAATTTATGTTTTTCCAGTCTCTTCTAAGTATGTGATTACAGCATTACAAATTAGGTTAGAAACTCTATCCTTTCCACAGTTAACACTGACAGTTTGATCAGTTTATGAATGAATGTCATCACTTCTCTCCCGTAGACGTGGCCATAAATGTAAGGTACCTGCAACAGGCTCCTCAGGAAAGAGAGGGTAATAGGTCAGAAATCTTCTCATAAAACAGTTTAATTTCCATAAAAGCAAAATGCTTGAATCATCTTCAGGTCCGTTCTATTTTTTTCCATTTCTCTCTATATCCTAGCATCCCAGTTATCATTCTGTCAAAAATTATTAGACTAGTAATACTCCATATGCAAACAATAATAGTTTGTAACTTTTAAAGCAAAGAAATATTTAACTTCCATCTAACTTGGGGTTGGGATGAAAACAGTGATCATGCACCCTTGAAGGTCCTCAACTCATATCTTTTCTGTTTCGGTGACTTGGCTATTTCTCTAGGAACATGGTGGAGAAGAGTCTACTTATACTAGCAATGAGAGCAGAGAGAGAGGTTCCGGGGTCCAATGTGAAGTGAATTAAGATGAAATCAGTTAGACACAGGGTATTCCAGATATACAGTAGTAATGGTGAACTGTCGCCAACTTTAAGAATAATTCAAAATGCTGGGAAAAGATGAATGTTGAAAATTGTATGTGTTACTCCTTTTTAATTTCTAGTTCTGATCTTATGCTTGAGAACTATAAAAATATTCAGAGCTATTATTTCTACTTTGACTGTAAAATTTAAAGACATCCACCAATGAAGTCAGAGTTTCTCATTAGCAAAACATGGTACATTCTTATGCTACTTAGTTATGTCCATCCTTAAGACACTTGATAGAATTTTAATCTCTCATTATAATGTCCTGTATCCCGAATTTAAGACTTATTATAAGAAGTAATAATAGCTAGATTCTCTTTGGACTCTGTGCTCTAATATATCAACTCATTCATTCTGGTTAATTCATTTGAATAGGTCCTTCACATTGAAATGTGAGTACCAGGAAAGCAAAGAAGCTATAGAATATGGTCATAAGAATAGCAGTGATTACAATGAAAAGACAATTTGAGCTAAACTGTCTTCCTATCACAGAATTCAGCTGAAGAAAACTCATTTGAATAAAACTGATATAGACACAGACTAGGATTAAATTTAATTTAATTCACATTAGTTTATAGATTATATTTTTAACTGACTGCTTTGTTACTAAAATAAAGTCTTAGCTTTGGCAAAAGTATTCTATATTAGAATATGAAATATATATCACAATATAAATGCACAGTTAAAGAAATAAAAACAACTCTAGTTATTTAATAAATTTGTCTTAACTCACATATTGCTCTGATACTTTTCATAATTGCAGACAGTACTGTAACCTGTTTGATTAAACGTGAAAGCAGAAGCATCTACCTTACGTTTTGTTCAAATTCAATTACCAACTCAACAAATATTTATTGTATCTAATATGACTCTCACTCTGTATTTGTCCCTGGCATATAGTGATGTATAAGACTATTAAATCAGAGCTTCAAATTTGGCTAAATAATTTTTTTTTGTTTTAGTAAAATGTTTTATTTTCTATTATAAATATGATACTAACATGTAACAATGAACTCTGGCTTCTCCATACAAAATACAACTTTTTCTAAAATAAAGGGGATGTGAAAATAATTTCCAGAGAGAGAGTGAGTGAGAGAAACACACACTTTGTTCAAGGTACTTTGTCCCAGACTACATTTGGAATGTTTTAAGTTTTCAAAAAAATGAGAAAAAAAGCAACAGACTGTTGCATATGGCCTGAACAGAAAATTTGTGTGGTAAAAGGACACACTGCAAACTGGAATGTCTTATGGAGGGACACCAGATTTTCCAGAGAACTAAGTTCTTTTCAGCAAAATTGATCTAAATACAAAGGATATTAGGAAAGCAAGGTTCTAGCAAGGTTCTAGCTCTTCAGTACTCACAACTGACACTGGAAAGGGGGTGGGGGTTGGGAGGCAGGGGAGGGTCTGACTGTAGGGCAGCTGAAACACAAGACTTGCCCATAGGAGTCATCCAGGACCAAGAAAGGTCCTTTCTAGACCCTTTTCATTCAGCCCAGGGATTCCTGGGCAGGGTTGTCCTTCTCACTGAAAGTGGCTTATGTACTGAAGATGCACCTCGTCTGATAGAAGGAAACCTTCACTGAAGCTAGCAAGGTGAGCCTTTCAAACTCCAGAGACTCCTCTATAATATTCTCAGTGCTGTTTCTAACTCTGGCCATGCAATTTTTAATGTATAATTCATTTTTTTATATTGGGAAATACTTTACCTATCTACCTATATATCCACACACAAATTTATAAGAGTAAAGTGCACACATTTTAAATGTACAGTTGGACAGATTTTTACCTACATATGCACCTGTGAAATACTGAACCACTCCTTCACCAGAAGGTTCCTTCATGCCTCTTCCCAGTCATATGATTATGCCATTTTGACTATTAAATGTTTCTTCAAAACGCCCTGTCAGAAAACTTTTTATTTTCATATTGAAAAATTTCACACCAAAGCTGACCATACTTGCATGTTAGTTTAAAATGTAGTCAGGCAATAAGTTGATGTTACTTTAACAAATGTGGTAGTTTTTCTTTTTCATTTCTTTTCTTTTCTTTTTTTTTTCCTTTTGAGACATAGTCTCACTCTGTCACCCAGGCTGGAGTGCAGTGGTACAATCATAGCTCACTGCAGCCTCAAATTCCTAGGCTGAAGCAATCTTCCCATCTTCCAAGTAGCTGGAGCTACAGGCACAAGTCACCATGCCTGGCTCATTTTTTTTAGTTTTTGTAGAAACAGGGTTAGCTTTTCATATGTGGAAAAATGCTAAAGGTTCAGAGAAGAAAATATATTAGACCAGGGCAGAAACATTAAAAAACAAGCGAACAAAAAACCCTTAGTTTCTCCCCTGTCCTAGCAATCTCGATCACGAAAATTTAGATTTGTTTTTATACATATTTCATTCATAACTGTCTAACATAAGTTATGTCCCTCTTAAGTACAAAATTATTAGCATAATGATAAGATAGTTAACACATGTACTGTTTATAATATGTTAAGCACTATTTAAGCACTTCATATATATTTTATTTTATTATTTTAGAGACAGGGTCTCACTCTGTCACCCAGGAGTACAGTGGCACGATCATAGCTCAACGTAAACTGGAACTTCTGGGCTTAAGCGATGCTCTCGCTTCAGCCTCCCAAGTACCTGGGACCACAGGTGAGCTCCATCAAGCCTGGCTAACATTTTTTTTTTTTTTAAATTTTCAGTAGAAACAGGGTCTTGCTATTTTGCCCAAGCTGATATCAAACTCTTGGCCTCAAGCTATCCTCCCACTTTGGCGTTGCAAAGTGCCAGGAGCCACCGTGTCTGGCCTATATATGTTATTTTAATCCTCACAACAATAAGAAGGTGTAGGTACTCTATTATTTAATTTTTGGAATGAGGGTTTACATAAGTTTCTCAATACTAAAAAATTCCTAAGGGACACAGTCAATATTTGAACTCAGATAGTGTAAGGCCAGAGTCCTTTCTCTTACTCACTACACCACACCACACTGCATTCCTGAGATCCAGAAGTGTAGCAGAGCTGGATTATTAGACAAATAATGGACTATTTTTTACCACTTCAAAGTTTCTGTCAATTATTCTATGCCACATGGTAAGACTGTTTCCAGGATCTCAATCCTCCTATAGTTTAAATATCATGTGATATTTGTCATTTTTTTAAATTTGTATCGAGAGAGCGATAAAAGGACACAAACATCTCAGGCAAGAGCAAATAATGAAATAACTGAATAAAAAAGTTATGTTAGGGTAATATATAGCTACCATTTCTCAGTTACAGAAACATAGCATGACATATCTAAAGAACTTCAGAGGTCAATGTGGGACACTTTTACAATTTTGGTTCTACTTTAAATCTGGAAAAACACAGGTGATATAGACCTAAATGCTTTCTTCTATTATCTTTTAAAAATTTCAACTCTCGTTCCTGATCAGTAAGCTAAATTTTTAAAATAAAATCCTTATACATCGTATGTATCTGTGTATATTTTCTCTTTAAGAATTGCTTTTTTAAATAAAAACTACCAAAAGGAATCTTCATAAGTGAATTGAAAAAGTATATTTTTTTCTCTTCCATAAAGCTTCTTTATTATTCACAAGCGTCAAAGAGAAAGTCTTTCTTTATTGCCTTACAAATCAGGAGTAAAGCACAAATGCTGATTGAGCAGACTGATGATTAGATGGAGAAAACTGATGAAAGGAAAGATGCCAGTACAAACAGAATATGGCCATTGATTTTTACCCCAAATGAATCAACTACTGGACACAAATGTGGGTCTGCTACTAATTCCGGCAGCAAACCACCCCAAGAACCAACCCTTTGAGGAGGCCCACGTCTGCATGCAGACAGCTTTTTCATGTTTCTCTTGCTAGAATACACCAAGTAGCAATTTATTCTTTGTTGGCACAATCAAGTAACTCTTAAATGAAGAATTAAAAACACAGAGAATGTAGGAGACTTTCCCCCACTTGGAACTCTAAATATTCATTCAAAGATGCAAATGTTTTCTCTTGTCAAAGAAACTAGGCAGCTAAGCCATAATATGCCAGGTCAGCAGGAATTGCCCTGGTTATGAGCTAGCCATCACAGATCTGGTTTCTCAGAATAAGTTTTAAAAAAAGTAAATGATCTTCAAGCTAACTGCACTACTGATGAAGATATGGACTAATCTCTATCCCTATAATCTTATGTAAACATGAATTAGCTTGGTTCTTTTTATGTTTGATTGTCTACAATGGAAAGTAATAGAGGTTTTTAAACAAGCAACTTGCTATTTTCATCTGCTATTGCTGACGCTTTCCTAAGATATTGGTTGATCAGCAGCACAAGATTTTTCAGACACTAAATGGCAGAAATAAGCCCTTCTAAGGTTTTCTAGATCTTTCCTGTTATCATAACAAGATTCCTTCAGTCAAGTACTAGAGGATGGGAAGTAGCACCCCATTAGTTGTTAAAGACACCCACATGAGTCACAGAACTAACTATAACAGAAATGTCATATTTAGCCCTGAAGCAGGGAACAAAGTCCTTCCATTTTAGAAAGGGGGTGAGAGTAGTTAAAACAAGCAAAAAAAGCAAACCTCTTACCTTTTGTAGCAATGCGTACGCACTGGGTTTTAGTTTCCTGATAGAGTAAAAATGAAAAAAAAAAGAGTCAATGTACAGATAATGTTTCCTGTTTCATAAACTATAATTATTATGAAGATCCATCTGGGGTCATAAAAAGGGATTATAAACAACAGAATTTTAATATTAAGAAAACTTTAAAAAATATGCCCCCCTAGGGATACTTAAAAATCTAAAGTAAGAACTTTGAAAAATATTTTAGTTTTTATAGAGATGTAAATATTTGTTTTTACCTTGCAATGAAACAGGTTAGTTTGTGACAAGTAGTATAGCATTCTATTTTCATGTATAGTGCTTCGTAAACTATCAGAAAAATGTACTTGCAAAGCTAATAAAAACAGTTCCAAATATAAATTTAATTTTCATCTGAGAACTGTAGACTGAGACCAAAGCTGAACATTACATACTTTCATCTGGATCCTAGCATGACTAAAAAGCTAAATGATAGCAGTTAGAAAGATCATCAAAACATTACATCATAGTTATGGTGTAATTTATCTGTTCTTTCTTTCTTTTAATTTAGCTATTAGGAGTTAAATGTTTCTCAGCATACATAATTTTCCTCCTCTTGCTAGACAGAGCGGGTATACAAAGTAGAAGCAGTAGGAAAGGACAAGAAAAAATATGATTATTTTTAACGCTGTCAGGTGGCAGTAGGAGACACATGTCCCTGCCAGCTACTTTTGGCCCCACTCTTCCTCCTCTAGGACTTAATTGAGTCAGCGTACATCCCTGAATACACAAGAGGTGAGAAAAGGTATCAAAGCCAGTGAACAAACCAGAGGCGATCTGTTTGCAAGATGCATTTATAACTCTATCTTGAGTAGTTCTATATGTTGATAATTTATAAAAGAGTTTACAATTTCCACTTAAGCATTTTTTATTTTTTTATTTTTAAATTAAAATAAAGCAGTGAGGGGGGAATTAGTAATTAAAAATAAAATGTTGCACTTCTATTACTTGTGGCCTGAGACCTTCATGGTAACCTGCAAGAGATTATTTCACATTCCCATAAAGGCCCCAAAGGATTTTCATTTCTTAAAAGCAATTGCTGTTTAACTTTCTAATGGCATTACCAATCTCTACTTGTAGAAGTCACATCAACTTTAAAACTCTTTGCCAAGATAACTGTGAAATATATTGTTGCTATTCTGTACTTTGATTAAACCACAGTGCAGATATATTAACAATTGGAAGAGAAAATTCATATCAAAAAGCTTTAAAGAATGCAGAGAAAATCCTTTATAAGTAACAGACATTCATTAACACTCCTCTGGTATAATAGACCAAATAACCAAAGTTAATTTGGAACCTCTCTAAAGATCAAAACCCTCACACAAAACTATGCTTCCTACTCAATGCTATATTATACCCAGAATGGACTAATAACTTCCATTGTGTTCTGTTTTTATAGTAGCCCAGTTGTAACAGTGGTATGGAATGATATGTAGGCAGAAAGTGGACACTGGACTACTCTCTAAAGACCTCAGTTCTTTAAAGGTAAACGAGAAGAGCATCTTCAACCATGAGCAGCCTCTGACTCTGGAGCACATCTTAGAAGATGCTGTGGCCTTTTTCTTTGCTACCTACAAGCCAAGCATACAGGCAAGCAAACAACAAAGCTTTGATTCAAAAGCAGCCAATCAATACCCAAAGCTCTCACGGCCCCTGCAGAAATGCAAAAGGATTGTTATGTCTTCCAATTAAACTCTTTAAGATATAATATGACTGATGTAATTGTATATCATGTATCACTCCCAGGTGCTCACCTTAGGGACTCAATTACATAAACCCAGCAATTTCCTATACGGCTTCAAGTCTATTAAAATGTCATCATTCTATTGGATTTTAAATTGTGAAAATTTCTATCCTCAACATTTGTCTTCCCTCTATCTCTGTCTGCCAATAAATAAATAAATAAATAAATAAATAAATAAATAAAAATAAGTTTTAGGAAAGAAAATCTTCCAAAGAGAACAGCATGAGGCATGAAAGGCCAGGTTGTTTTCCCACATACGGAACTGCCGGTCGTTTCTAATGTCCTGTTGTGTTTTCCTCTTCAATATTCATTTGGGATCAGCAGCAGTGTTCAAAAACAACTGTGTCCAAAATGGGAAAAGGAGGGGCAACCAGGGAAACAGAGAGCAGCCTTCTGTAATGGCTCAGCAGCCAGTCATCGCCAGGCTGCCTTTTGTTTAGGTTCAGTCAGATATACCACAGGCGCCCTATTACTTTGTAATCAGAGGATTGTTACATGTTATTTACTATTTGGCTTGAAAACCCTGAAAAGTTTATAAGGTTTTATTAGCCTGCTGTGGAACACGCATTCTGTTTATCCTGCAGTAAATTTAATCTCTTGAAGTGTGCCACCACTGAGCAAGGAAGACAGAACAATGCCTGATCGTTACTGAGGGTGGAGTCCCAGCAGCAGCACACCCACGTTTTCAAATCATTTTACTCTCAATTGCTATTGTGGGCTTTCCTGAGGAAGGCTCGAGTAGAAGCAGTTACTAGGAAACAGGAACCCTGTGAAATGGAACTGGCGTGCGGCCTCAGCCCTACTGTAGCCCCAAAACTGCGCACACTGTTGAGAACAGAACCCCCTACATGCAAATTTTCTTTTTCTTTTTTTTTTTCTTGACGGATGCTACTGAGTATTCATAAAATTTGACTTCAGCTTTTCTTCAAAGCAGGGAAAAAGCAAATCCTGGAGGAAGCTCACCTTCTCCACACTGCTCATCGCCTGGAAATAGATGTTGTATCCTTTGCGCGGAGCCAAAGGAGGGTTCCAAAAGCCTTGGTAGGTCCGATTGTCACCCACAGTGAACGGGGCAGGCTCAGGTAGGTTTCCCGGGGGGAGTTCTGCAGCAAAGTAATACGGTGCACCCCCACTCATGGCATTTTGGTATGTGACAGGAACCTGGTAGCATTCCATGGCTCCGGCTTCTCTCTTGGTTCGGTGTGGGTGCAGTTCTTCCACAACAATCTGATAAGCACTTTGGGGAAAAGAAAAAAAGAACACACATATATATACACACATATTTAGAGATTTAAGATACTAAGATTTTTTTTAAGGGGTTGACTATTAACACACCACATTTCAAAGTATTTAAAGTTAGTCTTAACCTGGTATACTCTTTTCAGCTATTTCGCAATAAAATGAAAAATCCATATAGATGCTGCTGTCCCTAACATCACTGTAGTTACAAAGAAACTGATAAAAAGAAGAACAATCACCGTAGGACTTTCAACATTTTTAAATGTTGAGGAATGAGCCACCCTAATAAGGATTCTGACATTAACCAAAGACACATCATAGATTCAGTTCTTTGTCTGATATTTTTAAATGTTTAAAGTTAACATTTTCCCTTGAAATGATATTACAGAAAGTCCAGCTCCAAGGTCTAACAGAATGACTGCCTCAGGGCGGTGCTAGAAGCACCCATTTGTGGTTGTCACAGCCTCAGAGACAGAATGTACTGACAGGCTTCTCCACCTCTTGACCTTGCCATGGCATCTACACTGGCTCAGAGCTATGTAGATCTAAAATACAAGTGACATGCGGCAATACGGGCACAGATGGACAGAAATCTGTCCTCACAACCGAAATAGACCGCCTCCTTCTTCTGGAGTTGTTAATAATAAAATGTTACAAATTGTAGAAACAGATGGCATTTGGCCTATTAAAGCTCTAACCTAAACCTTCTGATATCTTTAAGTCTTAAAACTTTTCTATAATTGCAATTACTTTACAAAGGAGAGAAAAAAACAAAAAGAAAAACAAGGCAAATTTAAAATAAAGATCCCCCGGATATCTAACAATATTTTTTAACAACTCTGAAGCTGGTATATTAACAATATTCTTTTTTAGTAGAAAATTCTTTACGTTAAAATTTTTTCAGGTAAAATATTACCATGAAAGTTGACATTATTATTATAATATATTTTATACATTATAAATATATTTTAAAATGTTTTAAAATTCCTAAAAATTCTGGAAAAATATATGTGGTATCTTAGGTAAGTTGAACATAAATTGTATGCAGGGCTGCATATTGATATTCAATGGATCTCCAGGAGGAACAGAATACATTCTTTAAAAGACTTCCATGAAAAAGAAAGAGGTGGGTAGGTAGAGGGGAGTGGGGAGGAGAGGGGGAGGGAGAAAGAGAGACAGAGAGAGAGAGGAGAGAGAGAGATACACTGAACATGCATCTATGAAAATTAAAACAGTTTAGACTCTGGCATAAAATTCTAATTTAATATAAACTCTTATGCCTACAAATAAAAGATCTTCATAGATTAAACAAAAGGACATCAAAAGAAAGAGTTAAATCATAATTTAATTGATAAATTACAGATTTTCTTTTCTTCCTAGTTATTTAAGCTCCCATTTTCCATTAAAATATTGCTAATAAATCAGTAGGTTCATATCCATCTTGTTTCCTCTAAAAAGATAACAGAACTTGTATTAATGTTAGAAATTGTGATTTGAGCAAGCAAGGCAGAAGTCTATGTTATTTCAAATTATATGTGCTGCATCATTCCCTATACCTCTGCCAAGTTGGTTGCTAAGCTTCTAAGAATGCTACTGACAAGATGCATGGTCTCTGAGGCATCCATGGAGCAGGCATTTGTCAATTTTAAGATATAGAAAATACATACGCATAGCCCTGGAGAAAGACGAGAATGATCATAGCTGACATATGCTATGTTTTATTTTAAATTTATAATTCATATTTGTATATTATACATTTGCATGTCCTGTGGATACATCCACATATGCATATAAACTCCCTCATACATGCTCTCCAAACAAATGTAACCTTATATTCTTGCCCTAAAGAATAATAATAATTACCTATCCTTGTTAATCATTAATCTAATCCTTAAAAATAGATTCTTCATTAATTATCCCATACCTCTAGAAAAAAAAACACAAAATCTAGTGAACATTCAATCTTAACTAATTCTATTACATTGACAGAGATTCTACATTACAAATTAAGGATACTTCATGCAAGACAGCTTGTCTATCTAGATCTGTGAGGAGCAAAGTAAATTGCCAGTGTTGGAGAAGAGTAAAGGAAGAAAAGGTGCAATAGGCTCTTTGGGAAAGAGCCTTAAGTATGGTCCCATAGAAAATAAAAATCAATGCCTTGGGTTGAACTTTCAGATTTGGCCCTACTCTCAATTAAAATGAAAGATAAATTATTTCAATTTTATAAGTTCTAAAATACAAGTAACATGCTTGTTTCATAAAGAATTAAGAAAATGATTTCCACATAATTTATATACAAATATAAATTACAGTGCCATGCACTTTAATCTTATATATCTTTTCTCTACCAATATTATTCATTTATTCTTTGAATGGTCATTACAGAAATGAAGTATTATATTTCTGTTACTATTGAAACTGAGGCAGAAGAATAGAGCTCCCCTTAAAACTTAAACCAGGAACCTCACTTTGTTCATTCTCTACTTTATACTACAGTGTTACCAACTGAATATTTGTGCCCCCTCCCCCAAAATTCATGTTAAAACCCTAATTCTCAAAGTGATAGTATTTGGAGAGGGGGCCTTTGGAAAATAATTAGGTTTAGAAGAGGGGCCCTCACCAAGAACCAAATCCGAGAGCACCTGGATCTTGGACTTCCCAGTCTCCAGAACTGTGAGAAATATTTCTTGTTTAAGCCACCTAGTATTTTGTAATAGCAGCCTGAGCAAACTAAGACACATAAATACAAAAAGACTTCTGAGAACTGGCTTCCAAGCATACTTTCTAAAACATTCTTTGTGCAATGAGTAACATTAGATGGAACGCTAGTTGGAGATAACCTGGTCACCGCACTCTATAACCCTCCCACTCTACCACCACTCATACCAGGAGAAATGTCTTCATGATATAACATTCACCCCAGTTTCTAGATATTTTTAATCCCAAATATGTTTAACTCCAAAAGCTGATACAATAGCCATTACATTTTCACATATTATACTTACTTAAACGCCCATTATCCTATTTGAAACCACACTGGAATATGTGGTTTCAAATAGGATAATGGACGTTTAAGTGTTTATGAAATGAATACATTGCTTTTGCCTTTTCTGTTGATATTTTTGCTTAGGACATATCTAAGATACTCTTTTTCTTTCTCCATGAAAGTACATTTTTCACCTGAAAAATCCCGAGCATTATTTGAAGAGTAAGAATTTTCTCATTTACCTTTCTTCCTGTGACATTGTATCCATTAACTCATTTTCATTCAACAATTATATATTTAACAGGTATCATGCAGGCTCTGAGGATAGAGAGGTTAAAAAAAAAACACCTGCCTTTCACGGACCTTATATTCACTTTTATTTACTGAAACTTCTAGTGTTCTACCATCTTTAGAATGCTTTCTGCCCCTCTCAAGTTTGATACAGTTTAAAACGACAACAAAACTAAAATGTATACTTTCTTTTCAACTCTGTTCACTTAGGAACCTGTGACTGTCCATGGTAAGCATTTAAAGTGACTGGGACAGCTACCCAGAAGTAGATCTTCAGAGTCTTTTAAAGTCATCTCTCATACTCCCTTTTGCTTTTACACCCAAACGAAACTGAAATTGTACTACTTTTCTATAACATCACCCAGAAATACCCGTTTCAGTTTAAAATCTTGATATACACCTGTCTGCTGTACTGCTGTCTTTCTGTTCTGGACCTCTGCAGCATGCTACCTTTTCAAGATACTGAAAATATGAAAAGTATCTTTCCTTGTACCAGTATCCCTCAAAATTCTCTAGTGGCATTTTACTCTCCTTAGTTGGGCTCAGTCTTTAGTCAGTGTCTTTCTGGATGCATCACTTTGTGCATCTATTTCTACCTTTTTTCATGCCCATTGAAGAGGCATTTTTATAACTCACACAGAAATCAATTGTAATCATGGTGAGTCTTTAAGAAGTATTTACATTTAGTGAAAAACAGCTATAAAAATAACAAAAAGTCACACTAGTCCATGTTTAAAAGAAACTATCTTTCCTTCATTGTTCAATCTGAAAGGCTGTTCTCTAACCACATTTCCAATTTTTAAATCTGTTTCTGTCCTTGTTATTTTCTTATTTATCAATACAAATTAATTAAAAGATGAAATAAGAAATAAGAAATCGCATTAGAAGTGAGTTGACTAATTACATGAAATGGGATTGTGCTTCTTCATTCTTCTGGTTGTCTAATTACCTAATGGAACTAAACTCTAGCTAGATCTAAATATTAGGTGAGCTCAGTACTTTAGTAATTAAAACTATTCCAAAGTCATCATAATATTTTTAATCACTCTACCCATAGTTAATATATTCCCCATTCCTTTTAATAAACTTCAAAAATATTTCTGTAATTAGGTTAAATCAATATATTGGTATCATTAATCATTCAATACACAAAATGTGACTTCCTTATTTTTTAAAAAATTAAAATGACATATTTTACTACATTATATGGAGGTTTCTCAACTTATGATGGGGTTATGTCCCAATAAACCCATTACAAGTTGAAAATATTGTAAATTGAAATGAATATAATACATCTAACCCACTGAACAGCATAGCTTAGCCTAGCCTAACTTAAATGTGCTCAGAACATTTACATTAGCTTATAGTTGGCAAAATCAGCTAATACAAAACCTGTTTTATAATAAAGTGTTTAATATCTCATGTATTACATATCACTAGCCCAGGATAATAGCAACATTAAAATTTGAAGTACAGTCAAATTCAAAGTCAAACTCTGTACTTTTTACGCTGGGGTTGATAAATTACCACATTCCTTACCTTATATCTCCATTCTTGTTTTATCTCCTGATATTTATTTTCCATTCGAAGCTGGTATGACCATTGTTACCCAAATATACTAAACATACAGTCAAGAATTTCTGCCTTTCTTGTCTAGTTTTTCTACTTCTGCCATGAAGGCTTCTTGAACTATCTTCATTCCTCAGTACTCTGTCTTCTAAAGGCAATGGAGTAATTTTTAAGATGAGGATGACTGAAGGATGACATGGGGGTAGAAGTCACAATCACAGGGATGCATGTTTAATCTAGTTCCTAACCCACTGACAATTATAATGCCAAAGATCCATTTATCAGAACCATAAATGGTATTCTCAAAAACTCTAGGGTGGAAAAAACAAAAGACCTAGCATTGCTGTCTAATATTTATTGCTTATATGATACATCAGTATGTGGCCGTAGCACATTACATGCACCAACATGGTACATTACAAATATGATTTGATATTATACTGTTAAAAATAGTTTTTTAGGTATATGTCTTTCCTTTAGCAGATGATAAGCTTACTACAGAATGTGGCTGTTATATTTTTAGATCCAGTTCATTTGTTCACCAAATATTTATTGAGTATCTGTTACATATCATGAATTATTTTAAGTACTGAGGTTAAAATAATGAAGATAGTAGCAAAAGTCTCTGTTCTCATGAAGTTTACATTCTAGTGGGGAGACACAAATAAAAAAATAAATTCAGAAAACCAACACATATTAAGAAGGGATAAGTGCTCTAGAGAAAGATAAAGCAGGCTAAGGGAAAGAGGGAATGATGGGAATGCAGAGTGCTATTTTATATGGGTTGGTCAAGAAATCCTTATGTGATAAAAGTATCCGTTGGGCAGAAATCTGAAGAAAGAGAAGATTTATACTACTTGGGTACATGTATAATCTCTTCCTGCATAACATATTACCCTGAAATTCTGTAGCTCAAAGCAACAAACATTATCTCACAGCTTCAGTGGGTCAGGAATTCCAGAGTTGCTAAGCTAAGACAGGTCTGGCTCAGGGCTTCTCACAAGGTCATAAGCAAGCTGTGGACTGGGATTCTAGAGGCCAGAAAGAAGATTTAACAAGAAGGGCATACTTCCTCCTATTTTTGATTAGAAAAATTATAATGATTCTACCTACTATGATTCTAGAGAATAAACATAAAATTAAAGTAACATCTATTTGATCTAATTGGACCATATGACCTTTATGCCCATAAAAGAGGGCAAAAAGATTATTTCCATCTCTAGTTAAATTTCAAGATGGTTTTATTTGGAATTCAAGTAAGCTCTAGGTCAGGATAGTGGTTAGGAAAATTAGAACTATTTGATATCTTTAAATTTATGTAATGAAACAGACTATTCTGCAGGTGGATGAGGATAGCCCCAGATTTTAAAGCTATGCAACCCTAACATACATTTGTCTGTTAAGCTATCAGTGAACTTAGAACATCAGACAATTTCTTTTCCTAATTTAACTGTGGAAGAAATGGTGGTTTTGACTTTATTTCATGACTATATTTTAATTATCAAACTAAATAGGTGGTGCTTAATGTTATGAAATGCAAATTAGATGTTCTCCACAAAACAAAGTAACCTTAGAATGGGTAGCTTCCTGCAGCGCAAAATGGGTAGAGTTTCTATTTGGAAAATGCTGAAATAAAATATATATTCATTTATTAACTTTACAATAAACAGTCTCACCACAGAGAAACTATTTTGTGTTTTTACAACATGCTGCTGTTATTTTCATTCTTTGAAAACACAGCTATATTGGGTCAATCTTTTAATAAATGGGACGTTCTATGCATTATAATTTGTAATTATATTTTCCCAGGTTAGAGTTTTAATTCATTTACGAAGAAACCTTTTAGAAAGAAAAGAAAAGGAATTATGTATTCTAGGGAATTGATTCTAAATGTAGACAATATTCATTTTGAACACAGTAATGATTGTCAAGTGATGACAGTTGTAAGGATAGATCTCAAAAAGTTGGTAAGGAGATTCAAAGTTCTACTTAAGTCAGGCAACAATGTTCAGTTTTTAGAATGATTATAAAATCAAAAATTAATTTCGTCAAAGAACCACACTTGCCAGCACTGCATCGCACATGTTCTACATTAGCATAGGGAAGCAGTAATGGGTAACAGAAGGACAATGTGGTTGGTGAAACTTAGTGCTGCATTATGCAGAATGGGATTTTTCACTGTGGTCATTACTTCTTATGTAAGCACAACACCATGATCTCTTAGAGATTAAAACTTGGTGAAAATATTGGTAAGGTAGGCAAAATATATAAAATAACTCCTCTTTTCATAGAGAGAGCATTACTTTTTTGATTTGGGGTAGCAATACTGAAAATATTTATCACTTAATAACCTCAAAAAACAAAACCTTGAATTCTGAGATGTCTTTTTGCTCTGCTACCACTTCAAATATAAAAGCTACCATCTTCTCTCACCTAAAGTCTCCACTCAAACTCCCTTCCCATGAAGCTTTACACATCCTACTGATCTAAAACCTTATGTAGGAGCCACAGTCTTACCTGCATTTCCATTGCTACTTTCTTAAAATGGCCCATTAGCACTTCTCACAGGGACTACTCCAGCCTTCTGGATTATCCCCAGTCCATTCTCTATGTTTCTATCAGAGTGATCTTTCTAAAAACGTAAAACTGCCCATGGTAACTTCTGCTTACAGTCCTTCTTGTGCCCACCTTCAGTTGTGGGGCTGGCACTAAACAACCTCTCCCTTTGCTCCCTGTTTTGTCTCTCCAGCTTCAGCTGCTGTCAATTCTCCCACAGACCCTTCACTCTCCATGACCTAGGCTATCTGCAATTCGTAAATGCATCATTGTGACCTTTGGCCATGCTCATTTCTACCTCTCCTCACAAATTCAGCTTTAGTACCACATTTTCTAGCTGTTATTATTGCACTTATCACACAGCATTGTTACCAGTCATTAATTTAGGAGTCTACCACTCACACGGGTGCACATACTAATTGCCTTAAGTAGATTTCTATTTCAAGTATGCAGCTCAGCTCTTGGCACATATAGAATGTTATTGAGTCAACAAATTTATAGAATCCATTGGCGATTTTAGCTTTCCTAATAAAACTAAACACGAAAACTCTATATAACAAGATTTTCTAGTTGGTATGACAGAGGACTGTAGAACTGGAGTTTGTTTGATATTAGGAAGACCAGGCAGAAAGAATACATATTTCCACTGGAGGTGGGATGAATAGATGGTGAAATGCAAAATGGCAGAGGCTAGTAATGCTATAATTAGGGAAGGACAGAACCCAGTATTTAGGGTCTATGACAGCCAGCAAGCTAACTCCTGGATGCTCTCAGATTTAGTTGGATAATATGTAGTTCTGGTTTATTTGGGAAGGTGACAGGGGTGGCAGGGGGAAGGGTCACAGAGTAGAATAGCATCAAGCATTAGCAGAGAAGAGATTTTGACAGACTGACATAAACAAAGAAAAAATTGAGTGGAAAGTAAAATTGCTTCAAGTACATTTGAAGTGAGTGATGGGAATCCAATCAAAGATTTGAGATACCAGACCATAAATTCAATGGTAAGGAAAAATGATTACATTAAATTGAATCTTCATTTTCAAAAAATTAAGGCACTGGATCAGATAAGCCTCACGATAAGGCTACAGTTGCTGGTAGGGAGACTGAAAGTAGGAATGTGGTCAGAGGAAAGAAAGACAGCACAAAGGATTCAGAGGGTAAAGGAGGCAGGGCTCATCTGAAGCCAGATTACTTGACTAGACCATTCTGGTCCCACCACCTGGCACCCACCTGTAGGTGAACTGGGTAAGTCATTACAAAAACTAAAGATGGACTTGGTGGGATTAGCATATCAGTTAGAAAGCAGATTTTATTTTCCTGGTAGTAACATTCACTTCAAAAAAAATCTGTTGTTTATATTATTATTAAATTACTTCTTCTTGTAATATTCCAGGATTTAAATTTATTTTTCTGAGCACTAATCTCCAACAATGTATAATTTGAAGTTCTCAGCCTCTGGCTCAATTCTAGAAAAGGTCAAAAATCTTGCCAACAAATACAAAGATGAGTGTTTCTAATTGGTCTTTAGAAATTATATAAAGGTAATAAAGTAAAAGACTTTAAATTTAAAAACGTGTATCAATAACATACTGAGTTAACAAAATTCCTGAACACCAGCTATGAGCAAATGATTTACAAGGCTGCAGGCATCTCTGATGGTCTATGACAAACCTGGGCAAAGATTCTGTGTTTTGTTGTGGTCATTTTATCTTTGATTTACAATACCTTGCACAGTGACTGGCATAATAAATGATCAATCAATGTTTGTGGAAAAAATTGATTAAGTGAATAAAGAGTTAATGTAAGTTACATTATATAGTACAGTGATGCAAAAATAATAAAAATATGCTGTGTTTGCAACTTACGTAAAATAAAGTTGAATTCACCCAAATATCTAACTCTTAAAAGATAAATGCAAGTAGCTGGTAGCTGATTTAAGCACCAGTAACAGAAGTGAACACCTAAAAAGTAAATTTTATCACAGGTAGGAACATGTGAATGACCCTGATTACTTGTCAATAGGAAAAGATGTTGAGTGCAGGCATTTTCTCTTTCTACTTTGGATCAGCAATCAGATTCACTCACAGATCATTGATTCATGAACAGCACTATATACGTACTTTGAATTTTCAAGTAGCCAGTGTTTCATAAGTGTTTATATTACAAGTACACCCTCAGCCAACTCTTTTTCTCTGGTATAGTGTTCTCATGATTTTTAGCCAGACAAGACTCAAGAGTTCCCTTTATGATTTGTATTCTTTTGTCAATACATTTCTTAAATTAAGAAAAAATATTTCTTCATTTCCAGTGATCTAGGATTATTTTTGGTTATTTGGATGGCTAATACGTGCTCACGAAGTCAAATGTATTCCTTTTACACAAAGAACAAACATTAGTTTTATTTTTAACTGAATATGTAAACGACTTGATATAAACCAATTATGAAGTGCCTACGTGGATTTCTGTGCCTTCATTTATTTCTCATTAGAAGTTTGATAACAAAATGTCCACAAAATCACGTTTCAAATGGAAACTTGTTTAAGTTTTGGATATTCATCTGATTACAAATGTGCAGAAATTAAAATGGTTGTAACAATTTGACTTAGTTCCTAAAAATCACATGGCTCACAATTTTCTGAAAGATGGGGATGTTAGATAATATGAGACTTTACTGTTGAAAAGATAAAGAAAATGGCAAACTGAACATTCAATTTACTCTGGAATACTTGATAAGGAACAATTCGGGAATTAAAAGGTCAAAAAGGCTTCATGTGTTCTAACTATTCTGCTTTTATTTCATCAAAGCTTCTTATTTTTCAATCATTCATATGAAATTATTCATAACTGATTTACTGCATTGGACAGGAGTTATTTTCTCATCCTATTTCTGACAAATATCTTCAAAGCTCTTATAACATAGATACCAAGAGAGGACGTGAAATGAAATGGGACTAGAGGGGGGAAAAAGGCCAATGCTCTTAAGTCAAACTGCACAGAGAGGTGAATGGTTCAGTGCATGAATATCTCAAAAATGCCCTTAGAATTTTGCTCTTAACTACAAGTCTATCTGCAGGCTTTGTCCAAATGAAAAACTAACAAACCAAAGGAAACCAAACTAAACTAAACAAAAATAAAACTCTCCTGACAGAAATTCTCCAATGAATGTATCTTTGAAATGAACCACTTTATTAGCTGCTAAGCAACCTTCTGGCTCCTTTTTCTTTAACTCTTACAGTAAAAGAAAAACTACCCCCCAACCCTGCCTACCTAGTTTCTCATATCTCAGTTTCAGTTACCCGTGTTTCAATTACCCACCATCAAACTCGTCCAAAAATAGGTAAGTACAGTATAATAAGGTATTTTGAGAGAGAACATAATCACCTTTTATTAAAATACATAGTTGTTCTATTTTATTATTAGTTATTGATTGTTGTGAATCTCTTACTGTGCCTAATTTATAAATTAAACTTTATCATAGGTTTGCATATATAGAAAAAAACATAGTACAGTCTGTATAGGGTTTGTTATCATCTCTGGTTTTAGGCATACTTGGGCATCTTGGGATGTACATACCTGTGGATAAGGCAGAACTACTGTAGTTTTCTCCTCTTACCTGATAGGAGCACCTTTGGCTTGTGCTGGTCTCAACAATACAGTTATTGTGGTGGCAGTTTCATTGAGAGAGGCATCAACTCCTTCATAGTCAGGTAAAGTTGGAGCTGATGAGTGATTAATGAGATAAAAAAGGTTCAATTAATTTACAGTAATATATCACAGGTCAGAATGAACAGACAATCTTAAGTTAGGAAAAAAAAATTCACCTAATTATCTACAACGTATTTTGTTTTATAGCATAACATCTCCAAATGAATTTCAACTCTGGGAACTTAAAATATCAAAAGCTAGAAAACCAAGATTTGCTGTGGAAATTTAAATAATCGTCTGGCAATTTATGACACACATTCCAAATATTTTGTGAAGATGCTTTCCTTTTAGTTTCCTGAGACCTTCAAGTGAGTAATGATGGGAGGGAGGGAAGGTAGTAACTGAGAAGACTGGGCAGTAGTGCTTATGGAGTCACATATGGCGATCAGGAGCTATGAACAGCAAGAGCTGAGGTCAAGGGCTACCTGGTGAAACAGTGTCGTTTATGATCTTATAGTGTAGAAAGACACAGTACTCTTATGCTAATGTGTTTTTCACAACTCTGGTCACAAGAGAAACATACCAAGAAGTGTGGTAAATGATAATGGACATCTTAGCTTTTGTTCATCAGGGACATTAGTTGCCAGATTCTTAAAAAGAATAAATTTATAATTTTTTTAAATATTTGATAATGCTTAATTAGGGACTAGGATCTTGAGGGGGAAAAAGAGTTACCTCAAATAGCTTTGGATGACTTTCATGTAGAAAGCTGTTTAAGGAGTATATACTCAATGAAATGTGTGCATTATCTCTATCCATTCGTTGAACATTTACTGAATATATACTATGTGCCAAGTTTTATGAGAAATGCTATGAATATAAAGACAAAGCATGGTCTCTGATATTTAGAATTAAAAGTAGGAATTCACATTTTATGAAAAGTAAGAGTCTTACAAACAAAAAATTATAGCAAAATGTTAGTGGCCAAAAGTGGAAGACCATTTGCCAAAACAGTGGTTCTCAAACTTGTAAGATCAGAATCACCTGGAGGGCTTTCTAACACACAGATTATAGCCCCTCTACCCTAGAGTTTCTGATTCAGTATTTCTGGGGAGGGACCTGACAATGTTTATTTCTAGACAGTTCTCAGGTGATGTTGGTGATGATGGTCTGGGGGTGGGGGGTCACACTTTTTTCATTAGTATTGGCAGTGGGGGGATGAAACCAGAAGGCTCAGGGTGTCTAATGATGTTTAAGCCAAATATTAAAAAAAGGGTAAAAACTCATCAGGAAGAGAAAGGATGAACTAAAATTCTGAGAAAGGAAGCAGAATATCTGAAGATAACAAAATATGAAAGGGCATGGTACGTTTTAACAGCTATAAGCCGTTGGCTGTGCCGGGAACTTTGGGCTCATGGGGAGAAGTAGAGGATGGGAGGAGTCATGCAAAGAAGGACCCTGAATGCCAACACCAAGTGGATCTTTAGACTTCATCCCGCTGATTATAAGATACAAGATTGCGAAAATATTTAAGAAGGAAATATCTGTGGATTAAAGATAGATATAGAAATGCAGTGAAGATGGGTAAGTCTGAAGGTAGGGATACCACTTAGAAAGATATTTCAATAATCTGTTTAAAATACTGTCTAGATGGAAGAAAAGGAGCAGTGACATTAGAAGATTAATTATTATCTGAGAGTTTTTTAGGAAGCAGAAACAACAAATATTAATTTAATACATGCACAATATGTAGTATGTATGTGTGTATATGTGTGTATGTGAATGTATGTGTATGTATAAATAATTCCCCCAACAGTTATGCCTGCAATAACTTGATTTCACTGTTATTTAAATTATTTTTTTAAATGCTGAGAAATGTAATTACCGGACTCAGGGAATAAATTTGACAATAAATTATCTGAAAAGTTCAAGTAATGATGAGAACCACACTAACCATAAATTTATTAATCTTAGATGTGATTAATAATTGTTCTTAACATAAAGTGATTGCAACCAAGTTTTTAAAGTACAATCAAGTACTCATTGCACTTAGGTTAATACAAGTAAAAGTGAAGTTGAATAATTAAAAGAAAAAATCAGATGGATGTTCTGGTCTTTTTTATAAACTTTATGTTCAACACAAACACAGTATCTGAGCCTTGAGAGACATACACACACACACACACAAACATTTATGGCTCTCAAAAATTTACATTTGTTCAATGTTCTCAGTTTTGTTAGTTTATATAAATTTTGTAGCTGTCTCTATTGAAAGATCTTACTCAATTATAGCACTGCTGCTAATTCCAGAGGGTAGAAAACCTATCTCAGTGCATCGTAACATCACCAAGTCTTATTTTCTGGTAAAGTGATTCAATACATATTTTAAATTCATGATTTGTAATTGTTCTCAGGAAAGAAAACTGCAATTTTAAAACATTGTTATTTTATAATATAATGGATGATACTTTAATTTTTTATTGGAATATTAAGATAAATCAAATGCTCTTCCAAGGAATTATAGCTCATAATGGAATAGCTAATTTTATTCATGATACAAATTTTTAAAGTTTGTATTATACTCAACACGTTTGCAAGTAACATTTTAGACTCAAAATAATTTGGAAAGTACATGTCTTCCTTTTAATGCAAATGGTATAGATTAAAAAAATGAAAGACATATTTTATGGGTATTAATGATGTATCATTAATATTTGCCATGTGGAACTATAATAAAAATGAACACAAATGAACAAAAAGAATTAACAAAGTCAAAATTTGTGCTTTACTACATTGTGTGGTTGACCTTTAAATAATTTATTTTTCAAATTTAACTCTTCATTTACATATACAATATGTATTTATTTTAGTAATCTTAAATAAGAAAAAACATTATATAAACTTTAGTAGATTTAGGGCATACTACAAAGCTAACTCCTTGCAAGAATTTAATCAGGTTTAACTGATGATCTGACTGAAGGAGAAATAAGCTCTGTAAACAATCTAGTCAAATACAAACTGTGCAACTGTGACTACAATAGAATGTAAAGTTTAATTTCTTTATCAACCTAAAATTCTTCTGTACGTTCCCATTTTAAAACTTATATGTATTTATATAAGATTTTTAAGTGTGAAAGAAAAGCCCATCTTTGTTTAAAATTATCATAATGTCAGGGAAAATGAAACAGAAACAAGGTATGTAGTACTATAATACTAGAGAAAGGATCTTCTACCATTTTTTTGATAACATTCATTTAGAGTAAAGGTCTGACACCATAATAATTATCAACTCTTCAAAAGTATCATAAGATCTATTAGGATTTATAATGAATTTTGAAAGATTTTTAATAAAGATTTAGTATAATTTTTTTAAGACCACTGTCAATCAAAAGTGACTATTTCAGATGTGTTTTGGTTTGGACATATAATTCATATTCAAATAATTATTTAAAGTGCTTTCATTTATGCATAACTATATTAAAGGTTCAACAAGCAAGATGAACTACACTTGGTTTATATGTGATTCTCCAGGATGTGCCATTACAAACCAATGGCATAATCAATCCTATTTGTAATTTATTCATTTGCATACCTGAGATATTGGTGGTGACATTGATGGCTGTGGCTGGACCAAAGCCTTTGACCGTGCTGGCTCTTATGAAAAACTGGTACGTGGTTCCAGGGTGGAGATGCATAAAGACATGGTGTGTACTGTTCCATAAATTTGATACAGTCTGGGGAGGTCCAGCCACTGGAACTGCAGGATCAAATGATCTTATACTGCTATAGCTGATCTGTTTTAAGAAATACATTTATTACATATCTAGTATCCATCATAAGAAACTGTAAATAAACTCTGTATAAATAAGGTAGTATGCAAGGGCATCCATGTGGAGTCAATGGTAATTTTTTTCTTCTTTTCTTTCTCATGTTGATATTGTTATTTCTGTCATTCTGAAGTTCTGTCTATATGTCAATCAATCATCTATCTACAGATACACCGGAGTTATAGCTGACCAAATCAATATACATCTATTTTCTTCCATCAAAAAAACCACAATAAATTATGCGTACATAAAAAATCTTATAGCCATATACTTTAATGCATATGAAACACAGAAAGTGTTTCAACAAATTTTTATTATTATTAACATATTCTGTACTTTGTTCAAGTTATATAACAAATTTCATGTAAATAGTATTCAAATATGTGAACACAGTTTCAAAATATAACATTGTACTAGTGATTCTCATTTCCATAATTCACTCTGTAGCCATTAGAAATTTAAGCATTTATGATCTAATCAACGCTATGTAGGAACAGAACTACACATTTGTGTAACTTAAATGATTCTTTCATTTCTTCTTTTTTAGTTTCTCATATTTGAAAAGATAATGTTTTATATTCAAAGTTGAAATGAAGCTCTAGAAAAGTCAGCTTTATAATCTATTTTGCTTTTTGGGTATTATTCCTTACTCTGAAACAACTGAAATTCAATGGCTTCTCCTAAATCACAGTATGATAGGAGTTTCTTAAATTTATAAAAAGGAAAATGAGGGTTTTTTAATATGTGATTATTACTATAACCATCGTAAATCTGATAATGACTATCCTGCTTCCCTAAATCAACAAAACAGCAACAAAAAACATGCATTTTTTAAGAATTTGAAAATTCTAGATGCCATACAAAATATTTATTTTGACGCTTAATTTTGGAATCAAAGAATCTGTAAATTAAAACAAAGGAGAATGATTTTAATCCCCTAATCCTCATTTACGTCTTTTCCATATTTCCCTCTAACTTTTCCTTTCTTCTTCCTTTTAGTCCTTCAATCCACATTTCAATTAACTTCCTTGTTCTCCCAATACCTCATATTGAGTGATGATTCCATTTGGATCCAAAGGTTCTTTCCAGTTCAAGAAGATCTTATTTTCAAAGGATGTTCCTTGAAGAGATTTTACTGGTACGGGACCAGGCACTACAAAACACATGAATTTTTTGTTATGAAAATGCTTACATTAGAAACAGAAAAAGTAAATCAGATAAGCTAGATAAACAGGATTAAAAATAAATATAAAGAAAAATAAATAAAAATGTGTCCTTAAAAACAAAATAAACTATATGACTAGTTCTCTGATTTTACTTCGATATATGAGAATTTAAAGCAAGTCTATAAGGTTCTGATGCAGAAAATGTAGAAATGCAAAGTTATTTTTATTCAAAAGAATATTCTATCACCTTAGAGAGATGCATAAATTATGTAGTCTAGTTTCCTCTGTTGTATACCTCTAATAACGTGAGGATCTTATTTGTAATTTGTTTCAAGAACAGAGCTGTATTTCCCCAAAGATTTTTTTGAAGATTATGCAAATCCCCCAAAGAGTCTCCATAAACAAAGTTGATAAATAATAAATTACGATAATAATTAACACTCTTTGGTCTGGAAAGCCGAATCACATAGCAAAATGAATTGAAATGTCCATTAATAGCCAACCTTACTTTTATAGCTATATGTATTAAATGTTCTGTAATTTTAAAAAGGCAGTGTTGATTATTACCATATTTAAAGAGTTATTACAGATGGATAGGTTCAAATGTCACTGCTTCAGCCTTTTAAAGGAAATTCACTTATTCAAAGGTAAGAATCAAACTAGTTTATAATGTCAGACTTGTTTAGAACTCAACGATCTGCACAACTACTTTGGAAGTGTCCTCAGCTATGACCATATTTGAAGAGCCTTTGCTTCAGTCCTTATTTGCAAATGTCATATAACTGGTCATACACAATGACAACACTGAATGATGCACCAGCTTCTATTGACAAAATACCAGATAAAAAATTCTTTCGCTATCGTGTATTTTCCTTTTATATATTTTATTTAAATACTTAGCTGCTATTTATTCACATGAATATCCAATTTCTAGTTCTGATAATATTTTAAAATATATAGTATCTATCCTACTTGGCTAAAAAATGTGTTTCTTTTTGAAAATATCAACTGAATATTGGGCAAGCATAGTTTTTAATTAATATTTTCCCTTAATCTAACGTTTCAGTGAACTTCACACATGACATTATCCAGAAATGTAGTTTCAAAGTATATAGCAATTTTGTGAGGATTGAAATAAATTAAAAATCACTGGATCAAGGGAAATACATTGCATTGTGGCTAGGAGCATCAAGAAATTCTGAATGATATCTCACGAGAGCAGGATTTATTTCAATCTACAAGGAGACTATGAATGATACTATGACCTCTGAGACAGGCAACATAATTTGATACATTGAGGAAAGAAACCCACAATAAACAGAAAATATGCCAGCACTAAACTTTAGAAGATATGTTCAAGCCATTGTCAGCCGAAGACTATGAGAGAAGTTAACTGAATGCATCCGCTCTCTCCCTGCTCCACAGTACCAGCAAGGCTGTGCAGCTGATCCAGACAGAGGGCCAGTGAGAGCCCCTCTGCACATCTGTGTCTATTGCTAAGGCTGCCATGGGCATTGGTTTGTCTTGCAAGAGTACCTGTTGTTTCCATTATATGCAAATGACATACACTTATGATTATATTGAAGGAAAAGATATTTCTTCATCCTTACGTATCTCTCATAGAAGGTGGCTAATGGGGGAAAAAGGGAGCAAAATATCCAATTAATGAATAAATGTTGATTTGATGGCATTGTAATTATAATAACTGCCTATGTTTACCTAACACAATTTAGCCTACAAATACCATAAAATGGCATAGATTTATTTTATCGAACATCGTTCAATAATAGGGATGGTTTAAAATATTTGTATAATTCTACATTGAAAAAGGAGTAGAATTGGGAAGTACCTTCCCTAGAAGTTTTGTATTTCTATGCTCTTACAGTTTTTCTGTTTTGACAATAGAATTCACTACAAGTACCTATAGATTGCATTTGTAAGACAAAAGTTTGTGGCAAAGTTGTGGACAAGAGAGTGTCATACTACTTGTCGTGTACTTGGATGATCATAGATGAGAGAAGGAACTATACTTAGATGAACTAAAAGACACACACAAACAGGTGAGGTGAGGTGTGAGCACAAACAAAGTAGATTCAATAACTTTCTACATTTGAAGGAAGATCATGTGTACAATTATAGACAGAAAATGTCTCTCTGTACCTATGATTTGTGTAAATACTATATGAAGTTACTAAAACCATTATCATGGCAGTCTACTGATTGCAGGGAATGTCACTTCACATTTCCACATCAACAACTTTTAATGGAAACAGAATGCTGACTTTTGTTCCCTTGCCTGAGACTTATATGACAGCTATTTCAGCTACTTTTTTTGAAAGTCCTTTATAATATAACTCTCAAAATGGAAAAGAGAGTGGAAATAAAATATGGGTGGGGCAAGATTATATTAGATAAGCATTATAGCCTTTAAAATGTAATAAATGTACTTTCAAAAATAGCTTTGTAGTCTCAAAAATATGTCCCCAAACCAGGCTTTTCTGCTGAGCTAACTTTATAATATTGATTTTTTGAATGCTGGAATAAAAAATGAAAACAAAACCTCATACAGAAAATTCTGTTCGTCCATTAAAAAGTGTATGCAATAAATTAAATAGAAATTCTACCTTAGGGTTCTGGCGGGAAATGGTTCTAGCTTTGCTCTCATGATTTATGGATGTCCCAGAATTCTTTTTATAAAATTATGTCCTTTTATTAGGTGGCTGATAATTTATTCTTTTTCTATGTATACAGGGCAGCAATAATTTAGTAACACTGACTTAATCAGATCATCATAATCCATCGATCTTTCCAACAACAGATTATGATTTAGATATTCTTTCCCTGCTCAGGAACATTAAGACACATCAAGTATTCTATGTACAAAGTGAAGCTCACATGCTGATTTGAAGACAGAGTTACTTGCAAATACTTCATGGAAGAGTTTACGTATCAATCATTAAATATTATATATTAAACAAAAAGAAAAAATTACGCTCATAGTAGAAGGGATTAGTTTGTGACAATACTATGAAATAATAATACGAAACTTAATATAATTAAAACTGGAAAAATTATTCAAAACAGAGATTAAAATAAAACTAGGATTGAAAATGATATTAAAATTAGAATTTAAAATATTTCAAAAAATAGTTAATGTCATTGTATTTTTACAAAACTATTTTAGATAAGATAAATAGTACAGTCATGAGTTTGATCAATGTAGGGCATAATTTAAAATTCCAAAGCAACTCATTCCTTGATTATTAGTCTAGTCATATTTATACTGAAAAATGCATTTAAAAATTTAATGCAATATGAAAAAGATTATATAAGCCTGGCTGCATTCTTTTGTTTGTGGGAAAGAAGGGCAAACTAACAAACCATATCCAAAAATACCATCAAAATGAATTCTATTACTAGAGAGTGACTGGCTAAAGCAGCACAAAACTATGTAACTGAGTCTACCATTACCAATTAGGACATGATTTTTTTTTTAAGGGTAGGCAATAAAACATGTGAATATACTTTAATAACTGAACACATGGGCTACAAAGTGCCTAGTGTGACACAGACCTTATAACATTTATCCCATTTTAAAAGAAAAGATAGAAATTTTTTGGAGCTATTGAATCTGTAGTTAGACTTCTCATTTTTATTATGTGCCTATGAAACAATTACCCCTAATCATTCTTTCTTGCATAAATATGCATTGAGTTGTGTGTGTGTGTGGCAGGGGTAAGATATAAGGATATTTGTGTGTTTATTAATTAGGAAAGGGGGTGTTGTTTAAATGTTGTTGCTACTTCAATTAGGTGCCAGTTCAAACATGATAGCTAAAGTAATCATGTTTGGTTACCTCAAACATGACAAAAGCACATTCATCATAAATAAGTCTTAAATAAGTCTTAGGTTTATTCTCAGAAATTTTAGGAACATGAGTAACTCCATGTATAGTTTCCGAACTATATTGCTTCCTTCAAATTTTGAGCTAAATGTGGTTAAAGGGCTCTCACTTCTCTTATTACAACAAAAACAGCAAGGCACATGAAATGATGGTCATTTCCACTTTCAGAGTGGGAGAGTTTGAAATTATAAGTATTTGTAAAAACTATGGCATAATAACCTCTTTTATGGCAAGCTAATAGAAGGTAGGCACCAAAAGACACACCTGATCTAAAATTCAGAACTTAAGGGAACTTGGGAATACGTGGTTATAAAAAACATTCTGTTTTATGAAACTCAAATAAAAATGTAGCCCCGCTGGGCACAGTGGCTCACGCCTGTAACCCTAGCACTTTGGGAGGCGGAGGCGGGTGGATCACTCGATGTCAGGAGTTCAAGAGCAGCCTGGCTAAGATGGGGAAACCCCATCTCTATTAAAAATACAAAAGTTAGCAGGGCATGGTGGCAGGTGCCTGTAATCCCAGCTACTTGGGAGGCTGAGGCAGGAGAATCGCTTGAACCTGGGAGGTGGAGGCTGCAGTGAGCCGAGTCGAGCCACTGCACTCCAGCCTGTATGACAGAGTAAGACTGTTTCAAAAAAAAAAAAGAAAAGAAAAGAAAAAAAATGTAGCCCTACTGTCAAGCTACTTAAGAAGAAGTTTAGAAGGGGGTGGAACCTCAGAGATCACTTAATTTAAGCCCTTCATTGAAAGATAAGAACTGACTCCTAATTTAGCTTTGCCTCAGTTCACCATATGGCACACTTTTTTTCTACATGCCTTAATTCATAAAAGGAAATTTTGAAAGGAAATATCTTACATCCAAAGAGTGACTTATTGTTATTAGATTATCATTTGCAGATATTTTTATATGTTTTTGCTAAATTAGGAAATATATTATCAATCAAATTATAATATACTGTAGTGCTATAACAGGTATGTGAACATTAAAATACTAATATAAATATTTGTTCATATTATTTATCAAGAAGTAACACACAGAAATTAGACAAAGTACAGTTTAGTTACTTGGATGGCAACAAGATACATAAAGAACAGCTTGCTAATGTCTAATAAAGGCCATTATATTAGACTTACAGATATGAACTGTTGCTTGCTTTTATATTTAGACTCACATAAAACCATCTAAAATGAATAGAAAGGGTAAGCAGTATAAACAGTGTTGTTTCCTTTTTTCCTTGAGACGGAGTTTTGCTCTTGTTGCCCAGGCTGGAGTGCAATGGTGCGATCTCAGCTCTCTGTAACCTCTGTCCCTGGGTTCAAGTGATTCTCCTGCCTTGACCTCCCGAATAGCTGAGATTGGCAGGCACCCGCCACCACACCCAGTTAATTTTTGGAATTTTTAATAGAGACAGGGTTTCATCACGTTGGCCAGGCTGGTCTTGAACTCTTGACCTCAGGTGATCCACCTGCCTCGGCCTCCCAAAGTGCTGGGATTACAGGCATGAACCACTACACCCGGCCCAACAGTGTTGTTTTCAAATGTGAGAAAAATAAAAACAGCTACTATTGGTTTATAAAATACAAAAACCCTAAGTTTTTTATCAAGTGCATTTTACCAATAGGCAATTGATATAGTGCCATGGAGAGTAAAAATTATTTTTGAACATTTGATTTAAAAAACCCCTTCATTTAAGTTTTTAGTGTAGTTGCCACTTCTGTGTAAGAAGAGAGGACAACAGAAGCACATTTCATTTAGTATTTGGATGCTTGTCTGAAGAATATTAGGTTTTGTAAAAGGCAATTTTTTTCCAAAGTTAATCTCATTAATAACATTTAGATGATTTCAGAATCCAATTCAGTATTGGACAATCTTAGGAAAATCTTAAAGTAATCACATTTTTCTTGTTAGAGAATTCCCCCCTTTTAAACAGCAAAGTATGAGCATACCATCTTCATCAGTTTGAATAATTGTCTCTTCACTCTCCTTCCTTCCCTCTGGATTGGTTAGGATCATCTTGAGGCTGACATTTGTATAAGGTGGCAGATGGTTCACAACATGCTGAGGGGCTTTGGGGTCCATGTCCAAACAGTCTGCCTTGCTCTCGTTGTGACCACGGAAGTAATGGTAGCAGATAGTGACATTAAAAGTGTGGCAACGCGTAATGTTGTAACCCAAGGATTCCCAGTCCACAGCAATCCGTCTTGCCTGTATTTCAGCAATCTTTAATGTCTTTGGGGTTCTCATAGGTTCTGAAAAATAAATCAGAGTTGTAGACAGCTGTCTATTATATCATGAATAATCCTGGAAAAATAAAACACCAAGTATAATATAGCATATGCAAATCTAGAAAATGTGGAAGTCATGTTTTATTTTCCTTTGCTTTATTTATTCATGATCCTATTCTTGAAGGTTTCAATCAGGGACTAAGATTTAACAACAGGAAAAGAAAAGAAATATAAAATGTCAACAACCCACGGTACTCAGGAACTTGGCAGAAAAATAAAAACCTGAAAATGTAGCCGCCATGCATTTATAGTTGTTGCTGTTGTTACTGCCCAATTCTCTGCCTTTCTTTTGTCTTTATTGAGCAAGTGAATCAGCTAATATATCAAAATGGATAAGACTCAACATATTCTACTCTGTCATTTATCATGTCACTAAGCTATGCTGTATACGAATTATTCTAATTGTAACAATAATATACTACCATTTACAAGAAATGACACAGATATTAATTAACATTAATTATTTCTATAATGATGTTGTTCATCAAAGCAAAAAACAATGGAGAAAAATTACAAGAACATATGTAGATATTCACATTGTCTTCTTTCCTTATTGATCTCTGTCTTTTTCTAGAAAACATTCAGGTCTAACAATCCTTTCATTGTCACCCAAACCAAACTGGGAGGTGAATTTTCCATTCAACTGGAAAATACTGGCAGAACTAAAGACTCCAAAGACTAGAATCCATCCTTCACTGCTTCCCAAGTGTATTCTTTCCTCATTCAAGACTAACTTGAATCATCTAACTTAATCAACGTAACTACTCTATGAAACTCATGGCCATGGCAACATCTACAGAGTAAAAAAACTAACACACAACAAAAACTTTAATTCATTGATTTGATAAAAAGAAAAAAGTCAAGGGATTTCCGATGCCTCTCTTAACTCATTAAAGATAGTCAAATTCTTGCTAAATGGAAATCAGTAGGGAAAATAATACAAAAAGTCTGACTTGGGGGCTTTCATAAATTTTTGTTTTTGAGATTAAAATCACAGTTCTGTAAAAACAATCAGCATGCTAAACAGATGGCAAGCCCAAACTGGGATTCTAGTTCAATATATTTAATGTGCAATCTGAAATGAACTCTGGTGGCCATTTAATTTAAAATCTTAGATTACAAAAATCTACATATGTGCAAATTTATCTTCGGTAGAATCTAATGCTTAGGTTTTAAATGTTATTTGCCAGTCTTATGACTATTCACAGCATCCAGACTCCCAACTTCACCACTTTCATTTCAGACGTTACCTGAAGTCCACAGGTTGGAAGAAAGACGAGGCTTTCTAATTATTTTAAAAATCGTTTTATATGTTTAGCTCTATGCTAAGATTTTCCCCACCAGACACAAGAGTAAAGTGATGATACTTTCAATTTAGTCCAGTTAGACCGAAAACACAGTCTTTGCTATGACTGCCCACCAGCTAACCAGGCAATGAGAACTAGGATCATCCTAAAAATTCCCAGATAAACTGTGATTTTGCTGCCTCCTAGGTAGCAACTGGATACTGTTTGGTAGCCATGGCAAGATTCAGCCATATCTTGTTCTAAAATTATACAGAATGAGAAAGTAAGATTTCCCATGAAAATACCTAGAGTATATGAGCAAACAATGCCTATACAGCAATGAGAGAAACACCACAAATATTTAACCCGCTAATTCTTTAATTTTTTATTTTTTTTAGGTCTAGCACTTATACACTTGTTTTAACACACCCCTCATTTTAAATCTGACATTTTCCCCTTGTATAAATTTCTCTATTTCTAAGTCATCACTCTCTCACGCCAGTTCTTTTCATTTTGTCTATTTAGTCCGCACTTACTCTGCATTTTAACACTATTTTGAAAGCATACCTAGACATCTTACACACTGTAAAGAAGACAGAGTAGCTCTGCATCCTCAATTCTTACATATCTAAGAGTGGGCAAATGATTTATTTATTATCTGTTATGCAGAAAATGGATAGGATTTACTTTAAGTGATAATTTTGTTTTGGTGTCTTTAAATGCTGCTTACTTTGGCACTCATTGTATTAAAAACTCATTTAAAATTGGGATAGAGTAGCTTTATTAGTCCTACACAATGTATATAAAGCACAATCATAATTTCAGTGACCAATACTTTATTAACTGATATGGAAAAACAAAGAGTTGTGGAAAGAAATAGCTTTCTAAGAATTGACAAAGTCAATATGTTATTTGAAATTGACATTTTTTTCCACAGTTTGAATGTATGCTTTAAAGGGCCCTGATGTTGATAAAATAGTGACTTAGACATAATTTTGCACTCACTTTAGGATAGTACTCAGAAACATATGAACAACCAAAGTAAACACACACACACAGACTAAAAATCAAAACTTGATTGTTTTGAGCTGCGTGGAATTAATAACTCAGAGGGAGTTACTGTATAACTGTATTTTTTTCTTAATTGGCATGCACCTTAAATTTTTTCAGTTTTTACTGAGGTGGGAACTTCTCAGGGTTGTGTGTATAGATACACACATATACATATACACATATGCAGTACATACATGTACATCTATATGTGTGTATATACACATACATGTGAAAGGTGCTATAGCATACAAACTTCTCTGAATACTATTCACTTAGACATGGGCTGATAACTATATGCACATGCATTTTTATATTAGAATATTTATAAACAGCAGTGATTTGAGATGGTTCTACTACTATAAAATCCATTCAAAGAAATTTTTCTCAAAGATTCCAACAATAAAGTTGCCTAAATTATTGACCTTAATCCATTATTTCTCATACCTAACCAACAACTGCATTGTATTTCTGAGGTATAAATACATAAATAAAAATTTAACATTTAAAATCAAAATAATTACTTGAATTGCCATAGAATAACCGAAAGCAAAAAGATATTGTTTGGAAACCACTGATATTTATGAGCTGGCCATAAGAGCTACTATAAGTATTAAATAACTTCAAGATATAACCTACAGGGTCAGTGACTCAGAGGTATGATAGTAAATCGTATTTATAACAAATAAAAAACCATAATGGTGGTGAAACAATGGAGAACACATTCATGAATTCATTATCTGTCAATCGTTTTGGAATATGATATATGTTCTTGCTCCTCCTCAATTTCCGATTTTCTTTTTTCAAATCTTTATTGGGTATTCCATATATTGTAATTTTATATAACATTTCTTTTTTTGTTGTTTTTTGCATTTCTAGTAAAAAGAAAGAATTGGAAAAGGCTGTAGTCAAAAATTTTATCAGAAACTTGGAAGGAAACAAAGTGATGCTGGGCATGGTGGCTCACCCCCATAATCCTAGCAGTTTGGGAGGCCATGGTGGGCAGATGGCCTGAGCTCAGGAGCTCGAGACCAGCATGAGCAACATGGTGAAACCCCATCTCTACTAAAAATACAAAAAATTAGCCAGGTGTAGTGGTGGATGCCTGTAGTCCTGGTTACTGGGGAGGCTGGGGCAGAAGAATCACTTGAACCCTGGAGGCAGAGTTTGCAGTGAGCCGAGATCGCACCACTGCACTCCAGCCTGGGTGACAGAGCAAGAGACTCTCTCTCAAAAAAAAAAAAAAAAAAAAAAAAAAACGAAAAAACAAAAAAACAAAACAAAACAAAAAACAAAAAAGGAAAAAAGAAACACAGTAATCGAGTGATCTTCATGCAATGAGTGGTTATATTTCAATGTTTAGATCAAGTCATCCATCTATAATGAAACATAAAGAAATTTTATTACTATATACAGTGTACTATCCTAAGTATTCCAGAAGGTACTAAAGTGAATAAAGCATAATCTTAGACCTCAAGGAGCTTCCATTTGTTTATCAAAGATGTTAAGCTAAGAAAAAAAATAAACAATATATTTACAAGTGGTATATAAGTAGAAAAAAATGCTATAGGAATTCAAGAGGGAGAAATAACTTCCACCTTTCAAATGGAGTAGACATTTGTGTTAGGTCTCAATGGATAGAAGCAAGATCTTTAGACCTCATTTAGATAAATAATACAAAAAATGGAAGAAACGAGTTGAATAAAAACGTAGAACACAGTTGGAGAAAATTTGCAATCCCACTTGGTTGCTGTACAAGTATCATATAGGAGATAATACAGGAAAGGTTGGTTGGGAAAAGATGAGGCAAACTTTAGATGTCATGGTAAGAGGCTGAACTTACCTGATAGGCCATGAGAAGTCATTGAGGGTTTCTGAGCAGGAAGTTAACATAGTAAAATAACATTAATAAGATTAATTTGGAGGCTGTGTCAATTGTGGAGACATTGAATGTAGAGAAATCAAAAGAATGTGATGTGTTAGCAGAGAGATTAGGGCTAAGTAAGGAGGGGGACAGCAGGAACACGCAGGATAGGGGCTACTGATGTGGAAGGAAAACTGAAAAACTTGGTGGTTACTTGGATTTGAGTTATGTGAATGGATACAATATAGCTAATGTGTTAATACCAAATGACAAAGAAAATTAAGGTGCTCTTAAATGAACAGAGAAAGTTCAAGAAGAGACACAGATTGGGGGGTAAAATGATCCAATAATTTCTTACTGCTTATTTATTGCTTTCTGTTGGCCAAAAAGTATACTAGAAACTAAGGAGGCAAAGATCAATTTGACAATGTCCCTAGCTGGGAAGCAAGGCATACGAGCAATACTTGAACTGATTTCTGTGTTTTAGATAACTTGGAGAGCATTAAGAAGAGAAAGAGGTCTAAGTGGAGGCATCAGTCTACCTAAGTCAGGAGTTGGGGTACTCCCATCCTTTCAGAGATAAGAGAAAGAAAAAGAGAGAAGGTAATAGATAAGGATAGGGTAAGAGAAAAGAGAGAAGAAGAAAAAGGAGAGGGCAAAAGAGAAATGGAGAGAAGAGGATGCTCTGAGAGAGAGGGAGAAAGAGGGAAACGGAACAGAAACAGAGATGAGCATGTGTTAGTGAGCATGACAGGGGGCAGGTGAGTTTGAAGGGAAGGTGGTGTTAAGCACATATGTTACAAATTCATTCACAAGAGAGGCCAAAGAGAATTGCATAAAATCTAGTGTCTGCCCCATTTTTCAGATAAAAAAAAAAAGAATTGAATGAAAGAAAGCTGACTTTTCTAAAAAGACCCACTAAGTCAAAAGCAGAGGTCAGTACCAGAAACCAGATCTCAAAACACAAAATATTAAGTGTTTGAGGTGATGGATAAGTAGCTTCACTTCACTATTCCCTGTTGTATTCATAAATTATAACACACTTTGTATCCCATACATTTATACATTTATAAATTGTCAACTTATAACTTTAGAAACACCATGATGTCACTTTCTCAGGTCATTCTACTTTTCTTTTTTGAAATTTGTGTTTAGTGTACTCAAGCTTGTCCAACCTACCCCATTTTGTTGTTGTTCTGTTGTTTTGCTTTAGGCTTTTAGCAGCCTGAAGCCATGGTTTTTAGTTTCTGTTTCTAGTGATAAGTGGAAAAGAGGGATGAGGAAGGGGTTCATTGGCCCAACCAGAAACAGAAACTAAGAACCCATGACATGACTGTTTATTTCCCTTGGACACCCCATCAATCAGGGAGTTCAGACTGGGAAAAAGCTATGACATAGGACTAAGCAGAGGAATTAAGAAGGCTGAAGGTCCTGTGTGTTTTCATATACTTGAAGAACAAAGTCAGGGGCTAGGGGGAGTGCAGATAGAACATTAAGAAGCTGGTAAAAGGACTGGAACCAGAAGTAAAATCCAGTGCTCTTCCATTCTACTCTTTAGCTGATGAATCTTGACTTATTTTATTATACGCTCTTATCTACAAACAAAGGCATAAAGCTCTCTTCCATTATTTCATTTCCAGTAAGTCCAAGGAAAACAGTTAACTGTTAAATTAAAAATACATATATTCAATAGGAACTGTTAACATTACCTGGTTTTCTTTATCTTCCCTGTCAAATGTTGATCAGCAAGTTTTACTAACTTTTCCTACTTCTTTTTTGCCTTTTATTGTGCACCTAATTCTTAATTGTTACAGTGAGAAAGGCTACATGAAATCAGGATGAAATATAAAGAAATGTCAGAAAATTTATATATTAAATCTTCAGTATTACATAATTAGCAGGTAAATAAAGAAGTAACATATCACTGCCCCCACTTAAATTCTAAATAGATCAAGTATGGTATTTATGCCTGTAATAACTTATGTGTTAAATGTTTAACCCAACTTGATAGGCTAAAATGAAGAAGTACTTAATAATTCTCTAAAGGTTAATAAAAGTAAAGACAACATGAACAAAAAGAACCTGTTGACTTTGAGTCACCTCTCAAGAGCAAGATGATTTAACACGTGGTTCTAGATAACAGATAAAAGGGAATTTAATTTTGTTTTTGGCACTTGCTAAACAACTCAGGACATGACAGGTCAATATCCCTGTCTTTTTGTAGCGATAATTTCTAGTTATTCTGAAAGAGTTGTGAAAACAAAAGCTTTAGCATCTATAAGAGAATGGAAGGCAGGGATCATATTTCCCTAGAATCAGTTTTTAATGATAAAACTTATTATGCAGCTGTCAGTCAGAGAAAAATAGAAGATGTCCCAAAGCTCGTGCCAAGGAAAAATAAAAAAAAGAAAGTTCTTGTCAAAGATGTACACAAACTAAGAACGCTGAAGCATGACAGGAGCTTCGTGCTCCTGGCTGCCTTTTCATCAGAAATCTTAGAAGCTGACTGCAAAACAGAACTTTCATTCCATTTATCAAAACAAATACAAGAAAAGTGAATTTTCTGACTGCCAGAGAAAATATTTGTTAGTGTAAATAAAAAAGAATTGAGATGAAATTTCTGGACAAAGGTGAAATAAAAAAATAAAAATAAAAGCAAAGAAAACAGTGCTGCACCTTGGGGAAGGAAAACTTAAGGTCTTTGAAAGACATTGTCTTTTACTCTTACCTTTAGGTGCTTTGTAATTTTTATTCTTTTCCTCATGGAAAGGGTTGAGGATAATCAAGGTTTTACATTTCACTTCTTTTCAATGTTACAGCATCATTAGTCTTGCCAAAAAGATTTCATCTCTGCTCCCATGGGTCAAATTGAGTTAATGATAAGTCGGTGAGATGACTTGATTAGTACTGTAACGTGAGGGAGCCTCAGGTCCAGGAATAATCACAAGCCAACTGTCAGCTCTTTAGGCTTTCTGGCTGTGTTGCTGAAATGACATGCTTGGACTCGAGGGATATAAAGTGACAGAGGGTGGATGGCTCACTCAGCTCTCCTGCAGAATCACAGTAATATTTACCCAGTGCCATCAGAACCACACTAAGCACATCATCAATTAAAAACAAAACAAGTCATCACCACTGCTCTCAACACTCTTACTGAAGTTTATCAGATAATTTTAATAAAATTAACACTTGGATCCTCTCTGCATTAATGCCAAGGAAATTGTTTGATTTTAAAGGACAGTACTACCCAAGTGACATGGAAAAAAAGGCAAAGATAATTCTTTTACCAATAGATAGATAAAGCCCACTAAATGTCTTATCATCAGACCTAATTCCCAAAATGACGGTGACTGAAAATTTGGAGACCCTTTAATGTCTTTCACTTAACATTTTTTGGTAATGTTATTAGACTGTTGAAAAATATGTAACTACAATCAATGAATCCACTTCGATTCATCTCTGATATTGCACATCACATTCACATGTTATTTAAATAAAACTTAAAAATAGGTAACTGTCTATACTTGGAAAAATATATTTTCTTAATTTATAGAAGAAAATAAGAAGAGAATAATCTACTTCTGTAGGATCAAGCTTTATTTTTCATAAAATTTTTTAGCAACAGTATAAATCATAGACACAAAAAGGTAGAGTGATTTGTGTACAACCCTAAAAAAATGTAATATGGAAAACACTGCTTCATAATATACAGTGTAAAAAGTAAGGTGACTTTAGAGGAGCTGTACATAGCAAAGACAAAATTCTAAGGGGGATTTTCAATGCCTCCTTTATCCCTAAAAGAAGATAAATTACCTACCTCTTATGTTGTTCTGAAAAATGAGGTAATATTTTGCATGCCAAGTACAGTGGTTGATCCATAGTATATGGTTGGAAATTTTTATTTTCTGAACAATAAAGCAGGTAGTTTCAATATGTTTCAAGCTTAAAAGCTAATGAAAATGAAACCTAAAAACCCAGTTCTCTGTGGCAGTTGAAATAATTCCAATTATTCATTTCTTCTTGTTGTCACACTGTTTGCCATGTGACTTTGCAACTGCTCACACCAAATGGGGTCTGCTTCCCCATGCTTTGATTTTGGCCTTGCTGTGTGACTTGTTTTGGTCAGCAGAATAAGGCAAAAGTGTGGGTGTGCTAGTTGTCAGCCTATATCTCAAAAAGTCCTCTGTTCTCCTGCTTGCTCATACCTCTTCTAGAATATGAGATACATGTGGAACAGAGCCAAGTTACCCGAGTCGTACCAGCAGAAGCCAACCTATAGCCAGTCCATCAGTGGATATGTAAGTCAGCCAAGATCATCAGAGGCTACTAGTCAACCATCCCACAAGTATAATTAATACGTGCCTGCTCTGTGCCACTGATGAGAGTTTGTGGTTAGTTGTTACTCAGCATTTTGAAACAGGCATTATTTCTAATATCTTCATTCGGTAAATTACCTTAATATTTATGTGAAGATTCTATCAGTGATATCTACACTAAAATAGTACAGTAATTTAAGAATTGCATTTCTATACTAATCTGTTGTGCTGAACTTAAATAGCATCCTGTTTTTAATAATAGAAAACACTTATTAAGTGCTTAAATGTCCCAGATACCACGGTAGTATGGTATATGCCTTAAAACGACTTTTAATGGATATATTTTTGTCTTCGCTTGCTGTATGCTCTTTGAGGAGGGGTTAATTTCTTCACTACACTCCCACAGAGAATAATAAACTAAATATTGGAATAATAATTCTATAAATAATAAGACATATCAATACTTTATTACAAACTGTAGTAGGTTACCAGTAACTTACCCCTCCAGCACTGCAATATAACATTGATTAAATTTAACTTTTTTATGTCAATATGATTTTGTAGGTATATATAAGAGAATCTGTTAGTTGGAATTTCTTTACTCTTGACTGAATAGGACAGAAAATAATACATTTATATATATATATATATATTTTTTCTTTTTTATCCAAATCCCTCTAATACTGCTTAGGTGCATAAATAGTACATGTTTTTCTCAACTACATAACTCCCTTGTAAATATTTTATATCTCCCCTTGAATTGGTCAGTCAATTCAGTCTAGTAAAATCATCATGAAGTATACTAGTTAATAAAATGCTAAGAGGGCCCAGTTTTAAGTGAGACTATCTCGTGACATGGAGCTCTTCTCCCCTCCCCCAAATAAATCATTACAATTACATTATAATGATATTCCAAGTATGTTCTTCTCATTTTGTTCCTTAGAAAGATTATGATTTTAACACATCAACTTAGGTCCTTCTTTCCTTCTAGAAACTTATTAGAGAGACTAATTTGCTTTTCATCACACATCTGGAAGATAAAGAGAACAATTCTACATTATAATAGAAACAGGATATAATATACAAAAGTCAGCATGACTATTGATACACACTTTAACACCTCATTTGATTTTATAAAATGTAAGTGTCTGGTAACATGCTTGCTTCAGGGAATAGAGAGACAGATAAGGACTGCAGGGTTGATGATTATTTGTCCATTTCCTTTTCTGAAGCCACCATTTATTTTATGCCTTCATGCATGATTAACAGCTTGCAGATCCTTCACATATAATCAATAGTTGTGAAGTCTTATATTAGGTTTAGAGATTAGACAGCCTTGATTATAAATTTTATTGATTTGTACAGCTTAGCTGCAGAAATCCCTGTACATTTTTCAGAGATTAAATTAAAAGGAGATATATGGCCTGCACATACTAGAAATGCTAGTGTGATTATAAGGTGTGACCTCTTTATACTCATTCCTCTAGATGAATAAAACCTATCTAGTGCACCAAAACATGAATCAGCATGTCAACAAGCATCAAGCTGAGATAGTAAACACAGTGAAAATGTGACAAAAAGAATTACAAAACTGCAAATAAACCTGCCTTAGACTATAATTAATACAGGCGACTTGCAAGGATTAATTGCTTCAGCTCATTTGTAAATTAGGAAATTGACAAAGATAAGAATAATGAACTCCTTCACTTCTACCTGGAAAATCTGAGAACATATTAAAATGGAAGAGTCATGATCTTTTTTGAGATAATGGAATGAAGACAAATTTTTTTAAATTACTAGAATAAATATGGTCATTTGAAAGTTAGGAAATAACTTAGGGACTATTAAAATCATAGCAAACTCAGCCTTATGAATATTCTCACTTTAAAAGCTTTCATAGTGCTGCTATATATTTTATGTCCAGTAATTTTAAGGACTGAGGTTGTCCAGAAAAATTTTAATAAACATCCATACACTGAAACATTAGGGGAGCCTAATATTTTCCAGTGTCAAAATCTCACCTTTCTCTTTTCATGTTTGTAATTTTTTGAACATTAGTTGATCTTTGTTTCCTATGAAATCTCTTTCAATATTCTAATTGATTATATCTCAGAGCTGAATAACTCCTATATATGAAGACACATAGAATATAAATAAATAAAAGGAAATTCCTCTTGATATATACCTAAATAATTCATTTCTTTACTTTTGAAAAGGTATTCAAAAGTAAGTGTTAGAGCATGAACTGGCTCGAGCCAGTCTACAGGGTTAGTCAAATGTTCCAGTGTGTTTTATAGTGGCCTTAGAAGAAAATAAAATCTCCTTAAATTGTATAAGTAAAAAAGTAATTTATGTCTCAAATACTTTATGCAAGGTATTTAATTAAGATATTTTCTATTAAAATCTACTACTATTTTCAAAGGGTTCCATTCCACAGGAAATCACAAAATGTTAACAACACATAGAAACGACAACCTAGAAGACTGGTTTCCTTTGTTTCCATAAATATGTCCTGGTAGGGCTACATTTTGAAGTATTATGTAGAAGGTTCTAATCTGTATAAATATTCACAGAAGAATAGTAAACAAAGAAGTGTGTAAAAGTGTAAAAGAACTGGGAGATTATTTCATGTTTGTTCTGTGAATATACTAACTTAGTATTCACATTTTTTTCTACATCCAAATCTAAATTACCAGTTCCAACCTAGCTCTTGAATTCTGGCTCTGAATTTCAAACTGCCTGTGGATTTCCATCTGGATGCTAATATAATGTTTAAAACAAGATTCATCATCATTTTCCACAAGCACCTCATTCTAACCTTCCTGCTTCTATTAAGGATGTTAGTTTCCAGACTAAAACCTTAAAGACATCATTGGCTCTTCTGTTTCCCACATAGTACCTCATCTGTTACCACATCTACTTAATACATCATTTAATATAATAGCTAGCAATTCTATGTCTTTTTCTTTCATTCAGGTCCTAACTTTCTCTCACCTGAACTATTAGGAAATCTTGCTACCATTAATATTCATAGTGTATTTTTCATCTAGACCTTTGAAAGTACAGTTCTAATTACATAACCTGTTCACATCCAAATAATTGTTAGAGATTTCCTAGGATGAACAAAATACAGTAAAATGCCTTTGCCCTAGAGCCCAAAGATCTTCTAACACATAGTGCCACTTTATCTCATGTATTCTCCCAATGCCCTATACTCCTGCCAATGTATTCATCTGCTACCAAAACTAATGTAGCACTGTCCAACATATGTACCATTATCTATTTCATTCCATCTAATCAGAATACATTCCCCACTATTGATCTCCCTATTGAAACACTTCAATGTAGAGTTGGAATATACTATTCTTTCAGTGACAGCTTGGTCAGGAAGTCTGACAAAGTAACAATGTGATAAATAATGTTTTAATCTGTACCTTTATTAAAGCATTTAATGCATCATGTCTTCCATTCATTTGGGTGTTTGGGCCTCCTATATTAACACGTATGCCCTCTCTAGAGATAAATGGTTTATGTAAACTGAGTCTTGAAGAAATGGAGCTCAATAAATGTTAAAACAAGCAACTAATATGTTTGCAATATATAGCAGATTTTAAAAATATAGAATAAACTCCAAGATCAGTTGCCTAGTAGCCATTTAAATGTCAAGAACAAGTATCTTTATCAAATAATTAGCAAGAAATTACAGAGGCCAGATCACTTGCTTAGAATTCAAAGGTGAATAAGACATGACTCCTTTTCTTATATAACTCACTGTGTGATAAAAGTGAAGGCCCACAGGCAGGTAAATTTATTTTAATGTAATAAAGTCAAAGCACTGTTGGAAAAAAGAGGTAAATAAAATTTTAAAAGTCTTAAGACAGGAAAAATAGGGCGTGTCCCCACAGGAGTTACAAATGTGGTCTTTTCCAAAACATGACTACATGCTTTCATTGTAAAGTGAGGGGGTATGAAGGACCTTCAGAAATAATAGGGTTGCAGAAAATCTTCCCTGCCATTTTAGACAGGAAAGAACTTCTATTCAAATTGCCGTATTTATCTACTACTATATCCATTCATCCCAGGTGGAAGAAAGTGTGCATGGGGAAGGAAAATACTTTTGAATGTTAATCTCCAGCTAAACCTCTTCCTGAACTCCAGACTCATGTATTCAATTACCTACCAAATATTTCAACTTAATTTTCTAATGAGTATCTCAAACAAAATCTCCAAATCCGAGCTAATGTGATTCCATAGCATGTTCCCTGGCCAAGCTTTCCTATCTCAGTAAAGTCACTCCAGTTCAGTTCAAAAACCTGAGAATCATCCAAAGGCCTTCCTTCATCTTGATATAGACAAGAGGCAGGGAAATGCTGGGTAGAAGAGGGCAGTTCCCCAGCAAAGGCCCCACCCTCAAGCCTGGAAACACGTGGCCCTAAATGGAAACAGGTATTCCTGTTTTTGCACCCAAATGTTGCCTTTTGGCCTGCCATGCTGCCCTATCCTCTTCCCATATTAACACCAAACCCCAGGTTCCTTGAGCAGATGAGCAGAAGAACAGAGGAACAGAAGAGTGGAGCGGCAGAGAAGGAGAGAAGACAAGGAGTGTCTAAATGTTGAGGAGCTTGGCTGGGGAAGGCTGGAGAGGAGATCAGCCGTGAAACAGCCAAACTCCAGGGGAAGATCATCTTCCCACTCCACCCCCTTTCCGGGTCCCCATACATCCCGCTGAGAGCCACTACCACTCAATAAAACCCCCTCATTCACCATCCTTCAAGTCTTTGTGTGACCTGATTCTTCCTGGACACCAGACAAAGACCCGGGTACCAAGAAGGCACTGAGCTGATTAACACTTAAGCCATCTGCAGATGGCAGAGATAAGGAGCACTGTAACATACCCACTGGGGCTTCAGGAGTCACAGGCACCCACCCCTAGTTGCTACTGTGGGGCTAGAGCCCAAAAGTGCTCACCCTGGTTCCTGCACCTGCCCATCTGCATGTTCCCCCTCCTGTAAGGGGTTTCAGCTGAACAGGTGAGCCACACCCCTGTTGAACATCCTGCGATAGGGGTCACAGAACTCTCCCACTTCAATCTGACACATCACATCCTTTTCATCAGACAATTCTTTTTTTCCCCCTGCATGATGTTTAGATTAGAATCTGTCCACTTGACCATGACTTCCACCAATGCTATTTATTTCATTTTAGCCATTATCACCTGGGGCTGCAATCAGTGAAACTCTCCATACCATATCAAATGAACCCTGCTTCCTCTTTGACCTGTCTTCCCACAGTTTGTTACAGGGATCCTGAAAAAGCCCCCAGTGACTTCCCATCTGAATCACAGTAGGAGTGGAAGGCCAGGTCCTGCAGATGGTGTCTCCCCACACCATCTCACCTGCACTGACCTCAGCACCTACTACTCAGCCTTGCTTGCTCCGTTCAAACATGCCAGCTACGCTTCTTGTCCCAAGCAGGGCCTTTGTACCTGCTTTTCTCTCTGCCTAGAATGTTATTCTACCAGATATTCATGTGTCTCCTTTCCTCGCCTCCTGTAAGGCTTTATTCAAATGTCACCTTCTTAATGAAGCTTTCCTTGATATCCATTTACTTCTTCATTTTTCTCCCAAGCAATTATTGCCATCTAAAATCATTTATATTTTACTTAACTTCATTACATTCTGTCTTTCCTTTTCTTTTTTTGAGACGGAGTCTCACTCTGTCACCCAGGCTGGAGTACAGTGGTGCGATCTCGGCTCACTGCAAGCTCCACCTCCCAGGTTCTCGCCATTCTCCTGCCTCAGCCTCCCGAGTTGCTGGGACTACAGGCACTGGCCACTACGCCGGGCTTTTTGTATTTTTAGTAGAGACAGGGTTTCACTGTGTTAGCCAGGACGGTCTCGAACTCCTAACCTCGTGATCCGCCTGCCTCGGCCTCCCAAAGTTCTGGGATTATAGGCATAAGCCACCACGCCCGGCCTATATTCTGTCTTTCCATACTAAAATACTTGGTACGTAATCATTGCTCAATACATATTTGAGCTGATAAATAACTGACTGAATAAATAGAATGGATCATTGTGTATTCTTTAGTCAGTAAGTTCCTGGCATATAAGTGACCTACACATTTTTACTGATTGAAGGTTACTCTTCGGTAACAGAAAAGCCATCAACGAAAGCTTATGTCTGAATGTCTTTATAAAATGAGATTTAAACAACTGACCAGGGTAATGCTCTAGAAAAACCCTTAACATGGTTTAATGCTAAAGAAGCAAAGTAAAAATATTAATTAGAATAACAAAAATGTCAAATTACTTGGTGAAATCAACTGAGAGGAGAGGAAAAGGTCATTGTGAAACTTTGAAATGTTCCAAAGGTGAAAAGTCTTGGACAGAAGAAAGTGTAAACATAAAGATGAAAATCTGAAGAGTACTTAAAACATTTTATCTATCATGAATATCAAACTAGTTTAATGATATTCATTTTTAATTGCCTTTTATTGTTTCTTGATCTTTCAAATACTTCTCTTGTTTTCTCAACTAGAGAGCAAGTTTCTCTAGGGCAAGAAACGTATTACCTCACTTATTTCTTTTTTTTTTTTTTTTCTTTTGAGACGGAGTCTTGCTCTGTCGCCCAGGCTGGAGTGCAGTGGCACGATCTCGGCTCACCGCAAGCTCCGCCTCCCGGGTTCGCGCCATTCTGCTGCCTCAGCCTCCGGAGTAGCTGGGACTACAGGCGCCCGCCACCACGCCCTGCTATTTTTTTGTATTTTTAGTAGAGACGGGGTTTCACCGTGTTAGCCAGGATGGTCTTGATCTCCTGACCTTGTGATCCGCCCACCTCAGCCTCCCAAAGTGCTGGGATTACAGGCGTGAGCCACCGCACCCGGCCTTACCTCACTTATTTCTTATTCAGTGCTAAGTGTAGAGTAAGAAAGCGATGAATATATTAACTTTAAACAATTTTACCCTAAAGGAGGTGTTACGAAATCTAAAGGCTTTGAGCATAAAATATCAAAATAAAACTCATGAAGACAGAAAGAAAATTACTGAAATCAATGGATGTTACTTTCATAGCATAGGAAGAACAGATCTTTGGTGTCTTAGGTTACTTGATATTCCCATTTAAAAATCAGATGCCCTGCACTAACTAAGTTTAATTCATAAACAACTGATTTTTTTCAGGTTACACTCTAGAACAGATGCTGCCATTTAATGCACATTAAACATCTTTTTCATTCACATGGAGACCTAAGGAGTTAGTTTTTACAGCCTGCGTCATTACCATTTACCTTGAGTTTAATGCCACTTATGTTCTATGATTCTGGAGATCAAGTCTCATTGTACACTGCTTTTAATTTTACCACTCCGATTATGATAATAGCCTAGAACAAGTTTCACAAGAGTATTTCCTGGCTTCTATGTGTTTTTCTCCATTGCTGAAAAGGTCATACATGTATATGAAATGCCTTAGTGAACAGGCTGTGGAATCAGACTACAGGTAACTTAGTGCAAGTTACTTAACATCCACAGACATCCTTCCCAAATCTATGAAATGAGAAAAACAAAAAACTAGTATCTACCTTATAGAGTTGAATTAAGGATAAAATAAGATGCGATAATAGAAAGTACATAGAAAATTACCTGGCAAACTTTATGAATAAAATGTAGTTATTAACTTTATTGTAGTTGTATATTAGTGGTCCACTAGCATTATCACTTATAAAAATAAAACCCTTGAGAGTTTTGGGAAGAATCGTTTAGTTTTGTTGTTGTTTCTTTTTCTTTCCCCAAACCCAATTAAGTGTTTGGCTGTTTATCCATCTTCTACTCCCTCTGTAGAAAATAAAAGCATTGAGTTTTGATTTTCAAAATGTCAAGCTAAATAATTTTGGGAAAAAAGCATGATTTCTGGATTACTTTGCCCATTTTCAGGTGCTTGAAAAAATGTGTGTGTAAAGCGCTAGGAAAAACAACTAACTTGAAAAAAAAAAGCACTAAAATCTAATAGAAGTGTGACATATAGAAAACTACACAAAAGAATAGACAATGCTGCTAAACACAAAGCTTTTCCTCTAAACCAAATCCCTTGGGCCTACCCACTCATTTTCATACATGAATGCAAACTGTCTTTTTATCTACAAGTGAAATTCTCAATATATCATTTAACATTAGTACTGAATATTTCAATAATTCTTTTGAATGTAAAACTATGGGGAGAATTGTTTAAAAAGTTTAGTCGTTTATTTATCTTCAATATAAATGAGAGCTCAAGCACATTTCTAGCACCCAAATGTCATGATCAAACTGTAGCTATTTATAACATTCCAATATACTTTAATTCTTTCTTGGAATATTTTAGTATTTTTTTGTAAAGGTAAATAAAAAAGAATTTGGTAAGTATAAATGATCTGAGGGCCTAACAGAGGTACTTTACTATAAATTCTTCAAAACTGGGTTTAAAGAAATATCCACTTGGCTAATTTTTGGATTGTTCTGAAATTAGAATGATTTGTCTTAAATACAAGACAACATAGCTAGACATTTACTAATACATTCTGATAAATAACCAAAATTAAGCAATCCATGTAATTATACTTCAACAACTGATGCTACTCATAACTTGCTAGTACATGTTTATCTCATATAGTATTATATAATATATAAGTATATAAATTGTTTGTTTTTAGAAGAAATTTATAGCATAAATGGAAGGCCTTAAGAAAATCATGAAAATGTGGTACTCAGCAATTACAGTATGACAGTTTCACCTTTTCCTTTTCTTCTTTTACATGCTTTGAGAACACATTGTTTGTATACATTTTCTAAGGAAAACTATAATTCAATTCTCTGATGCACCAAGGCATAATGTATACCAGGAATACATATTTTAAAAATATTTTGAAACACTTCCCCTAAAGCAGAATAATGTATTAATTCCTCTAGCCCAAAGCTGTATAATGTAAAAAGTGATGGAGAAATAAATTGTATTTCTTCAAGGTCTTTAAAATTATTTGTATTTGAGTAAAAAACATATAATTTTAAGTAAAAGAATGATCAGTTATTTCATCAAAGTTAAAATAAAGAAAAAGTGTTTGTATATCAATTTGCCTTAAGTTACATACATACTATGTCATCAAACTTCTTTTAAAAATGTAACAAAAATATCTGTATTAAATCATAATACTTGTAACAATTTGAGAGATGAAGATTTTCAAGTGTCTCTAATAGAAAACTTGACTCTCTCAGAGTGGATCTGCATCATTGGACAAGGATTCACATGGAGAGGTATAATTGAGATGGCACCTCCTGATGAGCAAGACAGCAGTCCCCTACATGGGCACATGCCAAGGACTGTGTCACGAGAGGCCTCTATTTTCTCCTTGACATAATCATATTTCTTTTCATTTGTCAACCATCTCATCATTGCAATTTGCTTTTAATTTTACATGGATCAGAAAGTGATCTCTCAACCATTTGATTATGTCCCAGGCCATGCCAAAAACAAACCAAATCCCTAAATAGCAAAACACACACACACACACACACACACACACACACACACACACACACACACAAATTTCACTCAGAATTAGTTATTCCTAAAGCACATTCTTTAAGTGCCAACATTGTTTTAGTGTTTGTATTGACTTTTTAAAAATCGTACTAAGTTTAGTGTTTCCCTCATATGACGCTAAAATAACAAGCTAATACAGTCATTTTAGTGAATAAAAAATAGCTAAGACATTATCAATAAAAATGCAATAAAATAACAAAAGAAGAAAAAATTTGACTGTTGATTGTACCTAGTGCAGAAAAAGAGAGTAGAGGCAACAAGGTACGTACTATGTGCCATGGAAAAAGCTTTATATATATTATTTCATTTAGTACCCATAAGAACTCTAAATGGCAGATTTCCCTTGCTAAATTTTACAAAAGAGGAAATTGACTAACTTACTGATAGGGGATTGAATAATGTATTGATAGTACCTCTGGTGAGGTACCTTGCCATAACCTGTCTTCACCTGGCCAGAATTCAAATTCAGTTTTGACAGATGCAAAAACAATATTCTCTTTAACACTGCACAGAGTTTACATTTAAAAATCTGGAAATTGTAAGTAATGATATACAAAGAATTTCCCAGTGTTGTGGTCTGCTTGGGCTTCCATAAACTATCATAGTCTGGGTGGTTTCCAGAGCAGAAATATATTTCTCACAGTTCTGGAGGCTGGGAATCTGAGATTGGGGTGATAGCAAGGGCAGGTTCTGATGAGGTACCTCTTCCAGATTACAGATAGCTGCCTTCTATTTTTGTCCTTACACGACAGAGAATGAGCTAGTTCACATCTCTTTCTCTGATAAGGACACTAATATAACAGGTGTTGCATCCTTATACTACATTTAAACCTAATTGTTTCCCCAAACTCTGACCTCCAAATGCCATCTCAATGGAGTAGAGGGCTTCAACATATGGATTTTGGGGGAACACAAACATTTAGCTCATAATACACAGAACAGAATGATAATTTCCAAGAACATTTAAAAAAAACTACCATGTGTCAATGATTATATTTAATTTATACTGTTAAAACAATAGCTTGTAAAACAATATTAGAGTAGCAAAATGCAAATGAACAGCCTCATCAGCCTTCTAAATGAGTCCTATGCTTGTCATACTTGCCCTTTTACAAGTTTCAAAAGTTTGAAATGTAAAATTAATTATGATTTTCAATGTAACCCACATACATTATTAATAATTGTTACATTATTAATGGCTCACACCTGCACAAGGATTGTTCTGATACAGTTGTCTTATCTACCTTATTTTTAAGTTGTATTCATTATTTACATATGTTAAATGTGTTTTTAAACTTAATACTCTTTTCTTGCTATATGACAACAATTTAAAAAGGTATCAATGTCTCAGAATTGGTTCATCAAGACTAAAAATGGTAATGAACATAAGCTAGCTCCTTACCATAACGACAGAGTCCAGTGTCAAAATATAATGTGAATCTCTTTGTGCTAGAACAAGCAGTGATAGAAAGACAAGAAAGGAAGCACAACTTAAATACTTGAAAACTTGGATTTTCTTATACTGGTGATCCATTCATACCTAGAGCTCAGTGAACTGTTGGTAATAAAATATTTTGAAATAGTGGGCTAAATCTATTGACTTTTTCACCATTTTCAAAACAAGCCCAGTAACCTCTGTAGTAAAGCAAACAACTGTTTATAGAACAAGAACAAAACATTTTCCATGATATAATTGATAATTTTATTCCCCCAAAATGAGAAAGGATGAAAAAACAGAGACTTCAATTGATTCTCTCATAAGTAAAGCAAGTGTATACACACTACTTTTTTGGGGGGGGAGGAGGAGAGACAGGCTCTTGCTCTGTTGCCCTAGCTGGAAATCAATGGCTCAATCATAGCTCACCTTAATCTGGAAATACTGGGCTTAAGCAATCCTCCTGCCTCAGTCTCCTGAGTGTCTAATACTACAGGTATGCACCACCATGTTGATTTGTTTTATTTTTTGGGGCTACTTATTTTTATTTTTGTGGAGACAGGGTCTCACTATCTTGTCCAGACTGGTCTTAAACTTCTGGCCTCGAGCAGTCCTCCCATCTTGGTCTCCAAAAATGCTAGGATTACAGGTGTGAGCCACCATGCCCAACCTATCAACACTACTTTTGAGTTGGCCCCTGATAAAATTAATGATAAATATTATGCACTCAAAGAATCAGGACACCCTATTTACAAAATGTCTACATCAATGAACAATGCTAGACATTGTCTAATGTCAAGGTAGAGGAGCCATACAATGTGGAAAAGTTATCAATCCCTGTCTTTTGGAAGTAGTAGCCGACGTTTCATTTAACAGCTGAACAAGCCATTAATGTGCAGAGGATATGCTCTTGATAGATGTGCAGAATCAGCTTCAGGGCAAAAGGCTCCATATCTTTTGGTACCAGTCACCCCATAGAGCTAGGACTACATATGCAGGTGGATTCAACACTAGAGGAGCACAGATATTTATGCAGAAGGGAAAGTTGGCACTTTGAAGATAGAAGTAAAAAAAAAAAATGTCAATATAGATATTTCATTCATTTGAGAAGAGCCAAGAGTCAAGCACAGTACTGTCTGAGCTTGATTCAGTGTTGAAGAAAATGATCAAAAACAGTGAATATAACCATATATTTTCAGTGTATTGAGTGAAAAAATGAGGAATGAATGCAAGACTGCCTTGCCAAACTGAAGTATGTTGACTCTCAAGGGGAAACAAGCTCACATGGGTTTTCAAAATGAAGGTTGAGATTAACACATTCCTTGCTGACACAAATGCTATTTAAGACCATTTGAATTATTTCAGGTGGTGTGCCCAAATAGTCCAATTCAGCAATCTTTTCAATTTACTGACTGTCAGGACCTACATATCACCACGTCTGATGGTGAGGATCGGCAGTTCAAATGACACAATTGTTGCAAGCTTAACTCTAATCTACAACAACATCACAATAGTTTTCTATATTTTTGAGAAAGCAAGTGATGTCCTATCGGTAGGCATATTTAAAAATGCATCCACTGCTATAACCAAATATGAAAACAAATTTCAACTCCTGAATGCAACCAAAGACCATGTAAAAATCTATTTATCATTATATCCTAAGTTAATACATTTAACCTTCTAGCTTTTCAGTCAGACATGCTTGCCAACTTAGACGCTGACAGTTTGCCAAAAGTACTTTCCAGTAAAACATCTCTTCACTATTTCTGGTTTAACCCTAGATCCAAACATCCAGAACTGCCAGTAACTAAATATCTGCTAGAGATCATTCTTGTTGACCTGTAATTATGGAAGTATTTACTAAGTTAGAGGAAATAAAGAATAAGAGAAAAAACAGACTAGCTGTAGAACTTAAACTGTATCTCAGAATATTCCTCTTAAATCTGCATACAAATGACAGTAAAAATTGCTATTTTACATCATTTTTCTGATATGAAACAAATATCATTTTTATCTGGAAATGTAGTTTTATGCTTACTTAAAATGTACCTATAACTGGGTTTTCTAAGTTATAGGAACACACCTCCCTCCATGAGAGTCACTCTCTCTCACCCAACCACCCCATCTGGCTAACTCTTCTTAATTATCCTTTGATATCACTCAGCTCAGGTGCTCTCCAGGATTCTTTATTTGATTCCATATCTTCTCCATGCTCAGTTAGATGCCTTTATAATGCTTTGTGATATGGGTATGGATCTCGCATTTTTAGATGATCAGTTTATATGCTTGTCTCTACTACTGGAGTGAGGGCACTTCTCATTTCTTTTCTATTTTTATATTTCCAGAACCTAACATGATATCTAACACATAACAGGTGTATCTGTGAATGACTTATGATTGAATGAATGCTTAATTTTACCTGTGAAGATGGAGGGGAGGGTGCTGAAAAAGGTTTTACAGCTTTCATGAATTTATTCTTCTAATGTTATTACCACTCTTACTATCCATGTCTGAGCATGAATAGCAAACTAAATCTTGATAAGACAGAGAGCTGGTTGTGAGGGCTAGTTACAGATTTGCTCAACAAATATGTTAATTTTAGAAACTGACTTTTACTTAGTATCCAAACTTTTTACTATAGCATTCTTAATGTGTATTTTATTTTAATGACACTAGCATTTACTTCAGTACTTAGTTTGAATCACACTGCAGAGAAATTTAGTAAAGAGAATGGAAAATATAGGTAAAAATATGTAAAAACTGCATGCATGGCTAGTACATATGATACAGTTTCTTTAAGTGAATATTATAACTTTCTTGGATGGAAAGACATTAAAAAGAAAAATAAGGTATTGAATCATCAGTACTTTTTATGTTAATATGAGATCTCAGCATTTGATTTTAGGATGGAGAGAACACAATTTAGTAAATTACAATGAATTCTTATTTGCTCAGCAAAGGGAAAACACTTAGGAAAACTGTGGTACAATAAAAGCATGTGACAGAGGAAACATAAATCTAAGTGTATCACAGTTTCAGAGCTCTGGAAGAGCTCTTGACAGGTTGTCTGGGCTGGCAATTGCCCTGCCTTGGCAAGTTCATTTTCAAAACACAACAGACAAATGCTTGTGTGTACTTACAAAATATCTCTAGGGGAAGAGGAGTCATAATCCCCCTTAATAATTCACTAAGCTTTCCGAACATGGAAGCTAAATATAGTTTAGCACATAGAGTTCAGAGGCCATATTCTTTTGCTTTCACTTTGTTGGTGAATTAGAATAGCCTGGTTAACTGGGTAAATGCAGTTTGATTTCTTACAGGCAACTCAAACTCATGTCGGTAACTGAATTCATCTTTCCTATCTCTTTTTCCAAAGGATTCTTCCTTCTACAGTCATCTACTCACTTACTCAAACCTGAGAGTCATCCTGCATATGATAGTTGTTCCTCTCTTCCATACACTTACATCAAATAAAACTCCAAATCTTGCCATTTGTTACTCTGAAATTATCCATCCTCACGATTCTGAGACCTCATCAAGAGGAATGACATAGCCTCCTAACTAATCTCTTCGCCTCCAGTTCTATCAGCCTTCCCTTTGTTTCTAATTACACCAGAAAATTCTCAGTATATTAGTTATACAAAGACAGACACAAAATGTATCTATGGTATTGAGCCAAGTAACTGTATACAGATAGAATATACATATGTACACAGACAGAAGAAAAAAACTTGAAAGAATTATACCAGTGTTAACAGTTAGTTGTTGCTTTGTGCACATACATAATTTCTAATATAAGCATGTATTATAAATTACATAAATATATATAAGAAATTATATATATAAAATAACATATATATAGTCAGTTCTCAATACCTGCAGGTTCTGCATCTACAGATTCAACCAACCATGGGTTGAAAATATTTGGAAAAAAATTAAAAAATACAAATAAAAATACAGTATAACAACTATTTACATACCATTTACATTTTATAAGTATTATAAATAATGTGGAGAAAATTTAAAGTATATAGGAGGATATGCTCAGGTTACATGAAAATATTACACCATTTTGTGTAAGGGACTTGAGCATCTGCAGATTTTGTGATCCATGGGGGTCCCAGAACCAATTCCTTGTGTATATTGAAAGACAGTTGTAAATATAAACACCAATTCTCCTGCCTTGGCAAGATCATTTTCAAATCCCAGTAAACAAATGCTTCTGTGTACTTAAAAAACACCTCACAAGGAAGAAGTCACAGTCCTCTAAATACATACAAAGTATACACACACGGACACATGTATACATAAGTGCACACACATATATATACTATCCTTAATTACAGAATGTATCTTTATGGTATCCAACAGTGTTTGAGTAAAACTGTGATTAATGTTATAAAAGAAAACTGTAAAGAACTATGACAACATATAACAAGAAAGCCTTGATTGATAATAAGGCATCAAGTAAGGCTTCCTTGAAGAAAGACCATTTGAGTTGCATTTTGAAGGCTAAGAGGCAGGAGTTGATTACTTAGAGGTTTGTGGGGTGTATTCCAGATTGTATTAGTGCTTTTTCACACAGCTGTAAAGAACTACCTTAGACTAGGTAGTTTATGAAGAAAAAAGGTTTAACTGACTCACAGTGCTGCATGGGTGGGAATGCCTCAGGAAACTTACAATTATGGCAGAAGGTGAAGAGGAGGCAAGGCATGTATTACATGACGGCAGGAGAGAGAGAGCAAGTGAGCGGGGAAGTGCCACACTTTAAAAGCATCAGCTTGGCCAGGCGTGGTGGCTCATGCCTGTAATCTCAGCACTTTCAGAGGCGGAGGTGGGCGGATCACCTAAGGTCAGGAGTTCAAAACCAGCCTAGCCAACATGGTGAAATCCTGTATCTAGTAAAAATACAAAACAATTAGCCAAACATGTTGGCATGCACTTGTAATCCCAGCTACTTGGAAGAATGAGGCAAGAGAATTGCTTGAACCAGGGAGGAGGTGGAGGTTGCAATGAGCCAAGGTCGCGCCACTGCACTCCAGCCTGGGTGACAGAGTAAGACTCAGTCTCAAAAAAAAAAAAAAAAAGCTCTAGCAAGAACTCACTATCACAAGAACAGCCTGGAGGAAACGACCCCCAAGAACTAATCACCTCCCACCAGGTCCCTGCCTCAACTTATGTGGATTATGATTCAAGATGAGATTTGGGTGGGGACACAGAGCAAAACATATTACAGGTATACAGCTCAGAGTAAAGACCCAGAGACAGAGCAGACCCAGAGGGGCCACTGAAATAAAGGCATGCCAGGAGCAAAAAGAAAGGCAGGTATAAGTGGCATTTATGTCAACTTGTGCTATATATGTAAGTATCACAGACTTTGTTTTTCTTCAGCCATTCTTTTGTTTATACATGTGTCTTATTCTGCGATTAAAAAAAAAATTAAACCAAAACACAGTCCCCCAGGGTGATATTCCTAAAATGCAATCCCATTATGTCACTCCTCTACTCTCTGTCACATTCAAGGTAATGCCAATCATCCCAGGACATATATCAAGCACTTGGCATTCTGGCCAACTTCCAGCTACTGGACTGCACCCAGCACCATACCCCAAAATCATACAGGTCTCCAGCCAGCCTGAACAGCTCAGCATACCTGACTGGACACAGTCATTTACTCTTGGTTTCTAAGTCAAACACATATGTCCCCTAGGATCCTCTGGCTCATACATGTAGGACATTCAGAAGCAATGTCCCACTTCTGTAGCAAGTGTTCTAGGAAATGTACCTTCTATAGCCACATATAAAATTGGAAGTGCTCACCCTTTCTCCACTTTCCCACACATGTCTCCTTGGTACAACTGAAACAGACACTTATGTAAAAATGTACAGAATGTCAAAAACATATAGACAGGTATACAGCCACAAGAGTAATGATTTTATTATAAAAAGCTGATCATAAAAATAAAATTAGGAAGCAAGTGGTATATAATAAAAGCCATATAAGAGTAATTAAGGGAGTGAAGAGATAAATTTCACACTAAAGTTTTATAGATGCTTTTTTCCATCATTAAAATGGGAATGCTAATCCCTATATTACAAGCTTTCAAGGTTTAAATGACTTAGAATAACAGATATAAAAGGGATTTCAAAAAGTAATATATGATATACATTTTATTATTAGTTTATAACTTATAATTAAAACCTGAATGTTAATGTTCACATGGTATTACAGTGAACAAGTCTTATTTTAAGATAATCAGATACAGATGGAAAATAAGTGAATTTCCTATTAAATACATCCTTCTTTTACTCTCCCATATTTAATGCATACTAGTCACTAACTTGAAAATGTGTTTTTTATCTGCAAAATCAACACACAGAGCGGTATACATTCACAAGTAAACACCCTCTCCACTTCACCCTGAATCCTCACTAAAGCCCTCCTTAACATTCCTCCCCAAAACTACTCACAGACTATTGCTTATATGTGAAAATCACAGCTTATCTCAATCATTTGTTACATTTTACAAGATTTCTTCTACTTCTGTTACACTTGATACTCCTAATTATATCTTCTATACTTGATGGTCTAATCTGCCTTTTATTTACAATGTCAGTTACTGGTCAGGGATGGATTAAGGTTAACAGGGACACAGTATTATCTAAATTTAGATTTAGGACCTACAACCTCTTAGAAATGAATTTTCTATGCTTCTTATCTTTATTTAATTTAGAATTAATTAGTTTTATCTATACTTAATATTTGAAATGTAGTACAGATATAATCTGACCCTTATTTGAAATATCAGGCCATTTGATTTATTCTTGGATTATGAAAACATCGTGCTACAGATACATGTGAATATATTGATAACTATATATCTCTGGAAAAATCAGATGTCTTCACAAAATTTTTTCAACAATAAGATGTGTCACAACCAAAGAGGGACAGATAAGATTTGGCAGATAAGACATGGTGCAACCAAAGAGACAAGAATCCAAAGCTTGGGTAAAAATAATCTATTCTTTCTAAGACTGCAAAGGAAATCCACATCCCTATACCTATATCAGCAATCAACAATATGGTGCAGTGGATTAGAGGAGAGTTGTGGAATTTGTTATATTCCAATCTGGATCCACGAATAACCAGGTGAACATTGGCAAGGTATGTAATCTTTCTAAGCCTCAATTCATTCATCTGTAAAATGCAGGTAGAGAAAAGATCTTGTGTTGAGCAATCATTTATGAAGAGACAAAATTGTCATTACTGAAACCTAATTTCAAAATATTCCCATTAATATATAAACTAATAGGCTGGGCATGGTGGCTCACGCCTGTAATCCCAGCACTTTGGGAGGCCGAGGCGTGTGGATCACGAGGTCAGGAGATCAAGACCATCCTGGCTAATATGGTGAAACCCTGTCTCTACTAAAAATACAAAAAATTAGCAGGGCATGGTGGCGGGTGCCTGTAGTCCCAGCTGCTCGGGAGGCGGAGGCAGGAGAATGGCATGAACCCGGGAGGCGGAGGTTGCAGTGAGCCGAGATCATACCACTGCACTCCAGCCTGGGAGACAGAACAAGACTCTGTCAAAAAAATAAAAAATAAAAAATAAAAATAAAAAATAAACTAATTAATGGGAATAGCAAATCTATGTTGATGAACAAGGATATGTCAATTCCAGATTTATGGATTACAGCGTTCAATACCCCCTAAAGCTCCTCTAGGAAGAAATAAGTTCTGTAAAACCCAGTTTGAAAAGCATTTTCCTATGTTAGTGTTAGAGAGATTGTAATTTGGAGTGCTAAGCAATATATCTTCAATAACAATGGGGCAAATCAAATTGATTAGGTAATGCTTCCGCAAGGAGTATAACATTTACAATCGCACGACATAAACTTTAGAAGAATCTGAAATTAGTAAGTTTGAATCCATTGGCAACAAAAATAGTTGTTCCCCTAATATAACATTTTATAATCTGCTGTATTTAAATGCTGCAGTTTTCTGTATTTTTTAGTCTCCAGCTTAATTCATTTTTATCAATTAAGATTTGCACAGCTTTTCTTTTATGCAACCTAGTTTTCAGGATATAAATATTCATATTATTTATGTATTTATGAGATGGAGTCTTACTCTGTCGCCCAGGCTGGAGTACAGTGGCATGATCTCAGCTCACTGCAACCTCTGCCTTCTGGGTTCAAGTGATTCTCCTGCCTCAGCCTCCCAAGTAGCTAGGATTACAGGCGCCCACCACCATGCCCAGCTAAGTTTTGAATTTTTAGTAGAGATGGGGTTTTACCATGTTGGCCAGACTGGTCTCGAACTCCTGACCTCAGGCAATCCACCCACGTCGGCCAAAGTGTTGGGGTTACAGGCTTCAGCCACTGTGCCTGGACCATGTTATGTTAAAAATGCTTGTATTTTATAATTCATTTTTTTGTGACAGGATAAACATGATCCAAGAACCAATAAATGCACAAACTCAACAAGAAGTCGTCCTCATTATGGAAAACACAAGAAACCCACTCATCATGCAAAGATTCTTTGATTATGAAATGCTCATAGGCAAACAACAATAATACCAATACATAATAGTCATAGTGACCTATGACTCAAATAACTTCATTTGCTCTTCTATCCATCAGAGTTTTTGGTGAAGGGATCTATAGCATGATTTGCACCTAATGGGAACAAAGCTAGGTCACCGTGGACTTACATGGTGGCGTGTCTGTGTTGCACAAATACCCTGGCACCTGCCTTAGCCATCCAATCCCAATTTTGGAAGAAACTATGCATGCACATATTTTTTCTCTAATATGGCCACTTCTGCTGACAAATACAGGACGTAGAATTCAGAAAAGCAGGAAGAATGCTGAATTTTACACACCACTTTTTACATTAACAATAAAACTAAAGAAGTTTTCCCTTAACAATTTCCTTTGAACCATGAACACAGGAAAGCCACATGTTTGGAAAGGACTGTTTTGAGTTTGGTGTTTATAATGACCTCTGAATTTTTTTAAAAATGTGGTTTTTCTTTTAGCTATGTTCTTAATCTATTCTTGTTACTGGTATGAGACAAAATGATGACATCAGCAAAATATCTCCAGCTTGCCTTCTGACTCATTAATAGATTTCATGCTACCAGTATTAAAATTGATCCTGAGGGCAACCCCAACATTAACCTTTTTCCACTTGAGAAATCTGCCACACATTTCTCAGCTGCTTCCTATTTATTCTATGGTTTTAATCTGAGAAGAAAATTTTCCTCTTAATCCTTGGTCATTCACTTTCCTTAGGTTTATCTTGTAAAAAACTTTTTCGGAAGTTCTGAACACTGGAAGTCTAAACTGCAATAGCACTTTCTTTCCCATAGAACATCTGCCAGTTGACTTCATTTACTGCATTTCTCTCAGGTGAGCTTCCATTTAGTCTTGAAAAGAACAGTGAGAAACATTATTTAAATGCTCTAATAGCATAAATCAGCTGTTTCTGAAAAGCCAGGTGAAGATACTAAGTGACATGCGTAAATTTAAATTTCACCTATTGGCTAAATAACATATAATCTAGTAATTAAATGGAATCTAAGCTAGTAAAGTATATTTACAGGGTCTTGATTCTCTCCAGTAATAAAAACATACCTAAAAACATAAGTTAAAAAAACTTAAACATAACTAAACAAATAACAAACAACACAAGCCATGGATGTGTTTTTTGGTTTTTTTTTTAAATTTACATTCCTTTGATTCCTGTTTCTTTACATTAAATTTCAAAGATCAAAATGAATTGTATTAGATATTGTTACTTAAGTCCCAATTTTACTCTCCAATGAAGAATGCAAACATCTCCTAAAATATAAAAGGTTTTGAATATTGACATTCTTGCTAAAACATATTTCACAAACTTCTTTAGGTGTAATGAAAAATTCAAAATTATATAATAGAAGTTTGAAAATATTTTCTCAAAGGATTTATTTCTAATAGTGCTGCTGACTTTGCCAGTTATTTCCAGGAATAAGCTACAGTTGTCTCTGATAAAATAATAGCTAAAAAAATAAATTTACTCAAGGACCAAATTGGCTTTGTCTCAAAAGAGAAAGACTTCTGTTGTATACAGGTTTCTCAATCATGGTTACTTCTCCTTTCACATTAACTCCAGGATATCATGATAAGGTTAAGTATAATGGAAAACCAGTAACTGCAATGCTTAGGAGAATAGCTTCAAAAATATTTATGCTAGATATTCTCTATTTTCAAATGAACCGATGGACATATTTTAAAAATTAAGGAAAGTTTGGATGTATTCAGCAATAGCTATATACCAGGCAATTATTTAGGTGCTTTATGTGTCATTTTCTTTGGTTCCTACAACAACCACACAAAATAGTTCCTATCCTTCTCTTTGTATTAAAAATAAGGTTAAATGTTTTTTCCAGTCTCAGTGTTTCAGGAAGAAGTCTGATTCTTCAGTATTCCATTGTAATCCAATGAAATCTGAAAAAAAGTTAACTGAAAGAAATGTTGTTAACTAATTTCCCTGTAACTTTTCAATTTGATAATATTTTGTTATCATTATATAATTTTAAACTTAATCCTACTTTCAAGCACGACTAATATTAATTTTTTGCATGTCAATTCTAGTTTTTCCTATGCAAATCTATTCTTATAGACATGATTAGAATTGATATTATATTACTACTAATAATTTTGGTGTTTCAAATAATATGTAAAAATTGTATTCTTAAAGGTATTCTATGTAGGACAGCTTTCTTCTTTTAACAATTCTCACCTCAGAAACTTCTGAATGTTTCCAATCTAAAACGAGAGTATCATGAAACATAAATGTTTATCTCTATTTGAGGCTCTTTATTTTGAATATAGTAATCCCACTACTGGAAATCTATCAAAAAGACAGCATACACACTGCCACATGGCAATTTGTGACAAAGGTTAAATGCTAAGGAATTACCAAACTCATAAGCCAGAAACCAGGGAAGATTAAAAGTGTTTCCTTATGGTTGTATTTTATGTATGTATTGCTTATGGAAAAATTTCTTTACTTATTGAATATTAATCATGATAAAGGCAGAAAAGTATAATATTCTTAACTGCACAAGAAAAAGAAGAAAATGAAACATCAGGTGTGTTGGAGAATATCTTAGACAAAGAAGTCAAAACTTAAACTCCAGTTTAAATTTTTTTAAGGAAGTATTTCAACATGTACTTAATTTCAATTGTTATAGGGAATATAACGCTAAAGTAAAATTATGGCATATTTCACTAAAATGACATTTCTACTACTAAAAACCTAACTTTTCATTACAGGGGAAAAGAGGACTATAGCACAATAAACATGTTTCCCCATAACAACCCACTTCTGTATATTACCTTTTTTTCCTTCAGAATTGGAAGAGAAAAAAATAATTTTAGAAAATAGTTATTTGAAATAGGTTTTTATTAATCAATCAAAATATTTATTGAGTAATAACTATTATTCAGCAATAAATAAGAGTTGAGAAGAGGCATGCTGAACTTCAAGAGCTTTACAAAATAGTTGTAAAACTATTACTATGTAAAACTACAAAATCAAAAACTTTGAAAACATAACTTAAAAAATAAAGGTAAAATAAATTAGCCTTAAATTATAGTGCTGAGTACAGCTTAAATTCAGAGATTTAGAGATGACTCCAATGTAGAACAGAAGGGAGGAAATTTAGTTTTAATCAGACAATATCACTCCCAGTAGGGACTGATAGTCATTTAATATTTCCCTGGACAGATAGCTGCAAGTGATACAAATGTTAAATGGAAGTGACAAATATTTACTGTTCACAGGAGAAAATAAAAGTAAAATGACAACACTTGAATGATGTAATTTGTGTGTGTGTGTGTGAGGCTATCCAGGTTTTCAAATATTTCTGGTCAAATGATTGAAACATTATAAACAGTAACATTAAAATTATATTTTATCCTCATTCTAGTATAATAATCTAAAGGCTATAAAGAAACATAAGTACAAACTTATCTGCACAGAAAAGTTTTGTTTGAAAAAAGCATGTTAATACTATTTTGCATATGAAACTAAGGTAATTTAAAGAAACTCAAAGGAATAAGTCAAAACAGCTGCTTCCTTCTCCCTAAATGATTGCCTTTTTGGACTCTGTACCTTCCAAATGTTGAGTGAATTTTAAATGTCTTTTAATGTGCGGGGTTTTTTTTTCCCCATCCCAGCAATCAACTTGAAGATTACACCACACCTGCTCTCCTGTTTAAGTTTCACTTTTTCTGAACTTAGCACTATACTCCAAAAACTGAATTTAGCTTTCTGATTCTTGTCTAAAAAAATGAGTCAATATAGAATTTTTACTGATTTGTGACCATCGTTAACCATGTTTCTCTAGTGTTCAGAGATGTCTCATTCCATAAAGGGCAGTTAACACCTGTAAGGTAATTATATCTACCAAATGCTGTTGGCCAGGAATATGAATATATAATTGTTGCTGCCATCTGTTAATTGTTCTATTTGAATCACTTACTTCATCATATACACTTACCTGACATCTAGATATTTTTAATAGCCTCGAGAAATGTTACGTATGCTTGTAGCAGAGTTTATAAGTTTTTACATTATTAAGAAGGAATTTTTAAGTCTTTGGGGGAAGACACAAGTTAAATGGATAAAATAGCACATGTGTGCATGTATAGGGGTGGGGAGGAGTTTGGGGTTATTCTACTGAGGAGGAAGCCTGAATAAGAAGGTAAATCATTTTCAGAGAGAAACATTTAATAGAGAAGATAAGAGTATATTAGAAGATAGCTGGATAACGGAGGTGGAATCTTACCTGAAATCCTATAAATTGAAAAAGCACTATTGAGTTCTATCACAAGAACCCCTCAGCAAAAGAGACTGATAAAACTTCTTACCAAGGAGCTGAAAACTCTTTCAATGTAAACCTCTCTCTCTCATGACTTTAAACCTTAAAGTAGAATCCTCAGGTTCCATAGAAGGATTCAGAATTTCTGCAAATGTTTGATACACATTTTATTAGCAGTTTTAATAGCAATAAATGCTGTTAACACTGGGAGGAAATTTACCAGCTGTATGACTTTAGGCAAGTTTCTTCACTACTCAGTGCTTTGGTTTTATCACCTACAAATGAAGGATAACCGCAGTATGAAAATTAAAAGAGAATATATGTAGAGCATGCTTATCAGTGAATACCATACAGTAAGAGTTCAATAATTATTACCTATTATTATAATCATTAAGAAAATTCTAACACTTGGCAGACTAATAATATACTCAATTGTACTGTAGATTATTTTTCTGAAGGCTTCTTTTGCCCAGTTCATGCAGATGGTTGAACACTTTATGGATATGGCATGGTGTAAGTGGGTGGAATAGTGGGTCCCGAAACAGATGTCAACACCTGGAACTTCAGAATGGAACTTTATTTGGAATAAGGCTCTTTGCAGAGGTAATTAAGGATCTTAAGATCATATTAGATTTGGGTGGGCCCTAAATTCAATGATGAATATCCTTTTAAGAATCTGAAAAGGAGAAAACAGAAACATAGGAAAGATGAACATGAGAAGATGAAAGCAGAGATTGGAGTGATGCATCTGGAAGCCCAAAAATGCTAAGGAAAGCCAGGAGTCACCAGAGGCTGAAAAAGGCAAGGGAGCATTGTCCCTAGAAACTTCAGAGAGAGCATGGCACTGCAGACACATTGATTTTTGAGCTTCTGGTCTCCAGAACTTTGATAGAACAAGCTTAGGTTGTTTCAATTCACCCAGTTTGTGGTTCTTTGATAAACAGTTGTAGGAAACTAATACACAACTTAGGAGGAAATTTGTACTTTTTTTTTCTTTTAAAGGTCAGGCCTGCATGTACACAGGCTCTTGTAAAAATAAATTTTTAGAATAGTTATGCATTTACAGGAAATTTCCAAAGATAGTACAAAGTTCCCATATATCCATATAGCATTTCCTCTTACTAGCATTTTACATTAACATGGTATGTTTGTCAAAATTAATGAACCAATATTGGTACATTATTACTAACTAAACTCATTTTATTCAGACTTATTTAGATTTACTTAGTTTTTACTTAATGTCCTCTTTCTGTTCCAGGTTCCCAACCAAGAAAATTAATTACATCATATCTCCTTCATCTTCTAAGTTCTGTGAGTTTACCAGACTTCCCATGTTTATAGGACCTTAACAGTTTTAATACGAAATAGTCATTAGGTATTCTGCAGAATGTCCCTCCATTGGAATTTGTCTGAATTTTTTTTCATGATTATAAACTGAGTCTATGAGTTTTGGGGAGGGAAACCAGAGAGGTAAAGTGCCATTTACATCATACCACAGCAAGAGCGTATACTAACAACATGACTTATCACTGTGGATGCCGACCTTCACTACCTGGCTGAAGTAGTCTTTTAGAGCCCACCTAGATAGTTCCAAATAATCCCTTCATTAAAACTTGTTTTTTTTTTTTTTTCCTTGAGACAGAGTCTCAGTCTGTCACCCAGGCTGAAGTTCAGTGGCAACATCTCAGCTCACTGCAACCTCCGCCTCCCAGGTTCAAGCAATGCTCCTGTGTCAGCTTCCCCAGTAGCTGGGATTACAGGCATGCACCACCACAACAAGCTAATTTTTGTATTTTTAGTAGAGACAGGGTTTCGCCATGTTGACCAGGCTGGTCTCAAACACCTGATCTACCTCAGGTGACCCACCCACCACGGCCTCCCAAAGTGCTGGGATTACAGGCGTGAGCCACCATGAGAGGCCCTATTCATTAATTCTTAATCACACCTGTCCTTAGTCCTTAATCATATAAACATATCTGTTTAACACATTAGATATTACATAAGGTGATATTCACATTTCTGCCATGTAATGTAATCACATTATCTAGGAATTAGGATGTGGACACATCCTTTTGGGGGGTCATCAGTCAATCCACTACACCACAATTACAGTATCATTGTTTCATGGCCCTTAAAAAACTCTCAGTGCCTCACCTATTCAAACCTCTTCTCCTCCACAAACCTCAGGCAACCACTGATCCCTTTATCTTCTGGGATGGTTATTATTTTTTTTTTCTGTCAACTTAAAAGTTGTTTGTGGATGATATTAACATTTAATATATGCTTAATCATTTTGCCCTCCATAATGTGGGTAGGCCTTATCCAATCAGCTGGAGACCTGAATAGACAAAAAGACCAGCCTCCGGGAGGAAAAAAGAAATTCTCCAGCAGACTGCCTTCAGATTTTATCTGCAACATTTGCCCTTAAAAATTCATTTGCAACACTGGCTCCTCCATGAGTCATGAGCCTGCTGCCCTTTGAACTGAAACTGCACCATCAGCTCTCCTGAGTCTCCAGGCTGCCAGCCTTCTAACTAGAACTACCATTGACTCTCCTGTTCTCAAACCTGCTAAACTGCAGATTTTGGATTTACCAGCAGACATAATTTCATGAGCTGCTTTCTATAATTAATCCCTTTCTACAAATAGACACATTCTATTGTTTCAAATTTTCTGTACAATCCTAACTCATACATTGTCTCTATAGTTTTGCCTTTTAAAAAATGTCATGTAATTCTTCAGACTTGGTGATATAGCTTGAATCTGTGTCCCCACCCAAATCTCATGTTAAATGGTAATCCCCAATGTAGGAGGTGGGACCTGGTGGGAGGGGATTGGATCATGGTGGTGGTTTCTCAGGAATAGTTTAGCACCATACCCTGTGATACTGTCCTCATGATAGTGAGTTCTCATGAGATCTGGTTGTTTAAAAGTGTACAGCATCTTCCCCCATCCTGCTCCTGCTCCTGCCATGTAAGACACCTGCCTCCCTTTTGCCTTCTGCCATGATTGGAAACTTTCTGAGGCCTCCCCAAAAGCAGAAGCCACTATACTTCCAGTACAGCCTGTGGAACTGGGAGCCAATTAAACCTTTCTTTTGTTATAAATTACCCAGTCTTGAGTGTTTCTTTATAGCAATGCAAGAACAGACTAATACACTTGCCTTTGGGCTTTTCTTTTTTTTTTTTTTTTTTTTTTTTTTCGATGAAGTCTTGCTGTGTCCCTTAGGCTGGAGTGCAGTAGCTCAATCTTGGCTCACTGCAACCCCCGCCTCCCAGGTTCAAGCAATTCTTCTGCCTCGGCCTCCTGAGTAGCTGTGATTACAGGGATGCACCACCATACCTGGCTAATTTTTGTATTTTTAGTAGAGACAGGGTTTCACCATGCTGGCCAGGCTGGTCTCGAACCCCTGACCTCATGATCCACCCAGTTCGGCCTTCCAAAGTGCTGGGATTACAGGCCTGAGCCACTGTGCCCAGTCGCCTTTGGGGTTTTAAAAAATAGTTATATTATTTGAATCATACAATATTTAGCGTTTTCAGACTGACTCCTTTCACTGAGCAATATATATTTAAGACTCAAGCATGTTTATGTATAAAGTGATAGCTAATTTCTTTTTTTGCTATTTTAAGGCTTTTTTTTTTTAAAGTTCTGGGATACATGTGCAGAACATGCAGGTTTGTTACATAGGTATACATGTACCATGGTGGTTGGCTGCACCTATCAACCCGTCATCTAGGTTTTAAGCCCCGCATGCATTAGGTATTTGTCCTAATGCTCTCCCCTCCCTTGCCCCCAACTCTCTGACAGGCCCCAGCGTGTGATGTTCCCCTCCCTGTGTCCATGTGTTTTCATTGTTCATTTATGAGTGAGACAAGCAACAGCTCATTTCTTTTTATTCCTTTTTATTATTGAATAGTATTCCACTGTGTGCATATACCACCATTTCTTTATTCGTTTGCCTACCAAAGGGCATTTGGGTTGCTTCCAGTTTTTGGTGATTTTATATAAAGCTGCTTATACATATTTGTATGCAGGCTTTTCTGCAGAAATAAGTGTTTTTGTTTTTGTTTTTCTTGATATGGAGTCTCCCTCTGTGGCCTAGGCTAGAGTGCAGTGGCATGATCATGGCTCACTGCAGCCTCAACTGCCCGGGTGCAAGCGATCTTCCCACCTCAGCCTCCCAGGTAGCTGGAACCATATGTGTGCAGCTCCACACTTGGATAATTAAATAAAAAAATCTGGAGAGTCAGTGTCTCATTATATTGCCCAAGCTGGTCTCAAACTTCTGGGCTCAAGCAACGCTCCCATCTTGGCCTCCCAAAGTGCTGAGGTTATAGGGGTGACCCATGGCACTCAGCCCAGAAATAAGATTTTGAATCAATTAGGTAAGAATGTGATTGCTGGATAGTATCTTAAGACTATGCTTAATTTTGTATGAAATGTCAAAGTAACTGTACCAACTTGCATTGCCACTAGCAATAAATGAAAATTCCTGTTTGTGTCACATCCATGTTAGCAACTGGTACTTTCATTTTTTTTTTTTGGTGGATATTAGTCATTCTAATAGGTTTAGAGGGGTATGATGTTTTGCTAATTTGCAGTGTTGAAAAGACACTACTTTCTTCATTGGATCATCTTTGTGTCTTTGTTACAGAGCAGTAAACTATATTTGTATATGTCTATTCTGGGTTTTCTGATATATTTCATTGATCTATATGTCTAGTATTTCTCCAATACCACATTATCTTGACTACTGTAGCTTAACAGTTATTCCTGAAATTGGTTAACTGTAGTACTCCAACTTTTTGTTTTCCTTCTTCAGTACGACTATGTTTGCTATTATAGGTCTTTTGCCTTTCTACATAAACTTTAGAATTGGTTTATTGATTATCTACAAAATAGACACTGGGACTTAGATTGAGATTTTGTTGAATCTTAAGATCAAGTTAGGAAGAACTGACATCTTAACAATATTGAATCTTCTATTCCATGAACACAGAATATCTCTTCTTCATTTATTGTGTTTTTATTTCTTTCATCAGTGTTTTATAGTTTTCCCAATACAGACCCTATATGCACTGTATTAGCTTTATACCTAAACAATTACAACAGCGATGCAATGTCTTGTCCTGCTTATGACCTAGGATTTTATGTAGCTGAACAAGCTCACTTTCTTGATGCAAGGTCACAATGTTACCTGTAGGGAGAGTGTCTTTGATGAAACTAGAACTTGCCTTTTAGACGCAGCATGCAAACTAAAGGAAAAATGGCTATTTACAAACTCAATGTCTGACTAAGCAGAATATTGACATATCTGAGATTACTTCAAAATATTATCTTTCAATAATGATTGGTGTACTCCATCTAAACTAAACTCTTTGCCTGGTAAGCATGGTAAGCAGCAGTTAAATTTTCTTAATGACTCAGCATTAAAATAATTTCCAATTATTCCTCTTTCAAGCCTGTGGATCAGCTTACTAAGAGACTGTCCTGTGATTTCAAAATAAACTATTAATATACCCTTTTAAAATGATGTGTATTATTTATACTAATAAGGATTTTCCAGACACCATGAAACCAAAACAAAATGTAGAAATTAATGAGAAGTTAAGGCCAATATATGATGGCTGCTATCATCTAAAACCAATGAAGTTTAGTTTTTGCTTTTATCAAAATACTCTTTCACTTACTGGCTTATAAGGAAATTTTATAAAGTTTTAAGATAATTATATCTTTATAAAGTATTTATTGAACTTTCACACTAATTTCATTTTTTAAAGTAGCTTTCAATGTTAAAGAATCAGTAATACATGTAATACATGAGGATCAAAATCTGTAGTTTGCATAGCAAGTCAGACAAGGTGATCTCGAGTCATCTTTCCATCTTCTTTAGAATCTCACCCCACCCTCCCAGCCTCACTGCTTATACAAGCATAGGCACTGTGCTTCAGCTTGGAAGACCCTCTTCTTTTTCCTCATTGGTTTACCAAAACCACTCCTATCCAAATTGCCCTTCAAATGGACACAGGTACAGCCGTCAATTCTCTTCCCTTGATTCCCAGAACACTTTGAGTGAACATCATTTTGGCACATCATGACCAATTCATTGAGAGCAAAATCTGCACAATACTGTGCTTCTCAAAAGAGAGTACTTGTGTATTCACAGGAAAAAGGAGAAACCACAAGAAAACTCTGGTGAACCTCCTCTGGATTCTAAAGAGTTAAGGTAGAAATCACAATAACATGCCAGAAGAAAGAATACAGAATTCCAACAAAATTTTAAGATACAGTAAAAACTTTTGAAGGAATTTTTCTGTTGCAGATGAATAAATCAAGCTATACACTCAACTCTCAAGAGGCAGTCATTCTTTTCTAATGCTAGAGTTACTTGATAGGAAGGATACTTTTGTACGTTCACAAGCTAATATGAAGTACCAAAAAGATTCATTTGAAACAGATGATAAATGAGTGCTGCACAGAAATGACATGAACCAATACTTCAATGTACTGCAACAAGAATTCTTTCTATCAAAGATGTTACTAGTGCCCATTTTGAAAAGTAAGGCCTAAACAGGCCTATTGATTTCATCAGGACATATTTCCACTAATTGCACATACTGCTTATGTGAACCACGATTTGTACAGATAGAGATCTTGATGTATTCTAGGTCTTCTTTCTTGCTTTGAATATTATACAATTTGCCTTATCAATTATCTGTTTAAGTTGGCTTGTAATTCTGACTACATGTATTTCTTTTCATTCTGATTATTACACACTTAAGCTCAATAATCTCCTCAACTGATTTTTCAGTACCTCTCAGAGTAGGCCATCTCATCACTGCTATTCAAGAAAGAGGTAATATTCCAATGTTATTCATGTGTGGTGCATGTTTTCATTAATAATGTGGCTTGTCTGAAAAATAAAATTATTTCTTGCCTTATTGCTCCAGATTCTGCTGTTATTCCATGATAGTGCTAGACTTTTTTTCATTAGAACACCCATTAGCTTTGATCACCAGGAATTAAGTATTCACCTAAATTTCATTGATATTCTCAGGTTCTTTTTGTTACATTCATATTAGAAACATATTGCACACTACCTTCAACAACAACAACAGAATACTCAGTAAATGTCTGCTAAATAGAACTGAAGAGAATAAGAAATGCCATCACTTTTCTGAGATACAGGAGTCAAGCAAAAGTGAGGTGATATATCACTCCTAATAAAAACAGTGTGTACAGACGAATGTATAAACATAATGGCATATGCAACACATTTACAAGTTGAACATCATTACCTTCAGAACAATCTCAAACTAATAGTATTTAGAAAAAAAATTAAGGTATTGCATTTTATTAGGCATGTCCCTACTCCCATTTTGTATATACTTTATTGTCATTTCACAGCTAGATGTGTCATCATGTCAGTTGAGAACATTAATCTTGCTTAGGCTGAAAGGAAAAAATGCCATCCAAGGAAAGCAATGAAGCATTTCTCTATATCTTTTATGTTTAAAGGCTTTCTGAGTGTCATCAGATAATGTCACATTCAGACAATCATCTTGCCAGTTCTGAATGTACTACTCTGCTTGTATTGCTTGGCAAAAAGATAGAATAATACAGTTAGAGTTATGATATGGTATATTTTCTCTAAGTCATAGAATGTTTTCAGATGACAATACTGCAGACATTAAATAATTGCTTAAGTCTAAACAGTAAGGTGCCTTGATGTGGAATGTAATTTGTTCTAATTATTCTGGTTATAATTTTTCTATCTCACATTTTAAAGTTTCATTTCTTTACATAGCTAGAATATCAAATCTATTTCTGCAAACATTATATTTTCTCAAAGGATAGGCTCTCAATAATAACTCTTGCAATGAACAGAAAGCCTGCCTTTCTTCAAATCAAGAATACGAGACATACTTTGTTGCCCGGGCATATATGAAAGCCCTAAAAAAATACTCCAGTGTCTCATTCAGTGAATGGTCCCACTGAGTTACGAGCTAGAAATCTAGAAGCCTTGCTCACCTAACCCTATATTCCTCTCTTACTAAGTCCTAAAATTTTTTTCCTTTATCTTTTGAATCTGTACAGTCCACTATCTACACATTAATCCAAGGTAGTGAGATAAAAATAGTCATTATCGAGTGAAAGGGTTTCATTTAGGAAATGCTGGTTAAACAAACTAATCCTGATCACCGTAAGACTTGTGAGCCTTGAAAATGTTTTATTGTAACTCTCCAAGGCATATTTTGAAAATTCATTTGGCAATTACATTAAACACTCAGGGACTATTTGACCAGAAAATGGAATGGTTTTGGCATAGAAACGGAGAGATTTCACCTCTGATTTAGATACCCAAGGCTCTGAAAACAGACACATTAAGGAATAAGGAAGTACCGATATAAAAAAAAATTGAATAACTGAATTATAGTCTAAGAAATTTGGTCTGAATGTTGCAAAGTTCTGGGCTAGCTCCTCCACTCCAGAATTACATAATTTATTGTTGCATGAATGAGTATTGTTTGTCTTGTGTCTTATATTTTCCATCCATTTCATATCCTTATGGATTTACACATGTCTACTTTTTGCTCTACTTCTCAGACACCTTGTGCACCATTTTCTTTCTCTTTTCCATTTTAAGGAGAGAGAATTGAAAGGGGTGTGGTACATTGAAGAGAAAAATCAATTCCCAAGAAGCAGTAAAAAGCATAGCTGAAATAAAGGACTACAGATTGTGCAGGGACAGAGCTTTGAGCATTCTATTCATGCCATGGCTTTCTTTCAAAGTCACTGGAAGATAAAGAAGCAATTGTGACTTTGGAAATCTTCCACATACAAGCTGTGTGTTGCTTGAAAAACTACTTCTCTGGTAGCAAAAAACATGGGTGATCAGTTCCAGGAGCGGGGAGGGCTACACAAACCATGCCTGACTTAATAAAAATCTATGCGGAGCCACATCGGATGAACGACCACTATGAATGCTCTAGTCTGCATCTACTTGGGATGGTAGTGGTGGGGGATGGCAGGTGCATATTTGGAAACAGGTAGCCTATTAACTACTTTTCAACAGTAAAATTAGCTCTTTTCTGTTTCCAGGCATCTGAGCATCTCAGCATATAATAAAAATTCATCTCTCACTGCAGTTCTGGCTGAAAATCTTCCAGTGTCCCTCTGACCAGAAGTAAAATTAGGACGCCTGCAGAACAATATGCCCTCCTTCAAGTCAAGTACAGTTGTATCATTGTGCTTGTTTTAAATTAACGAGGCTCAGTTTTAAAAGGGGTATCTCCAAACCACCATCTCTCTGTTTATACGAAAGCATGAATAACTTTTCAAAGATTGTTTTTTCACTGTGTTTATTTAATGTCAAATTAGAGCCAATGAATGCTGTGATAATGTCTTGTAACATAAATTGAAAGTTGAAAAATGAGTCATCACTTTTTTGTTATTGTTCTTGGCTCTGATCTCTTTAAGAAAAATATCATACTGGTTAATAGTTTGTTTATAAACTATTTAAACAAATTAGTCCCATTGATGCACAAAAACTATGTCTTTAAAGGTCAAATCAATTTTTTGAGACAAATAATTACAAACTGCTTTGCTCCTAAAATTTCCACATTTGTACCTAAAGCTATGAAATAAAATGCTCAGTAAAATGAAATAAAATGAAATAAAAGCACACTAAAATACTATAAAAGACAAAAGGTCAAATAGTTACAGGCTGTGTGTTTTATTTTTTAATTTTAATTTTTATTTTTTGAGATGGAGTCTCACTGTCACCCAGGCTGGAGTGCAGTGGCGCGATCTTGGCTCACTGCAAACTCCGCCTGCCGGGTTCATGCCATTCTCCTGCCTCAGCCTCCTGAGTAGCTGGGACTACAGGCACCCGCCACCTCGCCCGGCTAATTTTTTGTATTTTTAGTAGAGATGGGGTTTCACCATTAGCCAGGATGGCCTTGATCTCCTGACCTCGTGATCCGCCCGCCTCGGCCTCCCAAAGTGCTGGGCTTATAGGCGTAAGCCACAGCGCCCAGCCCAGGCTGTGTGTTTTAAAAATGAAAACTAGTGCCATCAGTAATAGTCTCTTCCTCTGATTCTCCCTTTCCCCACCGGGGCCCACACTAGAGAACAGCAGTCATGTTGGGCTGTACTGTAAATCTTTCCTGTATTACGCTGATGACACCACTACTATGTGAACAAAACATAAGTGACATTAGTTAAATTTATGGCATACTTGACTTTCATTTAGCATGTGAATATCATACTCATAATATCCTCCACAAAATTATTCCCACCATACACAACCTGTGTTCTACATATGCTACTGCAAGTCTAATAGATAAAACGGCAAAAACTAATGGATATGACAAACCATCCTTCATGTCCTTTTATAATGCTTTGTTGCCCATATAAGATACAAAATTGTCCTGATTTTTTTCCATCAGCCCCATTTGAACATCTAGGTGTCAGCATCTTCCATTCTAGTTAGAGAACAACTTTCTACAGAAAGTCACTCAAAAATTACTGAGACTGACTCATATGAACACCTCAACTATAAAATGAAGTAGAACTGATACATTTCTAACAAAAACTCATTAGTCAAAAATTCCACCATAAAAAAGATACGTGCATGCTGACAATTTCTGCTCAGGGTATTTATACAGAAAGAGAATAATAACATCTATTTAAAACTGTATGTTGAAAAACAAACAGAAATTTGACATTTAATTTATAGTTTGATTTTTTCTTGTGTGATACTATATAACAATATTAGTTTAGACAAGATGAATAGAATGATGTGACTTATAAGATATAATCCTGACAACGGATATCTACGGTTTATTTCAGGTTTAAAATTTGTATTATTTTGATATCTAAAGTAAATATCAAAAAGAACACATTTTCATATATGACATATATAAATGATGAAATAAATTTGAGAATATAAGGAATCGGTATTTCTCATTTTTATGGACAAAATTTTAAAAGTAGTGTGCAGATATTTTAGATTTCATTTTTTACCTTGAAATATCCATATGAAGTGGTTACATTCAATTTAAGTTTACATGTTAATCATTTATGATCAAAATTACATCTGAGCTAATATTTTTAAATTTTTTGGAAGATAAGAAACATCAGGCTTATATTTTGATAAAACATATTTCACAAACCCAAAATTAAAATTGGATTTTTTGTGTGGTAGAAAACAGAAAAGCTACAAGCAAGCAAAAACCAAAAATACTTTCATAGCTATCTGAATGAAATAATAACTAAAGAAAGGCTTTTTTTTTTTTTTCCCCTGAGACAGGGTCTCGCTATGTTGCTCAGGCTGTTCTCGAACTCTTGGGCTCAAGTGATCTTCTCGTCTTGCCTTCCAACGTGCTAGGATTACAGGCATCAGCCACTACACCTAGCCTAAAGAAAGATTTTAAACAACAAGAAATACACTGATGTTGTGGGCCCTCACATATTTATGGCAACTCCTTATCTTTTATTTCCCCCAAATTTATAATAAGAATATAAAATTCCAATATTTTAAGAATCAAATTCTGCCCCTTGCAACCAAAGTGACAAAACAGTTTTGACAACCTATGAGCTTTTATTGGCCCTAAGTGGGTCTAATAATACTATTATTGCAATATCAAATAAATATATTTACCAATAATTAGCAATAAACTATATTTGTGAGGAAGGATATATTTCCATTTCCATAGTCAAATGCAACTATATAATACAAAACAAACATACTTATGTATTTATAGCTTTTCTTAGGACATGCGCATATTTAAAAATTATTCCTGAGTTTGAACTGCTCCTTGGTCTGTCTTATCTCTTGTCTCAGAGCCCGTATTTTTTGAATTCTACTGATGATATAAAAATGATCTTTTCTAGAGAGATTTGTTAAACATCTTGTTCTACTCTGCCTTGTGATAACTGTATTTTTCAAAACTTAAATTTCAGAACATTTTATAGTCACCTGTGATAGTTTTATGCGTCAGCTTGGCTAGGCTATGGTGCCCAGGGTTTGGTCAAATATTAGACTGGGTGTGCAGTGAAGGCATTTTGCAGATGTGATTAACACTTAAGCAGAGCCAGGCACAGTGGCTCACCATGTCTGTAATCCCAGCACTTAGGGAGGCCGAGGCAGGCTGACCACTTGAGCTCAGGGGTTCAAGACCAGCCTGGGCGATGTGACAAAATCCCATCTCTACAAAAAATACCAACATTAGCCAGGCATGGTGGTGCACACCTATAGTCCCAGCTATTCGAGAGGCTGAAGTGGGTGGAGTGCTTGAGCCCAAGAGGTCGAGGCTGCAGTGATTGTACCACTGCACTCCAGCCTGGGTGACAGAGTAAGACCCTATCTTAAAACCAACCAACAAATAAACAAATCAATCACTTAATCAGTAGACTTTGAGTTAACAGATTTCCCTCCATAACGTGGGTGAACCTCATCCAATAAGTTGAAGGCCTTAAGAGAAAAAGACAAAGGTCCCTAGTAGAGGAAGAAATCTGACTCTAGACTGCCTTCAGACTCAAGATTGCAACATCCACTATTGCAAGAATTTCCGGCACGCCCTGCAGATTTCAGACTTATCAGCTTTCACAATCTTGTGAACCAATTTAAAATTAATCATTCAATCACACACACACACACACACACACACACACACACACACTCTCCTAATAATTTAGTTCTATTTCTCTGGAGGACCCTAATATATCACCACATTTTGTTTTCTTCTCTATTTAGTCTTAGATAAGGCAAGGTCTAACCATGATTGATGTGTGCTCACAAAAAATATGTGGGGTTTCCTTTTTTCCACTCTCACTATTCCTTGAACTACTGTTGAACTATGTTTCTTGACCAGCTGGAGGACTGGTTGAAGGAGAGGGCTGGACCCAAGAGCAGTGGTGCTCTTCCCTGGTGGTTTGGTAAAGCCACTGTGCCATGGTCCACCTTTCACTTTGGCTCCCTTAGATATAAGGAGTTGTTGTGTCTAAGCAACTTTATGCTGCCTGTACAACAGAAATGTCTGTTCACTTTTGCCTTGTTATCACATGTATATGAAACTTGGGGATTCCCAGAACTGTTTTTCAATGTGGTTGAGATTCAGCCTAGGGAGTGAGCCTGAAAGGTGTATGGCCAGCCTGCTCCACTGCATTCTCATGCACTTTGCTCCATTCACTCTGTTTTAGAAACAAGGCCTTCTTAGCTAAATCCTGCACTAGGATATCCCTATGCCCTCTGAGCCTCAAAATGCTGCTAATTCCATATGCTGTTGATTTATAACAGTGAAGCTAAGTCTATGAGATGTGCACTGGGTTTACCCTGAATGCCACAATCACGTTTACATTTAGAGGTTGGCCATTGTGATCAAGTACTCAAAAAATAAAAAAAAATAAAAATAAAAATAATAAAAAAAAACAAGAAAAGAATAGCATCTGGTAGAGTTTTAAGAAGTCGTCAGATATACCAATGAATAAGATGTTATGAGCTGAACTGTGTCTCCCCAAAATTCGTACGTTGAAGCCGTAACCTAACTCCTAATACCTCTGAATGTGACTTCATTTGGAGATATTAAAGTTAAATGAGGTTTTTAGGGTGGGGTCCTATTCCAGTATCTCTGGTGTCCCATAAGAAGAGAAAGAGATATCTGGGATGTGAACACACTTAGGAAAGAACACTGTGAGGACACAGTGATAAAGTGGCCATCTGCAAGCCAAGGAGAGAGGCCTAAGAGGAACCAAACCTCCTGACACTTTGATTTCAGACTTGCAGCCTCCAGAACCATGGTGTTTAAGCCACCCAGTTTGTACTAATTTGTTATGGCATCCTAGGCAGACAAATACATATGGTATCAAAAAATGAAGAAATAAAACATCTGAGAAAAGCATTACATATAGGGATTAAGGTGCTTCCCTGAGCTGCGCTATTTACTGATCAAACACACATCCCATCTAAATTTTCGTGATCTAGGATCGGAATGTGTAAGGGAAGATGCATAATTCATTTAATAAAATGGCATCCTTAGGCTCTTACTTTTGATTCAAATATTTTTTTATGAAGTTGTATAAGGGTATATTTCTTCAACTTTAGCTTTTTAAAAAATGCCTTTTTGTTGCCTTCTCATGTGAAGACTTACTTAATCTGGTATAAAATTCTTGGCTAGGTACCTGTCTGCAAAACACTGTAGATGCAGTTGTATTTTCATTAGGATTTTACTGTTGTAGCATAATTCTGAAGTATTTTTATTGTTTTAAAACCACTATCTTATTTCTTTCTGTTTTTGTATTTGTGGACAAGGGTGGAGCTATACTTAACTTGGGTGATAGCCAACAAAGAAAATGCATTCTTCACTCTTTGGCCCACTTCATATGCCCTTCTGTAATGGCCGAATCCATTGCTCAGAGCTGGATGGCTAGTCCACGTACATGGTTTCTATCCAAACCCCAGAATCTATCCTCTAGGGATCTTCCACAGTTCTGAAGTGGACCTTATTGTTCTCCAATAGCCCAGTGCACTAAGTTCAGAACTGCTGGAATGTGTACAAAACTAGACACTGCTGCATAAACCACTACCCTAGCCTCTTCCTATCTGTTTTGCTTGTAGGGTTCCACTTGTGAGAGCTATACTCTGCAGGGGACAAAATATAACCATGTCCCCTCCTCCCTATTTCTCATTTAATTACTTTCTGAATACATACTAAAACAGATAGGTACTTGCAGAAGGGGTTTGCTTTGTTTGAAAAGCAAAATTTATACAATATATGAGTAGCTTCCAGTTCCCAGTTTAAAGAAACCTTTTATTTTGAGCCATGCAGCTTTTTACTTATTGCCTTAGGGCAAACTTAGCTCTATTTCCAAAAGTGTACATAGGTAAGCCACCAATTGCACTTGAAAATCTAGTTCCATCAATGGAGTGGGGGATAAGCATGTAGGATAAAATGGTAATAGTAACATACAGGAGGTGGGTACGCAAGTGTCCATTAGAAAATTATCTTAACTGCTATAGTTTTGAAATTTTATGTAACTAAATGTAGGAAAACAATTCCAGAATTCCTCTCAAATTCTGGCAGTAAGCGACAATCAGTCTATATTATCCATACTACGAACAGATATCTCTTTGTGTGTCTTCATAGTCAATTTACTGGAAATTTTTGGAAGGTTGTGTCCAGGGCTGCTAGCCAGACACCACTTAAAATAGAAATCTCAGTATACCTTTGCAGTAATACATAGTTATTTACTGAACCCAAACAGCATCCAAGATAGTCTTTTAGAAGTAATGGGAGGCTCATAATCTAATAAAGAATAGCCAAAGTAATTATACTAAATGTTCCCACTAGCTAAAATAATACAGTAATGCAAAATTTAGTAGGTCATATGAAACATTCCAGGCAGTAAAGGAAGAGCTTATATAGCTCTTATGAATTATTTCAAATAATGGCAAGTAATAATACAAATAAATAAATAAATGAAGCTCACCCCACAAAACTGGTATATCCCACATCAGGTATTTTTCTTGCCCATTTGAAATGTAAACATCCGGCACATATTTAGAAAGACACAGATATTTGACTTACAAAATATACAGCTTTATAAAAATAAAGACTTATTATTATCAAGGAAGGATGTGTATTTGGACCTGTGCCACATGACACTTCCTTAAAAGAGCTAATATATACCTGGTCCCGAAATTAAAGATGGAAATAATCCACGTGTTCTTGTTTAGATATTATGAAACAAAAGAGATACTGAACATGTATTTTCACTATAAATACTGGAGAATGGTCAGAATAATTTCATCATGCCTAGTAGAGATGGCTTTCTGGCCAGCCCCAGATGAATATAAAATAGTTTTACAAACCATATTATTAAGTTACAAATCTGATTATTTCCCTTTTTAATTATTTCCTGTCTCACAACGGGAAAAAATAGATGTGCAACCTGGCTTACTGAGCACTGATCAACAAGGATGGGGTAATCCTCTTGAACTCTGATTTATGTATGTGACAATTTCATTCCTTATTCAAGAAGGTCCAATGTTTCTGCTATACCTTAAAGATTATTGTCCTATGGACTTATCTAAACCTTCCTCTGAAAGTCTCCTTGGTGTGTTCACCACACTGATTTTTTTATTCTTATTTTTTAAAAACAGCTCTGATTTTTCTAATCTCTTCTTCAATTAAGTTAAATCACCCTCACTTGTCTTTATTCCTATTTAATTTGCTAATCAATTTCACTTTTTTATACAAAAACTATTTCTATCAATCATCTGGGACTTCAAGCAACTAGGTGTCCTGTCTTTACAGCATCAGCAATACTGAGCCTTTCACAGCCTCTGTTTAGTTTTCAGAGTGGCAGAATAGGAGATAAAGAGTCTTCTATTTGGGAAACTTAATGGACATGTTCTATAATCACTTGAGTGCTCTCTCTGCAGACAGCACTACTCATCATCAAACAAGTCACATGGGACATACAAAGGAAAATGACAAGGTCTATGCACCCCCAAGAGGGGTGAATAAAATGAAGTATGGTGTATAGGCAATTAAGGAATACACACAGTGGAATCTATCAGTGAAAGTTCAGAGTAGGGGAGAATAATGTGAGCTAAAGCAGCCTAGAGAAAAATAGCATGAAGTCAGAGGACAGCGAGGAATGAAAGAGAATATGTCTAGCAGGAGTTTATGATCTGGTCAGAAAACAGTGGGAGGCAAAATTAGATGGACAGAGAACAACAACATTATGGAGAACGAACAACATTATGGAGAACATTGGATGAAGAATTTGAACTTCCTGCAAGCAGTGGTAAACCTCTGCAGGTTCTGAGTACAGGAATCAAGAATGTTAAAAACAGTATTAAAAAAGTAGCTGCAATAGTCCATCTGTGAAGTGATGAGAGCCCGATAGGTAAAAGCTATCTCAGACATTTTAAGAATAAAATGTCACACACACAAAGTCACTAATATAAAATGAGTGAAATTTCATGAAACTATAGTTTAAAGGGCTCCTCTCTTCTTTTTGCTTAAAGGTACCCTACTGAGAACCTAGATACAAAAACAGGTTTTAACATGAACAAAGAAGTGTGAAACTTTGAGGAAGGTCTTTTGAATGATCAGAGTTCCTTTTAATTACAGTCAATGAAGTCAATAAATCTCTTTTCTCCTTTCCCCTTTTCTCTCCATCAATCTCTGCCTCTCTCTTTCTAACACTAATCTGAATGTACAAACATATCTAAATCCAGGTTGCCCTTCATTGCCAGTTTCTGATGAGTCATCTGGACTTCAGAATCAACATCCAGGAGCTCTGAGTAAATCACGCAGTACTGAAGAGTCCATGAGAATAGACTCTGTTCTACTTCTCCCAATCTAAATGCTGTCAGATACTAATAACTTGGTTTCAATTCTATACTTAACAGTGCCAAGGTTTTGCTTTTATTTCACTAGCAACATTTTTTTTTAATCCAAATCACTGGTGTTGATTAATTAAAAAGAAAATTGAGACACCAGAAAGCAGGGTGCCAACAAATGCTGGGAACACTCTTGGACTACTCAGACACTGTCATTCCATCTCCTCCTCTGCAATGGAGAAAGATGTTTTCCCATCTCCTGTATAAAATGCTATTGCACCCCTATCTTGCATCCAGATACACAAGTTGCAACATTGCTTCCAGACTCCTTAGCACTCACATTATTTAGAATTCATTCTATACCTGGCAACCTACATGAATAACATTTATGACAGCTGAACATGTTATTTTACATTACTCTGAAGAATAACCCTAAGCATAAGGCATTACTTACAGTCAGATCAACAAATTAAGGAGAATGTATTTAAAATCCTATAAGGGTAAAAGAGAATTTGTACAAGTGGCCTTTGAAAATTAAAAAAATATATAAACATTAATTTTTTCCTTTAATCTGAAGCATTACCTTTCAAATAAATACCTCAAGGAATGCTTTTTAGTAGTCAAATATCTCATAATAAATGTCAGGAGCTTGTCTACAACACCTCTACTTTACCAGGTCCATCCCTAGCTTGAATTGTTATAGTGTCTTTAGTTCCCTGATTCTTGCAACAAAATTGATTTGAATACATTGACTACTGATCTGTACGTAGGTAATTTCCCAAAAATTTATAGAAAAATTTTTTTTCAAGAAAGAGTGAATTATTTGAACTACTGGATTTATGCTCAGAATTATCATCATCATTGTCGTCATCAGGATGTCCATTTTACAGATAAACATTTTCAGAAGAAAAGGCCAGATCAAAATAAAGAAGGTAGATATAAGCAGTTGACTTTTCAGACTTAATTTTTCCTCAGTTTTCACACTAGACAATACTTTTAAATTCACACAAAGGCTTAGTTTTCATTTTAAATAAATAGTTTTTTATTGGTAGGAATGATCTAATATCCCTTAAATGTGGAGGATTCATTATCCAAAGATGAAGGAGGACTACAGTATTTTGCTTTTACACAAAAGTAGAAGACTTTGTTCAGTACCATGTATAAGGGAGAATTATTTCTATGGCTTCAAGACTATCTCTGTATCCCTCTTTTCTTCTAGTAAACCTAATAACTTGCACCTTTACACATAATGAATTTTGACTACCTATTAAACACAACTTGATTTCTTCATTGGTGAGAAAAATTTATGCACAGGAAGAGTTGATTCTTGATGGAACTAAAGTACAAAGGAAGATCTGGATTATTTTATTTTGCTTGATATTTTATTAAATAGTGTTCAAAATTATTGTACTGTAAATGAAACCTTGAAAATGTATAACTAAAAATGTATTCTGCTATAGTAATACAAATTTCCTTAAAGGTCAGGGGAACAGTCTTGACCAAGAAACATAAAATTTCAGTACAAATTATTGACAAATAATAATATATTTTAACAAACACTAGAAAAAATATATATTATAGATTAACACGGAACGAATCATTATATCTTTACCTTCATAAAAGTTACAAAGAACATTGTGAAATAAGCTCTTCTAAAAGACATAAATATGTGAGGAGATTTTAGAATACTTTAGTCATTCACATATAACTTGGAAAGAAAAACAAAAGCATAAACAAAACAAAACTCCTCACCTAAAATCCTGTTGAGATTTGGAGTATGGAGTCCTCCAACAGCAAAAGCAATATAAAAAAAAAATGATCTGAGTGCAAACCTGAGGTATAGCATTTTGACTATCTTTTAAACAGCTTCATTATGTGTTAAAGCAACTGTTTTGAGCAGCTAGAGATGTATTAACTCAATTTTGATAGCAAGAGCATTTTATATTTATTTACTTTGTTTATAAAATTGTTCCATTTCCTCTTGGGCTTGGGTTTCTCAAACTGCCCTTTTTGACCCACTGGGATGAATTTAGCAATGTGTTCAATCCTCACATCATATAGAAGCCAGAAGAATATTTAAATTATTTTCTGGTTTTGCTTTCAATTTTATAAGACTGTTCGTTTTTAAACAGCAGATGGTACAATATATTGCCCCATCTAAATTAAGATAAATCTTTCTTCCTTCCAAATATCAAATTATTTCTGATAATCAACAACCAGCTCTCCTCTCTTACTCCTTAAACACATATTATACATTAATGTATATGTGCATTTAGTTATATATTCACTATGTGCATATACATACATATATGCATATGTCAAGTATATGCATATGTATGTGTATATATACATAGACCACATAGATACAATACAGCTATTGTAAATGACAATCTATGACCTTCCTTTCTCTAGTTATCACCCTAGAATCAGAGAGCAGAAGCCTTTCAGAACAAAGTCTCAACAAGCAACACAAATTTATTCATTTTTACTTAAAATTCAAATTGAGAGGCCTGCAAAGAAACTGATAAGCTGTCTGGTAGAGTATAAAGTCTACCACAGGCCATAAGATCTTGCACAGATAGATTAAGTGTAATGAAGTAAAGGGAATACATATCATCTAGGATGAAGAAATCCATCATAGCTTTCAGCTAGACAAGTCAAACATTGGAAGCACCGTATAGCATTCCATTGGAAGTTAAGAAAACAAATTCTCCCATGTGTGTGTGTGTGTGTAAAATATATGGGTATATATAAAATATATACATAATATATATATACACACACACACGTGTGGTTTTCACAGACATGTCTCCTCCAAATGCAAACATATTTCTTACAGATAAAAATTTAAAGCAAAAATGTGAAGTTTTTTAAATAAAGAAGTGGACTCAAGAAAATTAGAATGTGTAAAGAAAAAAATACCAGTAAGTCTTACATTTCAACAAAAATAAAGATTAATTTTAATAAGGAGTGACTGTCCTTCTATTCATGCAATGCCTTATCATCTAAGTATCCTGGTGTCATGCATATAAAATGCATTTCTACACACAAAAGAAAGCTTTGGTACTATCATATATAGGGCATGCTATATTTTAAACCAAAACCAAGTAGAGACAATTTGGTACATTGTTTCTTCACATAATTACAAATTATTGTAATATAACTAAGATATTTATGGCCTTTGATCTAAAATATTGACTTATTTCTCAAATACTCTTCAAAATTCATCCATGTTAAAGGAATTGAAATATTCAACAGTTTGTCTAAAATTGATTGGTCCTGAAACTTATAACACTTCTCCCCTTTCTCTTCTATAATGTAGATCTCTCCATAAATGCCTTCTTTTCACCTTCCAGGCAGAAGAGAGGCTAAAGGCAACAGCAAAAGATTGACATTGAACTACAAGATAGCAGACACTAATATAATAACTCAGCAACTCCCCACCCTTTCCATTCTCCCAGTACTTTGACTCATCCCACATATTCCTCTCCAAAGAAGTTCACCTCTCACCATATATAGAAAAGGAAGGGAACTATACATTCACTTAAGAAAAACACTTGAAAACCTTTGTAATTATCCGATTTGAAATGCTAAATATCATAATACATGAATGTTTTATTTCTGGTGGTAACTAATTTCATCTAAAACATGGTACTATAATAATACTACTGTGACCTGCATTAAGTCTGAAAATGAGGCTTTCTATTAGTGTTTTAGAATATTACCACAATGAGATGACTTCTTTTCCACCCCAGTCATTACCAATAATTGCACCATTTCCAAACACCAATTTGGGCATCCCTTTCACAGAGTTATTGCCCTTACCTTTCAGCTCATGGGCTCTAGTGCTCCCATTCAGGGATTCACTGGCCTCATTGGCACTTCTAGTCTGCTGGCCTTTCATTGGCCATCCCCTGTCCTCACTTCACTCTTTATCCAGCTTAGATTCCAAGTGAATCATTCTAATCTCATCCTTTTATAAACTCTCAGCTATTTTTTCCCCTCTTAATATTTTGCTGGAGAAACCCAAATCTGAGTTAAATTTTATCCTCTGCCTACTCTGCACTTGTAATAAAACAGCTGAAAGTGGCTGGATTTAACAACAATGACAAACGTATAACTATAATGACTAGTTCACATTCAATTTTTGACTACAAACCTGAGGTGTGTGCTCCCCACAGTCAGGAAACTCTACTTCCTTGAACTATTTACTCTATTTTATATCTCCTCTCTTAATTACTTTTCATCCCATTCTCACTTTTAGCAGCCCAGCTTGATTCTTTTTGCATTCAGAAGAGAATATCCTCATTGTCCCACCACAGCTAAGTGAACCAAGGTCTTCTCTTTCCTAACTCACCCAGGTGGCCCTCTTCCCTTCCTCAAACATGATGCTTCTCAGATTATCTATAGTGAAGGACAAGCCCCTTCCCTGAATTGAGTGTGAGCCTAAACTTTTGTAAAATACAATAAAAATAACTTACCAAATAATGAAATAAAAAAGACATGCAACTCATATCAATTGCCAGTTCAATGTATTCAAATATTACATTACATTGCTTTAAATCTTGTTGTATATTTGTAATAAATGATCAACATGGTGAGCACACTTCGAGTTGCCTTGCCCTACTGCATCAAATATTGCCCATGGCAGGTCTAATGCATGTTGTTTACTCTGCTGGAACATTCCTCCCCCAGAGAGTCACATGGCTTCTTTCTTATCTTTTTCACTTCAGTAATCACCTCAGAGAGGACTGATGTTTCTGACCACTTTATCTTCTTTCTCAAAACAAGATCTTGCCATCATTTTCCATTCCCTCACCTAGCACTGTTTTTTTCAATAGCACTTAAAATTCACATGGCATTCTTATATAATTATTGTGTAGTGCTTGTTCTCCAATATACAATTCTGTGAAGACAAGGACTTTGTTTACTACTGAGTTCTCAGTATTTAAATTATACTTGCCACAAAGTAGGTATTTAATAGTACTGAATAAATGCATATATTGCACCAAAAATATAACCAAAGATAACTAGAATGTTATCATCACAGGTTTCTGGAGAACTGCAAAAGGTTTCTATAGTTTCATAAATATCCATGTGTGGATTTTGTCACAATAACATATGTTCAATGCTTCTCTACCATGTGACCCAAAATTAGGGAGGAAATCAACAACAAATCTCTCTCAGGAAGGGCAATACTGTGGTGACAGTAAATTTTAACTGTCAGATGTGGTGTTTAAAACAAAGTTGACTTTCCAACAGCTACACAATAACAAGATTTTTCAATTGTTTTAGGCTGCTTAGGGGAAAATCAATCAGAATAAGCTTTTAGACAGAAGAAACTCCTAATGAAATGAAGGCATAAACAATTAAAAGGCACTGCCTTTCAAGAAAGCTAGAGGTGAATTTGTAATACTACTGTTCCTTAAAAATTTGTTAAGAGGGTAGTTCTTGTGTTCCTATCACACGCACACACACACAGACACACACGTAATAATAATAATAATAATGTAGATGGTGAGAGAAAACTTGTGGAGCTGATGGAGAGATTTATGGTATAGATTGTGGTGATGGGTACATGAGTATATTCTTATGTCCAAACTCATAAAGTTGTGTATATTAAAATGTACAGCTTTTACATGTCAATCTTGCTTCAATAATGTGGTTTAATAAAGACATTAATGCTCCTTCATTTACAAAGGGATCTGAGTTTATTTTAATTTATTTCAAAACTGAATTATTGTGTACTCCCCCATGAAAAAATAAATATATATAGGTGAAATTCAGAATATGAAGAAAACAAATTGAAGAAATAATTGAGTCCTTATTCTTGAGATTTAAAAACAACAGTGCCAAGTGTATTGTTTTGAGGAGTTAAAAATGATCAAAAAAGATTACTTACTAAAAAAATTAACCATAAGCTTTTTCAGATTATATTTATGCCTTGAATATTTTCTATTACATTAGGTATAATGTGTATTCTATTATCTTACAACATACGTATCTTACAGTTAGCATATTAAGAAGTCATTTCTATCTTAAAAAATGATTTTTAACTATCTCACTGAAAGTTATTAACTGATTTTTATCAAATTACTATAATGTGGGCACCCATTACTTCATGTTCCCAGGACTCCAAGTCTCTGCTTAGGGAACAGCAGCTATATTCTGGAAAATGCTTCTTCCTCCATTTGGTTTGATGGCAGCTCCATCTTTCTCTGTACAAATGCAATCTCACTTACATCTGGGTCAGGTGTAGTACCCTAGACAGCTAAGTGGGGTTGAAGGGTCTAGAAGCAGCCCTTTCCCTAGATAAGCCAAATCAGGGCCTTCCAGCAGATCCAGGGTTAGTGGTTCAATCCCTTTCTGGCAGTGGCACTGCAGGATGGGAGAGAAAAAGGCTAGTGACATTGATATTTGACTACAAAGGGGCATGAAGGAATATTTTTTGGGGTAATAAAAATGTTCTGTATTTATGAAAACTCATTTATACTAACATGATCAATTTTACTTTATATATTTCAATAAACCTGATTTTAAAATTCAAAACTCCAATGTACTTCTTTACCTAATTTGTTGCTTGTTGGTATTGTATTTTACCATACTGTTTGTGTGTGTGTTTATGTGTGTGTGTGTTTATGTGTGTGTGTGTGTGTGTGTGTGTGTGTGTGTGTTTTGTGATGGAGTCTCGCTCTGTCACCAGGCTGGAGTGCTGTGGCATGATCTTGGTTCACTGCAACCTCTGCCTCCTGGGTTCAAGCGATTCTCCTGCCTCAGCCTTCCGAGTAGCTGGGATTTCAGGCACACACCACCACGCCCAGCTAATTTTTGTAGTTTTAGTAGACATGGGGTTTCACCATGTTTGATTTCCTGACCTCGTGATCCGCCCACCTCAACCTCCCAAAGTGCTGGGATTACAGGCATGAGCCACCGTGCCCAGCCTACGATACTGTTTTAAAACTGTTTATATATATATACATACCAATTTGGCAAAACTTTATTATTTGCATTCTAATCTGCAAATATCACATAAGACACCATGTCAAGGTACAAAATTAATACTTTAAAATCATTCTGTGGAGCAGTGTATAATACTCAACAATTTCACATCTTGTTTGCAAAATCTGTAAGTATCATATAATTGCTTCACTTAGAAACATGTTTTAATATAAATGAATAGTCTGTAAAACAGACACTGGAGAACTAAAGTGGGAACATTTCTCTTATTCCAATCTAATTAGCTCATTCTTCTACCTCAGTTTGCTCTCCTGTTATCTTCTGAGATATTGTCTTTGTACAAAATGAATATTGCATTCATTTCTAACTGTGTTCTAAGTAGTAAATATTATTAGTTACCATATATAAATGCATGCTGTATAGTATGTGAAATTTATACAGAGATTATATGAACAGATATTGGAAACATTTATGAATAAAGATGACAATATTTAGAAATGTTTAAATATTCTGGTAAAATAATAATCTGCTTAAAGCTAAATAGCTACAATAACATTTTACAGAGTTTTTTTAACTTGGAATTAGAAGATACCAGGAGCATTTTATGGTTTCAGAAAAACTATTAATCATCCTTTGGTACTAAATAGCAAAACTTTAATTCTTCTTTCAGGATAGACCATCAGATTTTCATATTCAAACTCATTCATCAGTGTCTCTCTTCCATGGATGTAGCTATTTCCAAATATTTATACATTTTTTACCCTTAAAATTGTAAAATAGAAAAAAAATCATTAAAAATAAGAATCAAACCATATAAATAAAATGCATCCAATAAGTAAATCTCAGTGTTTTCAATACTCATACAGAGACTTCTTCCTATCAGCAGCATGTCATTGATGTGAGGGTTGGCCACAGATTGCTGCAAATGTTTTTAAAACTCTATCACACAAGTACATATGAGGATACCCTGGCTCAACAATAGATCATACGAAAACAACACAGGATAAAACAAAACAATAAAAACTGAGAAGTGAGGAAGTGCTCTGCAAAATAAAGTATCTGATGGACCAAAAATGATTAATATAAGTTTACAAGTGTCTCCTTTCCTTCTCTCCAACCAATAAAGCAAAGGCTTTTCTGCCTGCTCTATTTTCTCCCCTGTTTCAGTAATCTTAAAATGTACAGATTCTTTCTTATTGTGGAGAAGGTTAAAAGGTAAATTTGTATGATAGTAATGTGATGGAGAAAAAAAAACCACAGAAGAATTTGAGTTGACTGCTAAACTTGAGCTAAGATAAGGCTGCCAAGAATATAATCTTAGTGACCAGAAAAAGGGAGGTGAAAAACAATCACAGCCCATATTTGGTTGAACCACAGCATGTGAAGTTCACTTGTCTATGTCATATATTAAGAGGGGCACTGATGAACTTATTTGAATGATGAGTATGTGCTGGCCATCATGGTAGAAGAATCAGAGTTTTGCTATTTGGTACCAGAAGGATGAGGAGAATACATTTTACTTAAGTAGGTAGATGCTGCCTAAAAATAAAAAGGGTTGCTTTGTGAGGTAGAGAATTCCTGATTATTGGAATTTTAAAATATTCATTGAAAAATGTACTTAGCATATATTATGTAAAATGCTATGCAAAGCATTATGAAATTCCAGATAGTAATAATAATAATATATACTTCTTCCCTCAAAGAATGTCTACTACAGCATGAATTTGGAAGGTATAAGTAATGGCTGGGTTGGGATTATTGTAGAAGGTGATCCTCTTTTGACAGGAAAAGGACAGAAATGTTCCTCTATAATCCCTTCCAATTCAGACAGTTAATGCTGATCATTAGCATTTTATTATTCCTTTCCTGAAGAGACTTGATATTCCTTAACAGGTTACAGATATACTATTAGCATTTCTTCAATATACCAATCCGAGCAGAAACCAAGGACTGGCTGATTGCACAAAAAGAATACATTAGCCTTTCATTTCTTACCTTTGCAAACTTTTAAAACATTTTAGAGTTATCAAAATACAAAAATAAAAAAAATTTCTGCTTAAAAATGATATGTCCAGCTACAATGATTTACTTAGTAAAAACACTAGTGTATAGAAAATTTATTTGCATGTTAATTAGCCTTGGGGGAATGAGACTTGGTTTATTCTAGGATCATATTATGCCTTTCCAGGAAAAGAACAAAGCCAAAGTTTGGGAAAATGACAGAATTTAATTACCTGTTTCCATGATTTCAAGGGGAATTCATTGACGATATCTTACATAAATGACTGATACATTTTAATCAAAGAGAACCATGAACCAAATCAGTCTGCTTGATATAATGGTGTAGACTGCCATTGAATAAGAAAATCTTTACGGAAATACTTGGACACAGGGTGGGGAACATCACACACGGGGGCCTGTCGTGGGGTGGGGGGAGGGGGGAGGGATAGCCCTAATGTAAATGACCAGTTAACAGGTACAGCACACCAACATGGCACATGTATACATATGTAACAAACCTGCACATTGTGCACATGTACCCTAGAACTTAAAGTATAATAATAATAATAATAAAGAAAATATGGCATATCATGGTTAATGAAATAATAATAATATTGATAATTCTAAAACAGAATAAATATATTAAACCTGAAATGTACTAAAATGGTGTTTTAGATTTGTCTGACTTAAAAATATTTTAACTTTTGAATAGTTGTTATATTGCAGTCACAATGTAATGTTGCTAACATGCATTAGACAGCTTTGGAATTAGATAGGCATATAGTCCAGTTCTAATCTAGTAGTCACTGTGTGACACCTAATCTTGCTAAGGTTATTTCTTGATTTATTTTCAATGGGCTTAATAATACATACATCACAGGGTAGTTGTGAGAATTAAAATAGATAAGGTCTGCATGCAGAGTACTTGGTAAAGAACCTAGCACTTGGTAAGGTCTCAATAAATGGAAGCTGTATATAATGTTTGTAATATAACTTTCTATTTTGATATATGGAAGCCCATTCATATTGCTCTCATCACTCCTCTCTTCCTCCTTGTTCCTGCCAAACTAAATCAGCATTGGATTTATGTGCATGCAAATGATAGGTAAGAGAAGAGGTAGTCACTGCTGAAGGCCTTTAGAACTGAGATTACTTCCAACTAATTGTAGATGTTCACTATGGGGAACAGTGTTCTGAGAGTTACAACATGCCAGGATTTCATTACAATTACAGAATCTTCCTCAATAACCCTAAATGAATCTTATCATTCTACTGGATGATGAAACAGACATAATGTTTGCTCATGAGCTGGAGGCACAATGTAGTCTTAAGACATTCATTAGTATCAATTTGGGTTAAAAGGAATGCCAAGAAGTTTAGCGGATCTGGTTGTGATTTTAGCTACAATCAATATAGCAGTAAACCAGACTCAAAACTCCAGGGGTAAGAGTGGGGGTGGGGTCACAGATCTATAATTACTGCACTGGGCTTAGTATTGCTTTTTAAAGCTTTTAATATCACATAAAATCATTTCTGATTTTATTCCTTTTGACTCACACAAATACATAGTGGTCAATAGGCTAAATAAATGAACAGTTCCAACAAAACTGGATTCAAGAGAGGAGGTATATAACTCTACCATTGTTTATGAAACAAACAAGTAAAACCTAATAAATTGGTATATGTCCTACATTCTAGCCTCAGCAGACCCTGAAGGGCCCACACTTTGAACTCACTGTTCCCTCACTCGGGAATATGCCATCATTTCCCTCCCCGGCCTTCCCTGCTCATCTTTTTAGAGGCATTCCAAATGTTACGCCTTCTGTCAAGACTTCTCTGCTTCCTTGACACTTTCAAACAGCTGACTGCTATTCATGCTTTGAAAATGTGCCCTGTTATAATATTATATAAACATCTGTTTATCCCTTTCCTCCTGGATATCGCATTTTCCTTGAGGTGTCCCAAGTGTCTAAGTATAAAACTACTGAAGAAGGGAAGGGCAACGCTATGAAAAAGACAGATTTAATGTCAAATCCTGGCTCTATCTACAGACCTGGGGAAATTTATTTACACATTCTGTGTTACTCATCATTATAGGAGGATGAAAATGTTCTTTTTTGGGTTTCATGTTTTTATAAAAGATTAGTCAAAGTATGTAAGGTGATTAGCATGCATAGTATTTGGCAAAGACAATTATGGTTTAAAATGTCAGTTATTATTACTGACAATAACTCAAATATAGCATATCATGTTACAAGGGGATTGTAGGACTAAAACAAAATATTAAAGGAATATAAGGTAAAAAAAAGTAATTTTGATTGATATTTCAGGCTGTGAAGCCTTACTGAATTCAACAAATGTTTGTTAAATTGACTTGAATTTCTAGATCTGTTGCAAATTAAACCAGAATTTCAAGATAAATAAAAAATTTAAAAATTCAAAAAAGGGAGGAGGAGTTTTTTTTACCCCATTTTATGGATTTCAGCTTTCCTTTTGTCCATTAGTAATGTACTTGGAACTATATTTTTAAAATCCCATATGATTGCTCTATCAGATTTTACTTTATGAATGTATATTGCCACAAAAAATTAAGTCAAGGGTAGGAGAGAAAGGGGGAGAAAAATTAAGGCATTCTTAAAGACAGTCCTTAATCTTTATCTATATAGCTTTAAACATCTCTTTAGTAGATTATTACTAAATATGAGGCACTAAAAATGGTAAGAGATCCCATACATAGTTAAACATACAACTGTAAGAAGTAGTAGGAAAGACCATAAATTCTTCATAGATGAAAACTGCAGATCAGATAGTTATTTAAAAAAAAAAGTGTGCACACACACATATACACACCTATTTGTCAGAAGGTAGCATAAATATAAGTAACATTCAAATAAAGATTCTATAAATCTATGCTTCTTTTACGTTACACAAAGGCTTCCACTGTAGAGAACGTGGTATCTTAGGAAAATTAGATTTAACTACTAGAAGGTTATTACAAACTTCTAAAAAAGAAGTTTGAATGGAGTGATCAAGGAAACAGAATAACAGATGATTAATGAGTAAATACTATAGAGGCAAGAATGATAAAAAGGCAATTCTTTGAAACTTTCACTAATGAAGAAAAAATAAAATAGAGTATAATCAGGGAAACTGGGGTCAAATTAAAGGGTTTTTTTTTCTTGATGAGATTTAAGAATATGAATATTTGTGGCTGCTTTAATGAAGATAAAAATTTCAAGATGAATTGTTTGATGGAAAAGGTCCCTGCAGAGACCAGAGCACCAAAGATTAAGGAGACCTAGGAAGGGGCTATTATCTCTGAAAAGGCATAGGATGTAAGTGCCACAAGGTCAGGAAGAAGGTAGAAGGGAGGACATTCTAAAAAATGTTTTGTTGAGGAAAGAAACAGTAATCGTGGAGTTAACATTAAATGCCGTTGATTTTTCTCACTAAAATCAAAGGGAAGATTTGTAGCTGAGAGTTAAGAGAATGGTTAGATGTTTTAAAGAATGGGACGTCGTCAGAGCCACCAGCTGCTCTCAGAAATAAGAAGTGGAAAGAGATGAATCCAAAGTACTGATGGTAAACTAGATGTCTACTAGAACCAATGAGCACAGTGACAGGACTTCAGGTCACATTGATTGTGGGATTTATTCAATGAAGTCTGACAAAACGAGGGATATCAGGGGAGAGGCACCCTAGCTGGAGTGAGTACACTGGTGAAATAGTCCAAGAACAGATCCTGACAGGGTAGGGAAAGGAGAAAAACTTAGAGAGACTGAGGAATTGGGTTTTGCAATGAGGCTGGGTAGGAAAAAAAAAAAATCAATGTAGTGAGGAGGAAGAGGTTGAATTGATAAGTTTAATGCTAGAAATCAAAGGGTCTGAGCAGTGTGTGGGTGCTCATGGAAACAGAAAAACAAGGAAATGGGTTATCCATTTGGCTAGTTAAGTCCCCTAAGACGGTGATAAAGTGAAAAGGAATGAGAAAAAGCAGACCCACGTGGCAAAAGGGTGATTAAAAATAAATAAGGTCTGCTTAGAGTGGACAGATCGTGACAGAGAAAGTATTAAAATAATATCATTTATATGATGTGACTCACAAAGGGGGAGCAACTTGCGGAAGAAGAGTGACAGAATTATCAGGGGACATCATCTAAGTCTAGAGGCAGTACCTGGTGACCTGCCTGGAAGGGTCTGGAACTCAAACATCTGCAGGACTGACTCTGTAACACCTCTTTTTTTAAATTACAGAATCCAGTTAAACTAGAATTTGTCATGTGTCTTCCACCTCTCTACAACTGAGAACCATGAGGAAAATGATCCAGAACCAAGGATACTTTTTGCCTTCAAGTTGAACAAAAATGTGTTTGGGAAGAAAAATAAAATATGTGAAGAAATTAGTTGATTAACAAGATAAAATATAAATAACTGATGTGTATGATATGTGAAATCAAAATCAAAGAAAGACTAGACACTTGAGAAAACCAGGATTTCACTAAGTTAGAATGATAATGGTAAAAAATGGCAAGATAGTGAAGACTGATTAAAAAAAAAAATCAGGCGATTTCCTCAGTAAGGTATAGCACAATGTGCTGCAGCCGCTGGGACATGGTTGAGAAAGCTATTAATGCATAGTATAAGAAAAGTAATTTAATCTATTTAATCATGTTCACCATTCTCCAGCATGTGGATTTTCCTATTAATTAAGGCATATTACATATATGCTATCAAAAGAAAAAAAAGTGTTTTCCAGATTTTGATTTAAATTACTTGGGTGTAAAACTGTACTATCAGAAGGTGTCTGGGCTTTTCAAACTACAATTAGCATTATATTTTTCACGGCAGCTCTACAGTTTGAAATCCATCTTTCAAATTAACAATGAATGTAAGCAAATATACTGCCCTCCCCTTCAAGAATCAGCTAGTTTATAAAGAATTTAAGATAAAGGCATTATAACACTGTTCTGACAGACAATGACAACGTTTTAGATACAATACCTGCTAAATAAAAACATGAAATTCAGCAAGATTTTGTTAATCATTTCATTTTATGGAAAATTCGTTCATTCAATTTTCCCAAGACAAAATGGTCTTTTCCCCTGAAATATTAAAATAGCTAAAAAGGCTTTTATACTATCCAGTATAAAGGTATAGTTCAGACCTCCATTTATCAAAATGTGCTTCACTCTCCATGGTCCCAAGAAAAAAGTAAAACTCCACAAATACTGTCAATAATAATGATGGAAGCTTAGGAATTCAGAAGCATGTATTCTTTAGCTAAGAATTGATTTCTGATTAGAGCAGGCCATGATTGTGACAGAAAAATTAAAGAAGAAGGATAGAAAAAGCTAAGACAGGTTTATTTCCTAAGACTTAACATTAAGAGTCATAATTGTTATGAATAATGTAGTGATCTCAGTTGCATGTCACATCTTATCTGTTAATAAATAATTGATATATATTAATAATTAAAATTGAGAATTTGTATATTGACAAAAGAGAAAATCCAATTCATAATGAAGGCATAACAAATATGAATCTCTACTGAAGCATATAGCATCAGAATGGCAATAGCAAAAAAATTAGGAAAAAAATTGAGCAAAATTCAGTTTTATTGGTGTCAGCCATTAGTATCTGTAAAAAAATCACTGCGACCTAAAATGATCTCGCTGACTTTAGCAATATAATGACAAAGAAGGTTTAATGATGGTAAACTACCATATTTTAGATAAAAATTTCTTCTTTAATAGTCTATATATCTTTGTAAACAACAACAAAAAAATCAACATTAACCTGGATAGTGAGGACTAAAAATTTTCAAAAACGCACAAATTACACTACCTCATTTTTGATCACATGTAATACAACAGTCAAAACCAATGGGAGATTTTTTTTAATGGCTCGCCTAAGGAATTACTTCATCAAAGAGGAAATAAAATGCAATTACAGATAATTTCAAAAATAATGAAAATGATAACCCAATTTCCAGCTTTTATAAATTCTCATAATTTGTTACTTACATAGTGATGAAAGATGAAAATACAGGTAGAGGTACAAACCTATATTCCATTTTTATGTTTACTTTGGAAAATATTAAACATACAGAAAAGTAGATAGAAGAATGTAACAAACCCACATGTACCTAGATTCATTAACTATATTAGTTGATTTGTTCAAATTTGGATCTGAATAATGTCCACACATTGTGTTTTGGTTGATAAGCCTTTTAAGTCTCTTTAATCTGTAAGTCCTTTCTCTCCTCTCCCATTCTCACACAGCACTTGGGTGATTAAAGAAACCTGAATATTAGTACTAGAGTATTAGTACATCCTAGCAATATTTATACATTATATAATAGAAAGTCCTACATTCTAGATTTCTTTGCTTAGTATTATTCACACATCTCTCAGTGCCCAGAATATCCTGTAAACTGGTAGTTATACTAGAAGTTTGATAAGATTCAGACTTGAATATTTTTGGCAAAAATATTTCGTAGGTGTCGTATACTTCTATTAGGAGGCTCAGAATATTCAGTGCTCCATTTTTTGGAATATTAACAGCCATTAAAATCATCACCTAAATCCATTTTATTAAGTTTTGCACAGTGGAAATATTATAATTCTACCATTTTGTCTTTATTCATTAGTTGGAATAAATACAGGGAGGCTTCACTCTTCAGCTATTTAGTTATCTTGAGTTACGGTTAATTTAGGAAAGGCGTGTTAAATATTTCTTTCCCTATAGGTTTCAGAATATGTTGGTTTCCTACTATCATCCAAAGATTATCAGCGATATCAATTTTATAATCTATAGATTGGTGTAAAAGTAACTGCAGGTTTTGCCATTGAAATTAATGGCAAAACCTGCAATTACTTTTGCACCAACCTAATATTAAGAATTTTAAAATATATTTTATGTGATTCAGTCCATTACAGTTACTTCCTTTGTTTCAATCTTTTTATTTTACCTCAGACTGGCTAGTGGTAGTGATTTCAAGCTGGCTCCTCAATTCTTGTGACAGAACTTTAGTAAGCTTTGATACCTTCCTTATTTTCTAGTGTTATGAGATGTTTCAAGCTCTAGTATATACCTGGTTCAAATGTGGTATCAGTCATTGCTCCAAAGAGTCACAAAAGTTTGGATAAATTAAAAAGTGCAAGATCAGTAATAAAAATATTGGGAAGCATTCCTAACTTATGTGGTGAACACCAGTAAACATAATTCTGCTGTCCACCTATCCATTCCAGGGTACAAACACCAAGTTTAAGAAACGTAAGTTCTGTGCTGATGTAGCAATTATTGCAAGTTTCTTACAACTTAAATTTTATAGTTTTGACTACATTTTTTTCTCATGATTTACCATGAGTGTTTGTGTTTGGTCATCTATGTATTCTTTAAACTATATGTCATAAAGTTGAAATTCCCAATATAAGCTAATATTTTATAAATTAGACCTGAAATAAAAACAAAAAATATGGAATTTCTTAAATATCCACCTAAATACAAGCTTTGATAATAATCTGGAGAATAAAAAGCATAATACATACTAGGTATTTGTCCATTCTCACATTGCTATAAAGAACTACCTGAGACTCAGTAATTTAATCAAGGAAAGAGGTTTAATGGACTCACAGTTGCATAGGCTTAACAGGAAGCATGGCTTGGAGGCCTCAGGAAACTTATAATCATGGCAGAAGGTGAAGGGGAAGTAAGCACATTTAACCATGGTGGAGCAAGAGAGAGAGAGAGACAGTGAAGGTGGAAGTGCCATGTGCTTACAAGCAACCAGATCTTGTAAGAACTTACTATCACAAGAACAGCAATGGGGAAGTCCACCCCCATGATTCAATCAACTCCCACCAGGCCCTTCCTCCTACATGAGGGGATTACAATTCACAATGAGATTTCAGTGAGGACACAGAGCCAAACCATATCATACTGGCAACAAAAAGATGAGAGGAATATACAATCGTTATTTAAGAAAATAACCTTTATTTAAAGCAATTATATAAATGTATAGAAGTTTTGGGATCCACTTCTAAATAGTTCTAAATGCTTATTTATACATGTGTCTGTATGTATATATACATGCATGTCTGTCACACTGGCAGTATAGCATCATGTTTAAGAACACGATTTGTAAAGTCAGACTGCCTGAGTCCTTTTAATAACTGTGTGACCCAAAAGAAGTTACCCAACTCCTTTTTCTTTCGGTTTCTATGCCTTTAAAATGGGTATAATAATAACTTATCGTAAGAATGCAAATGAATTACTACAGATCCATCATGATTTGTCCAACATCAGGAATAAAAGCTCTGAAAACCAAAAGTTTATTCAAATTCTGAACTATGATGAGGCAGTTTATAGTATTTAATAATCCCTCTTGCTTTTGCTTCAGGGAGACTAATGTGTCTGATCACAGGAAGTTGTTCCAGACTCCACTAGAGAATTAATAAGCTTTCATGTCTGAGCATAGGCTATTGATTTTTCATAAACTGTCTTTCAACACTACTGCATCCTTTTAATACTTGCTTCTACTTTTTTCTTAAATGGGAAAGATACTTTAAGACTCTCAGGATTATCTCATTTCTTAAAACATATACATGAGATTATTTTTAACTATCTTTTTAAACATATATTTATATCAGTATTATGAAGCACATCACAGTTGACTAAATAAACCACAAACCTATAAAGAATAACATTTCTCTAAAACTAAAGTGACTTGATATTTGTTTTGGATTATTATGGATTATTATACAGCTTGTGAATGGTTAAAAACATTCCACAGTCATTTAAATTTCTAAGTTTATTTCTTTTCCAGTTGCATTAAATATAAATACTCAAGAAAAATAATATTTAAAGTATCTATAAGGATTGCCATTCTAACTGGTGTGAGATGGTATCTCATTTTGGTTTTGATTTGCATTTCTCTGATGGCCAGTGATGATGAACATTTTTTCATGTGTCTACTGGCTGCATAAATGTCTTCTTTTGAGAAGCGTCTGTTCATATCCTTCACCCACTTTTTGATGGGGTTGATTTTTTCTTGTAAATCTGTTTAAGTTCTTTGTAGATTCTGGATATTAGCCCTTTGTCAGATGGGTAGATTGCAAAAATTTTCTCCCATTCTGTGGGTTGCCTGTTCACTTTGATGGTAGTTTCTTTAGCTGTGCAGAAGCTCTTTAGTTTAATTAGATCCCATTTGTCAATTTTGGCTTTTGTTGCCATTGCTTTTGGTGTTTTAGACATGAAGTCCTTGCCCATGCCTATGTCCTGAATGGTATTGCCTAGGTTTTCTCCTAGGGTTTTTATGGTTTTAGGTCTAACATTTAAGTCTTTAATCCATCTTGAATTAATTTTTGTATAAGGTGTAAGGAAGGGATCCAGTTTCAGCTTTCTACATCACAAGGACAGAAAACCAAACGCTGCAAGTTCTCACTCATAGGTGGGAATCGAACAATGAGAACACTTGGACACAGGGAGAGGAACATCACACACTGGGGCCTGTCGTGGGGTGGGGGCAGGGGGGAGTGAAGGCATTAGGAGAAATACCTAATGTAAATGATGAGTTAATGGGTGCAGAACACCAACATGGCACATGTATACATATGTAACAAACCTGCGCGTTGTGCACATGTACCCTAGAACTTAAAGTATAATAATAAAGAAAAGAAAGTATCTATAAGGAAATGACAACTTTTTAAGTGAACAGCTTCTCTGTCTAGTTCCTACTGACTGAGCTGTATGTACGCTGGAAAGGGAACAAGACACACATTTAATAGAGGAGGGCCAAGAGCACTGGAAGAAAGTCTGAACGTTTGGTTCATCCACAATACACAGACACTTCAAAATAAAATAAATCATTTAAGAGTTAATTTATGTAGGTTTACATAAACTTCTGGTTTCTGTTTCCTATTTTTCATTTTTTCCTTCATATAAAAACCACAGGAAGCATTACTGTTGTCAAATACTTGACCCGTTAAGTCACTCAAACCATATCTGCACAGTGGCCACTTCACGTTTCCTTTCAAAACCTTCATCAAACAGTTAATAGTTATAGCTTTTTAAAAAATCTTCATTTGAATAGGAAGCTTGTTTAATTCCTCTACTTTACTCCTATATACAGTATCATTCTTTTCTGTATGTACATGAAAATGTGATGGTTGTCATGGGCTCCCTCACAGGTAATAATTTTTGAAGTTCTTACCTCCTCAAGACTAATACAGATCAAAATCATTGTAGGGGTCAAAAATCCTTCACTTAATTAATTGACTATATTGAAATTATTTTAGTTTCTGAACATATATGGGGTAGTCAATGAAATCAAAATTAGTTTTGAGTGACAAGAGACAGTACAGAAATGCCTCTTTTATATCTGAAGGGTTGTAAAATTCAGTATAAAACAACAACAACAAAAAACTTCATGCAAAAAAGAACTGGAACCATTACAGAAAAAAAGAAATTCTGAAACCTAAATGATCAGTTTCATCTACATGAATAATTCAATATTAGGTGTAATTCCAAAAGGATATAGCAAGTTTCAAGATTCAATTTATTATGTTTTTGATCCAATGAAGTAGATCAAAGCCCCAGACTAGGAACTTTCTACAAACTACATATAAAAATGCCAAGTGATTTTCATCACCTTCTGGTTTATTTCCCAGTAAAAGAACCTATCAATGAGGTTTCATTCCTAACTGCTGTATTTCTGCATAACATGATAAAGCTGAATATGTTCCATTACCACAGTTTCCTACTCACGGGTTGTAAGCTCATTTTATATTTAAAGTATGAAAGTTGTGGAAAACCCATTATTTGAATATTTTAGAAAGAATCATAATCAAATATGGTTTTTGAATGGAAATTACAGAATGAAAAGCAAAGTCTTCACACTTTCTAAAGTACCAATTTGCAACTCTTGTATTTAAAAAAAAAATACAGATGGACGTAAACTTGTACAGGACCTCTAAAAGTCTGCTTGTGCTGGTACCAATAAAGTCTATTTCTTCCAGACAGTCTCCTTATGAACCTGCTCTGAAGACATGAAGATAAATGTAAGCTATCAATCACTTCCATGGCAATAGATTGTGATGTCAAAACAGAGAGGAATACAGATTTATGGTAAGATGGCATATATTTGGATAAACAAAAAATTTAGCAAAAGGTCTAAAAACAGGTAAAATGGGCAGGATTATGTTTACTTACATCCTGAGGTTTCTTTAGTAGCACAAATTACATATTGTTATAAAAGAATTAAACTTCATTTATATCTTGATATCTATATTCTTCTTCAAAATTATTCTCATTTCAGGGCATTGGAAAGCTCACGTAACTTAAAAAGAGGACAATTACTGTTGATATTTTAATATTTTCATACTCTAACAAATTAACATTTCATATTAAGTAAAAATAATTATGTACTTATGCAATCAAAAATGTACAGTAATAGTGATAACTACATTCATTCTAAAAGGGAGCAATATCAGTACCAAGGGGGAAACTGATTCTTAGAGGGGACAAAAAATACTACTCTTTTTATACACATACATAAACAGATACACAGCATATTTGTGGTATTAAAAATTTCATCAGAAGACATTAGGAAACAAATTCTAAAATGGCTGGTATGGATGATAATGAACAAAAGTTTCAAAAACACGAGATATACTCCCATTAGCTGAGAAAAGAGGACTATAAGATGATACAAAGTGGATGAACAACAAAGTGACAGAAATTTTGCCCTAAGAGAGAAGGAGTTTGCACTCTTAACACTGAGGAGGTAGATCAGTAGGAAAAAGTTTAGTCCAGAAATTTAAGTTATAGCAACTCTTTTCATTAGCCATGTGCTTGGCCACATTACTTAACTTTCCTTACTCTTGCTTTCCTAAATCTGTAATGGAGACAACAAAACCTAAGCTCATGAGGTTGCTAAATTGAATGTAATAATGGAGGTGAATCCTTAGCACAGTGCACTGCAAATAATAAATAATATGTTAGAAATAAGTATTAATAATATGTATTTTAATATAAATTTATATTGACAAATAAAAACATTAAGGCTAATCTTCCAAAGCCTAAAACATGTTACAAGATGAACTTAATACTAAAATAATCTGAATATAAAATAGGATCCTTTAATGCTTTAGTGACCAAATTCAAGAATAAGATATTGAATGGAACTGTAGAACCTATATTTGTATAAAATTTTAGGTGAGTACACCTCCATCTGCTCAAGATGATGTATACATTTATAAGCCTTAAGGAGAGGGGCTAGACCAGATGGTCTTGTATTCTCTTCCACCTCTATTCTTTTAAAATCTCAAATAATTTCGGTTAAACAAATATGATCACTCAAAATCATATAAAAGATACAACTTCTTAGCCCATGTTTAAGAACACAATAGCTTATATTTTGAAACAATTTGTTTTGCATGTGAATTTAGTCAAAAATAACAAACGATAACTGCATTCATAATTAACAGTTCTGTGGCTTTCTTGAATATAAATCAGAAAGAAACAATATTTGTTTAATGCATTACTGAAAGTTCATGTTCTAGTAGCCCTATGTGAATTGTCAATGTGTATTCCATAGCTTGTTATGATTTATCTTCATCACCCACAGGCCAAAATTACCAGACTCCAATTACTTTGCTTCCTAGATTCAAGAAAGAGAGAGAGAAATTATGTTAATCCTACCACAGGAGATGGTTTAAAATGCCCGAGGTAAAGAAAGTAATCTACTGTTCTCTGACATTCACTGCCTGAAAGTCATTCACATTAACAACCATTCAAACTTGTTTAGTGCAAGCCAATTGCTTCTATTTCCCTCTTGTCAGTTACATTAGCTCCAATTCAAATTTAACTCTTATAAAATTAAAAAAATAAAACTCTCTCAAAGCCAGACAAGGGTATATGTGGGTGCTGACAGAATATAATGCTTCTGAATTTACCAACTTTAATAAGATAAATTTCAAAGTTTGATTTTCAAGAAGTACACTGTACTCTTATATGCTTATATTTGTTCTCTTTTCTAACCCTCATAAACTTGGGTGTAATGAATGGACAAATAAACATATTTGTCAATTTAAAACAAAAAAATAAAAATTATCATTTATACTATGGACAGCATCAGCAGAAAAAGCAAACGTCCCTAATTTCAACCAAGACTATGTCATTACTTATGATTATGAGGTAGAGATCAAGTTACATTTCAAACTGCATAATATAATCTAATATTCTTTCACTAAGAACTATGAAACTCATATAACAGACCATTAACTTCCAGACAATTTAGAGCTTACAAGGTTAACATCAGCACTACAAAAAGGAAATGGGGATGACATTTAAATAACAGTAAGTGGCAATATACCATTATACAACCTAATGAGGATACTAGTTTTGATGTTTATCTATTATGTTGAACTATAAGACTTACATTTTACAAGCAGATGAACCTTTTTTTATATTATTCAAGACATAAATCTTACATGTGTTGCTAAAAATGTATGATATATAATACAGCTACCAGTGAACTGAATCTTACATTTTTTAAAATCTAAATTTACTCCATTTTATCTTGTTTTGTCCTCTGTGTCTTTGCGTGTGTTTATACATTTGTGCATGAAAGAGAAAATGAGAGGACACTGACCTCTTTTTGGGCCTTCCCATGTCTGCATGTGTTGGGAAAGCCAGAATGTGGGTATAGCTCATGCACTCCTTAAAACTGTCTTAACACTTTTCATATATACAGAAAGAGCCTGAGATGAAAGCAATAAATCCAAATATATTTAGAAATAATTGATTGAATTGATTGTCAAATCCTTGCTGAAGGCAGTATTTCAACTTAAGAATGAGTCACATACTTCATGTGCTCAATTAATGAAAGAAAGAGCAGACATACTTAGTTAAATCTATTAGGGAGAGGTCCATTAATCGTAAACTTTGAGTAGTAAAACAAATTGCAGGAAGCTACAAATATTGATAAGATCTGTAGAGAATCTTGCTCAGAGACGGTAGTCAAATACTTGGAAAACAGCAATGTGGACATCAACACTGATAGGCTTTTGTGCCTTCGGGTTTTCTGTTTTTCTATGTGATTAGCACAATTCTAGGTGCTACTTATTTGAACACTGTGCCAGTTGTTACTCTTAAATTATTAAGATCAAAATGAAACCTAACTTTCTACTTATTTATGTTTAATATGTTAATGTTTTATATATAATACTTAATGTTAATGTTTAATATTCATTATTAATATGAATAACATTATGCTTAACATGTTTCTATTTATTAGAATAAAATACTTTTTTCCTACCAAGAAATATTTGTAAATGCAGTTATCATTCTACCTTTACTTCATTGAGATGTTTCGACTGGTTTTGGACTGGGATGGGCTTAAATTAGTTAACAATTTTTCATTTTCCCCATTCTCTTGGGTAGATTTATTCTATAAAAATACAAATGCATGATTAAACCTAAGCTCATGAGGTTGCTGAATTGAATGCAATAATGGAGGTGAATCCTTAGCACAGTGCACTGAAAATAATAAATAATATGTTAGAAATAAGTATTAATAATATGTATTTTAATATAAATTTATATTGACAAATAAAAACATTAAGGCTAATCTTCCAAAGCCTAAAACATGTTACAAGATGAACTTAATACTAAAATAATCTGAATATAAAATAGGTAGCTTGGTAGAAAAATATTTTGCAATTTCCCTTATAACTTTATGCATGGTGGCAGATAAAATGGAGAAATGTTATCACATTTGGAATAGAATAAAGGTTAATAAAAAGCTGAATTAGCTTACTTCTTAGAGCTAGGGTTTTATATTTTTTATGCTATGGATCCCTTTGGCAGTCTACTGAAGCTTAGTCCGTTTGTGAGAATAAGGTTAAAAAATGCTTAAAATAAAATGCAGAGAATTCCAACAGAAACTATAATACATAACTATATTACTTTACCAACGCATTTAATAGAGGGAAGTCTAATAAATATTGTAATTTCAAAGTAGTGAACAATAAATCATATTCCAAGCTATCTGAAACATCTGTAATGTGATATAAGAATATCTGCAATGTTTGTTGGAGATGAAGTCATTGTTGCTACTAACACTATTGTAGTTTGTGGACTATTTGCAATTAAAGGAAATGCTAAATTAGAGAGTAGTGAAGTGGGACATATTTTATTTTCTTGTACAAGTTCTCCTATGGCCTAAATACAATTCATGGACATGCATAGTAAGAATTCTCATTTTAGAAGAATTCTTTCAAGTCCTCTCCATTATCTTCCTTTGACACACCCAAATCCCTCACTCCTTCTCATTTTCTTCTAGAAGATACCCCAGCACCAACTCTAATTACGTATCTCCAATTAATGGCTAAACAGAAACTATTACATAGCAACTATTGTGTTTACACATAAATATCTATACCAAGATAAAGATATTTCAAAAGGAATATGAATGATGAATCTGAGATAAAGGTAACACTGAGACAATCATTCAAGTTCAGAAGTATAGCTTAGCTCACTATAGAGAAAGCATGTCTACTATTCATGAATAAAGCATGACCCTATAATCCTAGTTCTTAAAAGTTATGACCCTAGGCTCATTTTCAGATGCTTTATTAATAAAATAAAATCTTCACCTACTGGTTGTATAGGATTATTAATTGAGCTTTTGTATATGACATCACTATTAAATTGTCCAGTTCTATTATGATTTACTTTGGTAAAACTTTAACCCTCCAACGCCTCTAACTTATGATAAGGAACTAAACAATATGAGTTTGCTTCAATACTAGTAATACAAGATCAATATCTTCATCTTTAAAAAGGTTTTAAAAAACACAGAACTAAATCTTAAATTAATTTCTCCTTTTCAATCTTTAGCTGGCATAAACTGGTTTGCTGAAGTGCATATAACCAATACTGCTTTAAAATGCACAAAACTAAATTACAGGCTGGGGGGGGAGATTAAAAACATTTAATAAATTATTGGAGGGTAGAAGAAAGGCCAGGGGAAAAGAACACTTGAAAAATGGCAGAAAATATACATTATATGGAATATAATATACATTAGAATGTATGTATATATTAGCATGAAAGCCAAAAAAACCAGGGAAATATTAAAATATTTTCCACATTTTCAAACACATTTCAGAAAATAAAAGCTATCTAAATTATCACAATGGAAGTACAAAGACCTCATTGACTAAATGGTCTCCCCATATCATAGCAAACATAACAGTCCTTCATACAAATTTTACAGTTGAAAGTTTACATGTTTGCATGAAATTATATCTTCTGTGAATTCTATGTGTGCAAATTATGCTAAAACTAATATCAAATCACCTAAGACTTTGGCCTACCGCATTAAAAAAAACCTAAATCAAGGGAGAAACAAAAGAAATGACAGAAACACATGTGATGGGAAAGTTTTCCCTAATCAACAGTAATTATTTCAGTTTTACCTTAGTTTCCAATTTTGTTATATAAAAAAGAAATAATTTTTATTAGGAAGTAATACATATAAAGTATATTGTGTACATTTATTTTATCCAACCATTAATTCTTCCCCTTTTTCCTCTTTACATACAGTATGCACACAGGAAGAGATGTCTGAATTTCACCAAAAGTTAATAATGTTTTCTTTTTGCATGAGAGAGGTTTTGGTTAATTTATTTTTCTTTACTTTTTATATTGTGAGAAGGAAAATCATTCTATCCTATGATGAGGTCTCAGTCTTTTGGTAAGCCTGCATCCCTGGATTATGAAGTTAACCATGGCTTCGCATTATTCCTATATAAATATGTAATAAGTATTTATATGAATATATAAATACCAATATAAACTTAAATAAATATAAAATAGACCCAAAAGGTACACACAATTAGGAAAGTAAAATTATGGAGCTGTTCATAAGATGATTTTTTTTCCTCATTACAAATTTTCAAATATGTCTCTGCCTGAATAAATCTGTAATAAATTTATCATAAATTCATAAGGTACTATGAATACTCAAGCATTTATGAAAAATTAATGAAACTAAAGCCAAATCTATATTGTTTGTAAGAGTTTATATCACAGAACAACTGTAGTTCAATAGTTAAGTGAAAGATGATACAAAAATAAAACATATACGTAAAAAACATTTAAAACTAAAAATAGCATTGGACATTTATCAAAATTCTGCATGACAGAAGAATTTCTAGATTTAGCTCTCAGTTACAAGAGTATTTCTTCTAGATATATGTAAGGATAAAGTTACTATAATTCTGACCAGTACGTCTTCCCCTTGGCTTTAGTATTAACTGTTCATCGGAGACACAGCTTTTAGAAAGTCAATTTTCTCATAGCCTTAAGACAAAATAATTTGGTAACAACAAAGAGCAAAGAGATATTCACAAGGATTGCCTGAAGGTTATGCATTACGGACATTCCCCTAGATAGGCTCCACTTTATCCTTGAACCAAGCATAATCCCAACAGAAAATTTTTTTTTCTTATCTTTAGAATTAAGACAAGGTATGCTTTTCTGATTTATTAATATTTTATCCCCTTAAAAATGTTTATTCTGTGAATAAGAGCATAGATTTTGGACTCAGACTTCCCAGCTCAACCAGCTAATAGCTGTGTGATCTCAGGAAAGGCACTTAACTTCTTTGAGATTCTGTTTCTGCAAATGTAAAATATAACAACATCAGGACTCCTCAGGGTCATTGCAATAATTAAATAAGATAATCGTATCAAATGCTGGACAAAGTTTTTAGAATGTTATGAGTGGCTGGTAAGCATTAGCTGCTATATTATAAATAATAAATACTGTAGTAATTGATACAGATTTTGCTTTTATTACTAGTACATTTAGCATCAAATCTATGGTGTCTTCTAATAACATAAGACTCTCCTCTAGTAACAAAACTCTATAAACATAAATTTTTGTTTACTCTCATTATCCCCCAAGTTCATTTATTTTACCTTTAGTATCACTATTTTTCCCAAAATTACTTATCAACTTAGTATTCTTCTGTTAAATCTTTTTGTGCTTTAGTAAATAACTTAGAATTATTCTTGAAATTAGGAATGATGTAAATTACACATATATCCCTATGTAAATATGTAAATAAAATAAAGGCCAGTTGAATAACATTTTATATTCTATAAAATTAACATTGATATTACGTTTTCTGTTTCCTAGTGTTCCTGGAGTTATCAATATCATCTGGAAAGTACTAGGAATAAAGTATAGCACTTCTGGAAAAATATTCAACTTCCTCAAAAAGACTAAAAATGATAGAAACAAAAAAAACTCCCTCAAAATCAGTCCAATATTTTACTTGAAACACAGCCTGTGCTGTGCCTTATACATAAATATAAATGAAAAACTCACATGAACAGAAAAAAAAATATTTTAACTGGTTGATGAGAAAGCAAAATGACAGAAATATGTACACAGCCAGAAAAAAAATCCAATTTTAATAGTTAAGATTACATTAACACAGCGTTTGCTGGCAAGCACTCTAAACAAACAAAATAAATCTTAAACATACAAGTTTAAATTAAAAATAATCTCAGAAGTTAAAAAAGTTAATTGCATTAATATTTGCCATGCAAGATATCTGTAATGACTTATTTCTAAATTGAACAAAAGGAATGTATAAAATTGTTTTCTTATATATTATTCTAGTTTTTTTCATCTGAGATATACTGGGATCAACTTTGTAAAATGTCAATTTTAGTATTTCCATATTACTTCCCTCCATTAACAGGGTTAAATTACAGTTTGAGTTACTTGGTTGCTACTCAAGAGTAATATACTTCATATAACTAGGTGGATTTTAGCAAAATTTCCTATAAAAATAATTCCTAGATAATTTTAAGTTAAACTGCATTGCCAGGCAGAGTCCAACCACAGTAAGGTTCCCTATGACTAAATACTCTAGTAGGGCAAGATTGTAAAGTTGAATAGACATTTCATGAACTTAATTCTTGCAATTACCACATGTTGTATTTATTAGTAACAGTTCTATCATACAACTGATGATTCACCTTCTTAATATTACTTCTACTTACATGCCTTCCTCAAATTCAATTTAGGACTAATTTTACTTCCTGCACCTGACCTAGTAGCATTTTATTAACCATTAAGTAAAAACTTGTCAAAACATTTACTGTTACCAAAAACCTACTTTTAAATAAAAATTTAACTGAGTTCTACTCTGAGGTAAAATGTTTTCAGTTTTGAGAAACTTTAAAAATCTTATTTAAAACATTATCCTAAAAGCAGAGCAAAATAAGAGTAGTACTTAGAAGTTAAAATCTCCAAACAAAGTCACTGCAATGAAAATGCTTCTGGATCAACAGCAAATGCCAGAAAATGTGTTCTTCTCACAAACTCTTAGGAAGTAAATCTTGTGACATCTCCCAAATAAGCGGCAGCTCAATTTAATTCTTTCTTGCATTTTGATTGAAATGAAAGTGAAAAAGGACTTTGCTCAAAATATAAACAGCCCTAAGTGTTGGTGAGGTGGTAGAGAAAAGGAACCCTTGTTCTCTTTTGCAGGTGGAAATGAAAGTTGAACAACCATTATAAAAACAGCATTGAGGTGCTACAAAAAATGAAAAGGATAACTATCATATGACTCAGCAATTGGCACCTTGTGGAGATATCTGTACTCCCATGTTCACTACAGCAGAGGTCCCCAAACCCCTAGTGACACACTGGTACTGGTCCACAGCCTGTTAGAAACTGGGTTGCACAGCAGGAGGTGAGCGGAAGGCAAGGGAGAATCACCACCCGAGCACCACCTCCTGCCATATAAGTGGCGGCATTAGATTCTCATGGGAGCGTAAACCCTATTGTGAACTGTGCATAATGTTTTAAATAGGTTGTGTGCTCCTTATGAGAATCTAACTAATGCCTGATGATCTGAGGTAGCAGCGTTGCACCCTGAAACCATCCCCTGCCACCTCCTCAGTCCATGGAAATACTGTCTTCCATGAAACTGGTCCCTGGTGCCAATAAGGTTGGGGACCGCTGCACTACAGCATTATTCACAATAGCCAAGATATGAAAACAAGCTAAATGCCCATCAGTGGATAAATGGATAAAGAAATTGTGACATATATCTACATAATTCTTCCCTAAAAAAGGCAATCCTGACATTTGTGACATCGTGGGTAAACCTGGAGGACACTATGCTAAGTGAAATAAGCCAGACACAGGCAGAAAATACTGTGACCTCACTTAAATGTGGAATCTTTTTTTCTTGAAGTCAAATGAGAAACAGAGAGCAGGGAGGGGGAGAATATCTGGAGAATCGGTTACAGGCTATACATTTGCAGTCAGGTTAGGAACATTAAGTAGACAGACAAAAATGTACAGCATGAAGACTATAGTTAATAATATCCTATTGTAAACTGAAAGCACTGCAAAAAGAGTAGATTTCAGGTGCTCTGACACCCTACAAAAGGATAACTATGGAAGGTGAGCTATATGTAAATTTGTTTAACTATAGTAATTATTTCAGCATCTACATGTATGTCAAAACACATTGTATATTTTAACATATACAATAAAAAATAAACAGACCCAAGCCTAAGTTAGAAAAACCTATTTTTAAAAGAAAAAAAACAAAGAAGCTTAAGTAAGCCATGTGTTAGTTAAATTCATGCTTATTGCTATAGATCAATCTCTTTATTTTCTTTCTGGTAAATTTTCTCTTTTAAAAGTATTTATTTTTACCAATGAAATGACTTGAAATAAAGTTAATAGATGAGAAAATTACCCATACAATTATTTCCTGATCTCCACAAGTATCACATAGGGTATTTTTTATTGTTATTTCATCATACCTTGATTCTCTCATTTAACATTGTATTATGTTCATTATTGGATTAAGACGTTACACAAATAACTTTAATGGCTAAAAAATGCTTAATACATAGACATAACATAATTTATAAAACCATCTTGTTATTGTTAAGCATTTCTTTCCAATTCCCACTTAAATATGTTATTTTTTTAATGTGTGTGTGTGTGTGTGTGTGTGTGTGTGTGTGTGTATTATTTTAAGGCCACTATTACAATGGAGACAAATAATATATATAATTTTATGATAAACACCAGGCACTTTCCAGAACTATATGGGATAATACAGTTTACTTTTTATTTGAAAAACAAAATAAATTAATGGTGACAAAATAAATGTTGAAACGTTAGTGAATGAATATCTTCAAATTATAGTAGGCATCTTCCTTTTGTTTTTACTCAGATTTTATTTAAATTAGACTGTGAGCAAGTTTTAATAATGGCAATATGATTTCCTAAATTATTAGTTGGACTATCGTATGTAAAATTTTAATTTTGAATAACACAAAGCCTAATAAGAAACTTCATGAAACAAACACCACAAAACAGACCAAGGCAGATCCTGAATACTGCCTGTGGGAGCCCGAGTGTTGGGGATGAGTTAAAACTCCCCTGCAGGCCACAAATAAGTGACAGGGAAGATAGCTACATCTTTGTCTCTACATCTACGCTTAATTTATACCTATCCATTATACTTATCCATCAATAGATAAGTCTATTTCTATGTTTTTACTCAGCAAAGCCTACTTTACTAGGAGACAATGATTAAAACAACAAGAACAACAAAAAACTCATGACATGGGTAATTCCTTTATAATCTTATTTGGGGGGTTAAAGAAAACTATTCATTTGAACTTGCACTTTCTAAAGGTAATATTTCCTAAATCAATCACTTTATTTAAAATGCAAACAGATCTTACCTGGCATATTATTTACTTGAGAAATGACCTCTTTCTTAGGAGTGCCACCTTGGGAGCTAGCACTGAGAATTCATGGTCATCTCTTAAATTAACAACTGTTGTTACCTTTCATTTTTTTCCATAATAGATGCACATGTTGTCACTAAAGAAGAAGAAATTAAAACGACAATTCCTTCCAAACCACACAGACTTGCAGAGAACATTTAAGCAGTACAAAATTTATCACTAAAATAATGAAAGTAAAAAGGCAGAATGTTTATATTTCATATCAATTGACAGATTATGAATGACTTTAAAATGCTAGTGTTATAGATATTGCAAACTAGCATTTTTAGACATAAGCCCTAGTAAGAAAGCAAAAAAAAAAAAACTGTTAACACTTAGATTGTGCAGTGATGCATATGGATACACGTGCAAATACACAGTTTAGAAAATAATAAACGAATTACACATTTCCATGAAAAGCTTCCTTCAGTTTCACTATAAGATAATTCTCCCATATAATGTATAATGATGTACCTTACAAAGGAAGTAGGATGAATCTAAACTCAGGGAAGGAGTGAGGTCTAGGTGGAGTAGAGAGAAGAGTGAGAAATGGAAAGAAGAAACACTTCAAGTAAAATTTTACTTTCTTCAATACAGTGGATCCAAAGTCATTTCAGCCAGCATGTCACAACCTACTTACACATCAACTAGGTTTGAGTGACAAAAATTCACCAAGCCAGAAATGATGCAGTATTTGTCAAAAAGATTGAACCGCACTTTCATATTAGTACAAAAAACCGACAGTGCATGATTATTGCCACAAGCATGAGGTTGTTTAGGGGATAATGCGAGCACCTTAACAGTAGGTAGTAATGGAAAATGTCTAACTCTCTTTCTTACCTTTCAAGGCAGGCACTTGTAATATGCCTTGTTATCCTGCCAAACCATTTCTCACTCCAGACTCTTTAAGTACCACCTGTCCAAGCTGAGAATATATTTTTAACTGAAGACATATACAATATTCCTCACTAAAAACCACGATATAACAAATGCGTTACTAGTCCCATGAAAATTAAACTATTATGTACTGTTTGTAATAAGGGAGCAGCTCTGTTTTGCTGTTGTGCTGCATGAAGTAGACATTGATTTCTCTATTATTTAGAGACTTCTGATGATTTGTATATTAAAGGGCTGTAAGTATGCCCTATTGTTTTATAGAAGAATATTTTAAATTCTGGATGAATTTCTTCATTAGATCAATTCTTGATGTTAAATTTAAGATAAAGGTAACATTTACCCCATTTTAACTTTATTATTACAAGTATATGTATACATGTTTCAGTCAAAAATATGTTTCTAAAAGCTTAGATTTCCAAATTTGACTCTCTTAGAGCCAATTTCATAATTGAGGCACTTCTAACTCGTCTTCTTAAAAAATAAGGGATTGATCAACCAACTCTGGAGAATGTTTTGAAAATCTTTTCACTACACAACTAATAACTGATTTGACTAAGCAGAGCTTTAAAAATGGGCTTACTGGTTATTTACAAAATTATAATTATAAAAATGTTATCACTGAGATAAAGGAGATCAGCTAAAAAAGTAGAAATCAAATTAATACCCAGGATAATTAGCATCATACTTAAGGACTGGAACAGCTTAGGGAATGAATCACTAACAATTTTCCCTACCTTTGTTTTAATAATAGGCAATTGTACAGTCATCTTCTTCAGATGATATTTGTACTGCTGTTCTTAATAAAACAACTCAGTCTTGCTGACCTACTTTTTAGTTTATAATAACATTCCAGTAAAATCTGAAAGGGTAGAAACATTTATTTTCTTCTCTTCACTGAAAGAGAGATAGGTGCTTTATCTCCCCTGTGCTACTGAAAATCCTTGGAAAGTCTAAATATTTAAGTTTGTCCTACAGAGGCTTCTGACTCAAGGGTTTAAAAAATCAGGGTAATTATTTTCGCTCATTACCAAAGCACTCAAGTGTAGAACTTGATAAAAAATTTTAAAAATAAGTTGTTCTAATTGGATGTTGTAGTAAGATATCAAAGTAATACTGATATGTAGATATATATATATAGTGTGTGTGTATATATATAATGTGTATATATATACACACCCACTATAGATATATGCATATCAATGTATATATACTAGATATATATGTATGTATATGATATGCACATACATATACACACGTACATATAAGTGTGTAACATGTACATATGTGTGTACATACGTGTGTATATGACATATATTCTATATCTAGCATATATACATATATATTCTCTCACACACACGAACTATAGGTATATCAATATATTCCAAAGAATGGGCACACCAGCACTGCTAATCATGGGGCCATATGCTCAGGTCCTTCTCCTGTCATCCTGTGGAGGCATCTGAAGGGTGCATATACAGCATATGAGCACCAGGAACCACTAGGGTGAGGGACAATGAGAAGTAAGAGAGCAATAAAGGGACGAATATAGAAATATGCTCAACACACATTAGCTTACTTGCAAGTATGCCTGGGATTGGATGATAAAAACCAACAGTAAACTACATTTGATTCTGCCCTTAGCATAATGCTCTGAGCTACCCATTCTGGGGAACAATTAAAATGCAGCTACAGAAATCACAATTCAACAAACTGATCACAGTTCATAAATCACATATTGAACAAATTTAAATACTTGTGAACACAAAACAATCTGCTACATATTTTTAAGTTATCTCTATGTAAAATAATTACCAGTTTCTGCCCTTGAGCAGGGAGGCTTGAGTAATCAGAATAGTTCATGCAATAAGATACTAACATATACAGTGAAATTTTTCCTACAAGAGCATAATTTCTAAAAATGTGGTTGAAAGAAACTTACTTCAATTTCCAATTCAAGGAAATTATAGTATACTCATGAATCTCGCAAGAGGAATTAAATGGTGATGACACTTAAATCTGTATATCCTGCTGTCTGCCCTCTCTATGAACCATAAACCCAGGAAAATAACTGCCTGACCCAATGCCTCATTTCTAAAAATAAGCACAGAGATTTGCCTTCTAAAACTTTCCCCAATGTTTGAGCCCTTCAAGTTAAAACCTGTCCCTATACCTTAATGTTCCAAGCCAGAATTCACTTCCAATGTGTCACCAAGTTCTACTGATTCTACCTATCAAATCTCTTTCAACACCTGTCTCCTCATTGGAATTCTTATCTCCTCTGCTTCGGTTCAAGTACTGATCAATTTTTGCTTAGACTGAAGTAGCAGCCTTCTAATCTTTCTGAAATCTCCTTTCAGTCCTTTTCTTAAACTATCATTAGAGAAATCTTTAGAAAACACAAATTATTCTAAGCATTCTAATAAAAATTCAAATAATTCATTCTTTAAAAAATGTATTCCCTTACATAAAATATTTTAATGTATTAATTAAGAATTAAGATGAACTGATGGATGAATAAAAAGATGTAAAGGTAGATCAACATTTAGTATAGCAAATACAGCAAAGGTAAATTATAGTGGTGGACATATGAGTGTTCACTGTATAATTCCTTCAGATTTCTGCATGTTTGTAGTTTTTAAAATATTAGAGGAAAAATATCTTTAATGAAATGACTTTTAATGTAGCAATGGCTAATATTTACTATGGTCTTCTTATGTCTCATACATTGTGCTAAGTAAGCACTCTGCAGGAGTCATCTCCATTGATGTGAAGGAAAAATGTTTAATATTGTAAACATGTTTGTGGCTATCCAGAAAGAAGAAGGAGTGGGGAGGGAAAAGAAACCCTCATTTGTAGCACTTAAAATTTCAGTGCTCTAACGTTGCCACTAGCGTAAAAATTAGGAATAAGTGAGCATCAGAGGATCATTATATAGTGTTTCCAACATACAGATAAAATAAACATAAATAACCTCAAGAATAGAAATAATGGTATAATATATTAAAATAACTAGGAGGTTTAAGTGCATGTTCCTTTGTTTAAAATATACTTGTAAATATATATAAATTTATTTCAAAATAATCATTTCACAACCAGCTGGCAAAATTCCTGCAAATTTAATAAATTGATTGTTAGCTTTAGTACATGCCCAAATAGCTCAAAAGTATCAAATTGGGCAGGTTCAGTTATTGATTTTTATTTTATAGATGAAGAAGTGAAACATTACATTAAATTACTTGCACATCAGTAAGGATTACAGCAAGATTTGAACCTAGACTTTACTGGCTCTCAAACCTTAAGATAACCACCTATTTTACTGATTGACTGCTTGATGAAATTATACTCATATTTTAGAGATGTTTTGTGCACATCTATTATACAGCTTATTGGTTTAATTATTAACCTGCATGTCTACCTTCTAACCATTCTGGGCAGCTCAACACAGAAATGCATTCAGGCAGCCTCAGTTTGCATTTATGAGTTTACACTAGTGCCTGACACACAGCAATTACTCAGTACTTGTGAGCTACTGTAATCATAATTCTCTAGACTTTGAGTAGCTAGAGAACAGAGTTTTTATCTTAGAATATCCAGTAATTTAGACAGAGTCTAGAATACAGGAGATACTCATGTAAAAGAAAAGCTTAAAAATGCAATACAAATGATAGTCTTGGTTTTTCTCCTACAATAGCTGTTTGATATTGATCAAATCACTTCCCTATTGAGACTAAATGCCCAGAATGATGATTAATAAAGGAGTTGGACTTGATTAATTATAAAGCACTTACTTGCACTAAAACCATATGATTGGCCTTGATGGTGTCAGTAAAGCGCATTGATATAATACTTTCAAAAAGTAGTTGAATAGTATTTGTCAAGAACTTTTCAGTTATGTGGAAAAAAGGTACATTCATGATCTTCACCGCGGCTTTTACAATGGCCAATAGCGGGAGTTAGTCCAAACTTTCAGTAACATAAGAATGGTTACATACATTCAGATATATATATATATCCAACAGAATATTAAGCAGTCATTTAAAGTGATGGTGATAATGTTCTGTAGAAACAAAGGAAATGGGTTGGCATGATGGCAATTACAATAAGCGGAATATAGAACTGTATATACTTTGTACTTTACAACTAAAATACTCCCAGGAACAGAGAAAAATAATAGTGCATTGACAAAAATGACAATAGTTTTGTAAACATTCTAAAATAATGAGTTTTTTTCTAAATTCTAGTTGCAACATTTGATGTATTATTTTAATATATACATAATTTAAAAAAATAATTTGGGTACGTAAGCTCTATGCAGTCTTTACAGAATATGGGACTTCCAGCAAGGGCCCTCCAAAGAAATCAAGCTTAAGGATAGCTAGTTCACCCATGTCACATTTTATCCACCTAAACAGAAAGGATTTGGCTGTTGTAGAAAGAAAACTCTAAATCAGTATCTGCCCCCCACCCCAAATAAAAGCACAACATCCAAACATGCACAATGCACACACATGCATGAAATGCAAAATTAGCTGGAGGAGAGAGATGGAGAAGCAGGAAAGAGGACTCTGGAACAATGACTCTGCTTTAATATTCTTCACTAATATAATTTTTAAGGTGGTATCTAAATTTTTAAAATTAATTCCTCTTAAAAGGAGAGTGTGTACATATATATATGCATATGTGTGTGTATATTCCTTGTATTAGCAAAAGGTATTATAGGTTCATATGTAACAAAAATATGGTTTTTAGTAAATTTTGGGTAGGTTGAATAACAGGACAGAATATAGCAACTGCTTAAAATAATTTAATTAACAGGTAATAATAAACTGTTTTATGATTGCTTATTATTATTTTGTTGTGGTGAGGGACTATGTAGAAGTGGGAAATAATAACATAGCCAAAGAATGAAAGATGAGTTCTTTAAACTCAACTTCACTGAGATGATTTGGCTGAGACAATTAAAATGAACATCACTCAATGATTTCTAGGCCATATCATATGTAGTGACAGCTGAATTTGCACAGATCTTGCTTAGGGTGACATAAAAGGCATGAATTTCTGCCCTTTGAAGTTCATTTTTTACTGAGTTCACAAAGTTTACTATAAATAAGAAGACTTGGGATTAGAATTCACTCATTTGCTTTTTCCTTTGAACATGCTTTTTTTCCCCTCTGCAGTTTACATTCAGGTTGGTGGAGAGGAAAGAAGATTGAAGAGTTATCCTCCAGCAATTATTAGCCATGATAAGGCCATATCTTGCAGGAAGACAATGAAGACCAGAAAGTGAGATCCTAAGCTGATGATTCCATGTAGTAATGAGTCAAATTAAATGATGAAAATAATGAGATTCATCCATATATCATTTTTTTCAATCAAGAAATTGCACAGAATGACCAACACTCCCCCAAAATGCTAATAATACCTAGGATGGGTATGGTTATCCATACCCATCTGTCAGAACCTGATTTAGAGATTTCTTTCATATTTCAAAACAAAGAAAGGAAATCACAATTCAACAAAAGATATGAATAGGGTGTGAGAATTGAAGACAGAAGTAAATTCTCTAGGTAAAGAGAAAGAAAATCAAGAGCAAGTCTATACCTCATAGTGACCCCAATAGCACCATCAAAGAAAAGTCTCAAACTCACAGGCTAGATCTCTTGAACCTGTCTTTGTGACTAACACATCCCTTAGAGTTTGATGCCTAGATCTATATCTTTAAAATTCTATCTAGGTCATTTTCTTCATCATATACTCCTGGTGTTATCATCATTTAAGACATTATAAATATACCATTTTACTTTTAAAGCCATTTCTACTTCCTGATATCAAATAAAAAACCTAGGACTTGAGGGGAAAGAACATTTCATGAGACTGATGCTGTTATTCAAATCATTTCTACCTGAAGATTTATTGTAGTTATGCAAAATTCAATAAAAACAAACAAAGCCAATAAAAAGAGTACTTAATGATACAGTTAACAGACTCAGCATGTGGTAAAGTACTATGAATAAATAAATACAGTGTCATTAACACTGGTTACCAAATGTCTTTCACCAACTAGTCAGTCAGATGACACAATTTTAAGGTGAAAACAACCCAACTCTATTAGTAAAGTTAATTACACTGCTACTGATGATACCACCTATAAGGAAATGTGCCTTGAATTGGGATGTATGACTAACTGTACAACCTGCTCCTGAGGTGAAACCCAAAAGGTACTGGGCAAGGCTATTTCATATTTGTTCAACTTTCATGACTCTTATGCTGGGAACTCCTAGCATAATAGACCATTAGCAGAATGTATAGGTGTTGATTACCTTATAAGTCAGTCTGTCTCTGTCTCTCCATTTCCATAGAAATTTAGAATAACATTTCTATATTCCCATGAACCCCAGAGGTTTAAAAAAACACAAACAACTTTGATGATATATATTAGAATATGAACTATATCTTTCATTTTAATACCTCCATCTGTCCATATAGATTTCCTATATCTGAGTAGAAAGGAAAGAGGGAAGGCAAACCATCCTTATGGTGACTACTGGCTAGACATTGTTTTATGCATTATTTCACAAGTAAGGAATTATGGATAAGGCCATGGCTTTGTTCAACGGAAGCATTAAACCAACTCTGTTTAGAAAAATTAATAGTGTTTGGGAAAAATTATTTTTGGTCAGATATTATCCCTCTCTTCTTTGGATTACTGAAGTATGTTATATTTTTATTGTATCATTTATTATATTTTTATTATGGTTATAACACTAGCCTGTCAATTCCTTAAGAGCAGGAATGTTGTCTTCTCAATGTTTTATCTTCTGCAGTCCTGCGTGTGGCGATGTGTACAACTTGGGCCCTCACTAAAATTTGTGAAATAATTAAACATCTCATCAAATACACAGTAGCTCTTGAATTTATCTCCAATCTCTCATGATTTTCCCCTCTAATATAATGTATTATACCATTTTTTTCATGTGTATTAATATTGGACAATTCACATATTTGAATAAGAAAAGTAATTCAAACAATAAAGTTATTCACTTATAACATATCTTTAAAATCCCCTTATAAAAGTAACCTTCCTGATTATTATGAATGATAATATTTTCCAGGAATTTATGGATTTCCTGTTTCTGATTTGAAATGAGAAAGATGCTGTAGAGAAGACATCTATCTATCTATCTATCTATCTATCTATCTATCTATCTATCTATATGCATGTTTTCATGATCTCTCTGCTTCTAGTCCTTCCTTAGCTTCCAGAGATGGGATGATCCTTTTACAAACAAATCTAGTAATGTCAGTCTGTATCATACAAACAACTAGGTAATCATGTTAGATTATGTTATTATCCATAATATATTCTCTTTCTTTTCTAATAACAGAGCAAGATTAGTAGACATTCCTGATGAAATAGTAACCATGGTTTCTCTCAAATTTGCAGTCTACCTGAAAATTAGCAGAATGTATAGGTGTTGACTACCTATACATTATCCATTAGAGGTAGATCATGTTAGACTTAGCTGCAGCTCACCTGCCAGCCTCAGTTCTACCACAAGCCTAGAGTTAGCCAGTGATCCACCTGAACCCATCTATTTTCAGAAACCCAAAAATATCATTAATGTTTACGAGGAGGTAAAAACATGCAGTTTGCTCTCATTTTATTCATTTCACTTTGCATTTATTCTGTTTATAGGTCTGGTCCCTAGTGACTTCTAGGAGCTTAAGTGTGAGGCATTGGTTGTATAACTTTGAAGACCTATTAATTAACACGGTACTGTTAACAAAGAAAGAAGCCAACAGAAGTTTTTTTCTGAATAAATATTTTTCAAACAGAAGTATTCTCTACAGAATCTAAAAACCAAAAATTAGGTTATTACTCACAAAAAGGAAATCTAAAATGAAATTTTATTCTTACATTCCCAAGAAAATTGAAGAACTGCTTCCATTACTTTTCCTGTGGCTTTTTACCTTTAGTTTGTTTTTTATTTCAATAATAATAATAGCATTGCCTTTTAAATTTCTTGCTCAAAAACAATACAAAGCCATATAAAGATCATATATAAGAAGCTCATACATTTCAAAAAAATTTAAAGCAAGCATTGATATAAGCCAACAATTTAAATCAAATAGTAAGTCATCCTTACATTGTGAAACCGAACCAACTCTTAGAAGAGTTGTTTATTTTGTTTCAACCTCTAGGCTGAGTGTTAGCGGTTACTAGTCTTTGTGATTGATAACTATCTTAAACCATAGCAAAAATCAATATATGGTACCATTTTGCTGATGATGCTATAGACTAAAGGCTAAAATTTAACTTCTCACTTTGTGGTTTCTGGTATATGCCTGAGTATTATTTTGTTTTGTTTTTCCTTCCATTTTGGATTTGGGACAAGAAAAAAAATGCATTTTTAGTAAATGCTTACTTTTAAAATAAGACACTCTCCTTTTCACTGCTTCATAGATCTAACTGTTTCACTGAAAATTGCCAAGAGCATTGAACTTCAATATAAGAGTAGAGAGTAGTTTTCCCAACTGCATAAATGTATTATGTTCTGGACACTCTGAACTATTGACCTTCCCTATGAGAGAGATGCTGCTAAAATGTCAGTTAATCATAAAGCAGTTCCACAATGGGTTACCCAGAAGCAGAAGGCAATTTAAAAGAGCAATTTTAACATGCAATTGCCAAAGCATGCAACACAGACAATTTCTGATGATGGCATATTTTATTTCCATTTAATAAGAGAAAGAGAAACTGTATTTGCCTAGCTTCTATACCAGATGGTATACCCAGAGGAAATAGACACACAGAAAAAAAAAAAGCAAGCATACTTTCTCTGATTGTTCACTGGAGTTTCTGAATTACTTCCCTTTTAAGACAAATTAAAAATTTATGAAGTGCCTGAAGAAACATTATGTGAACAATAGCATGGGTCAGAGTATAAAGTAACAGCGAAATAATCATACCCCTCAGGTTCCTAGAGAAGCATGAGGTAGGCTTCAGTGGCTTCAGCCACTGGAGGCTGTAATTACCACCTCTCCTAAGTCAGAGACCCTGAAGCAACTAATTGCAGTTACCAAATGATTATAATGCACTTTGGAAGGAAAACAAACAAACAAAAAGCTTTGGCAACCAGACAGGATATTTTCAGAAAAGGATAAAGTACTTTTACACTTTAACTGTTTAAAGTATTTAAAACACAGCATATATTGGAGAGTTAAGCACTAATCAATTGGGCTTTCAATAAATGTGAAGTTGCAAATATTAACCTATATTTTCTCAGAGAATAAGTTAGCCATGCAGACTCTATTTTTTAAAATGTACATCTCTTCCAGACTTTACTTGTTGTGCTTTTATTTACTCATGCTATACTATTATAAGAGGGAGAAAAATCACCTATGATAGGAATAAGAGGAATAAGTATTAAGGCCGTTAAAAGTCTGAGAAAAGGAGTTGAGGCCCATCTGTCTGATATTGGACAAGTTACTGTTTTGTTTTTGTTTCCTGAGTCTTAAATTTACCAACTAAAAAGTGAGAAAATAATATATTTCACAGGATTGGTGTGAAAATAAAATATCATGATACATTCACTTCATATGTTGATTCTACACTAGCATTAATCCATACTTGGCCACAAAAAAACCTACATTTACATTTGAAAATGTAAAATTTATTTTTTATTATAAATAAGGAAAACCTTTGTATTGACTTGCTGGAAAATTATTTATTGACAGATTTCCATCAAATAAACATTTACTATTATCAGAAATAAAAGGTCAATGCCTCAAATACCTTAAAATGGAATTTTAAAAACAGTAAATTGTAAGTAATTTACTTTTTGATTGGTACTTATTTTTACAGCCACATAGTCTAACATGCAGGGACTATTAAAATAGCTACTTTAAAATTATCAACATTTATTCAATCAGATTATATTAATGGCAAATTCTACAACTGTAACATGGAATAGTCCCAGTCCTAATTAAAAAAGAATGGTTTATAAATCTAGTATTCAGTTCCTCTTATAGAACCAGTATTTAGGCATGCAGAATTTAACAAAATTAGATGGTAACTTCCTCCAAAGGTTATTTTTGGAGTCTCAAAGGTATTTCCCAAGATTATGAAGCATTTATAAGTTTTTGCAATCTGTACTAAAATTCAGTTAATATCATAGTTAACATAAACTGTGTTCTATTTTGTTGATATGAACTTCTGGGCTGAGGCCAGTAGTGGTATTGGTAATTTCAAGTCTGGGGGACCTGAAATTTGGGGAAAGGTAAATGGATCTTAAAGAAGGGAAGTGGATGAACATACATCATAATCCTAACTAACACTCTGTATTTAATTATACTATATATCAATTATGTTCCATTTCTTTTTATAGACTGTTTAAAAATTAATACAATATATACTTCCATAAGCTTCTCTTTATTTTCTAATAACAGAGCAAGATTAGTAGACATTCCTGATGAAATAGTAACCATGGTTTCTCTCAAATTTGCAGTCTACCTGAAAATCTAGTCTATAAGTACTTCCCTCCCCAAAAATCTTGCAGACATACCTTATGAGGACATTAATTAGCTATAATAAACATGTGATAAAAATTCACTACATGTGAAAGATAGTTTTAAAAACAAATAAACTTAATACTGTTGGGAGTAAAACTACAAGTGATTGAGCCTGAAAGCATTTTATGCCACAAAGAATACACAAATTAAATGTTTCTCAGAAAAAAGAATCAGATAAAAAGACAGTATAATTCCAAAATATCAAGACATTTATAAGTTAGAAAGCAGCTATGGGCCAGGCACGGTAGCTCACAGCTGTAATTCAAGCACTTTGGTAGGCCGAGGCGGGCAGATCACTTGAGGTCAGGAGTTCAAGACCAGCCTGGGCAACATGGTGAAACCCATCTCTACAAAAATACAAAAATTAGCTGGGCATGGTAGCGCATGCCTGTAATCCCAGCTACTCGGGAAGTTGAGACAGGAGAATTGCTTGAACGCAGGAGGCAGAGGTTGCAGTGAGCCAAGATCACGCCACTGCACTCTAGCCTGGACAATAGAGCAAGACAAAAAAGCAGCTATGAGTGTAAGTTAACTATCCTCATTCCCTCTCACATAGATAGGGCTATTCTCAGAATAAAACACTTCAAAGCACTTTATAGTAATATTTTTACTTAAACAGTCCAAAGTCCACTCAGAACATAAGTATGGGGATAAATCAATATTCAGTAACATGTTTTTATCCACTTAACACAGTATAACTGGCTTCAAAACACAATATTATTTACATGCAATCTCCATGGCTTTCACATCTGGAACCAATTTCAAATAATTCCTAAGTTAAACAAAAATTACATTATATTAACAATACACTGTGTGGTAATGCTAATTTTTTAAAGACCTATTTTGACGAAAATAAAAAAATAAAGCAGGTGAGATATTTAAAAGAAAGTAGTTTGGGCACAGGAAGTCAAGAGGGAAATCACTGGAATACCAAATTGTCAAAATTGTTAAAATTTATATGTACATTATAAATGTATGTATATGTAGAAAAGTGTAATTTTATTAGAAAACATGTATGCAGTATTCTTAGTAAAATGGACTCCATAGTTCAATTTTTCACATTAGCATGGGATATTAATTTTGGAATAGAGAGTGAACTAATTTTTAGTTTCCAAATTGCTTCCTCTTTAAATGATTTCTCTGACTAGTTGAGATTATGGGGTCAACTTGCCTCTCCCTCAGAAAGTTTATCTTCTATCACAGAAACAATTTGTCACATGACCTCGATTGAAAGGACATAGACATACAGAATATTTGAAAAGCAAATTGTGAGATTTAGGCTGAGCCATGGAAATTTACCCAACATCTTCTAGCTTAAGCTCCTTTTCAACAACCAGATAAATATATACAGCAATCAGCAAATTATTGGACTCTCTATCATCTAAGTCTCAGGCTAATAGTTGAGAAGTTAAATTTCCTATTAGTAAACATCTTTCAGCAGGAGTTTTTGATATATAAATATGATGCTGGACTAAAAAATATGTTCTACGATACATCAGGTAACTGAATGGGTTTTGCTTGGATGGTAGCTCAGTACTCCTGGTGGGTAGCCCAACAATACTGTCAATGATAAACAGATGCTCAAGAAACAAAAGACAAAATAAACACTACACTAAAAATGTAGTCAAGTAAATTAGATATTTAAACTTTTTATTGGCTTTTAATTAATAGCTAACAATTCCTCCCATTATAACATGGTAAAGAACCAGGATGTGTGGTTATATACAATTTTTTAATTTTCATTTTTTTTGTGTTTTCTCCATACACTATTATTTTCACTACTCAGTTTTAGTCATGAGGAAGGCAACAGAAAGGCTTAAAGTGTAAGGAAAATCTCTCTGTGTTCTGCAGCTGGGTGTCAAGCTCCTGAGGTAATCCTCAACAACAGGACATTCTGAAGAAAATAGTTATCTCAACGAGGCATTGTCCAGAGTAACTTTTCTTATCCATATTATAAGATGTGGCCTTTACACTGACTGTAACAAAATTACTGAGGGAGAGAATTTCCACGTAGTAAAAAAGTATTCGGTATTTGCTTGAACTAAAATGATCTTTTCTCTCAATAATGCTTTCAATTACAGCTATCAGAGATTTTTGGACTGAATATGTAGCAGGCTCACCAAAACTACCATGCCAAAAAAGGACTCTAGATTCATAATAATAATGGCTTGAGAATAGAGAAGCACTCCCATGTCCTCAAATCAGTCAAATTATGACATAATCAAGGTGATGATTTATGTAATTCATTGGAACTCTTAATAGTGTGACTATATCATATATCAAATAATGAGAACCTTCAACACTGCATGTATTAATGTGTCTTATGCTAGATTCCTTCACAAGGTAGAAAAGGTCTGCTACTCAGTCTTACCTGCACATTTTGTTCTGGTGATTAGTGGAGGTCCTGGGAGCCCCGTTCCACCTTCACCAGGTCTTGTAAGTAGAACTCGGATCTCATATTCGGTATCTGGATCTAAATGCCATAATTTGTAAGTTGGAGCATTGACTGCATGGGTTTCTGTCCAGGATCCTGATGTCATTCGGTACTCTACTTCTTTCAGGATGATAGGACCATCGCCAATGATCGAGTTGGCATTTAGTTGGATCAGCAAATATGTAGGCCCAACACCAAGAAGCTGAGGAGGAGCAATGGGTCTTGGCGGTTCTAGGAGAGATGAGTGTGCACTTCAATTAGTAAGATTTAAAATAATACAAAGATATATTAGTGTCTAATAAGGCCTAAATGCTTAATGGATCATTTATTAGAAATGCATAATAAATACTTGAAAGAAAACTAGAAGACGCATGATCTGACAACTGTACTTTTAAAGAACATATAATTTTGCAAGTGCATATGACTATTTTAACATAATTTTCCTGTATTAAAAACACATTTTTTTTCAGGAGATCAACTTGTAAAGTCACAGTATACAAAGGAAATAAAAAGAAAATATTTAGATATGGATAGCTCTAATTAGCTACTAAGAGAGTAGAGTTGATCTTTGACAATTTATTTCATTCACAAACTATGCCCAAGAGGTATTTTTCTTTTTGCTTTCCTTGTTACTTCTTCACAGTTTCTACAGATGAGTAAAGGAAGAAAGAATAACATAACCGAACTCAGAAAGTGATGCCAGGTGCTAACTTGTTTCTACAAATCTGCCTCACAGTGTGACAAATTTAAATTTACACCTAGGCACAATCACAAATCACTAAACATCACTGGTCTTTGGGAGCAGCATAAGATAAGGCAATTCACCAACTATTAAACTCAAATATCAAAGGCACACTATAATTTAATTTTGGATATCTTAAGATATTCTGCTTGAAAGAAACTTTGGAAAACATTATTTCAACATTTGTACTTACAGAAAAGTTGAATGATATATTAAGGCACTTTTTTTTTCTTTCATTAGAACAATGTGACTGAAATGAGACACCGAACTTTATGAAGGACTCAACAGCTATAGCTCTGTTCATATGGTCTTTCCACAAGGGATAATAACTCATAAAGTTCTTTGAATTCCTGGAACACTTCTCACTTTTCTCAGGAAAGTCAAAAGACCTAAAGAAAGTGTTAATAAAGTAGTAATTGCTCAAAAATTAATTTAAAACTTTTTTTAAGAGTTGGAGCAAATCACATAAACTATTAAAACACAACCACAAAATGCTCCCTCAGTCCAACCCACTACAGGTACGGGGTGGACTGAAGAAGGTACAAATAGAGGGAAGTCATGAGCACATAATCAATATCTTTCTAGTTGGATTTTTTGTTTCAATGGCAATGCATTGCATGAAAAATATACAATGCAAATAAGGCCTGTAGACAGGTTTTACCTTCTTATGCAGGTTTAAATGAAACAAGAATGTTCAGGTGCAGACCAGGATTTTCTTTTTAACCCTGATTGTATAAAAGTATAGTTTCTAGCTTAAAAGCCTCTGAATTACAAATAACCTTAAAATTAGGAATAAGATTATCTGGTCTGTACAGCTACACAGGCTAAAGTAATTTTCAAGAAGATTCTTTCAAAATTCATATGATAAATATTAATTGAGTAGCTATTAATTGTTAGGCTGTCCTACACATTGGGTATCCATATAACATTGTAGGGGAGACATAGTAAAAAGAAATCAATGAATTCATTATTTTAAACTGAAATTTATATAGGAAACAAAAAGAAGACTGATAAATAATGAATGTAATATCAATATTTTTTGTCCAAAATCACTTGAAGGACATAAGTAACTCCTCACAAGTATTCATGGCTCATTATGGCAGTAACTTTTAAACTAATTATTTGTAGAACCACATGACCTTGGGATTCACTGGGCTCATGTTTAAAACAAAAACAAAACTAAGATCAAAGATGATAACATATGCTATATGAAGTGCAAACATTTATAATTTCTATAGAAAAGTGGTTAACATATGATTTACAAACTTTAACTACAACATCCATTCCTGATAGTTTGCAAATTGTTTCAACAATATGTAGTCAAAATTGCATAGTAAGTGAACTCTTTCCAATTTCACGACTGAATTCAACGGAGAAGTTATTCACAAAAGAAAAAAGTTTGAATAAAATAAACACAGTTTAGAATTTTCACTTATCAACTATGAAAGACAGAGCTAGACATTTCATACCATGAAATTTTACCAACTGCTCTAACAACTTTTGTACTCAGAGTTTTAAAAAGTTTTTGTAGAGAGGGAGAAAGTTGATATATTCTCAAACCCTAAACTAAAATGAAACTGAATCGAGAAGTGAACATAATAGAAAAAATGTAAATGTCTTCCGAGATTACCTAAATGCTGCACATATTTTAAGAAGCAGTCTGTATTTTGTGAATAAACTGAGTTGCCTCATATGTGCAATATTTGTTTTCATTCCAGATGGCTCATATACTAACTAATTTAAGTTGGAAAGAATGCTAAATTCACATCTCGCTGGGGTGCTACCCCAGTGTAGGGATAGAATAAACAGTCACAATATGCCAAGTGAATTATATATAACAAACCTTGGTTAATCATAAATTTATAGATATTCTGAAACCTGAACTTATGTGAGTATATCAAATGGTAAATCTCACCAATCAAAACTCTGCACACTCTTGCTATGGAAAATAAGGAGAAAACCTAAGAGGAGAGCAAAAGATGAGAGAGGAAGGAAAGAAAAAATAGCCATACCGCAACATAAGAAACAAGTGAAAGAAAGAAGAGAAATAAGTGAAACAGTAAAGCACAACATTAATTCCAACATTTCTATCTTTAAGGAAGTGATATATAAAAGAAAACAAAAATTTGTAGTCTGGAAACCTAATATGAAAAAAATGCTTACACATTAATAGCTGTGTAATCTTAAATATGTTATTTAACTTTTTCACATTATAATTTATTCATTCGTGCACTAGGCATTATTTGAAGAATTTTTGAAGACTCAACTCCTACATACACCAACAAGCCCTGTGTGATGCTAGGTTGCTTTGTTCTGTTTTGCCATATAGCATATACATTTTAACACTGAAAATTAATATTCAACACTAGTGTTGTTTGTATATGAAGAAATAAGTTTGATGTAATCAGTCAAGACTTGGTCAGAAGGGTAGTAGTTCACTCTGGCCAGTTTTACATCTCACTTTCCATGGTCAGGCCAAAAATGGGGGCAGTCCAGCATCAAAGCAATTGCTCAAATTTGGAAATGTGGCAATGTTAAGAGAGGCTTAAAAGCATATGTATTGATTAACAGCATGATTTTAAGATGTAAAATCTAGCATTAATGAGGCTAATATACCACTACATATTAAATTTTTATGTTGGAGGTAAAAAGTAGCTTTATATTAGCATATGTATTTTGTTTTCAGGCCCTTGATAACAATGGGGCTTATTTATAAAATTTCTATTCATTTCAATAAATTATGCATGAATTTTAATCAGTTCACAAATGAACAAGTAATCGTTCTGCAGCAATATTAATATTCTTCATAACAATACACAACCAGACCCAGAAGTGAGGTGCGAATAAATCCCAGTTGTACAGGAGGTATCAAATGAAGCATGCAATCCCCAAAATATAAGATAAACTTTGCCGATGTTACCAATTAACTTCCAATTAATGACTTACATTCATTATTCTAGAACTGAACCTATTATAAAACCCGAATTATATATTCAAATTGTTTTATTTTTATTTCAAATAATTTTTAAAAGTGTCTTGAAATCAAGCAAATCATTATGAAAAAATACTCCCATTCAGTTATTCCTATTATAATGTTATTTTACAAACACATGTGTCACTTAGCAAAATTCAGTTAACTAATAAAATGCAGAATAAAAAATAGAAGCCATAAATCCAGGAAAAGTCAGCAACAAAGTAAATGTCAAGGCAAAAAATACTTCTACATTTAATTTCCCAATTAGATAAATTAAATACCTCTCAATCCTACCTCCTTCCTAAGGGTTTTATTTGTCAATGGGGCCTTGACATAAAGTATCGTAAGATTAGTCCTACCACTACAGAAGGAGGCAATGATATTACATTATTCTCCTATGGCTGCTGCAACAAATTACTACAGACTTGGTGGCTTAAAACAACAGAGATTCTCTCCAAGTCCTGGAAGCCAGAAATCTGAAATCAGTACCACTCGGTCAAAATCAAGCTGTCAGAAGGCCGTACTTCCTATAAAGGCTCTAGGAGAAAATCAGTTGATTGAGTCTTCTAACTTCTGGTGGTGCTGGTATTCCTGTCCCTCCAAATTCCTTTCATTTGTTCACAATGCCTTCTCCTCTCCTGTCTGTAGTCAAATCTCCCTCTGCCTTCCATATGGATATGGATGCTTGTGATTGCAGTTAGGCCCCATATGTATAATCCAGCATCTTCTCACCATTTCAACATCCTTAACTTAATCACACCTGCAAACATCATTTTTCCATATAAGGAACATTACAGGTTCCAAGGATTAGAATCTATTTGGGGGGCATTTTTCAGCCTACCACAGACATGGACTATGATCTCATCCTTCCTCCTGCCAGATATTTCAACTCCACTTTTTCTCCAGTTGGTAGGAAGCTTGTGAGCAGAAAACACTTCACCTACAAAAGTTTCTGAGCTGGGTCCAGAGTAGCAGATTATTTAAGAGTTAATAATTTATATATATATCATATTTTACTCTTTTTCTTTTTTTTTTTTTTTTTTTTTTTGAGACAGAGTCTCATCTGTTACCCAGGCTGGAGTGCAATGGAGCAGTCTCGGCTCACTGCAACCTCTGCCTCCCGGGTTCAAGCTACTCTCCTGCCTCAGCCTCCCAAATAGCCGGGACTACAGGTGCATGCCACCACACCCGGCTAATTTTTGTATTTTTTAGTAGAGACGGGGTTTCGCTATATTGGCCAGGCTGGTCTCAAACTCCTGACCTTGTGATCCTCCCACCTCGGCCTCCCAAAATGCTGGGATTACAGGTGTGAGCCACCACACCTGGCCCATATTTTTCTTTTTACTATTTTTTGTAAAAGGGAAAAACAGAGATGATGAAAATCATGTTTTACAGGAGTCCACTGCTCTATTAACACATTCAACACTAGAATGTTTGCCCTGCAGATGGAATTTTTTTTATTTGTTACCATTTCTTTACTTAAATGAAAGAATCACTTTGAAGTCAGTTTTACTCTGTTTCTTTATAATTTCCCTCACTAAAATTTTTATCCAGTTCTGGTTCCTGTTAGACAACAAATTCACAGTGTTTCTCATTGTTTAATTTTCTTCCCCATCACCTACTAGAAGTGCAAGTAAATGGACATGAGGGAGGCTAAGAGGAAGAAGAAAGACATCATTGGACCATCTAATTCAGGCATTTATCAGCTACCCCTACAATAATTTTAAATGATTTTAAATTATGTCAACAAGTTGGTAACATAATTTAATAAATTCTTGAGCATTTCAAGAAACTTAATATTACTGATGAATAGAAAGATGACCTTTGCTCCCATAACAAACAGAAAGCAGGTTATTCATATTTAGAAGCAATTTATTTGGACATTTAATATCATATGTATAACAACACAATTTAACTTTTCCTTAGATGTTAAAATAAGAAGTATACATTTGAAAATTTTAGATTTAATAAGGTTTCTCCTACACTGCCAGTTTAAAAACTGCAACCCAGATATATTTATGAGAATTCTTTCATGATTTCACACTGTTATTTTTCTGATACTTCAAATTTTCAGTTCTCACAAGTTCCTTGGGAAGCCAAACAACTCATCATAAATTTAGCTCATATTTTAGCTCACAATGCAGTCAGCAAATTCTATAAATTTTTTAATCTAAATTACTATTAAGTTTTATTTACTTTGTACACTGATAGAATTGAGTTAAATTTGTTTTATTATGTTAAAATCTATTCTTAAACCCATCAATTCAAGTGATAGATACCTTTTTTTTTTTTTTTTTTTTTTTTTTTTGACAGAGTCTCGCTCTGTTATCCAGGCTGGAGTGCAGTGGTGTGATCTTGGCTCACCACAACCTTGGCCTCCCAGGGTCAAGCAATTCTCCTGCCTCTGCCTCCCAAGTAGCTGGGATTACAGATACTTGCCACCACGCCCAGCTAATTTTTGTATTTTTAGTAGAGATGGGGTTTTACCATGTTGGCCAGGCTGGTCTGAAACTCCAGACCGCAGGTGATCTGCCCACCTCAGCCTCCCAAAGTGCTGGGATTACAGTTGTGAGCCACCAGGCCTGGCCTGGAGACCTTTTTCAAATCATATTACTCAGGTGGCTCATAAGCTTGTACTGGTCAAATAAAGTTAATGCTAAGACATCACAAAGTTTGGATGTTGGGACCTGAGGCCCCTATGCCAGTACCTATGTAGGTATCAATCAGAAGGAGCTACCACTATCTACTACCATCTCTATGAAAATTCGATTGGTGTCTGCATATAGCTATGATGAACTAAAGAAAGAGTGTGTACTGTGCCCCCATGCCTATGCTTACAATATTTCACACACGAGTAACTTCTGAGAACCATGAAATAAGCACACATGATTTCACAGTGGTAAGTAGGTAGAAAACTTTAGATAAAAGGGGAAAAAAGAATTACAAATAATAAAGTATCTATTTAATGGGATATTATATATGTTTGTTTATACTATATTTTTATTACTGTTAATTATATTCAGCTAAACAGAGTTTCTTCATTCTCTCCCAGTGGCTCCCTACTGGGGGCAATTATTCAAAAGCCAGGCACAGAAAGACAAATACTGCGTGATCTCACTTATATGTGAAATCTAAAAAGCTTGAACTCATAGAAGCAGAGAGTAGAATGGTGGTTACCAGGAGCACCGGGGCAGGGCAGGGGCAGGGCGGGGAGTTTGTAGGGAAATGGAGAGATGTTCAAAGTGTACAGAATTTGTTCAGATGAATAAGTTTTGGAGGTCTACTATAACTATAATATAGGTAAGTATAATTAATAATAATTTATTATATATTTCAACATTTCTATGAGAGTAGATATTAAATATTCTCACCACAAATAAATGGTGAGATGATAAATATATGGTAATTAGCTTGATAATTATTTCAAATTGTATACATATACCAAAAGACCACATTGTACAACTTAAATATATTCAATTTTATTTGTTAATCATAACTTAATAAATCTGAAGCGAAAAAAAAAATCTCTAGTCCAAAACAATAATAGGTTCCTCTAGAACAGCTCAACAATGTAGAAAATAATTTTAACAATGCTGAAAATAATAAATTTACCACGTATCCCTACCTAAAACTATATCACTTATATTTCCATTTTTCAAAAGGGCAATGGAGCAGAATTTTGAGGAGGAGAGTGCAAGCTCTGTGGCTGTGGCAGTGATCATTTATTCACACTGGCTTGACTGTGGCCAGGGAAACACAGGGAAATGGGCATGTGACTACACGAATTGCTCACAGGCAAGTGAACTGATAACAGTATTTTTGGAAAATAATTTATGTATCAAGAAATAGATATGTGTAAAGTAATAACACTTTGGGAAATTTATCATAAGGAGATACTTTCAGTCTTTGCTTAAAAGTAAAGTAAAAACTTGATCAAAATAATCAGTGATGGGAAAATGGGAGGTAAATCATGGTGTAACTTCTCAACAGAACACAAGTTATAAAGATTATTAGTTTTCACTTTCAAAAGTAAAAAGCATACCCCTGAAAAAACAAAATCAGCAACCACCAAAAGCAAAAGAAAACATACCAAAAAGTTAATAGCAGTGACCAGGGAACTCCAGGACCATGAGTGACTTAGCTTTTTCTTTTATCCTTGTTTTTCAATACAATTTGTTAGGTGCCCACAAAACATTCTCATCATTACATTCCCAGTGTTTCTTTTAGCGCCTGACAAAGTTCAATACTATTATTATAGAATGAATGACTGCCTTAACAATGCCCCAAAGAAAAAAAGTTACCCATGCCACCGTAAGAAAAACTTATCAGCTGGGAGCAGTGGCTCATGCCTGTAATCCTAGCATTTTAGGAGGCTGAGGAAGGCAAATCGCTCGAGCCCAGGAGTTTGAGACCAGCCTGCGCAACATGGTGAAACCCCATCTCCACAAAAAATACAGAAATTAGCCAGGTGTGGTGGCAGCTGTGGTCCCAGCTACTCGGGAGGCTGAGATGGGAAGATCACCTGAGCCTGGGAAAGTTGAAGCTGTAGTGAACCAGGATCACGCTACTGCACTCCAGTGTGGGCAACAGAATGAGACCCTATATCAGAAAAAGGGAAGGGAAGGGAAGGGGAGGGGAGGGGAGGGCATGGAGGAAGCGGGGAGGGGAGGAGAGGGAGGAAGGGAGGAAGGGAGGAAGAGAAGAAGGGAGAAAGGGAGAGGGGGAAGGAGGGAAGGAGGGAAGGAAGGAAGGAAAAAACTACGTAAATTCTACCTAGTCCACATTTTAAAATGTACACTTCAATGTAAGAATCGACACTTGGAGAACACAATACCCAAACTTTATTTATTTACTTATTTAATTTTCAGGTGTTAACATTAAGCCCTTAAAAAGTAAGATGTAACATCTCACACTCTGAACGATGTAGCAAGCCAAATGCCCTGACACTGATACATAGCACCTACAAATTGTTACTCTTTAATTAAAAGAGTTAGTTGACTGGAACAAAAGAACACATTCTAAGCAACTGCTTAGTGACCAAGTGGAATCAAATGATTTATCCAGCTTGTGAAAAAAAAAAAAAAAAAAAAAAAAGGCACAGCTACAATTCTAGCATTAATTTTTTTTGTCTTTTCTACAAATCACATCAATTAAAATGTTTTAAGTATTTTCCATGTGAAGAAAACACACCGATTTATATATTTTAAAACTAATTCGAATACACAAGATCAATAAGAAATTGTATATAATTGTACTAATACTTGTGTGTGTGTGTGTGTGTGTGTCCCTTGAACAAAAATTTAATTCAGGGTAGGAGAAAATTCTGATGCTAAATATGCTGCTCTTCATATTCAACAATGATTTTGTCTCTCAAGTCCCCATGTGATATGTATTCAGTTTTTGAAGTGCAAGATCTGTAGAATTACAGTATTTAATGTCTATGACATGGCTCTTTCCTGCTGCCTAAAGTGCTGAAATAAGAAGAATCATTTCAGCAATGAAACTGCAAATTTTGCATACTGAATTTTATATCCTATGCATTACCATGGCGTTTTATTCACCTTGATTTGAAAACATTGCTGCAATAACTTTATTACCTGCTTGAAATAAAAAGGCACAGCTGCAGCATACTGTTTTAGATGTCAGCAGAAACTAAAACAAGGTTAGGTTCATATTTAGGGTGGATGAAAAGGTGATGGAATTTTAAAAAGTAAGTTTATGTGTCCTTTAGCTCATAATCAAACTATAGGGAAACTAAAAAGTAGCGTCTCATTTTGTCCAAAACTACTCTCTTCATTAATATCCATGTAGTGAATTGGTTTAGAATGATAAATCGCAATAATATTTATATATATATTATTATTATTATTATTATTATTATTATTATTATTAGGAAACGGAGTCTTGCTCTGTTGCCCAGGCTAGCGTGCAGTGGCATGATCTCAGCTCACTGCAAGCTCCACCTCCTGGGTTCATGCCATTCTCCTGCCTCAGCCTCCCGAGTAGCTGGGATTACAGGTGCGTGCCACTATGCCAGGCTAATTTTTCTGTATTTTTCGTACAGACGGGGTTTCACCGTGTTAGCCAGGATGGTCTCGATCTCCTGACCTCGTGATCCACCCGCCTCAGCCTCCCAAAGTGCTGGGATTACAGGCGTGAGCCACCGCGCCCGGCCAATTATAGCAATAATTTTAACAACTTTACAAAAGCCTCTCTCAGTACTACAGTCAACATGGTGGCAAACCATGTTATGATGAAAGTTATGAATCCCTATGAATGACTCATAAGCTAATAAATACAGAAGATTTTTCTCATGGTCATTTAATACCTCATTTCAGCTTTGTCAGAGCTCAAACTGTTCATAGTATTTCAAGAAAAGAACATCCAGTTGATTCCAGGAATAACAATCAAGTCAGCAATAAAACTAGGAAAGCCTTTAACTCTGTTCAGTTCACTGAAGTCTAGGGCCATAAACAGGTGATCACCTCACCACATCATCAGTCACCTTTAAGAGCTAGGAGACTTTTTAAAAAATATATGGTTGGAGAAAGGAAGGGAACTGTGTTTGTCAATGGCAATATATGTCCCAGTTACTTGTTGAATATGCCTAGATTATATAGCACTGGCTATTATTCCATTCTAGATTATAGGCAAAAGGACTTGGAGTACAATAACACTATCCACATTCATTTCATATTAAGACACAATGGCTGAATCCAGTAAACAAGATATCAATTTTAAAAAAAACCTACTGCAAAATCTCTATAATGAGAATATAATCTCTATTTATAGATGTGTGTGTGTAATATACATATATGCAGACACATACACATATGTAAATATATGTGATATGTATATATAGTTTAAAAAAATTATTAAAAATATCCTGAATCTTCCACATCTAGAATATAAATACATTTGTAAAATGTCATCAGCCTAAATTCCAAATTTTAAGAAATTTGAAACCTATGTAATTAGAAGATTTTTGTGACACTTAGTTGTAACGAAACCTAATCTAAGTTTGCCAACTTACTCCCCAGGTCTAAACACTCCATTGTGATGAGTCTTTGTAACATACAACGTACAAGCATATTATAAATACATACTTTGTAATCATTTCAAGTCAATACCAAATAACGAAGTCAATATTAAGCACATGAAACCAACAACTGATGACCATTTTAAAATGTAATGACTCAGACCTGCAATAAATCAGGAGACACTACTTGCATCCTCCACTCAATGACCCTGGTTTCCAGTCAGGTAAAATGCAAAACTTTATTTACCCTAAGTTAATCAGGGGAATTATTATCTACCTATTATTTCTACATGTCTATGTAGGGTACAGAGTCACGATGACTTGTCCAGGCATATCCCTGTATGTACAACTAATATATTTACTTTTTTACGAAAAAGGAATTGTGATGACATAGTAAAACTAATGGAACAAGACCTCAGTCATATATAAAATTCCACTAGATAACAGGATTCATGTATGTACTACTAACTCCAAAGCAGTCATAGTTATAAGCCTCTCTTTGGATCAAAAAAACATAAATCTTCAGAGACTTATTTAAAGATCTTCATAGCAAAGAAAATTTGTCATTAGCTTATATAGATCCAACTAAGTTTTATAACGTAAAAATTCTCAATATATATTTATTCAGGGACATCAAATGATATTAATTAGCAATTGTCCAAAATAGCCTCAATTTTGGAATTAAACAAAAAACAATCATGTGTCTTATTGGATTAAGAGATACAGAACTTTTAAGGAGAAATGAGTTCACTACATGGAGTCACTGACTTTAGGTAAGCTATCCTGATGGCAATGATATAAAAAAGTCAGGTAGACATGACCTGGGAACCAGAGGACAGGTTATTACGTACTTCTAATAAGTCTTTCAACTAAGAAAGGCAGGTTTTCATGGGCAATTGGAGAATATGTAGGCTTAATGATGGGGGAAGAAAAAAGAGAATGCATTAAAGCAGATCTATCAATATGGTTACTATAAGGACTTCTGAAAAAATATTTTAATCATCTAATTCTATTACCATTCCTTTAGGGGCCAAAATACCTGTCCTCAATAATCAAAGTGCTATCAAAATCACCACACCTAGTTTTATAAATAGATGGAAGCTGAAGGTTGGCAATAATTATAGACCCATCTGATAAAATAACAAGTTAATAATATTTTTAAGATGCTTAACCATGTAAAAATAGTTACCTGTTCAAAGACATTTTATACCAGTGTGACAGCCAAGCCAGCAAAAGACCTTTTATTTCAACTCCCCTTGAACACACTCACTTTCACACCTTAATGGGGCATCTGACATTCATAGTATCAAAATAAGTCATATCATCCAAAATATGAAATACTGGAAGGGAGTCCTAGTTCTATAATCCAACATGCACAGCAAGAGAAATTTCCAGGCTAGTAAAATAGTTTCTAGAGCACAAGTAATGCAATTACACAGCTAAGGAGTTGGGTTCTTCTTTCACAGCTACTGTTCCTAAGTAACAAGAGAGCTTCCTAGTCTACTTTGATAAATACCATGCCTTTAAAAAATAAGGACATAAAATGGCTACCAATCCAGACTATTCATATACTCTTTTCTGTAAATTTCAAATTCCCTATCCTTTTCCACGCTCAGCCAGGTCAGCTGAAAATTTGCTGGAGAAAAGAACCATAAGACATAAAATGGCACTAATATTTTCATAGATATTGAAGATTCCTGAAAATATTACCTCAATCAGTGGATGTAAGACGAATAAAGAATTGAGAAAGGAAGGCTACTATTTTAAACATTATAGAAAAAAGAAGAAGGTACCATGTTTCTTTGGTATGAAATTTTGTAAAATGATGCACTAATATAAGTTGATAGCTGAGAGATCTCCATATTGTAACTGAAGGGTATCAATTCCTGCTCCAGCGCCATACAATTACATTTTTTAATCTCTTTTGTTTTTTTCTTTTTTTTTTTTTTGGCTTAAAAAATTTACTTTAAGTTCAGGATACATGTGCAGAACATGCAGGTTTGTTACATAGGTATACATGTGCCACGGTGGTTTGCTGCACCTATCAACCTGTCATCTGGGTTTTAAGCCCCTCATGCATTAGCTATCTTTAAATGTCTATGTCCAGGTTTTAAATTAAAAGTCTGACATTGAACAAATGTCAAGATACTAAACTTGGAAATTAATCAGAGAAGTATACTAGATGTATCATTACTATACAGCATAATAATTTGCTTAAACTATAAAGGCACTAATTTGTACCTGGATATTTTGAAATCTACTTTCAAAATTTATTTTAATATATAAATGCAAATTATGTTAAACAGAGATATAAATGTACTCATTGTATATTTTCTTCTTTATAAAACCAATGTCAATTATGTGAGGAAAAAGAGATCAATGGTTAAGACTGTGCTCTCTAAACCAAGGTGTCCCCTAGGTGATATTCAAATTACACTCAGAATGGCTGGGGAGGGGGGACAATCAAACTATACTAGATAGATTTTTGTGACTATTACGGTAGACAACAAAAAGAACATGAAATAAAGGCACAAAATAACATTAGTCACTGCAATGGTCTGAAAATGCGCTACAAATTCTCTGATAGCACTCGCATTGAGAGGCTGGATCCCCTTCAATCCAGAGAGACCTCATGCCTGCCTCAACAAGTATAGTGCAGAGAAAGTGATGTAATGAGACCTAGAACACTTGTTCTAGGTGCCACCATTTCCAATTTTCAATTAGCCAGTGGCATTATCCCAATTCAAGTGCCAGACTTGTGCCAGATGATTCTAGCCTCCAGGAGTTTAAATCACCTTTAGCTGTTCAATTTGAGACTCTCAGCTCGGGACCCAAATATCATACTGGAGTGATCTATACATATCACCCAAATTTATAGCCCACAGAAGCTGTGAACACTATAAAATGGTTATTGTTTTATGCCACTAAGTTTTATGATGCAGCAGGTGATAAATAGAACTCTATGTCTTATTAAGACAGCTGAAAGTAAACTTCTGAGAAAGATGCAAACTTCCTAAAATAAATGCACTGCCCTTTCATGATCTGTCCCCTGCTCATCTGTCCAGCCTCATGTGTTATCACTCTTCAAGTCCAATTATATGTTCACATTTAACAACTTGTGTTTTCCATGGGAAACTCTTCTCTTAAAATCATCCCACCTTGAGTTGAACAACGAGAACACATGGACACAGGGAGGGGAACATTATACACCATGGCCTGTTGTGGGGGTAGGGGGCTAGGGGAGGGATAGCATTAGGAGAATTACCTAATGTAGGTGATGGGTTGATGGGTGCAGCAAACCACCATGGCATGTGTATACCTATGTAACAAAACTGCACATTCTGCACAAGTACCCCAGAACTTAAAGTATAATAATAAAAATCATTCCACCTTTATCCTATACTTCCTAGAGTGTCTTTTTGCCATTTATACACTTAGCAAAGTTATCTATCTTCAAATTTCAGTTCAGTTATTACTGCCTCTGAAAACCTTTCTCACTACACTCTCTTCAGCCTGAAATAAACGCACTTTTTCTGGTAAGAGATTTACCTATATTTTTTGCCTCTCTCTTCACTTACTGACTTTCTTGAAGGCAAGGACTGTATATTGTTTGCCTTTGAATTACATTTATGTCTTCAGTGCAATCAATATTTGTTGAATGAATGCACTTATGAACAAATAAAAGTATTAACATAAGAAGATAATTAGAAATGGAAAGCAAGATAATGTCAACTGTTGGTGAAGATGTGAAACTTTATGCTTGCAAGGTGGAGTATAAATTATATGAGAAATTAAGAAAATTTTTTGCCAGTACCTCCTTGAGCTGAAAATCAGCATACCCTATGACCTAGCAATTCCGCTTTCAGGTACGTGCTACCCCAAAATGATCCCATCTGTTCCTGAAAAGTCATATAGTAGTATATTCAAATACTGCTATTGTAAATAGCTCAAGGTGAAAAAGAACCAAATGTCTATCATCAGAAAAATGAATAAATTGTGGCACAGTCACACAACAAGATTTCATAACAATGATGTTCTATGATGCATAGCTACATGCAGCAATACAGATTTCACAAACTTAATGCTGAATGAGAGAAACCAGATAAGAGTATAAACTATTCATATGTAAGATGCCATATACCTGTTACTTATTAATGTTATAAACCAAGAACAGTGGTTACTCTGGGGGAAGAGGTTATTAACTAGAATGGAATGAGGTAGCACTTCTGGGGTGCTGGTAATATTCAACAAGCTATATATACATTTATCAAACTATATGTTTAATATACACTTTTCCATATGCCTACAATATATCAAGGAAGGAAGGGAGGGAGGGAGGGAGGGAGGGAGGGAAAGGGTAGGGAAAGGGAGGAAACAAACTAAACTCTTAACCAGAAAATCCACCAACTCCCACAAGGGCCAACCCCCGCAAGGGCCACTAAGTAGAAGTGGAATCTCATCCTGAGATTTAACATTTAAAGCCAGCATGTATGGCAAAATCTAATTCCTTCAAAATTTCTCTTGAAAATTCCTAAATCAATCACAAACATGGGCGTCTATGTTTTTCCTTAAATGCTTCAATGTACCAGATCTTTTGACTTCTAAAGCAAGAGAATCCCCGAAATCAAAAGAAACATGAAGAATAGCCATCTGCAAAAGTTTAGGCATTCAAATGCTTCTGCCTATGAGATGGATCAAGTATAGGTTAGAAGGAGCAGTGGAGTTCTACAGCCATCTTTGTATGTTACATATATTGTGATGTGATTATACCACATAAAGGCATCAAGTAAACTTTTTTCTGCTTTCTAACTACAAGTTCTTCAGAATTACTTATTTGAATTCATCTATATATGATGGTTCATACATTTCCCAGAGCATCTCTCTATTATGAGAATATATTTCTTTTATGTAACATTATACTGGAATCATGCAAAGTTAGGTCTTTAATGTCTTGATATTATTTGTACTCTGCATTGCCACTGTTAGTTCAGAGAAAAATTCTGAACTCATCTAATAACATCTCTCTAGGTAAGGTAAGCAAATGTAGAAATGGAGCTACTCTGCAAATGAGTCATTTAAAAGGGGATTTAGCTCATGATTTGACTTTTATCATGAAGAGACATTTAGATTACATCCCTACTTAAGATACAAATTAGAGTAAACTTCCTCCACAGCATACATTTAAAGGTTTCTAGGCCAGGCAGAGGGCTCACACCTATTATCATAGCAATTTGAGAGTCTGAGGCAGGAGGATCACTTAAGGCCAGGCATTCAAGACCAGCCTGGGGAACACAGCAAGACTCCTGACTCTATGAAATATAAAGATAAAATTAAAAATAGCCAGTGTGGTGGTGCTCAGCTATCGTCTTAGCTACTTGGGAGGCTGAGGTGAGATTGCTTGTATCTGGGAGGCTGAGGCTGTAGTGAACCAGTCTAGGTGACAGAGAGAGACCCTGTCAAAAGTAAAATAAATAAATAAAAGTTTTCTAATGCTATTTTATCAAGCTGAAAATGAGAAGTCAATGGAGTGGTCTGAAAAAGAAAAAAAGACAGAAAGAGAGAGAGAAGAAGAAGAAGAAGAAGAAGGATGAGGAGGAGGGGGGGAGGAGGAGGGGGAGGGTGAGGAGGAAGAAGGGAGGGAAGGAGGGAGGGAGGGAGGGAGGGAGGGAGGGAGGGAGGGGAAGGGAAGGGACAGAGAGTCCAAAATTTTCATTGGACTTAATCAAAGATGATTGGGACATTAAAAGATCCTACCTTACTGAGCCTACCCTGGAAGGTGTTTTTAATTTTCATATTAATTAAAAATAGGTGCTTATGGACTTTCTTTGATTACTAAGCACTATGACTTTAAAAGAGGATAGGCTATTAAATTCTATGTAATTTATTTTTTCTACAAACAGGAAAGTGCTGAAACTCAAAGAATCTCATGATATTATTAAAGACATTGAAAACACTTCCAAAATTTTCTTAGCGCTACAAAGGCAATTCATAATTCTTGACATAAAATCCAAGAAAAATGTTCAGGGAAGAGGAGAAGAAAAATGCAAGAGCAATAGCAGAATAATTTCTTAACTTTTAATAAACCACACTTATGCCAGGCTCTGCCTAGATTCTAACAAAGCCATGCTGAAATCAAGGTTGAGTGCACATCCATGCACATGTGAGTGTGCATGAGTGTGTGCGTATGTTTACAGTAGTACATCAGAATCTAAAAAAAGGACATGTGTGGTAGTCCTAAATAGTTTCAAATATAAACTACATTTGATTTAGAAAGGAACACACGTCTCCTGTTCCTGTATTGAGAATCTACTATAAAATGATAGGTTTGGCCAGGCGTGACGGCTCATGCGTGTAATCTCAGCACTTTGGGAGGCTGAGATGGGAGGACTGCTTGAAGCCAGGATTTCAAGAATAGCCTGGGAAACATAGTGAGACCCCATCTCTATTAAAAAATATATATATTTTACTAAATCAAATTTTAAAAATTAAAAATATTAAATAAAATGGTAGGTAATAACTATCATGCTACTTGTTAGGGCAGGAATCAGTTAAAAATAGCAGTCAAGCAACTTAAAGGAAATGCATTGTTTCTAGAGACAAGATAATGACCCCAGTAACACAGTAGTAAGAATCATTGAAATTTAAGGGGTAAATCTCACAAATCTGTTTCTTATTCATATTTATGTAAAACTTGCTTCAAGTAGCAAGACTAGTATTAATAAAATTAACAATAATCTTATTAGTTGGAGTATCACTACCAATGAGTATGGAAAGTGAAGAAATTGATATATAGGCCCTGGAAAATGGACGAATAAAAGCAGATGCCATCTGTGGCACTTAAGGAGAGGAACGAAGGCAGAGAGTGAATTCAGCATCTTCCACTGAAATATCCAGGTTCTCACACTGGGACTGACTAGGCAAACAGCTCAACCCACGGAAAATGAAGAAAAGCAGGGTGGGGCGATGGCCCACTTCGGGGAGACATGAAGCCAAAGGAAGCCCCACTCCCAGCCAGGGGAAGCGGTGAGGAATTATGTAACCCTGCCCCGGGGAAACCACGCTTCTCCCGTAAATATTTGCAACCTGCAGATCAGGAGATCCCCTTGTAAGTTCAGGCTACTAGGGCCTTGGGTCCAATACACAGAGCTGTGTGATGTCCCAGCAGAGCAACCACTTAAGTACACACAGACACTCAGGAGTTTTGTATACTCTGGACCCGGGATTCCCAGGGAGGGTCACTACATACTCCTAGGAGCGGGGCTGAATACAGGGAGCCAAGCAGTGTTGTTCTGCAGGCCCCACTTCGAGGGCACTTCACAAGTTAAGACCAACTGGCTTGGAATTCCAGCCAGACAGTGCTGACAGGCTGACAGGCTCCGTCCACCTAAGAAGGACGGAGTTCCCCAGGGAAGGGGTGGTTGCCATCTCTGTGGTTCAGTCAACTCAATTTGAATTTGAAATAGAATCCCTGGATAGACCAATGACAAATTCTGAAATTGAGGCACTAATAAATAGCCTACAAACCAAAATAAAGCCCAGGATCAGATGGATTGACAGCTGAATTCTACCAGAGGTACAAAGAAGAGCTGGTACCATTTCTACGGAAACTAATCCAAAAAATTAAGAAGGCGGGATTCTTCCCTACCTCTTTCTATAAGGCCAGCATCATCCTAAATACCAAAACTTGACAGAGATACAACAGACAAAAGAAAACTTCAGGCCAACATCCTTAATGAACATCTATGTAAAAATCCTCAACAAAATACTGTTAAACCGAATCCAGCAGCATATCAAAAAGCTTATCCACCATGATCAAGTTGGCTTCTTCCCCGGGATGCAAGGTTGGTTCAACATACACAAATAAATAAATGTGATTCATCACATAAACAGAACTAAAGACAAAAAAACAAAAACAAAAACAAAAACACATGATTATCGCAATAGATGCAGAAAAGGACTTCAATGGAATTCAATATCTCTTCAGGTTAAAAACTCTCAATAAACCAATGGAAAAGACTTCAAAACAGTAACAGCCATATATGACAAACCCACAGGCAAAATCGGCAATATCATGCTGATTGGGCAAAAGCTGGAAGCATTCCCCTTGAAAACCAGTACAAGACAAGGACGTCATCTCTCACCACTCCTATTCAACATAGTATTGAAAGTTCTGGCCAGGGCAATCAGGCAAGACAAAGAAATAAAGAGTATTTGAATAGGAAGAGAGGAAGTTGAATTATCTTTATTTGCAGATGACATGATCCTATACCTAGAAAACCCCATCACCTCAGCCTAAAAGCTTCTTAAGCTGATAAGCAACTTCAGCAAAGTCTCAGGATAATCAATGTGAAAAAATTGCTAGCAGTCCTATACCCCAACAAGAGGCAAGCACAGAGCCAAATTCTGAGTAAACTCCCATTCACAATTGCTACAAAGAGAATAAAATGCCTAGAAATACAGCTAACAAGGGAAGTGGAAGACCTCTTCAAGGAAAACTACAAACCACTCCTCCAAGAAATCAGAGAGGACACAAACAAATGGGAAACATTCCATGCTCATGGACAGGAAGAATCAATGTCATGAAAATGGCCATACTGCCTAAAGTAATTTATAGATTCAATAGCATTCCCATTAGACTACTATTGATGTTCCTCATAAAATTAGAAAAAAACTATTTTAAAATTCATATGGAACCAAAAAAGATCCTAAATAGCCAAGACAATCCAAAGCAAAATGAACAAAGCTGGAGGCATCATACTACCCAACTTCTAGCTACAGTATAAGGCTACAGTAACCAAAACAGCATAGTATTGATACAAGAACAAACACATAGACCAGTGGAACAGAATAGAGAATTCAAAAATAAGACTATCCACCTACAACCATCTGATCTTTGACAAACCTGAAAAAACAAGCAATGGGGAGAGGATTCCCTATTTAATAAATGGTGCTGGGAGAACTGGCTAGCCAAATGCAGAAAATTGAAACTGGACCCCTTCCTTAAAACATATACAAAAATTAACCCAAGATGATTAAAGACTTAAATGTAAAACTCAAAACTATAAAAAGCCTAGAAGGAAATCTAGGCAATACCATTCAGGACATAGGCATGGATAAAGATTTCATGATGAAGACACCAAAAGAAATCTCAACAAAAGCAAAAATTGACAAATGGGATCTAACGAAAGAACTTCTGCACAGCAAAAGAAATTAACATCAGAGTGAACAAACAACCTACAAAATGGGAGAAAATTTTTGCAATCTATCCATCTGACAAAAGTCTAATATCCAGAGTTTATAAGGAACTTAAGCGAATTTACAAGAAGAAAACAACTCCATTAAAAAGTAGGCAAAGGACATGAACAGACATTTCTCAAAAGAAGACATATAGGCAGCCAACAAACATGAAAAAAAAAAAAGATCAACATCACTGATCATTAGAGTAATGCAAATCAAAACCACAAAGAGATACCATCTCATATCAGTCAGAATGGTGATTATCGAAGAGTCAAAAACAACAGATGCTGGCAAGGGTGTGGAGAAAAAGGAATGCTTATAAACTGTTGGAATGTAAATTAGCTCAACCCTTGCGGAAGACAGTGTGGCAATTCCTCAGAGACCTAGAGGCAGAAATACCATTTGACCCAGAAATCCCTCTACTGGGTATATACCCAAAAGAATGGAATCATTCTTTTATAAAGATACATGCATGTGTGTGTTCATTGCAGCACTATTCGCAATAGCAAAGACATGCAATCAACCTAGATGCCCATAAATGACCCACTGGATAAAGAAAATGTGGTACATGTATACCATGAAATACCATGCAACCATACAAAGGAATTGGACCATGTCCTTTGCAGGGACATGGAGAGACTTGGAAGCTATTATCCTCAGCAAACTAATGCAAGAACAGAAAACCAAACACCACATTCCGCACTTATAAGTGATAGCTGAATAATGAGAACACATGGATACATGGAGGGGAACAACACACACTGGGGCCTGTTGGATGGAAGTATGCGGGGGAGGGAGAGCATCAGGAAGAGCGGCTAATGGATTCTGAGCTTAATACCTAGGTGATGGGACAATCTGTGCAGCAAACCACCATGGGACACATTTATGTATGTAACAAACCTGCACATCCTGCACATGTACCCCTGAACTTAAAAGTTGAAGAAAAACAAAAGGAAAGAAAGTGAAGAAATTTCAAGAAAAGGCCAGGCGTGGTGGCTCACGCCTATAATCCCAGCATTTTGGGAGGCTAAGATGGGTGGATCACCATCTTAGGATGGTGTTTGAGGTCCAGGTCAGGAGTTTGAGACCAAACATGGCCAATATGGCGAAACCCCATCTCTATTAAAAATACACAAAAATTGGGAGTGGTGGGGGGCACCTGTAATCCCAGTTACTTGAGAGGTGGAGGCAGGAGAGTTGCTCGAACCTGGGAGGCAGAGGTTCTAGTGAGCCAAGATTGTGCCACTGAACTCTAGCCTGGACAACACAGTGAGAATCTGCATCACAGACCAAAAAAAAAAAAAAAAAAAAAAAAAAAATTCAAGTTAAAAAATATAAGAGTGGGAGAAAATGTCCCTAGGGACATGCCCTGCTTATTGACATATTTCATTCAAAAGATAAGTCACATTTCCAGATAACTTCTTATTTTCCATATAGTTGTTAGTAACTGAATCTGGAATAGACTTTCTTAGTTAGAAATACAAAAACATAAACAGAAGCTTTATTTGCTTCTTGGACCCTCATGGAAAGAGGCTGGTGGAGAAAAAAGAAATTATGTTATAATTTGAAAACTAGATATTACCATAGTTACATATGGCACTATAACCCCCTAAAGAGTATGCATCTTAGTCATTTTATTAGCAATAAATCCAATAATTAACACATGGTGATCCTCAAATATGTTAATCAAATCAATGAATATATAGGGTTTTTATGTCAATAATAAAATATTATTATTTAAAGTGACTTAAAGAGAAGGTAAAGAGAAAAAAGTCTGGTGATATTTAAAACAAACTCTTTTATTTTAGTATATCAGAAACATATTATAAGAATCAAAGAGAACACACAGATTCAGCAAGAAGGCACACTTCCATCACCCAGCAGAAAGATACATGCTGCTAATAATAAAGGGTGTTCATTAAAAAAAAAAAAAAAAAAAATCAGAGTGTCTTACACTGTTCCTAAGCCATTCAGTCAAGGCACTGGTAACAACAAAACACTTTATTCTCAGTATAAAAAAAGGATTATCAGTATTAATTGTTAAAACTCGCTGTAGATAAACTAGATACTTAAAAATATATAGGCAGATAAGGCAAGAAAATAGAAAATTTAAGTGTTAGAGATTACTCTTTAAAAAGAATTATGATACATTTTTTGTGTTCATCTCAAAAGTAGCTTCATATAATACCATAGGCACAAAATGATGAAAGGTCACTGATGTATTGCCAACTCATTTTTATGAGATAAATTCAATTATAATTGCTGTGACTATTCCAGCCACAATGTAGACATAGAATCCAATTATCTATTTCATTTTCATTTATACCTCATGGGCTAGATCATTTATCATGTTTCATGATAATGATCAGAAGACACATGGAAAGTGATTTCTGGAGGTAACAAATTACCTTCCATATTAGCATAGCTTACAAGTTCCTGTCAACAACTACTATGCATAAATATGAGGTAATTAAATTTACAATGTGAAGGAGTGTTTGATATGCTACTTGCTTCCTTCACAGCTGCCAAAAATCTGGGTTGCTAAGTGCAGCAAAACCCTTTGGTTGCAAATCAGGAATCATTATGCCCCAGAACCCCAACAGGTAGATGGTGTGCTCGGGCTCAAGGTGCTGAGATGCATCTTTCATCATCTGGTATTATTACTTCTTACCACCAAGCCATCCATCATTACTGCTGAGACAGCTTGAAATGATTGTCCTGGACTCTCACATTACTGCTCCTTGAACTCTATCTCATCCATCTTTTGCATCATTCCTGATTCACAGCTAAGTACCCTCTCCCCGCTACAAAATCAAGTGTGAACTATAGTGCCTTTCACCTACAGTGCTTCTCTAATAGTGATTGACTTCTCTTTATTATGGAGCTACTGTTCAGAAAAGACTATCCATGATTGCTGATGGTTGATTTTTAAAAAATCAGACGTACAGAATTCAATAGTTTTAGGAAAATGCACTCATTTACATGCAAGTTAGGCTTCAAAATTGCATTAGTATTTCTATTTGAATATTTATCTATAAACCTCAGCAACACAAACATAGACAGATACAGATGCCTCTGAGTGTACAGATATACACAAAAAGAAAAGATAGCCTGTACCATATATACAAAAGCAGTGTTTCAATCTGAAAATTATTAATCAGAATTTCAAAAACGTTTCACAATAAAATTCAAAACCTTAAGGTATCTAATATGTTGAAATTATAAAATATGTTTAAGTGACACAATGCAAACAAAAGAGGGATTTAAAGTTAGATGCAAGAATATAAGTGAAAACTTCCTTTAAATTAAGTATCTTACCCACCCATTTTTCCCCTTTTCACTGACGCTAAGAGATCCTTCAAAATGATACCGGTAACACAGTGGTTGGTGTCCCATAAACTATCCAAGACTAAAGGTTTTAATTCAGCTCCATCTGAATGTTGTTATAAAAGTTTAATAAATCAAAATGATCAAAATGTTCTCGGTGGCAGATTGGGATTCAGTTTCCAATTCAAATTCTCTTTAATATATGGCTTCTCTGACATCTCGCATTTCTACCATCCATGTTGAATTCCAAACACCCTGCTTTACATCTTTACCATGCATCAACCAGTCTGATCATGGTAACTGCTTTTTAGCAATCCTGCACAGTACACAGAAATGCCAAATTGAGTGGGGATTTTAACACAGGAAGATTATGTCAGGTGGGAACTCTTTATCTACCCTTAAGTAAATATTTTCAAACCACCCACTACAGTGAATGACATTCTTTGAGAATGAGAAATGCTGTTAGCCAAAAGTCCTACACCCTCAAAAAAAAAAAAAAAAAATTCCCTCTCCCAACCCTTTAAAACATTGATGTAGGAAAAAGGTCCAGGAGCATTATTATCAGGAGCAATAAAATTCTGAAGAGAAAGTAGAGAAGCCTGTAGAGAGTTTGCTTTATTTCTATGAAGTAAAAAGTTTTACAAAGAAGAGGAAAAAGATTTCCACTTAACCGACAACCAAAATACAGTCAGGAATCTACATGAAGCAGTGGGGGATATCTTTCCACATGATATATCTTACATGTGTTTTTATATGCAGATAATGTCAGCAATAAAAAAGACATCATATTTAACTGCCTGGTTTCTCTTTCTAAATTTTCCATTTAGTTAAAAAACTGTGCTTTCATCCACAGTTAAACAACATGAAAAATTCCAATAATATAGGCTAAAGGCTATGAAATGGAAACTTAGGAAATACAAATAATTTCTATGCACTAAGCACCTATTGTTCAATTCATCCTGTATTGAGTCTTTACTTAATGCCCTATGATTAGTTTAAGGCTTACCCACATTCCTAAAGATTTTAAAACTGGATATGTTCCTAGCACCCCAATCGAAAGTTTACAATTAAACTTAACATCTATGCTCTCAAATGAGTTCTTCTACAAGGCTTCCAAATCTCTGACCATAATACCACATTTTATCCAATATCCCAAACAAAAATCTAGAAGTCTCCTTTGACTTCTCCTCCTACTGTCATTACACAATGCTTTAACAACATTGCTGCCTAATCTCTCATCCTTGACTCATTCTTTCTACCATAACCACCCCCCCCAGGAACACTTATCACTTATCATCTCAAGTTTTTAAAATTGTAAGAGCCCCCTTAACTTACTCCCTAAAAACGCGCCATTTTCCACATCATCTGGTATCCTGGTTTTCTGAGACAGATAATATGTAAGTAACCTACTTCAAAACTCCTAAAGGTTCCCAAATTAAATAACACAATGCATTTATATTTCTTAGTCTGGCACTCAAATTGTTCCACAGTAAGGCCTCAAAGTACAATTTCAGGATCATCTCAGATGTTTTCAGTGGAAAACACTGTGTTACAGTCAATATTTACTGCTAGTTCACAAGAACATGTTTTCCAGTGCCAGTCCCTCTACCCAGAATGCCCTTTACTTATCTTCCACTATCCAAATGCTACCCACCCATCAAGAGTCCGATGGAACTTCCCATCCTCCTCAGCACATCCCCTGACCATTAAAAGGCAGCCACGAGGCTGCCCTCCTCATTCTACACATTAAATTCATGTCATTCATATGGCACTTTATACCTCACTATTTTTGTTTTTTTGACAATATTTGATGAGACCTGCTAGACTTTGATCATGGTATTGGCTACAGAGATCCAATCATGAGTGAGCAAAAGGAAAGGGGTCCCTAAGTACATCAGTCTCATGGAGGAGACAGATGTTATGAATGCAGTTATATTTTGAAGGAGCAGGGTGATTAGAAAAAGCCAAGACCCTAAGGCATGAGAGATCATGGTATGTTAAAGCAAGTGAAAGAAAACCAGTGTTGCTAGAGTTTAGTGAGCAAAGGAGAGTCTTATGAAGGACTGAAGGGGGTGAGCCCAGCTAAAAGCCTAGGAGCAAGCAGGGCCTTGGAGCTGTGATGAGGCAGCTGGAATTTATACCGCAAGAACAGGAAGCTGCCAGTGCCAGGGGGAGCATATTCTGACTTACTGTGTCATACAGTCACTCTGGCTTCTGTGTGAAGACTGCCTTGGAGAAGGTAAGCGTTCATGGAGGGAGATCAATAAGTAGGTTTTTTATAGAAGTACACGAAAGAGAAGATGGTGACAGAGACAAGTGGTGGCAGTGAGAATAAAGAAAAGTGTGGGGCATTCAAAGGCTATGCAATAAAATATGAATAACGGAATCTATTTATATACATATTACAAACAAATTTCAGACATACAGATTTCTATTCACTGCATTTCCAACAGCACAAAAATCTTTGAGACCATTCTCTTGTTATGCATATACTTACTGATAGTAGGCATTACATAAAGATCTTTCAAAAACTTTGACCTAAATAACTCCGGAGGAAAAAAAAAAAACAGTAAAACAAAATCAATGAATTCTCTTCTGTACTAGAAAATAATTGCCATTTGGCCTTTAGGTATTTTTGGGGAGGGGGGGTGGGGAATAAGAAGAAAGCTGAAAGGAATAAGAATGTAAAAGCGTGCATCTATTCAAGAAAAAATACGCGAGGGTGGAAAGAGCAGGAAGTCTAATGCCCAGAGACAGAAGTATACTCGGAAGAGCTGGCTTTGCCTGCTGTGGATCAAGGAAGGAGGTGAGTGATAAAGAACAAATTTGGAGTGGCAGTCAGGGGATATTTCATTTAAGGTCACTTAGAACAGGAAAGGACTGTGATTTTTTTTCCCCCTTAATGTGAAGGGAAGCTGCTGGAGGAGGTAGCATGGCAACATGAGAGTAGCCATGGTATCTCCATATGTATAAAAAAGACTAATGAAAATCCAGGGGCAATCAGCAATACGTAAATAACCAGGTGGGTAAAATTTCTTCCTAACGAAGGTACAAGTAATTACCTACTTGCTGTTTTGTTGTTTAATACAAGGACAGATTCTGTGTCATCATAGCTAAATCTATGACTCCAAATCAAGCAACAATAAAGAAAAACAACAAAATATTTTCTCAGTTTAGGGCTCAGAAAACAGAAACTGGAGAGCAAAAGAAAGTTATGTGCCTATAACAAGGATAAATTATATCCTAAAGTGTAAAAGTCACTGTATTTATATACCTTGTAAGAGATGAGAACACATCTATAGGCCATAATTTCTCTAAAAACAAGTATCAGAGCTAAAGTAAAGCCTGTACAAGAAGAGACTGTTGTATATTTATATTTGAGGAAAGCCGCCATATTTTCTGCCATATTATTTAATTTCTGTCCAGCTCTCCGTCCCCAAATTCTCACTTTTAATACTGAAATGTTACAATATTTCCCTTTTTTTCTAAAAATTAATAATCATGAACTAAACACAATCTATGCTGAGGAGTGACAAAGTATTATTTATCTGTATTCATTTGTGTTGACCTTATACTTGGTTTTAATTCTTGTCAGATTATATTATTTCCTAGAAAGAGGGAAAACATCATTTATCTTAACCCAGATGGGAAAGCAAGCAATTTCTGTGGTACTATCATAAACTTTGAACAAGCCGGTTTTGATCGACACATTAATAAATAATTACATATTATTATTTGCTTTATTTGTAAGGCTTCTACATAACATTTTATGCATTTTTTTGTTTTCTATATATTTCCATGTTTGTATTCTTAGTAACAGTCAGGTTCCTGATCATGCTTTACTGGTCAGCAGAATGTATATTAGCTAGCTTTTTAAAAGATGTACTGCTTAAGTGGCAAATAATTTATGCTAACTGCAAGACTAAACACAAAAACTCACCTGTAAGTCATATAGTGGTAGAGAACCCTGCTATTAATGACTCTCTTGAAGATGAAGTGGAGGGGAGAGTGGGAGAGACTCAAGAACTCAAACTAATGAAGTAATGTCCCACTACAACACTTCTATTGCCATCCTTACTCATTATACCACTAAACACTCTGATTTATCTCCCTGCCCTCACTGATTGATTCCAATTTGTCAACTATAGAGCTTCTGTTCAATTAACATTCTATAAGACTCTCCCAGTGTAACTTTTTAAAGCCAAATTAGTGCTTAATAAGGGGTTTCAATGAAATAGTTGCTATTTCATTGCAGTTAGAAAATAGGTAGACTATTTTTTATTTGTTAGGAAACATTTTTTATTCTTACAGAGTTTAAAATCAAAACCTAAGTCAAAATTCTGTGTCATGATACTCAATAATTCTACATTTCCTATAGAATTAAATTATGAGATTCTTAAGTACTGAGACTATGTATGCGATTTTTTTGGCATTTGTCTTTATTGAATACTTAACATCATAATATGCACTTGCCTATTACCTCATTAAGAACTCAATAAAGGCTGCTAGCTGATTTTTCAATGAAGTTGCAAATAAACCCAGAAAGACTAAAAAATCTTAGTTCAAATGGACACTGTTTCTTTATTTTTGGTTTGGGGTAAGAGAAAGAAAAATGATTAACAGATAGGGGAATATAAACTACGAAGACACTCGGGCCATGTAGTAGATAGGAGTCCCTTGGTAGACGGAAATGGGTCCAAATTACATTTATCACAAACTCCAAGAGAAGAGAATTGAAACTTAGAAAACGTGTACAGGCCTACTGTCAACAATCTGAAATAAAATTCCCTTGAGTTCAGCACAAATAATTATTAATGATGCAAATGATTCTGCTTCCTCTTTGATCCTTTTCAAATTCTTAAGACGAAAGCTTCATCAAAAGCAAACCCCCAATATTTACTCCAAAGAGCAGTGACCAGTACCCTACCCACTCAACACACAAATTGCCTAGGAAAATAAACTGAGAAACCTTTAGGGAAAGAACTCTCATCGCATTTTTATTTTAAAAACAAACTGAAAGAAAATAAATAAAATGAAAAAAATCAATCTGACAAACACAACTGCTGCACTTTACTATCCTTATGGAGTAGCTATAAGGAAACTCAGAAAAGGAGAAAATTAATAGAAAAAAGTATTTGGCATAATGGTGTACAGAAGTGGATCAAGTAGAGTTTCAGTAATTATATGAAGTCCCAGTCAATATTCATATTAGATTTAAAAGCCATAATTTTTCTACTACTCTTAAATAAACATAGATACTATCTTTTTTTTAATACTTTTCAGCTTTGAAAATGTATGTTTAATGGACTATATGAACAATTCAAATGAGTGTCTAGTTTCTGGTTGCACCAAAATATACTATCTGAAATAAGAACATCTAGCACTCTTTTGCTCATTTAGAATTTAAATATGTACCAGACATCTTGAACACTGAATCACCTGAATTACAAGTAGATAATATGAATGAGAGGAGACTCCAAATGTTTCTTTTATCATACTCAAGGGGAGCAAAGTAAAATTTTTAAATATGAGAGATTTGGAGACTCCTCCAAATTTGACACATTTGGTATCCACTGGCTGCATGGGCTTTTTTAAATATTTAGGGGTTTTGGGGGGTAAAATTAGTATGTGATTCAGTGTGTTCTGAAATGTTCATTATATTTCAGTTTTTAGAAAACATAGCTGTTTAAATTACATTCTCCAAGATAATTCCAAACTTCCTGTCAAGATGACCAGTTTTCACAATAGAAGAAAAGGGATCTCAAGTCACCATTAAGAAAAAGGATCTTTATATGAATTCATGAGCCTAAAAGCTGTGCTAGGGAAACTAGTTAAAAATCAATACTGCATGGTATTAAACAGCTTGCTAAAGGTCTCAAGCTAGAAATTCCATGGCCCTTAGCCACCAACTAGCAAAACCTTGCTTCTTATATAAAAACACCAAAAAAATTCAGATTTAATTTTATGTACAAAAAGATTAGAGTACCGGAATAGAATACTGGTCAAATCAATATTATTTTTCAAATGAAAAATATTTACACCAAACTGAAAAGTCACCCTTAATAACCCACTTGACAAAGGAAAGAGTCTGGTGTAGACACCACAATTGTCATCATCACTTCCTTTATGCCAGCAAACTTGACTCCATCTGTAGGTGAGAAGAAATATGTGGTTCATTGCTCATCCCCTACATATGCCAGGGTCAGTCCCACTCCTCTGATTTCAACTAAACAATTTTATTTGTTGATTTTGAGAAAAGTACTGAATTTCTTCATGTAAATATTGTGCTAGGTGCTGAAGCAAACAAAGATGAACAAGACAGGCTCTGATAGGACATAAACTACAATTACAGTAAAAGCAGAATCTGAAAAGTTCTAATAGGTTTTGAATGCTTTCCTTCTTCATATGCATAGTAAATAACTGACATAAAGCAAGTGATTCCATGAACAGTTCACCATTGACCAAATAAGCTACGATCCTACTGATTACCTATGATTCATACTGTTACTTGACTTAGTATGGTAACACCCTTCTCCAATAGTACCATATTCCAAACTCTGTATGTCCTTCAGGATTAAGTTGTACCTTCTCTTGACATTATTTCCTCAGTTACTATCTTATCTGAATAAAATAAACAACTAATTCTGAGTAACACTGTTTACGCTCTGGAGTCCTGTGTACAAAAGCTCTCTACTGGACATACTAGCTGTTTATCCAATAACCAGTGATGCATTATTATTATTATTATTATTATTATTTTGATAGTTGTGGTAGGTACTGCCCTCTTTATCCCTAACTGGATAAGACCAAGGAAGCATGTAGTCATATTTCTCTCCTAAGACTAGGTGGTAGGCCTGGCTTAGGATAGAAGCCAAAATCATAGACTACAAAGTGAAGAATTGGAAAGAACGTGGATCTTTAATGACTTGATCAACAAATCCTGAAGCCTATCCTGTACTACCCAGTCACAAAAATTAGTAAATATTCTTATGTATAAGCTAGTTTATATTGTCTTACAACGGAATGACATCTGTTTGAATTTCTTATGATGTTAAACACCAACTCTGAATAAGGTTGGGTAACTACCCTGAGTAAGGTTAGGTAAAGTGATTGATACTAACCCCCATTTATAGCTAGAGGTCACTATTATTCATTAGGAACAGACTAAAATATTAACTAAATACTTCTGTGTCCAGAGCATTTTGATAATGACTAGTAATTGACACTAAAATTTAAAACTCAAGCCATTAACAATGACAAACCAAAAACTGTGCTTTCAAACTGAAGTACTTAAAATGTAACTGTAGTTTCACAGGTAAAAATGATAGATATAAAACTATAACAATTTGCAATAGAAATTGAGTGTGAGGTGTAGGAATCAGAGAATTTTATAGAAGTTTTACTTAGGTCAGCTGGTTCGAGATGTAAGTGGGTCTTCGGTTTAGACAGATGGAAACAGACGGAGGAGATCACAGCTGAGGTGAGGATTGGCAAAATAATCTGTAGCATAATTAGATTACAAAGTTGGTGCTTTCAGTTTGAAGCTTGGTGCATTCAGTTTGAAGCTTATAAATACTACTTCGACTTGTATTTCAAATTTTTTACACTTCAATTTTGTAAAACACTGAGCAAAAATATCTGCTCTGCATCTCATCTCTATAAAAACTTCTTTGTCAATAGAGATTGGCCTCCATAAGCTGAATACATTATCGTTATTCAAAATGATCAGGAAGCAATGCTAAAGTCATAGCAAAGTAATTTCTGTTTCTCCATACTTTTTTTTATTCTTCTGGCTGTGGGAAAACATAGATCAATACTCTTCAGCATGAAAATTCTGCAATGAAATTTTCATTTGTAACAAACAGCAACAAAAAAGCCTTAAGCATGCCCTGTCACTTTCAGTTTAGGAGAAAATGCACTAATAAACTCTTACCCTTGGGTCATCTTTGACAACAGGCAATACCATGCCAGCTCTTATTAAAGACTATTCATATCACTGCCCCCAAAATTTCCTTTAAAATTACCATCTTTTGTATCCATGTAACAGGATGTCAGCTTTAAAAGTGCCAATGAGAGATAGGACCTGTCAGCACAGTTAATTCTCAGCACTGTTTCAACACCAAGACAGCTGACCCCCGAGAGTATGTTTTTGGTTAGTAATATTTATTTGGTGGTTATCTCTACAAACAAGAAAACTTATTCCTCTGTATTGGTTTTCAAATAAAACAGCAAGCAAAGTATCACCTGTACGTATTAAATATAGAACAACCTAAAGTGTGTTGAAAGAAAAATAAAATTGTCAAAACTATCAAAATATATTTCTAAAATGATAGCAGATTCTGGATAACAAATTCAAAATGCCATCATCTTTCAACTCAACCTTTCCAACATAAAAATCACAAAACTTATGGCAGGACTTTCTTTAAAAAAAGGAAAAATAAGGCCGGGAGTGGTGGCTCATGCCTGTAATCCCAGCACTTTGGGAGGCTGAGACGGATGGATCACAAGGTCAGGAGTTCAAGACCAGTCTGGCCAACATGGAGAAACCCCCTCTCTATTAAAAATACAAAAATTAGCTGGGTGCGGTGGCACACATCTGTAGTCTCAGCTACTTGGGAGGTTGAGGCACGAGAATCACTTGAACCCAGGAGGCAGAGGGGGCAGTAAGCCGAGATCCTGCCACTGCATTCCAACCTGGGTGACAGAGCGAGATTCTGTCTCAGAAAAATAAAAAAAAAAAAAAAAGGTCAAAATTTTCAATGAAATTTAAGGATCCTCTTTCTTATAAATTTTATTGAAATAATTATTAATTTAACAAGTAATACTGCTGGAAGAGCATTGTAATGTAGTTGTCTCCAGGTAAGGAAAACCAGGCTTTGATAAAATAATAAAATCTACTTATCAATTAAGATAAACAAAAGAGATCCAGTAATGACAAAATGATTCTCTTTTAAAATAAACAGGCAGAAAATGTTCGCATGAAAGAAGAAACTATACATATAAAGGGAGCACCTGGATAAAAGCATAAACAGGTCTTCTACAATCTTTTGAGAAATACATCAAGAGTGACTTTTCTGGAAAAAAATGTATAGATAACTATATAGAACATATATAACTATGTATTATACATCACTGTTATTCAAAAGCATTCTAGGTACACTATTAAGATACCATCTCCTTCACTGGTTGCAAATTGTGAACGCATATATGGTAAAGAAGATCCAGTGAGCATGATAATTCAATAGCACGCCCACGTTCCTGTAGCCATAGCATATTAATCACCCTGAAGATTACCCAAGGACACCTTCAGGCTTTCAAAATTAGGCTCAGGTGAGAGAGATGCTGGAATGGGACTTAACAAAGATGCATGTGTGAACATGTGATAAATTGTTTCTCTGCCTAAATACGGAAGTCAAATACTATCATATTTTCTTAATTGAAACTGGGATCTCATGAACTTGTGCAGGTGATATGAGCTGAATACGGAGACATCAGACAAGTTACACTGAAAATAGTCGTATTTAATCTATAAAGTTTTTTTAAAAAATGAGTGATAGAGTCTTCCAAGACTAAAGTTTACAAGAGGTTGATCGCATCATCCAATAATGGTAATGCGAGGGAAAACTGTAGTGGAAAAGAATGAGCTCACCATTAAGAATCAAGAAACAATGGGTTCTATTCTGGCTGTCAATCATTAGATTTAATTTGCTCTGGGTAAATTATCATAAAGTGTGAATTTCAAATTTCTTTTCGTTAAAAATATCAAAGGTTAAAGTATTAAAAACAAGACAATATTGAATAATATATGTAAAAGATATTTGATGCCAAGCATTATAAAATATGGACATATCTCATATTCTCCTTCCAGCCCGTAGGCCTCGGCATGTGCTGTGTTCTCTGCTTGCTGGTGTTTCTTTCTCTTGCCCCTGACTCTACATCCATACCCCTACTTGGGCAACTTTCTCTCAACCTTCAGATCCTTACTCAAAGAAAACTCACTTGCAAATGCCTTCCATGATAGTTTTACAGTCTCAGCCCCAGTTTAGATATTTTTGCTAAAGTCTCTCACACTTCTCCTCGAAGAGACTTAAACAGGTTACGATTATTTTCATTTGTGTCAATATTGATTGATGCTTGATATCCTACTCAACGGAGCTGCTTTACCTCTAGATTTTCATATGGCTGAAGTCTCTATTTTTATTTTTAAGCTTTCAGCTCAGTTGTTACCTTCTCAGAGTGGTAACCTTAAGACTGGTTCCAGAACACCTTAACTAAAATATCAATTTCCATCGTTTTGTGTCTATTTTTCCTTCATAGCCCATACCATGACTTGATACTACATTTTTAACACCTGTCTATATAGTCTGCCTAACATAATTCAATATGATGCTCCATGTGGGTAGGGACATTGTATTACATTTACAATCGTATCTCCAATATCTACAACCTAGAACAGTGCTTACAATATAAGAGGGACTCTATACATCTTAAATGAATGTAATATGTGTTTTGCACTTGTACTTTTCCAGTATTCACTACAAATATGTACTGATATGTCATAATCCCTGACATTCTTCTAGTAACTTTAGTATCCAAGAATATTAGTGAGGACTGTTTGGTAGTTCTAACTTTCTAAGATTCTATAAGAGACATGCATCAGTGAAAATTCACTATTGGGTTTTGATACCAGTAAAATTTGTAGGACTATATGGAAATAGAAACTTGGACCTTGACTTCATTGCCACAATGCTTCAAAGAAAAGTAGTATCCGCAGAACTGTTTTAAACGGGAAGAACTAGATCTAAAGTTAAAATACAAACGAGGTGATGACAATGTGGAATAAGGTATTTGATATATTTAGTCCACTTAGAGCATTATAAAATAGATTTCTTTCAATGGCAAACACTTACTAGAAACTTCAAAAACTTTACAAACTACAGTCTTAATTTCACCTTCACACATTCTGAGAAATTGTATGATGATATATTTTTTATAGTGACTTGACATCAGAAACACTATGGTTTAAAAATCAATCAAAATATCTACAGAGTTGCTTTTGTTCTAATAAAGCCATGCAATTTCGTGAAGTGAAAACAATTTCACCTTACCTCTCACAATAAGTTGAGCAAAATTGGACACACCGGAACCTCGTTCTGACTGAGTTACACAGCGATACAAATCCTGGTCAGTTTTTGTCACTTCTTGCAATCTGAAGGAAGCGGCAAACCTTCTATGATTGATGTTCTTAGTCTGGGCTACTGGTATATCTTCTCCATTTCGTCTCTGCAAACAGAAACCAATCTTTAAAAACAGGTTCTTACTATTTTCATAAATCTATAAAGCATCTTAGCAAGCAATATCTGTGATAAATTATTCTTGTTGCAAAAGAGCCACAATTTTTTTCCATTGTCAATCAGGAAAAGAATGTAAGTAAATACTGGTATCCTCGAAAGCAGTGGTCCTCAACCTTTTCGGCACAAAAGACCAGTTTCCTGGAAGACAATTTTTCTATGGAACAATGAGGGGATGATTTCAGGATGAAACTGTTCCACCTCAAATCATCAGGCATTAGATTCTCACAGGCACTCACAGCCTAGATCCCTTGCATTCACAGTTCACAGTAGAGTTCGTGCTCCTATGAGAATCTAATGCCACAGCTGATCTGATAGGAGGCAGAGCTCAGGTGGCAATGCTTGCTCACCCACTGCTCACCTCCTGCTGTGTGGCCCTGTTCCTGACAGGCCACAGACCAGTACCAGTTTGCAGCCTGGGGGTTGGGGACCCCTGCTCTAAAAGGTGTAGGGCTGACACTATGGTAGTAATTCTCAGTTCTCCATAAATTGCTACTACACCAGAGTAAATGAATTAACAGGAGAGTTAATGGGTCCAAGGCAAATGATTCATTGCCCCCATGCTCTCAGAGTAATATATACAAGCTTCTTTTAGCCCTTATGCTGTATTGCCTGTGCTGTAGTATGTTTTTCCCCACCAGAAGAGTAAGAGCATTGCCTGTGCATCTCTGTATTCCAAATGTGTAGCATGTGCTGGCCACAGAATGATAATAAACTAATGATGAATAATTTAGAGTCAAACCAAAATCTGTACTCTTTGCAAACAACTCTCTCTTTGGCATTAATGACAGCCAATTTATACATTTTAGAGAATTAGTCAAAAGAGCCTAAACTTTGAAAGCATACCTGTCAAATTTCAAAATGAAATACTGGAAGCCATATTTATGATATCAGCATATCCCAGACAAGAGTAATAAGTATAAACTAATAGGAAATGACTGAAAAAAATTCAACTATAAAAAATTTATAACCTCTATATGTTCAAAGACATCATATATAAAGGGGAAAAAACAAGTCACAAATAGTGATAAGTCATTTGTCAAGGAAATACCCATCAAGGAATAAATAGCCAGAATACGTAAAGATCTTCTATATGCAATTAGAAAAAAAGATAACTCAATCAAAAGTGAATAGGGTATAAAAAAGAGAAAGTGTATGTCTAACAACCATGAAATGAGATTGTCAATCTAAATTTTAAAACTTCTATATGTCAAAGACAGCAAAAAGGACAAAGAAAACCCACAACGCTGAGAAAGAATTGGTCATGATCCACAACCTCATTTCTTGTTGGTGAAATTCTAACTACCCCTGGTATCTTTCATATTACTTGAAATATCACTTCATAGGGCTATATATGGGAAACAAAAATGATAACATTCCTGTTGGAAGTGTAAACTGCTAGAGTGACTTTAGAAAATGATTTGTTACTATCTAGTAAAGTTGAGGATGCATAAACCTCAGGACCCGGCAATTCTACTTCTAGGTTTCCACATTTGAACCACCAGTGTATGTGGGATCAAGGAGATACGTACAAGATGTTGAACTCTAAATTATCTGTGATTGTGAAATATGGAAAATATCCAAATATTTCTGAGTAGCAAATAAATAAACTGAATTTTATTCATTCAGTAAGATACGATGGGACAGTTAAACTAGGCAAGGAAAAACCAGCAATGTATTGGTAAAATTTGGAACTGTTAGTTCTCCAACAAGAAACATAAAATGCCATTTTGTAGTATTTGTCCATTTCTGGGGTGTAAATACTCCACTATAGCAACTTCAGTTTATCAGTGTGATATCAAAGTTCCTGAAAACTTAACAAATTTCTGGCACTCATTGGTTCCAGCATTCCACTGATTAGTACTACATGTATGCATGTTTAAATGTTAATTTAAAAATTCCTTAAGGATAAGATGACATGAGACAAAAATATAAACTGTTAACTTCTATTAAATTAGGGTGGTGGTACATTAATGGCTATTTTATTGTTTTCTATGATTTTTTGTACATTTGAAATTATATTTTTAGAGTAAATAATAAAGAGGATACTCTATTGCTTTAATAATTTTCTAAATCCTGGCCAGGCGCGGTGGCTCACGCCTGTAATCCCAGCACTTTGTGAGGCCGAGGCGGCTGGATCACGAGGTCAGGAGATCAAGACCATCCTGGCTAACATGGTGAAACCCCGTCTGTACTAAAAATACAAAAAATTAGCCAGGCGCGGTGGCGGGTGCCTATAATCCCAGCTACTTGGGAGGCTGAGGCAGGAGAATGGTGTGAACCCAGGAGGTGGAGTTTGCAGTGAGCCGAGATCACGCCACTGCACTCCAGCCTGGGTGATAGAGCAAGATTCTGTCTCAAAAAAAAAAAAAATAATAATAATAATAATAATTTTCTAAATCCCAAATACACTGTATCTTTAAATACCTTTCTCCATATCTTAAATCATGCATATGCATATTATGTAGTAAATACATATATGTTTCTGCATATGCATACAAAAATACCTAAGGACATCAAATCCAAATCAGGATTTTGCTATTTTTTATTCATTACTTTTGTTAATTTTTCTCTGCTTACCAACCTATTTCAGGATTTTTGCAGCAAGATCCCCCACTCATTCCCTTGGATAATAAGGAACTGAAAAAGCAGCTTATATCCAAAAATATAAATCCATAAAATCAGCCAAAACTCTTTCCCTACAAACCACATAAACCAAAAAAAAAAATTATACATGCAAACCTCAGACTGCGTTTTTTTCAATTAGCACATCATTTCCATACAATCTTCCTAATTGGAAGGCCCACCACGCTGCTTACTTTTGTTATACAACCTTATCTGGGCTTCCTCTAGCTTATCTCTCCAGGTGTGTTCTCAAACTCTCTCCTTGCTCCCTGCCATATGTATTTCTCAGTTCTTCTGCACGACTAGCCAATTCCCACTGCCTGTACTGACTTCCAAATTCTCTTGCACATGTCCACACCCACTCAAGTCTTCTCACACTATGCCTTTCAAAACCCTTCTCTTGTGAAGAGATTCTGAGTATCCTTAATGTTTCCTTCTCAATAATCATTATTCCATCTTTTCACCTTTATTGGCATTCCTCTCACAACACTACTATCTCAAAGGAGGGTACATTTTATGGTACCTTACACCCTCTTTCAGGGACAGCTACCATTTTCCTGGTTCCTAACTTGAAGACAACTCTTCCACTTTCCCACTCAATCACCTCTCAACTTTTGGAATTCGCAGGGTGCCCACATATCATTCCCATCACTGGGAATATTCACAGACCAAATTATCCTCCCTAACCCAGTCCTGTGAATATTCCCATTGATCCTCAAACTCACTTTGGCCTCAGTGATCCCCAACAGCCTCCCTTACCACCTTACAACATCCAAGTTCCTGTGCTGTGACAGTTTCCTCTCGAATCATAACAGCCCGTGCAATTCAGTCTCTCACTCCTTCAATCCTCTACATTGGCAGTGAGACCTCATTTTGTGACCCTTATCTTTACAGGAGTCATTTCAAAGAGACATTCTCTAGCCTGAAAGGGCTCCAGATTCTTTCAACTTTCTATTGTTTATGCATTGCCAATATTGAATTTGCACTATCTTATCAACTATTCTAAAACTACTGACATTTGCAGAAATCGGTCATTTGTTCTTATGAAAAATGTCTGTGTTATCTAAAAATGGAGATTAAAAACTTGCAGACATTCCTACTTGATTTCCACGTGACCTGATCTATGGTATCTAGCTCCTTCCCCTCTGCCTCAAGTTCGCATTCCATCAGCTCATATATACTCTTCCCTTTCTACTCCTGCTGACAGGGTCATGGATACTGCCTCAAAAACTCTATAAAAGATTATAAAAACTTATTAACTGACTTTTCTATCTTAAATCTTTTCTACTATGATATATTTATCAATGTCTTTTCATCTGTTTGTATACTGAAATCATTCTGAAGGTAGGGTTTCATGTCTCATTTATATATATTTTTTCCTCCATAATATTTAATATATATTATCTTTATTTAGCGGGTGGCTCAAGTACTTTGTTAAAATGAATTAAATTCACTGAACATTTTAGAGACAAGAGTCACATAAATCCTCCTTAGGCTTTTATTAAGTTATAATAAAATACACATTAATCATCAATCCAAATTAATAATAAAGGGAGGTTACAAAAATATTGAATTTCAAGGACACCAAGAGATCACTGACACCAAGCTATTTCAGAAATAATTATACCACAACTCAGAGAGGCTGAGGGGTATACTTAAACTCATCCAGGCAAGATATCACCAAGCTGATATATTACATGATGCTTATATGTGTGTGTATTAATATACTAATATAACTATAAATACATATGCTTATATAGGATGTATATTATATAATTAATGAGTACAAAAGACTTATGTGATATTTATTTCTTGAAATAAAATAACAAAATTAACAGTCATAATATTCAGGTTTATCTTCAATAATCATTTAATAAGCACCTCCATGTACCTTATATTATGTGAGCTGTTACTGGTTCTGTGGCTTCTCTCTCTTATGAACTTTTCTGATACAGTCATATCCAATTAAAGTTCAGAAAGATTAGAAATGTGATGCACATAGCCTGTTAGCAGGACTAAAATTCAAAACTAGGTTTGATGACCTAAAATACAGCAGACTTTCCTCTAAACTAAACCAAAGCTGTTATGTTCATTTTGGTTACAGTTCCTATCCAACAAATTGATTATTTAGTATTGAGGTTTAATCAAGGCATCGTTCCAATGGGCTAATATAATCTATATTAGACATTGCTTTCTTTACTTGGCTTCCAACGATTCATTAGAGCTAAAGGTAACAATTGAAAACATTTAAATTCTAGAAGTCAAAAATAACTTTTCCTTTTATAGGCTCTTTATTCTGCTTTGAGTTTTTATATATGATTTCTCCATTGCAAATGTATACCCACCTCTGAGAAGTACTGAAAAATGAATCACACAAATATATGATCCAAGGGATTATAACCTAGCACTACTTTTTTTACCTGCTTTCCATCCCGCCCTCCAATCCATCTCAGGCTTCTGTATTTATTTTGTCTCCAATACAAGTTGCTGGATAAAACTTGTCACTTACCAAGTAACCCTGGGCAAGTCACTATAATCCTCAATGTTATCACTCCTCTCCTCTACTATACTAAGTCAGCTTCATCATGCACAGTGCATGCAGTATTCATTTGACAAGTTTCATTCCTGGTGGAATATAGTGGTAATAAAGGTTGATTCTCCAACATCTATTTTCACCAGCCAGGCTATTAACCAAACACCTTGCCATGTGGTCTACAGACCAGTAGCATCAGCATCAACTGGCAGATTGTTACAAATGAAGAGTCAAGAGATCACTTTAGATATATTGTATCAAAATCTGCATCAAGATATTACACGTGGAGACACACTGGGCCATTAACACTAGGTTAACCTGAGTCTTCTTTCCATTAACAGTGACATGTTTTTAAAATGGGGTATCGGTCCATATTCTGGCCAAGGAGATATGATAGGAATTGGTCAAGTTATTTCTAAAAAGGTTTCCTCACTTCTAAGGAGACATAAGAAAATGGGTTCCCTTTGCTTTTTCTTACTGTCATGCCAAAACCTGGAAGAGCTGATTCATCACCATAAGGCAGTCCAGTCTAAGGGAAATGCTGATGCACTCAGGATGGCATATCAGGCAGAGAGACAGAGGAAGTTACTTATCAAATCTCTGAAATGACACCAACAATTACTAGAGCCCAATTCTCTTTGGACTTTTTGTTAAATGAAATAATACATTTGGTTTTCTATTACTTTCAGCTTGAAAGTATCCTAAAAGAAATATGGTATAATTAAAATATGTTACACTTTACTTCAGAGTCTCTTTTCAAAGTTTGAGGAATAAAATCAATCCAGTTTCATTTCAGACTAAAAAGAGCTGCACTGACAATACATGTCGAGATTATTTCAAGGCTATTGACTTGAAAATAATCAAATTACATTTATTTATATATTTATTTCTTCATTGACTTTCATATATCATTGACTATCATATGTCATTGACATAATGATATATGATTCTCTCATCTTCTTAAAATTGTAGGACTCAGAAAGAGCCTATTTTCTTATGTTTGATATTTAGGTCCCTGTTGAACAGCATCAAGAAGACTGCATATGAGTTGTCAAAATGAATTCCAAAGTGAATTTGCACAACTACGACCAAGTGAGGCTGACGTGAAATTTACAACATTCCAGCCAAATTAATCCCAAGGAACTGAGAGTTCCTTACTAGAGCTTGTCTGCTTTATAAGATTTGTATGAATTTTTTTCAGTCTCACAGGATGATAAAGATACTATCATCATCACAATCACCATTATTGAAGAACAAAATAATTCTATAATTCCAAAAACATGAAATCATTTTAAAGACAATTTTAAAAACATGAAAGTATTTCACAGAAAACTTAAATTTAGAAATTTCTAAAATTAAAAAATACTATGTTATTATTTTGAGAGAAGCACTGTTTCTTATTTATGGCCATAGAAATTATTATACTTATTTCATTAGAGTAAGTAAATAGTGTTCTCCTAGAAAAAAAAAATATGCTGAAATGACAATAAATTCAAACTATTGACTATCTGGCAATGGAAGGATGGAAGAAGGTAAATGAATACCATTTGACAGAGAGAGAAAGAGGTGGTGAATATTATAATTCTGAAATAAAGCAGGGTAAAGATGTGCTGGAGATAGCAAATACTAGAATCAGATTAATCAAGTGTAACAAAATATAAAGTCAGCTATTCAACAAGAAAAAGAGTTTCACCCTAGGAAGCATGAGTATCTTTGCAATGGAGAGAAAAGGTGACCAATAAGAGGAGCCACACGGACAGAGCAGGTGTAAGTGACAGAACCATGTCTGCTGGGGATGATACCCAGCTTCTAGCCCTGAAGTAACCATTTGTGAGCTGAACAATTTCTCATTACTTCTCAAATCTCTACCTTTTCATCTAACATTGGGTATATGTATTTGTACCAACTTATTCAACAGAGATGATGAGAATACTCTGTGAGATTGCTGTGCAAAGGTATTCATAGCAAATTCTGATAATCACAATATTATGAAGATGATAATCCAAACAATATCTAAGCAAATAATCTGTTTGATAACTGTGTCAGTCTTTTGATGTGTGTACTTGCCTATGCTACAATCTCCAGTTATTTCATTAAATACTAAACTAGGTGACCTTGTGAAGGCATTTTGTGAATGGACTTAAAATCCATAATCTAGTAAATAAGATTATCCTAGATAGTCTGAGTGGACTGGATTGAATCAGTTGAAAGGCTTTAAGACCAGGGGTGAGGCTTCTCCGAAGTAGAAGAAATTCTACCAGTGAACAACAGCTTCAGTCTGTGCATGCATGTTTTAGCCTGCCCTCCCCAAGGGCTTGCCCTACAGACTTCAGACTTGCCTAGCCAATCTGCACAAGCACATAAACCAATTCCTTGCAGTAAATCTCTTCAATTTTGTAAATAAAATCCTACTATATGTAATCTTATAATTATATAGACATATATATATATATATATATATATATATATATATATATTTCAATAAAATCATATCTATCTCCTACTGGTTCTGCTTTACTTTCTTGAGGCCAGAGGGACAGAGATGATTTTAGGACCAGAAGTGCTTCTAGAGAATCAGATTTTTATGGATGAACTTTCTGATTTGGTTCTGATTCTGGGTTTACTGAAATTTATTTTTCAGTCTGATTAGATTTAAAGGTACTTATAACCTCTCTTGCCAGTGGCAAAGAAGACACTACTAGTCCACTACATGATGCAGCAGTAGAGGCATGTAAAATATCACTCTTAGATATACTCCTAATCAAGTATCTATGGAAGGCAAAGTTTTGGTAACCATGTATTTGCTACCTTAGAACATTTTAGTCAAACAAAGAAACAAGAACAAAGAAACAAACAAAGAAACATAATGGGATTGGCTGGTTGCTTCAAACGGCACTGTAGAAAGTGGAAACGTGATGCATATGAGTCCACAACTATAAAACCATGCAATTTATAGAGTGAGAGGGAAGGTGGGTGAAGTCAGAAGACAAATGCAATGAAACCACCAGATCTGAGGGATTCTGGGAAGCTGATGGCAGTAGCGTAGTTTTTTAATCTTTCTGAACCTGCCACATAAAAACAGACTGACTAATAAGAGAGTATGGAAATAGAAGGACTAGACAAAAGTGGGGAAATCCCAGAAATCCCAAAAGGCAAGCTGCCGTATTTTAAAACATAACTCAAAGCAACAGAAGAGGGAAATCTGTAAAATCAGGTAAAGTTTCCTGAACCCCACCTCATTTTAAAACTTCAGGAAAACTTATTTCACATAAAAATGAATAACTTAAAAGTATCAAGATCAAACCCCACATATAGATTTTGTAAGATTAAAAGAAAATAAGGAACAGAGTATAATTCTTAGTGTCAATGAAAGTCAGTCAGAAAAATATGTCCATAAAACAGATCAAAACCGCAACATAATATTTCAAGATAAGCTAAAACATATTACGGAAATGATTCATGAGATGAAACAATATAAACTTAAACAACAAAACTCAGAAATGAAATGACAATTAAGGAAAATTAGAAATTAAAGAAATATCATTATTAATTACTAGAAATTATGAGTTCTCACTCATAAGTGGGAGACAAACAATGAGAACACATGGACATAGGGAGGGGAACATCACACACTGGGGCCTGTCAGGGGATAGGGGGCTAGGGGAGAGAGAACATTAGGAGAAATACCTAATGTAGGTGATGGGTTGATGAGTGCAGCAAACCACCATGGCACGTGTATACCTATGTAACAAACCTGTATGTTTTGCACATGTACCCCAGAACTTAAAGTCTAATTAAAAAAAAAAAGAAAGAAAGAAATAGAGAGGGAAAAAAAAGAAATTATGAGTAACTACAGTAAAGTCAACAGATGATTCCTGAATAATGAGTGAAAAAGGGGTAATTTTTAATGTTTAGAATAAGGAGAATAAAAATATTTGAAAGTGATCAATGATGACAGGCAAAGATCAAACAGAGAAAACAGAAGTCTCTACAGGATCAAGGGTACAGATAAAGTACTACAAATCATAGTTTTTTAAAAAACTTCTGGGTGCGGTGGCTCACGCCTGTAATCCCAACACTTTGGGAGGCCGAGGCAGGTTGATCACGAGGACAGGAGATCGAGACCATCCTGGTGAACATGGTGAAACCCCATCTCTACTAAAAATACAAAAAAAAAAAAAAAAAAATTTAGCTGGGCATGGTGGTGGGCGCCTGTAGTTCCAGCTACTCGGGAGGCTGAGGCAGGAGAATGGCGTGAACCCGGGAGGCGGAGCTTGCAGTGAGCGGAGATCGCGCCACTACACTCCAGCTGGGGTGACAGAGTGAGACTCCATCTCAAAAAAAAAAAAAAGCAAAAACAACAACAACAACAAAAAATTTTCTAAAATAAAAAAAAAGTTTATAAACTACATAATGAAAGAAAATACCACATACCTGATGACAGTATCTCAGAGTGACCTACTGTGATACATATTCTGGTAAGATTAATTAGAAACAATTATTTGCATATCTAGAAAAAATAGGTACAGACAGACACCAAGGCTTTATAGTGACTGACTGTACCTATTCTGTCTGTGAAAGAAAATGAAGTAACATTATTTAAGTTACTCAATTAAAGAAAATGTGAATGAAAGATTTCATATACTGTGAAATTGACTTAAGAATCAAGGGCACAAAAAACTATTATCAACATCTAAGAACTCAGGGAATACTATTCCCATGAGCAGTTCCTAAGGAATTTGAAATGCAAAAAAGGTGTTTCTGACGTACAAAATTACTAGATATGACAGGTGGGCTAATATTGAATATTAAAAACATAGTTACATTTAGAAGTGAGACTAAATAAGAGCTAAGTAGAAGAAAGTATATTATCCATGCAATAGCTATATGCTGACAATGGAGCTTTAGTACAAGTTTCAAAATAAAATGAGATAAAACCAATGTATAATTATGATATATTCTAAATCCACCTTCCTTATGTCACTGACAACCAAGAATATCGGTGTGGAAATAAAATGTAACTGAAAAGTTGTAATAAGATAAACATTGAGTAAAAACCTTTAGGCTTCAACTTGAAATATCCCTATGAACTCATTAGGTATTTTATCATTAAATATATGTGTATGTATTTTTTAGCTCTATTCACTGAAACGATCTAGAAATGAGTATCTCTCAGAACCTGCATCGTTATCTTGAAATATGATTTCTTACTAAAACTAAACAGGACATCATTGAAAAATGACTGATCTCACATCCAGAGGAGAAAGTGAAACATCTCACAGTACCAGGTAGCAAGGAAGCTCTCAAAGCCTACTATAATCATATCAAAAAGAATCAGGAGCAAATTTGGAGAGGTGCCCACTAAGCAAATATGGGACGATTTAAGATTTAATAGAAATAATAATTGCAACAAATTAAACTCCATTAAATATATTTAAATCCATGAGTGTATAATGATATTAAAAGAAAAAAAGAGTAAGTCATCTTTGCAGGATGATAGGGAACCAACTCATTTTAAACTAGTAAATATAGCAAAGATTGGAGCATGTATTTTCCCTTTCCTTAATGAATTGTGTTATTGGGTAACCAAATAGTAGATTAGGGGGAGTATGTATCTTTTCATCAACTAAACAAATACAAAAGAAATAAGACACACAAAAAAATGATAGAATATCACAGTTTTCTACCCCCAGGAATAAATATAGGCATTAATCATCAGAGACTGACAAGATCACAAAAAGAAAGATGACACATTTTGTTCCTCCTGTTATTATACCAAACACCACCTATGGTGTTGCCAAAGGATCAAACTTGACCCTGGATCTGGCTGCCAAGTTGCAGGAAATGGAGAGGAAAGAGGGACATGTGGAACTGAAGAGGGCATTAGTATGCAATCAGCAAAATGTGGACAGGGGAAGCTAGAAGTCAAACATCCTAGGCTCAACAGATAAATTGCGAGGAAAGGAATAAAGGACAAACCTACAGATTAAAAGTGACTTAAAAAGATGTCTAATTTTAAAAACTGGTAAGACTATGGTGTCTAGGGATGCATATATAACTGCAAAAAAACTACAAGGGTTAAAATTCATGAGAGTGGTTATTTGTAGAGGCAGGGAGACAGCTCTGTTATGCCTGGCACAGAGCACATGGACGGCACCTCTGGGATGGCTGGCAAGCTCTCTTTCTTGTCCTGTGTGATGTTTACCCGATATTGAGTCACAATAGTTTTTATTTTTGTGTGGTATTCTATACCTACGTTTTATTTTACAATAAAATAATTTTGTAAATTTTAGATCTTTCTAGCAGACTACTTTTCATAAAGAAGAAACCAGGCCTGCCAGTGATCCATGTTGTAATACTGATCCCAGGAGCTCAATGGGAAAGTTACAAAGTGCTTGACGTGACACACCTAGAAACACACTGAAGGGGCAGCTCTGCAAACAGGAGAGCATATTGTTCTTGCACAGAAAGAGAAGTAAATTATTTCTAGATATCGATAAAAAGCAATCCTTGAACTTCCATGACTGCCAGGCTTGTATAGTCCTGTTCCAAGAATAGATAAGGAAGGTAAAGAATATTATACGCATTATTCATTTATGATCAGTTATGTAATCTGTAAACATTAAATTCAGAGTTTATAAATTATTAAAGAAGGAAAAGAAAGCTTTATATCTGCAAGGCATTGATCTCTTTACGGTAGGAAGCCACATAAAATCAACCAAAATGACTTCAGGAGTATTTAACAATTCTAAAAAGTAAATATGATTAAACTTTCTGATGCTCATCATTACATATCCAAAATGCCAGAAAGCAGAAGAAAAACCTTATAATCCATGATATGAGATCGGTGACTTTATCTCAAGACCTATAAGCAGAATTCTTTATATAAAGCTATGCAGAAAGAAGATAATGCTGTGAATTAGAATATACCAATGGCCCAATGAAAAGCAGGACTGCCGAGTGTTGGCTCTTAGCTACGAAAGAGAACACGGTCTCTTAAGTGGATCAGAATTAACTGTAAACCAGTGTATACATGGCAAAATCACTACTGCTTAGACAAAAGCAGAGAAAATTAGAATTAAATAGCAAGCTACTATTCATCTATCAGCTAAAGTTTAGAGCAGGTGACAAGAAACTAGGAAAGCACAAGGGACATGGTTTGCACTCCTCACACTCCTGTCTTGTGAGCCAGAAGTTACAGAAGCAGCCAAGGTTGAAGGCACCAACAGTTTTCCCATAGATTAATTCTCCTCAGTGACACCTGGGCCACTCAGAGGTTTAAGTTGGCGACAAGCTTCAAATTGTCTTGGTAAACTTTTATTAAAGCTAGAAAGAGTCAAAAGGAATTGAAATGTCTCCTCATTTTTCACTCCTACTGAGGAACACTTACATGAAATTATGAAGGTAGAAAGAGGTAAAAAGTAAAACAATGGTTCTAATAGACAAATGCGCTCCAAAACTAGAAATTGAAAAAACAAACTCATTGACTGTCTTTTAAAAATAAACTCTGAGAAAATGTACAAAGCTGTCTATATTACTTCACTCTCACATCTTCTCAAATTCTATAAAATGGTGCAAACCAGGCCCAAAATCGTTTTGTTTCTTAATTTGTCCTCTCCTTTGCTACTCATGGATCTTCCAATGCCAATGGCGCTGTCCGGAATCAGGCCCTCATTCCCTGATGACTGTACTGAGAACAGAAGCCTCTTCCTCTTCCAGCAGTCTCCACCGTGGTCTAGTACCAACTTTTCCATAAATTCTATTTACCTCCACTCCTCATGGTGAACCTTCCACTTCAGTAAGATCCTTCTCCTTCGGTTCCTATCCCACGTCCCCACACATACACACGACGTGCTTTCTGCCTTCTGAATCTGCAGTAGTAACCATGCCCACTTTTGCTTATTCAAGTACTATGTACACTTCAAGGTTTCAATCAAGTCTTCTCTAATGATTTCACCAAATACTCCAGTCCGCGTTGCTCACGCTTATCTCTGAAACAGTACAGTCCTTAGACTCTATACAGACTTCCCATACACAGTTATAGAATCACATGTCAGGGCAAAAAGTATCTTAAAAAGTAGTTAACCTCAGGCTCAAATGTCTTCTACATCTCTAGCATATGCTTACCCAGATTATGCTTGGATACTTGGACTAATTGTAATTTTACTACCTCCTGGAGCAGCTCATTGTAGTTTTCAACAGCCCTACAATTACAAAGTTCTCCCTTATAATCAGCTTATAGCTCTCACCATAAGCTTCAAATCATGTCATTATTATACTTTAGGATCTATAAGGAGGAAATTAAATCCATTTGTATATTCCTTACATTACAAGGTAGTAAATAAGTCACTTACCTAATCTTCTACAAATCTCAAGATATATTTGTGCCATGTGCCTTTAGCAATTCTGACATCATTGTTCAAGTTTACTCACTGTTTTGGTACTTATATGCTACTGTTTGTTATTTTAATATTTCAGAAGTGTGTCAGCCATTCTTAAAGTCTTTTACCTAGAAAATGTCAGAACTTTGACCACGTCCAGACATTAGAGCAACTTTTATTATATTGCATTGCATTGTTTTTTCTTTATGCATGTTACCTAGCGTGAGCTGATCACATATTATGTATTTAATCAAGTTGACTTTAAAAACCTCCTCTCAAAATAGTTTCCAAAGAATTGCCTACTGTAAACTGCAGTTCCTAAGCATGCAGTAATTTCTTCAGGAAGCTTACCTTCATTATAATAAGTGGAAAATTATCTTTTTTTTCCTAAAATAAATAGTGTCAGGATAGTAAAATCTCTTGCAGAAATTAAATATGCTGCAAACATCTGGGCTTGCCAAATGGCAATATAAATAAGCATAGAAAAATGCTATAGCATGGGGTCATCAGAAAGAGCACTGTGAGCCGTAACTACTAGGCCTCTGAAATGGTGTAGTGCTATGTTTTCATCAGCTAAAATTTTTGTGCTTCCCAATTAACTCAATTGTTTAGAAATCATGCTTTAGATTCCCACTACCATGTGGTGATGTTTGCATGGAGTACAGGAACAAGGCTTTGGAATTTGCCTGGACAGGTAACGCACTATGTGGTCAGAAGTTTTAGACCAACCGCTTTCACTGCCCCTTCACTGAGAACGGTTGGTACAGTAGGGGGTCAGCCTCGCTCTGGTTGTTTTTGAGAGCAATTTGCATCTCATTTTACTGATTTCACTCTCCAATTAGTACTCTCAAGCCATTGCTTAAATTATGTGTTGCTCCATAAGGAATGACATTTCCTTTGGCTGAGCAACTAGCTGTATCACACTATTCTAGCAATGATGAGCCTCACCAAGGGCGAAGCGGTGGCTGACTCTCCTGTTTTGGCAGGCCCACGGAGGAGGCACAGTGCCAGCACCTGCGGCGATTACTGACAGATTGGCCCAATTGCCACAGTTTTGATGACAATCTGCATAGGATTACCAGTCACACATTAAACAGCCTCATTTCAATTCACCAAAACAAATGGTGCCACCAAATCTACCCACACAATTCCCTACTTTCAATAACTCCACTGTTGAATTTCTCTGCCCAATTCAATGATGCAGGCCTGCCAAGCGCTGTAATGATGGATGGAGTCATTAGTATTTTAGTTTCTACACCGAACTTGAAGCCAAAGCATATGGTCTGACAGATGTTGCAGCAATAGGCTCTATTTGATTTACCCTGTAGGTGTCCACTTATACTGGACCTTCATAATAGAATACTAATGCATAACTTTCAGTCCAACCCCAGTTACAACCCTTTCATATCCTCAAGTTATAAGGTGTTCTTAAAGCAGAAACTCAGAACATGTTTATTTCAAGTTAGGCTAATGATTACAAATTACCTTTGAATGTAATCAAATCACTTGAAATGGACAAGATGGATAAAAACGCAAGTAATGCCTGTAGGCTATTACCATCTATGGCTTGATTAGCACTGCCAGTAAGTTCGTTATTTGATAAAATGTGTCACTTACTCATTTTTTCCTCATTTGTGTCTTATTCAGGTAAACATAATTAGTAAATTGGACAGATCTTAATCTTTGACAAATGTCTGTACACTCATAGATCAAGACCCCAGTCAATATATATGACATTAACATTACCCTAGAGAATTTCCCCCTGCCCACATCCAATTAATCCTTATTCCCCACAGGCAACAAGTGTTCTGATTTCTATCACCATAGGTTAGTTTTGTTTCTTATGAAACTTAATGTAAATGAAATTATAAAGGATATGACCTTTTTGTGTCTGTCCTCTTTCCAAAACCTAATGTTGCTGAGATCCATTCACGCTGTTGCATTATCAGCAGTTCATTCTTTTATTGCTAAGCAGTATTCCATTGTTTGAATGAGCCACAAATTGTCTATCTATTATCCTGTTCATGGACATGTAGGTTTTTTCTAATTATCAGTTATTATGAATAAAGCTGTTATAGGCATTCTTGTACAAGTCTTTTTGTGGGCACATGTCTTAATTTCTCTTGGGCAAATACTTAGGAATGGAACTGCTACACCATATGTTCATTTTTTGCTTATATATTCACTTTTTCCTGCAATCACTTTATCCAGTGTTCATAAGAGTTACAATCTAGTGTTCAGTAGCACCATAGGGTGACTATAGTTAACAATTTATTGTATATTTCAAAATAACTTAAAAAGTGGAATTGGAATGTCCTTAACACAAAGAAATAATAAATACTCAAGGTTACGGATACATCAATTACCCTAATTGGATCATTACACATTATATGCTTGTTCCAAAAATATCACATGTACCCCATAAATATGTACAAGTAGTATGTATTGATAATAATTTGATATTAAAAAATAAAAATAATTCAAGAATATTAAAAACATGCAAATATTGAAATATTTGAATATTTTTTAAAAGTTTTGAATTTTAAATATTTTCAATAATACTGAAAATAAATAATTCAAAAAATTCAAAATTTAAAAATAACCAACATTTCTAACCTATAAAAGTGTACAATCTAATTTTTATTTTTCCTGTAAGAAAATTATTTGACACTTCTCAAGAATATAACCAAATGCTTTTTATTATTTCATTTCAGTATAAATTATATGTTATAATTTCACTTTTGATCTTATTTCCCATAAGTAGAGCTTTATCATAGCTTCAAGTTATGAATCACAAATTCCGTATCATTGAACGTTCCTCAGGAATACAGACATCCTTCCTTATCCAAGGTCGCACTTTGGGCAGTTGCAGTTACCTTCTGTCAATCACAGTCTGAAAATCTTAAATGAAAAATTTCAGAAATAAACCATTCATAGGTTTTAAATTGCACTCCACTCTGAGTAGCGTGATGAAATCTTGTGCCATCCCTCACTTGTTAGTCATCGACATTGTGTGTTTCTGACATCCCAACCATCAAAATCGTCATGGCTCAATGATCTAGGATAGCCCCAAGCAGATGAACCTCCTTCTGACATATTGTCAGAAGGACAATAGTAGCCTAATGCTACATCACACTGCCTATGTCATTCACCTCACTTATTCTCATTATGAGTTATTTTATCATTTCACTTCATCCTAAGGAGGGTGAGTAAAGTACAAAGATATGCTACAAGAGCTCACATTCATATAACTTTTATTACAGTATATTGTTATAATTGCTCTATTTTATTATTGTTAATCTCTTACTGTGTCTAATTTATTAATTAAACTTGATCATAGGTATGTATATATAGGAAAAAAACAGTATATGTGGGGTTTGGTACTATGTGTGGTTTCAGGCATCCACTGGGCTTTTTGGAATGTATCCCCCAAGGATAGGAGAACACTACTACAAAATTAAAATGGCTTAGTTCTAAAACTTAGAAGATTTAAAAAATGTCTGTTCATGTGGAAAAAATTTACAAATCATTAACCAAAAAATGCGTTTATATCCAGAATACATGCTACTTCACTGAGCTCTCAATTGAAAAATAATCTGGAAGTTCTCTAAGGGTGACTAAAGACTTTATTCTAAATTTCTTTTTTTTTTTTTTTTTTTTTTTGAGACACATTCTCGCTCTGTCACCCAGGCTGGAGTGCAGTGGCATGATCTCAGCTCACTGCAACCTCCGCCTCCCGGGTTCAAGCAATTCTTCTGCCTCAGCCTGCCGAGTAGCTGGGACTAGATGCGCGCACCACCACGCCCGGCTAATTTTTGTATTTTTAGTAGAGACAGGGTTTCACTATATTGGCCAGGCTGGTCTCCAACTCCTGACCTCATGATCCACCCACCTCGGCGTCCCAAAGTGCTGGGATTACAGGCGTGAGCCACTGCGCCCGACCCTAAATTTCTTTTAGTGCATAAATGTACCGCATAACATATTTTTAAAAACTACTTTCCAGAAAACCTCATGATTTCACCATATTTTTAGTCTACTGACACTCAGGCTTATAAAAACATTCGATGTTGTTTTATGTATCATTAGTTCATTTAGCATGTACAAGAAGGTAGATCTACTTCAAATACTCTACAATTATATAATCCAATTCTTACAAGAAAGAACATTCCCTATAGATACTTTCAGAACTACCATGATATGCATTATGAAATTATCCTAGATTAACTCAGGCAATTCATTGTTTGTGTTTTTCCCTGCATTTTTCAATTTACTCAATTTGTATATTATTTTAGACAACAAAAACGACTGATATATTAATTATAACCTAGAAAGAATACAGAAGTGAGAGAAATTTTTCAGTTTTTCCATAACAAATTATTTAAAATATCAAATATGATCAAGCATTGTGTTCTGTACACCTTTCACAGAGTTATAGTATATCATTTTTCCTTTGAAATAGAAAATTGGCTGTTTTTCTAGTCTTTGTTACTTTAGCCCATATTTAGACAACATTTTGCCAATTGAAGCTCAATACTACATAATGTAAGTTATTTGGAGGACATATAAAGTTGATTGCCATTTGGTATTTTACCTGACCATGGCAGGTATAACAACTGTTGTATTATTCCATTACCTCTGTGGATAGACTGCAGTGACCTTTCATTGAGTGCTTCAAGTACATTCATTCTCAGTACTAGCAGCAGATATTTTGAGCATTTGTTCTCACAATGATACTTAAAGGTACCATTTTTCCCCATGCAAAACGAATTACAAGACTTTTTCATCTTCCACACAAAAAGGTTATCAAGGCCATGTTTCAAGCCACCAAAAATAACGTAAAGACCTAGTTTAGCATCTTACAGCTGGAAGGGATTTTAGTGTCTATTCAGAATCTCCTTTTATAAATAAGCAAATTGAGGCCCAGAACACATAAATGAAATCTCTAAGGCCACTGCAATTAACTGGGTTAAAAGGTTTAGGAGGGTTAGAGTAAAAGTTAGAATTCAGAACTGAGCTTCTTGAACTCTAGGCTGTTATTCTACGTGAAATGAAAATAATCTGACATCTGTTTGCATGAGTTAGCTGGTAGATTCACTTTGGAACCAGAATTCTTCCTGCTTTATTATGTTTTTTTTTACTTTTGGCAAAAGTTGAGCAAGTTTTTTAAGTCACTGCCACCTTCTAATTGATTGATATATAGATAATGATCAATCTTATCTGGTTCATTTTTAAATAATTTCATAATAAAAGTTTTTATTTTAATTTGAAAACACCCTTAGTAATTAATAGATTTCAATATTTCTTGTAGATGGGGAAGACTGATGTAAGTGAATAAGTTAAGGTAATTGATGTGGTGTTATTGAAAAAGGTAAAATAGCTTTTGAATAAATTAAGGTGAATATGCACACTACTGAAGAATGAGGCAATGTCCATGTCAAAGTGGAAGAGAAATACATAAATTCACCATTCTGTAGCAAACGCCAAAAAAAAAAAAAAAAAGAAAAGAAAAAAAAAAGAGGTGAGGTAGGGGAGAAAGCAACATAGAAGTTTCATAGAATATTTTACCTCTCATCTTTGCTACAAAAATGGCAGGAGGAACATTTTTTAAAACCATCATGAAATGGACTATCTACAAAATAGAAAGCAAACAAAAAAAAAAAATGAGCAGTATTGGGACTACCACCCACTCAGACCAGCAGGGTCCAGAAAGTCTTTGTTGCCACAAGGCAGCTGGTGACTGAGGATACAAAACCCTTTTTATTTCAATGTCACATTAAATCCTGAGGCATAAAACCAAGGGCAGACCTACAGAGCCTCTAGATCTCCAAGAAAAGACTATATAGCTCACAACTAAAGCCAAATGCCAGCTAATGTTCCCATCTAAATGAAAAAATCACTAGCAAAACGATTAGAACATATATCTAAAATCATTTTTAAACTATTATTTAGGCATAGGAAGAGAAATAAGAAAACTGACTTGACATTTATTTGATAAAACAGGTTGCACATTATACAACATGCTTTCCAGGAAAAATTATCCTATTTTTCAATCTCTGTAGGAGAAATTACCATAATCACAGAAAAAAGGGACCCTCATCTCCTTTTCATATTTGGACACAAAATATGGTATCCTGACACTTGAAAATCAAATAAGCTATAAAAGTAGTAATAATTAGATTAATATGAAGTACACCTGTTGTAACCTCCAATTGGAATGCTGGAAGAACTTGATGAAATAACACAAATATAACACCCAGCATATCAGTCATTATACAAGGTATTATTTCAATATTCATTTATTATAACCTTTATTACAACCACCTGCAAACTAATAGTTATCCCCAACACTACTTTCACCTATCTAAAGGATGTAGTAAAAAAAAAATCATGATGCCTATGTTGAAGAAATTAAACTCATCTTGTTTTTTTTTTTTTTTTTTTGGTCTCTATTGGCATTCTCATGAATTTAAAATTCACAACTTATTAAATCTCTTTCCTCATTCTGATGCAGAGAACCTAAAAAATAATAATAGAGGTGCTCAGAGAATATTATTACTTACACATCATCTAGCTTCAAATACTTCGCTCAATAGCCATCTGTTTTAGGTCCAGCTTCCTGGCTTTAGAGCTGCTCTCAGCTCCTCCCAGCCCCTAGCACCCTAGCACTGACAGATAGACTTTCTATAAATTCTCTGAAGGCAAGGCATATTTCTTAGTCTATAGTTTTATCTCAGATTCTTTTAAATCTGTTTATATGCACCATTTACAGTTCCCCAACATGTATGTTAAATCATAATTAAATACAAATGTATTAAGGAAGTAATATGTGAAAGGCAAATGTCTTCACCTCAGATCTGTGATTAACCCTCAAACTCAAAAATTTAATTGGCTCTCTTCCAATTCATACTTCCTGAAATATTCCCAAGGGTTTCTTAAAATACTTTAAAGAATTTATCAGAGTATGACAGCTCCTACTTAACTCTTGTAAATTCAGTTTTAAAAATATTATTAAATAAGAAAAAATATCATTCTTATTCATATTTCAAATGGATCTACAGAATTTTTTGCAGTTTGAATATAACAGAGAGAATTGTGTTTCACCAGATCCTAACAAAAATACTTATTAATTATTTGCTCATGTGTTTTATTTCAGAAAAGGAAATCTCTAACATGAATCTGTAATTAAACTCACGCAGACAGCCTGTCCCACTACATGCGTGTGCACACGCACACACACACACACTCAAAAGGATGAGACAACAAACAGTCCTGTTGCAATGTTTTTAAAACATAAAGTATACTCTTTAGCTCAGCTGCCAACTTGGCCTTACCTGGAGCCATAACTTGTTATGCACAGCATCTCTCCCTGTGGCAATGCACTGAAATGTAGCGTTTTGCCCTGCATTCACCTCTACATCCCCTAGACGGAGGAAATGAGGAGATTTATCTGTGAAGGAAGGGAAAAAAAAATGTATTTGTTTTCACATGAAGAAAATATGCCATGTTACTTTTCTCCAGCTGAATATTATCATTAGTGTTTTTACCTTTGGCCAAGACTAACATCAGAAAGAAGAAAACTGAGGGGCTTTTTTTGTGCCGGAAGACACCATTTCCTCTGTGACTCTCATAGTTCTCTTTTTCTCAATAGCTCTATTACTTACTGTTCCATAATTGCTGGAGTATTGTTCTCTACAGAGTGAGCACTCAACAATTGCTGCTGAACTGCTGCCATAGCATGTTGTATATGGATGATAATAAAACAGTTACAAACTTACAAGTCAAAGCAACCAAAAGAGATTAAATTGACATGAAATCAGAACCTAATATAAAGATATAATGAAAACATATAATGATTTCTAAACTACTGGCAGTGACACGGCCATTGAACTTATTAGGCTACATTTTAAGCAGTTAGATCTTTTTTTAAAAAAAACATCAATAGTTATAACCCTCTACAGCACTTCAAAGAACAAGGGAATATTTTTGCTTCTCAGAAAAAGAACACCAGCTAAACTGGTAAACTTTTTTTCTATTCCATTATAACCATAGTATAGTAATCCAAAATAAATACCCATATTAGACTAACAAAAATAATGACTGCAGTCAAAATATAAGTAAGATTTATGACTGACAAGTATCCTCTGAAACTACCTTTTAAAACTGAAGCCTCATCCATGTTTCCCATTGAAAGGAAATTTATATAAACAGCAAAAGCTAAGGCTCATGAGTAAAAAGAAAAGTTCATGGAGGGCCGTATCACCCTAAAACTGCTGTTGTGCTCAATCCACCATTTTCTGTGCACTTATGAAAGCCTTTCCTTAACACCTATCATTCAAGAAGTGAAAAATAAACAGTAGATAAAAACACAGCTCTCTTAAACTACAGATTGAAAGAACTTAGTAAGGCAGCTTGAACTTTAAATGAGATGATTTTGTTCTCTCTTTTCTTAGAATTTACCAACCACCACGTGGTATATATAATCTGACCCTTACTGGCTACATCTTTCTCTAGTGACTTACCTCTCAGGAAGAGATTTAAAATAAGGAATTCTTGAGTTAGAACATGAACTAAAGCAGCAGTTCTCAATTTACGAACTCTAGACCAGCAACATCAGCTGCACTGGAATCAGAAATGCAAATTGTCAGGCCCCACCCCAGACCTATTCAATCAGAACCAGGGGAAGAGCCAAGCAATCTGTGATTTACCACAGCTGTAGGTGATTCCGAAGCACACTAGAGTTTGACAACCACTCAGCAGGAGCACAGGTCTTGGCCCTCACAAGAGGCCCCAGCCTGCTGCTTACAATGTGTTATAGATGCTTCTCAGGGAGGATTGCTGAACAGATAACCCAGAATTCACGGGCCCTATAAAATGCTGCTTTTGGGAAATATAGGCAAAGTCTGAATTTATGCCAGCTGTTTTTTGCCTGGCTCTACTGAATGCATGCAGTAATTGTTTTTCATGGACTGTGATGTAAACACAAATTTAGGTACACCATCTGAAAACCAATCAATGTGCCTCTAAGGGCATAACAAAACTGTGTATTAATAAACCGAGTTTCTTGTTTTGTTTGCTTTCTTTTTTTTTTTTTTTTTGAGACGGAGTCTTGCTGTGGTTGCCCAGGCTGGAGTGCAGTGGTGCAATCTCAGCTCAGTGCAACCTCCACCTCCCAGGTTCAAGTGATTGTCCTGCCTCAGCCTCCTGAGTAGCTGGGATTACAGGTGTGCACCACCACGCCTGGCTAATTTTTTTTTTTTTTTTTTTGTAAGTAGAGATAGGGTTTCACCATTTTGGCCAGACTGGTCTCAAACTCCTGACCTCATGAGTTAGCCAGACATTTATTATGACAGAGGAGAAAAAAAGTAGTCCTAAATTTGGAATAAGGTGAACTAATTATTTCTCTTCATTTCACCCCAGCCCTCAACTCAGATCAAATAACTTCATGAGGCTTCTTTATATTTTCCTTTCTGTTGAACTCTGATTTGCTATTCTTCTCTGTTTTTCTAGACAATTTAATGATGCCAAAAAAATGAACAAGTCCTACTAACAGCTGCCTTTGCATGTATATTTTGTTCTCAGTAATGAAATAATTTAAAAGAATCTCCTAATAGGTATACAATTAGTTACAAGTTTGAAAAATATTTGATTCAAAAACTCTAGAAAGATATCAGTTTCCTTTTAAAACTCAATAGAAGGCTAGGACTAACAATAACAAGAGAGACAGCAAAAACCAAGTGATAAACAATCAATAGTCACTGCCAATATAAGGCAAGTGTGGAAAGGACATAGAAAAATACAATTCTTAATCACAACCTACCACAAGGATAACTCAGTACTTGGATGTCATCAATGGCAATATAACCACTTCTCCCTCCTGAGACTTCAGCTTCAAATATTACCTGTCAAAAAGAAACAGAAAATATTTACAACAATAGTTTTCAAGGAATTTCTACAGTGGAGGGGAATAGCTAAATATATGCAAAAGTAAATCTAATTTTTGTTCAGTAAGAATTAAAAATTTAACCTTATAATGTAAGTAATTTCCTAACTCTTGTACAGGTAAACAAATCAAAATATAAAATTTGAAGAAAAATTACGTTACAGAGGTTAAGCAGCTTAAATTTTTTAAGCAGTTATTACCAAGTATTGTTATATATCCTGAATAGGCAATATATAGGCAGACATAGAAAATCTCTTTAAAGGTAAACTTTCGCATATTGATTTTTTCCATTTTTGTTGTTTACTTAACATACATGGAGCACCTACTATGTGCCAAGCAGTATGTGAACCACTGAACACATTAGTAAGATAATCTGAGTTTTAAACAGCTGAATTTTCAAGGATGAGTGTCAACCAACAGATTATTGATGTTCCAGGCCAAAGGAACAAATACAATGAAAAAGATTGGGATGGCATGTTTGGAAAACTAAATAAATATAATCTCTATGGCTACAAAGGCTCAAAAGGGAAGAGATGAGATTAGAGACATAGGCATGGAAGGCCTTAAATACCATGAGGGTGAGGTCAGGAGTACAGCACTCAATAGTTTTATATCCAAGAATGTTAAGAAAAAAAAAGTTTCTAGATTTAAATATAAGCTCATTTTACAGTTTTGTAGTTATAGTCAATAGCAAAGCTTGATATGGCCTTTCTTTTAATGTGTGCTGTGGCTGGGTGCGGTAACTCACACCTATAATCCTAACACTTTGGGAGGCTGAGGCAGGAGGAGTACTTGAGCCCAGAAGTTCAAGACCAGCCTAGGGAACACAGTGAGAGCCTGTCGCTAAAAAAAAAAAAAAAAAAAAAAAAAGAAAAGAAAAGAAAAGAAAAAGATTAGCTGGGTGTGGTGACACATGCCTATAGTATCAGCTACTTCACAGACTAAGAGACTAAGGTGGGAGAATTGCTTGAACCCAGGAGTTCAAGGCTGCAGTGAGGTAGGATGACACCACCGCACTCCAGCCTGAGCGACAGAGCAAGACCCTGACTCTAAAAAAAAATAACAATAATAATGTGTGCTGTGACTTTCAAGAGAAAACAGATTTAGCATTCAGCTCTTCAATGTTGTATTTGATTCCTTTATTCATGGGGATACATACATTATTTTGGAGTATTTGCAAAGCATTTTTTAAAATGTAATGAAAGTTGATGTTTAAAGTAAGAATAGAATATAATCAAATTGGTCTAATAGAAACATATTTGGCTATAAAGTGAAAGATGATATGGAGAGAAAAAATAAGTCAATATGCTAGAAGTAGTGGGAATGGTGAGATGAGAAGAAAAAGGAAAGATAAAAATAATACTAAGGAAGCAGAGAAGGTAGAACTTACTGACTCAGTTGTGAAATATAGGACAACTCAATGATTTCTGGCTTAGACTACTAGGTGAATGATGCTGTCAGGATTCCTTCTCAGGACTAGTGATACAGAAAAGGAAACAAATTGAGGGAGAAAATAATGAAGTATGTTTTGAACATTTCAAATTTGATTTGCCTATGATAACACACAGTGGAAAATGCTTAAGTAATAACTAGATAGATAGATTTGGAAGAGAAGATTATCAGGGTAAAATAAAGGTATAAATTTCGAAGTTATCTGACGAAGGATATCAGATAACTCCATGGAAGGGAATAAGCGACTAATTTGAAAGTTAAAGTGATTGGTGAGTAAGATGGCATAAGAAGATAAATAAGAGAAGAAAACTACTGGAAATGAAAGTCAAGACTGAAAAGGCCACCAGCGGATATAAAGCCAACATCGAATGGTTAAGAAAGAAAGGGTGGTGGTACCAGGAGGTTTCAAGCAGGTCAACACTCCTAATAAAAGGATTAGGAAAGGCCAGGCATATTACAATAACAATAATTTAAAGATTTCAGATACGTGTGTAAACAGTGGCATCTAGATGCACACACATTTTAGAAGGTGAGAGCGTCTCTGATGTTATCTAATAATCTCCAGCCATTTTATTCTTTCCCATGGGAGTATCTGCCAATTCTGAGATCAGGCTATGGTTCTAGCTTAGTACAGACTGAAAACCTCTAGTAGGAGGAGGTGAAAACCTCTAGCAGGAGGAGGTGAAAACTGTGAAAGCTTGGTGCAGTTCTGCAGAAATAGAACAACAACTTGAAAATTTGGGAGGCTGAGTTTTCCAAAAAGACCTAGGTAAAGGCAAATAATATCTAACATAAGAAAGAGGTCAAGAGAAACTGAAACTAATAAGCATCACTTGGGGTTAGCTCTTAGGTATTTGGTAAACTCTGCCAGGACATTTTTACTCTGGTGGAGGAGGAGAAGTTTGATTGACTGGGCTGATAATAAGTTACATTTGTCAAGCACTTACTATATAAAGTAGACTGTCCCAAGCTACAGTCACACACATACACACACATAAATTGATTTAATCCTCATTACAATCACACGAGGTAGGTATTATTTTCATGTTCATTTTAAAGAAAAGTAATTGAACCAAGGCACAAAAGCTAACAAGTGGTGAAGCCGGGAATGGCCTGAGTCATCCTGCCTCTAGGTTGCTTTTGAAAACTTTACTACATTGCTTCTCAAGAAAAAGAAGACACAGAGTATTTCATTTAAGTAGACTTTAGAGTTTAAATTTCCTTTAAAAGTCTAAAATGTTAAGTAAATTTTAAATTTAAAAAATGAATTTCATTTTAACTAGCACACTGACTAGACATTATATTGACAAGATGGCAGCATGGTTCCATTAAACCCTTTCCATTCTCACACTACAACCACCTCAAAGTCAATAACAATGAGATAAGGTAAGCCGCTGGAATGGATGGCTCATCTCCCTTCCATCTGTCCCAATCATAAACTACCTGCATTACTTCTTTTCTACTCCAAGTTTACCCTTTGTGACAATTGATTTTACTGGAATAAGCTGAAAGTGAGATGGAGGATGGGGTCTTTGTGGTAAGCAGAATGCTTCATGATGGAAGGGTGGCCATCTATGAACACAGGAGGGTGTGCAATATGTGTGTGCATATGATTTACATTTCACATAAATGTATTTGGTGGGAACATAATTCCCATGTCATTTTGTAAATACTGGAACAAGGGCTTAGCAAGAAATAGAAAATAGTATTAAAAACTTTAAATAATGTATAACTTGAGACAACTCTGGTACAGACCACTTTCTCAGGGGTGAAAAAAACCCTGTATTATACTCCAAGCCCTCTTGTTTACAAATTCTTGAGGATTCACATAAATTTGAGATTTGAAACTTTTAGAGCTAAGTCTTAACCCCATAATATGAATATAATACAGCTTTCAAAAAAAGTTTTCTAAGGATTAAATAGCAGCATATAGAAAGGTGCTATCTAAACTAAAAGGTGTGATTGTCAACAGTGTAATACCTGAAGTCTGTATAAATGTATCCTAGGAAAATAAGTTTTATTTGCTTGTTTGTGGTTTAAGGAAAGAGAAGTTACAGAAAAAAAGTTTTTAAAAATCATTTTTTTGAAAACAATGACATTCTAATGAATAAATACACATCATTGTTGGTTATTTCAGTTTTGTTGTCAGTATTCATTAAATTATTTTAATTTCTAGGTCTATCTTAGCTTCACTTTCTTGAGTTGTTTAACTTCTTGTACTTTAAACAAGATTACTACACCCCTGAGAAAAAGTTTCATATGTGTTCATTTAAATTGAGCTTTACTCAGGACAATAAATTGAGGCCTTGATTTAAAAGGAGGCAAAATAATTGGTTCTTTATTTAAAAAAAAAAAAAGTTCCTCTTTTTAGTGACCTCATTTTCCCTGCTAAATGTTGTCTTTGCCTCATTAACGAGAGCTAGAAGAAATTTCTAAGATCAGATTCCTTTACTGCTAAAGATCTAATCAGCTTTATCACTTCAACAGAGCCCTCACCTTGTAGGGCTCTTCTGTCCTGTCAGGGAAAACAAATCTCAATAGCTTAATTACGCAAAGCGTGCTTGGGCTAATGCTCAGGTCAGATCTAATGCTTGATGTCAAGCAGTCAACCAGGCTTCCCAGAAGAAGAGAGCAATGAAAGCCATACCAGATGTCAACTTTAAACCTTCCAGGAGGCCAGCCTGGGAGCAGAATGAACAGGCTCTGCTTTCTAAGCCATTTTTACTCCACTCCATTACCTGAAACACTGAAGGTGATGATTCTAATCAAATTTTTGCTACTCCAGCAACAGTCCTGGATTATTAACTAAATAAGTGAAATAAAGTTGAATTAAACTTGGGGGAGATGGGAAACCCTAGAGAACAAGGACAACTTTTTCCTCTAGCAAACTGAATGAATCCACAGGAAGTGTCTCCTATAATGGAAAGCTGAACTGGGTGTTTGGAAGCCTGGGATCTACTATCACGTGTAACCCAAGCAAGTTATTAATATTTAACTCGGGTCTCTGTAGTCTCATCTTGACAATACTGCCTTTCCGTACATCACGGGTTTCTTGTGAAGACTGAATGGTATATGTGAAATGATTAATTAATATATGCAATATGTAATACAAGATATTACAGATACTAGAAAAATCTGAAAAAAATTTCCCCTTAATATTCTTTCAATATATCATAGTGTTAAGAGCCCAGGCTCCAAAGTCAGATATATATTTAACTCATATTCTTTTTCTTTTTTTTAATGAGACAGATTCTTGGTCTGTCACACAGGCTGGAGTGCAGTGGCATGATCTGGGCTCACCCTAACCTCTGCCTCCCAGGTTCAAACAATTCTCGTGCTTCAGCCTCCCCAGTAGTTGGAATTATAGGCACATGCCACCACGCCTGGCTAATTTTTGTATTTTTGTAGAGACGGGGTTTTAACATGTTGGCTAGGCTGGTCTCGAACTCCTAGCCTCAAGTGATCTGCCTGCCTCAGCCTCCCAAACTGCTGGGATTACAGGCATGAGCCACCACACCTGGCCTAGTTCGTACCCTTTAACTGTAACTTTAACTTATGTAAAATGAAAACTTCAATTTCTTCTTCTATAAAGGAAAGTTTATAGGGAAGATTAAATGAGATAATGCACATAAAACATTTAGCACATCTCCTGCCACACAGTAAGCATGCTATGTTAAGTGGCACCACTTTTATGAGCAGAAAATAGCCATAAAAGACACATGTACTAAAATTATATTTCTTCCATTCCCTTCTCCCTCCACTAAAAACCTAACCCCCCAATCCCAGTTTGGAAAAACATGAATAAACTAGTATTTTATTCCTATAAACCTCCTTAAATTCATGTTTTTTATTTTAATATTTAAACATTAAATTTTGCTAACGTTCAGAATAAATCACACATCTGCCTTCAAAGAACAAATGTGCCCAAATCAAAACCTATTTCTAAATATTTATGCCCAAATTTCAGTAACGAATAAAATAGGCATCTGTAACACACACAAAGATAGAATGACACTGCAGATCCAACCCTATGAGTACCAGTAAAGCACATGTATCTTTATCTGTTATGACAAGGTGTGACCTCCAATTTAGGAACTGTAGTTAACTTTGTGTCCTTAAAGCTCAAATACTGTCTATCACAAAGTAGACATTCAACAAATGATAACAAGACTATATACATCTGTGTGTATATACACATTACATATATGTGCATATATATAAAACATCATCACATAAAATTGAATTCTACCATGTGAACCTTAAACATTGTAGTTCCACAAGATGTGTCCTCAATCTTTCACTCTCTTTGCCCTATACTTTCAACTCTGATAAGATTGAGGAAGATGAGGCTACAATGAGGACAGAGGGAAATGAAAAAAATATATTTAAGTATATAGAACTACAAAAGGAAAATGGAAGTACATGGCATCACAAAAGCTTATTAATAAAAGAGTATCTAAAGGAGAAGAGATGTCAGGAACCCAATACTGGCCAAATACTACATAAAATGGTTATTGGAAATGCCCCTTATTTGTGCCATTGAGATCAGAAGTGCCCAAAGAAAGAGCGGTCTGTATGAAGAATGGAAGTGGAAACTATATTGGACAATGAAGAACACAGTGAAAGCACAGAGACACCAAGGTTAAGAATGCTTTATAGGAAGTTTGTCTGAATGGATAAAGAAAAATTTGACTAAGGATAGAAAAAGATATGGGATCAAGGAAAGGTTCAACTTTCAAAAAATTTTTCTTATTACTTTTAAGGTAAGAAACACTTAAACTTGTTTAGATATTGAGGATAATTCAATTTGGTAGCGAGTATTTGTGTATACACATGAAAGAAGTGATAACTGTTAGTGTGAAACAGGATAAAATCCAAATCACAGGCTGTAAGACAGGCTCTCTCTGCCTTTTTTTATAGTAAGAGGAAATGAGAAGATGCATAAAAATGTAATTTCTAGGACTGGTAGCCAAAGAAGTTTCCATTATATGACTACAATTTTCTCAGCTATAAGTAATAGGCTAGTGAAAAGAAGGAGTGGTTGAAGTCTGGAGAAAATTGAAAGGAGTTGAAATACAGAGTAGAAGAACAAAGATAACTGAACAGAAAAATATAGTAGTAGAATTTCCAGTTATATTTGGACCCAATTGAAATTGATAACCCTGAATTTCTAGTGATCAAAATCTATCATGTGGTGTGATTTAAAAAAAAAAAAAAACAGTATTTTTTTTTTAATTTAAGCCCAGAAAAAGTGGATAGAATAAAAGTCAGTAAAGAGTTTATGGAAACAGCAATTGTATAACAAAAGTTATCACAATGAAATCAAATTTTGATTTCATTTGATGATAAGCAAGTTGATGAACTAGCTAAAGACAGATGGTTTGATGGATTGGAGCTCTCCATGAAGTTACTGGATGATCTAAGCAAAATGAGTATAGTAGAAGAAGATAGGTTTATACTTGGGAAGTATGATACATATGCATAAAGTTAGAACAGTTGTGAGATATTACAACATCCATGTAACCAGAGTAGTAAACAGAGGTGTGACCTTTGGAAGTGGTGAGGTGAAAAAACTATCCAGGCGCTTTCCACACATATACTGATGTCGTCAGGAAGACGATGAGCCTTGAAAGTGGAGAGAGCAACTCTAAATTATGCTGGTACCCAAGTTCATCATGAGTAGAACAAAATGATTTCAGGTCCAGTGGAAGGTAATAATAAGGATGATGACGTGGTTGAAAGAAAAAAAAACTCGAAGGTGCAAAGACATTTCCCACATGATATGGTTTGGCTGCGCCCCCACCCAAATCTCATCTTGCATTGTAGCTCCTGTAATTCCCACATGTTGTGGGAGGGACCCAGTGAGAGGTAACTGAATCATGAAGGCAGTTTCCCCCATCCTGTTCTCATGGTAGTGAATAAGTCTCACGAGATCTGATGGTTTTCAGGAGATTTGAGGTTTCCGTTTTCGCTTGATTCTCATTCTCTCTTGCCAAGGCACATAAGAAGTGCCTTTCACCTTCCACCATGATTATGAGGCCTTTAGCTACATGTAACTGTGAATCTATCAAACCTATTTTTCTTCCCAGTCTCATGTATGTCTTTATCAGCAGCGTGAAAATGAACTAATACACCACCCATTGACCTAAGTTACTTGGGAATTAATATCTTCTCTTTTAGAGAATATTTGGGAAAAAGTGTCTGTAGGCTATAGCCATGAACATATGATGATTATAATTACATAATTAACTCTAAGTAAACATTTGATGTTTATTTCCTCTAGTAAAATATAAACTCACTGAGGGCAATGGATTGTCATGTTCCTCACAACATCATTGAACCACATGAATCCTGTTGACAGTCAGGGCTCAAAGAGTCCCAATATGTCACAGAAAACAACAATGCAGTATCAGTGGATTAACTGTTTTACCTAAAAGGGAAATATGAGAATAGACATTTAGCTCATTTTTGCTGAACTCACAAAATTGTGTTGAAATAATACAATGACACTTGTTTGAGAAAGTTCTAGATAATTTTCCCAAGCTATATTAGAAATCATGAAAACATAAACCTCCCCTGAACAGCTAAATAATGCTATAAGGCATAAATTTCTGCTGATAGGCCCCAGAAGATTTTCTACAGAGTAAGTCCAGTATCTACATGAAAACTTAAAATTCTAGAATCTAGTTACTTTTCAAATGTGCATATTCTATTTTCATCCATACATAAAGATGAAGACACACATAACTGACAGGTGATACCAAAAGTGCAATGTACAACTAGCAGTTACTGTCACTCACTGTAGCTCCTCTCATAGACACTGGCAATTTGGAATTATGGTTTCTCAACTAAGAATCAGCAGCAAATATTAGAGAAAAGGAGCTTCTCTTCGTCAGACCCCTGCAAGACAGGCTGGTTTGCCTATTGACTCATGTAATAGTCCACTTCTAAGAGTCTAAAGTGTGAAAAGGCCTTTAGTCAAGGCCTTGAGACTCTGAAACTGATGAATTCTTATTAACCTTTTCCTATTTGTTGTTTACTTGTTTACTTAGTTCCTGAAGGAGATATATACCTGCAATCACAAAAAGATACATAGATAAAATATCTAAACAAGGGAAATATTTGTATACTCTTTGCTTTAGAGTTGCTAAAGTCAATTATTTGACTATTTGTAAACTCTTTGATTTTCGAGTTTCTTGAGAAAGTAATGAGGGGGTTCTAATTATATGCCAACTAAATATGGAAGGCAATTAAGACATATAATCAAGCCCAAATCGATTCTTCATCTAACCCCTAAGTAATTTCAGATTTTAGCTATCCTTAGCACTTCCATGACTCATAGATGCATAATTTTCCTTAAGATGTCCTGAGATTAAAAATGGCTGGTTCCTTAGAAAGACTAGTATTATCAAGACTTCGCATCAGGATTTTACTATCTACAGGGAGTAACTAGGGCTCCAGAGATTCTAAATACCAACATTCTCTTACCTGAATACACACAGGCCTTTTGCATAGTTACAGCATCTGCCACTCAGCAGGAGCTACAGTATAGGTTTAAATATTCTTTCACTTTCATATATCTACGCACACATACATATATACACGTGCCCACATAATTCTATGTATCCATATATCACTGTAATTAATATTACAGTGACAAGTTAATTTTAGAATGTTAATACTATTTATAATGTTACCAGGTATTCTTTAATAAAACATCAATTTATCCAATTACAAGGGCTTTGATTACAAAAATATCCTGAGGTTTAGCATTACCAATTGCCTGCATGATGAGAAGGACTACCACATTATCTAACAGGGATGACATCAGGTATAACCAGAGTGCAGTTGCATGAAAAGCAGCTAGAGCATCCACCAACTGCAGGCCTTTCAAGAATGATACTGTGTTTTGCCTAATAAACAACAGAACATCAGTCAAAGCACATGGCAGTGTCCAGGTAACTGTAAAAAGTCAGGACCACAGATCAGAAGGAGAAAATAAAACCTAACAGACTTCATACAAAAGTAGCCTGTATGAAAGAAAAGCCCAAAGACGGAGATTTTCACAAGTTCCATACTGAAATGAATATGCAAGCATACTACATTCCTATGTTTCAAATTAGCCCAGGGAGTTGGCTATCCCTAATGTAATCACTAAAAGTATCTAGAAAATCTAAATAAATGAATGAACAATAATCATTTCAGAGTGTATGCTAGTATGTTGAAGTTATAATAATAGTCCACTAGTTATTTAAATTAATTCTGCATTCCTGAAATCTTGCACTTGTAAACGATTATCAATGGTGTTTTTAATTAGAATAGATGTTGACGCAGGTTTATATGTATCAAAAACACATGACTTCTTAGTCTTAAAGTGACTAAGACATACTTCTCATTTCTGAAAACAAACCCAAAACCTGAACTGAGAATGAATAACTTTAACAAAATAAACCCACAAAAAGTTCTTGTGTTCTCTGCATATTCTCTATATCATTAAAATGGCTCTGGGGGTAGAAGGGATTATATACTTGCTTTCTCAAGAAGGTTTTGACATAGACCCTCAAGGTAAGACAGAGACACACACAAGCACACCCACTCAACACAGTGCACACCACAGTTCCCAGCAGCAGAGCCCCAACTCTGAGCCACAGACCTCAACTCAGGTCCCAGTTCCGACCTCATGAGGCCATTGTAAAGATTAAAAGATATTATACACAAATTAGGAGGTTTCTCATAAATGTTAGCCCCTTTCCTGACCTTTGCCATCGCAGATACACCTTTTAGCTCTTCTGTGCTACAAAAACAGTACCACAAACTCACTACCTTGCTCATTCCTAATGTCTGACACCCCTATCACTAAAGCCCCTTTCCATAATTCCTTTTACAGTTCAATTCAGGGCCTAAGTGTGGTGAAGCTGCCTGAGACTAGAGACCACAGTATAAGGTATGCCAAACCCCTGCTCTCTTCTGAGGCTTCCCAATTCCAATATAGGCAGACAGACAGGCAGAGCATAATAATACATCCCAAATGCCTTAAATATGAAACTCAGAAATAAAATTGAAATAGGACCCACTATTCATGGCTCAGTCTAATTTATGTGAGAATATGAGTTTAGCAAAAAGAGAGGAAAAACCAAAAAGGCAATTAAAAGAGGAAAATAAAAGTTTACTGAAATAATCCAAGATCTAAAAATGCCCTTAAACACATTTTTCATCCTATGGATCTGTCCTTAGATACATAAGCAAGCAACCTACACCATAAAAGATTTGGTATAAAACTGAAAGTGGGGAAGCAAAGAGTAGCAGAAAATTCATCAGCAAAATGTCATTTCTGTATCTTTACTATCATAGCTCCACCATCTGGGTTATATTTTATAGTTAGTTGTCTGGTACAAAAATAAAAGATGACTGGTGAAGGTTTCTACTTCTATCAACATGACACTGAATTACAGTACTATTTCTCCTCACTTCTAGAGATGTGCCATTTGTCTTCCTACAATCCACAAGCAGAACCTTTTAAATTTCAGCACCAACAGTCCAATCTTACACATAGCAGAAGTAGATCACTTCACCTGCACAACTATATTTGAAAAATAATGCTTTCAAACTAACACAGTAAGTCTGTTCTTAACAAATTTAAACAACTCTCAATAGCTTTAATTTATGCTTATGAAACTCAAGAAAATTAAAATCAGTAGTTCAGCCTACATGTACCATCATACTAAATATCTATTAACAGATGAAATCTGATGACAGTATGCACTTACAAAGAAAAGCAACCTTTAAGTAAACCAGATGATTAATTTTGAGTGAAGAGATAAGATAAATGGATGAGCCTACATACAGACAAAGTTCAGCCAGATGCTAAACTTGAGTTTTCACATCACAAATTCAGATATATTAATAAGTAATTGTTTTGTTTAAACCTCTTGTAAAAAGAGAATTCTCTACTTACATAATATTGATTTAAGAATTAAGTAATTTCAAAAGTATTGTGAACTTTCCCTACTGAAAAAATTAGTTATGGTTGGAGGGGAGAGGAGAAAGGTTTTGACATAAAGTTTGTAAGAGTAACTAGTTTGTGTACTCTTAGTTGAATTTAGGGATAGAACGCCTGTGAACTTTTATTTTCTGTTTTATTTTACAAGACAAATAGTCAAGAACAGTGATATCATTAGCTATATAACGTTTAAATAGCACAAATATAATTACATATTATTATATAATTTATGATGTTAGTGCTTTTAGCTAGTAAAAGCCCAGCTGAAATTGAAAAATATTTACGAAGAGATGTAACAAACAATACGTTTGACAGTCAGGTTCAACAGGAGAAAATAATAGGGAACTTTAGAAGATATCCCAGAACGACTAAAAATAATGGGTGCAAACACACAAATATGCATATCTATATTTGTCTTGACTTTTTTCTTAAAACATATATTTAAAATGAAGACATTAAAAGTATATGGTTCACTTGATTCTTTGCAGAAGATGAACTCAAATTTTTGACGATATGCTTAAGAAAATATTCATGTGTCATAAATCAGCAAAAGATGAAGTCTGTAAGACTTTAAGAATCTTGCTAAAAATTTTAAGGCAAAATATTTTTATCTAGAATACTCAGAGATTATTCAGAAGTTAGTCAAAAAAAAAAGAAGGAAACGACATCCTTTTCATATCACAAACTTTTTGAAGAATACCTATGACCTCTCTGGGTGTCCGACAATCAGTAAAAATGGGTTGAAGCAGAGAAATTAAGAAATACTAGGGAGAAATAAATCCTTGGAACTTTTTGTACAATTATAAAGGCTTGAAACTCTACTTTTAAAATGGGCCTGATTCATAGACCAATGTTGTTACCCATATAAAACAAAATAAGTGGAATAAAATCAGGGTTTTGTTTTGTTTTTCTTGAGCCAGAGTCTTGCTCTATCGCCCAGGCTGGAGTACAGTGACGCGATCTCAGCTCACCACAACCTCCGCCTCCTGGGTTCAAGTGATTCTCCTGCCTCAGCCTCCTGAGTAGCTGGGACTACAGGCGCCCGCCACCATGCCCAGCCAATTTTTGTATTTTTAGTAGAGACGGGGTTTCACCATGTTGGCCAGGATGGGCTCGATCTCCTGACCTCATGATCCACCCACCTCGGCCTCCCAAAGTGCTGGGATAACAGGCGTGAGCCACCATGCCGGGCCCTAAATCAGGTTTTAAGGATAGATGGAGAGAGATAAACTCATCTTCATTGAGAACACAATATGGGAGATGGTGAAAAAGACGAGGGAAAGCATTAATTTTATTGGCAGTATCTAGTCATAAGTGAGGGAAAGCACTAGACATTATAATGACCAAGTGCCTCCTTTAATAAAGAGTGTATAGAATAGAAACTAACATAAAGTGATTTAGGAGGACTGAAAGAGCCACTCAAATGATTTTAGATGTTGTCTATGAAAACAGAAGGCCTTTGCCAAAGACATCAGGAGATATTTAACCTGTTTAACCTTTGCACTGACTCCACATATCGGCATTAAAGTATGAACAAATTATCAAGATGCTGAAGGCTGAAAAATACTGGTAAGACAGATCAGGTCAAAAGTTATCAAAACATGGTCCTGGCAACAAAAGCATCAACAACACCTGGAAACTTCTTGGAAACTCTGTGGGTGGGACCCACCGATCCATGGTTTCAGAGCTCCTGCAGGTGATACTGATGCAGGCTAAAATGTGAGAACCATTCATCTAGGCTGATCTCCAAGCTGAGCTAAAAGTTACATGACAGTTTCAATCCTATAGGTTTTCTTCCTTCAGAACTTTTTCCTTTTCAAGAAAAAAACTGTAAGTAGATTCATAGGTTTTCTTTATCAGATAGCCAGCTAAAACAAAAATATAAGCCTGTATAAAATACCAATTTTTAAAAATTTGAACAATTAGCCATGTATTTATTCAACAAGAAGAAATTTATGGAGTGTCTAATATTTGCTGGACTAATATCTGACAGAAAGAAATACCTAATTTTTGGTCCCTGTCCTCAAGAGAGTCACAATGTGGCAGAAGAGATAAGCATGGTAGGAAATAACTATAGCACAGTTATATGTGATAAAGCAGAGTTAGAACGCTATGAGAGTTCAGGGGAGAGAGAAAATTACTCCACCTGGGAAAACAGCAAGACTTCAGAGAAAGCGACCTTTGAAACATCCTTCATTAACCCAGCACTTAGTGAGCACACACTATTCTAGCCGCTAGGGATACGAAGATGGATAAAAGGCAGAGCCACACCTTTTAGAAGGTAAACCTCTATGACATATGTAGAGCAATAATGTAAAACAAGAGAAAGAGTAGGCAAACTATGTTCTTCATTTTTTTTTTTTTTTGAGATGGAGTCTCGTTCTGTTGCCAGGTTGGAGTGCAGTGGCGATCTTGGCTCACTGCAACCTCCAACTCCCGGGTTCAAGCACTTCTGCCTCAGCCTCCCGAGTAACTGGGATTACAGTTGCATGCCACCACACCTGGCTAATTTTTGTATTTTTAGTAGAGACGGGGTTTCACCGTGTTGGTCAGGATGGTCTCGATCTCCTGACCTCGTGATCCGCCCGCCTCAGCCTCCCAAAGTGCTGGGATTACAGGCGTAAGCAACCATGCCCGGCTGTAGGCAAACTATTTTCTATCTGGGAAAGCGGACAATGATTCAAAAAAAAGATGATTCCAAGCAGTTTTAAAACACTGCAAAAAAAGAGGGCGTTACAGACCAAATAAGGTGTATTTGCAAAAGACTGACAAGAGGAAATATAATGAGCTATTGGCACAAGCAATTTTGTAGAACATCTAGTTAGGAAGAATAGAACAGAAGAGATTAAAACCTGGGAGATGGAGTGGCTCATGCCTGTAATCCCAGAACTTTGGGAGGCCGAGGCAGGAGGATCACATGAGGTCGGGAGTTCGAGACCAGACTGACCAACAAGGAGAAACCCCGTCTCTACTAAAAATACAAAATTAGCCAGGCATGGTGGCACATGCCTGTAATCCCAGCTACTCGGGAGGCTGAGGCAGGAGAATTGCTTGAACATGGGAGGCGGAGATTGTGGTGAGCCCAGATCACGCCATTGCACTCCAGCCTGGGAGACAGAGAGAAACTCCATCCAAAAAAAAAAAAAAGACACCTGGGAGATAGGAAGCTGGGACCTTATCTTGCATGGACTTCTACACCACAAAAAGGAGTCTGCCTTTTTTCATTTTATTTTATTTTATTTTTGAAGGTGTTGTAATGCCTTTAAAGGGTTCTACATGAGGGATAATGTGATTTGCACCTTAAAAAGGTCAGTGTGGTAGCAACAACCAGATTCAAGAACTGGAATCTCATCAGAAAGACCTAAACATGTAATAGTATGCCTAAATATGCTTGGATATTAGTCAACCAATCAAGAAATATTTATTGCATACCTACGTGTACAATAATGTGGAAAGATTTAGATTTTAGTGCTATATTAACATACATATTTATGGAGAGATCAAACACATTATATATTCAGGAAAACAAATTTGTGTATGTAATTTTTTAATCCAAAATGCAATAACAAGTGTTTAAAATAAATAAGTCTCAGAAAGGCTTCACTTAAATTTAATTTCAGACTTAAAATAATGTCATAAACATTGTCTTCACTCTAAGATTTATAAGATAAGTGAAATGATGTAATAAAATGCCAACTTTTCACCCCTTTCAATTTAAGCTAAATTCAGTTTTCAAAGATAGGTGTGATGGAAATTCATTTTTAATTTTCTCTATACTGCGTGTCACCAAAAAAACCAACATGATATACTCAACTAATCTAGTTCAAAGTTCCAGTTCTCAAAAATATGAAGGTTCTCTGATTTGTAAATAGACCTAAACTTTATTGTCATGGCTCATAATAAATCCTGGGAGAAAGAAAAATGGCCAGAATATATTTTATTCAGAAATCAATTAGGACCACTGAGAATTATTTAAATGTGATAATTTGAGGGGATACACACAGGGAGGAAAGTGTCTGAGAATAAAATCATTTTCTTTATACATAAACTAAATTTTATTCTCTTTAAGAAATAAGGCCTTTAAGAAAATCACCATTCTGCTTGTCCCTATATTCTTCTATAAGAAAATAGTGATTATGTGAAATTCCTTAAAATTTCTATAATAAAGACCAAAATATAATGTTAAATCAAGCAAGTGTTACAACATCCATTTGACTATGTTAAAAAGATCAAAATATGTTACATAAAACTGATATCACAGAGTAATCATGCATGGTTTAACTGGCTAATATCTCTCCCTTACCTCTTCCTGAAGTGCTCATGCTAACACTAGAGATAACTGACCAGAAAAATCCAAGGCACTGGGAAAATGAAATAAAGGAAACAAATACTGAATAAAAATGTTAGTTTCGCTATGTACTTTTTTCATTGTATATGTACTTTTTCATTAGATAATTATTTCTCGAGCACCTGATATGTACAAGAGATGAAAAACATAAAACAAAGTTGATGTCTTCATGGAAAACAGGCTAGTATGGAAGAAAGACACTAAACAAGCATATGGAACAGTGACCAAAGTGCTAAGGCAAGGAGGCAAAGGAGTTAACGAACAGAAGGGTAGAGACGGGGTAATTAGGTCAGCCTCTGAGAAGGCAAAATATGAGTAGAGACCAGAATGGGAAGATGGAGGTAATGCCATTCCAGGCGGAGGGAATGACAGGCACAAAGACTTTGAGATACGAATGATCTTGGAGCATTCCACGATCAGAAAGCTGAATGAGGGAGGCAGAGAGCAGAAGACAATTTAACGTGGAGCTAGCCAATAACTGGATTTGGATTTTATTGACTCCATTGAGAAGCCAGTGGAGGATATGGGGTAGAATTCCTAAGTTCCTGATATCTGACATGTGTTTTTAAAAGATCAGTCTGCTGTGAGGAGAAGAGCCTCAGAGAGGTAATAAGGGAAGCTGGGAGAAGTGTGGGGAGGTCCATGTTTGAGGAGGGAGACAGGGAAAGCATGGATTTTTAGCAGTGCTTCCCAAATGCTTTTATATTATGAAAAACAAACAGGAGATGACAACAACTGTGTGGCACCTTGAAGTAAAAAGACAACTGTCATAGTTCCAGGCTCCACCCTATAGGCTAGGTTATCACACTACAAATTTTTCAACACCTGCAATACCACTGTCAGGGAACACCAGTATGCCACAGCTCAAAACCACTAAACTAAGAGTGAGAAATTGTCAGATTGGGACAGGTTGCTTAAAAATAGAATATGAAGAGGAAAGCTTTTCACAATAACCTAATTAAGGAAACCAAAACATTATGTATTATGATTCCACTGAATATCAAGTTTAATATGCACATGCACACACACATATATAATGTACATATATGCACATACATACATGCATATGTATGTGCCACCTGTCAAAATATTAGGAGTCATCTCTAGAAAGCAGAAGGTGAGATTATGGATTACTTTCATTTTCTGTGTATTTCTTCAATGATTTCGTTACTTACAGTAAGTTTGCACTGGTTAAGTAACACGAATAGAGAGAGGCAAAAAATTTCAAGTATGTTTTAGAAGTATAATTCAGTGTGTGTTCAATTTTCATTCTTTTATGTGAAAATCATAAATCCCTAGGAAAGGGCCATAAAAATTCTAAGTATACTACCTTTCTAGCAGTTGAAGATATAACTTAAAACATTCTTTCCTTTTCATTTAAAGAAAGTTAAAAGGAAACTAAAAAAATGTGACTTCCTTCTGTAACATAAGAACCCTTCCACACAACTGCTTTCATTTTCCAGTCCATAACATATGTAAAGCAAACGTACAACATGGACGTAATTTCATAGGAAAGGCCTTAAACTATATAGACCCAATTAACAGTAGTCATCTTGGGGGAGAAATTGAATGAAATGGGTGAAATGAGTTTCACTTTTCATTTTACTGATGTCTGTATTTGAATATTTATAAGTATTTATCAAAATATAATTGCATAATTTAGAAAATCTTTTTTTAGACCTATAGAGTATATTATTCTCTGGATTACACTTCTGATGACATGGCTTCCTAAAATATATTTTTTTTTATTCTATTTTTTAAAAGATTGGATTTCATTCTAAATGTAACAGAACAGGCTTATAGCAGAGGAGTGACATAATCTGAATTATGATCTGAAGAAGTTTGTTTTGATGACTGTGAGAAGTGGTTTGTGGGAGACCAAGATCCAGAAGCAGAGACAATGTTAAGGAGACCACTGCAGTTGTTGAAGGAAAAGATGACGGCATTAACCCTGAGGATGCCCAAAAATAAAATAGAGAAGATGGCCTTTATCATTGCTACCCACAATATCTAGCATAGCAAATGGCATGTAGTAAGCCTCCTATAAAGAGGTATTCGGGTAAGAAAGTTAGGAAGAGAGGCCAGCCATCCAGAAGGCTGGGATGGAGATTACCGCTTTTCTAATTGGAGCTGGAGAAGCGAAACATGTTTCTTGAAGATGCTTGTATAATGTCCATTTATGAAAGCAGTTTCCTAATCTCCTAATAAATAAAAGACTCATATAACCACTACCACAACAAATTTGGAAGCAGGGACAACAAAAATTATTTCAAAACAAGCTTAGTTCTCCGTTCAACTCCAGTATTTAAGCATGTGGTCCCTGAACTTTCATGTACATTCACTGAACTTTCATGTACATTAGAAGATGCTGCAAAAATATAGGAAGTTGTAGTAAGTTACTTTAAAGACACCTAAAAAATACTGCTTTAGCAAGCTTAACATTTAATGATATAGTTGTCCTCTAAGATCTGAAAATAAAAATTTAAATTGCAAAACAAACATGCATTTTCTTAGTTTTTCCATCTCTTTTTATGTATAGGCTGAGGTCTCTACTTAGTATTTCATCCTGAGCTTATATAGCAATAGTTTCTGTTTTACCCCTCTTGATCTGTCAATCTATCAAGCCTCTAAACTTCATTTTCTATTTTACCCATCCAAATTTAAATTCCATGTTGTCTTTATTTATTTTATATTCCAAGCTCAGTGCTCCAAATAAAACTTTCAAAAAAGAAAAACCCATCAATTTTTGTTCAAACATATTAGATGATTCATTGTTGTATTTCTTTTGGTTCATATGATTAAAGATGTAAAAGCAGAAATCAATACTTATACAGATTTTTCAATAGTTATATGGATTTAAAATTTGAGAATAATGTTCTAGAGGGCAAAAGATGTTAAAAACACTATAACAAAAAACAGCAAATTTTCCAAACTAGCACTTAAGATATTTTATTACATAATATGGTGAAACACTACATTGTACATTGACAGGTATATTTTATTATAATTTCTTTATGAAATCCATTGTCTCCAAACTTGAATTAGCAAAATGTTTGTAACACAGTAAAAACTAGCCAGATGTCTATAGTTATTACAGGGGAAGTACTGTGTGCAGAGCTTCAGTCTAGAGCAAAACTGTCCAGCAAAATTGTCTGCCACAAGAAAAATGTTCTGTATCTGTCTACATAGTAGCCACTAACCAGCCACCTGCAGGCATCAAGCACTTAAAATGTGGATAGTGCAAATGAATAAATACATTTTTAATTTTAATTTTAATAATTGCATCTGGCTAGTGACTAGCTCATTGAACAGCAGAACTTTTAAATATGAATTTTGACAAATTTGGGCAATAGCTTTTGGAGCTATATTAACAGTTAAAAGCAAAAAGAAGCAACTGGTGGGTCAAGCAAACTTTCATATAAGACACAAATTCCACAAGAATCAAGAATATAGGCTCTACTCTTAAGCACAGCATCAAGTTGGGCCCTTACATGGTGGGCTAATTATTTCATGGCACCAACAAGCAAGAATGACATGATTATGCCTAGAATCCAATACCAGGAGTTACTCAGCCTGAGAAAACTCTCCACATGTGCAAATGACAAAACTGATCAAGTGTGCTTTATGTGGATCAGGCAATGCTGTATGGCTTGGTATTACAGTCAAATATTACTTTCCAGGTTTGGATTCATCCCAATTTTATGGATGACAAATTAAGCAGCATAGTGAAAGTTAAACTGCAACTCAAAACTGTTGATACACCAATTTTATGTAGTTTCCAACCTGTTTTCTCCCTAGGTTTAAAATGTGAGACAGCCTCAATATTAAATTATTGAAACCAAATAAGTTCATAGAAGCAAAAATATATTATGCACTATACTCTCTTAAAAAAGGATTTTTTATCTCAAGAGAATCACACTGACAGACTTAATATGTAATCATTGATCTTCAATATCTGTTATCTTATCCTAAATTTTTGGCCTTTTTGTTTTCTAGAAATGAGTTATTTTAAAGAGTGTTCGACTCCCCACATACTAAAACAACACTAACTTCCCAAAGAAAAGAACAGAGTGTTTACTTAATCTTTCATATAGGTAAGCCCTAAACTAGACCCAACTACAGAGCTATGGAGGGGGCAAGGCAAAGAAGGAGGGAGAGGGAGAGAATGACAGACACTGTCTCCAAAACCAACTAAACTCTCAGTTGCTTTGGAAAATCAGTTTAGGACTAGACACTTAGACATCAGGAATTCCTACCTTTCTGTTTAATGTGATGCATTTATACGAAAAGTCTTTTTTGTGAAATAAATTTTGTAAATGAAATACCCTTTCAGTCTTTTTTATAATACAAAGTTAAATGGTACTTCTTTTTTTTTTTTCCCAAGAATTTTTAGGTGGGTCCAAAACCAATAACCAAAAAAAAAAAAAAAAAAGTCTAAGTGCTTTACATTCTAGATAATTCATAAAAAACTGGGCCAATTTTCCTTGAGTGTTTGCTGGGAGGTGGCAGACCCACGTCTACCATAGTCTTTCACCTTCATACACCCAGCTGATCTGAACTGAGCCCTGAGGACCAGGCAGAGAAGTCCAGTACTGATAGTGATGAGCTTCCTTGCCTCCACAAAGGAAGGGAAGCGAGTGCTCACCCCACAGGAACGCTCCCTGGGCCAAACACAAGGAAGACTGTAGAAGAATCAGTCAAGACTGGGGTGCCTATGAGAAGAGGTGGCTGGCAACTGACTTCTGGATAAATGCTTCATGACAGAGTTCTTGGGAGGACTTGGTAAAAAGTCCTAAGAAGGAAGAGGCAATTTCTTTCTCATTATAGAGACTATTAATGAGGGAACACTTGCTGCTGTAGCCTGTAGCAGTAGAACCAGAAGAGACCAGAATACAGTGAGCCCAGTAGTCTGCTGGTAAATGTTCAACAAATGGCAGGGAATGACAGATCATGGTTTGTGGCACTTGTTGATTTCAGAGGTAGAAATGCTCTCACCATGGCCAATTTCAAGCTACTAGTGTGAAGTTAAAGAATGTGGAGTGGGGAGAGATGTGCAGTAGCACACCATTATACGGTATTATCTACCATAAAAATACAGCAGATATAAAGCAATATCAGGAGCACAGGTAATAACAAAATGCAGCAAAATAATAAGAAAGTGATATTTTAAATATTTAGTACAGTTTCTAAAATAATCTTTTTGATTAATCACTTACATAATATAATTAGTAATGATTGTGTTAACAACAAGATCACAACTTCCTAAAAATTTAACAGTTAGCATTTGAGAGTCTGTACAAGCCGCTCTTGCACACCAGTGGTGTGCCTGATAAGTGTATGGGAGTTTTTCTGCTGTCATGAGGACACAGAAGAGGTTTTCCTGTCTTCACATGAAAGAGTACCTTGTAGAGGTGGCACTGGGACTCTAAGGGCTTCCCAGGCAGCATCTAAGTGAGAGACCACCACCGTTGGAAAGGCCAGAGTAGTGAACCACTTTGCTCCAGAAGAAGCACAGCTGTTTCTTTCCAAGGAGGTCCTTGAAGATAGAGGAGGTTGGTATGAAGCAGACTACTACATCAAGCAAACTACCCTGCCAACAATGAGAAAAAAGCCATACCCATCAGTGGAGATTGGCAGCAAAGCTAAAACATGACAAAAGAAGAAAAGCCAGAGGAAGATGGGGGGTCCTCCCCACATCTGATGTAGGTCCAGTTAACGAAGAAGATGCCTGCCTCCCTTATGTCTGTTCCAAACTCAGGAGTGATATTATTTGGAGTATTGTACTAAGCACCCACTGCTAACAAGGAAATTAAAAATAAGCAAAGATAAGTTTTTCTTTAAAGAAGAACAGCCCACTATTTTAAATATTGATATCAGATACACAGTAATACATGCAGTTCTGTTACTTCTAGGTAAGCATTTTGCCATCATATATTTACAGCAAATGCAAAAAACTGTACAGTGCTTTAAATACATAAGTCGTCATCATTAAGAATATATTTACTTTGGATAGGTCTTTATAGTTTACAAAGTATTTTTAATTTTATTATTTTTTTAGAGACAGGGTCTTGCTATGTTGTCCAGGCTCGAGTGCAGTGGCTATTCACAGGCATGATCATAGTGCACTACAAACTTAAACTCCTAGGCTCAAGCAATCCTCCCACTTCAGTGAATAACTGGGACTACAGGCATGCACCACCATACCTGGCTCACAGAGTATATTCATGAACATTACTTCATTTGATCCCCATAAAACACTTGCTAGGTGTTAATATGGTTTGGTTGTGTCCCCACCCAAATCTCATCTTGAATTGTAACTCCCACAATTCCCATGTGTCCTGGGAGGAACCTCATGGGAGATAATTGAATCATGGAGGCAGGTATTACCCATGCTGTTCTTGTGATAGTGAATAAATCTCACGAGATCTGATGATTTTTAAAATGGGAATTTCCCTGCACAAGCTCTCTCTTTGCCTGCTGCCATCCATGTAAGATGTGACTTGTTTCTCCTTGCCTTCTGCCATGATTGTGAGATTTCTCCAGCCAATTGGAACTGTAAGTCCATTAAAGCATTTTCTTTTGTAAATTGCCCAGTCTCAGGTGTGTCTTTATCAGCAGCGTGAAAACAGACTAATACAAGTGTGTAGAACAGATTTTAATAGTCACATCTTATAGATACTAAAAATGGAGCTGAGAGAAACGAAGTGACAAGCTCACTTAAAAGCCAAACTTTGAATACACTCAAAGATCTACACAATTACCCGATATACCTTGTCCTACTCCGTATATCATCATATCACCACAAAAGCTACATGATTTAGGACTGATTTGATTATTATACATGAGGTGGCAAATATACATACATTCTGCTAAGATAACTAATTTTTGAAACTTTCAATTTAAAGAAAATTTACTATAAATATAAATAACTTTTTAATTAGTCATTTGCTAACAAACACATAGATAATACTGATCATGTACTAGAAACTCTTCCAACTGCTTTAAATATTAATTCATTTGGTTCTTGTAACAACCCTATGAGGTAGGGGCAATATTACTGATGAAGACATAGAAGCAAAGAAAGGTAAGTATCTCTCCCAAGGTCGCACAGCTATTCAGTGGCAGCACCAGATTCTAACCCAGATAGTCTGGTGCCACAGTTCTTGCATTTTGCTTACTATGCAGTGTGATATATAAGTGAACTCATCAAATGGAATTACCTTTCAAAATTTTGCCCTGAACTAAGAATTGAAATTTGAAAGCATTTGAATCTCTAAGGTGGTACAACATTTAATTAATTACTTCTTAGTGTATTTTAGAGACATTAAAAATTTAAAAATTCATACATGTCATGGTCCAATATCTGTTTGACTCCAAAATTCTTATGTTGAAATTTGAATCCCCAAAGCGATGGTATTAGGAAGTGAGGTTTCTGGGAGGTGATCAGGTCATGCGGACTCCACCTTGGTGAATGGGATTAGTGCCCTTATTCATGAGAGATCCTTGCCTCTTCTGCACTGTGAGAACACAGTGAGTAGGCACTGTCTATGAACGAGAAAATAGACCCTCATTAGACACCAAGTCTGTTGGTGCCTTGATTTTGGACTCCCCATCCTCCAGGACAGTGAGAAATCAATTTCTGTTGTTTATAAGACATCCAGTTTATGGCATTTTGCTATAGCAGACTGAAGTGACTAAGCTAGCACACACATTTTCTTGCAGGAAGGACGGCAGTAGGTTGTGGATACAGAACAAGAATCAAACAAGGCTAAAGCTACTAGAAGAGCAAAAGGTCCTGAGGCTGGGAAAGGACACAGAAGTAAGTGCTATTGCTTGAACTTTTGACAATATCACTAAACGCTGCACAGTGGCACATAGCAAATGTCTACCAAATACCTGTTTCCCTTCACTTTCCAGTGGTCTGGCAGTGACTGGGGACCCAGACAGATGGGTTAATGAGGCTCAGTATACCAACGTGGAAAAAGTCTGAAAAGCACTGGATTAGGCAGTTTTAAAAGAATAAGTTTACGTGCAATTTGCTAAGAAACACTGAATTTAGAGGTCAAGCCTGATTTGAATCTTGATTATGCTACTTACTCTCTCCAGACCACAATTCCTTCTTCTATGAATTTTCATCCTTGGACCACAAAATCTAAGGTCTTTCCTAGAATAGAATCACGAGACTATAACACCAACATGGAAGGCAACATGTCCAAAAGTGCAGGATACTGAATACACATCTAAGCACACACAATGCCAAAGGGAAGAATCCAAGCAAAGCTCACAGGGAGTCAGAAATAAAACAAACTTGTGCTGAACCAGCTTTCAACTCGGAAGTTTTTGTGTGCTTCCTGAAAACAATGTTTTCAAGCTAGCCTAACCAGCGGGGCTTGTGCATGGAAGTGAAGACCAAAACTGAAGTGGGATGTGAAGGAGGAATATAGCAAAGAGTAATTTCTGAAAAACAAAAATTCTAAACAATCTGAGTGAAAATTATATCTCACTTTATTCTAGAAATCATCAACTGTAAGGAAACTTATTTATTATGATATTGAACATTGTTATTAATCTCATAAAAATCTTATGAAATCACATAGCTAATTCAATGCTAATTCGATATTTAAGTTTTTCACAAATAAGCAGAAACAAAAAGGCTCATATATTAATGCTGATTTGTTATTTTTCTGGGTGTGCATCAGTGATGAGTCAGTATGAAGTAAATGGAAAAAAGAATAAAGTCTGTGATTTATCTACCTGCCATAAATGCATCTTTAAACAGGCAAAAATGTAACTCATTTTTTCAACCAATTTACCAAGAAGAGAAATCACTAGATGAGTCCACAAAATATGAATTATTTTATGTCCTCTCTTATTTCTTCTGTCTTATTTATTATTTCACCAAAACCTATTGACTGCTGTATCATTTAAAACCCATGTATTCCATGGGGGGAAATATCTCTCTTTTATTTTTGTACCTGATAGCCATAATAAAAATAGAGAATAAAAACACTTTATAAGCTGTACAAGGAAAGAGATGGCAAGTGATTCCACTGGGATTTTATTTTAACTGGATTTGATCCTAAAGCCAATGCTCTTTAAAACTGTGTAACTTCCTCTCCAATAGTTGGCTATTACCAATAATTCCCAAAAAACTTCCTCAAAAAAGTTTATATTGAGTAATTGACTAAACAAGCCACAAGACACCACAGTTCACAATAACAACATATACAATCCCTTGTCTCCAGTCCTGGAACTGTGGCTATGTAACAGTACTTGAAATATTGAGTACAATGTTAACTATTAGCTTAAATATTCTACAAACAGTAAAAACCTACAAACACATGAATGTACATCAAAATTGTAAGTAACAGCAGAATATGAGTTTAAATTGGAGACTTCTGGAAAAAGGAGATCTGATAAGTTTTATTGGGAAAGGCGTGAGCAAAAGACTTCAAGATATATCTCTTTTCACTATTACATCAACTACTGGGGCTAAGAGACCATTCTTATTTTCTAGTGATTATAAGAAAATGTACAGTTCAGCTAAAATATATACGGAACCATCATAAAACTACCAGCATCATATTTTAGCACACAAGAAAAATTATATTATTCTTCTCCCAGACTAACAGAATAGGGAGGAATGGGATAGTGGCGGTGGGGAAGGCTGAAATGGAAGCATTCAGTTATTATGAAATAATCATTATGTCAAATGAATAGATACATTTACCTGAACCTTTCCCATTCTCATGCCCTAGAGGTGTGTGATTATCTTATAATCTTTGCTGCTTCCCAGAGAAACACATTTTGCTTCATGATACAATTTTTTAAAAGTGAAAAACGTATTACCAGAGGTGCTTGTTAAATTGATGGTGATGACTTAAATTAACTCACATTTGTCACTAAACTCCAAGGGTCATCAATTATTGAGCACAAAAAGACATATTTTCTACGTGAGAGGAAACATAAAATGCAGAAAAAGTGAGAGAACCATTAATTAAACTTTATATGAAAGAAGACAGAGCTATTAGAAATGCTTATGATTTCGCCTTTCTTGGGAATGGGGTCCTTATTCAGAAAGACAAAGCATCAAAGACAGGCGAAAAATGTAAAATGGTTTACTTATATTTGCCCAACTGCCTTGCCAACAAAAAGTCATTATTCTGTAATAATCATTGTGCCCCAGTGAACAGTAAAATTATTTTTAACAATTCATTTGTTTTACAATCTCTAAAACAGAATGGCTCTAATAAAATTACTGTACAGTCACCTGATCACCTACCTTTAAATCAGTCCTTTATCTGGAGTACTACGTCCCCTTTAAATATAGCCATCTAAAGTAAAATACTTTCAATATATTGAATCCATTCTTACCATTTTATTCTTTGCTAGCTATATATTCTCTTAAGATAAACTGAGATAACTAAAATGTTTCTTGATGAGTTTACCAACACATAGGTAAATAAACACAGAGGATTTAAATATTCTATTGAGAGATACTTTTCAAGCTTTTTTCTTACCTTGGTAGGAAATCAGAAACTGTATGGTTAACATTCCTGAAGGGAATAATTATTAGTCTTATCATTGGCTTTCCACCAATAAATTGTAAATATGAACTCTTAATGAAGATGTTCATTAAGAGTTCAAAAAACAACACATAGCATAAATCAAGAATACCTAAGTACTTAAATTATGATAAGGGTTTAAGGGGCAATTCTTAACTTTAACACCAAATTTTATGCCCAATACTGTGCAAGGCAGTGTATAGAAGGCAGGATAGGGTAGAATACATGGATCCTGTCATCAAGAGAAGATAAATTCTCTTAGAAAGCATCTGTAATATGTCAGGCACTGCTGCAGGGCAATGGGTAACAAAGCTAAAATAAAGACAATCCCAGCAGCCAAAAAGCCAGAGACTAGATAAAATAAAGGTAGTAACAAGAGGACATCATATGGTCTATGACAGAGATAGCTACATAAATCTGCTGAAACACAGAGGAGAGACTGTCAGGTGAAGCTGGAGAGGCCCAAAAGAGGGTGGCATCTTAACTAACAGGATGGTTAAAAAAATAAATTTAAAAAAAAAAAAGGTATAATTAGAGAGGCAAAAGATTTTGATTCTCCAAAGTCAGTTAAAGTGTATAAAGAAAATGCATTTAATGTCACCTTGCAGGGTGCCCTACATTTGGATGTCGATGACAGGGGAGGGCACTTAATTGGGAGAATGGCATATAGAAATCCATATGCTGGTGGAAATAGAGAAGGTTACTGGATATGAAACACATTACAGAGACAATGTAATTCATCAGCTGATTTTAATATGAAAAAAAGGAGGAGAGAGAGATTGTGATGAAAGTTGAGTCAATTCCAATTACAAAGTTTCCAGCTAATTCCAACAACAACATTTCCTAAAATCACTGATTAGTCTGTAAAAGGTATTATAGTCTCCCAAAGCAACTCCTCTTATATAACGTGCTGCAGTTTTTCTATGGAGAAAAACAAAATCAATTTAGCATTTTCTGTGACTGCAAGAAAGTCTTTAAACCAAGTAAATTCACTTTCCTTTCTGCTGATTGTACCTGCTAGTCGATTATCCTTATCCCATAATAGGCAGTTCTGGCTTTTGGGCTAAGATCGTTTCCTGGAAACCACTTCATAAAACAAGATAGCTGTAAAGGGGATTATACTTTCTCATAGTTATATTATAATTTTGGTAGAGTTTTTGACATCAATAAATTACAACAATATCAACCATGTGTTATTAAAATAAAAGAAAAATGTAAATATGCAATCAGCATAAATATAATCATTTTGAGCAGTAAGATTATATTCTAAGTCCTCTCCTAGGATTTTCCTACTGAGGAAACCTTAGAAAGTATCTAAAATGGATCAACATATTTTCTGGGATGAGAAAAGTGACACATATAGCTTAAATAGAATTCCAAATGCTTCATTAAATTAGTGACAAATAAAAATTTAACTGAGTTCTACTGGCTCAAAGGTCAAGGTATTTTACAATCTATTATACTTCAACCCCTAACATTAGGAAGACACATACAGTGACCATAACTAATTAGTACACATTGAATATAAAAGGAGAGTCAATGTATTACAAAGTAAGCATATTCCATTAAAACTGCAATTCCACCATATTCAATTCCAAGCATTTTCCATATACAATACAGATACTAGCAATGTCAGAAACATCAATTATATATGCGTCTTTAGATAATGTACAATACGCAGCATCCAGTAGTCTTAACTTTTAGAATGTATTTTTGCAAATTTTTCAGATAGTACACATTTCTTCAAAATGCTATTCAGAAAATTTTAATTTATTTCTCAGCCAAAACCATCTCAGGAATCATTCTGTTTAAATAGACCAAGCATACTATTTGGTTAAGGAGACATCAGTGTACCAATCAGGCATTAAGAGACCAATGCTTTGTTTTTAGCTGCACATATGCTGTATAAAAGGAGAGGGCAGAACTGGATAGCTAAGGTCTTAAAAAAAAAATCTTAAAAAGCTATGATTCCGACTACTTCGACTGTCCACTTTGGGCAAGTAAGATTTGTTTTATTTAGGTCCTTAACATCAAGAGTAGCCTTGAAGGTATTAAAAAAAAAGGATAGACAAAAGGCTATATGTGTTCTGTCATCTACCTAGGGAGGGGGATAGAGGCTGCAACCGTTTGCCTTCATAATAGTGGGAGAAATACAAACCTCAAAAAAGTCTTCTGTAGTCAATCCAAGGTAACTGAGATGGCTGGCAGAGGACCAGGTGCTAAAGAAGCCACAGCAGTTGCCAAGTCAAAAGCAAAGGAAACATGGTAGCTGACTACTCCAGAGTCAGAGCAGTGATTACTAGTTAAGTGCTTTAAACTCTGACAGGGATGGAGAGGGGACCGGCCTGGTGTCCACTGTAGACATGGTCCTCCTTGGTTCTTAAATCAAGATGAAAGCACTGCAGGGAGGTTGAAAGCAGATGATTTTATTCACCCCTATCCTGTTATCAGCTTTATAAGAGCTGTAGCTGGAAAATGGCTGATAAAACCAATGTACTAATCTCCCCTGCTATTCTTTGATCTGGTTTTCTGGCAGAAGCAGCTATTAAGTACTCAAAAAAAAGAAAGGTCTGATCAGGTGCAAATCCCTACTGGCAGCCTGGCCTAAGCTCAGAAGACCCCCTTCTCAATCAAAGTTTAAAGCATTCACAAAACCCTAGCAGCACACTGGTGTTCTCAACTTTGAAGGAGTCATTAGTCAGACTTGGCAAATTGTGATTATAGTATCTTTGGTTCTCCTCCAAGACTATAGATGCATAATCTCTGGCCAACGCTTCTGCTTGTGCCTTTAGCACATTTGACTGGTTTATTTACTTTACTTTGAAGAGTTGGAACAAGAGTTTTACTTAAAATTAACATTGAACTGAAAGGTTTATTGTGTAGTGTATCAAGAAAATTAAAAGAATTATCATATTAATAGTACTCGTTAATATAGTAATTCAGTTTCCTAAAGCAAAGATCTTAGTGTTAACTATAATGAAGTTCTGCATGACTGATTGTAACAGATTTATCCACATATGCATTAGTCATTAAAATATAGGTTAAAACCAATACAACCATCTGATCTTTGACAAACCTAACAAAAACAAGACATGGGGAAAGGATTCCCTATTTAATAAATGGTGCTGGAAAAACTGGCTAGCCATATGGAGAAAGCTGAAACTGGATTCCTTCCTTACACCTTATATAAAAATTAATTCAAGATGGATTAAAGACTTAAATGTTAGACCTAAAACCATAAAAACCCTAGAAGAAAACCTAGGCAATACCATTCAGGACACAGGCATGGGCAAGGACCTCATGACTAAAACACCAAAAGCAATGGCAACAAAAGCCAAAACTGACAAATGGGATCTAATTAAACTAAAGAGCTTCTGCACAGCAAAAGAAACTACCATCAGAGTGAACAGGCAACTTACAGAATGGGAAAAAATTTTTACAATCTACTCATCTGACAAAGGGCTAATATCCAGAATCTACAAAGAACTTAAACAAATTTACAAGAAAAAATCAAACAATCTCATCAAAAAGTGGGCAAAGGATATGAACAGATGCTTCTCAAAAGAAGACATTTATGCAGCCAACAGACACGTGAAAAAATGCTCAGCATCACTGGCCCTCAGAGAAATGCAAATCAAAACCTCAATGAGATGCCATCTCACACCAGTTAGAATGGCGATCATTAAAAAGTCAGGAAACAACAGGTGCTGGAGAGGATGTAGAGAAATAGGAATGCTTTTACACTGTTGGTGGGACTGTAAACTAGTTCAACCATTGTGGAAGACAGTGTGGTGATTCCTCAAGGATCTAGAACTAGAAATACCATTTGACCCAGCCATCCCATTACTGAGCATATACCCGAAGGATTATTAATCATGCTGCTATAAAGACACACGGACACGTATGTTTATTGTGGCACTATTCACAATAGCAAAGACTTGGAACCAACCCAAATGTCCATCAATGATAGACTGGATTAAGAAAATGTGGCACATATACACCATTGAATACTATGCAGCTATAAAAAAGGATGAGTTCATGTCCTTTGTAGGGACATGGATGAAGCTAGAAACCATCATTCTGACTATCGCAAGGATAGAAAACCAAACACTGCATGTTCTCACTCATAGGTAGGAATTGAACAATGAGAACACTTGGACACAGGGTGGGGAACAGCACACACTGGGGCCTGTCCTGTCGCGGGGTCGGGGGAGTGGGGAGGGATAGCATTAGGAGAAATACCTAATGTAAATGATGAGTTAATGGGTGCAGCACACCAATATGGCACATGTATACATATGTAACAAACCTGCACTTTGTGCACATGTACCCTAGAACTTAAAGTATAATAAAAAAAGAAAAAAAAAGATGGACTTTATTTTGTATAACTATCAACTGTTTACAGAAAGCAGTGACACTTAATCTTTGCAAAGTCCTATACCCATTCTATGAAAAGCATCTATCCTCCTTCCTATGTAAAATTGAGTTTACAAGCCTTTGAAGCTCAAAACTAAACAACCTACTGAGATCCACTGTCCCCACATTATGAACCCGAATCTCCAAAACTCCATCAGACATACAGTCTAAGATGCAACATCTTCTGCTACAATCACCTCAAGATTGAACTCCAGACGAAAACGTGTAAGTGTCCTGGGCCAAGAGTCCTTTCATTTGAGATTCAGGAATGAAATGTCTAGGGTTATCTCCATTGAGTACACTCATGGACTTCCTAATAAGAAACATTCCAGTAAAGGATACATGGAAAATTAGTCAGTGCATAAGTCGCAATTTATCACTGTAATGTCTCAAAAGCACCTGAATAGTATGAATTTTACATGCTTTCTCCTCACTATCAAAATCAAACAGTTAGTTGTTCAGCAAGCAAAATGAAAACTCTTATAAAGTTATACTCCCCCTTTTCACCAAATACATACATACAGAGATAAGCGATGTGCCTTTTTATTATTAATGAACATATTTCATTGAATTTATTAATATGGTAAGAGTGAAAACAACAGAATCTACTAGACTAACAGCCCTAAAGGATCAAGACTCTGTTATGCAAGGTACAGATTTTTCCTCTTCAAAATATTTAAATTATACCTTTACAATATGATTAAAATGAATATTTGCCAATAGAATAGCAAGTCTAAATAATGACCCACCACTTCAAAGAAACAATAGGTTTTAAAATTATAACACTAAATTATTGTTGCTTTGTTGTTACTGCCTTAAATTTCCTGAAAGAACTGCATTCCTACAACACAGAATACAGGGTTTACTTGCTCTGCCTAGAATTTTTCCCTGACAAACTAAATTCCATCTTCCAGCACTTAAAAACCCTCACATTCTCTAAAATTCAGAAAACTACAAATATAAACCAGTGTTTTGCTAAGTCTATTATGGGCCTATGAAGACAACTTAGTAATTATTAAAAACATACTGTGAAAATACTATTGAGGGCATTTTAAAATTTACTATGCGTCTCATAATAAACTACTTTCCGGGATCTACAATTTCATGAATTAAATTTAAAATTATATCACAGCTCCTTGAGCAAATGATCTACAGAAGCAATCATCAGCATTCACACCCAGATTTAAAAACTCAGGTTGTTCCATTGATCACTATATAAATAAACTTAAAAGTATTTTTACTCTGTATCCAAACAAATGGTTTAGAAATGCCTCCAAAAAGTGACAAGTATGTTGTCTCAATATTTAATTTGTAGACCAGATTACAGGAGAGTACAAACTGAAATGGTGAAAGTCTGGCTAAAATTAATGTCTGTTTGAACCATTTTAGATTATCAAGAAAAAATTCAGAAGACAAATTTCTGGCCTCAGCTAACCAAAAAAACAATATAAATTAAAATGGCCTTTTTGGTGCTGGTGAGGTCTGATAACTAAAATCATTCAATAGAATCCTGTTTGAAAACACCTTATAATAATATAATTCAATTATAGGATAAGCAAGTTATGCTCCTGTTTCCAAAGAGAAGAAAAAAATAAATCTGTGCGATTGCAATATACCAAATGTTAGAATGAACACTTACCATGCATATTTCCTTATACTTCACTAGCACTGTACAACACACACTTTCATTTTAATCATAACATAACACTTATGATATAGGTATCATCCCTATTTTACAGATAAAGACACAAAGCTACAGTTACTGACTCACTTGACCAAGCTTACAGGAAATGAGAGAGAATGAGGATTTGAACTCAAAGGATTCTGACTCAAGCTCTTATGTTATAAACAATGCTGCAAATATTACTTATCTATGTTTGTTTACCTTTTTCTATGTGAAGCTGAGTGTTCAGAGCCCTGATATGTTAATCTATTTACATTTATTTGTTTGGCTCTGTTTTTGTTTATTTATCTATTTATAACCAACCGGCAAACTCCATAATGTTACATGGGAAGAGTAAAAGAAAGAGTTCAAGGGCCTGTGGCAAGATTTTCATTTGGGGTCTATTTGGCTCTAAAGAAAAAAGAGCTAATCAATTGCTAACTGAAGACAGTACAGTTTAGTTTTAATAATGGTTACAGTAATGAGAGGTTAAAAGGGTCAAAACACTGAACCAGGTGTTAAAGTTCTTAATGTTCGTATTTGGGAATATACATTAGACTACTCAACTCTATTTGAAGTTATACAGGGGATAAATATGGTTCCATTGAGTAGAGGTTCTAATACTTGTTTGAATGTTCTAAAATTAGTTGGTTGTTTTCACTCATAAAATCAGAAGGCTGGACAAAATACTTTCTAAGGTCCCTTTCAGTATTAATATTTCATAAAACTAAAAGGCAAACTGTACTTGATGAATTATGTCTGACTCATAAGGTTCTTTCAAAATTTAATGTCTTATTTTTCTTTGCCACATGATATATTTTTTGCCTTTTGTTTTTTGGCAAGTCATAACCCAACCATGCCTTTTAAATGGGGGTAATATATAAACCTTGCCTACTTTATAGACTTTTCCTATCAGTATGATGATATATGTAAACTTTAAAAAAAATTTTAAGTATGCACATAAGGTAACATTAACTATTTAATTAAATATTAAGTGATTCACTATTAAAATCATGTTAAAATAGGATGTCTTAACTATAAATGCCAATATACTAAATTATTCAACAACAAGAGCATAAGATTCTACTTGAGGCAACACATATAAAGTTTTATGGTATCTGTAAGTAATTTAAATACAAATTTCTTTATTTGTCTACTAATAGCATTTACCAGGCTATTTTATTTAAGAAAGCAGAAATATTGTCTTTGACCACAGAACAGAAGTTCAAAGAAAAAATCATTCTTTTCTCATTATCCTTTTCTACTGCAGATGTTTTGTATTTGTTTATTTAGATTCTGCCTCCATTCTAGAAAAGACTAAAGGAAGCTGAAAGGATATATTAACCACAAGAAAATTCCAGAAGTGTAAAACTGGACAGAAAGAAGAAAGAAAAATGGGAATAAAGCCATCAATTAGAGCCAGAAATAAAGCTCAAACATGTTTACCATAAACATTTATATATTTCTTATTAGAGAGCCATAAACTGGCTTTAAGCTTTCTGGCAATAAATGCAGCAAGCAGCTCCCAGTGTAATGTGATTCAGTAAAACAATTCCATTGGGAGGTAAACTGATTCTTCCTTGTGCCAGTCTCTGTAGATCTGGCTTGATTTGGGGATAGATTTTTAGAAAATGAAGAAACATAGAAGGAGTTGCGTATCTTTCAAATAATGTTCCCCAAATATTATTTCTCTAAGTTGTGGGCACCGATGAGTTCAAGACTATTCCCTGAAAAAGTATACAGCATAAAATTACTCAACAGTGGCATTTAAATTTTTTTCCATGTGTCTCAACAAACCCTAAATTTTAAGAAACTGTGTATATGAGATATATATACTCTTCCAAAAATTGAGGATTTGATCTTTAAAAAGACTTGACCATGTCCCAAAGGGCCTCCCCACTTTGTAGCATGCAATACCACAGGAGCACTAGCTTAGAAAAGTTTTTCTAAATCTCTAACTGAAAGACAATGAGTGACCTCTGCCTGAAGAATCTACTCCTTATAGCTTGGCACAACAGTGTCAGTCTGAAAGAAAAAAAAAAAAGTCTCACTAACATGAAAACAGCTGTCTACTCAAGTTCATATAGAAAGTAATTCAATAAAACAAACATTGAACGTTTAACTTGGAGCTAAGCTTATAAAAACTACCTATTAAGTATAAACCAAGGTAATTTGCAGAACGGGTCTTTTAAATAAAAGTCAGTCATAGTACATTGAACCAAATAAAATAACATTACTTGTACAAGTAGTTATCAATTCATGCTGCTGTTAGATTGAGATAAAATACGAAACTGTCATAAGAAAATGATTGTCTTTTGTCCTTTATTAGGGAACAGGCATGCAAGAGCTCTGTCAAAACACTGAGAATTAAGTTAAAGAGAAGAGAGGTCAGAAAATAATCATATGTTACTCTAATGCAATATGTGACCTGTTCTCCCAAAACAATATTCCTGCTGACCCTGACTCTCGAAACAGTAATACAGAGGCAGATTCTGAAAGGAGATCAATACCTGGGGTGGGAAGTCCATGTTGAGCTTTCATCTCCTGGCCAAAGAAGTGAAGGTTGGGGAAAGGACGCATATTAATTTATGTGAGGTTAGACTAACATTTTAACATGATTTATGAATCGACCTCAGCAAATGGCTTAGGTTTGAATAGCTGTCTTGAATTAATTCTAGTCTTCTAGTCCAAACAAAGAATATCCTAAGGTATGGAGAAAATTTGCAGAAGTACCTGGCCCATCTGAGGTACTTAAAACTGTTTGTTGAATGAGGGGCTGAATAATCTAATTTGCTATTTGCTAATACTGACAAAAATGGGCATGATATGAGAACATGAGAACAAATACAGTCCAAATATTTTTTAAATGGAATAAATTGAGTTTGTTTTAAAAGAAAAAACCTACAAATCAGTGTTTCCAAATTATTGGTGAAATTCTATTGACATTTTAAATGAATACTTTCTGGCTCTTTTCCCAAAAAAGCTAGTAGTACCATAAAAATAGGTAAAGGAAACAATGCAGGTGTTTTTGTGTTTTTTATTTATTTATTTATTTATTTATTTATTTATTTATTTATTTATTTATTTGAGACGGAGTCTCGCACTGTAGCCTGGGCTGGAGTGCAATGGCGTGATCTTAGCTTCTTGCAACCTCCGCTTCCTGGGTTCATGCGATTCTCCTGCCTCAGCCTCCCAAGTAGCTGGGATTACAGGTGCACACCACCACGCCCAGGTAATTTTTTGTATTTTTAGTAGAGACAGTGTTTCACTCTGTTTGCCAGACTGGTCTTGAAATCCCGACTTTGTGATCTGCCCACCTTGGCCTCCCAAAGTGCTGGGATTACAGGCGTGAGCCACTGCACCTGGCCAGGTCTTAATATGTCTACATTTCAATAAAGCATTTGAAAGAATCTCTCACCCTCCACTTATGGGCAAGGTGCAGAAATGAGAGCTGGATAATAACAAAGTAATGTCACTTTATGACTAGTCTAACCTCTATACTGGAAAAAAATTGACTAATGCATTGTTATCAACCAGAAAGATGCCATCCTGCACAAGGCCACTGGGCTTGGTCTTTAGATTTAGTCTACTTATTATTTAATATTATTATCAAACACTTGAAAGATAACATAACTAACTAATACTTCTCAAACACACAAGACTATAAAAAACATCGAATGCACTGTCTGAAAAACTTACTATAAAAAATTCTTAACAGGCTATGATAATGAGACACATCCAATAAGATAAAATGTATTAGAGACAATGTTCAAGTTCGGTTCAAATACCAACCTCCTCATTTCAGGTCAGTGCTCTTGTTACACTCCAACACATTCAGACATCAAAAGAGAGATGATTTTTAATCAGTAATAACAGTCCAGGATGGGGTCCTGAGCAAAGAGGCCAGGGATGGGGGTAGAATCCAGACTGGTTTGATCTGGTCTTTAGTTCACAAAGTGCTGTGTGTTTAGCTTTCCTACTCAGTCATTAATCACTCTGAGATACAGCCTAAGCACTTATGTAGAGGCTCAGACTGTGAGCCATTAGAAGTTGACTGTAACAGAGCTGGAAATCATACAAATCCCTGGGAGAACAAGTCCCCCAAATTTCTACTGAGGTTAAATTAAAAAAAAAAAAAAAGATGTCTGGAAAAATTGTTTAGCATGTATGCCTGTTCTGTGAATGTGTTACAGCTTGATTCTAATTAACAACAACAAAAAATTAACATAAGTCAGCCCCTAGATTAAGAGAAGTTTAAAAAAATATTGATTTGTGATGTTTAAGAAAATGGAAAAACAACAGGCACTCCAGCATTAGATACCTTTAATTAAAAACACAAAATAACTGGACTCATTCCCCAATGAATGGCTTTCCTCAGCTAACTGCAGAATTGCTTATCAGGTAAATCTGTTATGGCAGCAGCTACTTCAACAGGGATCAATGAAGTTGGAAGCCAAGTAGACATATACTCCAGACGTTAACCAAAGAGCCGTTCTTTTTTCCCTTTTTTAACGTGAAGCCACTGGAAGAAAACACTCTTACCAAGTGTCTTTTGAAGCATTATTTCAGAAAGTTAGGCTTAATGGGGAATGCAAATAATGTATCCCCAAAGTGAAGATTAAAATATTATCTATTTTAATTTTGACAAAAGTAGCCATACAATTTTTGCTACATGTTTACCTCCAAAATTTTAATGTACTGAGTGGAAGAAAGTATTCGTGGATCACAGCTAACGCCCTTATTATTAACAACTCCTCACATTCCATCCCAAGCCATTTCCCATCTCAATGACAGCATATTTATAAATAATAGTTGCCATCAGCCTGGAAAAGCCTATCATCAGGCAGTAAAGTCTTTGTTAATCACTGACTTACTAGAACAGACCCATTGGACATGCATGTGTGTATATGAATTGTGTTAAGGGTTTTTGATGTTTTCCTTTATTAGCATCAATTTTTTAAATTCATGCATGTATGAATAATATCAACAGAAACAAAATTAACCTCTTCCCCATCTCCTAAATCTGAAAACACAGCTTGAGTTAAACTACTCTATTTCCTTATCAAACTTAATATCTCCTCCTCCAGCTCTCAACTCAAAACTCCAGGACAGCACTCATCAAGCTTCTTGGTAACCAGGTATCCTACGCCAGACTCTCCTCAGGACCTGTAAAGTTAGGGACAGAGTTCTGCATACTCATCCCTGGGAGGCTGGCACTTAACACAATAATGAGCTCCTAGTAGCTTCTCAATGTCAGTGAATACATTTTAAAATACTGTTCCTATATGATCTCAGTAGCAAGAAAATTATCACTATCCTTCTCCTCCTTGTGACTATCCTATCAGGAAAGTTTATCAAAGAAAATACTATTATCTAATAACACAGAAGCTTCAAAGGTAACTTGCATGATGCTTTCAGAAAGCAACTTAACAATACAGCCCATTGGCCATACTTTCTGTGTTCAAAAGGCACCTTTGGGAAATTAAGTTTATGGAAATAATATAAAATGTGTTTTTAAAGATATATATAAAATTTAAGAGAAAAAGTATGGAATCATTAGGAGAATAACTTGGTCAACTATAATAATTTCTTAAGCATATGTTCCAGGCTTTGAAAATTATGTTCACAAAAACAATATCAAAATAAAGTGGGAAAACATATTCAATTAAAACATTTAAATTTTCAAACAGAATATGTTAGAGCACACACAGTATGTGAAACATATATTTAGAAAAATCTGGAAAATGCTAATAAATTAATTGTAGTTATGTTAGATGTTTGGGACTTCGAATATTTTTAAAGTCTATTTTTATACTTTTTGTAGCATATTCTTTGAGTAATTATTTTTAAAAAAATAACTTCCCAGTTAATCGAATCAAACTTTTTAGGAAAAAAAAATCTAGGTGATAGTGATTTCTTATTTTGACCCTTTAAGAAGATTATAGAAGAGAAAGAAATCTGTATTTGCAAACATTGGGTCATATTATAGCACAAAGCAGTAACTATTTCTCTACATCAGTACAGAAAGGCAGTTTGATATCCTGCTGACCCCTGTAACATGATCCACTCTGCTGAACCCTGCAGAGCAGGTCAGGAATCAAAGGGCAGGCCAAGACCAAGCAGGCAAGGCCAGTATCTGAGAACAGGGCCAGCCAGATGTGGACTTCTCCAAATAAAGCGAAGGCAGGAGGTGCTGATTGAGCTTTAGGGTCTAATGGTAAAGAAAACAATTTTTAGGTTTCACTTATCCAAAAATGATCTGTATCTTACGCATATTTTAGGAAGAATATAATTATCCTTCCCGCACTCCTTTTTCTCCCCTCAAATATTCCTCCAAATGAATGTGAAAGGGGCAAAGGCTGAAGGAAGAGAGTTCAGGAGCCAACCAGGGAGTTTAAGTTGATAAGTTAGTTTTCCCATTGTTTCACTTTTATCACCCTATTCTCTGTCTTAGAAACCTCCAAGAACACCCCTATGCCTGGCACTCAGTAGTCTAGAATCAGGGACTGTATACATATTTTGTTACTTTCCATAAATCCTTCCCTGGAAGCAGAACTGTACCTCGGTGATTAGAGAACTTCCTATCTTCCTGGAGCCCCCTGTGCCTAGGAATTAAAACCCCCTATCTCTGCACTTACCATCCCACCAATTCCAAACCCACTCTACATCCCTCTCTCTTGGAATCCTAATAGAAGGCAGAGAGGTGCAAGCCAGTGGCCATATACTTATACACAAACTCAAGTTTCTTTCAACTTCCATGAATCCCTATCAGAATTAATCTATCTTTACGTATTTAGCTGAAATAGGAGTTCATGAGCAGCTGCAGTTTTTGACATGTTCAACAGCTAAAAGAAATTAAAGGGAAGGTAAAGAGAGAAAAGCAACATGGACTCATTGAGAGAAAAAAAAAGAAGGAAGTGATAGCATAAGATTAGCAAAGAACTGATTCTCTAGCTTTTCTTTTCTGCTGCCTGGTTTATTTGTGTTTTTCCCCAGTGAATCCATATGCTACGGTGGGGGAAACACTACTAAAGCATCTTAGGACTATACATGGCTGTTGACTGAAAAGAGTGAAGCTCCCTCCCTAAAGGAGACAACTCTTCAGGGTGTTTGCTTTTGTAGAAAAGGCAATGCAGCTAATCCACATCAAACTCTGCAAAAGCATAAAATACCTGACTAGATTTCCACAAATATTATCAGTATATAAACATAAAAGTACTAATTATATAAGTCAATCAAGCTATTATATACATGTAGATGAGTCACACACAAGCCAGAGGAGCTTGCTATACTTTTTAAATAACGCTATCAAGAATCTGAGTTTGTCACTTGCTGAAATCCCAGAAGTTCAGTAGCTCACTGCTCCCTGTCATTCCCCAAGAGGCAAGATAACGAAAACAAGCTATCCAACAGAGGTTTAATGTGCAAATCTGGAATAATTCTTTAAACACCAGAAGTTGATAAAACCTGCTTCACAATTGCAATTTTATGCTACAGGCATGTTCATATTTTTGCCAAGGGATTCGGTTTACATCAATCTCTACAAATTTATGTATTCAGTGTATAAACATTTTAACATAATAATAATCCTTTATCATAATAGAGAGACAGCATGGTCTAGTGAATTGTGTGCTGAATACCCTATCCAGCCCTATCTATCTCATAGGGATTCTGTAAAGATTAATTAGTAGATACCCCCAGAAAGCACTGTGAGCTTTTTTGCAAAAACAGTGTACAAACATCACTTATTTATCATACCACAACTTGTGAGATAAAGAGGCAATAATATAGCTATAAGTGTACAAAACGGAATGGTAGTTGGGATGAAAATGAATGAGATGGCTGCAGAAAGAGATTAGAGGGCAGAATAAGTATAAAAAATATGAATATATGAGTCCTATGTGGAAAACAAGAAAGGGTGGTGCCTTCCCACAGCAGTATTGCAACAAAACACCCCCACCACAAAGGGTTAAAACAGGTCATGCTTTCCCGCAGCAAAGTGTCCTGATTTCTCCAGGAAGGTGAGGACAGGAAGAACCCAGCTTGTGTTTGACTTGTGCTCGCCCCCAAGGCTCACTCCTTTCCTGCCCTGCCTACAGAGTCCTTGGTGCACACTTGTCCTTCACAGACCACTTCCCCCAAGGGTGCCCCAATCAATTTAGAAAATGACAAGGTGACACAGAAACAAAAAGCAGAAGCTCTGAAATAGAGTCCATTCTAGTCAACAAACAAGACTCAGAAATATATATAAACCAAGGAGCAAAAGTGATTTAGGAGAGCTCAAAATACAATTAGTACATTTTTGATGTATGAGAAGAATTTCTCAGTTATAAAGCCAAATGTAAGGTAATTCTTCCTTCTCATATCTCAGAAGTAATAATGCTGGGGGAAAGAGAGGGCTTTTTAGAAAGCATGAACTTTTATATGTAAGTCATTAACACTATAAATTCCTAAACATTGTCTGGTAAATTAAATAATTTTCAATGGCCCAATCTATAAAATATGACCATTCCTAAACTATCATTTTCAGATACAAGTATACAGACCGAAAAATAATATAAATAGAAGCAATGCACATATTCATACTAAAATTAAAATCAAGAGCATTTATTATATTAAGAAAATAGGTTTAGTAGTTAGAAATAAACTGCCCTTGAAAGGAGCCACAAAGCAGCAATTTAGCCAAAGATCCACTCAATTTGTAGTATGTTATCACCAGTTCCTAAGAATCTTTCTGGTATCTATTCTTCATTTTTCTTTTGCATTGTATTTCACTTTTAGGCCATTAGCTCACTATACCTAGACTACCACAATGACCCACTAACAAGTCTGCCTGACTCCATGTGGCCTACATATGGCAAAAAATTAAATTTCCCTGAAGCAAGACTCTGAAGGTATTTATTGCAGGTTAAAATTTGAGGTTCTCTCTGTTTCTCTCTCTCTTTTTCAAAAACTGGATACAGCTCAAACTTATTAGGCTGGCATTCACAGCTCTTCACAGTCTGGCTCCATTCAGCCTCTTATGTTCTCAATTTCTGTTCCAAAACAAAGCCCAACTCCTACTCAATTTGGACTTCTGTAATTCACAGAAAATGCCCATCTCTCAATTCCCAAAGCACCTTTTAAATGCCAATGCCTGTGACTATGATGTCTCTCTCCTGCTGTCACCAGGGTAAGTACTAACAATTCAAATGCCTTTCATCCTGGTCATCTTTTCCACATTATGTAGATTTGATTTCCACCTCCATGCTCAGCACCCTGGCCCCCAGCCACCCTTCACAATCAGGGCACATATCCTGGACTAATCACATGATACTTTTCACATACTGATTTGTTTATAGATACTGACCCATGTGTGTTTGTTCTGAGAGGACAGAAATTCTCTCTTCTACAACTCGATCTCATGTGGTACCCTGCTTCAAATGTTCACTCAATGAAAAGTGTCCAATGCAAGAATGAATGTTTCTACTTTGCAGCAAAACTCCTAAAGGTTATTCTCTGTTTCACTGGAGTTTGGAAGACAAAAACAAGATGACCTCCTTTTTAAAATCTGCATGATATTTACAGAAAAGATGCATTTATAGGACATTTTTTAAAGTACATGATGTTTTATAATTAATGTTCATAATGCATACAAAGTAGGTCAGAAGCGTCACCTTCCCTGTAAAGCTAAGGAAACTAGAGTGCAAATTTCTGTAGGGCTCTACTATACAATTACTTAATAAAACTTCATGTCATTCTTACTATGCTTGACTGGGAAGTATGTGGGGTCTGTTGTCAACTTTAAAAACTTTAATTTGTTTCTGGTATTAAAGAACTGCCACCAATTAAAACTGAGTATACAGAAGTTCATTAAATACCTTAAGTCTCAAGTTATGGGCTAGCATTGTGTTACACAAAAAGAATATAAAGTTGAATGAAACAAATGGAGACCTTATTATTTCTCAGTTTACATACCAATACTCTCCTATACATACACAATATACTAAGAGGAATACTGTTGTCTTCTTACCCAAATTACACAAAAACAGATAAAAACTGACTTTTGCCATCCCTTTGCAAATGTTGTAGCAAATTCTAATGTTCTCAGGCCACGCTGGTCATGATCTGAGAATCTGAGCCAGTTATATCGAAATGTCATAGGAGGCCAGGCGTGGTGGCTTGCGCCTGTAATTCCAGCACTTTGGGAGGCCAAGGCAGGCGGGTCACCTGAGGTCAGGAGTTTGAGACCAGCCTGGCCAACATGGTGAAACCCTGTCTCTACTAAAAATACAAAAATTAGCCAGGCACGGTCACGGGTGCTTGTAATCCCAGCTACTTTGGAGGCTGAGACAGAAGAATCGCTTGAACCTGGGAGGTTTAGGTTGCAGTGAGCTGAGATTGCACCACTGCACTCCAGTCTGGGTGACAGAGCAAGACTCTGTCTAAAAAAAAAAAAAAAGGCTGGGCGTGGTGGCTCATGCCTGTAATCCCAGCACTTTGGGAGGCCAAGGCAGGTGGATCACAAGGTCAGGAGGTGGAGACCAGCCTGGCTTGGTGAAACTCCATCTTTACTAAAAATACAAAAATTAGCTGAGCATGGTGGCGTGTGCCTGCCGTCCCAGCTGCTTGGGAGGCTGAGACAGGAGAATTCCTTGAACCCGGGAGGCTTGCAATGAGCCTAGATTGTGACACTGCACTGTTGCCTGGGCAACAGAGTAATACGCTGTCTCAAAAAAAAGTCTCCAAAATAAATAAATAAATAAATAAGAAAGAAATGTCATAGGAAAGTTAGAAATATTGAGGTCATTCTTTATGACCTCAATCCTTAATCCTGGGCACCAGAAAGTTCTACTTAATCTTATGACTCCTTCCCCTGCCTTGTTCGAACCGTGATCCACGAGCCCTCTGGAAGATCCTACTGTTGTTAAATCCCTTTCTGTACGGGACCCAGAATCACCTACTTTTAAAAGCTGTTGTCTCTGTAACCAAACCCAGGGTAAAGACTGGGCTCTTGCCCTGCCTCTATTATGCACCCTCCCCACAGCAGCCAGTGGTGATCCTGTCTTTTTTCTCTAACTGCTTTTAAAATTTTCTCCTAACACCAGTATTCAGCCACTCTACTAGGTGACGTCATGGTGTTGTTTTCTTTACATTTACTCTGCTTGGGGTTCATTGTGCTCTTCGAACTGTGCGTTTATAGTTTTCATCAAATTTAGAAAATATTTGGCCATTACTTTTCCAAATATTTTTGTTCTCCTTCTCTTTTGCTGTGAAACCCAATTACATGTCAGACTACTTGATACTGCCCCACAGTGCACTGAGCTTATATTAATCTTTTTTCACATTTTTTTCTGTTTGTGTTTCATTTTCAATAATTTCTATTGCTATGATTTGTATAGGAACTATCTCTAGAAGTTCCATTTGGTTCATTTGTGTACCTTCCATTTCTCTCCTTATTATGTTCATATTTTCCTCTCTCTTGAGCACACAGCACATATTTTTAATAGCTGTTTAACATCTTTGCTAGTCCGGTCATCTCTACCTTTTGCAGGTATGTTTCCATGGATTGTTTCCCACCACTAGCTACAGTTCATGTTATTCTGCTTCTTTGCACGCAGATTTTATATTGTTTGATGCTGGATATTGTTGTATTCCTTTAAAGAATATCAAGCTTTTGAGGGGTGCACACTGTTATGTGTAAATTAATCTAATTCTCACAAAGATTAATTTAAAGCTTTGTTAGTGTAGCCTTCAGAGTAAAGCCAATTTAGTCCCACTAATAAGGCAGTATCTTTTTGAACACTCTATCCAATACTTTGTGTATTATGAAGGTTTTCTAGCCTGGCTGATGGGAGTGCCAACTAGTTCCCAGATCTGGGTGAATTTTGAGAATTTTTTTGTCCTACTGCTTTTCAGTGGATTTCTATCCTGCCTCTTAAAGTTTTACCTGATATATATTCCAATTTGAAATGATCCCTCTGTTAATCTCTGGAGGTGTTTCTTTCTGTGCATCTTCTTTCTCTCCAGTTCCTTGCCCTACAATGTCTCACTGCCTCAGCTTCCCCAGCTCTGATCTCAGTCTCCTCCCATCAAGTGAAAGTGCTAGATCCTATTTAGGTTCCTCTCCCTCTGCCAGGCCCAGATACTACCAAGAGGCTGTGAATTGGGATGAACGTAGGGGGCACCTCATTTGTTTCTCATCTATCAGGAATAGCAGTACTGTCTTCCCTGAAGACCATGTCCGAAAACTCTTGCTCAGAAAGACAACTGCAGTGGTTATCTTTCTAACAGAGCTGAATCCCATGCCCTTTTATCCTCTGTTTCATGTATTCCACATTTTCATGAGCAAATCTTTCATGAGCAAAAGCAGAGTTTCTCCCAAGCGTGATGATAATCCAAAACCTCCTTTCACTGTCTGCTCTTTCACCTCAGAGGGACTTCCAAACTTTTATCTACCTTCAACCTCACAGTTGATCATCTAAGTTCCTCTTACCTGTAAATTCAACATCACAAACCACAGTATAGCCACTTTTTGGTTTCAAACTTTATCAAGACAAATCATCAAAACTAGACACCATTGCCCTTAACTTCTTGTCACCAAGCTAAAAACCTCTGTGCATCCTCTCTATTGTTACTTCCTTTCCGTCATTCTTGGAAGATGAGCTGACGTTAGCTGTTCAGGGCCAACTCTAAGCATTTGACTATTTGCTTTTCCTGGATCTCATTCCGTCTGTCATCAATTTCTTCTGTATCTTTAACATCCCCTTTCTATTTACTCCTTTCCATTAGCCTTTTATAAATATGCTCAAGTAGTTTCTTTCATTTTTTAAAAAGCCTTCTGATCATGATTATCCTGTGGCTACTGTCCAAACATTCTCTTCTTATCCAATTTTCTACTCCCTACCTACTTTCTATTTTTTATCATCTCCAACTAACTTGTCTTCCCACTGAGATATGGCTTCTTCACTCAAATCTCTACTGGAGGCTTTCTCATTGAAGCAGACTGTATAATTAAATACAAAGATTATTCTTCAGATTTCTGGCTCTGTGATAGCTTGCTTCTTGACACTTGACTACACTAGCTTTCACAAAACTGAAAGTTATTTCACTGTATACTCGTTGGCTGTTCTCATTTTGGGGGTTCTTTGTATTTCTTTCATAAATATGGATGCTATCCAAGATTCGTTTCTTGTCATACACACATGGCTTTCAGCACATTAAATACTAAATTTTATATCAGTTAATTCACAGATTTTTTTGAAGTCTACATCTATACGCTTTGGATATAATAATACAAAAGTGAATCTAGATTATTTCCCCATTTCATGTGAAAATATCTCTATCTGCATACTCAATTTTGTATTGAGAACTTTCTAAAATAATCATTTTCAATTTGTGTGCTGAAGAATCCTAGAATTTCCATAGTGATGCTTTAAGAATGCTCTACTTTAGAAGAGTGTGGAATACATGAAACAGAGGATAAAAGGGCATGGGATTCAGCTCTGTTAGAAATCAAACCAAAGATTTTAGACATCTGGTTCTGCTTTTGATGTTAGAATTACAAGTAAGATACCCCTCAAATAAAAATGATGAAACAAGAACATTTGAAACCTACTATATTAAATTACAAATACTTTTAGGAAAAAACTGTTTATTCATCCTCATATGCTTGAAATACTCTCCCCCTTCACACTCTATAGTCAGTTAACATTAAGTATATGTTATATAATTTAGTGGAACCTAGCTTTGAAAACTGAGAATTCCTTAAAAATTAGCAAATACCACTTTAGCACTTTTAAATTTAAAAGTATGAAATACCTTCTCTTGGTATAATTGTTTCCTCAAGCTCCTGACCTTTCTTCTTTCTTATTACTGCATTGGCTTTCTTCCATTTTCCATCTGAATCCCATGTTCAGCAATCCATTCTTACTTCCACCAAATCTATGGTCACTATGGCTACAGCGTGCACCAGTGCTTCTTGAAGTGGTGTCTCTGAACTACTTGCATTAGACCCATCTAAAATATATATTATAAATTAACATTTCTAAGTTCTACTAAAGATATGGAAAGTCATCATTTCTGAGTGGTAGGGCCCTTGGACCTGCATGTTTGAAAAGCATACCAGGTGATTCTTAAAGACTCTGACATTATAAACCACTAGAATGGACTTGAAATTCTTGTTCACAGCAAAGTTTTAGAAGCAGTGTCTGTTTCAGGGTCCAGAAATGTCCAATTATATTGTCTTACTAAGATTTCAATCATTATTAACACTACACCAAATACAATTTGTTATATGTGCTATTCTTCAAGAAAATGAGCCACAAATCAAATTTATAAAATCTAAGTACAGTCTTAGTTCAAAGTATTGAAATAGAATGTCTGACTTACAGTTTAAATGACCTAAAGGTCAAATTTCTTTAACAATGTATTTGATTCTCTATTGTTGTTCAATCAATGCAATGACATTAAACCTCTTTAAAAAATCATATTTTTAATAAAGAGCAATTGATCCTGTGGGATACCTTTTAAATAACATATTTGAAGGTTTTAGTGAGACATCTCTAGGCTCTTTTTCCTCCTTTTAAAGTCTTAGCCTCTTAACACATAGATAAATACAGAAAATTTGACCTTTGCCACCGTAATATACTTTATGGAGATGAAATAAGTTTCAGAAACTTATTCTAGATTCCTATATCAAAGCAATCTGAGTTTAAACATGATGCAAATTGTTAGGTATTTCATACTACCATAATTCAAGGACAATTTCAAGGATGTGTCAAACAATATTATTAATTTAACACTTTGTTTTTCATGCCTTATATAATAATGAAGTATCTTTGCACTGCATAAATGTCATGTGGCAAAAAATGGCACTACATTTAGTAACTTCAGGACAGTATTATTAAAAGACACTTGATTTGTGAAGCAGTAACACAATCAGATGGAAAACCATTCCATTTTTACAATTTTCAAAACTGAAAAATAGCCAGCTAAACTGACTGAACAAAGATGGGAAACAACCAAAATCTCCCTATGAATCTTGTTCAGATGCGCTTCTTTGGTTAGAAAGGCACACAAGTTTTGATATCTACTCTATGGTTACAATTTGCTTCACTTCAAATAACAGTGCTTTTGAGGGTAGATTTGCATTCTGGGATAAAGAAAAATGTTTACGCATTACCACTTAAAACTGACATTTTCTACCACTAAGCAGACTTTGTCAGTATTTGGAGAGCTAGCATCCAAAAAAACCCACAAAGATATGCTTAACTGCACATGTGAAGAAAGCCAAATTAACCCCATTATTTCTATAGCACTGGTTCTCAAACTGTGGTCACAGACCAAAGCCATCAGTATCCACTGATGACATACACTGATGACTTGTTAAAAATGCAAATTCTCAGGTCTTTCCCCAGTCCTACCGTGTCAGAAATCCTTGGTATGGGGCTCAGAGATTTCAGTTTACCAAGTACTCCAGGCATTCATCAGAATACCTCCTCAGGCTTGGGAAACCCTGGTGTAGAGATTAGGGGAACAGGGGCCAGTTCTCTAGGATAGAGAACTGGAGCTGCTTTAAAGGATTCTACACATTAGCAATTTAATTTTTTAAGCTTATTTAAACTTATACCCTGTATGTTTATCAGTGTAAAAGCAACATACTGAATGAAACTCTTAATCATTGAAAAATATCTGAAGATTGATTTTAAAAATAGAGGATAACTATAAGCCAAAAACTAAGGGTGTAATAGGAAAAGCAATGCAGGAAACAACATCAGATAACACTTATTGAATTCTGACTATATGCCTGGTATTAAACAAGGCATTTAATATACTTTATCTTTTTTTTGCTGTTAATCTTCAGAACAGTCTCATTTTATAAATAAGGAAAGAAATTAAAAGATAATGTAGTAGACAAAATGGCTTCTTGAAAAATGCCTACATATGAATCTCCAGAATGTGGGAATGCTGTTACATGGCAAGGAGGAATTAAGGTTACCAGTCAGGTGACCTTGAAATGTGACATTAACCTTGGATTACCCAGGTGGGTTCAATGTAATCATAAGAGTCTTTAAAAGTAAAAGAGAAAAATAAGACTCCGAAGCAATGTAGCTACAGAAGAGGTCAGAGGGATTCAATGGGAGAAGGGCTCAACCCTGCTGTCGCTGGTCTTGAAGACAGAAGGGGCCATAAGCTAAGGAAGGTGGGTAGATGGCCTTCTGAGGCTACAAAAGCCAAGATTCTTTCCTGGAGCCTCTAAAAGGGAACACATTCCTGCCAACACCTTGATTTTAGACCAATGAGACCCATGTCAGGCTACTGACCTAGAACTGTAAGATTATAAATGTAATTTTAAGCCACTAAGTTTTTGGCAATTTGTTATGGGATAAATTAGAAAACTAATACTATAAGTTACGTGTCCAAGATCACAATACTAGTAAGGAACTGAGTTATAATTTGAACTCAGATTCAAAATCCCTGTACTTTCATTGGTCCATGTTGTTTTGCAATCAATACCCATTGATACCAAATAATTTAGCAGCTCTTACAGCACAGTGATATTTCTCCCACTGCTGTGGTTATAATGAGCAATCTCTTCAGGAGTACTATACCCTTTCTCAACTGGGATCACCTCCATCAGTCCTTTACCTGCATCAAGCTTGCATATGCAAACTTATGTTGTGTTTGTTTGGCATGGTGTTTTAACACAATACATTCTCAATTTCTCTTGCTCTGCCATTTTCTGTGTTCTTACAGTCATCCCTGTTCACATATTTATGCTACAGTGTGGCCCTGGTAGGCATTTGTTTTTAACTACTCTTGTTGTAGAAAAAGGGCAAAGTTCTCTCACCACAACTTTTAACTCCTTTAACCAATTGAAGAAAAACCTACAGTTTTAGAAGTTCACGCTAATGCAATATATCATGAAAGAGAAATAAAATATGCCACTGTTAGAAATGAAAAGATAAATATGGCATTCTTTGCAGAAGGTATCATCAGCTACCAATAAAAAACTATTTTAATTAAATAAATCCGTAGGTATCAATAAGATAGATTACTATATATCACATGGACTTGTAAAAAGCAATTGAGGATACCCAAAGAAAAATTATTTTGCTCATAGAAAAATAAAACAAATATCAGTAAAACTTACATGAATAAGTTTTAGATAATTCTGTATTGCTGACTTCCTGATTGTATTCCACATATTTCTCATGGAAATTATGCCATATATTGTAAACATAAATCTTCTCATAGTATTTATTTAGAAAAGTCCAAATGCATTTTTTAAAAAGACTTTGAAGAATACTGACCTAGATGAATATTTTTAAAATATATTAAATAACAATCCCATTGCTATTCTAATTGCAATTTTATCAAAACTAAAAATTAATATGTGAATAAATTAGAGCATAATGTATTTTCCCTTTGGAAATACTGGTTTCTATTTCAGATATTATTTTAGATTTATTTTCCCCAGGCATCAGACACAAAGAAATATAACTCCCAGAACATTTCTTTCACAACTCGGTGGATTTATATGTGTTATTTTCTCTGTCATGACCTTCCTCCTCTTTTCCTAAAAATAGGATGCAGTTCATAGGGCATCCGTCCTATGAATTCTTTCTTTGCCAGTCTCAGGTAATAGATAATCCTACTCTGTGTTAACTAGTACATTGACATATATCCATTATAGTATTTGAATTTTAATGTAATTATTTATTGACTAATTACTTATAATTATTTTCACCCCATACAAGACAGAAGCTAGACAAGCGCAACAGCTGTGGGTAATTTATATTTTTATTCCAACACCTAAATGAATGCCTATCTTGCAAACAGACCATCAATAACCTTTGTTAAAGAAAGAAAAGTGTCTTGGTGGTCAAAGAATAGCCAAATAGTGAAATGGTTTGGGGTTCAACAGCCAACTGGTGTGTATTAGCTTTGTGACCCTGGTTAAGAAAGTTTCACCCAGGCTTTTAGTTTTTTTCTTTATAAAATGAACATATTTCACTTCATACAATTATTATGAAAGTCAAAGTATATAATGCAATAAATATATCAGTATAGAATAAGTGGAGGTAGCCATTGTTTTGTCATAGTTCACTTTATGCTGCTATAACAAAATACCAGAGACTGGGTAATTTAAAACAAATTTATTTCTCACAGTTCTAGAAGCTGCGAAGTCCAAAATCAAGGCACTAGCAGGTTTGGTTGTCTGGTGAAGGCTGCTCTCTGCTTCCAAGATGGTGACTTGTTGCTGCATCCTCAGAGAGGAGAAATGCTGTGTTTTCACATGGTGAGTGGCAAAACAAAACAAAACAAAACCCCACAAGCCAACACCTTTTATAAGGGCTTTAAACCCATTTGTGTAGGCAGGTGCCCTCATGACTTAATCATCTCTTAAAAGTCCTCCCTCTTAATAGAGGATACATTCAAACCATAGCAATAGTGATCCTCTACTGCAGACCTCCATAAACCTTTACTCCCTTATTATTTAATTGGACTGGGATTTCTAAGACCTTATCAGAAATACCAAACATCACTTACCAGTATCTCATGGAAGAAGTAAAGCATGTAATAAAATTTTAGAGAATGCAAAGCTCAGACCTATTCCAAACCAATATGCCTGATCAAAATACTTTTCCAGGAATTATCTGAATTACAGGCTCTTAGGTTTACTACAATTAAATAACAATAACAATAAAACTAACTGAGGAAAAGAGGTACAATTCATTTCAAACTTGTTTTGCAATTCTCTAGTACAGACAATTCAGGTGCAAAAAGCACAAAAGAGACACACGATCATATCATAGACATGTTTCCTTGTGCATACATTGTGATCAGATGGACTCAAGCAGACAGTAACGCATATGACAGAATCTAAGGGAAACATGCTTGATATCCCTGTGATGGAGCCTTTGTGCTTATAGCTGTAGATGATTCTTTTTTCTTTTAATCTTTGCTTTTTTTATACTTCCCCATCTCCATCATATTACATATTTTTCCACAAGGACAATTAAAAATGTTTATGTTTGATACATTAGTAAACTAAGTACATTATTTAAATGTACACTGTAATTAACGGTTTATTTTAGTAAATTTGATCATATAAACAAATATTCTTAAAAAGAAGAAATCAATGTTTGCTGTGCCTTCTATGAGCAGATTATTTTATTATTCCTAACCCTGGTGCTAAGAATCAGTCTTTCTAAGGTGTCCATTATTGATTAAATCACAGCCTTTCCTTCAAACACAGTTTTTTTCTCCCTATTTCTCTTGGAATGATGCATAAAGGAGTCCTTCTTTTTTCTTTCTCCAGTGTACCCTGAAGTAGAAATGCTGTTTCATATCTATTTCTCTTCTGTTACTTGAATTACCAAGCTGGTCTTCTTTAGAGTCCTCTTGGGTTTCACAGACTCTAGCATCTTGTTTCCATTTACAATTAGTGAAGTCTGGAAATGTTTACTTGCATTTTTCATACTAAATTTTTATTAAGTTAATTTACCACATTACAGTTTTGGGAAAAGATACAAAGTTTATTGCATTTCATCTCTATCATTTTGGTAGACAGAGGGTATATCTGATAGTAATTAAAAATATATCTGCAGTAAAAAACAAAAGTTTAAGATTTACCTAAATTTCACATTGGCTAAGAAGCCAATTTTTGCTTTTTTATCCACTTAAGGCATGCTAAGTGCAAAGTTTCCATAATATGTGTATAATATACATTCTACTTCTGCTTTATCATAAATTCAAATAAGTTTTATTAAATAACTTATGAATGTAGACATAATGATAAGTTTGTAAATATGAGTAAAGAACAGAGGGCTGACCAACTCAAAAAGAAACCATAGACTTTGAGGAACAAAGAGTAATTAAGAAAGACATATGGTTAGAATTACAGTATGAAACAGATATGTTTATCTGTTTCCACATAAACAGATACATAATTGTACATGTGATTCCATTATACAGTTTGGAAGTCCTTAAGTCAGTAATATGTGATTCTCTTTCAAAATTTAACTATATGATTAATTTACATTTGAAATACAAACTATGCAATAAACTATGTGTCAACATATGAATACTTTCAAACTATTGTCCTTCAACTTTAAAATAATTTTAACAGGTCATAAAGTATGATTCTTCTCTTTTCTACCCTTCCAACCACTTAAAAGTGTAAAAACCACTATTGGATAGTGGACACAAACAAGCCACAAGACAGATTTGGCCTGCTGGTGGTAATTTGCCAACCTCTGTTACAGGATACGGAAAAACCATAGGCTGGTAATGGATTGCAAGTATTTCTCAAGTGAGTACAAAGCAAGATTTTTTTTTAAATTGGTGCTAAGGAGGAAAAGGAGGATGGATTTTTTTACATACTAATTAAAAAGTAACACTAAGTAGTAAAAGCAATGATCTACTAACACCTGGTCAAAGAAATGTGTAAAAGATGCAGCAATGTCATTTAAGTGGGGGAAACTGAGCCTAGCTTGGTACAAAATAAGTAAAGTGCCGAATACAAATCTGATCACAGTTGATACTTTTTGGTTCTTGCTTCTCATTCTCATTTATAGTCAGGAGACCTAAACCCTAATTCTAGCTCTGGTAAATCCGGTTCAATAAACTTAAGCAAGTTAGTTTTCCACATCTACATATTAAGGTGATTATTTTAAACAAAGCTTGATTCTCCAAAATTAAATTTTTAAGATTCTGGAAACAGGACATATGCAGAGCTAATATACCTTAAACTTCAGGACACCATAAAGTCACATAGCACTTCTATTCATGGCCAGTAGGCTACACTGTAACTTTTATGTATAGCTTACTGTTGAAAAGGCTAAAAAAGAAAAGTTTAGACTTACATCCTTACAGAGTGTGCTCTAAAGAACATAAAAAACGATTAACATCACTGAAATCAAGTTCCTAGCAAGTTTCTCTACTCAAAAGCTTCCAATGACTCTCCATGGCCTCTGAGTCAAGGGCAAGTCCTTCGAAGCAAAACAAGTTTCTAAAGTGACCTGACTCAATTCCCTCCCTGTCTTAACCTCCTTCTCCTCTTTCTCCTCTCCCCTTCTTGCTCACTGCCATCTAGCCACAGTGACTCCTTGCAACCCATGGACAGGCATGCTTCCACCACAGGGCCTTTACCCTGGCTCTTCTAGTAGATACCTATTCAGAATATACCCTCGTCTTCTTCACATCTTTGCTCAAAAATCAACTCAATGAAGCCCACTCAGACTACTCAATTCCAACCTAGCAAGGCAGGCCAACATTCAGATTCAGGAAACACAGAGAATGCCACAAAGATACTCCTCGAGAAGAGCAACTCCAAGACACATAATTGTCAGATTCACCAAAGTTGAAATGAAGGAAAAAATGTTAAGGGCAGCCATAGAGAAAGGTTGGGTTATCCACAAAGGGAAGCCCATCAGACTAACAGCGGATCTCTTGGCAGAAACTCTACAAGCCAGAAGAGAGTGGGGGCCAATATTCAACATTCTTAAAGAAAAGAATTTTCAACCCAGAATTTCATATTCAGCCAAACTAAGCTTCATAAGTGAAGGAGAAATAAAATACTTTACAGACAAGCAAATGCTGAGAGATTTTGTCACCACCAGGCCTGCCCTAAAAGAGCTCCTGAAGGAAGCCCTAAACATGGAAAGGAACAACCGGTACCAGCCACTGCAAAATCATGCCAAATTGTAAAGACCATCGAGGCTAGGAAGAAACTATATCAACTAACGAGCAAAATAACCAGCTAATATCATAATGACAGGATCAAATTCACACATAACAATATTAACTTTAAATGTAAATGGACTAAATGCTCCAATTAAAAGACACAGACTGGCAAATCGGATAAAGAGTCAAGACCCATCAGTGTGCTGTATTCAGGAAACCCATCTCACGTGCAGAGACACACATAGGCTCAAAATAAAAGGATGGAGGAAGATCTACCAAGCAAATGGAAAACAAAAAAAGGCAGGGGTTGCAATCCTAGTCTCGGATAAAACAGACTTTAAACCAACAAAGATCAAAAGAGACAAAGAAGGCCATTACATAATGGTAAAGGGATCAATTCAACAAGAAGAGCTAACTATCCTAAATATATATGCACCCAACACAGGAGCACCCAGATTCATAAAGCAAGTCCTGAGTGACCTACAAAGAGACTTAGACTCCCACACAATAATAATGGGAGACTTTAACACCCCACTGTCAACATTAGACAGATCAATGAGACGGAAAGTTAACAAGGATACCCAGGAATTGAACTCAGCTCTGCACTAGGCAGACCTAACAGACATCTACAGATCTCTCCACCCCAAATCAACAGAATATACATTTTTTTCAGCACCACACCACATCTATTCCAAAATTGACCACATAGTTGGAAGTAAAGCTCTCCTCAGCAAATGTAAAAGATCAGAAATTATAACAAACTGTCTCTCAGACCACAGTGCAATCAAACTAGAACTCAGCATTAAGAAACTCACTTAAAATCGCTCAACTACATGGAAACTGAACAACCTGCTCCTGAATGACTACTGGGTACATAACAAAATGAAGGCAGAAATAAAGATGTTCTTTGAAACCAATGAGAACAAAGACACAGCATACCAGAATCTCTGGGACACATTCAAAGCAGTGTGTAGAGGGAAATTTATAGCACTAAATGCCCACAAGAGAAAGCAGGAAAGATCCAAAATTGACACCCTAACATCACAATTAAAAGAACTAGAGAAGCAAGAGCAAACACATTCAAAAGCTAGCGGAAGGCAAGAAATAACTAAAATCAGAGCAGAACTGAAGGAAGTAGAGACATAAAAAGCCCTTCAAAAAATTAATGAATCCAGGAGCTGGTTTTTTGAAAGGATCAACAAAATTGATAGACTGCTAGCAAGACAAATAAAGAAGAAAAGAGAGAAGAATCATATAGATGCAATAAAAAATGATAAAGGGGATATCACCTCTTTATCGATCCCACAGAAATACAAACTACCATCAGAGAATACTACAAACACCTCTAAGCAAATAAACTAGAAAATCTAGAAGAAACGTATAAATTCCTTGACACACACTCTCCAAAGACTAAAACAGGAAGAAGTTGACTCTCTGAATAGACCAATAACAGGCTCTGAAATTGTGGCAATAATCAATAGCTTACCAACCAAAAAGAGTCCAGGACCAGATGGATTCACAGCCGAATTCTACCAAAGGTACAAGGAGGAACTGGTACCATTCCTTCTGAAACTATTCCAATCAATAGAAAAAGAGGGAATCCTCTGTAGCTCATTTTATGAGGCCAGCATCATCCTGATACCAAAGCCGGGCAGAGACACAACCAAAAAAGACCAATATCCTTGATGAACATTGATGCAAAAATCCTCAATAAAATACTGGCAAACCGAATCCAGCAGCACATCAAAAAGCTTATCCACTATGATCAAGTGGGCTTCATCCCTGGGATGCAAGGCTGGTTCAATATACACAAATCAATAAATGTAATCCAGCATATAAACAGAACAAAAGACAAAAACCACATGATTATCTCAATAGATGCAGAAAAGGCCGTTGACAAAATTCAATAACCCTTCATGCTAAAAACTCTCAATAAATTAGGTATTGATGGGACGTATCTCAAAATAATAAGAGCTATCTATGACAAACCCACAGCCAATATCATACTGAATGGGCAAAAACTGGAAGCATTTCCTTTGAAAACTGGCACAAGACAGGGATGCCCTCTCTCACCACTCCTATTCAACATAGTGTTGGAAGTTCTGGTCAGGGCAATTAGGCAGGAGAAGGAAATAAAGGGTATTCAATTAGGAAAAGAGGAAGTCAAATTGTCCCTGTTTGCAGACGACATGATTGTATACCTAGAAAACCCCACTGTCTCAGCCCAAAATCTCCTCAAGCTGATAAGCAACTTCAGCGAAGTCTCAGGATACAAAATCAATGTGCAAAAATCACAAGCATTCTTATACACCAATAACAGACAAACAGAGAGCCAAATCATGAGTGAACTCCCAATCACAATTGCTTCAAAGAGAATAAAATACCTAGGAATCCAACTTACAAGGGACGTGAAGGATATCTTCAAGGAGAACTACAAACCACTGCTCAAGGAAATAAAAGAGGATACAAACAAATGGAAGAACATTCCATGCTCATGGGTAGGAAGAATCAATATCATGAAAATGGCCATACTGCCCAAGGTAATTTATAGATTCAATGCCATCCCCCATCAAGCTACCAATGACTTTCTTCACAGAATTGGAAAAAACTACTTTAAAGTTCATATGGAATCAAAAAAGAGCCCGCACTGCCAAGTCAATCCTAAGCCAAAAGAACAAAGCTGGAGGCATCATGCTACCTGACTTCAAACTATACTACAAGGCTACAGTAACCAAAACAGCATGGTACTGGTACCAAAACAGAGATATAGATCAATGGAACAGAACAGAGCCCTCAGAAATAATGCCGCATATCTACAACTATCTGATCTTTGACAAACCTGAGAAAAACAAGCAATGCGGAAAGGATTCCCTATTTAATAAATGGTGCTGGGAAAACTGGCTAGCCTTATGTAGAAAGCTGAAACTGGATCCCTTCCTTACACCTTATACAAACATTAATTCAAGATGGATTAAAGACTTAAACGTTAGACCTAAAACCATAAAAACCCCAGAAGAAAACCTAGGCATTACCATTCAGGACATAGGCATGGGAAAGGACTTCATGTCTAAAACACCAAAAGCAATGGCAACAAAACCCAAAATTGACAAATGGGATCTAATTAAACTAAAGAGCCTCTGCACAGCAAAAGAAACTACCATCAGAGTGAACAGGCAACCTACAAAATGGGAGAAAATTTTCGCAACCTACTCATCTGACAAAGGGCTAATATCCAGAATCTACAATGAACTCAAACAAATTTACAAGAAAAAAACAAACAACCCCAACAAAAAGTGGGCAAAGGACATGAACAGACACTTCTCAAAAGAAGACATTTATGCAGCCAAAAACACGTGAAAAAATGCTCACCATCACGGGCCAACAGAGGAATGCAAATCAAAACCACAATGAGATACCATCTCACACCAGTTAGAATGGCAATCATTAAAAAATCAGGAAACAACAGGTGCTGGAGAGGATATGGAGAAGTACGAACACTTTTACACTCTTGGTGGGACTGTAAACTAGTTCAACCCCTGTGGAAGTCAGTGGGGGGATTCCTCAGGGATCTAGAACTAGAAATACCATTTGACCCAGCCATCCCATTACTGGGTATATACCCAAAGGACTATAAATCATGCTGCTATAAAGACACATACACACGTATGTTTATTGCGGCATTATTCACAATAGCAAAGACTTGGATCCAACCCAAATGTCCAACAATGATAGACTGGATTAAGAAAATGTGGCACATATACTATGCAGCCATAAAAAATGATGAGTTCATGTCCTTTGTAGGGACATGGATGAAATTGGAAATCATCATTCTCAGTAAACTATCGCAAGAACAAAAAACCAAACACTGCATATTCTCACTCATAGGTGGGAACTGAACAATGAGAACACACGGACACAGGAAGGGGAACATCACAGTATGGGGACTGTTGTGGGGTGGGGGGAGGGGGGACGGATAGCTTTAGGAGATATAACTAATGCTAAATGACAAGTTAATGGGTGCAGCACACCAGCATGGCACATGTATACATATGTAACTAACCTGCACATTGTGCACATGTACCCTAAAACTTAAAGTATAATAATAAAATAAAATTTAAAAAAAATTACAATATGTCCTTACCTCCCAGATTTCAACATACACACCCCACCCCCACCACACTGCTCTATCTTCTTTCCCATAACTGTACTACCATCTAGTCTTACTTATAATGTTAGCTGTTCATTGTTTGTAACCACCTTCCCCAACAGGAGAGCTTTTTCAGAGTCAAGACTTGTTTCTTTGACCCATTGTTACATTTTAAGTACTGAAAATAGTGCCTGGCATGAAGAAGACACTTGAAAAATATTTCTTGAATAAACAAGTGAATGTTTCCCCTAATGGAGGGTGGATATCACTATTTCTATTTTTAATAAAGCCACAAAAATATAGCAATTTGTCCAACTGTAAAAAATTTCAGCATTTCTTTTAATACAATTCATTTTTCCCAAAATAATGTTTTTACTCATACATTATTTTAAATCTTAAAATCAGAAATTTTATTTTGTTTGCTCAAATGCTTAAACCAAAATGATAATTTTTCAATACTCTCTTTTAAAAAAAAATAATAGGTAAAAGTATGTATCACATTGGTGTGTTGGTAAATTTTGCATTGTACTTGTTATTTGCTTTAAAATTTAACATTTAAGAAGCTGAGAGAACTGTTAAGCACATGCATTAATATTATTAGTTACGATAATAATAATAATATTAATCACTAACATTTGATTTCACACTCTGATCCAATTTTTAAAAGTACATTAAAACTTCAGGCATATAGTATCTTCATTTTTAAAATAACATTAATTTATTTACATTATAAAAAGAGTCTTTTTGCCTTTTCAGAAGAAAGTAATTCTATAAATGCACATCTACTTATCACATATACTAAATGAATATATGGTTTTAATTCATCTGAATATACACACTGTTTGAGTTTACTTTAGAGTTGGAGATCATCATTGATCATATATTATTTGATAACTAGACTGCCTTTCTTCCAAGCTGGAAGGCTATATTACTTTACTCTTCCTTTTAGGATGAGGATATTATCTCAGGGATTTATGTTCTGGATCTATATAAGCAAAAATAAAATGATTTATATTGTCTTGCCTGCTTTAGGTAGATTATTTTGTAGCACATTCAAAAATTGGCCTTCTGTTAAGAATAGCAGATAATACAGATAACTTTATCTTAAGTTCCCGAGACTAAATTACAAATAAAGAAACAAAAAAGCTAACCAAAGACAAACCAGAAGAACACATCATTTTCATAAAAAGCCAGGAAACGGGCCGGGTGAGGTGGCTCACGCCTGTAATCTCAACACTTTGGGAGGCCGGGGTGGGCGGATCACGAGGTCAGGAGATGGAGACCATCCTGCCTAACATGGTGAAACCCCGTCTCTACTAAAAATACAAAAACAAAATTAGCTGGGTGTGGTGGCGGGCGCCTGTAGTCCCAGCTACTAGGGAGGCTGCGGCATAAGAATGGTGTGAACCCAGGAGGCGGAGCTTGCAGTGAGCCAAGATCGCACCACTGCACTCCAGCCTGGGCGACAGAGGAAGACTCAATTCCAAAAAAAAAAAAAAAAAAAAAAAAAAGCCAGGAAAGAAACAGAATATCATGTGCGTCAGAACTATCCATACTTCCATTGCTCTGTTTATTTACTCAAAACATGCATTTGGAAGAAGTTAAAACCAGTCTTCTAGGCTAAAGTCAATAAATCTTTTAAATTTTAACTTCTTTGAGATTTCTGTAAGATTTGTCAGTCTTACCTGTTCCTTTCTTGAAACATTCTCTTCCTTTAAATTTCCTGTTACTCAATATTGTGGTTTGTACTTAACTCGTTATATGTTGCTTCTCTGGCCCCTTTTGCAGGCTCAATTTTCTGGCTCTTCTATAGACTATCATAAATGTTGGTATTCATGAACCCTTTTCATACTCTGTTTATTCTTCCAGGGCAATACTAGCTTAGCTCCTTCTCACTTCTGTCAGTATCTTTATGCTAACGGCTCCTTAGTTAGGATCTTTCTCCTAACCCTTAAATATTCAAACTTTGAGCCAATGGCACATGGCTGGCCCACAGTCACCTAAACCAGCATCTTCAACCCCACAACTCACAGTGTACACATACACACACACACAAACACAAAACATACACACTCATAATCTGCCTCCTCTCAAATAACTTATGTATCAAAAAATGGCATCACGATTCACTACGCTTGTACAATTAGAAAACCAGGCAACATGTCCGCCTTCCTTCCCTAAACTCACATGCCAATAACCTTCTACTCCTATCAGTTACATCTCCAAGGCATTTCTGAAATCAACTGACTTCACTCAATCTGCATCACCAGTATTTCAGGTTTTGCATCCCCATCTCTGACCTACAGTCGCTAAATCTGCAGGCTAACTCCAGTTCTGCCTATTGTCTCCCCATTCCTAACTACAGCTTCCAAAGCTGGTCGCCCTTTTTTGTTCCACTAAACTCTACCCCCTAGATTCACTGGGAAGTTTTCCTATGAATCCGTATTACTGGCATTGCATTAAGGAGCTGAGGTCTTTGTCAGTCTATGAGAAGCCCTTAGGGAGTGAAAGCGGCCCCATAGGTGAGAAGTAAGACAGAGAATAAACATTTGGAGATCATATCCGTTAGTGTATTACTCCTACTATATTTCTCATCAGTTCTCTTCCATGCTACTGCCTAGGTTATATTTGTAATAAAATGATTTCATATGGGTTGATGCTGTTCAATATTAGTGCATGGTATTCTATTATAAATCATACATTCTCTAAGTAGATAGGACTCTTTGCTACCTCAATATCTTAAAATAATATCTGCTGTAGTTGATTACCTTAAGCTGGAAGACTTGTTAAAGCTGTGGAATGAAGATTCGTTGCTTAACTTTATTCCATTAAAATAAGTTGTTCAAGCACATTTCTGTTTTTAAAATGAATTTTTTTTCTTTAAAACAATCTATTTTTACATAGAATTTAAAGAGCATACAATTTTCATAATGATTGCAGTTCCAAGGGCTGATTATTTCAATTACAACACTCATTTAACAATTATTTGAAGTCTAGATACCTGTTGAAACAACAGAGTTTACCCTACGAAGACAAAAGCAACACTGCAGTCAGACTGAAACACAATCATGGAAGATGGTTGTGTCACAGCCCCACGACTTATGCAATTTTGGAGCCCAGGACTTATGCAATTTTGGAGCATTAACATTATTCTGAAATGTGCTCCATATTTTGCCTGTGGTTTACCTAAAAAGACCAAGAGAGGCACAGTAGTGCCTTCTGCTCTTCACTGCTAAGCTGGGGTGACATAAGACCTCTTTCCACATAGTCTTGCCAAGCAAAACCTAAGTATACTAGTTAGAAGGAGAAACATAGCTTCTTTATGAGAGAAAGTATTTTAGAATAACTCACAAATTAACAAGTTTTCTTTAATTAATGTCACTACTGAAGGGGGTAGCATTTAACATCAGGGAGGCCCAACTTTAGCAACTATATTTTAGCTTAAATAAGTACCCATGTTTCATTATATCATACAGAACAGGTAATTTCAATGGATGTAAAGGATAAAAATACACAAAACACCCCTTTGGTTGGACTTTAAGAGAAAAAGTTATTTGTAAAATGCATAAAACATTTAAGTTTTTTTGAAAGTAGTTGAATGGAAAGGCTCACTAAGAACCCTTTCTGTGTGTGATATGTGCAAATCAAGTGGCTTCTTATGAGTCTCTAAAATCTGGTTGTTAGAGAAAATAATCATTAAAGCCCTTGAAATTAAAACATATATAACTCTACCAATTGCTAAGTTTAATAACGATGATTACCTGTTTAAAGAAATGCAACTTTGCACAAAGAAAAGCATCTCCAGATTTATTTGTTCAAGAGAATTCAGTAGAACGCTAAATTCCCAAGGAGTTCATTTTCACATACAATCAGCACATGCTCCCTAGTCCAGCTAGGAAGACAGTTAACAAACTGATAAAACCTAGAAGAGAGAAGAAGACAAGAAACTATTTTTTTAATAAAACAAAACTTGTGAGAAACAAGGCACTCTAACTCACCATGGCAGTTTAAGAAATGGATCATATACCACCGTGCTGCTCAAAAAGCAGTGGCAAATGGCAGTTCTCTGGCATGCCTATTTTGTTACTTCCATATTTCTTAAATAATTTTTTTTCTGAAGATAAAAATAGCTCTTTATTCTACTCAAGTATTCTTTTCTTGAATGCTATAAAGATGAGCTAAACAGTAAGTTTGAAAAAGAAGACAAGAAAGAGTCGATACTCTTTTTACTAGATTTTTGAAGAATTCCCGTTTCAAAGTCATCATTTTATTGGCTTATCACTGTCATTTTAGTGCAGACTAATTAATATCTGAAATAAAGTTGACTAATAGAGGTGGCTTCAACCAGATTTTTCTCCTTCTTTTATTTTTCTTCTTTACATGAATCACCAAATAATACTGGATTATCCTTCTACATCTTTAGTAGCTTAGAGGATTTAAAGTTTCCTTTTTTCCACAAAGAGTCCATAAACATATCAGGCTTGAATAGTTAGTCTAGGTACTTTCACTATGACTCGCCTTGTTTATATAAAACAGAAATGTAAGAAAACAAGTCTACTAGAATCTAAATGTATTATTGCTATGGTAGCATTACTTTTCTCTGGCTGAGAAAGTCAAGAAACACACAAAAAGAAAAGAAATCAAGAAAACAAATAGAAATGAAACATTTATAGTTAACATTTAAAAAACAAGTAATTTAGGAAAGAAAGGCTATCCATGCAGGTTGAAAATTGGATCTTCAGAAAAATACAGATTCTGTCAATTATTCTAAGTAAAACTCAAATGTTTCATTTTTGCCATAATAAAATTAATAGCATCCTTTAAACTTTAACTACACAAATGAATTGTTATTAAAAGAATTTCACCCAGAAGAACCCAAATACAATTTCATAGAATAAGACCAGTATCCTTCTACTAATCAATCCCTCAGTATTTATTAATTATGTGTTATATGCTAGCTATTATGATGGATGCTATAGGGAATGCATTAGTTTGTTCTAACACAGCTATGAAGAAATACGTGAGACTGGGTAATTTACAATCATGGCAGAAGGCAAAGGCGAAGCAGATATCTTCTTCACAGGGTGGCAGGACAGAGTGAAGGGGGAAGCCTCTTATAAAACCATCAGATCTCCTGAGAACTCACTCACTATCACAAGAACAGCGTGGGGGAAACCATCCCCATGATTCAGTTATCTTCACCTGTTCTGCCCTTGGCACATGGAGATTATGGGGATTACGATTCAAGATGAGAATTGGGTGGTGACACAGAGCCTAACCATACCAGGGAATAAAGGAAAATATAAGAATCTGTACCTTTATTTCAACAAAAACATTCAAGAAGGTTATAGCTCAGTGAATCATGAATGCCAAAAGAATGATAGAATGGATTGGATTTCTATTTGCCAGTTAGTGGAGCAATGGATACAATGGAATGAGCTAATAAGTGAAAACAAAAATGCAAGATAATTTAAAGAGAAACTAAGTTAGAAGACAGATGTTATAAAACAGAACTGGGGCTAGACAAGAAACAGAGAGAGCCTTAGGGACCAGCCACTTTACTATGACAAAGAGGAATTAATAATGTTACTTTCATTCGAGAGAATCGGCAAGGTATGGTGGCTCATGCATGTAACCCCAACATTTCAGGAGGTTGAAGCCAGAGTAGCTTGAGGCCAGGAGTTCAAGGCTAGCTTGGTCAACATAGGCAGACAGCATCTCTGAAAAAAAAAATTTAAAAATTAGCCGGGTGTGGTGGCATGTGCCTGTAGTCCCAGCCACTCGGGAGGCTGAGGCAGGGAGGATCACTTGAGCTCAGGAGTTAGAGACTGCAGTGAGCTATGACCACAGCACTGCATTCCAGCCTGGGCAACAGAGTGATATTTTGTCTCAAAAGAAAAAAAATTAAGAGAATCAAAATTTATACTTTAGAAAAATTAATACTAATATGGTGTCAGCTGCACATGATCTGTGTGGGGAAAACAGAAATTCAAGAGGTATACTTGAAACATTTCGGAGGTCTGAGGTTCAGGTCACATGGCATGAAATAGGGTGGTAGTAGGAATAAAAACTATCAGATAAAAACTCATTTCAAAGGACATGTTTAAAGGATCTAGATGCCAGTTAGATGTAGGGGGAGTAAGAAAGTGTGAGAAACTGGTTCCATTTTAGATATAATTAGTTTAAGGTGATGTACATCAACATGGAAATTTCTAGCAGGCAGATAGAAGGCTCAGAGCTCAGAAGAAAAAAAAATATATATATATATATATGGATATATACATACACACACACACACATAGACACACACATACAAGACAAACACAGAGAAACAAAGAAAAAAACACAGAAAAAAATGTATATGCATGAATCCAGCACTAAGGAAGAGTATCATAAATATCCTACTTTATGCTGTATATAAAATCAAACCCAAAGTCATCAAATATTTAAATTGGAAAGGCAAATCATAAAATTTTTAGAAGAAATATAGAATTAAATAACCTCAGTGCTGGGAAGAGCTTCTTAACAAAGTCATTCCTTTTTTATTTGTAAAGTAAAAAAAAAAAAAATCAAAAAAAAATCAATATTAAAATTAAGGCTTTTTGTCCAAAGAACTATAAGAAACTGAAAAAATAAACCCAAGCCAAGACAAGCATGTATTATTGTCAAATGATTACTATCTAGACCAGAAAAGAAGGCTTCCCAATTGATAAGAAACAGATAAACCAATAGATAACTGAGCAAAAGACACAAATGAAAACATGAAAGGGAAAGAAACACAAATATCAGATATTTGAAAACATGCTCAACCTCAATGGTAGTCAGAAAAATTCAAATTTGGACCACAATATTATCTTTACCTAATAGGAAAAATAATCTGAAAATGTGCAAATAAATACCAAGGGTTACTCAGCATATGCATCAATAGAAATGCATACTGCCAGCTGGAATGCCAATTGTTCAGTCATTTTGGTGAACAGCTTAGAGTCAACAAGTTGAATACATAAACCACATGACTTAGCAATATCACTACTTAGCAATATCATACACATGTACATGAATGCTCATAACAACATTTTTAAAAATATTACCACTAGAAAACCAGAAAACAACCCAACTATCCATAGACAAATGACTGAATAATCAATTTCAGCTTATTCAAAAATAGAATGCTATACAACACTGAAAAAAATGATTACCACTACATAAACCTGGATATTGACTGGGAAAAAAAAATCGAGTAGCCAAAAAATATACAAATCATGATACCATTTATAAAACATTTGTTAACTGTATAAAACAAAATATTTGTTTAAAGTAAATTAAAGAAAAAAGAAACAAAATGATGAACAAAAAATTCAAAATACTACATTCCTTAGGATAGAAGGAAAGTGATTAATAGAGAGAAACTTTTAGGAAGTACTGGTAAGATTAAGTCGATTTCCATAAAACATACATATATTATTATTATTTATATTTCCTGATTAGTCATGTATAAAATATTTCACCAAAAATAAATATTAATAAAAGAAAATTAAATACACGAACTGCTTGCATTTAGAGGAATTTTTTTTAAAAAGGTGAAAAAAGAAAAAACGATCAAAAAAGTTTACCAAAAAATAAAGGATAGTATAGGCTTTTATATCTAAGGAAGGAAGGAGAGTCCAATAATCTCAAATATTACATGGAAGTCAACGGGAATAAGGACTTGGGAAAAGTCAGAGATATCTCATCAGAAGACAGCAATTTTCGACGCATGAAAGGAATAGCAACCAAGTTACAAGTTATGAGACAATTTGAAAGGAACTAGAGGCATTAAGTAAAAACCACCCTACGAAGTCCAGCTATGAAGAACATATGTCCAGAAAGACAGGGCAAAGTTTTTCACTGTCCTTCTGTACATCAATTCTTCTTAAGTTTCATAAACTTTCGCCAAGCTTTGCAGCTGAATGAAACCTTTACATATTTGCAAAGAGACAGGTAGGCATCAGTGGACACGTGGTGTACACCGGAGTAGGCCTGGAGAAAAGAATCAAAGATTCAGGAGAAGGCAGATCATTGTTAAGGTTACATGTCACTTTTAAATAAATAATATTATAATCTTGGGCACTAAAAAATGATAGGGTTGCCATTCTCTATATTAAATGTCTCACCACTCAACAGTCAAGTCAATAGGTTATCAATTACAACCCTGCTAGAGAACAACTTCTTAATTCAAAGATTTAATATTTTTCATTCTTTTTTCACTTACCACACAGTCTAATCCAACTGAGCATTCACTAGACCTTTTTAAAAACTGAGACCAACTAAAAGACATGGTACAGACATCACCTCTCCTACTCTCAATTCTCTTAACCCCTGGTGCAAGGACAAAATCTTTTCCTAATAGGGACATGGTTCCTCTTGGAAGAGGAGTGGGAAGTGAAAGTTAGGGTATAAATGGGGCTTCCTGGAACAAAGCTGATGGCAGAGAGGGGTGGGGGAGCCTAGAGTCCAGGAGTAATCAGAAATCAATTCAGATCATCTAGAGAGTAGGAAATCATTACAGACCAGATGCAGGAGTCCTGGTCTGCAACCAACGTTCGGACCCTACACAAGGCAATGGCTATGCTGAAGTGTGGTAGCTGCTACATAAAGCAGCTTGCTGACCTCCCCACACTGGAGTTACTGCCGTCAAAGTCTGTTACCTCAGCAGCTGAAATAACTTCTCATCAGCCTCTTTGTTTTATATTATGGAAGGAGAGAACCTTAAAAAAACTTAAGAATTAAAAAATGTTGTGTGGCCAGCTTGTAATAAGAAGTACAAATGTCATTCTAATTCATATTTTCCAAACCATTCCCTCTGAATTAAGATATTCTGATTTTTTTTATTTCTCCTTCTCATGGCTAATAAATTAACACCATTTTTATAGAAAATTTCCAATTCTCCCTGGTACCAGTTCACTCCCTCCCAACAATATGATCACAAAAAATGGTTTAAGTAATCTCCCTTATCCACTGTCTTTCTAGTAGAGGTAATAAGATTGAAAAATAATATGGAAAGTTCCAGTCTCGGTGCCTACAAAAAAAATGCCATCCACTTATATGCAGGCTAATCAGAAATGCAAAGGTACTAGACAATGAATAGCCTTTCTCTTATCTTTCTTTTCTAAGCTTAGTGAGCTACTCTGTCTTTACCCAACAAGCACATGCTTTATTAAGTTAGTTATAGATGACTAAGCTTTTACTTGGATAACAGGGGAAGTAGATTGTGCCTTCTTTCTCTCTGATTTCTGGTCACTCCATAAGATAGCTGATAGATATACATGGTCTCACTGGGTGTAGAGATGATTTGTTAGGATTTATTGGCTGAGGTGAGAGGATTGTTTCTGTAACATGAGCTCTCTCTGAACTAGAGTGAGACCCAAGGCTGAAACTCAATATACGGCATAACCTCTTGACAAGGGTAGTCCACTGAATTTCAGTTAGCATAGTGATAACTAAGAAGCACAGGATAACGTTGCCTTCCGTATCCTTTGCTGGATGTTTTTCCAAAAAAACAAACAAACAAAAAACTCCGAACAAGGAAGACACAAAAACAAACTCATTTAAAAATGCTGTACCTTACACAACTCAGGCCCATAGCTAAATAACTCAACTGGCTCCAAACTGGGAAGCAAATGGCAATGAAAAAGCAGAAAGGACCTTTTGCTGCACTGTGAAGGCAGCCCACTGACAATTCTCAGAGGCAAGTGGCACCGCAAAAAGGAACTCTCAACATGAACAAGGAGCTTCCTGCTGCCAATCAATGGAGTACTCTTGGCTGTATGCTGAGTGAATGCCATTTATTAACTGGGCTGCATTAAAACCAGCAGGTCCATTTGTGAACAGCAACCCACTTTATTCTCCAGGAGATCTTGGGGAGTAGCATGCCCTTCTATGGCACAATGAATCTTACTTGGCATATTGGACACAGAACTTGTCCGACTTGGAACCACTTGGTACTTAAAGCAAATAAAGGATTAGAACACCCAGGTGTAGGAGATTAAGGACTTAACAGGCAGATGGAGGAGAAGAGCATAATCTGGACATCCTTCAGCTTTTATTATAAGGGAAAGTTCCCCCGGGATCCCAGCAGAAAGAACAAACTTAAATGAACAAAATTTAGCAATTCTGTTGACAAAAGAATATTTGAATAGACTTTTAAAAAATATGAGTTTGTAAGCCAAAAACCTGATTACCTTTCATAACAAAAAAATAAATCTCTACCCAAGAGAAAGGGAACTAAGTAACAAAAATATGCCTTGCTTTCCACAGGTCATCATCTAAAAATGCGAACAACGCAACTTCATAGGTCTAGTTCAGACCGATGGGGCTTGAATCGTACAGTGTGTGGATGTCCAGTAAATGCTGTGTTATGGGCCCCTTTGATCTGCTGAATTCAGTCATAAGATTGACTTGTAAAAATCATCACTGTCATCACATTGTTCTGCTGATTAGCCTCTTCTGAGTGGTCCAAGCACCGAGGAGTCAGACAGAAAAATCTCCCACCCTGGATTTGGAAACTTCTCAATAAGGTACAACTTTTTCAACATACTACTTCCCTCCTCATTTCAAGACCCTCCATGTGGGCCAGAGAGAGCAGTATGGCTGGCCCCTTACACAGTATGATCGTTCTCATTTCTGACCACCTGAGACTGCTATCTATGCCTTATAATTGGGAAACCTCAAGTGCCTTTTACTCCTGCCTTTACACACCCACCATTTTCATGCCCACCATAGTAGCTCAATTTTTTAAGAGACAGGGTCTTGCTATGTTGCTCAGGCTGGATTAGAACTCCTGGGTTCAAGCGATCCTCCTGCCTCAGCCTCTCAAGTACCAGATCAACTTTTACTGGACCCCAGAGCCTATGTGTTTCTTCCTTCTTGGAGATCCTTTATTAGTACTATTTTCTCCACAGTACTAATATTTTGATCCTTTTCCTTCCCATTTAAGGGTCATGACCAACACTCCTATCACAAAAACAGGTTAACAAGAGAAAAACATAACAAATTTATTTGATCATAGTTTAGACGACACAGGAACCTTCAGAAGGAAGACCCAAAGATATGGCAAAAAATCCATTTTTATGCTTAGGTTCAATGATGTATGGACACCCATGTAGAAATATGATTTCACATAAAGAGTATGATCTAATTAATGCTAGTAGACTGAGGTGAAGAAACCCAGCAAGGCCTGTCTGTTCAAATTCTTCTTGGCCACTTTGTACAGCATTTCTTCCTCCTGGGTACAGGGCAGGACCCTTTCTAGTATTCGGGTCTTTTGACCTACATGCAAATAAGACAGGTCAGATAATTTCTTCATGGCCAGTTACTTCACAGAAAGGCAGGGGAAAGTTAGAGCAGTTGTTTTTAGGTGTTATGGCTGGCTTTGAAGAAAAAGAGAGGTTCTGGTTTCTATGCCCTGCCATGGGGAAGAGGTTCCTGTGGAAGCCAACTGTAGTTTCAGTGGCTAGCCTTGGGGGAGTAGAAGTGAGAAACAGGAAGGAAGGAGAAGGTCAGAGAGAAACTTTTATTTCTGAAACTGCTTCGGAGGTCTTCATTTTGGAGATTGTTTTCTGCACCCTAACAACTCTTTGGACATTTAATGACACAAAATACAAGGCTGCCAATGTGGATGTTTTATCTCTCTCAGAAGACTTTCTTCCCCTCATTGTTTAATTATGGCATTTTCAAACATATATAGAGTTAACGATAATAGTATAACCAAGTCTCATTTAACCATCATTTTCCATTAAAAATTATCGATGTATACGCAATTGTCTTAGTGGACTTTATATTCTCTAAGGAAAAGTATAAAATTGTTTTCATTTTTTTTTTTTGCTGGTTTTGTCCCTAAACACAGACTAGTGCTAAGCATGTACTAAGAACTTAGCACTTGGTTGTGGAAATGAATTAAACTTCAGTTCACCAAAGTTCTGAGCATTCCATGAAGTATTCAGCCTCATCCAATCAATTCTTGGATACACAACCCATGAAACCATTCAGTGTTTTTAAAGAAACATTAACAAATAATATTAAAGAATAAGTCCCCTGAGAAAGTGTATGCATATAAAATAATTCTAACTTTATTCTTGTACCATCATTGAATACTTAATCAGCAAGCCAATTTTCTTTTGACACCAAGACTGGAAAATCATCACCAATATACAGTCTGGCACAGGAGACAGGGACTAGAATTTCACAAGAGAGAGGAGGGCTAGCTCTATTCTCACTAGAAACAAGACCTAAAGCAAGTCACTTACCCTCTGTCAGCCCTTATCTCTAAAATAAAAATAGTTGTACTTTTCCCAGTGACCCCATAGTGCTATTGTGAGGATGATTTTTTTAAAATTTGTACAATTGCTTTCTGAAATATAAAGCACCTAATTGTTATATTGTCTTTATGGGACACCCTGACCTTTTTAAAAGAGGGCCTATAATACTATTGGAGGAAAAATACCTGAAATACATATAACAAGCAAAATGTCTAATAAGCAATACAGGCAACACACGTCCAAGGAGAAGGGAGAGACCACTGAGTGCAGAGGTATTAAGCAAAGGCTACGTGGCAGAAGTGGACATAAAGTTGGGTCTTAAAGGACAAACAGAACTTGGACAATGAAAAGGAAGAAACAAAGCCATTTCAGGACATACATATATTACATCCTAAAAAAAAGAATGGTAGAAAGATTAGAGTAGTTGCCTGAGGCTAAATGACGAAGGACCTCAAATAAAGGCTGAGTGTTTTGACTTTAAAGGAAACACTGGCAAAATCTGAGGAGCTCAATATCAGCAAATTAGCATCTCCCAACAAGTAATTGACTTATAATAGATTTTAAGGTGAGAGAAAATAGGAAATTACCGTTATCAAGACCAGACACAATCAGAGCTGTGAGTAAACAGTAAAAAAGACTAAAGAAAAATATAAATGGGAAGCACGTACAAGATGAGACTAAGAATGAGTAAATAGGGTCCCTTGATAAAAATTATCTGAAAGCATTAGGATTCTTTCCTCAGATTGCAAAGCTCACATAACTGGAATCTACCCATCTCATCTTGAAAAAGGTAACCTTTGACCTCTGTATCTGTCTCTGTCCCTCTGCAATGCCAATTTCCTTCCATATTTAGGTCCTTGGTTTTTTTCTGTCTCTAAGGTATTTCCCCTGATCTCTGCATGCCTAGTTCGTTTTTGTCATTCAGATCTCCAGGTGACAGTTCTTCCTAGAACACCTGGTCTAATGCAGTTTCTAAGACTTCTGCTTTCATATTTTTTAAATTTTAATTATTTCTTTAGCACTTGTTGTATTCTAATCTTTTTCTCATTTATTTATCTGGATTTTCTCCCCCACTGGCTCTGACCCCTAGAGTAGAATTCCTGGGACTATAGGAACCTTGAAACTTATTCAGCACTGTCCAACCCCAGCACCCAGAAGGGTGCCTGGCATGGATTAGGTTGCTCAATAACCACTCACCAAATGGATAAAATAAATAAGTCAGTACAGCAGTCCTTCAGAGAGAAAGTGTTTCTGTTTTCTTCAGATCTAATTGGGTCCTATGCCTTCTTCAGGCTGGGAATTCCACTTCCCTTAAATGCTGTGAGTGATTCCCAAATCTTTTCAATTCTGTCTCTTTTCTACTTAACTAGCTCTAGTTGGTGTCTGTTATTTTTAAATAAGAGCTTTAAATAGACAATTTTGTGAACCTAATAAATCACAGTAGACTAGCTATCATCCCATATTGCAGGGACTGAAACTCAAGAAGTCCCACAACATAGTCACTCAGTGAGCAAGGAGGCCTTGACAGAATGGACATGAACATGTGATAATGGATATTAAACACAGGTCAAATGAGAACTAATCCAAACCTTTACCCAATATACAAAATGGCCTCTACTTTTTTCTCCACCACTATTTAAAAAAAAAAAAAAGGAGACCTTCTACTTCTAATTCTCACACTTCATGTCACAATGTCTAATATACGTATCAGAAAAACAATTATTTGGTTCTCTTTATTGTTCTGCTTACAATGGGTCTCACTCCAACCCCCCAAGACATAGAAAGAGGGGGTTAAATGAAAGAAAAAAACAAACAAACAAACAAAGGAACAACAACCAAAAACAAAACACAGAAATTCATCCTGGTATTTATGGAGCTAAATTGACTTCATCTCTTTGTAAGCCTTACATTACTAAAGTTTACAACCAAACCAAAAGTGTCTTTTAATAAATATAAGCCCAGAGAACCATGGTATCTGTTTCTAATTATTATATTTGTGATGTTGTTGCAAAATGCCAGGATCTAAAGATATTTAAGCTTGAACCAAACCTTGTCTCTAGGTACTAGACATTTTTCATTCTTTATTATTTTATTGAATTATTACTTGGTATAAATTTGACTATAGACCTTATTTTTAAACATAAAATGTGAACTGATTTACTGCTTCTAGAGGGCTGAGAAGAATGATTTTTTAACAGATCATTCAAAGAATATTAAGAATCTAATTCTCATAAGGGAATTCCAGTGGTGTGTGCAATGATTATTTATAACTAAATGCAGAAATAACATGTAGTAGCTAGTTTTATAATGATAGTTTTAAGAACACCTTTTGAAAATCAAGACAGCTAAAATTAACTATAAATTGTCCACTAGATTACATGAGTAAAATTTAGTGTCCAAAGTTTGTTTTCGTTTATATTCCAACCCCACTAACAACAGAATAATTAGATTCTATGTAATATTATGTAATGAATAATAAAATTGAAAAGACTACAAATGTCTGACATTTGCTGTATATTTCCTTCTTCCCACATTCTCTCAAATGAAAAATGTATTTGTTTTCTAAGAATTGAAACTGAAATCACCACAGCACAAAAGTTAAATTTTAGATAAAAAACGTATTCGTTTTTGTTTGTCCCTTATAACACCAATATTTTGTTCACATATTATATACACACTGAAGTGAAGAAAAATAAGTCTTTGAAATGAAAATGGACAGAGTTCACACAAAAATTCAAGTTGTTCAAAAACTGGAAAGCCCTAAAAACTAGACCAATTCCAATTAACTATCAAAGTCAGCAGACAACATAATTGAAGACAAAAATAATTTTAAATTGTTATCTATTTGTCATGTATTATATGAAACAGTATAGCATTGTCAGAAACATCATTAAACTGATTAGACGGAAATGGTTCTCACATTTATCTGCCTGATCAATGTACGCTAAATAATTAATAAAGAAGTATGCAAAACAAGAAATCAGAAATGTATTTTTTCAGATTCAGCAAACCAAAGTGAGTGCTAGTTGAGAACATAAGCAAAGAACTGGTATCTCTTCCACTGCTCCTTTTAGCATCTGTCTTCCTCATTCCCCTTAGATAAAACAAACTCCTAAGTAAGAAAAAATCATGCATTGAACAAACAATGCTTATTTCTCCTGACCGCTCATTATTTTTCAATCAGTTACTGAAAGGGAATTGGACTAATTTATGGAAATATTTCTCAAAAGAAACAATGAAGGGTACTGTGGCAGCTGCCACCACCCTACATAAAAGCAGGTATGACTGAGCAGAATGAAAAGAGGCTTGTCACAGATTTACATTAATTGTTCTGTTAACTACCAGGGCTCTTTTGTTCATCTGTTAAAATTTATTTACACAACCATAAGTTTCATCAATGAATCAACAACAACTATTTAAAGTCAAAGTAGAGCAGACATTTTGTAATAAAAGCAAATCACCATCAGGAACCAGAGAGGTCACCTTCACAGGGTTCTAAGCTTTTTCTTTTTTTTTTTTTTTTTTTTAAATTTGAGACAGAGTCTCACGCTGTCGCCCAGGCTGGAGTGCAGTGGTGCGATCTCCACTCACTGCAACCTCCGCCTCCTGGTTCAAGCGATTCTCCTGCCTCAGCCTCCTGAGTAGCTGGGATTACAGGCACCCGCCACCATGCCCGGCTAATTTCAGGATTCTAAGTTTCAAGAAAACAATGACTATAATAATATGAGGGCCTTTCCAACCCATTTGGGGTACTCTGTTTGCAACAAAGAGAATCGTTAAGATTAAAAAGTAGCAGCAAAGATGTTTTGTTAATAGCCTATCAAATAAAAGGTATTTTGCCAGTGTAAAAATAAGCCACGATGACCGTGTTAGGTAAATCCTGTTGCCGTAACTAAAATAAGTCTATCTAGTTGTGGCTAACTTCAGAAGTCACTGATACAGCTAAAGACCAAACTCATAAAAATCATACTATTTTACTAAAGACAAAAAATGGGAAATAATATTGCTCCACCACTACGTAAGCACAACTTCAACTGTGCATGAAGGTAAGAAACATTTACTTAGCACACGTTCAAATATTAATACAAGTAAAAGATGACAAACATGAAAGTATCCAGCCTAGTATCCCACTCACAGTAGATACCCAATAGATCATCTTTCTTCCTTCCTTTCTAGCCTGTTTAGTCAGTGATCCACTGTCTTATAGCCCTGTTTAAGTCTTCTCTCTCCAAATAGATTGAAAAAAAAAAACTGCTTCATTCATTGGTAGATATATATTTTTTTAAATTCTGCCACGTGTCTCATATGTGCCATCCACAAACAGTATGTGCTGACAGGTAGTATTGCTTGAAAGCTTAAGACACAACATGATGTATAACAATGCTTTTGGCTGCACAGGAGAATAGTCATCTAAAAATTCTTTAAATAATTTTATTATTATTATTATTTTGAGAATAGGACCCAGGCTCCTTGAATGCCTTCTTCTGTCACCCTGTTTGTCAGCTATTTCCTTCCTCGCAGTTACAAAATGATCACAATGGCACCAAGAGCCATGTTCTCATACAACACTCTCTTTATTATCAGGGAGGAACATCTTTCCCAGAAGTTTCCTGGCAGACTTTCCTTCCTAATTGACCAGAACTGTGTCGCATATAGCCATCCTTACCTACAAAGAAGCTGGGAAAGCAAGTAAGCTGGTTGGAACTCCTGCCACTATGGAAGAAAGCTAGGAGAATAACTAATAAATAGACAACAAACAATATCCACAACACTGCTATACAAGATCATGAGCAGAGTCACTTACAATGCTTATGCAGGAAGTTACCGCTATATGATATATCTAGAGAAAAAAAAATCCTGCTGCTTGTCTTTCTAAAGTGGGTCTCTATATGGATGAATGCAGATCAGCAAAAAAATTGGAAGAGTTCTGAGAGCTATGACAGAGGAGGGACATCCCCTCTTTTTACTCTTTGCATGGATGGTTCATGAGTATGTTCTTCTTACACAGGCCTCTGTGCCTGAAGATCAATCTTTTAGAGGCTTTTTATTCAAGTAAAAATGGTCACTTGGTTTAAGCCCCAATCTTTTCAGATCCAAAGCCAGTGGAATCTCTGGAGTATAACAATCTTTCTACTGACAAAATATCAATATAATATACATTAATATAACCCCTTTAAAAGGAGACAAAAACAGAAAATCTCATGCCTGTCAATTCTTACATTTTTTTTCAAACCAATGGAAAATGTTAAGAAGAAAATGCATTGCAAAAGTTGTGTTTGTTTCTCCATGTATTGGGGGAGAAAAAGGCACTTTCTGCTATACTATCACATTCCAATTTCTGGACAAACCCCTGTAGTTTTCATCACACATCATTTTTGTGATTAATGATGGGCACCCAGTTAATGGAAAACAGTAGATTAGGTTTCCACTAATAGTTTTGCAAGTTACATACGTCTGCCTGCCTCATTTAGTAACAACCTCACTGTTCAGTAAGAAGGTAATGGATTTAATCCCAAAGCAGAACTTAGTTTTATGAATACAAGACAGGTCAGATTTCCAGAGTGGAGAAAATTACGCTTTTAGAGGTATGCTGATCTTCAGCTGAAATTTAATATGGAGATGACACCTAAGGATTTGCGGGATTTTCCCTATTTACTTCTATTTAGCAATCAATTTAAGAATCTACAGTACTTATTTGTGGCCCATAAAATACGTAGAATAGCATCTTTCAACCATAGCAAATAAAACAAATGTAATACGATAATTTCTATAATTAGTATAGTAAGCTGAAAAGGCATTGATTGTTCTGAACACATAGGTGAAAAACAGTTTGTTCCTTATATGTTAGTGGATCACTGTAATGATATGTCAAAAAGCAAAATTTACATTTGCTGGCTCTAAGTAAGTGTGATTTAAGAAAAATACACAGTACAGTGGAAAGCATCTAGGAATAGAGGAATCGACAAAAGAATTCTAGTCTCATTTCTACTTGAAATTACTTCAGAAACTAAACTATCTTTTGTTTTTGCTTTCCCCACTGCATTTTATATTTACCTCTCTTATGTCATTTAACCATCGCTATGGTATTTCAAGTTATATCTATGTATATCTCGCATTTCCCATCTGGACTAGCCTCCTTAAGAGCAGAGCAAACATCTGATTTACATTTTTATCTTCTACAGAGCAAAGCTAGGCTGAGAACTTCATGAGAAAAGGGACTTTGCCTGTGTATCCCCAGGAGTTAGCATGATGTGACCTCACAGTATGTGTCTAATAGTAGATGTTACAATAAATAAAAAACTTGAAAAGAATGTCATGCTTTCAAAATAAAAGAAAATGGGGATATTCTTTAAGAACCTGATGGAATCTCAAGACTGGCCTCCAATATCTGGTATTTAAAGCAGTTGAGTTTCTCTTTAAATATAGAGACATCAGCACCTAAAACACCAATCAAAAAATTCTACCGTGTTTTGCCAGCAAACCAGCACTTACCAAACACTTCACAGGTATTGATTTGACTTTGAAAGCTATCAAAATGTATGGGAGATTTAATGTTTTTCATGTTACTTTCCAAGAGAAAGAAAGCACATAAATATAGTTTATGTTATGTTGGTTGTTTCTAATCACAAATGTACAGGTACAACTAATAATCTAAATGATTAAATTGATAAAAACATCAAACAAGTAATTTACTGAGCACTAAGCACATGAATAAAAAGTACTCTGTTGTTTGCTCTCATTGATTAAGTTTTGTAGGTTAAGGAAAAAGATGTGAGAGCAAAACAATCACTTAAGAAATTATCTATGGCTCAAATTTTAATCTGCAACAATGAGACATTTACCCATAGGTTCCATGTATTTATTTAGTCATCATTTTCTCTGACAAAACATCTCCAAAATGATGTCACTGGCCAGGCTGGAACTCACCCAGGCACTTTTTGTACTTCTTGCTTAAATACACCACAAGCACATATAACGAAGGGGGTTTTGTCATGCAAAATGAGACTGAACAAAGAATTATTAATCCAGTTCAAATTACTGTAACTTAATAGTAGAATTAACACCACAGTAATCTGTGCCATGAGAAAATGTTATTAACATCAATGATTCAAAGATAGATCTTTAACAACTTAGAAAAAATAACTACATGTATGTTATTTCGTAGTTACGAGGAAAAAGAAATATATCACAGATATACTACTTGCTGGATTTATCAACAGTTACTTCTATGTTGTTATTGTTCTTGTTTTAAAGTACAACTGACAGTCTGATTCCTTAAAGAACTATCTACACAGGAAACAAGTTGTGAACAGGGTTGAATACAGGCAATCTGACTTCAAAACCCATATTTTTAAGGAGTGTGCTAGATTAATTTTTATTGGGGGTTTTAATTTGTTTTGTGGAGGCTGACTCTGTTGAATCAGAACTTCTTTCCAGTGCTAAGTTAAGCTCCTATGACAGATTCTCATGAAATCAGTACAATGATAATGCATTGTGAGAGTGACCTGGTGATGACAGCCATCAACCCACTTTTGTCAGAGTTGAGCCCACTGATCTTGCAACAAGTGCTCTAGCATTAGTTTCACACACTCCCATCCACCTACCTACCATATCATATATGCAGCCCTCCTGGGGCTGTGGACCCTGAAAAAGCAGATGGCTCTCTCTGACTGAAGAGAAATATCCTTATGCTCCGGAATAATAGAATCAACTTGTATCTAATGAAAATCCATTGAAAACTCAATAAACATACAACCTTGAACTGAAAATCTTACCTGTGGAACCATGCCTACAATGTAGGAGGCTTTTAATAAAACAGAAAACTCAACTCAAGACAAAGCAATTAAAGCAAAGCATTTCTTTTTTCCCCTTCAAGAATAAAGACAAACCTAACTTAAAGACATAATTCATTTTTAAAAGGCAGAAATAAAACTATTAGTTTATATATTGCTTGCTGACCATCATAAAATATACTTTTACATAAATGTATTCTCTTTAGGCTTTATAATAAGCTACAAATAAACAAGTCCTTTAAAAGTTTAAATCTCAAGGTCTAACACAAAATTGACCTTTTAAAGAAATAACAGCATCCAGGGACGGAACCTCATAGTGAGGGTTACTGAACAAACTCTCCAAACTAGTAAATGAACCTTTTTTTTGTTAAGAGCATATAAACTCAGTCACAGAATCATAAAGTGGGTACTGACACTATTGATTGTCTGATTTAATCATAATTCAATGAATCATTTCTGAAACAAACATCCAAAGCTTTGTGAATAACTTATCCTTTTTGGCTTATTTTTATATGTCATTTAATTTATTCAATTAATTAATCAAAATTAAAATAATTAATGAAAATGCCTCCCCCTTAACATAGTTCATGAAACTCTACATCACATTTATTTCCCAAATGTTACTTTCAAAAAGTCAGTAAATCAGTCCAGTCTGAAGATTACAATAAACTCAAAAAGGCTATTTCTTCCTGAACAAAGCTGTAGGAAAGAATCTGTCAATAAGTAGCTCTTTGTCAAACCACCAACAAATTTTGGACCTAAACTTATTTTAACACATAGAAATACTTTCTCTAGTTTGAAGGTTTTGTGCCAATGTCTCCAAACACTTCCTCATCAACAGGGTGGGGAAGAAAGAGGGGCAATCTCTCATTACCATGGGATGCATATGTATATCTATGTATGACACTTCCCCAATAATGGGGGTGGGGGAGGCAAGAGGGCAATCTCTCATTACCATGAGATGCATATTTACATCTATGTATTACACATATAGTGAGAACTGATGACATCAAAACATACACCAGAAAAGTACAGATGATTACCTGATATTCATTGGGCCAAAAGGTGCTCACTGCTAGCTCAGCCCGAAGCCAATCTCTACCCGTGAATCCAGTCACATTCCAAATTGGATTGGCAAGAGGTCCTTTATTCACCCTAACTAATATGTTCAAAGTGCCAGGATTCAGTCCTTTCTGGCTATATAATAGGTAACTGAAATCAATGCAGTGAGTGTCGTTCTCCTTCATTGTAGGCAGCTGAAGTCTGGCTTTTTCTCCAGGGTCGTGATCTGAAGAGTCCACTATCATATAGGAACCTGAAATGACATTACAAATAATAATGCTAAAGAGATATATAAGCAAAGGGAACATATAACAATAAAAATATGCTAATCCATTCTGAGCATTAAATTTAAGTTAAAAAGACTGTTTTCCAGAACACAGCCACAGAAATACATCAATCAAATAAGTAGATGAACTGAATTCTTACTAGGTAACAGACAGTGTTCAAAGTACACATTCTGTATCAATTCATTTAGTCTCCACAACAACCTGTTATTATCCTATTTTACAAATTAGGAAATTGAGGCACAATTAGTAACACTCAAAGCTGGGTTCAAATCCAGATCTCACTCTAAATCTCTGGTATTACTGAACACAAGTCTTTTAATATAATATATATATATATGTATACACACATACACAAAAGCGATACATTATTGGCCTGGTTTACACAAAGGGTACACCTTTATTTTTCGCTATCCAGAATATTATTGCAGGGAGATGTGCTTAGAGTGCAAACAATGGAACCATTTCTAATTTCGTATTGGAAAATCATCATTTATACAAGTTATGTGATCATTTGTAACATACTAACTTTGAACCTCAGTTCAGGGAATGAGGACACTTTGTAGTGTCAGTATGAGGGCTAAAGTTAAAAATGCCTAGAGCTGAGGATCAGGACACAGCAGATTTCCCCACTTGGAGTCTCACCCACTAAGGTGTCAGCTAATCACCACTGCTACTGGCCCCAGTTCTGTAACAGTCCCTAAACTCTTGTAGAGCTACAAGAAACCCAGTTTAAAATCACCAATCTACTCTATCCCTTTGACTTAGTAAGTGTTCATTGGTTATCTGTCATGAGGAGGCACAGGACATAGAGTCCCACTCTCATAGCTCACATATAGACTTTCCATTGCAGACAAAGGCCACACAGAGACTAAGTACAAAAATGAGACTTGAACAACGGGCTGCTGCTTTTAGTCCCAGAAAACTCTCCAGTAAGACAACCAATTGTTCTCATGTCATTGTGGATTTTAACAAAGACACATATCACAAAAATGCAAATATGCCTATTTATTACACAGAAGATGGAACACAAATTTTATTGTAAAATATCTTTTTTCTTTGCTAGCATGTAATTTTAACCAAAATATATCAGATGTAGTGTTATAAAACTCAGTGTTATAAGAGTTGCACTTGACCCTTTCTTCCTGACAACATGTAAAAGTAATCAATCTTCTGCATTCCCTCCCCAAAATTTGTACCCATGACACATTAACCACTCAATAACTACTAGTCTAACTTGTTCAATTAACCCTCAACAACAGATGCAAATCATGGCAGAGAGGATGGTGTCAACTATTTGAGAAGCCAAATTTCAAATGTGACCGATTGCCACTGAGTGGTAGGTAGCCTCTGGTTGAGAGCTTTTGGGAAGATTTCTGTAACACTTCAGTATAATCGAAGTACAGAATAAACAGATCATAGTGATAGTGGCTGATATTATTGTTCACTTCTTTTTCCTAGTTATCATCTTCTCTTGTAAGCTAGGATTCTTTTTTTTTTCTCTCTTTCTTTCTTTCTGAGTCTCACAGACGGCACATTAATAGAATAAACTGTCCGTGTGTATTTTGGAGAAATTATGTCTTTATTTTTAAAAAGGATATCCTGGATCCCAACCCAATTTATAGAAGCAGGATGTTTCTATTCTTTATTATATTCACATTCTGAAGTCAATGGTTGATTTGGCAAGATGTCTTTCAGATTTGCCACTGCATAGCAGACCAATCATTCCTTTCAACGAGGACCAGCCCTGAGATCTTGGATAAGTTACCTAGTGTTTGTTACTGGGCCTCAGCATCTTCACAAACCTGTAGCCTATTTCTCCACTACTATAACAGTTCCACCCCCTCCCCTCAGTGGAATATTATGGCAGTAGTGCATTTAAATTATTTTTAGAGGTCTGTATCAATTATGGCTTCTGAATGTCAACTTTAAAGTAGTAATCTCTAAATGATTTATTGGCTTTCTAATAGTCATTTTTTCCTATTATAAAATAAACTTTGGAGTAAAAATATGCTTTGTGTCACATTTTAATTATATAGCATAATATTTACTATAAAGACCATTTAGGAATTTTCAGTCAGTTGTACCCTTAAGCTACAATAATTATCTGTCTTATTAGGGAAACCGGATGGGCAAGGTATATTCATTTGTAGGCATTATCAATTTGATCACTAGGAAGACAAAAGTCACAAAATAAAAGCTTGTCTACACTATTTCAACATTTCAAGCAAGTTAAATAATAAAGAAAAATAGTGTTGATAATTCATCTCTATAGAATGTTTCCGCTAAATGGCCCTCTTTCAATAATGCCTGACTACTGCCACATTCTCCGAGTGCTCTGGAATAATAATGCATTTATTGCACAGTTCCAGAAAGGAGGAAGAAAGCACTAGCACCAAAAAGCCATCTAAATCTTTCTGCCTACTGACTTGATATAACGGCAATTTACCCAGTAGGCACTAGGGAGGAAGCTGCCTGTCTGAAACAAAATTCCCTTCCATCATCCCAAACACAGAAGATACTGTGCTATTCTTATCAACATCTAAAAATCACTTCTGTAGTCTCCCAGAATAACTGGCTCCCAATCCTTACACTTGGGAAATTATACAATATGTACTTCTCTCATACTTTATGTTATAATTTAAGCTTATTTACGATTGTTCTGTTACCAGCTAACTAATTCCTCAGATTTCTAACAAGAGTTTAGTTATCTCAAGGCTTAATAAAACATCTATGTTCCCACACATACAATGTACTAGCTTTTAATTAAAACTTCTTTAAAGTGGCCTTACAAATATTCCTTACAGTCTCTTGATCAATAGAGTTCTCAAATATATCATTCAACACAGAGAAAACTATATATGCTTTTTGTTTGTTTTAAGTGCAACCTTTATAGACAGCAATTTGACATAAAAGACCTTTAAGAGATATTCATGAATAAAACATCAAAAGCAATTGCAACAAAACCCAAAATTGACAAATGGGATCTAATTAAACTAAAGAGCTTCTGCACAGCAAAAGAAACTACCATCAGAGTGAACAGGCAAACTACAGAATGGGAAAAAATTTTTACAATCTATCCATTTGACAAGGGAATAATATTCAGAATCTACAAGGAATTTAAACAAATTTACAAGAAAAAAACAAACCCATCAAAAAGTGGGTGAAAGATATGAACAGACACTTTTCAAAAGAAGACATTTATGCGGCCAACAAACATAAAAAAAAAGGTCATCATCACTGGTCATTAGAGAAATGCAAATCAAAACCACAATGAGATACCATCTCACGCCAGTTAGAATGGTGATCATTAAAAAGTCAAGAAAAAACAGATGCTGGAGAGGATGTGGAGAAATAGGATGTTTTTACACTGTTGGTGGGAGTGTAAATTAGTTCAACCATTGTGGAAGACAGTGTGGTGATTCCTCAAGGATCTAAAACTAGAAATACCATTTGACGTGTCAATCCCATTACTATGTATATATCCAAAGGATTATAAATCATTCTGCTACAAAGACACAGGCACACGTATGTTTACTGCAGCACTATTCACAATAGCAAAGACTTGGAACCAACCCAAATGTCCATCAATGGTAGACTGGATAAAGAAAATGTGGCACATAAACACCATGGAATACTGTGCAGCCATAAAAAAGGATGAGTTCATGTCCTTTGCAGGGACATGGATGAAGTTGAAAACCATAATTCTCAGCAAACTATCACAAGAACAGAAAACCAAACACCACATTTTCTCACTCATAAGTGGGAACTGAACAATGAGAACACATGGACACAGAGAGGGGAACACACACCAGGGCCTGTTGGGAGGCAAGGGGAGGGAGAGCATAAGGAGAAATACCTAATGTAGACAACGGGTTGACGAGTGCAGCAAACCACCATGGCACATGTATACTTATGTAACAAACCTGCACATTCTGCATATGTATCTCAGAACTTAAAGTATATTTTAAAAAAAGAGATACATACCTTCTGATCTGGGAATTCCATGTCTACAAATGTATACTAAATAAACCATCAGGTATGTATAAAAGATACAGCTTTAAAAGATGCCTAACTCATTACACTATTTAAAACAGAGAAAAATTAAGTATTCTCAATATTCAATAATCAGTAATTTGCAAAATTACAGCAAATCAATTTAATGAACAATAATGCAGTCATTAAGAATAATATTATTTTAAAACATTTTATGGAAGATATTTACAATATGTTAAGTAAAATATGCAGGTTATAAAATATTAAACCCACTTATGAAAAATACATATTTGTGTTAAATAATTATATCTGTGTAAATGTGTGTATATTCACATATGCACACACATACACTTGTACATATGACTGGAAAAATATGTAGCAAAATCTTAACGGTATATTATCTGGTGGGCTGTAATTGTCTTCTAGGTTTTCAAAAAAGTTTTTGCATATGTACAGTTTCTGAGAGTTCTATAATGAATAGGCATTAGATTTGCACATTTTTATTAAAACAGAGACTACATGAATACTATCTTACAAGAGGAAAATCAAATGAATAATGATAAATAGTAAATAAACACAAGCGTGTTTTTTAAATCTTTTAAAAATAAATTCTATTTGTATTTATAGGATACAAATAGGATCCTATAAATAACTAAATATTTCAAAAAACACAATACAAAAATTGAGTACTTCTTATTCCAATTCATTAAAAAAGAGAAAGGCAGAGAAGACTTAAAACAAATGACAGTTTTTACTAAAAAGAATGGGCAAGGAAAATAACATAATCTAGTATATAGATGAATATGTAATGCCCTATGGATTTTATACATTAATTATTTTTTATCTTTAAGTTACACTTCTATGAATAAGGTATTTACATGGGAAATTGGATCAATAGCAAAGAAAATAATTCATGATAAATAGATTTCCATACTTTCTTCTAAAACTCCTTTATATATGTATGTGTTGGTATACTTTAGTACACTAACATAATATTTGTATTGTCAGTTCTTATTTAAAATCTGTTGAATGTGCCCTATAAACTAAAAGCAAAATTTCAATTTCTTTGCCTAGTATTCACAACTTTCCATGATCTTATCCCAAAGTAACTGGTCATTTTACCTCCCACTTCTCTTCACAAACCACCTTCTCCAGTCTGACAGACCCCTCATTATTTTCTCCACACATCATGCCAGTTTTCTGTCCTCAAACTGTCTCACAGTTTCTAAATGTCTGATTCTGGCCCCCAATTATACATTGCTTTTGTGCCAATTTTAAATGATTTACTGGGATATCTCTTGTCAACCTCAGAAGGGTAATTTTGTTCTCTTAGAAAGCACCTGAATTATTCAGAGTCCAATCAGAAGAGAGAAGCCACACAGTAAATTTAACAGTGAAAATGTAATATAAAGAATTACTACCTATAAGAAGATAGAAACTTTAACGCTGTGAAGAAAACCTTAAAGAACAATCAAAGTACCCAAGAAAGAAACCAATATAGACAGGGGAGGTTGCTGAGAATCAGATTTCCTTAAAGAAGGTGCAGTTGCAGCTCACGGGAAGATAAAGTCTGCTGGGTCACTCAGGCCAGAGCCAATCCTGCTCTAGGGAAGCTAGGGAAACAGGACACATTCTCCCTGCAGCAGAGTGGCATGAGGCCTGGGGTATGTGTGTGCCACAGCAAGGCAGTCACCAGGCCAGGTTTGTTGCTACAAGCTCACTGAGGGACTATGTCTGCTACATGCACACAGCTCCGTCCACTGTGCAGTACCACCAACTAAAAACAAACTTAGGATCACAATTCAACCAAGAATAGATGATCCTTCTTTCTTAAGTGTCTCTCCAGTGCCCTCTACTGACAAAGCTTAACACTGTGCCAGCTGTAAAGCAGAACCGCTTAAAGGGTCAAGTGCTACTATGACAGGGCAGGTAATGAAGGACAAATTTTAAGCTCCGGGGCAATAAATTGATAACTGGCACCCTATCTAACAAGGGCTTTGCATACAGTAGAAGTCTAATAAACACTTGTTACTTGATTAGTTAGATTACCAATTGAATGAGGAGACAAAGACACTAGTTAATAACATGAACAATTGAGGCAGCACTAGTTCTAACTATATGTGAGATAAATTACCAGAAAATGTCAAAACAACAACAAAAAGAAAAACAAATGAAACTAGTTTATGCTGCTTCCAAACATAAGGATTTAATGAACGAGTATAATGTTTGGAAGTACATATTTAATGTATTTGTCAGAGTCACGCTGGTATATATAAGAAACCTTATATTAGAACAAAGGTTCTCAAATGTTTTAGTCTCAGGACCCCTTTATACTTGTGATACTAAGGATATCAAGCAGCTTTTGTTTCTGAGTTATATCAATATTGACCATATTAGAATTTAAAATGGAAAAATCTCAAAAATAATAATTTAAGATTAGCAATGATCTCATAATTTACTATATTTTCATGAAAAATAACCATTTCCCAAAATAAACAAAAAAGATAGTAAGAAGTAATAAGCATTGTTTTACTTTTTACAAATCTCTTTAGTATCTGTCTCAATAGAAGGCAATTAGATTCTCATTTTTACTTCATCTTTCAATCTGTTGTAGTATCATACATTATGTAACCTCTGGGAAATTCTTCTATTCATTCATCAGAAAATGAAAGAGAAAAAAGGAAAACTATATTTCAATGTTATTGATAAGCAATTTTGACCTCATGGATCACCTGAAAGAGTATGAGGGTCTACAGAGATCTTTGGATCACATGTAGAGAACCCTATATTTTAATATACATAAATCTTTTTATCGCTCTGCTCTAATGAGAACACTATTAGTGCTTTTATTTATGTTGAGTCTACTTCACTCATTCAGTCTCTGCAGGGTATAAAGATGTACTCTATAAAATCAGTTAGAAAACAAAATCCTTCACCAGAGTGTTGGATGTCTGAAGAATGAAGATGAAAAAAGTTGAAATTTTCTACCCTAGTACGAAGGATATATTAGTCAGGATTCTCCAGAGAAAAGGAATATATAGATAAACACACACACACACACACACACACACACAATATTACAAGGAATAGACTCATATGATTGTGGAAGCTGAGAAGTCCAGACTCAGGACAGGAGAGCTGATGGTATAATTCCAATCCGAGCCCAAAGGCCTGAGAAACAGGACAGTCAATGGTATAAATTCCAGTTCAAGTCCAAGTCTGAGTCCAATAACCAGGAGAGCCATTGGTGTAAGTTCCAATCTGAGTCCAAGTCCAAAGGCAGGAGACTGATGTCCCAGCTTGTAAACAGTCAGACACAGAGGGATTTCTTACTCCTTATTCATCTCAGTACTTCAAGCGATTGGATGAGGCCCACCCACAGTGGGAGGGCTATCTGCTTTACTCAGTGTACCATTTCAAATGTTAATCACATCCAGAAACATACACACACACACACATCCCTAGAAATAATGTTTAACCTAATATTCGGGCACCCTATCGCTGAGTCTAATTGACACACAAAATTGACCGTCACAAAGGGCTTTCTTCCACTCTAGTCTCTCAACATCAGAGAATCAGATTGTTATGTATGAGCGGAGGAGTACAGAGGACTAAGTAATATTCTATCCTCATAAGAAAAGTATTTTTATGTGTTCTGGAGACCATCTTGAATAGCTACCAAAGCACCAACGCACTGTGCAAAACAGCTAGCTCTTGGCATTGAGTGAGATTTTCCCAGTAGTAACAAAGAACATGCCAGAAACTGTTGGTGTAAAAAAACTAAAGACACTATACAATAATATTGCTTCATGCCCAGACAGCTTAAGAAGCAATAATCAGGATCTCTAAGTAGAAAGAAGAGTGACAAGTGAAATCATGATTTGGGTCTCAGCCCATCGGGGATATTTTTTTTCTTTGTTATAAAATTAATCTCTCTAAGTACTTCTGTTGCTATTACCTTTGTGCTGAAGGCAATGCCATTACCCTCCTTTTCATATCGTTCATCTTTTCATTTCCTTTTTTCAAGCCTCTTCTCCTACCACTATTTTTTTCATCTGATTAAGTGGCAACAAATATAACCAATTATTAAAACTAAGGACTCAATGATCAAACTAGGAATCAGTTTGATTTTTCCCCTTCCTTCACTTTCCTCTTTTAATTAACTAGCAATTCTCATTGTTTCTATTTTCAAGCTCTCTCCTCAATCCATTCACGTCTCTTCATATCCACTAGTTTTACCAAACTCCTATTACCTCTCAGGAGGACAAATAGAATGGAATCCTAGCAAGTTTTATGATTTCCACACTAGCAGCCCTACAATCGTTTCTGATACATAGCCAGGTTAATTTTTTTAAATCTTTCTCATACATTGCATTGAGAATAAAATCCAAACTCTTTAGCCCCACCCCTCAGCTTCAACATGATCTGGTGCCTGCCTTCCTCTCCAACATTATTTCTTACACCTCTCTTCCCTTACACAAGATGTTTCAGATACAATGGGCTTTTTTTCTGAAAAACAAAAACAAAAACAAAAACAAAAACAAAAACAAAACAAAACAAAACAAAAAAACACCTAAGTTTATGCTTGTCTCAGTCTCCATGCACTGGACCTTCCTCTGTTTGAAATGCTCTGTCCTCAGCTGGCTGATTTTCATCATTCATCTATTGGTGCAGCATTCCTAGGTCTGTTAAAGTAGTTCCTTCCAGGGTTCTTTCTAACATATCACTTTTTATTATTTCCTTTATAGCACTTTCCACTTACTGAATTTATTTGTTTACTTAATTGAAAAACTCCATGAAAAGTTGGGATTTCATGTATGTTGTTCATCCAAAAATCTAGAACAAGGTCTGGAGTATTCAGTTTGAAGTTGGATGTTTTATAAAAAAGTCGGACAACTATCTATTTGTGTTTCCTGCCCTGCATTCCCATAGCACTTACATAATGCTCTTTTATGTACAAAATATACCATATCTGTCTGTGCATCCCCAAAACCCTAGTGCAAGCTTTTTAAGATTAGAAACCTCTTTGGCCTCGCCAGCCCCTAACAGAGGGACTGTGTAACCTGTAAACTTGGCAAGCTCCACTGAAGGTAAGCAAAAATATTTTTTTAAGTATTGTTTTTTTTTCAAAGATAGTCAAAGAGAAAAAAAAAGAGTAAAATTTGAAATGATAATAAGCAAAATTTTCAATCTTGAGAATAACCCTAAAATACTCCATTAATTTGGTTAGACGGACATCAGTGCCATCACTTTTTGTACAGTCTAGTTTTAATTCTTCGAGCTTTTACATTCTATTACTTCTTAAGATGGATGCTTCTCTTCTAATGAGGTCTATCCCCTACATCATACAGTTTGTTTCTAAGACAGTATGAGGCAAATATTACAAAATGTCAGAAAAAGTTAGAAAAAGTAAACTTGTCCCCCAAACTTCAAATTAACTGAATTTGCATCTTTGCAGGAGTCTACTTCCAACAACTTTAGTATCCGTGACATGTCCCTCCCATTGCCTTGTAAAAATATAAACCTGTTTCCTTCACAGTCCGAATGACAAAATTTCTCTTGATCTCTGAGGAAGTGCTTTGTATTTGTTCTAGGTAGCCAGTTTACATTTGAAAATAGAAAAATGTATGGATTTAAGATAATAGCTTCTAAAAACCTTCAGGCAACACAAAAAAACTAAAATGAAAGTTTCAGTAGAAAGTAGCAAATTTCTCCTTCTTAGGAAGTGGGTGTCCTCATGGAATTTACCCGCTACACTACACATTAAGATTTAGAAACCTGGCCAAGCATTGTTTTATAGTTTAATCCCCTTCCCCTACTACATCTTAAGGAGACAAAAAACAAGTACTTGGCCATTACTTTGACGAACAAAATTTCCAGTTTCATCTTTATGACATAGGAAACCTATGTCATAAATAGTTAAAAGGATTAGTGCCATCTGTTTCCTATTTAAAAGTGGCTAATTTTATAATAGGTTTTGATTTCCTTTCCAGTACCTTCCAGGACTCCAATTTTCCCTACTTCCTACACATCTATTTACTTGTTTATCCTGGGCAAATAATTTAACCCCTCTCTGTCTTGTTTCCTCATCTTGAAGTGCCCACCCCACTGAGGTCCGGTGTGAGGACTAAATGAGACTACCTCCATGATGTGCGAAGGCACACTGACGAGAGGAATAGATGGGTCTTCAATACTTGTTCCTTTAGACGTACTCATTCCTTCTTCCACCAAACAGTAAAGAAAATAAAACTAGAAAATGTATGAAGAGAATACTTTCGAAGTTTAAAAATGAGATGACAATGTTAAAGGGTGGTACACTTAAAAACTTCCAACTTAATGGCACTTAACCTTCATAACCTTTCTTAACCCTTCCCTTCACAACTCTACCTATCCCTTTCATCCCAAAGTGAGTCAGGCCTCTTTCTCAGTCTTATCCTTCCTATTCCTCTATAACCCTCCCTCTCTCACTCTTTCTTTGAAATCTGAAGTAAATTTAAAGTATTGTTGCCTCAACGCCCACTCCAAGAAACACACACACTTACTTCACCAACAATTTCAAAGGACTCATTGATCTAAGTTTAAGAACTCTTGTTTTAAGATTTTTCCAATTTCTGAAATCATGGCACTCTCCTACAGCTATCCAACCTGCACAGCTTTTATGTTACATAGTAGTGAAAAGTTTTGAGAAGTAGCTGCTAAAAAGAAAAGCAACTTAAGAGAAAATAATCAGTAACATGACCCAAAAGGCAATAAAGGCTTTGTCCTGTGGCCAATTTTGTAATCATCACTCACCTTTCCAAAAGATCCAAGATTGAAATGAACAATTAAAGGTAAGAGAAGGTAGTGTGGCCTGTATTCCCTGGAAACTGCCTGAAGACTAAAAATCATGCTAACAATTCCCACCTGTTGTCTGGATATACTTCAACACTGTTAAACATTAAAGACCAGAACTGAAGGTCTAAAGAGAATGAGTGCACAACACATCTATGATTTCTATGTAAATGAATATTCTCAAAGTCAAAACATTCTACTCGGTAGTCACATTATTTCTGAAGGTACCAAATTTTTATTTTTTGTTTCCCACTGCATATTAAAGTTATGTTTATACAATACTGTAGTCCATTAAGTGTGCAATAGCATCATGTCTAAAAAAAAGGTATATAAGATATATAAAATATATACCTTAATTTTAGAATAGTTTATTGCTAAAAAAAATGCTAACAATCATCTGAGCCTTCAGCAAGTCATTATCTTTTTGCTAGTAGAGGGTCTTGCCTCAATGTTGAGGGCCTTGCTCTGGATTAGGCTTTGGCTTAAGGGAATGCTGTGGCTGGTTTAATCTCCTATCCAGACTACTAAAACTTTCTCCCTGTCAGCAATAAGGCTGTTTCACTTTCTTATCATCTGGGTGTTCACTGGAGTAGCACTTCCAATTTCCTTCAAGAACTTTTCCTTTGCATTCGAAACTTGGCTAACAGGAACAAGAGGCCCAGCTATTGGCCTATCTCAGCTTTGATATGCCTTCCTCACTAAGCTTAATCATTTTTAGCTTTTGATTTAAAGTGAGAGACCTGCAGTTATTCCTTTAAGTTGATAATTAAAGGGCCACCGTAGGGTTACTAATTGGCTTAATTTCAATATTGTTGTGTCTCAGAGAACAGGGAGGGCTGAGGAGAGGAAGAAAGACGGGAACAGCCAGTAGGTGGAACAGTCAGAATACATACAACATTTATCAGTTAAGCTCACCATCTTATACGGGAGCTGTTCGTGGTGCATGAAAAAATTACAACAGTAACATCAAAGATCACTGATCACAGATCACCATAACAGATATAATTAACAATAATCAAGTATGAAATATTGTGAGAATTACCAAAATGTTACATTTTGTTACACAAAATGAAATACTGTGAGAATTTCCAAAATGTTCAATTTGTAAAACATACAATATCTGCAAAGTACAATGAGGCAAAGCACAATAAAACAAGGTATGCCTGTAGCTGTACTGAATGATGTAAGTTTCCTTCCAACTCAACTAGTCTATTATTCTGAAAGTTCCCACTTTTCAGACAACATAACCTAGAAGAACTAAAGTACTTTTAGTACAAGAAGTACATGAAGAACAACTAGACCTTACTGTGACTCAAAACTAATAACAATTATAACTATTCAATTTTATAACTGTAACAATGGTCACTGCTCTCCTGAATAAGTAAATGGCAAGTAATGATCAATTAGAGAAGAATTCAGATTGAACAAAGTTTTTCAACTCAGTTCTCAGGAACAAGGATCATCAGGTCACAGGGGCAGTTCAATTGGCCACCAAAGAAGTTTCTTCCTTTATTAAACTTTAAGTCCACTGAAGTTCTTAATACAATAAAAGACACTTCATGAAATATTCAAAAGGAAGGAAAAATATAATCTCCCCCATCACCCAAATAAAAGCATATTCCTGTTTATGAAATGGTTAAGGCCAAGCGCGGTGGCTCACGCCTGTAATCCCCGGACTTTGGGGGCTGAGGAGGACTGTTCACGAGGTCAGGAGTTCAAGACCAGCCTGGCCAACATGGTGAAACCCTGTCTCTACTAAAAATACAAAAATTAGCCAGGCGTGGTGGCGGGCACCTGTAATCCCAGCTACTCGGGAGGCTGAGGCTGGAGAATCGTTTGAACCCAGGAGGCGAAGTTTGCACTGAGCCAAAGCCATGCCACTGCACTTCAGCCTGGGCGACAGAGTGAGACACTGTCTCAAAAACAAAAAACAAACAAACAAAAGAAATGGTTAAGAATTCAGGCTCTGAAGTCAGAGGCCTAAATTAACAGCCACGTTCTGTCACTTTCCACTATGTCTCCTCTCTACCATCTTACTGATGAAAATCTGAGGCCTGGAACAGATAAATGTCTTAGATATAATAAAAGCACTGTTTGAGTGGATTGTTGCAAGGATTACGGAAGTGGGAACTGTCAAAGGAAAACATCTTTTCATTTTTTTATTTACAAAGTACTATCACCTAAGCCAAAAATCGGTCTGCTTGTTTGAAACAGTTCTGCCTTAGAGGTTCTAAGACAAGAAAAGGAAAATAAAAGCAAAAGGGAATGATAACAAAAAAAAAAAAAAAAAATGAGAGACTGGGCATAGCAAAATGAAGAAAAGAGCTCAAGTAGTAGAAGGAAAAAGGGATGAAATAAGTGCTTACACTTTAAAATGTTAAGTTCTGAGAAGATGAAAGAAAAGAGAGGAAAACAGGGTGGTAGAGAAAATAGGGTTATTTTATTTTTCATCTCACCAGTAGCTTCATAAACCATACAAATATAATAAAAGAAACTGAGATCCTAGGATATAAAAAAGTAAAAGCGAATGGTGCCATCTCCTCAAATTTTGAGACTGTTGCTTTTGGTCACAAGATCGTCAACTATAGCTCAAGGTTTTGGTATAAAATATATACTTAAAGAAAAAAAAAACCTGAAACCCTTGTAAAATCCCCTCAGTCTACATTAACTTAAGGCAGCTTTAATGGAATTAGTGGTCTCCAATAATTGAGCAAAGTATAATATTAAATCATATCCCAGGTCTCTGGGATAGGCTATTCTACTTTCAGTGCTAGCAATGCAGTTATTTTGAAAAACAAAATTTAAAAAATAGCCAAAACACATCTGGTCAATTATGAAATGCCACATTGACCAATGGTGAGGAAAGGAAGAGCAAGCAAATACTTCTCTGATTGTAGCATACAATTAATTCAACTTTGTCTTAACAAATACAATCACCCAAAGATATTCCTTCAACAAAACATTCCTTTTAAACATAACCAGAAAAGCTGCATGACGCAAGTGACCTCCATTCCAACAGTGTGTTTTTTTTTTTGTTTTTTTTTGTTTGTTTTTTTGCCCTGAGAGCAACTGAGAATTGTACTTTAATGTTTTCATAAATGCTAACTTAAGGCTCAATGGGTAAACACAAACATTGAGAAATTGTAGAGTTTTAGTTCCCACACTAATTTTTTAAAGCTTCCCTCTGGGGTGTACTGTAGAAACTAAAATAAAAAATAACTTCAGCCAAAAGAAGTAACAGTTAGATCTCAGACCAACAATCAAGCACAGATGTCCTTCCCCTACCCCAAGGCGCTGGGAAAATGGGAGGTAATTTTTCTCTTACAGGAGGGAAGAAGAAACTTAATAGTTTCAAAAATTTCACTGTCACATCGTTCAATCTACTATTGTGATATACTTTCAGGCTTTCATTAACATTCATAAGCTAAATGGATGCAACTCAAGCATACAGACAGGATCAAATTTCTCTCCCTTGAGAATAACCATAAGCAAGAATATATCTCAAACATTTTCTTCTTCTAACTAAAATACCATCAAGTATCTCCCTAAGAACTGTTTCTGTAACTAAACAAACAAATAAACAAAAACTTCTTTTCCTTTACAATGATCCTACAAGCAGGGATTAAACTCTGCAAACACCATGAACTAGTAGTGATTGCTTCAGTGATGGTGACACACATTCACCAGTAACAACACAATTCTATTGGTTGAAGCAATTAACTGCATGCTCAAGCACAAGTAAGAATCATACATTCCATCTGGTGCTCAAAAATCCTCGCAAACTTGGTCCATAAAAACCTTGCCATGCTAACTTGCCATGAACCACCAGCATGAATTCATAGCTCATTAACAGTTCATGGTTCATAATAATAATAAAATAAGCATTTTTGCCTGGTGTGCCCCTTCTTCTTGCAAAGCTTGTATTCTCTTTTCTCCCCTAAGAACCTTTATTCCTACCTTCTTCATAAGCTCTTATGTCTGATTATACAACTTTTTAGTTAATAAACAAATTTACATTGCCCACTTTGTATTTGTTAGAATGTGTAGAATTTTCCAAGCTCAGCAGTAAACTTCTTAAGGGCTATTACCTCTCATTAGGCCTTTCTGTGTAGTGATCTACAGAAAGCTGATACTCCATCAGTGGAAGTGTTGATGGTGACTTACTGGCATATAAATAATTAAAAGAATAGCTTAAGACAGTAAAAATATTTAATTTACCCAATCCTCCAGTGAGAAAGTTACTGAATATGTAAAGTGCTAAATATTGTACAGGAAAACGTGAAGTGGAGAAGGGTTAAGTAACCTGCTCAGATCTCAGTTTGAACCTAACAATAAACTTATCTCCCTTAGCTCCTATATTATGCCACCTATCAAAGTGAACAAGAAGTTTATCAGCAAAAGGATCATGTGATGTAAATATTGTTAAAATTGCATTGAAAACCCATGAGGATGAATCTGAAATACTCTAACAGATACCATTTCAGTACTTTTCCTTCATGGGGCTTCTTCTGCATGGATGCAGCATCACACGAGTAATCAAAGCAACAACAAAATGTGTGCCAAATGAAACTGTGATGACCTCTACACAAGACAGTCTGGCTATGAAATCATGTAATGGGGAGATATGACCTCATCAGGAAGGTGAGAAAGTCTCTGAAAAAGTGATGTCTGAGCTGTGACCTGAAGAATGAAAGAGAGTTATTAGGAAGATCATTTCAGGCAAAATAAACCACTTGTGCAAAGGACCTAGAAGAGGGCCAAGTACAATGAATAAAAGAGACTGAAAGTTTGGCTGCAGAGGAGAAAATGGGGAAGATGACAATGGAGATCAAAGAAGTAAACAGACCAAGCAGGACTTGCAGGCAAAGATAAACAGTTTTGTCTTTATCTTAAATGTTATAGTTAAACACAGAAAAGATTTAAGCTGAATGAGATGAAGGTTGCTATCATAAGTCAGATTTTCATTCTGGCAAATAACTCTGGCCACAATGTATAAAACATATGAGTGATAGGGTGGTAAGCAAAATAGGTATGGGAGACCAGGAAGATAGTAGCTGTGGCAGTCAATAGAGGAAAAATGTTTTTAATTATAGTAATAGATGATGGAGGTGATGTGAAGCAGCCAATCAAGACCTATATAGGAGGTAAAAACAGCAAAATTGGTGATGCATAACATATACAAGAGACAGGTATCCAGAATATACAACTATATTTCTTGTTACTACACCCAAATATATAGCAGTGCCATTCCCTGAGCCATGGTACACTGGATGAAGATCAAGGCTGGGAAAAAGATGAGTTCAAGTTCTTCAATGTAAACAGCAGAATCCACTGTATCACTTTCAGCAAAAACAACCAGAAAAAAGTATTAAAGAACATTAGGAAGCCCAAATAATAACTCAAGTATATCCACCAGTGGAGACCTACTGCTGGGTGCAGACAACATTCTCCCAACACTCAGGCTAGGTCCTGTGCTTTGCTGCCCCTGGAAGTCTATGCTTCCCCTCTGCAGAAGGAAATCTTTATGCTGCCTCCTCTTACTCAATAGCTTCCTAATCAATGTTCTTATAGGTATTCTGAATTGTGATTTGGTCACCTGTTGATGTCCTAGTTAAGGATGGCTGAAAAGGTGAGTGTTTTACTTCTTTCTGGGGCTATAAAAACTCATAAGGCAAGAGATTCACCAAATATAGGAAAAACTGCCGTAAACAAAAACAAATACTATCTAAAGAAGGGGAGGCATTAATTTTGTTGAGACATCCCAGCAAAGATGCTACAAACATATTTGTAAATCATCTACATATGCATTTACACATATAAATCCCATAATGCTATTATGTTTTTTGCTTTTGAAAAGTTTTCAAAAAAATCTTAAATATTTTATAAATAAAATATAAGAGTCAATTTACTTTATCAAAATAATGCTGCTCTGTATTTTATTATGGAGCATGGAATGTAGCAATCTGATTACAAACCTTTTTTCAGTAAAATACTACAGAGGACAAGGGAAATAAAATTCATTCTAAGCTTCTAACTTACACAGCTAACTTTTAAAATTAATAAATTTTCTTATTTTTTACCAATATGTTATTTCAATAGTGATTAACAATTTGGGTGACTTCCAGGAACCCACAACAGACTCTATCGGCAGTTAAATTAAAGCCATTTAATCTTGCACTAACAAGCCCATGTAACTAATTCAGGTATCTGAAGCATATTCACCTCTTGACCCTCACTAAACACATCTTGAATCTGAGTAGCCATCTACTAATGTATTTTTCCCAAATATAAGACCAAAATTCCCCTTTGAGTGTGTTATATATTTATCCTGATCAGCATTCAATTCAAAAGACAATGTGTTTGGGGTAAGAAAAAACTGACAAGCTGCTACAACACACATATGTATCTGGAGAGGCAAAATTGCAACTAATTGTGATTGAAACACAATCATAATTTTCCTCCCCACGGTAGCTTTGGCAAAAATTGCTTCCTGGAACACAGAAAAAAAAATATCCTTCTGTACCTAAGAAAATGAACATAAGTAAATAAATGAGAGTCTAACAAGTAAGCTCATGGTGACAAATTGCTGCAGATAAACTTTCTGCCAGGCTTCCAGAAACAGCTTGACCCTAAGGACTTATTTAGACTTAGAAAAGGTCCCACAAGGGACATCAATAATACCACAGGACATCTGATTCTTCTTTTATAGGTAGCTGTAGTCCCACAACCAAGTTTCTTAGGGTGAGTAAGAGAGGTAGTTTTGGCCACTGTTCTAGTTGCCCAGAATCAATATTTGGACTAAAATCCAAAGGTCAGAATTGCTACCATCACCCCACCCCCATCCAAAATAAAACCAGTAAAAGAGAGTGGTGGTGAAAGAGGGTCAAGCTGTTAAGGAGCTAAGCAAAAAGAAGACGCAGAAATCTAAGGATCTGATTCTTAGACAAACTAAAAAGATTTATTGAGAACTTCAAGAAGCATTGGAGTTCTCCAGTGGCTAAAACAGCCTCCTAAAATAAGTCACTTTGTCTAAGTGTAAACCATTTCTTGGATCTCTATCAAATTTTTAAAAATAGCTAAGAGTTCACTGGTTCAAACTCTCAGAATATAACCATATGGCCCACAGCATAAACATGGCAACCAGACAGGGCTTCAAGACTTTCTCTGTTGATGAACATTTCTTTCAGACACCAGTCTCAGTAAACTGATTTCCTTATGGAATCCCCCCATTCTAGCAGACCCAGCAACTGGGTAAGCTTTAACAACCTCTAAATGTACAAGAAAGCATGCTCTGTTAATTCACTATGGGCATGAAAGAGTTTAGAGTTTAAGGGTAAACTCCTAATTCAATGTTTCTCAAACATGAGTAAAATCCCAAGCTTTGAAAAAGAAAACTTTCTCACAGACCTCAGTGTTAAGTTGAACTCTGCACAGATAAATATCTGAGTATTAACATACCATAAGTTTACTCATACAACACATGTATAAAATCAATACAGTTTAAATTAACATCCTTTGTTATTTAATATAAAATGATGCTTTGTGGAACCAAAAATGCAAATAGATTTAAGAGTGGCAAATAGGTACTTCTTTGTTTTATATTTTACATTTCACTTTTAGGTTTGATTCTTTTGGTTTTGATCATAATGAAACATCATTTGAGTTAATGTCATCATAATTTTTGTTATTTTTCTTTAATATTAACTTTTAGCCACTGATCCACGCTTTTGATAGACTAATAGATTTAATAGTACATTCCAAAATAACAGGAAAAGTTTAAATCTGCTTTAATAAAAACAGTTCTCTGTTTTACTATATTTATTGTTAGTAAACTTTTCCAAGTTAATATGTACAAAATCAGGAACTGCACAATATCTGTGCTTTAAAAACATCAATATGATGTCAGCTAGTATCTCACAGCTTATTATAAATTTTGCATGCTTATGGTATGTGTTATTTGCCACATTTGATTTTTTTTCTATATGTACTCTAAAATGTGATACAGTTCACCCTTTCACTTAGCAGATGTAACATAAACACAAATGCAAATAATGCCTCTGAATTATTTCTCAATGATTAATAAATAATTATCTTAAGTATATGTATATTAATTTTAGACTCAGAAAGTTAAAAATATGTAATTTTTTCAAAAAGCCTCATGTAACTCAGATAATTCTGCATTCACATTGTAGTTTGAAAAGCATTTCCTTCACTCACTTAGTAATAAACTCAGACTCAAACAGAATTTGTCACACACAATACCAATAACTGTAGATTAAGAAAAGACTAAGTCCAAAAGGTACATTGGAATAAAATTATGTGTACACAGGCCTAAATTAATTTTTGTGAAAGAAAATCCATAATTTTAATTTTTCTGAAGAAAAACATTTTTTCAAAAAGATGCTTCAAGATATTTACCCCCTTGAAACATGTAAAGAACCATCACTTTATTTTCTATGCCTTTGTCTTTGCCTGCAGGTTTAGAACTTGATGCTAGGAAAGGCTTTCCTGCCATTAAAAAAGTAAAGTGAAAATTAAATAACTAATTGTATGATTCCTTTTCAAGTTGATTACCAGAAAGCTTAGTATCTCATTTAAGTTTCAACTAGAACAGCAACGTAGGCCTTACTGCCTGGAGAATACAGGTTTATTTGTCATGGACTTGATTTTTAAATTATATTTGCATTCCTACAGCTCAAGAGTCATTTTTCCTTATTTCTCTTTGCTATGTGGCCAATTATCTTAGTGATAAGTAACTTCAAATTATTTACATAACAATGGAAGGCATAAGAAGGTATATACGGCCAGTCGCAGTGGCTCACGCCTGTAATCCCAGCACTTTAGGAGGCCAAGGCTGGCGGATCACCTGAGGTCAGGAGTTCGAGACCAGCCTGGACAACATGATGAAACCCCGTTTTTACTAAAAATACAAAAATTAGCTGGGTGTGGTGGCACATGCTGGTAATCCCAGCTACTCAGGAGGCTGGGGCAGAAGAATCGTCTGAGCCCGGGAGGCGGAGGTTGCAGTGAGCCGAGATCTCACCACTGCACTCAAGCCTGGGTGACAGAGTGAGACTCCATCTCAAACAAAAAAAGAGAAGAGAAGAGAAGAGAAAATAGATCCTAGGTTTCAGCACACACACAAAAAAATTTTTAAGTTATAGAAATTAAATAATAATTAGTAACATGAAGGCAGCTTCTACTTGTTACAAAGACCAAGGTTTCTATAAGTGCCTACTCTACCTCACCAAAGCCCCAAAAGCCAATTCTACAAAAAATTATGAATGGAGATGGTCAATTGTAATTGCCTACTAAGCCAGATCCAAGGAGGATTAAAGCCAGGTACTGGTTATTTATCTCAGTATTGAAGTATTTAAACTAAACACAGTTATGACAAAAAAAAAAAGGCTCATTATGTAGTTATACCTCTGTCCCATCACCACCCTGAATAGCAGTGTGCTGGATCTCTAATACATTTTCATAAATTATATAGAAGTGTATTGTAAATTGATTCTCAGTTTTAAAACAAAATAAAATCTAAATTGTGAACAAAATTAAAATGGTAGAGCCAAGGGAAAAAGTATTATAAATTCAAAAGAAATATCTACAAATTTTTTTTTCTAAAGAACAGATTTAAGCCATGCATAGTAGCACACACCTGTAGTCTCAGCTACTTAAGAGCCTGAGGTAGGAGGATCACTTGAGCCCAGGAGTTTGAATCCAGCCTGGGCAACATAGCAAGGCCTCATTTCTAAAAAAAAACAATTAAAAAATTAAAGAACAGGTTTATTACAGAAAATTTTCAAAGAAGAAACTTTTTTGGGTGGGGTGGGTAGAGACTGCCTGAATTAAATCTTTCTTATTGTGAAAAAGTACAGCTACCAAAAACTGTATTAGTCAACACTTTCAGTGGTGAAAATTCACAAACATTTCTTTTAGAATCAAGAATGTACAAAAGATGTCTACTATCTTTTTATTTAATGTTGTTCTGGATATCGTAACGCAGTAAGACAGATGATATATATATGTCTATATGAAAATAAAAAAGAATCAGCCGGGCGCAGTGGCTCACGCCTGTCCCAGCACTTTGGGAGGCTGAGGCAGGTGGATCACCTGAGGTCAGGAGTTCGAGACCAGCCTGGCCAACATGGTGAGACCCTGTTTCTACTAAAAATACAAAAATTAGCTGGGCGTGGCAGTGGGTGCCTATAATCCCAGCTACTCTGGAGGCTGAGGCAGGAGAATCGCTTGAACCTGGAAGGCGGAGGTTGCAGTGAGCCAAGATCGCACCATTGCACTCCAGCCTGGGCAACAAGAGTGAAACTCCATCTCAAAAAAAAAAAAAAAGAAAAGAAAAAAGAATCAATATTTTCATCATTAATAAGAGTATCACAAGGCTTTCTAGCATTTAAAGACAAAAAATAAAATAAAGAACTAGAATATGAATGCATTTAAATAAAAAAAATTCTTAAAGGTTAACTCTATAGCACAGTTAAAGTTCTATTAACAAACTCCATTCAAATGAGGAATTTAAATAGAAAGTCAGCTGTTAAATGCTTTATCCAAAAACATTTCATAAATTACGTGAAACAGAGTTGTTTGCATTTTTAGCTGCTTGACAAAATATACAAAGCCAAAGTCCTTATATCTCCCAAGTCCAGCTGAAATAAACACGACAGATCTTAAGCTAAGAAACATCTGCAATTTTGTATGTTTTTCTAAGCCTATAGCTAAGAGAGTGAACTCTGGGGTCAGATCAACCTTGGTTCAAATCCTGGCATCAGAACTTATAAGTTAAGTGATTTTCGTAACACTTCCCTCTTTATAGACTTGGGCTCTTTATTTGTAAAAGAGAGATAATACTATCTGCCTTATAGGAATGTTGGGGCCATACATAGAACATGTTTATTCTATCAAGTGTTCCAAGCATTTGATAGAACGTGCTTTGGCTTCTAGTATCTCAGCAATACTGCCTTGGTCTTCTCACCCAAAACGAAGCTAAACTTCCTCACATGGATTCTCTATTCTAAATGGGTAAATGACTATATCCTGATCAACAGCACCAAGGTGAATATGTTTCTTATGCCATCCTCTCACCATCCACTTAATACTGCTCCCACTCTCAGAAACCCTCCCATCACCATTTAGTAAATGAAATCACACTCATCTTTTAAAGGTCAACTCAAGTTACATCAGGATTCTTATGCTGAATTCGCTAACAATTGGAGATCTGTGTTTATCAAAATAATGTAAAACATAAGATGATACCCTATAACGTACAATCAGGCTGTATGCAGCCTGATTCAACAAAATTAGACTATGATTATTCAGTCTTTTATCCACCCCCTCCAATCACTCCTCGTGATTTTTTTTTTAAAGGTCTCCCTCTGTTGTCCTGGCAGATCATGGCGATCATGGCTCACTGCAGCCCTGACCTCCCAGGTTCAGGTGATCCTCCCAACTCAGTCTCCCAAGTAGCTGGGACTATAGGCACACACCATCAAACTGACAAATTTTTTTGTATTTTTGGAAAAGATGGGGTTTTGTCATTTGCCCAGGCTGGTTTGGAACTCCTAGGCTAAAGTCATCTGCCTGCCTCAGCCTCCCAAAGTGCTGAGACTACAGGCATGAGCCACTGTGCCTGGCCCACCCCTCACTTCTAAAGAGGACTTTTGTCTGCACTGCTCAGCTTTTGTTGGTACCTCTGTAGACAGAAGAAAAAATGGTGGGAAATTTTTTAATTAATCTAGAGAAAACAATTTGATTATATGATAAAGGGTAAAAAGTTACCTGGGGAACAGAAGAAAATTATCCTGAATGTAGGAGAATGGGGGGGGAAAGTAGGTCTCAGTATAAGCCAGGTGATTTTTTTTTTTTTTTTTTGGTGGAGATGCACAAAAATCAGAGTAACTACTATGTGATGTAGGACTTTAAGAAGTCAGAGAGAGTTCTTTCTAAGCAAGTTTTTCCACTTATATATCATACATACATTCAAACATAAATTCATAGATACATGTATTCATACACATACATCTGAGGGAGTCTTCAGTGAATGCTATTTTAAGCACTTTTTAATATGGAATATATATCTTTTTTTTGGTTTGACACCAAAGAGAATTACACATTTAGATACAGGCAAAAAGATGCACTTTTGTTCCCACTACATATATTAAACAAAATCTCTGAGAGTGGCATAATGTAAGTATCAAATAAACAGTAGCTGCTCTCATCCTGTCATCTGTTTAATTATTCTGAGTATGTTCACGATCTCCTCAAGAAGACAAGTCATCTTGCTGATGGCAATACCCTGTACTACTTCAAACCACAGCATCTAGCATTGTACTAAAGACGGGGTCAGGGATCAATAAGTATCGGCTAATTGAATCACTGACATTTGAGAAAAGCCCAACATCTGAGAAACAAATAATTAGGTTATGATGCGAAGCTTAGCTTCAGGAGAAGCAAGAATGTTTTTCAATTTATTTCTCCTCCAATGCAGTCCAGAATTCCTCTTCAGTACATAACTCAGGCTGGAGAGATAATATATGTGCTAATCACCATACAAGGAGAATATATACTACATGCATTTGTATCCCTTCTCACTGATACATCTGGTTTCCCATTAAGGTGTTTAATGAAACCTTACCTGTTATACCAAAGGCTGTGAGATAATGAATCTAAATGTATAAGCCTTATTTCCATTAAAATTAAATATGTCTAATCCTCAAAATAGAAGCACTCAATCTTCGTTAACTACAAAGGAAAGTGGTAGGTGTTTTTTCTTAATACCTCTTGTATCCATTTTTTAAGTTATATTGTAAAAGGTATATATTTCAGGCTGTAAATGTCTTATTTATCTTGCAAGAAAGAAACTCCTTTCACCTTGGTATAGAGTTGCTTTCTGAAAAAATTTCCAATGAATAACAATCAGAAGCAGGAAAGAAAAGAAGGATACAAGGATATTATATTACTGATGTCTTCCCTGCCATGCTCTGAGTGGCCACAATCTCATAGAATTCTATGATTTTTAGGGACCTGGGAGATCATTTGATTGTGCCATATATTTTATAGATTAAAAATCTGAAAATCATAGAATTTAAGTGACATGTAGAAAAAATATTAATATTCAAAGAAGGTAAATTTAAAGAAGGAAACAGATAAAGATGAAAATAGAGAAGCAGTCTTTTTTGTGTGATCTTAAGTAATCCTGTCATTTTTAAAAGTTGAAGTTTTCTATGGTATGATAAAATTTTTCTATAGTATAATATATAGCCAATTTTCTATAGTATGATAAAACTTTACTAATAGTCTGATATAAAGTCCCAATCTAAAATATTTTATATATTACATGAAATAGAATTGCTTTATTTTTTAGTTGCCTAACAAATTAATCCAGTGAAAATTCTATTTCTCTCAGTAAACAGACAGATCTTAAAGAAAGATAAAACATTTATACAGCCTGTAAATGTTCCCTTCAATACAAATGGAGTAAGACCAAACCAGTTTAATTACTGGAACCTTCCTTGTCAAATGTGCACTCTTGAACAAATTGTTTCCCCTTTCTGGAAGAAAGCCCCTTCATCTGTCAAACAGAGATAATACAGCCTGCCTCATAGGATTACCGTGAGGAATATATTGGAAAACATCAGCAAAGCACTAAACATAAGGCTTGACACATAGGAAGTCTACAACAAATGACAATCTCATGCTTGCTATCCCTATAAAAATAGGAAAGGAATGAAAACATTAATTTACATGCAACAAAAGTCTGATCTTAAGTGACAATACTTTAACTGATTAAAATGCTAAAAACACTAAGATTTGCCTGTTTACTGAGAGACATGGAATCTGCATTGTATTGACAGCAAAAGAAAAGGAAAACCATTCTATTTCATATAGTATATAAAATGCTTTGGATTGAGATCCTGCACCAGTAAATAAAGCTCCTAATAAATGAATAATATAATGTTATCTCACTGGAAACAATAATACAAATTTCTATTTTAACCTTGATCTCTGACTGCAAAAGAAATCTGTGTGATTCACCAGCAAGCTTGATGGGATCAGAGGGAACAAGGGGAAGACAAGTGAGAAGAGGGGCCTTGTAAACATGCTGACTCAGGGAACTTCTATCCCTTTATGACCGTGAGAATGATATTATCATAGGACTATTTATACCTTCTCTCTTATCATACGGCATCACAAAAATCCTGCTAATTCAGGCAACTGAAAGAACTGACTAAATTAATTGCAGGACCTTAGGGTCCTCTAAACTTGCAGAAACTGGAGATGAATTTACCGTGAAGAAGGGTCAATGTGATATGTTGATTTTTTTTCATTTGTTTGTTTATATGTTTTTAAGAAGCAGGAAAGTCAAACCTATACCAGGGACCTTTATGGTTTTCATTTAAACTGTAAAAGTCCCCATGTGAGTATGTGTATGAGGGGAAGGGGACAGTAGATAAATACACGGTAAAGCAATCTCATCTGTCAGATCTTTTTTAAGCTCACTTACTGTTTTTCCTCGTGTAAAACATGGTTTTAAAAGAGAGAAATACATTAATATCCAACCCACTACAAACTGAGCTACTAAGTTACATTATCAGGAAATAAACTTTTTAAGAAATCTAAAAATTTCCCACATTTTATTTATTTATAACACTCCGATCTCTACGTTGTAATTAAAATTTAAAAGTGCAACCATCATAATATTCCATAAAATAGCAACATTAATACGTCGATTTTATTTTTGTTCATAAAGTTTATTCTAAGTTCTTGAAATCTTGCTTTATCAGAAATACAATACCTATGGGAATTAGACTATGTCAGTTACCCCAAGGATATGACAAAAAAAGTTAAGATATGGCTTTCAAGTACAGATCATCTATTGTAGCTTTGACACAACACATATACTTTTATAAAAAGCTGTGGAGAATAAAAATATTCAAGAGTCATTATAGCATTATTATTACAGAAACATGAAATGAGGCTACATTATTTCCAAGTACATACTTATTTATATAAAACACAAATAAATTTTCCAATTAATCAATTCAGTATATGAAAGAACGCAATATTAAGAAACAAATCTGATTAAGCAAAGACCCAAAATGTAAAATTCTGCCAAAAAGAAGCTATTTTAGTCAAATCCAGATGGAGACTACTAGATGAAGTTTTGAACTCAGTATCCACCATCTCTAGTCCAATAAAAAAGTGTCTTTCACTTGCAAATAAAATGGTTGTTAGATATATTAAAATAATTTCTTTTCATTATATTAACATAACAAAAACCCTTCCCCAAATCTTTAAAATATATTTGTACTTAAAAACTATGTTTATTGTATTTTATTCATGGTGAATATTAAAGCCATAAGTTTACAAAATTTTCTGTAAGAATGACAATCCGTTTCCTTTTGTAAACTGAAATATTTTAGTTTGTTAACAAATGTATGATCGATTTTTATTTTTCCCTATTTCCATTCTTTGAGAAGTTTTACTGGAAATATAATCCAATATAATGGTCGAATTGAAGAGAATTACTTTTCAGTTACTTATTAAGTATTTTTAGCTATTTCTTTAATAAGATATGTATGAAAACCTGAAAGCTCTATAACAATTTGTTTAACTTCTAAATTGGAGGTGGAGTAAATCAAACTTCCTGTTGAACACTGATAAGAAAAATAATCACTAATTTGGCTACTGATGAATAAAAATATGTAGGCACCACAGCATAGAAATGACTGTGTCCTTATTAAATAAGAAAGCGAATAAAAATCCACCTATCTAAGAATGTTAGTAATTGCTAAGGGCTTTTGCAAACAGAGATTTCCATACTATACTTGCCCTCCCTTATTCCACATAAGAAGGCAATTACCAGAAAAGAAAGAAATGAAGGTAAAATCATGAAAAGAAGTATGAATAAGGCATAAGACAAAATTCCCAAGAGAAACCTAAAGAACTCAAATCTGATGTCCAGAAACATGAACAACACTTCACTGTCAACCTAGAGCAATGGAAAATAAACTATAGCAAACCTAAAATCATGGAGTGTTACCATTCCTCACACCTCTTCTGCATATTCATTTAATCAAGTGTAAGCAGGAAATAAAACACTGAAATATATTTGCCCATAAATATTCCCTAGTAGATTTTTTTCAAGAACTAAATCTCCCTGGATAGTGGTTTATAATTGAATGTACAATTGCAGATGAATGAGAGATTATATCAACAGGAAAATACAGAAATTCATTGTAGTTTAATGCTTTCATGATCTCTGCCTTATCTTCTCTTTTATTGTACCAAATATAAATAATTGAACAAATGAAATGTGAGGTGAGAGGTGCCCACTGCAATATTTTAGGTAAAGAGCTGCTGCTGTTTTACCACCTTAGTTAAAAAACAAGCCAGCATATCCTCAGAAGCTGATTCTGTTATAAGGGAGAGAAAGACAGAAACATATTCACACCGTTCAAAAAAAAAAGAATAAAAAAATCATTGTGTCATAGGCTTTATTTGTAAAATACATGAAAAATTTTGATGAAAAGAAGTGCTGTTGAAAGGGTATAGGCGTTATAGTCTATTTGTTCTGTTTTACTTGGGTAATAAGGAAATTTTAAGCATTTAAAATCTATTTAAGCATTGGGATTTGGGCAAGGTTGCCAACTGTGGAAACTCTTTAATGATTATAGGAGACTTATGGGTCAGGTGACCACATAAGTCTTCCTCCAAAGCAAAACACAGAGTTTTGCACAGAGAAACAGGGCACTATTAATAAATATTCCCAGGCTACAGGTATGAACCATTACTGTCCCGGGAAGAATAGCACATATGGGCAATCCACCCACTAGTTTTAGAATGTGGAGCAGCACTGAGAGGCAATCATGTACTAAGAAAACTATGTACTAAGTCCATGTCTATGGACTGATACATGCATTCACTTGATGGGGATGGCAGAAGGGGAGAAATAAAAACTCCAAATAGCAGGATGGGAGCCAGAAATAACAGGCCAGAAAAAGGAGTTGGAGGATCAAAGACACTAGATTTTTACAGGGCACCCATGGGCTAGCTCACAGCAAGGTAGAAAGTATTAAAGGTAGCAATCAGGGTCAGATATAAAAGTGTTCTTAATTTTAAAGCCTTCAGTGTTTTGTAAGAAGCAATCAGCAGGTATTATATATGTTGGAGTGCAAAAGTAGAAGTAGAGGAAGGTAATTTTGTTAAAATTCAAGAACAGGAGACTTATCAACAGCATCAAATGCCCTTAAAGGAAAAAGGAAAAGAAAACAGAAGGTAGAGGCAGTGCACAGAAAGGTATTCATCAATCCAACGACCACTGATAGAATCCAGTAATGAGTATGCTAGATCAAGGCTTCCAAACAGATGGATGAAAGGTGCAATCTGTCTCCAGAAATGTTTTGTTTGACATGCACAGTGCTTTGTAAATATTTAAGCCAATGTTTTTAAAGAAAAATTCAACGTAACAATTGGTATTTCTAGTTACTCTAGAATAACTTAAAGTAATGCAAACACTGGGCCTATACGTCCATGAGGCCAAAATATGTGGGATTTGAACACAATTTAATATTTACTCTTAAAATGAAAAGTTATCACCAAGCAAGCTTATATTACCTGTTAGCTAGTAGAGCTTTCAATGTGCAAACCATATTAACTCCTTTAGAGCCACTAAATTGAGTCTTTTATCTCCAGTTTAATGTCATACTCTTAGCCCTCTAACCTAAAAGAAGCTAAGCAAAAAAAAAGAGTGACAAGTTTACTTCAACTCTTCTTCAATTTCTAAGCACCTCTACAAACAAGTATGTCTGATACTTCGCTAGGTGCTGATGAATCATAAAAGTGAGGCAAAGCCTGAAATTAGCCAGGAATCTAAAAGAGACAGCCCTGAGTCTACAGATGAAACATGACTCATTCAGTCTTGGAGTTATAACTTCTACCATCTTCTACTCTTTGAAGAGCAAGGGCCTGATAAATGAGATTTTTAAACCTAATCTTAGCACTTTAAGTAAATAAAAGGTGGCATTACTGTGCCAAAATAAGCGGTGGTGATATAAACACGGGAAAAAGACATCTGTAAATCCACATCAACAGTATTCTTATTTTATAGAGGCAGAGAGGTTAGTGTGTACTATGTGGTAGAAAATGAACGCGAATTTAAACAGGACATGTTCAGACAAAAAGGAGAGAGAGAAAATCATCACTATAATTCCTTAAATATCTGAAGGAACATTTGATAGATAACTGAAAAGTTTGTTAAAGAACTTCAGCCTCAAAAATAAAGAAAAAATATCATAAAATACAGATCATCAGTTTCTCATGTAATTTTCACAAGTAAATTGATTAAATGAATGTTCCTGGTAGCTCATTTTCTCACCTAGTTCTTCCTTAAAATGTACCCCAGAGTTTAAAATTCCCCTTCTTAAAATTAGAATTTACCAGTCTGAACTCCCAAAACCCTAAGGGCAAAAACTTTCAAACATTTTGTTCATGGAGAATCTTTTCAAAAATGAAATCGTGCAATGAAACTTACATGAAACAAATAAAAGCTAAATATCATAGTCAAAATGACAAAGGGTCTCCTTGCAGTCCACTCCAGCCTGCCAGGAACACTGTAGTAGGGGCTTAGAGAGATGGGGTCAAGGTCTGGTTGGATGTTGAAAGAGGGAATCAGATTTCTGGGGTCCAGATCATCCATCTCAATTTTCTTCAATGTAGCTCAACTTCAGTCAGTTTTACATTTTTCTATTGGGCCTTCTGATTAGTATATAATCATTTGAAATATTCCATTAGTAGGCCTGGCGTGGTGGCTCAATTCTGTAATCCCAGCACTTTGGGAGGCTAAGGCAGGTGGATCACGAGGTCAGGAGTTCGAGACCAGCCTGGCCAACATGGTGAAACCTGTCTCTACCAAAAATACAAAAATTAGCCGGGCATGGTGGCGCACACCTGTAATCCCAGCTACTAAGGAGGCTGGGGCAGGAGAATTGCTTGAACCCAGGAGGTGAAGATTGCAGTGAGCAGAGATCGCACCACTGCCCTCCAGCCTGGGTGACAGAGCGAGACTTCATCTCAAAAAAAAAAAAAAAAAAGAAATATTCCATTAGTAAAAATCACAGAAACCCTAAAACAAACATAAACACTAAAACAACTTTAAATGTAAAACACTACTATACAATATTAAGTGCTTTAGTTGCACTATCCTATAATTTATTTTTCATTCTGCAACTACCTCTAGTTGCAGATCACTGTACAGTCCAGATTTGATTGCCTCTTCCTTGGCCCTAGTATAAAGATAAAGTATTTAACATAGATTATGTCTTTATGACCTGCCCCTCCTATCTTCAAAGCTTATCTACTGCCCTTCTTGGTCTATGCTGCAGCCATACTGAACTTTTTTTATTTCCTCTAAAGTGCCACGTACTCTCATTCCTCCAGGTCTTTGCATGTGGAGTTCCCTCTGCATGGAGGACCACTCTCCCCTCTGTCTCTGCCTGGAGAACTCTTATTCATAGACAGATCCCAACTGAGACATCAAATTCTCAAAGGCTATGAGTTTCCACAGCAGTATCCCCTAACAAAGCACATATAACATCTTATAATGACTGCAAATAGTCTTCACTTTGCTCAGTAGTGTAGGAATATGAAAATGATATGCTAGTTGAAACTGTGCAAATAAATCTTTGTAATAAGTAATAAAATAGTTTGTTCAATGTCCTTTGAAAATTTTTGTCAAAACACTAAAAAAACTGTCATTTTTTACAAATGTATACAGAAATGAGGTAGTCAAACTCACAGTTATTTACCATACTAAATACAGAACATTAAAAATCTTGAAAACCATCAATAAAAGAACACTCAGCACTTAAAAAAAACTATTTATTTAGCAAATGCAGACAATTCATTAAAGACATTTCACAGTTGTTTAGCAAGCACATGAAAACATATTTGATATTATCAGCCATTAGAGAAACGCAAACTAAAATTTCAATGAGATCACTAAACAACTATTGGAACAGCTAAAATAAAACACAGTGCTAGCATCAAATGCTGGTGAAGATGGATTACTCATACATTGCTGATGGGAATGTAAAATGGTACAGCCACTATGAAAAACAGCTTGACAGTATTTTATGAAACTAAACATGTATTTACCATGCTAGATAGCAATTGTACTCTTGTGCATTTATTGCAAAGAAATAAAAATTTATGTTCACACAAAAACATTTAGATGAGTGTTCATAGCTTTATTTGTAATAGCCAAAAAGAAAAAAACAAAAATGTCCCTCAATGAGAAAACAGTTAAATAAATAATGGCATACAGTGGAATACTATTCAGCAGAATAAAGGAACTATTAATATGCACAACTTGCATGGATCCTAAGGGAATATCTAGATTGAAAAAACTGAACCCAAAAGGTACATAGTACATACATACCATATACATACATACATACATATACACACATATTCCATTTATACAAAAATCTTAAATTGTGACGTTACAGAGGAGTAATGATGAGTGGTTCTGAAGGAACAAGGGGAGGGGGCTGTGTCTACGAAAAGGTAGCCCAAGGGATCCTTCAGGTGACAAAAAAAATTCTGTTATATATCTTGATTATCGTGGTAGTTACTATGACTCTACACATGATAAAACTGGAAATAACACACATACACATATGACTGCGTATAAAACTGGTAAATTCTGAATAAGATCAGGTTCTATCAATATCGGTTTCCAAGTTGTGATAATGTACTACAGTTAATGCAAAATGTAAAATAATACATTTGAGGGAAAATGGATAAAGGGACACAAAAACTCCCTGTATTCTTTCTTATAACTGCATGTGAATTTATAATTATCTCAGAAATAAAAGTTGAATTTAAAAATTAAGAGTAGTTTGAATAATGCTACCCTTGTTTTCTTGGTTAAATATACCGTAAGGAAGCTAGCATATATTTTATGTCTCAGAAAATTATCATATTCCTTACTAAGTTGGGATAAGCCTCTAGCATTTAATCCTTTACATGTATTTTGGTTTTTTGTTTATGTTTTTTTTTTTTTTTTTTTTTTTTGAGACTGAGTCTCACTCTGTCGCCCAGGCTGGAGTGTAGTGGCACCATCTCGGCTCACTGCAAGCTCTGCCTCCTGGGTTCACACCATTCTCCTGCCTCAGCCTCCTAAGTAGCTGGGACTACAGGCATCCACCACCGCCCGGCTAATTTCTTGTATTTTTAGTAGAGACGGGGTTTCACCGTGTTAGCCAGGATGGTCTCAATCTCCTGACCTCATGATCTGCCCGCCTCGGCCTCCCAAAGTGCTGGGATTACAGGCGTGAGCCACCACGCCCAGCCTCCTTTACATGTTTAATGTTACGATATATCTCACACATTCTAAATTTGTTGTATTTTTATTCATGTCTTTTTTACCACATAAGCATCTATATAACTGGCAATAAGAATGGTTAACATGATTAGAAAGAGTAAGGCAATGTGCTAAGCATTTTATAAGTATTAACTCATCCAATTCTTATGACAGTATGAGGGCACTAGTATTATTCCTGTTTTACATGGACTATGAAGCGTAGGAATTTAAACTAACTTGCTTAAGATTACACAGCTAATACATGATGAAGCTCACATTCAAGCCTAGGCCACTTTCATCTAGACTAACTTTTAATCACACATGCTTTCAGCCTCCAATGGTCAGCCCTTATCTGTTCAAGGTCAGGCTGAAGTAATTACATGCAAATTATAGCATGTTCTTAAAGGAAATTATTTCATCAACAAATATTTTACAGAAACCAGAACTCAACTAGTAAAAGTTTTAATGAATGTTAACACTTTACTGGAGAGTTACAATTATATTCACAGAAACAAAAAAGCTGGTTTCCCTTATGGTAACAGCTAACTCTAAAATTCTTAAGAGTATATTGACTTCATTGTTTTACAACACCTAAACATTCTTTAAATGTTGTTTACAATCCAAATATTCTGATGTGAAGATGAAAGTTTTCTTACACTTACATGCAGAACAACTGAGTTCAGTAATTATGCAACGTCCAAAAGTGAGAATAAAGGGTAAAGCTGCCTAGCAAACCATTTTATCAAATTACCAAAAAATAAATTTCTATCCATGCTATCTAAATTATTTGAAATTTAAAATAGTAGAATAAAAATACTTAAGATTTGACATTAAGTCAGTCTTTTAATTTCCCTTACCTTCCTTATCCAGAGAAAAAAATATTTTTTGTGCCTTTAACACACATTCAATACATATTTGTAGAGGGCCTATTGTGTGTAAAATAGCCTCTCTTTACCGAATATTAATAATATACACACACATGCATGTGGGTATAGGTGCATGTATCATAGACATTGTAAAAATTCTAAAAACTGGGGAACGAAGAAGAAGATTCAAGTAAATTTTTAAAAAAATATTCTTTACACACACCGGGGCCTGTTGTGGGGTGGGAGGACGGCGGAGGGATAGCTTTAGGAGATATACCTAATGTTAAATGACGAGTTAATGGGTGCAGCACACCAACATGGCACATGTATACATATGTAACAAACCTGCACGTTGTGCACATGTACCCTAAAACTTAAAGTACAATAAAAAAAGTAAATAAAAATAAAAATAAACAAAAAGAAATTCTTTACCAAAGTTCCCAATTTTTCTACACATAAACATATTTTCTACTAGAATTTCACAATTTAAGAATGCTGCTGAGTGCAGTTTTCCTTTAGTCATTTTCAACCCATCCTTTTCTGAAATTGTTAAAAATCAGTGAGACAATTAAAAGGCAAATAGCTTTGGGAAAAGTAAGTAAATGGAAAATCAGTCTATACACAATATATTTAACTTAGTCAAATAGAGAAATGCCTAGGTCCCAGGTGTTACTTGTCCTGTTTAAGGCTAACCCTTCTCTCTATTTGCAAGGTCTCATTTCCTTTTATCTTCTTCCAGTCCCTCTCCCCACATCAAACATCAATTAAACCCCTCTTCTCCTGTTTCTTTAGTCTACCCCCTTGACTAATCTGGCCCCTGCATAGAATCTCCTCCATTTTAACAACAACAGCAACAACAACAATTCAAGTCCAGATCTACTCTTTCTCCTTTCTTTAATCGAGCTTATTGAAGGTATAATCAACGGACTTCCTCATTTGCATGGCGAGCTCACTTCATTGCAACTTTATTCTTGACCCTTCTGACAGCTGAAACTAGTTTAGCCAGTCACTAATGAGCCCTTAATTAATGAATCTATTAGGCATTTTTCATTTCTCATCCTACTGTATCTTTCCAAAGCAATGAGAACTATTGGCAATTCTTCTGCCTTCTTGAAACCCTCCCCCATGCCCTTCACGAAACAACTATTGTTCTTTTTCCTGCTACTTCTCTGATGACCCTCTTCAATTTTCTTATTAATGTCTCTTTCTCTGTCCATCCTTCAAGTAATGGCTTTCATTTAGGTTTCTTTTCTTTCTCATATCATAAATTGCAATGTTTCATGGATAATTTTTCACACCCCATGGCTTCACCATCAATTCATTCTGATGATGCATAAATTTACATTTCTACTTCAGATCACTTTCCAAATTAGTATGAACAATAGGGGTCTGGAACTATTTTATTCATTCTATGTCACTCAGACAACCAGGATCAGAGTTGAAATTGTAAGCCATACCCCTGCGTCCAATTTTAGTCCTGTGCTTTTTCTAACATAGCATATAGCTTCTCTAGTTCTACAATTGTATCAATGCTGTTTCAGAGAAGTAGCAGAAGAAATATAAATTCCAAAACTTTACACAAAGGCAGAACTCCATGGTGGAGCTGGGGTTTGAATACTGGGGAAGCCTAAGAGAGGTAGAAAAGAGAATTTCTAGACACAATTTAAGAATGAGGATGGAGGCTGGAAGTCCATTAAGATGAGACAGAGCACAGGGATCCATCCTTCCTGAACCAAGAAACAGATAAAATTTTTCTCCTTCACATTTTCTTTTGCCTGTATTTTCAATTACCTAATGAAACAATGAAATTTAGCTACTATTATGCTTATATTAAATCAAGGTTTCAAGTCAGCTCACTCGGTAGGTATATCTCAGTAACTGTTTAATCAGCTATGGATCAGAGTTCAGATTTTAATAGTTTTATATGATATCACAATATTAAGCACAGGAAAGAAACAAAGACAGAGATCACAGACCTCTGATTACCAACTGCCTTTTACCAGTTGTATAACATCATGTAGGAAATAGTCACTTCCCTGAGAGGGCAAGAAAGGCAGGAGCAGGAGAGAGATATGGGGAGGAGACCTACATTTCAGGTCTAGGTGGGGACCCCAGATCCCAGACATCTAGCTCCACTGTAAGTCTTAAGGATTCAGCATTTCTGGACACTGTCACTGTACACGCTGTTCCCAGCCTCAGTCTATTTATATTTATAGACTAGTTGGCTCTTTGTAGCCAGAAGACATCAACACCACCCAAATAATTATAAATATTCATAGTCAAGAGCAACTGTCTTTGTTTTTCAAAATGATAGAAATATGAAAGCTACAGTGTTTCCATTCCTGGCACCTTACAATTACCTTATTGCTGATTATGCTGATATTGTAACTATTTATTTATAAAATCTCTGTCCAAATTAACTGTAACCATTACTTTCATCAGTGCAACCTTTGTAAATAGATAATGTGCTGCTGTATTTTAACAGTAAGTGGTAGTGATGTTATACAGACATTACATCATTCAGTCACCCGTTTTGCCATCTCTACTCACACAGCAAATTTCCATGAAAAACATTAGCATCTACCCAGGATAGGCCCACTCAGTGAAGCCGTATGAATGACAATTTTACTTCAGATCTGTGAGCTTATCCCAAAGTTAAATTCAATATAGTTTTATAACTTTAATACTAAAATACATCAAAATTGGCTACCTCCTTCATAAGTTAGAGTGGTCAGAACAGCCAAATGAAATTCAAAACAATTATGATAAACCAGAGACCCAATTCCATTTGACTTATAATAACCACAATTTACTATAATGGTCCTTGGCCCTGAAGGAGAGGGCATATTCAGGCCAGACTCTACAATCCCATTCAGACACCATCGGTGGTGAGGGGTGGCAGTGCTCCTGCACTCCCTTCTACATACAGACCCTTGCTTTCAGTTCACCATGGGTCATGGGGTTTGTGGCAGTTGAAGAGTTCAATACCTGCTACATATTCAGAGTAACCCAACAGTGTGCAGCTGAATGAAAACACTGCTCCAACCACAGGGAAATTTTAATAGATGAGGTCATGCATCCCAAAGTTTCAGACATGGTACAATAAGAAGAAAAACGTGAAAAGAAGAATCTTGAGCAGAGCTCTGGGTATTTTCCAAATACTGGGAGGTTTTGTCTACCAGAAATTTTCACTGGACAGTACAGTACAATAACTCAATAATGCAGTGCCATCTTCAGTAGCAGAATACCTAGAAGTGAGATGTCTTTCTAAGTCTGCTGTTTCAAAGCAAATAATTAACTTGATAAATCATGCAAATAGAACCCTTGCTCGGCTGAATGACAAAAATATCCAGTGCATTACCTCAGCACATGGATTGGTAGAAAGATAATATGAAATGAAAGGCTTGCTTCAATTTTTAAGTATCTGCAGGCAGCAGCTGGAAAGCAGCAATATATTTCAGTTAGGAAGAGCAGCTCCTAAAATTATAATAGACTGCTCAGATTTGAAGGCAGAAGGAGAAAAGTGGGGAGAATGATATACATGGAGATAACAGCTTTTACTTATGTGATACTTATTGCTCCCGGTTTCTATCATGACAGCCAGTTAAATAGGATGCATACTGTAGACAATACCCTAATTGCCCTTGCTTTCACTAAGATACAGACTCCTCCAGGATACTGGCACTCAAATGTAGCATAGGATCTCACTGGAGGGCAACCATACAACCCAGTGGTTGACTGTTATAAAGGATAATTTCCACCAGGTACGGTGGCTCACGCCTGTAATCCCAGCACTTTGGGATGCCGAGGTGGGTGGATCACCTGAGGTCAGGAGTTCAAGACAAGCCTGGCCAACATGGAAAAACCCCATCTGGGATTACAGGCGTGAGCCACCACATCTAGCCAAGGCAGTATTTTCTATCTTTGAGTATAACAAAGTTATTCTCTGTATAGTGGTATACTTCCATTTTCCCTAAAGAATAAAGTTTGACAACATTTAATAGTAATCCAAAAATGAAAGTTATCTGTTTGTTTTTGTAGTTCAATAAAAAGGTCCAGGGACAGACGCAGTGGCTCACGCCTGTAATCCCAGCACTTTGGGAGGCTGAGGCGGGTGGATCACCTGAGGTCAGGAGCCCGGGGCCAGCCTAACCTATATGATGAAACCCCACCTCTACTAAAAATACAAAAAGTAGCCAGGTGTGGTGGCAAGCGCCTGTAATCCCAGCTACTTGGGAGGCTGAGACAGAAGAATCGCTTGAACCTAGGAGGCAGAGGTTGCAGTGAGCTGAGATCACGCCACTGCACTCCAGCTTGGGCAACAAGAGCGAAACTCGGTCTCAAAAATAAAAAAAAAATAATAAAATAAAATAAAATAAAAAATAATCCATAACACATCTGTGAAAGAGCGTTTGCCTACTATCTCAATTAATAAGTGAAGAATTAGCCATAGAGTGCATGGCAATAATTCAGTAGCTTGCTCAGGTGGCATTATCCTTTAGTCTAGAGTCAAAGGAATGCTGGTCTTTTTCACAAGCATTTTCCACTGTATTAGTTCAATTCACTGCTTCTTGAGTGGTACAAGTTAGAAGGTCTTCTTCATCAATAAATATCTATTTCAAAATAAAAACTAGTTATCTTTATAGGCAATTTTGTATTTGTTGTTGCTCAGAGTTGAATTTTACCAAGATTTTATAACAGAAAAAAGCACTTTAAGACAACCCATGATCTTCTGAGAATGACAGCGCTTAAGAGATCATTTCATAAAATCACAACATTCTAACAAAAATTTATCAAAGTTTAAGAAATTTTAACTCCTCCTATTTCCCGGGACCTGGTCGCTTTAAGTGAGAAAAACAAGTAACAGGCCAGAGTACTAAAACCTTGACACATTATCATTTCACTTAATCCTCATTTAATCTCTGTATTTCAGATGAGACACTAATGTTCTTAAAATCATGGGCCAGTAAGGGGCACAGATTTCCAACACTTTTCCTACTCAACTCCATCTCTTTGAAATTTCATCAACTAGAGCCAAAAAGTAGTCACAAAACATTGAGATGTGATGACAGCTGCTATTATATAACGTCAAGGTAAATCACTAATTAGCATTTGAGAAACATATAAAGAGTATTAACCTAATAAGTATGGTGAATATGAAGCCAGTAATTCACCTCCAAACCCATTCTTCTATGTCTTCTACTTTCCATAGCAGAATTCCTAGACTAATTCTGCAAAATGTTCATAATCCAGGACCTAATGTGTGACTCCCTTCATGTTGATATGAGCATCAATTAAACTTTTATATGCTTTTAAATAAACATTGGTGAAATTAATAGCTAGGAAACTAAAAAGTGTAGGGTGGCAATGTTATTCTACACCCTATACAACCAAAACTAGCCTTAGTTTGTTTTCAACATTGCACCGCTAGCATTAAAATTCCTTTTAGTTTTACTTATGTAAATACTACCCAACAGAGCTCCTGAGTAACATGAAATAACCTGTGTCATAATTCAGAAATACTGAATTTTTTGAAATACTGAAAATGGGATATAGGTCTCCCTCTGTCCCATTATAGCTTTCTTACACTTAAGAATTCAGAGCAAATTAAGAATAATTAACTACTTGAAATAAATATGTCTAAGTATTGAGTATCTAAATTTATAAGGACTAGCTTTCCAACCATTTAGAATGTTTCATATTTAGCATAGTTTATAGGGATTCCAGAAATTACTGCAACCATTCAATTTACAAACTCTATACTTGGGTAGTCCCTGGGCAAAACCATACATATAAAACTACTATCTCAGGAAAGAAAAATATTCACCTATGAGAGAATCTGTTCCCCTCATTTTCAGTTTGTGCCCATGAATAGTTACCTGTTTTCTTCAGTGTAACTAAACTTCCCTTTCTATATTTAAAAAACAAACAGTATTCAGTTACTTTTTGTTATTTTGTTTATAATTTTTCATAGCACAGGTGTGATTCTATGCGAGCACACTGGATGATCCTTTAAATTATAAAATGTATAAATTTCAGTTAATACAAATAAATGCATATATGTCATGAGTTGCCTAATGATGAGGATAGCTTCTAAGAATGTCACTGTAGTTGTGCAAACATCATAGGGTGTTAATTACATAAGCATCATTGAGTGTTACTCACACAAACCTATACAATAGATATAGTCTATTACATATGATATAGTCTATTGCTCCTACAATATAAACCTGTACAGCATGGTGCTGTACTGAATACTGTAGGCAGCTGCATCACAATGGTATTTTTATATCTAAATATATCTAAAAATAGAAAAGGTACTATAAAAATATAGTAGTATAATCTTATCAGATTGTATATACGCAGTCTATCATTGACCAAAACATCATTATGTGGCAAATGACTACATTTAAATAATAAAAAGTTCTTTAGTTCATCTAAATAAAGGCATTTTTGTCAATCAAATGTTGTGCAAATAGCACATTCCATAGTTTCCAGCTTATTCTCACCCAATCATATACTACCTCAACAAGTTAACAGAGTATGATACAAACCAGATTTGCACTAATATAAATTTATCTTTCGTATCTTAGAGCACAAAAGGGGACACTTTATATGTTAGGCCATTCTTGCAATTACTATAAAGAAATACCTGAATCTGGGTAATTTTTAAAGAAAAGGGGTTTAACTGGTTCACAGTTCTGCAAGCATTACCGGAAGCATGGTGCTGAGCATGTCTGCTGGGCTTCTGGTGAGGCCTCAGAGAGCTTTTACTCATGGCAGAAAATAAAGGGGAAGCGGGCATTTTACACGGTGAAAGTGGGAGCAAGGGAGGAAGGAGGAAAGTGCTACATATTTTTAAACTCTCTTACAATTGTGAGGACAGCACCAAGGGAATTGTATTAAACCCTTCATGAGAGATCTGTCTCCATGAACAATCACCTCCCACCTGGCCCCCATCACCAAGACTGGGGATTGCAATTCAACATGAGGTTTGGCAGGGATATATATCCAAATTACATCAATTTGTGTACTCAACTTGTCTTTAAACCTATGATGGGCACACAGACATAATAAGATCATTTTACATATATACTATTCTATAGAGGATTTCAAAACAAGGATCTAAATTATGCTCTTAAAGTGATTTATAAATGTAACCTTTGATTCCTCATTCACCAACAAATAAGAGAATTATTGGCTGTCCAGCTTTTTGCTCAAGCACAAAAGAAATCCTAGTTTTCACCTTTAAAAAGACAGATGGGGACCCCTGAATTTCCAGTTTGCTGAAATGAAATTTAATTGTTAGATTAAAATTTGAAAAGGGCTCATATAAAATAAAATAGCATTGGTGAATGGAGGCATAGATCACCTTTAATAACAAAATTCCAAAGAGAAAAAATTACAGAATATAAATATAAATATGTGTAAATTTTCTCAACAAAGAAAGCCCGGTACAAATACTTTCCCCAAAAGAGAGATGTCTATGTGCCAATGACACAGTATAAATTAGAATTTGATGTATTTTTGACTATTATGAAATAGGTCCTCATGAACTGAAGTTCTGCCAAAACAGAGAAGCCACGGTAGGAAGAAAAAGAATCACTGGGAATTCAGTAATGTAAGTCATATTTGCTTTAATTACCTTAACTCTATAAACTTAAAATGGTAGAATGAGGTAGGAAACCCTCTTCTGCAACATTTATTTTGTGTTACACATGAAGATGCACATCAAGCACTTGTCTGCTGCCCACATTTCTCATCCTGCTTGCAGTTAGATGGTATAATGTCACTTGTGACTAATGAGCTGTGACATGTGTTACTTCCTAAATAAGGCTTCGGAACACCCATGAAGGTTCTCCAGTCACTGTCTTTTCTTGCCACTAAGATAAAGTTCTGTGTCCCAAATGGTGCAACCACAAAATGTAGAGCCTCAGTCAGCATGAGTTTGTGGGTGACTACACAGTACAAATCCCCCCAATGACTTGCTATGCACATAACATAAATAATAAATAAATTGCCATTGTCCCTGAATGCCATGGCTAATTAGGAACTACAATACAATCTAAGTTGACTTGAATACCTTTCAAAATCAAAGAGTTGGTCATATCAATGGTCTGTTCTAAACTACTTGATAAAACAGTACCTGCCTCCATTCCTATTGCATGTCTGGAAACCTCCTTCACACCCCCATGTCTTGGCTCATAAACTGCAGTCTCACTGGAAACAGACATAAACATCATTTCTCTTTCATCTGGGAATCAGTTTGCTGAACACTCATTTCTATCTACTAGGTTTACCCCTAATGACTAACCAAATCATAGCTAAGTAAAAATATTCTCAAAACAACTCAAATAGTTTTTTAAACCCATCAAAAAGGAAGGTCTTCCTTTGTAAATCTATTTGGAGAATTTTCTGTCTTTACTTCCAGGCCCAGACTTTAGATTTATAGCACTCTCTTTTTACTTGTTGCTTTTGACAGAAGACGCCCTTCCAAATGGCATTTCTATACGTACATTCACAGTTAGTTAGTTACCATATCAGTCGATGCTACACTTCAAAAGTAGAAGGAATAGATATTTAACTGTCTCATTTTTTTATAGATGAGAGAACCAAAACTATAAGAGTTAGTAATTAGCAGAGCCAAAACCTGAACCTGAACTTTTGGGTGTTATTATTAAAACTCTATATTACATAGCCATTTATCAAAAAAAATAGACCATACTCAAATTTTATCATTCAATTTTTATAAAATTACCCAACATGAAAACTTTTTTTTATCCCTGTGATATATAACAAAATTCTAACAAAATTGTGATTCTGAGTCATGATGAGTTTCTTCAAGGCATAATTTTTCTTATACATTCTCAACTTTAAGTTTCAAATCTTAATATATTTCTTAAAAGCAAACGGCATTCAAACAATTTTTTTTATCTTGTCGTATTATGGGGGACATATTATCCCTACCTAAACTTGCCAGTTAGTTACAGAAGTTTGCATTACATTTACTGAATACTTTTTACATATAAAAACATACTTAGAAACATATAATTGATTTGAAACCTGAATGCAAACATTTCAGTTTATTGTCATGAATATCTCCCAAGTCTTGCTAAGCTTTTGGTAACATTTACAAAGGAAAGCAGAGGCCTTAATAAGGCATTGTTAAGTAAGCTTCATTAACAGTAATGATGATTGACATCTTCCAAACAAATTAAACAGACAGATAAATAAATAAATAACCTCCTCCTAAGCAGCAATTATTGGGTATTTTAAAGTATATGGATAATTATTAATCTCACCTATGATTTCACATATATAAACACAGCCTAAACTTGTACATTTTTAAGAAAAATATAGTAATGAATAGTCACAACCTTTCTCCTGCACACTGGTTTTCCTATTAGGGTAACCCAAACGCCCATGAAGTCTTTAATATTGTGAACCAAGTTTTTAAAACTTTCCTTTTCCTGTCATCTTGTCTATCTAAATCTGAGCTTATTAAACAGTGCTGCTATAAACAGTGCTGTAATAGAGTCGATGACTTCATCTTTTCCCAGTTATGGTATGAGTTTGATAAGCTATGTTTCTGTATTATTCATGGTAAATTTAAGAATAGGTTTGTAACGTAGACTGTATCTGCATATATCTGAATAGATATATTTTGAAAATGGCAAAGAATGTCTAATGAGCACTGTGATTCAACCTCTTCTGATTTCTTGGAAGTCTGTAGTGTCCTACAGAATCTAGCACAATATACAACACAAAGTAGATGTGAATAAACACTTGTAAACTTGTAAACATCATAGGCCAAATTCAGGCTTTTGTTAGGGGTACTGTCTGTATATTCAATTTTCCTAGCAATCTTATGCATATCTTTATAGACACAAACAATCAAAGTCATTTGGTCAGTTTAAAAGTCATTTCTGAGTTTAAAGTTTAAGTGCCTGAAATGTCATTTGAGATTTGATATCATTTGAATAGAGATAAGAGAAAGAAAGGCTGAGGTAATATTTAACTGAAAAGAAATGAAGTGGTAAAATAAAAATACTTCCAGAGAATAAAAACTTAGATTATAAAATGCCTTCTGAAGTCTTTTATAATTGATATGAAGTGGAGGTGGTATTACTTTTTCTAGTCAAGTGACCATTCATACTAACATGCTATAAGTTCCTCAATCGTAAATGCCCACCAGCCATGGTGTGCATAGCTTCAGCTAATGATAGCATTTTGAGCTGTATTTATGAGTTTGTTACGTAATTTGTTATCAATATCAGCCTTGTCTTTGTACTTTTAGAACACAGAGAACAGGTACCTCTCCTGGCTGGAGAGTTGAATGGCTTCCAAGCCAATGATCTTATGCAATGTTTAAGTTAAATCAGTAACAAGGAAAACCTGATAAGACTGGTTTAAAACCTAATCAGGTTTGATATCCAAATGCTAAGGTATTCTTGACTATTCTTATTAAATGCTCCCAGAAGTGCTATGGATCTAATACTTGTGACACAGTCTCAAGCAACACAGACTCATGTTTTATTAATCTCTGAATCTTTCTGCAAACATTAGGTGACAACTGAGCCAGATTTCCTCTAAGTTCAGATCAGTCACAGGGAATGAACTATTTTAGTAGAAGACAGATAAGCCTTTCCATAGAATATTCCTGATGAACTAGCCCTTACCATTAGGAAAACTTGTCAGTAAAGGGTCACACAAAGAAGCTCAAGGTAAGCACAAAAATGAAGCGAGCCTTAGACACTTTTGGGAGTACTATGCCACTCTAACTAGCTCCTTAGGTACTAAAATGCAGGTGTTAGATGATACTTTTGGAAAAGAGCAAAATAGAAAACTTGGATCACTTACGGAAAAACACTGTAGTTATTCAAGAAAGTTTCAACTAATACAACAGATGTAATTAAAACCTTTAAACTCTAAATGAAAGAATGTACATAAATATGTTTCACATCTCTTCTGTTGTTGTATGTTAAAGTTTTAATAATTTCCCTATTTCTCAATTTTAAGTATTAAATAAAAATTGTGGCTCTTCTTATACTAACAAAAACATCTCCATTTACTAAGCATCTATTTGTACCAAGTACTGGACTAAAGGGGTTACACATCTCAGACATGCAAAAGACTACTACAAAGTGGATATCACAGTATCCATTTTTATGGCTGAGTAAATAAACTCTTAAGTTTAAGGTAACTTATCCACCTCGGGATACAGAGTTGAGAAATCAATCAAGTCTATGATCCCAGAGACTGTGACAACAATGCCTTACATATTTACAGTATTAATAACACACAATGAGGATGTGGAGGCATGTCAAGTGTGCATTGAACATATATAAAACCAACTGTGTGGGTTCATGAAACATAAAAGAGAGTGAATTAAAATCATGGTGACAGTTTGCCTGCTTTTAGACTTAATGAGCATGCAAGTCAGATTGCAAACACAGATCTGCTATTCCCTTCATCATGTTACTTCCCTCCTACCTCTCACAGTATTAGCTTCTTTGGATTCAGAGGATGACTCCAGCGTTAGAAGATAGATATCTTCATAGAAACAGGCTCCCAACACCAAGCAAACTTCTCGTTTGATGCTCAGCAGCCCCAGCACTGCAGGGAAGCTAGCTGGGTTGGACCTACTATATTATAGTACCTTGGTCTCTATGTGCCACCTTCTTTAAGGATGTAAACTCCATAAGCGAAGAATAATCTACTACTCTGTTGACTTTTCTAACCCCATGCCTGGTATATGGTAGGCCCTTAATAAATATCTGTTGATGTATGGTTAATTTAAATGCAGTTCTACTATATTCTGCATGCTGGTTTTCCAACACTGACAATTGGCGACGCTGAATTATCCAGGACTCCATCCCAAACCCTCCCCATTTAATTCTAACCAGTTTGTCAGCATTTACTTAAAGAGAGATTTCCAATATCACAGGATTCTAGAATCCAAGGAGTATGTAAAACCAGCCATTAGAATACCCACTTGGGCCCAAAGTAGTAGAAGGCTCAAAGCCAACTATCGACAAATTCAGTGACTTAACCTAATGTATCCAATATTATCCAACCTGACATAACTTGCAGCACTTTTAAAAACACCAATACCCTGGCCCTCACTTAAATTTAAGTGGTCTCAGGGCGGGCCTGGCACAGTTTGCTTTCTTAGCTTCCAAAAGAATCTAAACCGTCAAGTATGATCACCTCTGACCTTTGACTAATCTCCGAATCAAGTGTTGGCACAAGGCCAATACTACAATAAAAGATAATATTAAGTATGGTGATAGAGAGCATTTCTCCTTCTAAATTATTTCATATATAAATCAAACCACTAACTTGGGCCTCATTAATACTAGGTCCCTACATCAAACACAGGTTTCTTAGCACATAATAGCAATACTGAAATGGAAACCATTAACTACTATAAAAATTACAAAGTAATGTCCTACTTGAGAGTTTGAGAGAGCCTTCGGGAAAAAATATTCTCACTTTAATGATTTACAATGTTAGTTCAATTTTATAAAGCAATTAAATGAAGCAAATCCAGTACTTAATTTTTGAAATTTGACTCTCTAATGTGCATACATAACCTTCCCATGTTCACAATAAAAAATAATGCAAAATGCACAGATGTCCTCTCATTCCAAAATTGCTGAGTTTGTTTTGTAAGTCACTGGATTTAAATCTACAGGTGTCAGAAAATTAACAGGTCCCAATTTCACTGAAATATAGACATGAAAAGCAAAGGCTCACACACAGGGACAACAGAAAGCAGAGACTAAATTTAATGAATAAATTTAGGGTGACAGAGAGCAGAGAATATAAACTGAAGGAGGAACTAAGATGAAAAGAAAGGGATAGAGCCATGATCAACACTTACTCTATTTAAACAAACAAAACAAAATCCATTCATGTAAGAGGAATTCCAATAAAAGGAGAGATGTATTAACAATAAACTGTTCTGTTAAAAAAGAAAAAAAAAAAACGTCAAAGTGCAGACAAATCTGTGACGAGGCCAATGACCAAGATCCTGCTTTTACTGGTTGCTTCCTCTGACTAGTTGGAGCTTCCTTTGAATAATCCTAATTTTCCCCCAATGAAACTTTATCATTCCTGTCAACTCACTTCCAATTTATTTTTAACACAAAATAAATGCTACTAACTCAAGATTGCTACTAACTGGAATGAGGAGTATCTGAGTCAGAAATTATTTTCCTTTAACTCTTTAGGACCACAAAACCTAGAGTGAGGGGTGAGCCATGACAATTGTCACCTTAACTCCAAGTAGCTACGTGCTCTTCACCAAGCAAGTACTGCTACTTCTCTGCAACTAAGTTTCCATGTCTGTAAAGTAAGGCATTTGGACTAGGTTTCTACAGTACTCTCTAGTTCCAAAGTACAATACAATTATAGACTACAATAATGGTCTTTAAAATTCAGGCACCAGGAAGTCTTTCCATTATTCAGAGGCTATAGAAGAATAAAACTCTTCACTCTATTTAAAAAAACAAAACAAAACAAAAAACAAACAAACAAAAAAAAAAACACACACACAGCAATAACAACAAAAAAATCACCCAAGAGCTAAACTACATAGTTGACTTAATTCACGTTCTTTTAAAGAGCCTTGGCTTTGCATGCAGTTTAAATTCTACCATCACTTCACAAGTCAAGTTTCCTGCCTTTAAAAGATATATTACACATTTTACCAAGGGAAAGAGGTTATTTCCCCATTACTGTCCCACCACTCTTTCCTTGAAATTTTACAGAATCATTTCCCACTTCTATATTCCTGAAGAAAAGGTGGCAGTTTTGAGAAGTGCAGTAATGATTATAGAGAGTGAGCTCTTTTCCAAAGTACAGTTTAACTTTGAAGAGAAAAATGAAAATATTCCATATGTAAATAACGTTTAAAGGCAGGGAACCCCAGGTAAAACCTCAGATATAAGAACAATATAGATAGACATTTTACAAGAACAATATAGATATTTTATAAGACATTCAAAATATATCAGATCCTGGTCTGATAAATAGGAGTTTAAGTTAGGCTTCTACCTGGTAAACAAAATACTGCATGTGAAAACTGACTATTCTTTATTCTTAAATTCTTGACATACAAAAGAATATTTAAAGAAATTTAGCTGTATTCCATGTTCAAAGAATTATATTTAGTAGGTTAAATGTTAATAAATTTATAGAAATTACTGTCTTCCAAACTCACATGTATTGAGAAGCTGAATAGATTATGAAAGTTTAGCAATTTTTTAAAAAGCTTTAGAAATTCATTTAATTTTTAACCTTTCTCTCATATTTTAGTAAATGCTCTTATGGCATATGCCACAAAGACGTGGATGCCATGTTTCTGAAGAATATTTTATAGCTATGCTAGTGAGGAAATCTATTCCAGAACTGAGCACTTTGTTCCAATGATGGGAGGTAAGAGGATAGTAGCAAACAGAAGTTCCTTTCTTCTAAAGCAGACAGTCTTGTAAGAGAAAAAAAAACATTCAAACTTTGAAACCATTCAAAACTTGAAACCATTCAAAATATTTATGGTCTAAATAAACATTTGTTAATTTTTTACCATGTAGAAGATTAAAAGCAAAGCTTGAATGGACAGGATACAATAATGAGCAAGAAATGAAAGCTGCATTTCAGAGGCTTAGAGTTTACAGAAAGGACATATCATTTGTTCCCTTGCACATAACAGAATCAAAATAAATATTTTTAAAATAAGTATTAAAACAAAAAGTGGTTCGACGATAATAGCTTGTGCATATTGTAGTACTTGCCTTCCACCCACAGAGCTTAATGTACTAAATTACAAACATCATCATCCACCAGGGCATCCCTGTTATTGATGTAGCTGGAAAGTATTAGTCATTCCTTACTCAAATGAGGAAAAGATTTTGGAAGGTTAAATTAGTTGCTCACAGCTACAGAATAAACAGTAAAATAGGGAATAGAACTCAGGGTCCCCTAAGCTATTGCCCCTGATATACATTTTTTCATTTCCTAAATAAAATATTTCTCCTTTATAGGCCTTTAGGGTCTCAAATATTTTTTCATAGTAATATTATTCATGAAGCAGTGCCTTTTTAACATCAAGATAATTCATCATATCATCTTAGCTTTTTTTACTTTAAAATCTACTTAAATGAGCATTACTTTTCTCATAAAAAATTTCTACCAGTAAAACTGTTAGGTTTTAAATTCAGGATTATCACATGATAGTTCAAATTTTTATATAAAAGTCCTATCAAAAATCATCATTTGTAAATATGTTTTAGACTTTTGTTATTACTATTTTTAAAGTCAATTCATCTCACAAAAAAGCACGCTTAGCTTATTACTTCAAAGATTAAAAGATTCCCTTCATGATTTATTACCAAAATTCATCATTAAAGTCAAATCTATTTGCCTTGCAAATAATTTTAAATATTTGGTTCCAAGCAATAGCACCAACACTACTAAATACAAATCATGTTTTCCCTTTTTGTCCTTTGTTAACATCAGCAATAAGTTTACCATGTCTTGTGGCTATTGTTTCACTATACTTGAATTCTTAGAAGATTTCATTTGCCTCAAAACATTTCAAGAGAACAATATGAACAACTCAATTACAATCAGACAACTCAGTGAAATGAAACTGAATACAGAGAAATACTAGGATTTGTCTATGAATTATACCACGCTTTCCCACGCTCTTCCACTCTCACCACCCAATCAGCAAAAAAACTCAAAAAACACTTTCTTTGTCTTCGATTATTTCCCTTTACAATTATTATACTGTCGATTCATTTTATTAGTTACATCTGTTTCATCAGTTTGGACTCTATCTGTACCATAATGTGAAGTTAGTATAAAACAAACGGCTACTTCAATATCAATCAAATGAAACAACACTTTTATTGCCAAGCATTTCTAACTCAGATTGATAGCTTGTTAGCATATGATAATTTTACGTATTCTCATAAAAAGGTTTAATGCAATCTAGATTTAGTATTTTGACTACAGTTTCAATGTTGTCATTACAGATTTGAACTATAGTTCTACTATTAGTTACTATTAAAACCTGGAACACTTCAAAATCCATTACAATCTGCTGCTGTCATTCTCACACTTCATCAGCATATTTCAACAGTAGTTCATACTTTGGTTAAAGAGCCTCCTTCCTTCCAACTGTGGTTGTGGAGTCAACTCTAAGATACTGAAAGAACCCTAACTACTAACTCACCCAACCAATCACCATCTTTATCTTTTCTGAAAAACAAATAAATGCAATAATCTCAAGAAAGCAAGGCCAAATGCAGCCAGGCACCATGATGCACACCTGTAGTTCCAGCTACTGGGGGAAGGGGAGGCAGGAAGATTGCTTAAACCTGGGAGGTCGAGGCTGCAGTGATCCGAGATCGTGCCACTGCACCCCAGCCCTGGTGACAGAGTAAGACCTTGTCTCAAAAAAAAAAAAAAAGAGAGAGAGAGAGAAGCCATTCCAGATTTCATTCTTCATCACCAATTTCTCAGCTTTTTAATTACTCTGCTTAAGCTATAAATTCAATGGCATTTTAGTACAAGAAAAACTGGTTAGAGATTAGGACCTCCGAGGCACACAACTGCATGAAATGACATTTGCCTAGTTGACCTATATGTGTCCATTATTTTGGTCCTTTCCAGTTACTGCTTTTTCTCTCACATCAACTTAGTGATTCCCCTAGCTCTAGCCCCAACTTCTCGTTCTGTTTCCAAGTTCTGACTATAAGACTTTTATTTTAAATTGTCAAATAGAGTTTTTCAGAAATAGGTCTGCTAGCAGTTGCCTATAGCATAACAAAGGAATGGACTTCAAAAGCATGGCAAAAGAATACCAGGAAATGGTGATAAAAATAAATTAGAAGTGAAAAAGTAGAATTCAGGGAGAATCTGTAGAAAGGAAATGATTTTTTTAACGCTTTGGGTGTGGTAATTAAAATCATGTTCACCACAAGAACACTCAGGAACAAAAGAATCAAGTCAAAAATCAGGATTCAGTTTATTCCAACATTCAATGTATCAGGAAAACCAAAGATAAAGTGACAGAGGTACATTAGGCACATTGTATACATTGTTCATTTAATCCTCAAAGAGAATTTCCAAAGAGTTGAAAAGCAGGCCAGAAACCTAAGGGTAAATAAGGTCTATACCTGTAGTTGGTCTTTCCTATTAATACTTGATTTTAGGTTACTGAGGACAGATAATGATAATAAGGAGAGTTGATTTTCATTATGTTGTATTTTAAGTGCCCACACATGATACTCTGACAGGCATGAATGACTGGTATAAATGGCTACTCCATAGTACATGGAGAAGACCCCTACCTGGCTCTCAGAAAAGTGTCTAACTTTTCAGCACATCACAAACACATTTCTGGTAAGTCAGTGTCCTGAGTTTTTTCACTATAGCCTGCCAAATTTTGAAAAGAAAAATGGAATGAGGAAATGAACAGAACTGAGTACTCTGATATACATGAGTATGTGTGTGTATATGTGAATGTACCATACACTGTAATGCTGGGAACTAATGAGGGAGGTAATTTTAAAAAAAAAAAAAAATGGTGACCTAGGACTGGAAACATTCCAATGTATTTTTTTAGTTAGCATTTCCCAGTAAAAGCACAAAGTCTATGTGGCAAATGTAAGGGCCTATCAAAGACATTGTGCTAAAACTGCTAACCAACCAATTAGAATTATTCCTAGTGGTCACATATTCTTTTTAGAATTTTTCTATATACTATTTAAATAAAGTTGCAAGGCTTAGTCCTTGGACTTGACTCTTTGCAAAGCTGCGTTAGTTCACATTTTGATGTGCAGCACACAGATATCAATTAGGCACAGATGCATATGCAATAATCTACAAACAAAATCAGGATAACCTATTGCAACACAAAGTGCTACAAATGGTAGACACAAAACACGCACATCCTCACACACAATGCCTTGGCTTCCATTACATTGATGTTTATCATTAGTTGTATATTAAAATCACCTATGGGACTTTAAATACTAGTCCTAACTCAAACCAAATATACAGAAGTTTCTGGGGGTGTGGCATTAATCCTTTATAAAGAATGTCTGGTTTTTCTAAAATGCAGCCAGCTTCGAGAACCAGTGTTTCATAACTGTCTTACAACATTGCCTCGATGTTGCTTGAAATTATCTTTTCTTCTAGGCCTAGTATTCTGATTTTTCATTATGCTAATACTAACAGATAACATTACAAAGTGCTAAAGGTAACTATGCGATCAATATGCACCTATGCACAGTGGTCTAGAATGCAGGCTTCTCCATCTTTCATTCACCATTGTGGTAGTGATCACTCCAAATTTCTGTTTATGACACAAATCTTTGCCTGCCCATGAATACCCTTTAGTCTCAGTACTAGCAGTAGTTATCATTCTCTTGAGCAACAAAATTGTTTCTATTAATATTTGATTATATTTTATCTTATGTTACAATTAATTGTATTCCATTTCTTACTACATAAAACAAGAAAGGGTAAAAAGGCTTCAGAAATACAGATGTAGCCCCCATCCTCTGATTTTCCAGTACCTTTCCAGTACACATTTTAATATTAATCTCACACCTTGTTTGTTATTTATTTTCCTTCTTTCATGGATAAAGACAGAAAGGTAAACAGACGTTTAATCATTCTACCCTAAGTTCACCTGAATCATTCTCAGAATTTATTGATATATTTCTCAATATAGTGCATATTCCTCTGATGGCACAGTCCACTACTGCTTAGTTTCCTTTGTACATTTCTCTAAATCTTTGAACTCTAAACACTGGAGTAATGCATGTGTCGGTCCTTGCAACTCTTCTGCTCTCTATTCGTACCTATACCATTGTGATTTCATCCAGTCTCATGGTTTCAAAGACCATCTATACAATAAAGACTCCAAAGTGTGTATCCCCAGCATAGTCCTCTCCCCTGATAATCAGACATGCATATCGATTAAGTATTTCAAACTTAACATCTCTAAAACCTAACTCCCATTCTTCCCAAACATCTGCCCCTCTCACATTCATCCCCATCTCAGCTCATGACTATTGTGTCCTTCCCAGTGCTCAGGCTAAAACAATATTCACTCATCCATGACTCCTATCTTTCTCTCACACCAGAAATCCAATCCGTCAGCAAATTCAATTTACCCTAATATTTAATAACCATCTCTGATTATATCCTGGCCCCAAGTTATAATCTTCTCTGACTTGGATTATCACAACTGCCTAATAGCTAGTTTCCCTGATTCCACCCTTGTCCCATCCCAATGTCTACTCTCCACATCCCGCACTCAGTATGACCCTGTCAAGATAAAATCATGTCACTCCATTTAGAACTTTGTGAAGTACTGATAATAGCCATATACAATCAGTCCCCTATTACTACTCTGACTTTATCTCCTATAACAATGCCTTCCACTCTTTTCTTTAAACCAAATTGGTCATCTTATTCTTCCTCAAATGCCAGGCATGCTCCTAGTTCAAGGACTTTCCACTTGCTGATCCCTATGCCTGGAATGCTTTTCCCCTAGATAACTGCATGGATACTCCTCCACATCTTTTAGGTCTTTAATTTTCTCCATGGTACTTAGAAACACTGCATTATTATTATTATTATTATTATTATTATTATTATTATTATTATTATCCTTTTCCCCATCAAGGTATAAGCTTCTCTGGGGCAAAGAATTTTGTCTATTTTGTTCACGGATTTAGCCCAAGTGCCTGGAAGAATACCTGGCACACAAACTGTATAAGTTTGTTTTCATGCTGCTGATAAAGACATACCTGAGGCTGGGTAAATTATGCAGGAAAAGGGGTTCAATGGACATACAGTTCCACGTGGCTAGGGAGGCCTCATAATAATGGCAGAAGGCAAGGAGGAGCAAGTTATGTCTTACATGGATGGCAGCAGGCAAAGAGAGCTTGTGCAGGGAAACAACCTTTTTAAAAAAAAAAACATCAGATCTCATGAGACCCATTCATTATCACGAGAATAGCATGGGAAAGACCTGCCCTATGATTCAATCATCTCCCACTGGGTCCCTCCCACAACACATGGGAATTATGGGAGCTACAAGATGAGATTTTGGTGGGGACACAGCCAGATCATAACATTCCATCCCCGGCCCCTCCGAAATCTCATAACTTCATATTCCAAGCCAACCATGCTTCCCAAATAGTCCCCCAAAGTCTCAGCTCATTTCAGCATTAACTCAAAAGTCCACAGTCCAAAGTCTCATCTGAGACAAGGAAAGTTCCTTCCATCTGTGAGCCTGTAAAATCAAAAGCAAGTTAGTTACTTTCCAGATACAATGGGAGTACAGGCATTGGGTAAATACAGCCCTTCCAAATAGGAGAAATTGGCCAAAACAAAGGGACTACAGGACCCATGAAAGTCCAAAATCCAGCAGGGCAGTCAAATCTTAAATTCCAAAATGAGCTCCTTTGAATCCATGTCTCACATCCAGTTCATGTTGATGCAAGAGATGGGTTCCCATGGTCTTGGGCAGTTCCACCTCTGTGGCTTTACATGCTATAGCCCCTCTCCTGTCTGCTTTCATGGGTTGGCATTGAGTGTCTGTGGCTTTTCCAGGCACACAATGCAAGCTGTCAGTGGATCTACTATTCTGGTGTCTGAAGGACAGTGGCCCTCTTCTCACTGCTCCACTAGGTGGTGCCCCAGTAAGGTACTCATTGTGGGGGCATCAACCCCACATTTCCCTTCCACACTTCCCTAGCAGAAGTTCTCCATGAGGGCCCCACCCCTTCAGCAAACTTCTTCCTGGATATCCAGGCATTTCCATACAGCCTCTGAAATCTAACTGGAGGTTCCCAAACTTTAACTCTTGACTTTCATGTACCTGCAGGCTCAACACCATGTGGAAGATGCCAAGGTTTGGGGTTTCCACCCTGTAAGGCAACAGCCAGAGCTACCTTTCAGCCATGGCTGGCATGACTGAAACACAGGGTACCAGGTCCCTAGGCTGCACAGAGCAGGGAAGCCTTGGGTCCGACTCACAAAACCATCTTTTTCTCCTAGCCCTCTGAGCCTGTGATGGGAGGGGCTGTTGTGAAGACATCTAACATATCCTGAGACATTTTCCCCATTGTCTTGGTGATTAACATTCGGCTCCTCATTACTTATGCAAATTTCTGCAGCAGGCTTGAATTTCTACTCAGAAAATGAGATTTTCTTTTCTATCACATTGTCAGGCTGCAAATTTTCCAGACTTTTATGCTATGTTTCCCTTTTAAAACTGAACACCTTTAACAGCACCCAAGTCACTCTTGAATGCTTTGCTGCTCAGAAATTTCTTTCACCAGATAACCTAAATCACCTCTCTCAAGTTCAAACTTCCACAAATCTCTAGGGCAGGGGCATAATGCCACCAATCTTTTGCTAATACGTAACAAGAGTCACCTTTGCTCCGGTTCCCAACAAGTTCCTCATCTCCATCTGAGACCACTTCAGTCTGGATTTCATTGTCGATATCATTATCAGCATTTTGGTCAAAGCCAAATGTCAAAGCCCAAGTCAACAGGTCTCTAGGGAGTTCCACACTTTCCCATATTTTCCTGTCTTCTTCTGATCCCTCTAAACTGTTCTAACCTCTGCCTGTTACCCAGTTCCAAATCATTTCCATATTTTTGGGTATCTTTTCACAGCACCTCACTCCTGGTACCAATTTACTGTATTAGTCCATTTTCACACTGCTGATAAAGATGTAACGTACCTGACGTTGGGTAATTTATGCAGGAAAAAGGGTTTAATGGACTTACAGTTCCATGTAGCTGGGGAGGCCTCACAATCATGGTGGAAGGCAAGGAGGAGCAAATCACATCTTACATGGATGGCAGCAGGCAAAGAGAACTTATGCAGGGAAACTCTCTCTTTTTTAAAACCATCAGATCTCGTAAGACCCATTCACTAACACGAGAATAGCATGGGAAAGACCTACTCCCTTGATTCAGTCATCTCCCACCAGGCCCCTCCCACAACACATGAAAATTATGGGAGCTACAAGATGAGATTTTGGTGGGGACACAGAGCCAAACCATATCATGTACCATTAAATATATATTTGTTAAATGAATATATGACTGACTTGTAAGTAATAGACAACTGGAACTGCCTAAATTTTCTTCATCATAGTACTTTGATTTGTATTTCAAAATCATATTCAGCATCTTGAGAAAAGTTAAAAGGGATATGAAAGTGATCAACTTCATTAAAGCAAGAAGCAACCAACAAAAAAAAAAGAAAAAAAACCCAGAATCAAAGTTTACTAGATAAAGAAAATGTTCTTAACTACAAAATAAATGGAAAAAAAAAATGTCCTAATTAACATGGAAGGTCAACTAAAATGAGAACTACATGTAATTTTCACTTACTCTACAGACTTTAATCAACTTCCAAACTGTTACAAGCATATAAATTAGGCTGAATTTTAAACACATTAGAATTCTTTCTTTCTTACTGTTGAAAAAGAGCACATGTTTCTTTGCTCTGCTTAACTCCAATATAGTCAAGAATTATATTTCAGAAGTAATCTGTGATCATGGTTTGCTTTTTAGACTGTGTTTCACAAATCTTCACAAAAATAGATTGAATTTAACCACAAATATTAAGGTGAAAGTTATATTTCAATAAATATAAACCATAAGTTACTTTCATCTCTATATGTAATTAAGAAATTATTACATTTATGAACTAGAAAACAAATATAATTAAGTAAAACATAAGTTAGGCCTTGCTTCTGGACAAAACTGAGTAGTTCCTATTGAACCAATCTTCCCAAAGATAACAATTATAAATAACAGAATTTTCGGATGTTTGATGCAGCATTAATTTTGAAAGCAAAACAAAAAATGTACATGCTATCTGGTCATGATTTCATAAGTAAATATACACAGACACACACAGAGATGTACATACAAACAACAATGCACACAAACATAGACTTAGAGGTAACAAAAAATGACATCAAAAGATTGATGGTGATTTTCTCTTGGTTATGAGACTTATGTATAATTTCCATGTTTTCTAACCATTTTTGTTTCATTCATATACATGTACAAATGTTAAAATAAGAAAATAAGCATGAAAAAAATTTCCACTGAAAATACAAATAAAGAAAAGTCTTGAGAAAAATACCTTTCAGGAATCTGACTATAAAAATTAGATTCTAAAATAATTACTGCTAATGTATATGCATAATCGTTCAAAGAAGTCCAAAGAATACTATGTGAAATATGCCATATAACTGAAAATATATACGTATCTCACTTTTGGAGAAATTTTACAGAGCAGAATTTTGTCACTTCCTGCTTTCATCTATTTTCTTCTTATAAATGCTGTTTTCACCTATGCATAAATATCTTCTAGTTTTATCTCCACTCCAATATAATTCTTACCCTATGCAAAGTTCAAGTAAGATTGAAAATAACAGAGGAAAGTAATGAGTTACTTGCTATTGTTAAAATGACCTTAGAGATTAAACTTTAAGAAGCTATTTTAATTATTGAATGTCTATCACAGTAAAGTACTATTCAAGGCACTATTAAGAAAGAAAGAATATAATATAGTACCTGATTATTTGCCACTTGCCTCATCTTCCTGATATCTTTCTACTAGTCTGTCTAGTTTCTGACTAAATGTTCTACTCCCTGTTCTTTTTGGAAACTGGTGACTCCAAGTTCAGCTACTTTATTTGAACATACTCCAGTTTACTGGTTCTTCCTTTCTACTCTCTCTATCTCTGTACTCTGCCATTACTACCTAGAGTCATGGGATAAAATACCATGAATCGAATAAATGCTATATGATGCACTGCCATGAACCATGTGATTGAGTCTCATTCTTTGAGATATTGACTAGTAAAATGACATGGAATAATTAAAGATCCAAGTATCAATCCATTTACATTACCAACACAATACACTTGTTACTTCGTGAGATTATAAAAACATACTTCAACTGTTTTCAAAGTATGTTCACAATCATGTATTATTTTGGTTCTTACAACTACTTTCTGGGAAAAGAAGGACAAATAGGAAAGTCTTGATTTTACCTTTAAGAAAGAGAGGACAATCTGTCCATGTCATGTGGTGTAAGTGCTAGAGTCCAGAGCCTCAGTCTTCCAAGATAAGAAGTTCTTTGGCAGAAATGCCTCAGTTGCTTTCTTTTACTTCATAAGGTATTGAAGAAAAGGAACAATTTTTTATATTTCCAAAAACAGCAAATCCTTTACAGCTGTAGATATTCTCAGACTCTTATGAAACATTTGGTAAGTCACATGTTCCTTTCTAACACTAGTTGGCTAGACAGAGGGAAAAAGCCTTGACCTTCCAGGGCATTCACTTTAGGAATGGATGGCAAACTGTCTGTTTATTTTGTTATTTCATAATATTTGCTATCTAATATTTTGTTGTTTAATAATATTTGTGTGCTTGTTGGTTTGTTTTTACTTATGTCTTTAATTGTAATAATCAACATTAAGTTGCAAGAAATGAAAAACACAATGCTCAAAGTAATTTATCTAAGCATTCCCATGGACAATAGGTTAAGTATATGGAAGAAAAAGGATGAAGGGGATTTTCCAAACCCTGCTCAGCCTGGATGTAAACCCTAGCAAACGGGCTTTCATCTCAATAGTATAGCAAAAGGGACATAAAAAAGATGTGTTCATCAATAACAGAAAAAACCTACAGATATTAGCCTCAGGAGAGAAAAAAATTCACACAATAATTCTTTGAGAATAAAGAATTTTACATCCTTTAAATTCTGGATATAGCTAACTCTCCTTGAAAGGATGAAAATAAAATTAAAAGGGTGCAAAGGAGACTCTGTAGAAAAAAGTATCAACTTTGATTGCATCAGCACAAGATACCAGACTTGGAGATGAGCAAAGTGGGAGTTTTGTTTCCCCTTATAAACGCAACCTTCCCCAAGGGCTGTGCCTTAGAGACCTGTTCAATGTTGTACTCTATAGAATTCTGCTACTATTCTGCGTGATTATTCTGATATTCTGTGTCTAATACATTCTTGGAAAATCACACACCTTCCTACACACAGACATACACACACACACACGTGTGTGTGTGTGTGTGTGTGTATGCAATATTACACTTTTAAAGGGTTTATAAACCCCGTAAACACATCCATGGAGCTGCAGGTTTAAAGGAATCTGCATTTGACATACAAAGTAACTGAAAATACATTAATTATCATAGTATGTAAAAGGGACCTACAAAGAGCAGAGAGAATTTATCCTTCTCTCATTCTTCAACAGACGTAACCAAGGCACAGGTAAGACAGCCAACCTATCAGATTTCTCATTTTAGAACAAGAATTCGTAGCTAACAATCTGGGCACAGCCCAAACATCTGAAAACAGGTTAAAAAATTACTCAAATATGTAGAATCCAAGTAAGTATCTTACAAGTTCTACTGTAAGCCATAAAACCAAAATCTGTTTGTGCAACAGAATATCCAGATTTTTAAATATATGACAATAAACTCTATCAGACAGTTTTAAACCCATTTTTTTTCAAATCTAGATATTTGCTGGTGCTTGCTTGTGTTTTTGCAGTGTGAGATACTTTTAACAATTTTTCCAGTGTCTCAGCTTTAAATGTTGTTGCATAACTTCTTCCTTGGCCTTATGACATTATAGACTGCAGCTGCTGTCAACATTAAGTAAAATTCAAAGTAAAAGGGTGTATTTCATTAGAAAATTTTTTAATTAGAATGACCACAAAGCAATTCAATAACCCACATGGAATAACTACATAAAAACAGTCTTAAGACTTGAGAAATAATAAACCTTTTCCCAAACTATTTCCATACCTCATTATTCTATCTTTGTTATAAAAATCATTTCTAGATATCATTATGCGTCAGAGTGCAAAGCAACTGTACTCAGTGAGCAATTATATAACAAAGGTGATTTTCAGAATTGGATATAAAATAATTCCTAATGAGCTACTGAAATATTGTGATGAGAAAGTGCAATTTATTCCTTGCTTTTAAAAAAAAAGTAAGTGAAAGAAATTCAAACCAATTTCTTATAGATTAATGAGATTACTAACCGGCCGTGTCACCTTGGGCCAGAGGGAAGGAGGCAAATATTATTCATTCACCATCAGCTACATCCCAGATACTACCAGATACTGCACTCTGTATTTCATTTCACTGGTACAACAACATTTACAGAGAGAGAGAGAAATGTTATTATTCCTAATTTACTGATGGGAAAATGGAAGCTAAGAAAGGTTGTATGTCATGACCAAATCTCAAGCAATAAAACCTAGATTTAAATTCAGGTTACTCAGGTTCCTGTGTCAGTTTGCCTATTTCTACACTATTCTTTATTTGTAAAACGGAAGTTTAGACTAGAGATAATCTATAGAGTCTCTTTCAGATTTAACAGAAATTAATTTCAGGCCAGGCATGGTGGCTCATGCCTGTAATCCCAGAACTTTGGAAGGCTGAGGTGGATCACTTGAGCCCAGGAGTTTGAGACCAGCTTGGGCAACATGGCAAAACCCCATCTCTACAAAAAAATACAAGAATTAGCCAGGTGTGGTGGCACACACCTGTAGTCCCACTTGCTAGGAAGGCTGAGGTGGGAGGACTGCCATGACTGTGACACTGCACTCAAGCCTGGGCAACAGAGCAATACCCTATCTCAAAAAAAAAAAAAAAAAAAAAGGAAAAAAATCAATTTCAATAATGTTGAAAGTATTATAATGGTGCTAGTACCAAAATGGTTTATATGATATGCTGAGTTTGGAGATTCTGTGTGTAAAAATACTAGGAAAATTGAGCACAAAGAACTATGACTTCTATTATAGAATACTATCTTTTCAACTATATGTAATCATGTGTCCATTTAAAAATGGACAATAAATATTTAAAAGCAGCATAAAGAAAACCTATATGAAAATTCTTTTTTTTTTTTTTTTTAATAGAGTCTCACTCTGTCACCCAGGCTGGAGTGCAGTGGTGTGATCTCGGCTAACTGCAATCTCTGCCTCCCGGGTTCAAGAGATACTCCTGCCTCAGCCTCCCAAGTAGCTGGGATTACAGGCACGCACCACCATGCCTGGCTAATTTTTTGTTTGTTTGTTTGTTGTTTTTGGTTTTGTTTGTATTTTTAGTAGAGACGGGGTTTTACTATGTTGGCCAGGCTGGTCTCGAACTCCTAGCCTCAAGTGATCCTCCAGCCTCAGCCTCCCAAAGTGCTGGAATTACAGGTGTTAGCCACCACACCCAGCCAAAAATTATAAATTGTTTTTATTGACCATCCATTTCTCTTTATTTCTTCCACTCTAATGATTTCTTGGGACCTATAGGTGTCCACTTCCTAAACATAGATGTAGAGCATTTGAAATTTCAAAACAACTTTTGTACCACTGCTACTGGTTCAGTAAAAGAACTGCTCAGCCTGCGAAAATAAGAAACTAACATAAATGTCATCCTATTTTTTAAAGGGCTTATATAAATTTTATTACTAGGGAGAAACTTAGACTTTATCATAAGGAATGTGACATATGGCAACAATCAGCTCTTCCCACTGGCTTTTCTTCATTGACTTCAATTTTGAGTCAAAGAGAACAGAAGAAATAGTCACCACTGCTAAGCTAAGAAGAGTCTGTTTCTTGGTTCCAGTGGCAATGAAAATACCTGAATAATCCAGTTTAAAAAATCGAAATCAGTGCTTATTACATAAAGCAACATGTTCTTGTCACAATAGCATCCTTAATAGCAAAGTTTAACTATAAGACGTAACATGAAAAATATAATCTTCCAATACTGGGGCAAAGATCTAAACTTCCAAAGATTTCATGTAACATGCAGAAAAAAAAACATAAACACCATCAGTAGAATATTATTATAGTGTTATACGGGGCTGGAATTAAACCCACTCAGACAATCCTCTTGACCAGATCCATCCTATTCATTCATCTACGTTAAAAAGCTTCAAAAGGCCATTTTGCAATAGTATAGTGCATTAACAACAGTTAAATTCAAATCATTTTCTAAAATATTCCCCTTTTTCCTTTGTGTAAATTTATCATTCCATTTATGTATTCATTCAAAAATAATTTGAGTTCCAACATACTTATGTGTTCCAGAAGAAAGTTGAGAAAATCATGTTTCTATTTTTAAGCTTTTGAGCTATTCATAAAACAGTTATTTATCATAGGTCTATGTGCCAAACACAGTGCTAAACTGCACAACACTGAACGGTGGTATTGTTTCACCTTATTCTTAAGTATCAATTTCTTAATTCTATTGTCAAGAACAGTGTGGTTTTATGAACAATAGCATATCTTTAACATTGTTTTAACTATCATTATAGCCACAAAAGTAATAAGTCAAAATCATTAGTAGATTACATTCAGAAAAAATATTTTGACAGTTTAAACACATTTTTATTTTCTATAAAACATTAAGTTAAATTATTTCTTAGTCCCATATAAAGTAAAGCAATATACTAGAAACATGAGAAAAATTAAATACCCAAATGCTTTATACAGCTATTATTGAATTTATTTCTTAAACTTTTCAGAGAAGGATAATTTTTTTGTTACTTTAGCTGCTACTTTAGGAAATAAATTCCTATCCTTTTAGGCTTGCTCATTACCAACAATTACATCAAAAATACAATTTCAAATTAACTTTTCCCTTCCTAATAAATATTCCTTCTCATTCAAGACTCACTTTGACAACTGGTTGAAGGGGGACTTCTCATAGATATGTTCCACACGCACGATAGTCCACAAAATGTTGGCCTTGTCCATATTTTTATCAATAGAAAACTTTTCTTGGTTTAAAAACCAAATTTAATGGAGATATTTCTCAACATATAACTTAATAGAGATATCTCGCAATACAAAGATTTTTGGACAATATTTCTATTTTTTTTTTCCTGAGAAAGTATTTTTACTTATGACTCAAAAACTCAATATAATATGTAAATCAGGGGTGTCCAATCTTTTGGCTTCCCTAGGCCATACTGGTGTTAGGCCACATTCAAAGCTATCCTAGGCCACATGTGGCTGGTGGGCCATGGGTTGGACAAGCTTGATGTAAATAAAACCACCAGTGGAAAGAGTTTGTTGTGAGTTACATTCAAATACAACAGTTAGTAAAACATCAGAATAGTACAGATATTTTGAAAAGTTTAGAGTAACTACAAATGGAATGTGTGCAGAACATAATGAATTTAAAGAAATACATTGAATACAAGGCAATCGTGAAATAAATTATTTGGTGACCAGAAAAAATTTTTATTTTTTTTTTAAAGCTTTTGCTGTCAAATATTATATTAATGCCAGACTGGAATTAGGTTTTATCTCTGTTAAAATAACAAATTGATCTTAGTATTTTCAGTCTCCTCTTAAAAAGAGGTTACAAAAATTATTCCTAATTTCTGTTTAATCTGAGGAATGATTGGGTATCTCTCCAGGATAGTATTATACATATTAAGTTTATTTTATTATGGTTTTGATGATTAAAAACAAATACAACTTTATTTCTTGGAAGAGCTGAGTTTCCTTATCATTGTGTTACCTTCTATTTTATTTTTAAATATCAAAATTACTATATTAATATAATTAATATTATAAATATTAATATTAATAATTTTAAAATACTGGTATTATTCCTTATTTTTAGGCACCTGTCTTAATCAAGTGACCAATCTCCTGTGATAACACTTCTGATTCTTCCTTGCATGATAAAACAACAAATTCAGAAAAAATAAAAATTTCAAGAGGTCTTTTCTTCTAATCTGCCTTTGTGATTTCCTATAGGTCTTTGGACAACCGCAGGGATTCACTTCCTTGCCTTGTAAGATTAGGAACAATAAAAATAATTAAATTTGTTTGGTATGTTCCATATTTTTTAATTAGCTCAACACCATTATAAGGCTTGCATGAAAAAGAGCTTCAAATCAGATTAGTTCAACTTTCTGTGCATTAATTTTTTTCAGGTAATATAAAATGTGTCCAAAATAATTCAATTTATGGGAAGAACATGGCAAGCTGTTAATACAGTCATGTCCATATATTCTTACTTTCAGAGGAGCTGTTAACAAATACTTATTAAATAGTAAGTCTTATACCCTGATGGAGAATTTTTCTCTTTTCTAGTGTGATACGGTTGATTACTATAATAAATTAATCACAAGCATTCAGTCATTCAGCAGGTGGTTTCTGCATTCCTCCCATGCTTGCCTGAAGGCTCTGCTATTAACTATAGGCTCCACAGATTAAGTCTTCAAATACTGGCCTCAATAGAAAGTCAAAGATCAGGTACATCTAACTGTTATGTCTTCAAGGACCAGCCTCAAGGGTACAAGCTTCAGAGCTGATATCACCTAGACATCAGCCAGACTATACCAGGTTACTAAGCCAGAGTTTCTAGGATTGATGACTTCATGAAATAAACTATAATCCCCAAATTCAAGAGATAAATAATTAGTTAAATATAACTTAAAGGAACTCATGCAGTGAATCAATTTGGCATTATTTGTTTGGGAGATTTTCAGTATACTTTTAATGTTCTGTTTTTTTGATTGGTATATATAATAATAAAGCTTTTTATTTATCTTGATTTAATTTTAATCCTTGACTTAATAAAGGTTCTTTAATTGATATGTGCTTCTGACATCTAAGATATTCAGTAATAGATTTTTTTTCTACTTTTCTTTACTTTCAATGGCAGATAACTGGATAAATAACTAAGAATCGGCCTTTTCTTTAACCAGAATATAGTTTGACAAATCAAGTGTACAAATTGTTTGATTAAGAAGAACTTTTTTACTAAAACACATATGATAAGCTCACCAAAGAGACAAAGGCTGTGTATTTCATATGTGGAAACAATCGATACCTATAGAGCCCTCCCAGTAACAGGGTCTGTTACCTAGTCTGAGTTTATAGGGTCCCGGCCTGAGAGGAAATAGTTAATCCCTGGCAAGCAAGGAAGCTCAGCTCATTTGGGTGACATAAAAGAGGAAGGAATTCACCCACATTTATAAGAACTTCAAGTGAAATACTCCTAATGGAGATGGTTATTTTGAGTTGGTTCCTAAGCTTCTGAAAAGAAGAAGAAACCAAGTTTTGTTTTTTAAAATACTCTGAAGTAATAAAGGCTACTGAAAACACAATTCTAGATTTCTAATGAAATCTTCAAATAGATGTTAATTTTCCACTCTTACTAATTGTTTAATATTGCGTGACACTGGATATTTCACTCCTACTACAAGGCTCATGTCAATAAACACTTCTTGCTGCACCTATCTAAAGGAAACGGGCTGGGTGCAGTGGCTCATGCCTGTAATCCCAGCACTTTGGGAGGCCAAGGCAGGCAGATCACATAAGATCAGGAGTTTGAGACCAGCCTGGCCAACATGGTGAAACTCCATCTCTACTAAAAATACAAAAATTAGCTGGGCATGGTGGTGCATGCCTGTAATCCCAGCTACTCAGGTGGCTGAGGCAGGAGAATCGGTTGAACCCAGGAGGCGAAGGTTGCAGTGAGCCGAGATCGCACCACTGCACTCCAGCCTGGGTGACACAGCGAGACTCTGTCTAAATAAATAAATAAATAAATCAGACAAAAACAAAAGGATACCACTTTTTTGTTGTTTTAAACAAGAATCATCCTTGGATAATATTTACGATCCTAAGGGGGAAGTTTTAAGAAAAAATGTTCAAAACTTGGGACCCAGCACAAGAATGACTGTATATCCTTCACCAAAGGATTCGCTAATTATTTAAAAGTATGTCGCTTCATCTGAGTCACTAATTACCACTGATTAAGATATTTTACAACTCTGTGAGAAAAGACTTAACTTGTAGAACATTTATAGCAACACAAATGATACTCATATTATGATAATGCAAACAAATTTTGTCTAGTACAGAGGAAAATGATTTGTCTGTTAGTAAAGATAGCCTCATGGTTTCACTTTGATTGTCTTATTGGACATTTAGTATAAAATTTAGGAATCTTATTCCACCATTCTTTCTTTCACTGATTATAAATGTTTCCCTTATTCCTATAATCTTTTGAACCAGTCTTACTATCCTGCTGGTTCCCCTAATAATAAATTAATCTATCTTTAGCATACACTCACATACACAGTGTATAACACTTGACTCTTTCTTCGTTTTGGAGGTTTTTTTAAATAAAGTATGTTCCCTTATTTATTCCACATCATAAAAATCATAAGGAAAACAAGAGACAATGAAAAATTCTAGTGAGTAACAATGGCAGGTTAGAAAGATAAGGTAAGCTTACTAGGGGTAGGAAGATACTGCATATGTAACATATGCAGTAAATGCATGAAATTAAGGGAAACCTGATGCTAGGCTGAATAACGCATTAGAGCAGGGGCATCCAATCTTTTGGCTTGCCTGGGCCACCCTGGAAGAAGAAGAATACACTAACACTAACGACAGCTGATGAGCTTACAAAAAAAAAAAAGCAAAAAATCTCATAATCTTTGAAGAAAGTTTACAAATTTGTGTTGGGCCATATGCAAAGCTATCCTGGGCAGCATGTGGCCCACAGGTTAGACAAGCTTGCATTAGAGAATACAATGCTGTTTTAATAAATGCTTTATTTGTGCATTCTTCTAAATCCCACAGCTTTGAAACTCTACTTACAGATCTATGCTAACATATCTATATCAAAGAGTATCCCAGGAAAGTTTTTTGTGTTTATTTATTGATACTTATAAGACATAAGGAGGAGACAACTAAGAACCTCTTTTTCTTCAGGATACTGTTGTGTCTGAATTTTGTACCTGGAATAGCCATAGATTTTAGACCTTTAAAGAGAGATAGCCTGAGGTAAAAAGATGACCTACTGAATGGAGAGGCAAAGACATAAGAAAAAATCTGAATTATTGATGAAATCACTGAGCCACTGAATGAGCCAACTCTGGACCTTTTGTTATGCGAAAGTAGCCTTCCTTATGGTTTAAACACATTTGTAGTTGTGCTTCCCATTACTTGCACTGGAAAAGGCATAAGAGATACAACTTCTGCCACACCTCCAAGTCAGCCCTGAAGCTTTTTGCTGCAGTCTCTAAAGAAAGATCTCTACATATACTTGTTTTATAAAGTTCAAAGGTTAAATCCTTATCCTATATCTCTATATACCTGGATTCCTAGCCTTGCCTTTCCCAAGACATAAAACCTTTGATAATTTACTTAGGTTCACCTGACTTCAGTTCCTTCACCTACAGAATGATGTAAATACATATTCCAAAGGCATTTTGGGAGAATTAAGTGAAATGACATATTTTAAATGCTTGGGATCAGACAGAAGGAGTCAGAGAATTATTTTTTAAGTATCCAGTAAGTCTGACCTAACATGGATAAAAATTACACACTCAAAACATAACTTTTGAATAGTCAAAATTGCCACCCTACTTTCCTATTTAATCTCCAACTCTTAAATAACTGAGGTGGGAGGAACATACAGAAATACATAACCAGCTTGATGAAGTTTGTAAAACTGTCCTATTTAATTTTATTCTCATAAACCTAGAAAAAGCAAGCCAGCGTCTTTTTAATCAGCATGGCTAGGTGGAGACTTCATGATGCTGTGAGCATTTCTAAGTTGTCATATGCTCTAAATTTAGAAAATGTTCACTTTTCATTGAAAAATACATCTCAGCCAATAATTTCCTCTTTGGTGAGGGAGTAGAGGTCTTTACAACATACCACTCTTGGCAGAAACTAGGTTGGAAAACTAACATTCTTCCAAGATTTTAAAGCATCTTTTATATGTAATGATAATCTAATATATAATCATAACTCCATATTTTTCACATTAATTATAAGAGATAATTAATATCATATATATTTTTAATAATTCCTAGTTACCTACCTTTTCTTGTTTGCTCGGTTTTTTTTTGTTTTTTTTTGTTTTTTTTGTTGTGTGTGTGTGTGTGTGTGTATGTATTTCCCTGGCATTCTTCTTGTGTTTGAAAGATAATAAGCTTTTAAACTGAGATAGTACCTACCTATCTTGAGTCAAGTTTATTTTTGGAGAGGAGAAGTATAAGGTCATAACTGTATTTTCGGTCACACTCCTACCAGGGAAAAGAAATTTTGAGTCTTTGGACTATGTATTGATTTTAAGGTATATGTTAAAGGTGACTATATAGTCTTTGAAATTGCTGTGTGTTCCTATCTTAATTCATCTAGGAGGTTGGAAGTTCTCTAGCACTGACACCTATATTCATTTTTATTTCCTTTTTTTTAATACTAGGCTATTCTTTTCCCCTGAAATATATTAGGACATATCTAACTTAGATGCATTATGTACCTGAAATATCAGGAAAAAATTCCAGTCTCAGCATGCCATTTCTGTCCACTGTAATTTAGACATTTTTCATGTTGCATTTATGTCTGCGAGGGTAACAGTCCTTACATTAAAAACCAGCCTTCATTAAGTGGCTTACCCTTCAAGTAGTCCATTACAGCCTTTCACTCTCTCACCTTGCACTGCTTCCAACTCCCACTGTTTTTAATAAGCAACTCAAATGTGGCAAACTATCTTCTCTGTGCAGAGGGCAAAAGCATCAATAGACAGATGATAACATGGTTTGGAAGAGCACATTGAAATAAGCCCATAATTCTCATCCTAAAATACCTCACTGCAAACAAAGACTTAAAATTATTTTCAAACCCTAGACTTTAGTCTGATTCCTTTCGTCCATGATTTTTTCTTTTACCATACATGCTCTAATGAGACAGCAGATAACATATGTGTTTCTAAAGGTTTGCTTAAACAGACACGCAGCAAGTGTTTATCAAATAACTAAAAATAACATACACATAAATCAAAGGAAGGGCAAAGCGTCTCCCCAAGGGATGAGAATATCATAGAGAAAATCCTGAAGCTTGGCAGCAATTCCAAACAACAGTGAGTCTCAGATTCCATTTCCCACAAAGGGTAAGAAACAGTCATTTAAAGCTTTCAAATTGTGGAAAGAAGTATTTTAAATGAAGTAGTAGAAGATCATTCTGGATTAAATCAAATAAATTATATAGCTCATTATATAGTGGATTTAAATAAATGCCCATGCCCAAGTCAAGGAAATTTGTCAACTCAACTGCAGTGATGAAGCACGGTGGTACTGGAACAAGAGTAACTTTTATATTAGACAGACAGATTTAAGTTCCAATTCTGTCCCTGGGTGACAATTATTCTATCACTCTCTGCCATGTTTTGTCTCTGGTAGATATGCTGTTAAGATATTCACTCCACTTATCTCCGAAATATCACCAATTTTATAAGGCTCTTGTGAAGATTAGAAGATACATGTCATGTCCCTGGTATAGTAAAACTCAGTAAGTGACCAGTAAGTGGTAGCTAATAGTAGTAAGTACTTTCATCTCAGAGATGCTTTTCTAAAAGTGCTTGAGTCTGCAACATCATTGTTTTCAAACTACCCTTTGGAGCCATATGTCTCTACGTGTTTTTCAGAGAAGCCATCTTGATGGAGCCAGGGTGGTATAGAGAAAGGGGTAGATGGTGAGAATGTAGGGGATTATAAAACAGATAAGTTCCAGGACCATTCATTCCTTGTCATTGATTTTAAATATTAAAGTGATAGAAAATATTATTTTTTTAAAAAAGAATTCTATTACTTAAAAAAAAATCTGAAAATCATTGAATGACGCATAACCTTCCAGCTTTAAACATCTGAAGTTTTCACGCTCCTTAGAATCTAACACCTATATCCAGTACTTTTTGAGGTTTTCCCATCTACGTTAATGGCCTCATGTTAAGCCCTTCCTCTCCCCATTACCACCAAATCTCTCAGTTCCCCTTAGGACAACTGCACATGTTCACACACACTCTCTTTGGTTGTGTTAACAGACAATGCTAAGTAGATGACAAAAAGAAAGTAAACCAACATTTTGGCCTGATTTTCTCAATCTCGTAATACAAAACTAGCGATAATATTGCAAGCTAATATTCATTGCCAATACTACATGCACAGAACTTTATTCTACCAATCTCTGCCATGTTTTGTCTCTGGAAGATACACTGTCAAATAATTCTGTTAATTCAGCTGTGTGAGATTTTTGACAGTTATGGCTTTGTAAAAAACTATGCTTTTTTATTAATCATCTATAATAGGGGGATGAAAATATTAGTCAAAGTGATCCACTACTTTTAGTAACTGATCACTGTTCCCAGAGAGAAAGAAAGCCTAAGTCAACATAACTTCCTTGAAATTTTTTCTCAGATGTATTAAAATGTGTTCCATGGCATATATAATATTATTTTAATAAATTATTACTAAATTAAATAAATTATTACTAAATCTTCTCTTATAAAACTAAGAGACTCATATCATTACTTAGGAAACTTAGCTGAAATCATGTTACCTATAACTTTTATTGTATGCATCAAATTATGGACACCCATGTCTTATTTAATTTTCACTTCATCACAGTATCAGAAGAAAGCCAGGTACAAAATCATGTGACCCATGCATGCTCCCCACTGAATAAAAAAACACACCAAATCTCTCCAAATAAATAATTGAAAAATGGTCCTGGAATTATCTGTTTTATAATCCCCTACATTCTCACCCCTACCCCTTTCTGTATACCACCTGGCTCCATCAAGGTGGCTCCTCAGAAAAACACTTAGAGACATATGGCCTTAAACTACTGAATCAGACCTCACTAAGTTTTATAAGGGAGGAGGAGTGGTTCCTTACTTCAATCTTCAGAGTAATTTAACAACAAAGGGCTTTCATTTTTTACTATATATACAGTGTGTGCATTTTAAATAAAGAACTCTGTACAGTTATTTTCATTATTATCAGTGAAAACACTAGACTGAAGGTGGGATACAATTCAGTCATAATTTTAAATACTATCAAATAAGTTCTCTAGAGACTCTAAACTAAAATTCAATTAGCTATTTTGCAAAAACCTGTTAAAAATAAAAAGCAGTTATAATTACAGTCAAAGATAAATGTATTGAGATGTCAGTCACAATCCCTACTCTCAGATCTAGGAGAGAACATATAGTAAAATGGTCAAATAAATTTATTTCATGAGGTCATAAGCATAAAAAAATTGACAAACAATGTCAAGAACACACATGTCTTTGAGATCAAAGAATGATTTCTAGTTCTATGCAACAGCTCTTATTCTCTATGGGTTCTGAAAATATATATACAATAGACTTTTGAGGGACAGAAGATCGGAATTTGACAAGCAAAAGTCAAAAACAAAAAGAGAGAAAGAAATATGAAAAGAGAACACTTTTTTGATAGAATTAACAACATTTAAGTGTATCCAATATAGATAGGTAATATTTATAAAGACTAAGGTCAAATCTTAATAATTATGTAAGGGTCTAATTACATAAAAATCTCAACTCAATATAATGTTTGGTAAATGGGGTATTTTTGAATTCAATTAATTTTCTAACAAGAGGAAAAACATCTTGTTTAATTCTTGACAAAAATATTTTAAAACTTACATTACAGAAGTTGACATTTTTGTCTAAGAAAAATAATTTTTTTTGAGAAATAAAACACAAAAAAATATGGTCTATGTTCATAAGGACTTTTTTTTTTTTTTTTTTTTAAGACAGAGTCTCACTCTGTTACCCAGGCTGCAGTGCAGTGGCCTGATCTCGGCTCACTGCAACCTCCGCCTCCCAGTTCAAGCAATTCTCCTTCCTCAGCCTCCTGAGTAGCTGGGATTACAGGCAGCTGCCACCATGCCTGACTAATTTTTCTATTTTTAGTAGAGACGGGGTTTCACCATGTTGCTCAGGCTGGTCTCGAACTCCTAACCTCGTGATCCGCCCGCCTCGGTCTTCCAAAGTGCTGGGATTACAGGCGTGAGCCACCACGCCCGGCTGTTCATAAGGACCTTATAGTCTAATGGACAGAAGGACATATAAGAAATATACTATAAAAATAGCTACAATTTAAGTAGTACATAGTACAGTGGGCCGCATCTTCTGATATGAGGATAGAAGAAACAGAGTTTCAAGCCAGTCAGGAAAATCTTCTCAAAGCAGGTAGAACGTGAGAAGACACAGTAAAAATGGGTAAGAGATTAACGAATGGATAAGCAGACAAAGAAATATTTCAGCAGAGGGAAAAGAACAATACAAGGCCCACACAAAGATATCAGCGAACACAGTATTTATTTAGTAGGGAGGAGAGAATCCAGTATGGTAAGAAAACTAGAAGTTTGGACCCATTTGAGGATATCTATTTTATATCTTTTGTTCTAATCCATGACATTTTATTTATTATTTTAGTTTCCCAGCCTTGTGTGCATTGGTTTTTATTTTTTTCAATTTACATTGACATATCAGATACATAAAGAAAAGTACACAACTCATCATTGCACACAGCTCAATGACTTTTTACAGATTTCAGCACACCTCAAACTGTAAAACGCCATCCAGATTAAGAAATAGAATATCATCACCAGCATCTGGAAGACTCCTTCATGCCACCTGACAAGCACTAACCATCATTACCCAAACCCTCCTTCAAGTAAATAATATGCTGATTTCTAATATCATTGATTAGTTTTGCCTGTTTCTGAAACTTACATAATTTATATAAATGTATATAATACATACTCTCTTGCATCTGGTTTCTCTCCCTTAAGATTGTGTTTGCGAAATTCATTCATGTTATTGTATAAAGCAATGGTTCTTTCATTTATTTGCAGTACAATATTTCACTTTATGAATATGCCACCATTTATTTATACATTGCACTGCTGACAGACATTTGGGTTGTTTTTAGCTTGGAACTATTATGAATGCTGATGCTATCAACATTCTTGCACATGTCTTTTGGTGAACATGCATACTCAGTCCTGCTGGGCTTATACCCAAGAATGGATTTGCTGGTCACAAGGTTGTACAGATTTATGCTCCAACAGTAGTATTAGAGGGTTTTACTTATTCTACATTCTTACCAACACTTGGAATTAAAATTTTCATTTTTCCACTGATTGTACAGTAGTTTCTCACTGTGTTTTAAATATGCATTTCTTTGATGACTGAGTTAAGTAGGTGTTCATAATTTCATATGATTTGGGGACACTAGAACTGTCTTATGAAGTACTCATTCTTCTGCATGCTATTTTTTATTCTATTTGGCAGACCTTTCAGTCATCATCATTGTAATCTGACCAAACTAGTATGTGGAACTGTGTAGTAAGTAGTAAGTAGGAACTGCTACAGAACATTTTAAGCAATGATTGATGGTACTGTATCTCCTCATGAATAGAAACAATTTTTTTTATTATTCTCTACTATCTATCTTCAGTCTTCTTTCATTCTAATCTATTTATTCATCCTTTTTTCTCTCACTCTTGGCTTTCAGTCCAAAAAGTTAATAAACAGAAGCCAGTTAATAGCACCAAGTATCACACAGTTCAATAACAAGTTAGGTTTGGAGAGCCAGCTTTTATAGAGTTCCCAAACATTTGGGGTTTTTTGTTTGTTTTGTTTTTGTTTGTGTTTTTAAAGTACATAAAGAAAATAAGCATGCTTGCTAATTTATGTGACAATAAAAAGATCATAACATTTTAGCATGAAAAATCTAAATGTCTCCTTTACACCAATTTATGAGCAAGGAATATTCAGTCAGCACTTTAAAGGAATATCAGAAGGAAAATGAAAAAAATAGTATCTATTATAAAAAGAGATGACTAAAAGAATAACATACATGAGTGCTTTCTCTCACCTCTCTGAAGACTAAACACTGTTTCATTCGGCAAAGTGGCCGTGACCTTTTTCCCTCCTCTGCATGATTAATTACTTAATGTCCTATTAATTGGAAGATATGGCTGAATTTCAAATGCTTTCATTTTCTGTGCATATCATCCTGTACTGTAACCACCGATTAAGCTGTTCATCAAAGGTGAGCCAACAAGGTCATCTGAGCAGTAATTCTTCAACTATTCATTACCCACCATCAATGGTAATTAGCAATGGTAACATTTCCATAAATCAACATCTTTCTTATTATTCTATGATGATAAACATTCAAAATGTGTGCATCCCAGCCCACCCACATCCTTTAATTTTATATGAAAAGTTTAGTCTAAATATACCACAGAGAAAATTCAGGTGAAAAATTACAGTAGTTTAATTAAAATGCACCAGGAAAATAAGGTTACATACCTTTGAAAGAAAAAATACAAATCTACGCACAAAATTAAATGAGTCTGCTGACAAAGTAGGGGTCAAATATAAGAAACAAAGAGTGTCAACCACACAGTTCCAGTTTTCCCTCTGCAAAGGAAATTATGGCTCAGTTCAGCCTCAAAAATAACCATTTCCTACTCAATCACGGAGAGTGACAATTCAGAGTAAAAAGCAAATTTAATTCATTCTATTATAAAAGTACACATCACGGGGGAACCAACACAAAATTTTTCAAGGAAATATTTACCATATTCATTTACAAACTAAAAATTACATTTAGAAATGTAACTTTTAGGTTTTATTTACTTTGTGTGCTTGTGATAAATTGTTTATTGTTGATGTTTTCACTTTTTTTTTTAAATCACATTGATCAGCAAGTTCAGGGATGCTGCTGATAGAATTTTCTCTCTTCAATAAGCAGAATTAACATTTTCATTTCTAATGGCTATGTCTAAAATTGTCATATCTAAAATTCACACTCAAGAAGGACTTACTCTTTTTGTAGAAAAATTAATTCTAAACCATTTTTAATCATAATAAAAATACTAAATATACTTTGAAACCTAAATTATTAGTACTAAGCAATCAGCACATTAATTATATTATATATTATAATAGCATAATGATAATATATTATATATACATAACTATATATAATATATAATTATGTACTATTTTTGTTTCTTTCTAAATATTGGAAGGAAAAGAGTTTGTTCTCTTTCATGTTGTATTTTTAAATTCCTGTTTACATTTTAATGTCACAATTTAATGTTATTGCTAAGCATATACGCACAGAACTTGGAATTTGCTCCAGATTAATATGCAGAATTGAAAGCACAACTATTAGTCCAATATTGTATGAAATGGTATGTAAATATTGACATCCTATGTTAATGTGTTTTTCCTAAGATGAAACATAATGCACACTGTTTTAAACAATTATAAATTATATTATCTCCCAAAACCCAAAATCAAAGGATATAACAAAGTAAGGTAAAAAACGAAAAGATGCTGGGCGCGGTGGCTCACGCTTGTAATCCCAGCAGTTTGGGAGGCCGAGGCGGGCGGATCACGAGGTCAGGAGTTCGAGACCAGCCTGACCAACACAGTGAAACCCCGCCTCCACTAAAAATACAAAAATTAGCTGGGCGTGGCAGTGCACGCCTGTAGTCCCAGCTACTCAGGAGGCTAAGGCAGGGGAATCACTTGAACCTGGGAGGCAGAGATCGCAGTGAGCAGAGATCAGGCCACTGCATTCCAGCCTGGGTGACAGAGTGAGACTCCATATCAAAAAACAACAACAACAACAAAAGAACAGATCTGGCCCTATTTCTCTATAATTCCCACATAAAAGATCTCCATTTGATACTTTTGTCTCCACACTGCCTCCCCTCAGAGTCACTGGCATGCTCATGACCACTGGGAGAAAGACACAACCTCTCTCCTTACAATGTAATAAAATTCTTTCCCTTCAGTCTGATTGGATCCAACATATACAATTTAATTGAATAACTACGAAAAGAGCTGATCCCACATTTGAGAATTTTTTGGAAAGGATTTTTTTTTGTTTATTCTGTTTTTTCTTTTATTTTTTGATTTTTGGTTTGTCACTTGGGTTTTTATTAAATAGAAAAAAACACTAATACTTATCTTTTTTTTTTCAAAGACAACAAGGAATACAGAATTACAGAAAGTTATTAAGGGAAAGGCAAAGAATAAGGCTCTTAGAAGTGATCCAGTAGCACAATAATTTAGCTTATTATAACCATTAAATTATTGTTGTTACACTTTAAATAAGAAAATCATAGATACTGCAAAACTATTCCCCCAACACTGACTAAACAGAGTGACTCTCACCTTGGGGCATCTCGGGTGGTAGATAATGAGGCTCTTGAGCACTAACATGCACCCATTCAAAGTCATCATACAGATCCTGGTGGTAATCACAGGCCCCTGGACCATCATCAAAAGTACAGCCACCTAGGAGAAAAGAAGACTACTGTTACATTCTAAACAGATTTTCCAAACATAACGAAAGTTCTGGAGAAGGAAATGTTATATTGATATATATAATGTTACTCACAATCTTAATAATAAATGGTACTCCTGTTTATCACTATTCTCTTTAAATTTTCACAGAAAAATAAATGTCTATCAGTACTTTCTGTTTGAAAAAGAAGCCCATTTGAGACCCAGAAGGAAGACTGAGGCACAGATTTTGAATTATTAAAAATAATAGATACATGCATAAGTCAGGCTTTCTTGAAATATACAAAGTGTTAGTGGTAGAGGATCTTGACTGCAAGTTGTCCAGGTTCTTGGCGTCTTGAACAAAGAATTGGACAAAATCCACACCAAAGCGAGGAAAGAATGAAGTAACGAAAGCAGAGATTTACTGAAAATGAAAGTACACTCCACACTGTGGGAGTGCGCGAGCAGCAGCTCAAGGGAACAGTACGGAATCTTCTCAGGTCCAAATACCTCCCTAGAGGTTTCCGATTGGCCACTTGGTGTTCACCTCATGTAAATGAAGTGGTGGCCCGCAATCAACATTTTACAGTACTTTCTGCAACCAATCAGAGGTACTTTCAATTTTCCATCACCACTCAGAAAACAAGGAAGTTTGCAAAGGGAGTACGCTGTGGTCCTTCTGTTACTAAGGCCTGGAAAGTTGGGGTTTTCCTTTCTATTTAGTTCTAGGACGTCAGGTGAATCAGCCTTAGGTTCCCTGCCTCCGGACCCTATTCTCCTGCCTCACAAACCACCTGGAGTCTAAATCGTTTTTAGTAACTTTAGTGGTGAGAAGTAGAGGAAGAATAAGAGTGAAAGTTGTCTTCCTCTACAATGCAAGTTCAAGAAGGTGAAATAATTTAAGTTTTACTAACATCTTTGCTTTAAAAGAACTCTTTGAAATCTCATAATAGCCAATGAAACATAAAGCTTTTTAGGGTCTAAAGTGTTTGAGGTCTGTGATATCTTTCATGCTTTATTTAGATTACTTTCATACACAATTATGATTTAAAAGGTTGGGGGTGACTCAAGCATAAAACCAATCAGATTAGCCTATAATCACTTTCACCGTTCCCACTTTATTTAATAACTTGGTCTTTTTAAACGGGGGTAGCATTCCCCATTTGCATCAGTCATGGTTTTTCTGGCGTAATTTTCAGGGGTAATTGTATTGCAAAAGTAGAAGGATTATTTTTGCTTCTTAGGCGATGTGTACAGGCACACACGACTCAACATATTTAGTTTATTCAAATCATGAAAATAAGAACTGGCCTATATGTCTCATCTTGAAAGAAAATGCATTAGAACTAACGAAAATCCAGCAGTGGGTTTAATGAGAAAAACCAATAACCTGTCTCCTTTCAAATAGTGTATTTGTTCAGTTTCCATAGGGATCTCTGTGCAGAAACTCAGTGAATTCTCTGACCAAGCAACAGACTAAGGAGTAGTAAACTCCAGTGCTGTAAATTCTTCTCTGTAAAAAAAAGGAATTTACTTTCCTCATCAAAAGTTTGGCAATCTGAGTATAAGTGAAAGTTACACTGCTCACCAATGACAGGGAGGGGTCAGTGTCACAGGCAAAGCAGGAGACATCAGAGATGTCATGGTGGCACTACAAGCTCTGAAATCTTTTCCAAAAGGAGAATATGTTGAGTGTATTCTTGAATCACTCTTATGACTACAGCAATCCTATAAAACAACCAAACTCGAGAACTCAAAACCTTAATATTGTCTTTTAAATATGCTTAAAATAGACCTTTTATAAATGCTCTCATTAAAAAAGATGTACTTTTTAATTTAAAATTAACCAATGAAAATAGGTTGCTAGGAAATGTATCTTCACATAGCAAGAGGAAAGTTTTTCTCAAAATATAATTTGCTATCAAACTCTAAAATAATTTACTGCTTTGTAACACAGGCCTTCAGGGCCCCCATTACCCTTTATAATAGTGTGAGTGCCCTCTGTATATAAATTTAAACTACCAGTGGGACCCACATTGACTCATTTGAAAGACAAATGGCCTTAATTGCTCTCCTTCATAGCCACTGTTAATTTTAGACTACAGGATTCTGATTAGCAATAACAACTAGGAGTAGCTGTACAAAATAAGTGGGTCAATGCTTGCTATTTGTTGCACATCCCTTCCCTATCTGAAATTTGTCAAAGGAGTCTTGAAAATCATTACTGGTCTACTTGACTTGAGTAATAAGAAAGCTTTTTAAATAATTTTTAATTTCTAATTTACAACAAGGTCTAATCCAAGAGGCATAAAATATAGCATACTAATAAAACTTTTACAAATTTTTTTGTAAAGAATTTTGTATTTCAAGGTTAAGGGCAAATACAGTATACTGGAGTAGATGATAGGAAATGCAAAAATAACTGGACTGATAAATGAGACAAACTATGGGAGACATATATATTAAAATAAATACAATGTGTTATGCGGGATAATAATATGATGAAAATTCCACAGAACATTAAAGAATTGGCTACTCACACCAGGGTTGGTTAGGGAAGGTTTCAATGAGTTACTCATAGTGAATATGAGGAAGGATATACCAAACAGAGCAAAGCCAGAATGGAAATGGGAATAAAACTAGAGGAAAAGCAAGATCAAAGGCATATAACTCTAAAGGAACATCATATGTTGTGAAATTTCAAATAACTCTGTATAATGAGCATCCAGAATACATAGGAAACTAGGAAGAAATGAAAGTAAATACGAAAAGTTTTAGATGTCAGAAAAAGGAGTTTAGAGTTTGTTCTACAGCTGTATTAAAATCTTTAAAAGATTTTATCCAAGAGTATGAGGCAATTCAAGCCACATTAAAAAAATGGTAATAACCCATGTTGAGTTAAAAGAGGAATAGAGGGAAACAGAGGAAAATAATTTGTTTCAACCTTGTAACAGAGAGCGCATAATATATCCTGAACTAATTCCATCATATACAGTTCCTATTGACCATTTAGGACTCACTAGAAAGGCCTAAACACCAAGTCCTCTATCATACGTGGTCCTCAATACATGTTCTTGAGTTCAAGACATCTTTATGTATAGTATTACATAAATCTATTTAAAAAGAGAAATGTCATAGCAAGCTCCTAATTCATAAATTAAAACATACCTTATGAATTTAAAGTTTCACTGAGCTGGATGGCAGATGGCAGAACAGAAAGAGGTAATACCAAACTGGTGTTCAAGAAATTTAGTTAGGCAGAGGGAAAGAAAAATGAGCAAGGAAACATTCCATTTCAGCTGTTTCATTTGCTACTGGTAATAAGGCTACAATGAGTAGCTGCAAATCATGCCAGAGAAATGGTGACCACAGTTCCTTGACCTTTGGAGGAAAATTACTTCTGAAGAGCATTTCACAGACTGCTAATTCCTCTACGCCAATCAATCAACTAAGGGACAGATCTATCACCGAAATGGTCTGTTTCTATGATAGCAAGCCACTTAAGGGGTTGGCAACCTGTTCATCTGAAAATAAAAATCAAGCTGATATGAACTTGCCAGAATATCTTTTTACTCCGAAACTGCTCGGTGAAAAATGTGGTACTAAGTAGTATTAGACACCAAAAAGATTAAACATAAAAAGGAAAGAAAAGTAAGTACCCCTGACCCCAAAACTATATTGCCTAAACATCTAGCATTTAGATTCTTGAGTGCTTATTTAAACAGAGGGTAAAAGCTCTATGAGAGAACACGGAACCAGAGACATTTTCTGTAGAATCAGGAAAAAATGAATACTAAATTTAAGTCCTTTCTGAAGTCAAACTTTTCAATAAAACCTGGGGTCACGTTAATTTAAACAAAGTTGAACTGAAGAAAAATGAAAAGTCGTAGATCACTGGAGAGCCATGAAGGACATTCTTTTAAAAGATTATTGTCCTAAGATCTTCCACACTCTCCCCTCCATGGCACCTCTAGATTCTTAATTTTCTGACTGAGTACAGTAGCAAGAAACAAATAGAATTATCTTTCATGGTTCTTTACTGTTTGTAAAGAACAAGCTTTATTTAGCTGAAGATATGAAGCATTTTCTTAAATTTTTGGAATATATATAGTTTTTTCAAGTAAAAAGAAAGTCCAAGACAAAATAAGTTGGAAAATACAATATCCTTAGTAAAGCTGCTTGATGATCCTCAAAAATGGACAAATTAACCTTCTCCAATTGTGAATTAAGCTGTGATACATAACTTTGCTCATGTAAGTGATTATCAACTTGGAATGATCTTTCTTCCATTCAGGACACAGAGAAAGATTAATACATGTCACATTAGGACACATGCAATACTGAGTTAAGCTAACTTTGTCATCTATCTATGCTAATCAGAAACCATGATATAAATTTGTTGATATGATCTACAAAATTCATTACAAAAAAGCCAATATATTTCACAAAAATTGTAAAAAGAATGAAAATTACTAAATATCTTAAATGCAGTTCTATTGATAATCTGAGTAATACAGTTTATTCCCAGAAAAACACCTTACAGAAGTATAGAAATTAATGGTTTTGTTTGTTTGTTTTTGTTTTTGTTTTTGTTTAGAGATGGAGTCTCACTCTGTCGCCCAGGCTAGAGTGCAGTGGCGCGATCTCGGCTCACAGCAACCTCTGCCTTCCAGGTTTAAGCGATCCTCCTGCCTCAGCCTCCCCTGAGTAGCTGGGACTCGTGCCACCATGCCCATCTAATTTTTGTATTTTTAGTAGAGACGGGGTTTCACCATGTGGGGCCAGGATGGTCTCAATCTCTTGACCTCGTGATCCACCCGTCTTGGCCTCCCAGTGTGCTGGGATTACAGGCGTGAGCCACTGCGCCCAGCCAGAAATTAATGCTTTTAAATAAAGTTCCTATTTCCTCTGAAATATACTGGGATATGCGAATCATTTTTTTTCCTTTTAACGCTACACTTCTGGGAATACTGAAGGTACAAAATAAAAACTGGCATACCGTGATAAATATTTAGGTACTTTATACCTGCTCTAATGATAAGCAACACTTTTGTTTTCCAATTTAAGTACTGAAATTAAAATAGGAAAAATTCCAAGTAGATACAAGTAACAAATGGTTTTAAGGGCATATTTATGAGTCACTGGTCATAATATATTGCTCTGGTTCATTACCAAAGAGGATCTACTAGAAGAAAACAGAAAATTTATGAATAGGAGTTCTTTAAATAATAATCACTTGAGATCCTGAAAGTATCCTTTGCCCTGCTTGTAGTTAATTAGGGTGTGAAAATATTATTTAGGTCTAACTCCTTCATTAAGGAAAAACAACTAGAGACACATTTCAGGAAATCCAAACCCATTATTTATTGATAGGTAGAAATAACTCTTAATGATGACAGAAGAACTCACTTCAAACACAATTGTTACTTATCTAATTGTTCATCCCTTGAGTTCCATCTCTAGCCAAGAATACATGTTCATATAATCCAAGATTATTTAGCTAGTAAGACTTCTATTCAAACTGTATATTATTCGAAGCAGATGCTCCACTCCAACTAAATAAACAATCTTCAATAAGACTGAATTATCCAGAATGGAATAACAAGTTCAGTTCCACCCCCTTCATCTTTACAGAGAAACAACATTAAAATCCCTTATACATCTATGAATAAGGCTTAAGAATTTTAAGTATGGGCCATACATCATCCACGCAGGTAATAGAAGAGAGACAATATATCTAGACACAGCCTGGAGTAATGGCTAAATACATAAATAGCTTTCATATTTTACCTCTTTTAGCTTCAATTTCCTCCCCAGTACGATCAAAATAATAACAGTTATAGCACAGTGGTGTTAGGATTAGTCATAATGCATGTCAAGCTCCTAACACCCAACACAGTTTTTTTTTTGGTTAAAAAAGCATCCTTATTTTTTCATGTTTTATTCTTCCCAGTTTATTCTCTATATGCTATACAGATGCACATATTTAACAGCTAAGCCCTTAACAAAAAGAGAAATATGGTTTCCATCTAATATACACAGAAAGACTAAAAATAGTTTATATGAAGGCAATATTACCATATTGCCAAAACCAGTTTTACCTGAACACTCATCATATATACTTTCAAACAGTCAGGAAATACCTTCCTTTAGCGTAGGAGTCAGCAAACTTCATGTACAAAAAGCAAGTTAGTAAATGTTTCCAGTTTTGTGGGCCATGCCATTTTTGTCATAACTACAAAACTCTTGTCATAGTATCAAGAAGCCACAAAGAATACCTAACAAATGGGCATAGCTATGGCTGTACTTGAATAAAATTCTATTCACAAAACAGGCCACAGTCTGAATTTGGCCCAAAGTTCACCAGCCCTTGGTTTAGATCACTCTGATCTTAAACCATAGGCAGAACATAGTCTGGTTAAAAGCTTACAACCAAGAACCTTTAACTTCTGCATCACCTCCATATTTTCTTTCTCACATATTAAGAGGAGTAGCGGTGAGCCACAGCCAAGCAACTGAACCAGAAATGGAGAATGATAGTGCTACATCTGAAACCAAATCAGTTGTTTGGCTGGCAAGCAGTATGAGTAATAAAGTGAGACTAGAAAAGGTGAGAACTAGAGACACTTTCAAGGGCCTTCCGTCCAAATGCTTCAAGCTTGTAAGACCACAGTGGGAAATACCTCATGCCCTAGCATATACATGCATACATGCGTGCAAGTTATCTCCTACTATGCTTCACTAGTTCAGTGCTCTTTCCATAAATGAAATAAAATGAAGAATAGTTAGGTAAATCAAGGAATCAGCTATTAAAAGGAAAAAGGTCATCAGTTCTTTGTTTTAAATACAGGTAACCGCATATCCATTGTAGCAGGGGATCCCGAAGTGTGATCAATCCAAATCTTACCTAATTTTTAGCTCTCAGGTACAAGTTGGAATTCAAAAATAAGCCTCTGAGACCTGGGCAGCTCTGCCAATAAGTATGTGACTTCATCCAACCTCATTATTGGAGCTAATGGGTAATTAATTACATGCCAAATACCCATAGAAATGATTTCACAGATGAAAAGAGGTTTTGAAAATGTAAAAGGAACATGTTAGTGAAAAGTACCCCAAAGAAGAAAAAATGAAACTTGCCAAGAGTCACAGAGCAAGAAAGTACCAGAGCCAGGGGCTGAACCTAGGCACTATGGGTTCTTTACTCTTAAACACTACATTAAGTGTCTCCTAAAAGTGAGGCAGGATTAGCCATTTTCAGAATTATCCAGTACAGCTGCCTCCAATGGGCACAACCTCAAGAGAAGGTATTCCCCATTCCATCCATTTGGTAGCATGATGATGCTGCATCCTATGAGAATAGACATGTGGTAAACTTTGAACCATATAATATATCAACGTCTCTCAGGCATCCCTGATATCACTGACAGGAAAGGGTCTTTAATAGAAAAAGCTATAAAAGCCTAGCTAATTAACTAAAATTTCTACAAATAATTTTATTTAAATAGGGTGACTTAAGGCTGAAAATTTATATGATCATTAACACTATACTATCACTCTTGCTTGGCAACCTTCCCTTTTCACCTCACCTCCCCCTAAAGCATGTATAAACCAGTGAATTTTCTATCTTTGAAAACATTAAAAGCAATTTTGTTCGGACTATTTTTGCAGTAGCCCTTGCACAAACTGTAGGATAATAAACCAGGTGTTTTCCCAAAGATCATTAGTGAGTATATTTACCCAAGTTTCTTTTCCTATTTTTTATACTTTTAACTATTCCAGTAAAAGGTCTTTTTCACTTAGTGTTAGATACACAATCTAGAGAAATTCATCGAACAAAGCAACAGAGAGTAAATGTACTGAAAAATAAAATTCTCAACTGAAGCCATATTTACATTTTGGTAAAACTGGAAACCACCCAAGCTCACATTTAAACATATCTTTGTTTTGTTTTGTTTTGTTTCTCCTGGAGAGATTACTGATTACTGGTGGGCTCCACTTCACCCATATGAGACACACACTGGCTTATTTCAGCAGTTGCTCCTGACTTAGCTCAAGCATGATGGGAGAGAGATCATTTTTCTTTTTTTTTATGAAGGGACGTAAAACAGAATTCCGTGACCCAACCTCCTAGAGGAAGGGCAAAGACCTGCTTTGAGGGTTTGAATTTAAAGTTTTACTTCAGATTGGCAAAGGAAATTTAAGTATACTCAACTACATTTTAAGGAGGTCAACAATTAAGTTTTGTAGGACTTTGAAATACACTTCAAGAAAATAGATAACCAATTAATTTATGTAAATAATTAAAATGCATCTTGAAATCAAAAAACAAAAAAAAAGAACACTTTTTTAAGGAGGATCACTTGAGCCCAGAGTTGGAGACTACCCTGGGCAACATAGGGAGAACCCACCTCTACAAAAAATAAATAAAAAAAAATTAGCCAAGCATGGTGGAACGTGACTATAGTCTCAGCTACCCGAGAGGCTGATTACTTGAGCCTGGGAGGTCAAGGCTGCAGTAAGCCATGATCATACCACTGCACTCCAGCCTGGGTGGCAGAGTGAGACCCCATCTCAAAAATAATAATAATAATTATATATATAAAACTTTATCTTCCTATATTTTTCATTAATATTAACCCCCTTGCATATCAAAATGTTTCTAGACTAGGTTAACATAGAAGGCATATGGGCCAATGTTTGGGTTTTTCAAACTTCTTAAAACACAATTCTTAAGACTAAAGAATGATGGTTTTTTTCTGTCATTTTCTTTGGTTAGAATAGATAATTGGATATCATCCTCATTACAACCAGTATATTAACTATTGCTATTGGATACATTAACCAGTTCTTCTCATTCTAAGCATAATTTAATGACAGTTTAGCCTTCTGTCTGGTCCAGAGCAAACAAGCCACTCACACAAACACAAGCAAATCATTTTGTTAATGTTGACTGACATCAGAACCCTGGATGTCGGGGACCTTTGCTCCCTTTCTCATAAAGACAGCACTCTGGGTTTTAAGGGAAGTTTTAGTGAAACTTTTAAGATAATCTTTAAAGGTGTCAACTTCTAACCAAATCAATGCTGAAACCTGAATCACAGTAACTTTCTCCTCAAATTTCCTCCCTCAGTTGAGTGCATATGGTTACCATTTAGTGGAATCACCACATAAAGATTTCCCAAGCAGCAAAAAGCACTGCTTTGCACAGACATTTAAGTGACATGTAAGTCAATGGCCATTCTAACCTAACAAAGACAGTGTTAAAGGGGGGAATAGTGAATGAAATTTTACATTGGATCTCACCAAGATTCAGGTTTGTGTGTGTGTGTTCATTTCTATACCAACAAAGAAACTATTTGGACTCCCTCCAATTTCTGCTTCCAACTACTACTTAGAAACGTGTGTCAATTAATTTGAAAATTTCTCCACAATATCCTATGATATTAGAAGCTAAGTGCTGTGTACATTTAAGTCATCATTAGTTAGTATTTTAGTTAGGAAAACATCTAGATCAAGCTTGTCCAACCCACAGGCAATAATTTAATGGAGATAAGAAGTGAACCTTCTTTTGCTTCAAACTCTAGTATATCAGAAGTTCGTGGTTCCTAAGAACAGTACATATGAGAAGATCTCCAAACTTGAAATATTCTGATCTCATCAGAGTTAGATGATTGGGGCCTGGCACAGTGGCTCATACCAGTAATCCCAGCACTTTGGGAAGACAGAGGGGTTAGATTTCTTGAGCCTAAGAGTTCAAGACCAGCCTGGGCAACAAAGCGAGATCCCCATGTCTACAAAAATTTCTAAAAATTAGCCAGGAGGAGTGGCATACACCTGTAGTCCCAGCTACTTGGGAGGCTGAGGCGGGAAGATATCTTGAGCCCAGGAATTTGAGACTGCAGTGAGCTATTGTGCAACTGTACTCCAGCCTGATGGACAGAGCAAGACCCTATCAAAAAAAAAAAAAAAAAAAAAAGAAGAAGAAGAAGAAGAAGAAAGAAAAAATGATTCACTAAAGTATTATAAAACTCATTTATTCAACATTCTTTCAATTTTCCCTCCAGCCCTTGCTCTAAAACATAATGACCAAGTTTTAATCTATCAAATTGTAAGGTTTATTAAAAAGGTGAACACAGTTCTTCAGAATAAAATATAAAAACCAAGAAGTTTTTAAATTTCAAGTATGGGGGAAGAAAGCTGGCAAATATGATTTGCATAATAGATTAAAGCACTAGCAGTATGAAGATAGCATTTGAAGTCTGGTATCTTCTCTGTAGTATTATAGCTTTCATGACTCACTTCTCATCTCAAGCCATACCTTATATTTTGAAATATTCAAGTCACTAAAAATAGATAAAATAAATTATTACAATGTGTTTCTGACACGGACATCCTGGCAAGTAATTATTAAAAATAAAACTATCCTGGCTGGGCACAGTGGCTCACGCCTGTAATCCCAGCACTTTGAGAGGCCAAGGCAGACGGATCACCTGAGGTCAGGAGTTCGAGACCAGCCTGGCCAACATGGTGAAACCCCATCTCTACTAAAAATACAAGAAATAGTTGGGCGTGGTGGCGGGCGCCTGTAATCCCAGCTACTCAGGAGGCTGAGGCAGGAGAATAGCTTGAACCCAGGAGGCGGAGGTTACAGTGAGCCGAGATCGTGCCATTGCACTCCAGCCTGAGCGACAGAGCAAGACTCTCTCAAACAAACAAACAAACAAAAACTACCCCTAATTAATGTTCCAATAAACAGGAAAAATCTCTCAGCTTCACTATTCGAGTAAGGGCAAATTGCAACAAAAATGAAGAGTTTGTCTATATCATTTGCAAAAAAGCAAAGGATTGACAATATGTAGTATTGATCATAGAGGAGATAACAACAGGACAACTGGTACTTTGAGGGCAACTTGGTTTCATTTACCAAAGTTGTTAATATACTTGCCCTATAATCCAGCATTTTCACTTCTACCCTACATAAATTGTTGGCATATGTTTAGTCCTGAGTCCTACAAATACAAGCTAAGGCTACCAATACTGCTAGAAGCAAAAGCAAAATGTCTATGGGTCTTTTTAGATGAACCCAATGGCTATAGGAAAAAATTGAAAGAACAGACTTGAAGGGCACTGAGAGCAAAATGGCTTGCAAATATACCCTCAAACTTTGGACTAATGAATAATAGTAAGATATCATGATAGTCAATTCATGTGGAGAATCTAAATACTCAACAATTGATTAAGACAAAGCATATTTTAAGAAACAACATAGGATCTAGCAATTATTTGGCCAAATGCTGACAGAATAAAAAGATCCAAATATGTTACAGAGGTAAAGAGATGTTGAATCAATTACAAAAATGGAAAGAAGACAGTGTCATAGGAGATATGTGACATAAAAGTGTCCCTTCCTAGCCACGAACTGTTTCAGCTAGCAATTTAGTGGATTAAGAAAATAAACACAGGGAAACTACTTATGGGAAGCAACATTTTATGATAAGCTATCCAAGAAAAGATTGATTACACCAATAGCATTTTAAGTCAGCCAACAATAAACTTATCTAAAACATGGCTATAACTTCCTATTATTCTCCTGACATCTAATTACATAACTTACCTCCTTTTCACTTGTCATTTCAGTAACTGCAGGCCTTTTCTGAAGATAAAATCAGAATGCAAAATAGATTAGGTATAATAGAGGTAGACACATCATAAGTATTTCTGATGCTGCTTTATCTGGAAGGGATGGGTTTATAACTTTGCCAGAAGATGTAAATATGTATATTTTCATTATGAAATGCTTGAACTATGACTGTGACTACCTAGCTACTATTACTCATAACATTATTTAATTCAACATTTTTACTCATAGCCTGGCATTAGTAAAATAAAGTCTGTTCCTAGAAATAGCATTTTCAATTAGTGGTCTACAATACAATCAACTTGTAAAGTTACATGTTGATATGGTTTGGCTGTGTCCCCAACCAAATCTCATTTTGAATTCCCAGGTGTTGTGGGAGGGGGCCGATGGGAGGTAATTGAATCATGGAGGCAGGATTTTCCCATGCTGTTGTAGTTGTTATTAAAAGGGGGCGTTTTCCTGCACAAGCTCTTTTTGCCCGCTGCCATTCCACATAAGATGTGACTTGCTCCTCCTTGCCTTATGCCATGATTATGAGGCCTCCCCAGCCATGTGGAACTGTAAGTCCATTAAACCTCTTTCTTTTGTAAATTGCCCAGTTTCAGGTATGTCTTTATCAGCAGCGTGAAAATGGACTAATACACATGTTAAATGTACTAAGAAAAATAAGAAAATACCATCCAGGGTCAAGTCCTTTCCTAACCCCTCCTTTTAGCCCTCACCATTATGATTAATTTTAGTCTACGATTTGGTTATTACCATAGATTTTACTCAGACCAAGAAGGTACATGGAGGAAGTCAGGCTGGAGGAAGTAAGACATGAAAATCATGGTATAGAGCAAGCAATTAGCTGATATTCCAAGTAATTGTATTTGTCTAAGATTCTTTCATGAAATGCATTCGGGTTATTTTTCAACAGCTTTTAACCTCCAACCAGTGAAGGACTGCTGTATCTAGAAGGAAATATGTGCACCCTCTCCCTGCTGCGATCAGCTCAACAAGTAAATATACCCACAAAACGAGAATCATCCAATTTATAGGATTCTGCAGTTCACCCTCAGTCCCCTTTAACAATCTATAAAAAGGATTGACTATGTTTCATATGAAGATTTGTTTTTCATATATTCTGAGCATATTGTAAAAGAGACAAAAACTACTTTTTGCTGGGCAGATATTGGCAATAACATAGTCATGTTTTCAAGAAATATTATTTCTACCAAAACATTAAAAATCACTATGAATGATTTGTCATGTGGCCTTGCATCGGGCTGTGGTAACCTCCACAACAGGCAGTCCTAAATTGGAGTATCTGTGATTTCTTTAAAGACCCTAACAGCATAATGAGTGAAAGTCTACTGAATCTGACTCAACGGCATTAACTGCATCTCCAAGGGTGAAGTGAGAACTGTGTGAGTCAAAGAAAACTTTATAGTACTATAAAATACTGGTGTAGAAGTCACAGGGGAGGGGAACTGCAGGGTAAGTGAGGGTGAGAGCTGACTTCCTGCCCAATCACTAACTTGGCTGAGGCTGGGCCTTCAGTGGCAAAACTTCCTTACCAGCCTTACGTTTGTTTGTTTATTTTCTTTTTGAGATGGGGTCTTTGTTCTGTCGCCCAGACTGAAGTGCAGTGGCACGATCTTGGCTCACTGCAGCCTCAACCTCTGGAGCTCAAGTGATCCTCCTGCCTCAGACTCCTGAGTACCTGGGACTATAGGTGCATGCCACGACGCCTGGCTAATTTTTGTATTTTTTTGTAGAGACAGGGTGCTGCCATGCTGCCCAGGCTAGTCTCGAACTTCTGAGCTCATGCGATTCACTCACCTCAGCCTCTCAAAGTACTGGGATTACAGGCATGAACCACCACACCCGGCCTACCAGCCTTAAGTTTATAATCATAATCACAACCACAGCAAATGAACACACTCCTCTTCTTAAGCATTTCGGACACAAAGTTAAGCTCTCCAAAAACTCAGGGTGCCAGCCATATTGTACTTTTTCTAAATCTCAATGTTACCTGGAAGAAAAGTCAGATGTAAACTAGTCAACATTACTATCTACATTAAATAGAGAAAATATAAACACACACAGAAAACAGAAACATCTTTTCCCAGAGAGAAAGTAGGTGGGGCCTTAAAATTTTTCACTCCTAAATTGAGAGCAGTTTTACTTCAGTTCAATGATCAAATCTATTCTCTACATATTGACAGCTTCAAGCAGATATAAGTAGCAGCAAATTACAATACGTGCCATTTGGAATGCAGTTTTACAATTATAATCTTTAGCTGCATTACATTCACAAAACTCAGAAAGGCTTTATGGATCTCAAAGGGGACTAATGAAAATATTTGGTCAGAACACAAATGAAGTGTAAAGCCAATAGCTATTTTTAAAATACAAAAATTACTTAACACAGTTCACAGCACACAGTAAATACTACGTAAACAATAGGGCTTTTTAAATTTATTTAAAAGATCACATATATTCCCAAAAACCAGAAGTAGTAAGTGCTAATATTTTGGTTTATATTTATTTCTAGCCTTTCCCACATTATACTTTCTTATAATTTATTGATGATATTTGGAAAAGTCACCTCTTTTTGAAAATTTGCAGTCTCAAATATTTTGCTAATGATCTAAATCTAGTAATTTTACAATTGATGCTACTGGGCCTTCTAAGTATAAATTCATAATGTCTAAATAATACTGTTTGTTTTCCTCTGTATGTGTGTAAAATTATTTAAATCCATAAAAAATTCTAAAACAATATTAGTAATGGTGATATGGAGCAGATCTTAATTTATTAGTGCTCTTTCTATGAGATGGAGTGTTAATTTGCTGGTAAATTAATATCTCTTTCCAATCATCTTCAATGCTACTTCCAATACAGGATATTCAGCAGCCATTGATGGCAGAGTGGCGACAAGCCAGGCAATGTTCTAAGCAATCTGAACAATTCATTTAATCCCCACACCTTGGTGGGGGGTACATTAATATGAAACAATTTATTTAATCCCCACAACAACCTAAAAAGTTGGGCATTATTATCATTCCCATTTTATTGATGAGGAAACTAAGGTAGAGAGAGCTTGAGTAATTTGTTCAAGGTCTCATTGCTAGTAAGGCACCAAGCCATAGTTCAAATCCAAGCAAAGCTGGCAGTTCCAAACTTCTTTTCAAATATGTACTGCAAGGGGAAGAGAAACATCAAACTTCAGGAGAAAGCCAACATGCTGGCCAGGTATCACCAAGTCGAAAATGCAAACTAGAATGGTAGGCCAGCAGCCTCATATGATAGGCCAGAGAACACTAGCATTCCTGCAATACAGGAAAGATCTCTGCAGAAAGAAGATACATTTTTGTACAAACTATGGCCAATGATAAGAGTTCTCTAAGGAAAGGCAGATTTCATGCTTCAGACACTCCACGTGGTAGAGTAATGGCTTCCGGTTGGCCCAGGAATCTCATAGACTTCTCAAGCCAGTGAATTTTAAGTAAGCTGTTGGCACTAATTCTCTTGCACTCCTTTCTCCCTATTTCTTCCCTTCACGAGCGGGAGGGAGGCATGGTCTCATTTCAGCAGCTGTGACTCAGCTGTCTACTCTACATGCCCACACTAGGAATTTGGACAACCCTTTAGAGATGCCATTTACAAGTGAGAAACTGTTGGGAGAACAAGGATGTGTGCCTCTTTCAGTTAGCATCTCTTTTGTGTAATAAATATTTTTAACCTAGTTTATTTCAGCATCTACAACCCATATATTTCCTCAGGAAGGGCATTTAGTTTACTAGAACCAGCTATTTGAGAATATCTGTATTTAAGCCCGCCTACATATCCCTAAAGCAGGACAAGGCAATTATATTCTAAACTGTCTCCTACAGAGTTCAAAGCAATCCCACAAAGGAAGAGAAAGGAAATATCAAGGGTATCTGTCAAGTGTCTGTCTGCATAGAGTACTGCACAGACCAGGGCATAAGAGAACATTCGCTGGTCCCTTTCATGAATTCCATCCTACTTTTCAAGGAAAACGCAGAGCTCTACTTATTCTAAATGATCATTTATTTAAAATGAAAAAAAAAAATCAAATGTGAGGAGTTGCGAAAGACTCCCAAGCCCACTTAGTACAATTCTCCACCCAGTATAGGAATGTCCTCTAGAGTCTCAAGACAGATGGCCTCTCTGCATCTGCTTGGATATTTTTCATACTCTTCATCTTAAGAAAGGACAGGACTTCTGTGATATCAATGGTATTCCTCCGTGGTGTCTTTGAAATCACTGGACTATTCAGATGGAATGGCACGGCACATTTGAGAAATTAGATCTTTCCAAAGGCTACACCCTATTGAATGTAACATAACCACTGGAAATCGGAATTGAGAATGACTTTAAGAATCATTTAAGCACAGGTCACCACAATCTAGGTCAGTTTAGTAAGAAGTCCACGGGTGTATAAATGTGATGCCTACCTAGAATGATCACTTTATAAGGATTACCTTCCTATACTGACCCAACTTTTCAAAACATGGTTTTATTTCTGTTGCCTTTTTCTTACTCAAACCAATGTCTACTTAAGTTTTCTCTTTCCTTACTATTTAATTGACCTTAATAACCCTATTAAAAAAAGACTAACAGTAGTTAATAAATCACTAAAAGAAAAGAGAAACTATAGTACTGGGATTCTGATAGCTCATGGGTCACAACTGGGAGAAAAATAAAAGTAGATTCATTCAGCCCTTAAGAAGGACTGAGTAGAGCAACAAATTCCCTGTGATACTCCCCAAACTCTAAGGCACAATCCTATTCATCCTAAATATACTTATAATAGTAAATAGATACTCACAGAAAAAGTCCACATTTTCTCCAACTCCTAGTATTAGAGTTTCAGAACCTGAAGGAATGTCAAGATTTTACCTGAATCAGCTCCCTATCTCCAGGTAGGAAAGGTATCATAGCCTCCTTTCACACCCCAGATTCTCTAAGGTTAACTGAGTTTCTCAGACTCATAGTAAATGATGAGCGTCTCCATCGCGGGACCCCTTCTTCCTAGTGCGGCAGTTCTTTCCCTGTTGCACACCACCCTGCAATGTTTAATTATTCAAGTTGCCTCTGTCAGCCGATTTGATTTTTTAAATATTTTTTGGTAGTATGCACAACTGAAATAACCTCAGAGTGAAAAAAATTTAAAGAGAGCAGCTATTGTATATCATTCACCTAAATTTTTAAAAAATGAATCAAATAGGTGAGAAGTTGGATTGCCTTGCCACTACTTATTTGTAAAACCTTATCTTCTGGAGGAGATTTGTTCTTTTATTGTTCTGTCCAGTTGATCTAATGTAACGATGCCATTGCTAAGCTTTACTAAGTGTGGTACACAGAATATGTGAAACCAAATGCTTGCTTCATAAAGTAACCTAAACGGTTTTATTAAGTCACATATTATGTGTTCAGACTGTAGGTGGTACTTTCACTTAATATTTACAAGTGTTTAAGTTTTATATTATTTAATATTTATGAATATTAATTTCCATTTTTTCACTTGATATAAAATGTTAACATTTTATTTACTATAAACATTCAATTTCATTTAATATTTACAAACAAGGTCAATGAAAAAGTTCTCATTTTACACCTCAGAAAACTGCTTTAAAGAACAGTTCATTGATTTGGCCAAGGTCAGACAGCTATTAATTGGTGAACTGAAACATGTTATCCGATTCCAAAGCTTGTATACTTTTCAAATAAAAGCAACAGGGGTCTTAATGACATCGCGGAATGAAGAAATGGCAGGGACTCTTCAGAAGCATACGGCCTAGACTAGGGAAGTATTACAAAATCACACACAACCTGGCAGAAAACACAGACAGTCAAGAGCTATTGTCTACAGATCACTGTACAAAGTTCCTCCCAACGATCTCAGAATTCTCCAACGGCAAGAATTCTATGTGAAAATTGAAAGAAAAAAATGTTTTTCTCTAGGAATCTTAGTTTTTAATCTTGAGAAAAATCTGGATGAGGAATCATATAAAAATTTAACTTGTTCTTAATGTCCAAAGCCACAAAACCATTGCCACAATTAAGAATGCTTTTTCTTTTAATGAATAAGTTAGCTATTATTTTTAATAAACACAAAAGAACTGTCTTCCTATTTTCAGTGGTGAAAAACATGCCATTTGAGATATGCAGTGAGAAAAAAAAAAAAAAAATTATTCTCACAAATCACTTCCACAAAGCCCTCTGGCAGAGATGACTCTTGAGGATAATGTCCATTTGTTAAGTTCTCCTCTCTTCAGAGAGAACAGGCTGGAGCCACTGAGCAGCATCTGAATCCAAGAGGCAGCAGATGAGCCTTGTTGAAGATAATGGCATGATAAACAAACCCTAATCCAACCAGCGTTATGATTACAATAATATTAAATCCCTCTATAAAAGATTCTTGATGTTTATTCACTCAATCACAGTAATCTGTTTGAAACCAGCAGGGTCCATGACACATAGGAAGGCTTAAATAAATTACTATTCAAAATAACTGAAAATTTAAAAAAAAATTCCATTCCTATATATACGATAAAAATGGTGGTTGTGCTAAATTTTTGATGGTTGAGATTAAATGTTTGGGGCTGATAATATATTTGTAGGTGACATCAGAGCTCACTAAACCTAGTTAACAGTAAAGAATTTAATTCAATAAACATGTAGTGAAGTATCAGTACTACACTCAATCTGGGGAATACAGAGATGAAAAGTGCCTGTCCTAAACAGGACTACAGAAATATAAGTACATAATTACAGTATGAGAAATATATGCCATGTGTACAGGCAGCAATAGGATACATGGTTAATAAGTACTTATACTTGGGTGGATGGTCAAAAAAGACTTCACAGAAGATCTGACATATTAACTAATTTTTGCAACAAGAATGACGACCACCACACACACAAAAAAAGTACAAAAGCAGCATGATTAACGATTAATGCAGCATTAACTTTGTTGATGGGCAGGATCAAGTTGAAGGTGGAATACTAAGATAAGAACTGGAGAGGTGGCCGGGCACGGTGGCTCACACCTGTAATCCCAGCACTTTGGGAGGCGGAGGCAGGCGGATCACGAGGTCAGGAGATCGAGACCATCCTGGCTAACACGGTGAAACCCAGTCTCTACTAAAAATACAAAAAAAAAAAATTAGCCGGGTGTGGTGGCTGGCGCCTGTAGTCCCAGCTACTCGGGAGGGCTGAGGCAGGAGAATGGCGTGAACCCGGGAGTCAGAGCTTGCAGTGAGCCGAGATCACGCCACTGCAGTCCAGCTTGGGTGAAAGAGCCAGACTCCATCTTAAAAAAAAAAAAAAAAAAGAACTGGAGAGGCAAACAACACTCAATAACAACTGGCTTTTATTCCATGCTGAGTATCCTGTATTGCCTTGTAATGAGGTACATCAGTGAGATCTGTGTTTTAACACATTAACAATAGTATACAGGATAGATTGCAGAAGGCCATCCACAGAGACAAAAACAAAATTTGAAGATGTGATAGCAATAGTCTGGGTAAGAGTCGGTGAAGAGCTAAACTAACTCAGGTTTAAAACCAGATCTACTGTTGGTGTTGTGCTATACACATAATTTTATGGATATAATAATTATATATAATAAAATTATATAGATATAATAATTATAAAATTATAATTATATAGGTAATATCACTATATAATTATAGTTATCTCAGATAATTATCTATATAATTTTATGTGTATATATATATACTGTAAAGTAGGACATTTTATCTAAAGTCTGTATTTTCCCCTTTTTTTATATAGTACTCTGACGTGCCTTGGAAAGTAATTCCTTTTTTTTCTTGAGCTAACATTTACGTTTTCAAAACAATCTCATTAGTTTTAACAAGTGGTCAAGTATTAAAGATACACGGTATGTGTGAGGAATAAGAGAGCCAAGAAGTTAAAATACCAGGACAAGATAAGCCACTATGAAAGTCATGCCTAGGAAGACAACAGAGTACTAATTGTAATTTCAAAATTGCCCTATGGATCATAATATTCTCCCTGCAACCTTTCCCAAGAATAGGCCATTAAATATCAGCACCTCCAAAGAGAAGTTTATACACCATTTGTACATAGAAAAACTATAATGGTTAATAATGCAAATTCAAAAGCAATCATGTTAGAATGGAAAGCATGGGAGTCATTTAATAATGTCAACAGGTACAGATCACTTTAATACAAGAAAACTAATGTGTTTGCATATCATTAAAGGTTCTTTCTGGGTCTATCACTATTATAAATCATTCTGACTTCACTAACATATAATAATTAGCCAATAAAGGTGGGCCTTCCATTTTGATTTGCTTAATAACAAGAAAATTTGTTCGATCATCATGGTATTTTTGTCACTCAGTATCTCTTCCTTAACTTTCTCATAGCCAATAATATTGCCAGGAACTCATGGTTTGCTTTTCCTCCCTGAGGAACAAGCAGAATTCCACAGGGAATCTTACGTGGTATGAGAAGAAAAAGGAACGTGGTCCTTTTCGTGTCTAATTCCCAGACACATTCTTGGCAACCACTTTGTGTGTGTTCCTCTCACACTCTTCACATTCTGGGCAATGTATCACATTACTTCCCACCCATATACAGAGAGATGAAAGAGAAAGTAAAAATGCCTAGGTGCAAGTGAATTTATTTGTTTTTAAATTATTTTAGATGCAAAGATGGACGCTAACATTCTATTAGACACTGTATCTCGTCAAAAAAAATTGATATGTATTTTTGCCAATGCTAGGCTTTATGAATTCCATTTATTACAAAGGTCTAACCATCTAAAATCCATTAGGTGTTAATTTTTAACATAATCACAGTTCCTTCAAACCATCCCCACCCTCGCACTCCTCAAAATTCCAAATACTCCAAATAAAATGTTACCTTTAGGAAAAATGTGGCTTGACCTAGAGGTCGCAGTCCTCATTACAAACTTGTTCTGCATGTCCTAAAGCAGGGGTCCCTAACCCCCAGGTCATGGACTGGTACATGTCTGTGGCTTGTTAGGAACCCGGCTGCACAGCAGGAGGTGAGCACTGGCTGAATGAGCATACTGCCTGAGCTCTGCCTCGTGTGTCAGATCAGCTGAGGCATTAGATTCTGATAGAAGTGTGAACCCTATTATGAAGTGCACATGTGAGGGATCTAGGTTGCAAGCTCCTTATGAGAATCTAACTAATGCCTGATGACCTGAGGTGGAACGGTGTCCTCCCCATACCAGCCCCCCAATCCCTCACCCTCATCTGGGGAAAAATTGTCTTCCATGAAACCAGTTCCTGGTGCCAGAAAGGTTGTGAACCACTGTCCTAAAGCATCTACCATAAGCATATGTCCACCGTATCCAGATCCTGAGCCTCCTCCTCAGCACCAGAACACTACTAAAAGCAGCAAGGGGGAAACTGAGGAAAAAATCACACCTCTGCCAAATTTTAAGTGTTGCTTAGGGTGTCTCTGACATTATCTCAACCACCTTCTTGTCTATATCATTCTTTTTTTCCATCCCTATTTTTGATGCCTATCCTTGCTCAGAAATACTTCACTGTAATGATCCCCTCTAGCTCTGTAAAGCACTCTATTGTGTCACCAATCCACACTACTCCCCAATATACTCAGTCACCTAAGAGCTATGCCTTCCTTTTCTGAAAATTCTTATCAGGACTTTACGGAGAAACCTCCAAATGTCTACAAAGAACTAGTATCCAGTAATTCAAATGAAGTATAAATGGTAACACCAAAGCTATTCTGTTTTGTTTGGTTTCTGAATGCTTTTAATGTTTTTGTTTTACCACATGATGTCTACAGAGCTGTAAGGAAAACACTTGGGGCATGGGGCCATTATTTGAAATATTGGAGTCTACTAAATCTGTGCACTACAGACCACGGAAAGATTAAAATGGACACTAAAAGGGGGTAAGTGTGGCCTTGAGCTGCCTCTTTTAAATATTAGAAAGTGAAAAGACAGAGAATGCGGCCGGGCGCGGTGGCTCACGCCTGTAATCCCAGCACTTTGGGACACCAAGGCGGGCGGATCACGACGTCAGGAGATCGAGACCGTCCTGGCTAACACGGTGAAACCCCGTCTCTACTAAAAATACAAAAAAAAATTAGCCGGGCATGGTGGCGGGCACCTGTAGTCCCAGCTGAGGCTGAGGCAGGAGAATGGCGTTAACCCGGGAGGCGGAGCTTGCAGTGAGCAGAGATTGCGCCACTGCACCACTCCAGCCTGGGCGACAGAGCGAGACTCCGTCTCAAAAAAAAAAAAAGAAAAAGAAAAAAAGAAAAGACAGAGAATGGAAATTCAATAGGAAACCAATCTGAGAACCTGTTTAAAACTTAAATTTCCAATAATCTTGCTGTTCTGGGAACCTCTCATTGCCAGTGTTGTGGAGCCAGGGCAAGACCGATTCTGGGGTTGAAGAGGATCATATGCTCTTTATGTTCCCAACAAAAAAACTGTTAAGCAATAATAGCGAGAAGAGTATCTGTTCCTCTAAAGTCTTCCCTCCAAAAAGGAAGGTAACAAAGGATCCAAAAGCTGTGCTTCCAAACTTCCCAAGATCAACTCTTTCTTCTTGGGGAAGATCATGGTGTTGGTTTAGTTAGGTAGGAAATCCTTCATAATAGCTGTCTAGTACTAAAGCCCAATTAGCACCTAGCAAACGAATAATCATGCGTAACACTGAATGTGTATAAGATCTACTATATTGTGAGTTTATATCACTACATTTCCAAACTTTTTTCGAGTGTATTCAGCCTACCTTGCACTTTGCTTAAAATGTAGCTACCTGTTCTTCCCCAAAAAGGAATGGAACATTGTCTTTGTCGATAGTGTGTCGAGAAAAATAGTCATCCCAAATAACTGAATCAAATTGAAAGAAAAAATATAAATTGTCTCAATGAGGTTAAAATTCTTGGAATGATCCTTTTTTCTATGCATAGGGAAATTAATCAATAAAATAAACACAAGGCGGTAAACTGAATTATTTGCACAATTTTGCCTGAAATTCTTGTAAGCAGAAAACTAAAATATCTATTTTTCCTTCTTTAATCTGTGAATCAACTGTTGGTTTTTAATCAATAAATGTTTAATTACTACCCACTAAATCCTAGACCTTACTTTAGGTATATGGAACATGCTTTGATGAATGAGACTTTGCCATTGCCCTCAGAATGCTTAGAGCTCCCTGGAGAAGCCCGGGCATAGAAACAAATAATGACAACCCAAGCAACTGGTGGTAATTATTAATACAACAGAAAGTACAAGCAAAGTGATGTGAGCATTTAGAGAGCAGCAGGAATTTTACATTTGCCATTTACAGTCAGGAAGAACTTACGAAAATGACAGCATTAAGAATAAATCACGAAAGATTTTGTAAACTAAAGCTGAAGAAGGACATTCTAGTGGTGGGGACAGTATAGACAAAAAGCCACACAGTGTATCTGGAGAACAGTGTAACATGTAGCTTAGATTTGAACCAAAAAACAGTGGCAGATAAAGATAGAAATTAAGTGGTTATTCTCAGTATAATCAATTTCAACTCTGGATAAAATGACGAAATTCAATTTTGGTATTTGGAAGAGACCTTCTGTGCCCAGGTAAAATAGCCTACTTGATATTTATATGTTATTGTTTGCCAGCATGTCTTAAATATCAATATCATCTTTCCTACATTAGCTTCTAGTTGCTTATAAAAAACACAATCATTCTTTTCCATATTGTTGTTTAAAATCAACATTGATCAAATCTGACAGATATATTTTTCCTAATGTCATTTATAAACAAGTAAAAATTCACTGTATTTTTAGTACATCAACTGGTAAAGAAATGTATTAGAATATTTTATCTTAAAATTATAAAGCAATAAAGTTTTAGGGGAAAATAAATCTTACCTTGTGGAATAAAACTGGAAAATATAATTTGGGAGTTTATGAGTTTGGAAAGATGGGAGCAAAAAGGGATATGAAAACAAAATAGGGCTGGTTGCCAAAAGCAGTCCCATAAATATTTTTAAGAACATCGGTATTTGTGGCAGAAGATATTAGTCAGTCTCTTTTCCTAAAAGTGAGAATAAGAGAATGGGGAGTTTTTTTAAAAGTGTGTATTATTTATTTTCCTTTTTTTCAATCTAATGGTAATACTCCTCTGACAAAGATTCGAAACTCGTTGAATATAAGAACAGGATTTTTTACAAATCATTCAAGACGACTCTTCACAAGTATTCACTTTTCCAGAATTACGATTCATTTCAGGAAGGAAGGACTCAGTAACTACACAAGAGAACACCTCTCCACTTCCCACCTTACACAATATACCCAAAATGTACTGCTGTTCTCTTTTACCCAGAATTACAAGGATCAGCATACAAACAGCAGAGAGGAGTTGATTATAAATGATGGAATTATCATGAAATAATATTTCTTCAAGCTCCGCAATCAATCTAAAAGAAGCTAAAATTGTGTTCTTAAAATCCTTCTGGTGTAAAAAGCATTTGGGTTTCGTTAATGTTTTGGTTTGGCTTATAAGAACACCTTACTCTTATGAACTAACAATTCATGATTCATGAGGCTAGGCCCATTCAAATAAGAAACACACATTGCTAAACAACATACAAAGGCTCATCCACCTAAGAGGCCTGGCCAGCAACCAGGAGCCAACAGAGCTGCTTTGTATTTCTTCAGGGAGATCCCTCTGCCTACAACTGTATTTTTGTGTTGTGCATTTTCAAAGTGTGTTGTTGAAAGGTTATGTTTAATTTTTCATGATGCATTATTTTTCCTCATGCACACATTTTTAGCATGTTATTTTTGTTGTTATTTCCGGAATGAATTTAATATTTTAGTTTCTGCATGTGTGCACATGCATGGGTATATGTAAATTGATTTCATTATCTTTAATTAGTAAAAACTCACTCTCCCCCACCTTCTCCCAACAAATATAACTACTGTGAAAGCTGAATCACTAGGAAACTCAATGGTCATACTACTGCATGGAGAAAAAGAAGAAAAAAAGCCAACACACAAAGAGAAATAGGTAAGTGAGATGAAGATATCATTGGGGTCTGTGTCACATTTCTAGTTGTTCCAGAGGTCAGACTGCATTCCTGAGCTCTCCATGGCTTCTTGTTTATTATTCACTTCATCTTTGGACTTCATTAGATTCCCATGTACTTTCCAATATATTCTTTTTTTCCCTTCCAAATAGTCTGATCTTTGTTTGTAATCAAAAGGTTCACATTATTGGTTCCATTTGTTACAGCATGGGAGAACACTTTTTTCCCAAAGAACTCAAAATAGTTTTTAACATTTCACGGACGCAAAAAAAAAAAAAAAAAAAAAAAAAAAACCTGAGCATTTCTGATGTTTAGAAATATTAAAAAAAAGAAGAAGAGGTTGAAATGTCTAATATAATAACCTGGTCAGTTACTGGTACATACTGAGCTAACGCTAAAATTTTCAAAATGACTCCTCTTCATTCCCTAGTCTATGTGGTTCAAACTCAAAATGGGCATACAGTCATCTTAAAATAGGTTCAGCTATCTCTAGCAATTATAAACTCTTTCCATGAATAAACTTTTTCTAAGCACCTAAAATCACATGAATATATCTGCCTGACAAAAATTTGGGAAGTCCAGCATCTCTGATTTAAAAAGAAGAAACTATTTGTAATTTTAGTCTCTTGTTCTTAATGCAGGATCTGACCATTGGTTAGTAATGCAACAGCTGCGATTAGCAATGAAGGAAAACTATTTTCAGAGTCTTCTCATGACCTAGCCACATTAGCAATCTAAAAATAAAAAAGGAAAAGTTTTTAAAAGCTTAACCTTTTATAAAGTGACTAAACTTCATCAAGCCATCACAAACAGATTTCTAGGACTTTTTTTGAGAAGAAGAAAATAGGATCATTAGTTTAATGACAGTAACATTTGTGCGGGTATACAAACAACATATATGTCAGAACAATTTAAAAATTATATACTGAATATGCTTTATGGCTTTTTATAGTATTTTGTTGAATCTATATTTGTTTTGGGGAGTTTTGTTTTAGGTTCTATGTGTGAGTGTGAGTGTGTTTGTGTGTTCTCGATTTTAAAACTATTTCTTGAGTTCTTTAGACCATAAGAACATAATGTATAATAGTAAAGACTTATTTCAATTTATTTGAACTTTTTTCAAAAGTAACATAGATTGGCCAGGTGCAGTGGCTCACACCTGTAGTCCCACACTTTGGGAGGCAGAGGCGGGTGGATCATGAGGTCAGGAGTTCAAGACCAACCTGACCAAGATAGTGAAACCCCATCTCTACTAAAAATACAATACTTAGCCAGGAGGGGTGGTACATGCCTGTAATCCCAGCTACACGGGAGGCTGAGGCAGGAGAATCACTTGAACATAGGAGGCAGAGGCTGCAGTGAGCCAAGATCACGCCACTGCACTCCAGCCTGGGTGACAGAGCAAGAGTCTGTCTCAGAAAAGAAATAAATAAAATACAGTACATAAAAAATAAAAAATAACATGGATTAATTGACTCTTAAGAGAACTATAGCAAATAATATGTGGTGCAAAAAAAGGTTTATTATGGCTGGGTGTGGTGGCTTACACCTGTAATCCCAGCACTTTGGGAGACAAAGGCAGGAGGATTGCTTGAGGCCAGGAGTCAAGATCAGCCTGGTCAGCACAGAGAGACACCTAGTCCCTACAAAAAGTAAAAAAAAAAAAAAAAAATTAGCCAGGCATGCTGGCAGGTGCCTGTAGTCCCAGTTACTTGGGAGGCTGAGGTGGGAGGATCACTTGAGCCCTGGAGTTCAAGGCTGCAGTGAGTTATAATCACAACACTACGCTCCAGACTGGGTGATAGAGTGAGACCCTGTCTCTTAAAACATTAATAAATAAATAAAAGTTTTAAAGGTTAATTTTTACAGCTACAGATAAAGATATAGTGCAGAGAAAGAATAGTGGCTGCGGAAAAGTCATTTTGAGACAGGAAGTTCAGGCTTGCTCATCTGGTCAAGTTAATATCTGGAAGATGAAGGCTGAAGCCCACATCTCTCAAGGAAGTAAGATTTTGCTTGAAATTACACTATTCTCAGTCGTATAAAATCAGACTAGTAAGTAAATAAGTGCGATGTGGAAGTTCAGAAGGATTCCTTCTCCTTTACTGACAGGTCAAAAAGCCTATGAAGAACAGCAGAAGTCATGAGGGAATTCTGGCTCTGATGTTCATTCACCCTTTTTCTCTGATCCAAATCAGCATCTCCTTCGGCCCAAAGGCTGGAGGATACTCTTCTAGTGTCACTTCTCTTCCAGAAAAGGGAAGAGCTTACTGTTAGAAACTGCTAAGCCCCAAGTCACTCTCAGGCTACTGTATTGCTTTACCTCAAAAACATCCTTAACAACAGTATTTCAGTAAATCTGACTTCATGCACCGTTAAGAATGAAGGATGCTGTCACTAATGCTAAAATCTTCCTGATTTTAGATATGTTAAAATGTGAAAAAAATACATTTAAGAATCTAAAAACCATGTATCAGCCACATACAACTAACATCAAAGAACTGCCAGCTATATTCCTTTCCTTTCCTTTTTTTCTTTTTTTTTTATTTCAATAGGTTTTTGGGGAATAGGTGGTGTTTGATTACATGAATAAGTTCTTTAGCGGTGATTTTTGAGATTTTGGTGCAGCCATCACCTAAGCAGTGTACACTGTACCCAATGTGTAGTCTTTTTTTTTTTTTTTTTGAGACGGAGTCTCGCTCTGTTACCAGGCTGGAGTGCAGTGGCGTGATCTCGGCTCACTGCAACCTCCGCCTCCCGGGTTCAAGTGATTCTCCTGTCTCTGCCTCCTGAGTAGCTGGGACTATAGGCATGTGTCACCATGCCCAGCTAATTATTTGTATTTTTAGTAGAGTTGGGGTTTCACCATGTTAGCCAGGATGGTCTCGATCTCCTGACCTGGTGATCCGCCTGCCTCAGCCTCCCAAAGTGCTGGGATTACAGGGGTGAGCCGGTGTGCCTGGCCCCAATGTGTAGTCTTTTATCCCTCACAACCCCTCACCCTTTTCCCCGAGTCCCCAAAGGCTAATGTATCATTCTTATGCCTTTGCATCCTAATAGCTTAGCTCCCACATATGAATCAGAACATATGATGTTTTGTTTTCCATTCCTGAGTTACTTCACTTAGAATAATAGTCCCCAATTCCATCTACTCCTTTCCTTTCATAACTTTTCTTCTACAACTACCACAACTATCCCAGGTTAGACCAACATTACCTCAGGCTTAGTCTGCTAAAAAAGACTTACTATTGGATGCATCCCTACAAATCTCCTCCAGGTCTCTGATCCATCCCATCTCACATACAGTCTCCAGATCATGGCTCATCCACTTATCTGGGAAGCTTTCATGAGAAAGCTTCCATGGATCCACCCACTGACTCTTCACTCTGACGTTCAGGCACTCTACCACCTTGACTCCATCTACTTTTACAGGCTTACATTTCCCAATAAGCATCGGCAAAAAATTGTTTCATAGCATTTCTATGTATTTTGCTTAAAAAGAGGGTTTCATAATTAAATAAACTAGCATAAATAACATTAAATACTTTTTTTACTACAAGACTGCTCAGAATCTTTAATATGTAATGTTTGAAAAATTTCCAGGAGGCAGATATAGTACCCAATGTTTCCAAAACTAATTTCACCATAGAAACCTCTGTGTGCATGTTATCTCTTGGGACTAGTATTCTTGGTGAAATAAACTATGACTTTCTGCTTCCCATATTTATTCTTCTGATTTCTTCCCATAATTATTCCTCTGATTTCTAGTCCTTGCACATTCAAGTCACTTTGTTGAGGATGCCTTTCCCTTATGTGCCTCCAATGCGTATTAGTATTTATCAACTTCACTTTTTTTCTAGGCCTAGTTCAAATATCAGTTCATTTTTAAAGCTCCCCTTGAGGTCTCTAGCTGCAAGTAATATCTCCCAGAGAACACTGTTTCTATTTTTCTTTCATTATCTAACACTTTCTACTTTTCTATGAAAGCTATTTTTACAGTATTTTATTCAATCCTTATAATCCCTTTGGAAGCATCATCTGGACCTTATCATTGTATTCTTCTCAGCACCCAACAGAAAAATTCAAATATAGCTTAATCCTTATAACTTCTTCTAACTCTCTCAGGACCCCTTCACAGACCAAGCTCCTTCAAATGCTCTTTGCTTTGAAAACAATGAATGAAATATTTAAAATCTTTAAAATCATGTAGGAACAAGATGTAACATTTTCAAAGAAAAACTTTGTAGTTCTAACATTTTACTGAACATCTGGTCACTTATCTTGTCATTTGTAATTAAAATGGCTTTTCTATAACCCATGTTTTGGCGGGAAAAGTGAAACAAAAACATTTGTCTCTACATAAGGTCGACTTACAAAGTTTTTTTTCTTGATTTGCCTGAAATTAAATATATAATGTTCCTACTGCAAGTAAAAACTACCAAGGAACACTTGTTAAATAAACTGGTAAGACTTAAGATTTCAGGGCCTTGACTTTTCCTGGTACTCCTCAATTTCAGTCTTTTGATAATGGAATCTTCCACACAGCCAACACTGCAACTGGTGAGGCATAAGTTCTCTTTTCAAAACATAACACATGAATAAGTTTAAAGATTATGATCTTCCTTTAATGTAGTTCCCCATCATGTGTTCTAACGTGCCATTAGTACTGAACAGGCACATGTTAAAGGTGTGGAGCTAGCATTGATTCATTAATAATAGTAATAGCTAACACTCAGTGCCACTCTATGCGCCAGAGAGTGCTTATGTGCTTTGTGTGCATTCTCTCTCTTAACCCTCACAATTCTTTAAAGAAAGCACTATTATTGACTCCACAAATAAGAATACTTTAAGAGGTGTTATGTAATTTAGCCAAGTTCACACAGCCAGTAATGACAGTTCCAAGATTTCAATCCAGGCAGTCTGACTCCAGAGCCCAAACTCTAAGCCACACCACTCCCTTGCCTGCCTTCTATTTAGGTACACAGGAACTACTGTGCAGTTACATTCATGGCTGAAGAGCCACTCCTATCAACCCTATCAATAAGCACACTTCTTTGTGCCATTGCTGACAATCAGAAGATATGCCACAATATCAGAAAGCAATAATGTCTGTGCTCCTTCCCAGACAAATGAAGTATGTCCTCCTGGAGAAAGACAATGTAACATATGAACATGATTTTTACTTTTTTATGATTCAATTAATCCATTCATTAAATACATTTAATGAATCTATTACTTCTGTATTCCCCAAAGTAAAGCTAGATATCGTCTTCAATTCCTGGATGACTGCCACACCAGAAGTAGTCCCTTCTCCTGAAGCCCTCCCTCCACATAGCCTCCACACAGCCAGGATCAACCACGACCATCAGCTAGCAAGACAATATAAAACAAAATGTTTGGGCCAGGTGCGGTGGCTCACGCCTGCAATCCCAGCACTATGGGAGGCTGAGGCGGGCAGATCATGAGGTCAGGAGATCGAGAGCATCCTGGCCAACAGGGTAAAACCTCGTCTCTACTAAAAAACACAAAAAATTAGCCGGGCATGGTGGTGGGTGCCTGTGGTCCCAGCTACTTGGGAGGCTGAGGCAGGGGAATCACTTGAACCCGGGAGGCGGAGATTGCAGTGAGCCGAGATCACGCCACTGCACTCCAGCCTGGTGACAGAGAGAGACTCCGTCTCGAAAAAAAAGAAAAAAAAAGTTTGGCATCATCCTTTCCATGTACAGTGAAATGAGAAATCATATGAGAATCTGTGGACACTGTGAAATGACAAATCTGCTTCCTAAGAATTCAATGGAGTTACTCACTCAGCGATAAGACCGAGTCCATTCTTCAACTGAAGAATTAGCTGCTCAGAATTATAGTAGGACTTCCATCGCTAAGCATCGTACTCCAGCTTAGGAGAAAGCAATTATAGCAATCTAAAGATGCACATCATTAGTAGACTACTAAGGTCTAAAGCCTATCGTTATCTATTCTTTCAACTGTTCAGTAAATATATATTAAATGTAGACACTGTTCTAAGCATACTGAGATCAGTAAAGACAACGAGATGTTCATGGAGTCTACGTTCCACAAGCAATGGCAGTTAGATCTAGGAACGTCATACAGAGTGCTAGAGGGGATACCTCCCTGAGGAGGAACTAGGATGACTGGAAGAAATATGTCAATGTGAAGATCTGTGGTAAATAGTCATTCCAGACAAACTAACAGCAAGTACAAATTACATCAACAAGTTAACTAACCTACAAACAAATGAATACTCAGAATGAATTTCAATGACCTATCCTGACTAAAGTACCGATGGGGTCCCCAACCTATGATGGATTGACTTGCAATTTTTCTACTTAACAATGGTGCAAAGGTCATATACATTCAGTATTAACTGTCCTTAGAGTACCCATACAGCCATCCTGTTTTTCACTTTCAATACAGTATTCAATACATTGCATGAGATATTCAACACTTTATTATAAATAGGCCTTGTGTCAGATGACTTTGCCCAACTGTAGGCTAATGTAAATGTTCTGAACATATTTAAGGTGGAATAAGCTAGGTTGTAATTTTCATTAGGTTAGGTGTATTAAAAGTATTTCTACTTAGAATATTTTTTCATTTATGATAGGTTTATCGGGATGTAATCCCTTCATAAATCAAGAAGTATCTGCACATTTGTTAAGAAAATGTAAGGCCTTAAATCCAAGTGATGCTACTAGTAAACTAGGGGAAGTCACTTAGCTTATGTGTGTGTCAATTTCATCATCCTTAAAAGGAGGGACAGGAACACATGACCGTAAGGTACCTTCCAACTCGAAATTCTTAGAATTCTATGGTCACGAAGTCTAAACTTCAAGTTGCTTTTTCAAAGTAGATAATTAATGTGTACTTCCACCATTATAGCCTTGCCCTGCCTCCCTGGTGACAGAGCTGACAGGGGCTATGTCAAAGATGTGCTCCAGAAAGGACTAAAGCTATCATCCACCAGGTGATAAGCCTATGACCTCCAGGTGACTAATACATTATTCCAAGCAACTGAGCTAATGGCCAATACAAAAACCTTCTTGGCTTTTTGATAAAAATAAAGATTCATACTTCCTCATCCCGTCCTACTAATTAGACTGCAATAAAACAAAGGTAATAGTTCCAATTCCAAAGTTATAGCAAAGTAAAATCTGACAACTAAAAACTTCACCAACATCTAATCTATAAAATATATATCTTTTTACAATGCATTCCATTGCATTCCAGTGGCAAGACATGAGAGCAGAGAAATGTTTTAAAGGGGCATTTCTGTTTAAAAAAGAAAATCCTAGAGGCTCTTCTAGAAGTTTGCCTTAGTGACTCAGAATGTAAACTTACTCAATTCAGTGAGGTGTGCATTATTAATTAGATAATTTCTACCTTGAGAGACTTACAAAAAAGATCAAATAGACAGAGAACATCAACCATAATGAGATATATTTGTATAATCATCAATGCAATATAAAGTTAATTTTAAACTATAGGCATTTTATCATTTTTGAATTCACTTATTAGGTATGAAATTTTATTTATAAAAGATCAGAATGAAAATTTCAGTAGTTTGTAAGAGATTTTACATGGAATTGTGATGATGAAAAGGTTCCCTGTGGGAATAATAGAATCACCTTGATGGATGAGTATTGAATGAGTATGTTTATACAATATGAGGAATTTAAGGGAAGAAACTTAGTCTTGAAAATTGTACTCCACCAAGTCACTTAGCAATGAGTTAAGAAAGAAACGGCTCTAAAACCATGGAAATTCAAACTCTCAGGAAGCAGCTTAATACAGCTTTGACAGGAGACAGATAGGGAGAAAGTTTAATTCTGTACTTTTAACTCCGTAGTTTCCTCGACTGTAAATAGAAATAATGTCTCCTTTCTCCCAAGATTATTTAAAAGATTATATGGGCATTGAATTCTAAAGTAACTAATGAAGATATTAACATATTTTACAAAATCGATATATGCTAGTTGTCCTCCCAAGTCATCTTTTGAAGTCTTTGACTTTACTTGATTGAACAAGAATTTATCAAGTGTTCATTCTATATCAGAGAGTATACTAAGTACTAATGATGCAATGAGACTAAAATATATTACCTACCTTTAATAATAGCAGAAAAGACAGAGAGGACATGATAACTAGTGAAGCAGCTTATGCACTTGCATGAGAGTGTATAAAACACACATACAAAAATTTAATTCTGCTTTAAAAAATAATAAACAAGAAAAGTCACAAAAGGGTGACTTTAAGGTTTGACGTTGAAATATAAGCAGGAATTGGTCATAGCAAAAAACAAGCCACATTAGGAAAAATTAGACATTAATTCAGGAAAATTTGGATTAGGAAGTCTACTGTGTGCTAGATTCTGAACTGGCACCACACACCCCCGGGGAGAAACCTGGAGACGTGAACATACCTAGTGTCTTCCAAAAAGAACAAGCACATCCCACACACAAACATTTAAAGAAATCTTTATTAGTCAACGTGTGATTTTTAATTTTTTTCTTTTTTTTTTTTTTTTGAGATGGAGTCTTGCTGCGTCACCCAGGCTGGAGTGCAATGGTGTGATCTCGGCTCACTGCAACCTCTACCTCTCAAGTTCAGGCAGTTGTCCTGCCTCAGCCTTCCGAGTAGCTGGGATTACAGGCACCCACCACCATGCCCGGCTAATTTTTGTATTTTTAGTAGAGACGGGTTTCACCATGTTGGCCAGTCTGGTCTCTAACTCCAGACCTCAAGTGATCCGCCCACCTCGGCTTCCTAAAGTGCTGGAATTACAAGCATGAGCCATCGTGCTCGGCCAAATATTCTTAATTATTGTGCAAATGTGTGGACTTTGTATTGTGTTGGGAATGTTTTCCAGGGTTCTTCATAAATTTTAAATAAATATGCAGCCTTAAAACACAAGCATCCATGATAAATAAAATATATTTTGAAAAAGAATACAAAATATCTTTGTGAGCTAAGCAGTCTGAAAATGTCTTTTTTAATAAATAAAACACCAGATTCCAATCTCTCCAGCTCAACTGGTGGTCATAGCTGATGATGTAGGAATGAAATCAATTTAAAAAAAAATATGGTTTAGAATTTAGCAGATGTCACCAATAATGTCAAGAGTACATCAACCGAAATGAAATGCCATTTTAGTTAGGGCAAGCCTCATTATGAACTGAAAATGCTCAAGACATGGTCATGTTAAACTATCAAAAATCCTAGCATTTCCCTGGATGTAATTGTTTGTTTTTCTTTCTTCCTTTCTTAATGAAGCAATGGTCTTTTACAAAACCTCCTTTAAGCGCATCCAACGCAATAAAAGCTCAACATGAGATCTCCTTTTCAATCATAAGTACCTAACACTAAAACTGTTTCCAAATGTAAAGCCAAGAGAGAATCCAAATGAATAACGGTTTGCCTACTAAGCAGAGCTATGTGGCAGGCTGACATTTTCATGGAAAATATACTGTTCTCCACCTCCAACTTTTTTAGACATAGTGGAAAGATGTAATATTATTTATGTTCTTACCCCAATGCAAAAAGGAAGGAAGGAAGGAAGGAAGAGGAAGAAAAAAAGTGAGGGAAGAGAAAGGAAGGAAGGAAGAGAAAAAGCACGGTTGAAAATACAGCTCCTTAGAGTCTTCTAATACAATTTGTTAAAATTGTCATAAACCATTGTGATCACCAACTACTATTTTCAAAGGATTTTGTTTTAAATGCTCAAAACAGAAAATCAAAAACCCCAATGAAAACTAAACACTGCACCTCATTTACAAAATAGGTAGACTGTGATAACTTCTTATTGTACGAATATTTGGATATACTTTAAATAGGATTCCATTTTTAAGTTAAAAAACCTGATACAATTAAATCTTTTAGGAATTACTACTGCAGTATATAAACCAAACTGCACCTTTGGTGCCTTTGCAAATGCAATAGTGTAATAATAGAGAGAAGTTCCTAGGAGACAATGGCTAAACAAATGTACATTTTTCTTATTATAAAACTCTGTCCATTTATAGTTATGTAATAATGAGCCTTGATAGTTTAACATGCTTTATATAAAACTGTAGAATCATTTAGGCCCTTTACAAACCATTAAGATTATCAGCTCTGATGTGAATCATACAAAAATATGCCTATGTCCCTGTTTCAGTCCCAAGATAAAACTATTTTAAGTGAGTCATCAATTCCAGATTTTCAAAGTCAAAATATCCTCACAAAGGGCTCAGCTGAGTCTTTTGAACACAGGTATGAAGTACAAAGTGAATCTAAACCAATGTTACCCCTACCATACAGGTATGTTGTGTTCACAAACACACACACACACACACACACACACACCCTAACTCAATGTAGTTTATTCAATTTTATTTTTACATTTTTATTATTAATTTTTATTCGGTATTTTCATTATTTTAAATTTTATTTCCTTAATCCAGGTATATTCACTTAACTGTCTTATGATTTTGCAGCTATAGTTTATTTTACCCTGATTTTAATATTAGTTTAAATATTTTATCCTTTATTCTTTATTATTCAATTCCCTTTAACTATTTGTATCAATACATAAGGTTTGTACATAGTTATGTGGTACATGTGATATTTAGATTCATGTATACAATATGTATTGATCAAATCAAAGTATTTAGGATATTTACTCAAATATTTATCATTTATTTGTGCTACGAAGATTTCAATTCTTCTACCTATTTTGAAATATACAACATATTGTTAACTATAGTCACCCTACTGTGCTATCAAACACGAGAACGTATTCCTTCTATCTAACTGTATGTTTGTATCCATCAACCAACCCCTCTTCATCCCCGCTTTCCACCCCGCAACCCACACACACCCTTCCCAGCCTCTGGTAATTATCATTCTACTCTCTACTTCCATGAGATCAACTTTTGAAACTCCCACATGTGAATGAGAACATGTGATATTGTCTTTCTGTGCCTGGCATATTTCACTTACCATAGTGAACTCCACGTCCATCCCTGCTGTTGCAAATGACCGGATTTCATTCTTTTTATTCCAGGGCATTTCTAATAGTTTTTTTTTTGTATTTTGTTTGTTTGTTTGTTTGTTTTTGAGGCAGGGTTTTGCTCTGTCTCCAAGGCTATACTGCAGTGGCTCAATCTCAGATTTCAGCTCATTGCAACCTCTGCCTCCCAGGCTCAAGTGATACTCCCACCTCAGCCACCCAAGTAGCTGGGATCACAGGTGCACACCATCACACCAGGTTAATTTTTTGTATTTTTGATAGAGACAGGGTTTCGCCATGTTGCCCAGGCTGGTCTTGAATCCCTGAGCTCAAACAATCCTCCTGCCTCGGCCTCCCAAGGTGCTGGGATTACAGGGGTGAGCTACCATGCCCAGCCTCTAACACTGTTTTTTTTTTTTTTTTACAGACATTTATAAGTAACTTTTACTTACAGATACTAAGAAGATACTTGAGCACAGCAGAGAAAGTCATAAGTACACAGTCCAAAAGCCATAAAGAAAAGACAGAAAGAAATCTTTGAATGATTTTGTATTAAATCACCCCAAATCCCAAGTCAGAGATTTCTTAGGCTAATACGAGATAAGATAATTTATCCTAAAATCACCATTAGGCAACGGTGGCTGACAAACCCATCTTGATTCCATTTAGACAACAGTCTAGGAACTACATGGATAAAATTACTCCTGCAGGAAGATGACAAACTAGCCTCCAAAATAGCCCAGGTGAATGCAAACAAAAAGATTATCTTGTCTCTGGGACGATTCACAACCTCTCCGATGAGGCAGGTAGATATACAAATAACATGATCTCTGAGTACAATTGTATAATTGTGGACTTTTCTCCTGAGCAAACCAGCCATAGACAGACAAGAAGGCATATGGAACTTTCCTAAATGAGTCTTTCTACTCAGTTTCAAAACGACTAATAATACAAATAACTGAATACTTCTGAACCTCCCTTTCAACGTTTTTGGAAAGATACACAACACCCGGGGCAATTGAATATAGCTGTGAACAATGGCAGAGCAGATCCCAACACTAAATAGCCATATGACTTGGAACAAACTGCTTACCCTCCTGAAATTTCAGTTTACTTACTCAGTCATAGAATTCACCTCATATATTACTGCTGAAGTGTTAAATGAGAGCACAAATGTGGAGTGTGTCCGGCACTCAAAGAACTCAATAAATATAATTAGTTAAAAAAAACTAAGCATCAAAATTAAAGTACTGGAATCTTTTTTATGCTGGTCCATTCCAGAATAAACTTGAATAAATAGAGCTATTTCACTTCAGGAAAGGAATTTAGCTGGGTACAGTGGCTTATGCCAGCACTTTGAAAGGCCAAGGTGGGAGGATCACTTGAGGCCAGGAGTTCAACACCAGCCTTGGCAAAATAGCAAGAATCTGTCTCTACAAAAAAATAAGAAAAAAAAAAGTTGAGCATGGTGGTACACACGTGTAGTCCCCACCACTCAGGAGGCTGAGGTAGGAGGATCACTTGAGCCTAGGAGGTCAAGGTTGCAGGCAGGCAGGCAGGCAGGCAGGCAGGCAGGCAGGCATAGAAAGGAAGGCAAGAAGGAAGTAAGACAGGAAGGCAGGAAGGCAGGAAGGAAGGAAGGAAGGAAGGAAGGAAGGAAGGAAGGAAGGAAGGAAGGAAGGAAGGAAGGCAGGAAGGCAGGCAGGAAGGCAGGCAGGCAGGCAGGCAGGCAGGCAGGCAGGCAGGCAGGCTGGCTTAGATATTCCTCACATGTGAGCCTCCCCAGTGTGCTCTCTTTATAACAAAAATCAAGAAAATGCTATGTTGGATATGCTCCCAAATAGGTTCTACAATTTTTTAAAACAATTTCAAACTTTATAATTTTCAAAATCTTAGTTTGCAATGGACATCCTGACAGGGTCTAAAATTGTAAGTCAAATGAATGTGTAATTAAACAGCTTCCCCTAAACTAGTTGGTCTTTTGAGGATGACATAAATAATGTGGAATTACTTTTTTAATTTAAAAAAAAAACTTTTTTCTTGATATGGAATTCATCTCAACATAACTAGCCAGTGGTTTAAATTTGAATTTACTACAGCACCGAGGAAGAGGCTGGGCAAAGACCAAGAGTCGCACAGAACAATGTGGGTCAGCTGATGAAAGGAGAAGGAAATGATAGTTTTCTATCTTTCTGGTGTATGGTCTTAAAGCAGTTCGTTATCTGTTACTTGAAAGAGAAATGCTAACCCAAAGAACTGTTAGAGACTTCTCTTAAGGGACGAATCACAAAGAGATGATGAATAAAGGGCAGGAGAGCAAGGCATGACTGTAACAGCTTGGCCCTGGGTGAAGCTAGACAAAAAATTTCAGAAAAGCCCCAACTCAAAAATTACAATGAAAGTAAGTTGTTGTGTGCTTTCTAGTCATCAAAAGTGTTCTAATAAAAAATGAGTTCTCAAATAAACCATACTAGAAATAAACATTTTGGCATTATAACAGGATGTAGTTTAATTAAATAAGTCAACTAATTGACCAAATTATTCAGTCAACTGGCCAAAATGAGAAAGAGGAAAAAAAAAATATATATATATATATATAGCAACAATTTTACCTCTTAACACTTTGTGAGAGTCCCAGGTAAAGCAACAAAAGATATGAAAAAAATCAATCCCTTTTTTCAATCCAAAAAGATAATTTGTTGCTCTTTGGGTCTCGACCAACATTTTTCCAAAGCACTGTTTTAAAATCTCAAGATAGTCCCCAAAAGACTGGTAGATAGTTTAAATTTCATTTTAAATTACAGTTTTAAATATTTGTATTAAGATTGGAAAATAATAAATTAACCATAATAGCAATTAAAACTATACTAACAAGTAAAATAATCCAACTGAAGGAAACTTTTACAATATATTTCACCTAATGGAGCTTAAAGAAAATCAGATTTGAAAGTTTTGCGGAGGAGGAATATTCAGAGACACATATAGTTTCTAAAGACAATTTTTGACATTGTCGCTTACTTTAGAAATTGGTGTAAAGCTGCTTTCTCTAAAACGACTTTTCTTTTCCATGCTTTCAGTATATACTGACACTAATTTCATCAATTGAGATTATTTATGGGACTTAAATAAAAAGGTGCAGTGGCGCTAAATAATAAGTGCTAACAATCACTGTTGAGTGATTTTTTTTTTTATAAAATGATATGCTGAGAACTTCACATGCATTTTTTATTTTAGCCTCCCATTTTATAGGAAACAAAGGCACAGAGTACCAGGTAACTTGCCAAGATCACCGGATAGGAAAGGGATTAAAACCTAGGCAGTATTTGTCCTTCTGTGACTGATAAGATTTTGCTTTGAGTTATCTAAATTAGTCAAACTCATAGGAACAGAAAATAGAATGGTGGCTGCCAGGGTATGAAGAGAAGGGGAAACAAGAATTGCTGTTCAATGGATATAAAGCCTCAGTTACGCAGGATGAATAAGGCCCAGAGATCTGCTGTACAACGTTACACCTATAGTTAGCGATACTGTATTGTGCACTTAGAAATTGTTTAAGAGGGAAATCTTGTGTTTTTAATTTATGATGGTTAAGTATTCCTACCATCAGAGGCATCCTAACCAGAGTCACTCCATCTTGAATGAAGGTGGGAAAAAGTCAAATCTGCTGGGTTACTTTCCCTGGGGTTCAGCACTCTTGGTCACAAGATATTCATGGTTGAGGGACTAAGTTAATAGTGTTAACTAACTGTATAAGACCCAGAACTTATGGAAATGCCCTAGTACTTTAAGAACAAAAACCATTCTTAGTTTGAGAATAGGTTTTGCTTTAAAGATAAGCGTAATATAAGAAAGTAACAATATTAATAGCCTGCCACAAGCTAATCACAAACCATCATAAAAGAGTACATCAAAACCTATTTATATAAGCAAGCATTGTATTTGAAATGGCGGTGTGCCTCCTCTTGCATTCTGAGGACACCCTACTCTGCAACTAAGTAGTATCTAATAAACTATGTTACCTTCACTATACTATACTCTGCCACTCGCCCTGAATTCCTTTCCATGAGAGATCCAAGAACCCACTCTTGGGGTCTGGGACAAGAACCCTTTTCCGGTGACATTACCACAATAAATAAAAATAAATTACATAATTAAATACATTTTTAAACAAACAGGTCGACTCCAAAGCCTTAGCGATTATTTAGGCGGTAATTAAGCTGACCCAAGGCAGGAGGAGAGTGTAGAATAAAGATGTTCTTGCTAGAAAGAATAGAATGAGACAAAACTAAATGAGTAGCAGGCAGAGAAATAATGAAGGCAGACCCAAAATAGCAGTATAGGCAGGGCTGATGAGGGGGTGTACCGAGGTATAGCATAGCAAATGGGCTATGAGGAGTGTGAATATGTGGAATTGAAACAGCTCCCACCTTCGGCCAGAAGCTGTCGCGATTCCCAGAAGGGCAGGGTTAACAGGACACAGTCATCCCTCGCATAGGCGGGAGAGATCAGTTTCAAGATCCCAGCTTATACCCAAATCCGTGCATACTAAAGTCCCACAGTCAGCCCTGAAGAACCTGAACATCCGAAAAGTTGCTTCTCCCCATATACGGGTTTCCCATCCCGGGATACTGTAATTTCAATCACCATTTGGATGAAAAAATATCCGGGTATATAAACGGCCCCACGCAGTTCAAGCCCGTGTTGTTCAAGGGTCGGCTGTGCATACATTGGGGCTGATTCGCTCAGTCAAACCACCTAACATCACAGACGTTTCTCAAAGAGAGTCTTGCCTGTAGGTGACCTCCACTGACATCTCTACCTCTGCTAAGGAGTAAAGGAATAAATGAAAATTCTGCGTGCCACTTTTGAATGGATGCCAACCCTTGGCTCTTCATTCTACCTACTCTTATACACACAGTAACACTCTAAACCATAATAATTCTACTGTAAGTTTCTTCTTTGAAATGGCAATCGCCAGCAGGGAATTCTGTAAGAAGAATCTACTCTATCACTGCCAGGGCACACAGAATTTTGAATTAAGGAAACAGCTGGCTGCTTGCCACAGGCAGGAAATGGAGAAGAGCCAGTCAGCATTCATCTCTCTACTTCTGTCCAACTAACTACTTCTAGCTCTCTTCATCTGCCTTCATCTTACCTCTTTTGATTTGGGGATTGAATCAAAGAGCTGTTGTGCACCTCAGATGCAATGGAGTATCAACTTACAAAAAGATACAAACAGTGAACTAGGGCTGCCCCAGGTGCCAAGTTAGGCTGAGAAAAGCCTAAAGACAAAGGAGTTCAGGCTGCAAGACTGAAACCTGAACACACTGATGAATACAGTACCACTACTTAAGCTCTTACTGATCAGCTGCTTCTGAATTAATCACCAAATAATGGGCAGCATTTACAGAGAGCTCCTAGTACTCCTGGTACACAAAAAATACTTCCAATAGTTGCATCAACTCTGGGAAGAAGTTTTGCTTTCCCATTGAAACAGAAGTTTAGAGAAAAAAAAAATGACCATATAATTATTCAGTGATGGATCAGTATTCCAATTAGAACTCCAAACTTAACGTTCTTTCCATTAAACAGTGGAATAATACCAGGGAAACACTGAGATTTGCTTAGAAAGTACTTTGGAGTGATCAAAGAATTGTTTTTAAAAAAACGGAAAAATTTCTTAGAAGATCAGGATTCCACTAAATGGTCATAAGTTCTTTATTAGATGGGAATCAAACATTTAGGAGCAAAATTGATTGAACAGTTATGCATTTCCCCTTCCCCTTCCTGCTTCACATATTTTACAATGAAATTACTGAAGTGGTGGGGTGGGGGGCTATGAATGAGCACGGTAGATAACACCTGTATCCAAAAAGACTACAAATAATACAATGAGTGCAGAAACTTTGATTCACCATTGAGTACCCAGTCAAGAACAGAGTCTGGCCAATATATTTTTTAATAAAATAATTCATTAAGAAAAATGGAAAACTATTCCCACTAATGTAATTTGAAACAATAATCCTTAGTACATAGAACTAATTCAAGCATGAAAAAATTACAGTAGGTTTCAGATAATAGAATCTCCTTCAAAATGCTTTATTCATGATTTCTGCTATGGTTTAATAATTCAAAAACCTATGCTTTGGGGTAAAGAGAAAGTATCACAAAAACAGTCCAAACACCAAGGAGTAAAGCCTACCGATTACAATGAATGACAATCTGTGACCCTGAGGATAATTATATGCTGCCCCTAATTAGTCTTCCAAAAGTTTGAGAATTCATCTGCTGAAAGTGAAAATGCAGTTGCAAATAGATAGACTTCTAAACATCTGAATGGTTCCCAGAGTAAATAATTAAATATATTTGGTCTGTAATGGACCTCAACCATGTGCTAATTCCAAGCTACTACTTTACATTCACATTCTGATTGTGATTTACATTCTGACTCATACTAGAAGCAGAAGAGTAGACAAGAAAGAAGAATATCCCACCCTATCTTTTCCTTTTCTTTGAGTTAGCTGCCTGTAGAAAATATTCAAAGTACCACTGAGCCTTGAACAACAGAGCTGGAACTGCACAGGTCCAAATATGTAGATTTGTTTTTCAACCAAACCAGAGAGAAAATACAGTATTTGTGAGACTCAAAACCTGCATATCCAGAGGGCCAACTGTTCATACATGTGGATTTCATGGGGCCAACTGTAGGACTTGAGTATACATGGATTTTGGTATGGGCAAGGGGGTTCTGGAACAAATCCCCATATTTACCCAGAGACAACTGTGGTATAAATTAGCCTTTGGCATCCTTTCACCTCCATTTTCTTGCAAAGCTCCTGCTACTTAATTTCTTATCTCTCAAGGGTTCCAAACTGTCTTCATGGTAGGTTATGGATGAGAGCTTGCCTCAGCTAAGGATTCAATGCTATGCAATTGCTTAGATCCTCTTTCTTTCTCAATCAAAACTCTTTCCCCCGATTTCAGATGAGTGTTAGAAAGGAAACAATGCAATTAACTCATGCTAAAGTATGATTTTTAAATCTAATTTTTAAAATATATTTGTATGTTTCAAAAACTTGTTTTAACATACTAAATGCAATATAGTGAAATTTTCCCATTCTGCAAGTAACTGCTGCCATTAGTATCTTGTGAATCCATCCTTAATTTCTATGTATATCTGTATGCGTGTGTGTATATATACAATCAAGAAGAAATATATGTCATTTCTCTCCTTAATAGAAGGTAGTACACTATATGTGCTGTCAGACACCTTTATTTTTTATCTTTAATAAAATGCCTTGACCTTTCCATATCAGTATATAAAGAAAGAACTGCCTCATTATTTTAATTTTTTTAACAGCTGGAGAGTATTCAACTGTATAAATGGACTACAATTGATTTAAGTAGTTCCATGCTGATGGACGTTTAGTGGCTTTTCAACTTTTGCTATTAAAAAAAAAATACCACGGTGAATATCTTGTACGTAGACATTTTGAATAAATTCCCAGGGAAGGTGTTGTTAGATACAGCCATCTGTATTTGATGGATGCTGCTAAATTACCCCCTACACTGTGTGTTCCAACTTACACACCAAACAACAGCATATAAGAATTGCTGTTTCCAAAATCTATGCTAATATAGAGCCACATCAAATTTCTGAATATTTGACAATCTTAGAGGTGAAAAAAATGACAATTCTTATGATTTTAATTTGCATTTCTTTGTTATAAGGATTATTAAGCCTCATTTTAAAAATCTGCTTAAAGGTTTATATTTCCTTTTCTGTAAATGGTTCATATCTTACCAACACTATGAATTTTGGGTAGCCACTTAAACCTCTGAAAAGCATTCCATGTTTTCTAAGGAGACTCAGTCACCCAAATTAGTCTGTAAACGGTGCTATTTGAAAAAACATGAAGTGAAATGGAAACTTTAGGCAGTTGTGGGGAGAACATTCTACTGGGCAAAAGTAAGCAACAAAGAGATAGTTTAGCCTTGTCTAAAGGTCTTTGAAGTGCTCTTTTATTAATCAAAAAAAAAACAAAGATTAGAAAATTAAAACAATTGGCAAACAGCATTGGTTTTCATGTCAAGGACCAGGGCCCACCCTCAAGTCCCCTCTCCCCTAGGCCTTACATTAAGGCCTTTCATTCTTGACCAGCTAGTCTCTCCTCTAGATAGTGTAGAAAAAAGCTAATACACATAAGCTTGGGAGTCAGATCTATCTTCCATGAAACTAACAAAAGTATAACACAGTCCGCAAACAAGGATTCACAAGATGGATTCACTTCTAAGAGTCAACCAAAAGATTAGTAATTTAAGACGATATATACAGAATGGTTTACACATGAAAGAGAGCTAGACAGCTGGTTTTGGTCACTATTGCAGTAATAACAAAAGATTATGAAAGCACAAATGGTCTGTACTATCATTCTAAAGAGAAGCCATCAGAAAAGAAAGCCTAGAAAAATGGTTCAGAAGAGACCACAGTGGACACCAACACTCAGTAGCTATAAGCCCAACATGTAAATAACAATCAAAACTAAATCTCCAGAGATCTCTGACTTCCAAACTCAGACCGATCTAGGAGTCATCAAAAGTCAGATCTCAAGTGTTAACTCCATATTTGAATAAATATCAGAAAAGACAAGTAAAGATGAATACTGCTAGACATGTCTTCAAAATACTTCATAATGTTCTTTACAAAATTCTGAATAGAGTTGTACATTTGTTTAAAGTTTAAATATGCAAAAGATAGTTCTGGAATGGAGTAAAGCAGGTAGACTTTCCTCCCTGAATTCCCTGCACGCTGTCAGGTTAAATTCTTCTAGCCTTGGGGCCACAGTCACCTCATTTTTCAATTCATTGCCTACCTCCTTTTGCAGCTCCCTCTTTCATCATTTTATCTCTGTCCACCTTCTTTTCCTTCAATGGTGGTGGGATCAGCATTGACTAGGGATCTAAGTCCAACATCTAACCTCCTCCTAGACCCCATACCCACCTCAAGTAAACTATTTTTCAAATAGGTAAACATTTGCATGTTATCAAATGCAGCTTCAAAACAAGTCCATGGCCCTCCCACCTACAACTATATGGCCACCCATAAGCCCTCCTATATAGGAAACTGGCCACCAGTGCCCATAAAATATACCTAATTATTTCTGGCCCTGTATACTTGTACTCTACCAAACACCTATCTCATTTCTCCCACACAGTGGTGAGCTTCCAAAGAATAAAAGTGCATCTTCATACATAACGAAAAGTATCTTCAAACTAAACTTGTGCAAAAATGGTAGTACAATCTGTACTATGCAGCCTCTACTATATCCTGAGCAGAACAACTGAGGATAGAGGCATATAAAGGGTTAAGGGAAAAAGTCTAATTCATTCACCGATGGACCCCTGCATCTTCATGGCTCTAATTAACATAGCCAGTACATTAATACAGTATCAGTTAAAGAATAATCAGGAAACTTAATGACTAATTGAGAAGAAAAACTAAGATTTATTGTAAAAGGAATTTGAATTTGTATAGCATTGGTGAAGCGCAAACATATGTGTACTTTCATCAGAACTGTAAAGTTCAGAACTTTAGTAATTGGTTACCATCTTAAAATAAAGCTGACAAATCAAGTTAAAATAACATGATAACATAGTACACTTCACAAAAAAAAAACCAAAAACAATAAGATTAATTATTTAAAATGGTAGCAGACAGGAACACTGAGGTCATTCTGAAAAACAGAATTTTCTTGGAATTTCACATGGTTATCAGTACACCGTCTTTAAATATGCTCAGTCTAAATCAGTAATAAGCACCACATCACAGATTACTGAAACACACAAGTCTTTATGATTCTATCTGCCAGGTACCTGGAGGAGGGAGACGTAAGAAGGAGATGAGGGAAGAGGGGTGAGGAAGTGAATTGAGAAGAAGAAAAGTAGGAGGGAATAAGGGATGCGGAGACTAGAAAAATAGAGGAGGAAAGAAGAGAGGAAAGGGGAAAGAGGAGGAGGAACAAAGTGGGAAAAGAAAAGTAAAATTATCATATTATAATCCAAAGGTACAAGTTGTCTGGAGCCTGGATTTGAGGGAACACTAGATTAGGGAGCAAGTATAGTCATCCAAGTGGCAGAGACTAAAACGGTGAGGTTGGGGTGAAATGCAATAAAGTAGAAAGATCTGTTATTAAACTAAATACAGCTTAATACTTGAAGGTGAGGCAGAGACAGAGAAGGAATTATGACTCCCAGGTTTCTGATATTAATCACTAACTGAGTCAAAGCCAGCAGGGAAGGTTGGAGGAAGAAAATACATATTTGTACAGGAATGTAATGATTTCAGTTTGCTATGCCTGGGAAATAAGCAAATAGAGATATGGAAAGAGTGAAAGTTTCCGGGGCTTGACAGAGACACTCTCCTAGACCAGATTTTTTTTTCTTTTGTTTTTGAGATGGAGTCTCACACTGTTGCCCAAGCTGGAGTGCACTGGCACGCTCTTGGCTCACTGCAACCTCCACCTCCCAGGTTCAAGCAATTCTCCTGCCTCAGACTCACGAGTAGCTGGGACTACAGGCACGTGCCACCACACCTGGCTAATTTTTGTACTTTTTGTAGAGACAGGGTTTCACCATGTTGGCCAGGCTGGTCTTGAACTCCTGACCTTGTGATCCACCTGCCTCGGCTTCCCAAAGTGCTAGGATTACAGGTGTGAGCCAGCACTCCCAGCCTTCCTAGACCAGAATTTATTCAGGCTCTTCTAAGCCCATTTCTCAACTAGGCCCCAAGAATGCCAGACGTGAATAGCCCAATGTTAGCAAAATCCTGCTTATCAGTTTAGTGAGAACCCTCCAACCTATTATACATCTGATCAAATTCCTCATTCCCCCGATTCCCATCCCCAGGTGATGTATCTCACCACCCTGGCTTGCCTTTAGCAAGAATTCTGTTAGGTCTGTTTAACCAGAATCCCCTTTTTCCTCTGAGATTTCCTCTTAGTAATTTTCCATTCACTGACTCCCAACCCTGCTTCTGTGGCTATAAATCCCCACTTGTCCATGCTGTATTCAGAAGTAAGCCCAGTTATATGCTGAGCCCTCTTTCCCTCTATTGCAATAGTTCCTGAATAAAATCTGTTTTTTATCGCTTTAACTACTGTGCAGCTCTGGTTTTCTTTAACAGGCTCAAAGAGAGGTCAGGACTGGAGTAACAAATTTAGAGTAATGAATGAGTTTATAGATGGTAAGTAAGAAATAATGACTTCCGAGGTTGAGCCAAGCAGAATGTCCAGAAAAGTAGAAGAAAAAACAGAAATGAAATTATGAAGAAAAGGGAAGTAGCTTCCTAAGGAGCTTGTTGCCAAAAGAGTATTTATTGTCCATTCAAAGAACAACAGATCTTCCTTCAAAGCCAGGATTTTCACACACCATTTATATGAGCAGGTGAAATTATTGAGAGAAAAGATAAGAATTTGAGTCTCAACACTTCATGTATAAAATAGTTCATTGGACTGCTAGGAAAATTAATGTACATATATTCCACATTTATATACAATACCATAAATATACTTACATATAAAGTATGTGTGTAGAGTATATATATAATTTCTGGCACACACTGATGCTCAAAAAAATGAGAGCTCCTTTCTATTATAGAATAAAAGGGCCAGGTGCGGTAGCTCATGCCTGTAATCCCAGCACTTTGGTGGGAGGAAAGCTTGAGCCCAGGAGTTGGAGACCAGCTGAGCAAAATAGCAAGACCCCCAACTCTACTATTTTATTTATATATATATATATATATAATTTATATATAATAGTATAAATACTATATATAATTTATATATAATAGTATAAATACTATATATAATAGTATATTATATAAATACTATAAAATAGCATTTATTCTCATCCTTTCTTTTATATATATGAAAGTATAAATACACTTACATATAAAGTATATTTGTATAATATGCTTATATAGCTGCTTCGTGACTTTTCAGCTTTAGGCATCATCTATTGTATTAGTCCCTTTTCACACTGCTCTAAAGAACTTCCCTGAGACTGGGTAATTTATATAAAGTATATATATGCTTACATATAAAGTATATGTATATATATATACTTACATATATACATGAAAGGATGAGAATAAAAATGCATTAAATGCATGTAGTTCTAATTACAGTATACATTTTTCTTCCTAATATTTGACCAACTTTTAGAAGCAAAGCAATGGCAATTATATATTTGATTTTTTTAAATGTTTTGAGTTTTCTTGTTTTGCCTTAGGAATGTATAGTGATATTTACATTATCATTATAGCTGTATGACCAGGTAAACCATATTAACAATAAGACTGCTTACTGTCATTGGTGGAGTCCACCAAATAATGGCTATTGGATGGGTAACAAACTGCTCCTGATGCTGAATTCTTTCACCTGTTTTCTTTTGTTTTTGAAACTGAGCAACAATTAACCTCGACAGGGTTGCTAGAAAATTCCAAGTATATAGACCTAACATGTTCCATCTTGTATAGGTTAAGACTGGGCCAGTTTTCTTCAATTAGAATCCTACACTGGCCTCTCACCAAAAGGCATGTTAACTGCAGAATCAGATCCAAGAGAAAAAGAAAAAAAAAAAATCTACCATTCTCTAAGTAACGGTGATGAACTCACCTATGACTTTGCAACCTGCACTTCTCACTAATGTTCTCAGATGTCTGGCTGGATAAGCGATTTCCAGATAAACAAGAGAAAGGGTAAAACCTCTTTCAGAAAACTCCCTCAATTAGCAATCACCTTCATTTAGCAGCAGCACCTCTACCATGCCAGCTGCAGGGGGAATTAATTAAATTTAATAGAAGCCACGGGGGAAGTAATTAAATTTAATAGAAGTCATGGATTCCAAATGAAGATAAACTGTATTTGTAATCAGACCTACTGTGTCACTTACTCCCAGGTCTGTAAAAGCATGAGCCAAGTACTGTACAAACCGCTTTCCACAGAAACACCAAGTTTCTGGATCACTCTGTCATTCTCACTTCAAAATGTAGAATAATTGATACGGCATGCTATGGAAAGCATTCCTAATTTTTTAAAAATTCTTTCTGCAAAATAAAAAGTCTGTGACACTGTTACATGTCAATTATGTGTAAACGAGCAGATCTGAATAGCACAGAAGCCGTAGCACAGACAAGAAGTAATGAGAGGTTGGCATGTTTGCTTTGGGAAGGAAAACTAGCAGCCCATTCATCTAAATGCAGTTATGTTTCAATTTAACTAAATTATAAGGTTTGAAATTAGCAATGCTTCAAGCACTCTGGGCTACCGCTCCCACCAGAACACTTCATCTTTAATACCTGCTCCAGCTTGCAAATAAAACTAAGGAAAACAGTAGGGGAAAAATGCTCAAAACAGCTTTTCTAACAACTGCAATCTTGTGTTTTTTACCCCTCAGAATATCTAAAGCTTAAATAAGACAAAGTCAAGTAATACTTTTTCTTTTCAAAACTATACAGTATATTCTACTGCATAGTTACTTAAATTTTTATCTTATTTATCATAATAAAGTGTAAGCTTCTTAAGGACAAGGATGATCCCAGTTTCAAGTTTCCTATTTCTAAAATACTTAGCACAGTGCTTTGCACATGGTGAGGGGGTACGAAAATGTTTATCATCCCACTTTAATGAAAAAAAGATAGCATCACTCTCTATGAAATCATTACCAACACTAAAAGCAGCTCCTGGTTTGAATAAGCAAGCTGTTATCTTGGTTGGTAGTGAAAAGCCCTGCCAGAATGCCAAGATTTCTACCTGACCTGTGAAATAAGAGAAATCCTAATTTTGGAGTTATTCTGAGGATTAAATTATATGCAGTTTATTAAAGTACTTTAAGAGAAAATAATAATAGCTAACATATAACAAGTCTCCACCATATGTCAGGCACCATGCTGAGCACTTTACATAGATCATTTCATTAAATGCTCACAAAACCACTAGGAGTTGGCTACTTTTTTTATCTCTAATTTACAGTAGAAGAAAGTAAGATTTAGAGATGTTACATAACTGATCTAGAGATCCACTAAATAATTAGTGGTCAGACCCAATAGCTAATGAGTGGTGAGATCTGACCCATGCTTAATCTATTATGAGTGCTTAAAGTAGCGGGAAAGCTGTGGCCATTTTTGAGTGTGCAGATTCAAAACCGTGCCTTTTTTTTTTTTTTTAGATGGAGTCTCACTCTGTCACCCAGGCTGGAGTGCAATGGCACGATCTTGGCTCACTGTAACCTCCACCTACCAGGTTCAAGCAATTCTCCTGCCTCGCCTCCTGAGTAGCTGGGACTACACGCGTGTGCCACCAAGCCCAGCTAATTTTTGTATTTTTAGTAGAGATGGGGTTTCACCATATTGGTCAGGCTTGTCTCGAACTCCTGACCTTGTGATCCGCCTGCCTTGACCTCCCAAAGTGCTGGGATTACAGGTGTGAGCCACCGCGCCCGGCCCATTCTTCCTAAAGATAAGAAACGCCTGTAGCACAAAAGCAAAGGCCTCTTTTTATTTGGAAATATTGGGGCCAAATAAACATAATAAAATACTCCATGACTCAGAAATATCCTTCTTTATGCTGTGGCAAATGCAAATGTCTTGTTCACATGGCCAGCCACCAGCCATGTTGGATGCCCCTTTATGCATTTCACCTCTAACGCACGTACACGCTATACTGACTCTCCCAGTAGATGACGGCCCACTATTCATGCCAGCGTCCTTAGGGCCTGCCATGTTACAGATGCTATAGATACTTCACAAATGCTTCTGAACTAAATAAAGAACTATTCATTTTTTATAACCTTGGTTCTGGAGTTCTGGAGAGATAATAAATGATGGCTATTTATAATCATTAACTCATCTGAGTATATAATTCCAACTGTTTAGCTGTTCTGCAAAGAATGTTTGGTCTTTTCATTTCACACCCTTTCTCAATTAAGCTGAGCTGTAACCAAGTTCCCCTATACATATTCCTATTATAGAACTCATAACATTTTTCTGCCCACTCACATCCTCCTCTGCTAAACTATAAAGATCTTACCTTATTCCTCTTTTATCCTCAGCACTCAGCACAAAGCATGCCACATTAGGCACTAAATAATTACTGGAAATAATTTATGCACAAGGCTTTGTATTAATAAGATGCTAGCTCCTTACCAACAAAAATCAAAGATTTTCTAATCTGTTTGGGATGAGACAGAGACAAGAAATTATGAATACCATTTACAACTTAAACTCTAATCACTGACCAAGCCCAAAAAGTACTAGCCAAGCAGAGCATTTAAGAGGGGTTATCTAACAAGATATTTTGCCTTCTCTAAGTGGCAAAGATGACATCAGCTTCTTATGTGTCACTGTCCAATGCCATGCCAGTTTTGTTTGTTTGTCTGTTTGTTTTTGTTTTTGTTTTTTTGAGAAAGAGTCTCGCTTTGTCACCCAGGCCGGAGCACAATGGCATGATCTCGGCTCATTGCAACCTCCGCCTCCTGGGTTCAAGTGATTCTCCTGCCTCAGCCTCCTGAGTAGCTGGGACTACAGGCACCCACCACCACGCCTGGCTAATTTTTTTTTTCCCCCAGTAGAGACGGGGTTTCACCATGTTGGTCAGGCTGGTCTCAAACTCCTGACCTCGTGATCCACCCGCCTCGGCCTCCCAAAGTGCTGGGATTACAGGCATGAGCCACCGTGCCTGGCCCGCCAGTTTTATAAAATGTGTTTAAATGTTTGCACTCAAGTGATTTTTTAAACATAAGCAAACACACATGCATCTGGAAAGGGCTTCACAAATCTCATACTTACACCATTGAAAAAGAGACTTATTTAAAACCCTTTTAACATTTTCTTCCTTCATCTATATCACTTGATATTATTTAAAAGAGCTCAATACCTATACTCATGTATTATTTTATGAGAATTTACTATTTTGCTCACTCATGGTATCTGATATCAATCTCTATAACCATTCTTAACACACCTAGAAGGACACTTTTTTCCAGGGCTCTACCTCATTCTTCAATGTTGCTTTTTTCTCCAAAACGGAAACCTGGATAAAAAAATGAAGGGGAAAATACAACAGTAGAAAATCCTAGAAGAAATTCTAATAAAATAATCTCATCTCTGCTCTCTAGGTAAAAACAATGATTTTTTTTTCCCAAGGTGCAATTTTTTAAATTGACTATTAACCAAGGGTAGGAATAAATATATAATATTTGCATGTGAATTAGGTGCTATGTTAACTCAGTAACTGAAAAGTCTAACACATTCACACTTACGCTGTTTTTGCCCATATGCTTACTTTGTGAGATAAAACTATAGTAGTACAAAAATCAGACAAAGAACTCTATAAGCTGGCTGGGTGCGGTGGCTCATGCCTGTAATTCCAGCACTTTGGGAGGGCGAGGCAGAAGAATTATTTGAGGCCAGGAGTTTGAGACCAGCCTGGCCAACGTGGTGAAGCCCCGTCTTTACTAAAAATGCAAAAAAAAAAAAAAAAAATTGCCAGGCATAATGGCACACGCCTGTTATTTCAGCTATTAGGGAGGCTGAGACACCAGAATCACTTGAACCCAGGTTGGGGGCGGGGGCGGAGGTTGCAGCAAGCTGAGATCACGCCATTTCACTCCAGCCTGGGTGACAAAGCAAGACGCATCTCAACAAAAAAAAAAAAAGAAGGAAAAGAAAAGAAAAAGAACCATATAAGCAGAGAAATGATATTAATACTTTGACAGTGGAGAAAAGTATGCCACCTGCTTAAACCATATTTGTGTCTAAGGATGTGCACACAGTTATGACAATGAGCAAGATCACTATTAAGAAATTCACTGTGAAGCATTATTGTACTCAATTTATTTGAAAATTAAAAACAAATTATCTTCTTCTCTGTAATAGCAATTTAATTTATCCAAGCTGTTAATGAACCAATTAAACAAAACCACTTGTTCTAATGCATGGAAGAAATTCTACTCTTAGAAATATATACCAAAATAATTTTCACATATAAGTATAATTGCTTTATCGTACACTATAACCTCCCCTGCCCCAAACCACGGATACTCAAAGTGAGTGTTTCTCAGGGCCCTCCTGGGGTCTTTGAGGTCAAAACCATTTCCACGTCATATTAAGGCACTACTTACCTTTTCCACTGATGGTGCAATGAAACTCTTGGTTGGTAAAACTGTTGATTCCTTTAGCAAGAACTAAGGCAGGGGCAACAAATTTTACTGGCAGTCATTTTACTTTTCACTGACATGCAATCATAGTAAATAGAACGCAGTTTCACTTGACAATATCTTTGATAAACATGTAAAATTAATTGTTAAAATCACAATCGTTATGTCATTTTAATATTCTGTATGATGAAGGAAAGTATACATAAAGCATTTCTGTTGCATATCAAAATAAGATGGGTTGTTTATCTCAAGGAAAGCACTTATGAGACTGAGATATGAGCTGAACTAGCCACTCTTTTCATGAAACGCCATTTTTACTTGACTGATTCACTGAAGACAAACTCTTCCCAAGTGGTCATGACCAACGTTTAAAATGAGAAAAGGAGTAAGCCTGTCACCTCAAGAAAAATAAGTGACAATGTCTGTTGCCAATGACAAAATTTGAGCTCTTAAGCCAAAAACGGTATACTAAAAAATTTAATCCACCATCCTGAGCTTGACAGCTTTCCAACTCTTAAAATACTTTGATATTAAAAATCTGATTGTTTGATACATAATGAAATATGCCAACGTGGGGAACATCTAAATAACTTAGCAACTTGATATTTTCCAATTGACCAATACATGATGTTTCCAAATCATGCATAGGTAAAAGATCCACCCAAACTACAAAAAACACCAATCTATTTTAACAAAACAGAGTATAAATTGCTCACTGATAAAGTTTTAGATTCTGATTCAAACTCTTAAGAAATTATAATCTGTAGACTTTTGGCATAGTATAAAAGAAGGATATACACAATTATTTGAAAAGTCTATAAAACACACCTCCTTTTTCCAACCACATATTTGTGTGGGGTGAGTTTTTTTAATACATTCAAACAAAACAAAATATGAGATTGAATGCAGAAGAGGTACAAAAATTTAGTCTTCTAATAAGCTAGAAACTGAAGATTTGCAAAATATGTTAAAAAAAAAGCCTCGGTAAATTTTTTTTGTTTGTTGTTTATTTTGGAAATGTAGGGGTTTTATTTCCTGCAAAAATACGTTTTATGCTAACATGTAATGGGTTTTTAATTATTGGTTTTCTAATCTCTCAGTTTTAATTTCTTATATGGTAAATATTGATAGACATAATCCACATAAACCTAAGTTATTTTAGACTGTCAGTAACAATTTTAGGAGCATAAATGGGTACTTGAACCAAAAAGTTTGGAAACCACCGAACTAAGTCTAGCTATCTACATTATAGCATGGTTTTCAATAGAATTTTTACCACAATCTTCTAATAAAATGAAAATATGCTTTTCATATATACACATAAAGAAAACCTACCAAATGCCAAGCACCATGTTTATTCTTCAGGATGCAAGATAAATATACTTTATTTTTGCCCTCAAGTTGCTTATAGTTTTGTAAAAAGATATGCTAGTCATTCTAGAACTATTTGAGGACCGGCCACATGGCAGCTTGAGCCCTCTCCTAAAGTCTCCAGCACTGTTCTGCCTGTTCAAATGCTTCTTACAGTTCTAGTGCCACCTTTCATCTCTGCTTATCTTATTTCATGTGTTTTCATTTTGGTCCCCTTTCACTTTCTCTGTATTTCCCAACTTGCATATAAAAGGTCACCCTCCCCCTTAACTAAGCATGGTCATCCGAGTCCTCTCTTCTTTTCACTTAAAATATACACAAGTGCATTTGGTACTTTTTCCCCAGTTAATAAGTTGCTGGTTGTTGACTGTGTCTTCCCTTCCAAATGGGCTTTTAGGGATGCATTACATTCTCTTTATAAGGTTTTAATTATCAAATATTTTGATATGGTAAAATTATATACCTATACAACCTAAGCTTCAATCGCTGGGGAAAATAATCCAAGCTTACTTTTCTTAAATTCACATCCCACAAGCATAATGAGGCAAACCATGCAAGACACAGCAAGGTCTTTTACTGAGTGCTCATTTCCAAATAATGAGAAACACCTATTGAAAAATCACAGCAAAATTCTGAACTGATCATGATTAGTCAATACCTTATTCTTTCACTGTCCAACACCAGGGAGGAACTGAAAAATGAAAACAAGCACACTATAGAGATATGACCATATTTTCATATTGAGGTAATTAATTGGGCCATATTCTATAAAACTTGTGTTGTTATTGCTATATAGGTTTCCTGTTTTGGATGGAAAACAACCTTAAATTGGCTTCCGGAGATGGCTACTCTCCAACCTCTCTTAATTCCTATTAACTCTTCCTCTGCCCAGTCAGCATAATGTGATTAAGAATAAAGATCTACATAGTCAGAGGAACTTTGGTTCCAACTTCACTGTGTCACATTGAGTACTAAATTTCCTTAAGCCTATTTCCTCAGAGTTAATAACAGCTGACCTGCAGATTTAGCGATTAAATGCTATCATGAAGGTATGTAAATAACATTGTGACCATCACCTTATAACCACTTTGAAAATGCTAGCTATATTGGTCTAATCAAAATACCACTACTGTAGACAACTGTATATATTTCCATTTTCCCATGGCAGAATCTGAATATTACAAACAGTCATTCCATTTCTTTGTCTCAGAATGGAAATAGACAAATCTACAGGGGGAATGGGATTAGACATGTGAAATATCCCACTCTGAGAAGAGCAGAGAATTGGGACTCACTGCATAGGCTCTGGATCTCCCAACGTCTGCACCCCTTAGCTCCAGCCCAACCCTTTGCTGGACCCATAACTTTAGACAAGTAGATAAATTTTAGCTTCTGTTGCATTAGGAATTAGATTACCTACCTCATGAGGTGTTATGAGGGTAAATAAGCTAACGATTGTAAAGGGCCAAGCTCAAAGCCTGGCACAAAATAAATCCTGAACAAATGTTAACATTATTTTTTGGTTGCCTTTGGAGTGTTTCTTCTACAATTCATTTACCTTAGTTTGTAAGATGAACAAATATAAGGAAGCACCTCCCAAAACTCCCCTATAGAAATGCTTCGAAAGAAATCCATATGCTCTGATAAAGTTTGGCAAGAGGATAAATAATGTGGCAAAAACAAAATAGCCACCCTGTAAATGTGCTTTTATAATAAGTAATAAAACTTTGGAATTTGGGATGTATCCAAGCTCTACATTGGTGCTACTCTACCCAAGCTGCATGTAAGAATCACATGGAGAAACTGAAAACTATGATGCATGCAGGGCACCAACTTAGTATGCTGAAAACTGATACATAAGGAAGAAAATTCTTCCACCTTGCCATTAAAAACTGTGGTTCCAGGTAACCAAATAGCCCTGGCAGGTAAAGCAAAGTTCTTCTATAGAAGTTAATTCCAGACACTCTATGGATAAGAAAGAATAAGACACAATACACAATAACATATGGATATATAATAAGAAAATCCCCATTTTGCAGCCCTTAATGGAATAAAGCAACAGCAACGGTCTTCAGCGAAGGGCAAAACCTTTAGTTTTAAGAGACCTCCGTCCCTTGCCCCTTCAGCCAAGTGAGGACATAGCCAGAAGACAGCTTCTATGAACCACAAAAAGGGCCCTCGCCAGACACCAAATCTACTGGCACCTTGACCTTGGATCTCCCAGCCTCCAGAACTGTGAGAAATAAATTTCTTTTGTTGATCAGCTACCCAGCCTCTGGTATTCTGTTATAGCAGCCTGAGCAGACCAAGACAGTTCAGATGCTGCTAAGCAAACTTTGATGATAATTTAAAAAGAGTTATCTAAATAGCAAAGATTTGTGATGTAATAATGAAACATCTCAAATACACAGGCTTTAGGCCAGGCTAATGCTAACCAGCCATCTTTTTGCTTTATCAATACCTTATTTAAAAATATTTGTTATTTATTTGTATTGCAATATGATTTACATGCCATAAAATTCATCATTTTCAAGTGTACAACGCAGTGGATTTTAGTGGATTTACAACCATCATTATTGTCTAACTCCAAAACATTTTCATCACCCCAAAAAGAAACCCCATACCTGTCAGGAGTCACTAATTATCCTTTAAAGAGATATACCTAATAAAAAATGTTATATTTACTAATATAGGCATCTCAGCACTGTTCTTTTGTGTAGATCCATACTTCCACCTGGTATCATTTACCTTCTGTCTGAAGGAAATCCTTGAATATTTCTTGTAATGTGGGTCTGCTCATGATAAGTTTACTCAGCTATTTTGCTTTACTTTTTGAAAGCTATATTAACTTGATATAGAATTATATAACCAGACATCTGGTCCTGAAGAAATTTTTTTAATGCTCTCCTTTTACTCCAAATTGACTAATCTGAAAAATAAGGATTCCTCTGGGGATTAAATGTAGGGCTGTATATAAAAGCCTTTTGCAAAGAGTCAATCTCTAAGTAGAAAATATTAAATATTTTAAAAGGCAATTAATAGCATATAAAACAAACTATTCTAAGTAACTCAGAAGCTTAGTTTTTCTAGCTCCTAAATGATGTTAATTATGTATCAGAAAAATAATAAAACTTATTGTATACAAAATTATTATGTGATTCAGACTTTCAGTTAATTCAAACAGGTGTTGCCCACAAGTCATCTAAATTAGCAAGTTTTTACTGCAATGCTATTAAGTTGCACAGAAAAAATAAATAAATAGATCCAAAATGGGTATATTTGCTGATTTGAAATCTCATTATAAATTCTTATCATTAAATACACTCATTTTCTTCTTAGTCTCATGTCAATTCTCTGCTTTCCTGACCTTGAAAGCAGGTATATTGCAGGTAGAAAACTATCATTCCCACTTAGGGGCTACAGTGAGATATGCTCAAATTTGGAAAGACGCTCCCCTTTTAATACTGAAAACAGTTAAAATTAAAGCATAAGCAGCATATCCTACTTCAGAAATGATCTATCAATCTATATATGAGCTCAGAAGCAAGTGACCTGACTCCAGAATCAGATTCAAATCCCAACTCCTCCACTTATTTCAGAGTGCGATTTGAAGCAAGTTAGTGCCCATTTCTCTACCTCTCCTTCCCTCTTGTTTTAATAGGGATACCAAAGGTCATACATTTGTAATATTCACACTCTAATGTCTTATGTAATATTTAATGGGAGGGTGAAGATATACAGTCATTTTAGAGGAGAGAAGAACACAATTTCTGGTGGTATTTGTCCAGCACAGTTAAGAGTTAGAAAATACTTTCCTCCTAGAGATGGCTATCAGGTACCTGGATAGAAAAAATGTCCAGACACAATTTATACAGCAAACACAATACTTTTGAACACCTAATTTAGGAACACCTAATCCAGGGCTGGTTCATCTAAGAGCCATATAATCTACAATGTGATCTCCCAGCGTGAAATCAGTCATCAAAAGAAGTTAATAGACAGAACCAGGGAATTATCACCAATTATTCATGATAAGTCAGTCTCTTTTCAGCTTGTTTTATCATGAATCGGGCTCCTCAAAACAGATAAATCAAAATGTTAACCCTGCAAAATTCAAGATCCAGCAGTGGAATGGGGTGACATCATCGATACTCTGAAAATCTGCCCTGACAAACTCTTGTTATGAGATCATAACAAGATTTTTCAACAAACAGACTTAAATTACCCACTATGTGCCAGGTACTATGAGTATAACAAAGACACAATTCCTGCCTTCACATTCCAGCCAGGGAGGCAGAAGCCCAAATGCACTTGAATATGAGGCCAGCCTTATGACAAGTTACAAACCAAGGGTTACAGAACAAAAAAGTATCAGAAATATTTGTAGATTCAACAAAATTTGTAAGTAGGAATCAAATGTAATTGTTTACCCTGAGTAAAAAAAATGAGTAAAACCATATCAGGAGTATCTAATAAAATACTAGATACTCTTTAATGCAGCACAAAAATGACATAAAAAAAGGAAGGCAAAGTACCAAAACACACTGAAGTTATGCAGTCCCTCAAGTATGGAAGATAAGATAACTATAATTACCATATTCTAAACAAAAGACACAGAGATTACATAATTTAAGGTTGAAGTACCATATACTTTATTTATATACATTACTAAACTAAAAGTATGATAGTTCTGAACTTGGACTATGGACAACTGCCTGGGTCTTTCCGGTTTTTAAGCAAACATTAGATGAGATTCAAAGTTTTACTTGCAACCATCACAGAGAAAGAAAATGTCCTTCATTGGCTTTTTACAGATAGAAAGAGAGAAGAGCATTCATTTATTCACTTCATGTGTGGTTTTATAATTTCCTCTTTAAAGGTAAGTCTAAATTTGAAAAATACATTTCCCAAAATGTTTCTATTTCCCTTTCTTAAAGACTTATGTTTCAATAACAGCTCCCAACCCACCCCTGTAATCCAAATCCTATTTGGTCCTGCAGTGAAGTTAAATGTAGGATCCTGACATCAATTTGTTGCCATGGAAATAATTGAGATGTCAATGTTTCCGCATTATGACTGTACCATAGGAGCAGATGGGCTGACAAGGGGGAAAATCTGCAAATATCTCTCTAATAATTAGCCAAAATATGAGGTAATATTCAAAATTTACATTATTATAAAAATCTGAGTCATATCTATCTAAATAGCACAGAATACAACCAATTTCAACTTCCAAGTTTACTATGGAAAATACTTTCAAAGTATACAAACAGGAAGGTTTACCATATTCTTTTATTCACTTGATTATGTTTTCTTGCTTGTTGCATCACTTTTTGTGCTGCATCTATAACCAAGTTCAGAATAAATCAGATTTGACAAAAGCAAACCTCATTCCACACAGAGAAGTAGGTAACAATATTGAGTAAGTTGAAGAGACAGACAGACTTAGTCCATCAACTGCTTTCTCTGTCTTACTAAAAATATTCCCCTTGTGAAGAATACTGGACTTGGCTAAGTAATCATATAGCTAATCACTTGCAATAAATTTTTGCCAGGTCCTATATTTGCCATTGTGCTTATGAATTTGTCCCAGAAAACTGACTACTTGAATACAAAGACCAAATTCTTTTCTGCATCCTCCACAATACTTAGCCACATCTCCCAGACTAAGCTGAATTAATAGTCATTTATGCATTCACATACAGATAATTTTTTCCTAAAAATGACAAGAGTTTGTTTACTTAGATAAAAATAGGTCTAGAGATTATATATAGGTGCACATATGCACAGATATGTGCCTAAATCATGAAAATTGTCACTTGCCTGATCTTCATAAGGTACTGTCATTTGGAACCTCTTATTCTACCACCTACAGTGTGCCCTTTTTATCCAAACACGAAAACATTGTTCTTCCCCATTGCGGGCTAATTACGCCATCTGTTTAACCACAGTACTATTAATGTTAACTCCTTAACATTTCCACATGTACTGCCCTCAAACACCTTATACTGTCAAATATACAAATAGTAGAGAAGGCAAGAAAATCAGTCTCCCAATTTGTATTCTCAACTGTCTCTACTGGGTCAACACTATGGTCTCCATAGGGACTTGAACATTCAGAAAATTTCTCTCCATCTCTTACTTTAGTGGCACAAACTGTCAAGATGAATAGCAATAAGAAAATTGATCTCCCCACCTCCATCCAAACTAAAAATCAGGAAATATGTAAATGTTTTGGGCAAAAAAAGGAAACAGGGCCAGTATACAGAGAGCAGATGAAGAGTCAATCATCTGACAGGGATTGCTTATTCTTAAGATTAAGCCAGCTGTTTTATTCACTTTATTATAAAATAAGTTAATAAAAAGATGACACTCTCCTTACAGATATGAGTATGCAGTCATAAATACAGAATATATGGAAGATAACTCTACACTAAAAAATTTAAAATATACTCTAAGAAGAGTATAAACTACACATTTGTATAATATGACTTGAAATAAATGTCTACATTTAATTGCTTATAATAAGAAACCATGCCATTTGAAGCAGATTTTAAGTGTCCTTTTTATGTGCGCATGTGCACACGCACACACTTGCACACACACACAAAATGGCAACTGTGTGGTGAACGGTGTATTAATTTGATTGTAGAAATCACTACACAATGTATATATGAATTAAGTCATGATGTTGTACATCTTGACTATATGCAATTTGTATTGGTCAATTAAAATTCAATAAAACTAGAGGAATAAAAAAGAAACCATACCATTTGAGAGAATCACAGAGCATTTTTCAGTGTATTTGTTTGCTTACATATGTGAAAGAAATCCATTATGCTCTTCTCCTTACACTCATCTCTGTCACCAATGAAAAGGCACACACACAAACGACGGACATTTCTCATGGTCATTCAAATATTCCTTCTATTATTAAAGCTCACAGAATTTTGGAAATACATGCATTGACATTAAAATTATATATACACTTAAAAAGCCATCCTCATGGCTTGAAAATTGGAATGTTTAAATATGAGCAGTACAGGTTAAAAGTATCAGGAATCTATTGCAAAGGAAGAAAAAGATTAATGGTAAATGTGTTGGGAATCTTTGGCAGGCTCCTCATTTGGAAAATGAGTAGGATAAATTTCATTATCCCTATGTTCCTTCAAGTTTTAATATCCAATAAATCAAAAACATCTTCTTATAGTTATACGATCACACTAAATTAATTTACCGGGCTTCTATAATGGTCAGGGCATGGCATCAAAACTTGGCAAAGTTCATTATAGCCCATAGCTTTTATGCCCACTACTTACAATGGGACAAAAGAAAAAAGGAAGACAGGCAAGAAACCCACAACCACCTGGAAACCTTGTTCCACCTCACCAAGTTTCACCTTGAAAGCCATTCTCCCACCACCTGGATCTCTGTGGATCACCTATGAATTCTGAAGTGATGGCTTTGACAGCTTTATACCCAAAGCTGCTACTAAAACACAGACATCCACAGCAAATACAAATGGAGTCATTTGAACCAGTGAAACAGCACAGGCCAGAAGTCTGGCCCTGTACTCTATAGACTGCAAGAAAATGCTCATAGTCTGTTGCTATCATTCTTTAAGTTCCTCCAAGTAAGAAACCTTCATGGGCTGCCATTTCTAATAAACAAGACAATCATGGTACTTATCTATCAGAATAATAACATTACACTGGAGATAACAGTTGTCCATAATTAATGGGAAAAGATTCAAAGAGGTTGTATTAGTCTGTTCTTGCATTGCTATAAAGAAATACCTGAAACTGGGTAATTTATAAAGAAAAGAGGTTTAATTGGCTCAGGATCCCACAAGTTGTACAGGCAGCATGGTAGTATCTGCTTCTGGAGAGGGCTCAGGGAGTTTTCAATCATGCAGAAGGCAAAGGGGGAGCACAGCATCTCACATGGCAGGAGCAGGACCAAGAGAAAGAAGTGGGGAGGTACCACACAATTTTAACAATCAGATCTCATGAGAACTCTACCAGGAGAACAGCACTAGGGGGATGGTGCTAAACCATTCATGAGAAAACTCCCCCATGATCCAATCACTGCCCACCAGGCCCCACCTCCAGCACTGGGGATTACATTTGAACATGAGATTTGGGTGGGGACACCGATCAAAACCATGTCAACAGTGGAGAGTAATAATACATTATTGATTATAGATTCATTGTATGTCCCAGCTGTGGTTTGAAAATCATCAAGAATGCCCTTTTCCAGCTGGGCATGGGGACTCACACCTGTAATCCCAGCACTTTGGAAGGTCAAGGTGGGAGGATTGCTTGAGCTCAGGAAGTGGAGACCAGCCTAGCAACACAGTGAGATCTCGTCTCTACTAAAAATAAAAAATTAGCAGGGCATGGTGATGCATGCCTGAAGTCCCAGCTATTCAAGAGGCTGAGGTGGGAGGATCACTTGAGCCCAGGAGGTTGAGGCTGCAGTGAGCAGCTGTAATCATACCACTGTACTCCAGCCTAGGCAACAAAGTGAGACCTGTCTTTAAAAAAAAAAGAAAGAATGCCCTTTTCCTTCCAAAAGAAGTAATCATTAAAGATAAACAGAGTTGCCAATTTGGGGGTGTTCCTTCTCTATTAAGTCACTGACACAAGTCAAGTGTCTAGAAAATTCTTTATTTTGGAGAATCAAAGCACACCTAATTTAATGGAGACACAACTGCTGTCCCAGTGTAGCTGATGGAGCAGATGAAAGCAAAATGCTTCTCCCCATTTTAAGACATTAAACTTCTGTAAGAAACTTTCATTTCTCCACTATTTGCTTAGTTAAGGTCAAGCTGATCAAAGTTGATATTAGTTTTACATTGGTTTATTTATATATTTATTTTGAAGGTTAAAATTAGCCATGTCAAAATGAAGGACAGATATAAAATAATGAACACTTAGAGGTGTAAATATAAAAATAATATTAACCTAAGATATTCCAGTTTACAGTCATCTTTAAGGAAGAATAGTAAAAGAAAAAAATGAAGCTGGAAAGAAATTATTTTTTAAAATACTCCTTTACATTCATCTTTTTTCATTTCTTATAATGGACCAATTTAATCGAAGTGTTTCTCTTCAGCACATCAACCTCTGTATTGTCAAGATTTGTTAGGAAAAAACATATTTATACATTTGTAGTATAGATATGTATAACCACCTTGTGAAAAATGTTTTATCTTTTGTTATTCCGTGTGTGTGTGTGTGTGTGTGTGTGTGAAATCCAGATGTCCTAATGAAAAGCCAGAATTCATCAGATGTTGGAACATCACTGTGGTATAAAGGAATAAACTGAAGCTATAAAATGCATTAAAAGGACACTTAAATACATTTGCCTAACAAGTCCCCTTGGGGGAAAAACTGCATTAAAATAAATTTTGCACACACACCAATTTTAAAAAGGAATTAACTGCTTACAAAAGTTCCAGCACACATTGACCTGTTTTTTTTTCATTTTTTAAGATGAAAGCACCTGGCCACAATTGACGTTAACAAAAACACACACTTAAATTCTAGCAAAGTTGATTTTAATAAAGGATAAGGTAAATTTGTTTTAACTGCTGTTAAGATATAATTCACATACCACAAAATTCACCCTTTTAAAACGTACAATTCAGAGGCTTTTAACGTAGTCAGAGTTGTGCAACAATCACCACTCTCTGATTTTACCTTTCTCTCTCCTAAAAGAAACCTAGTGCCTACTAGCAGTCATTCCTCACTTCCTCCTCCCTGCTTTCCTAGGCAACCACTTCCCATCTCTGCAGATTTACCTGTTCTACACATTTCATACATAACTGGAATTATATAGAACAAGGTCTATTTTGACTTGTTTATTTTAGCATAATGTTTGTGATTGCATTTATCAGTGCATCATTGATGAATAATATTACATCTAACATTTTCATATTACATCTAACATTTTTAAAGACAAGTTTCAGAAGATTTGTTGGTATTTTTTTCTTTTGTTTTTTAAGAGACAGGGTCTTGCGATGTTGCCCAGGCTATACTCCAACTCCTGCGCTCAAGCAATGCTCCTGCCTCAGCCTCCCAAGTAGCCAAGGCTATAGGTGTGGGCCACTGTGCTTGGCTAGATTTGTCAGTCTTCTAATTTCAGGCCCCCATGAAAATATTTTTTGAGCAGAAGAGATTAGGCAAAAAGGTGTCTTAAGAGAGTTAGTAGAAAAAAATCAATAAAAGACTCTAGAGCAGCATTCTCCAATAAAAATATAATTAAATCTACATACATAATTTTAAATTTGCTAGTAAACTGTATTTTAGAAAGGAAAAATCACATGTTGTTTATTTTAATACTTATGTAATCCAATATAGCCAAAATATTATCTTCAATATGTAAATAATATAAAAACTAATGAGATAGTAACACTCTTTTGTTCTTATCATACCCGTGATGTAACTTAGCATTTATTACAGATCTCAATTCAGACTACCCACATTTTAATGGCTCAAAATAGATCTAGAGAGTGGAGGGACATCAGAGAAAGACAGGAATGGCTAGAAAGGATGAGGAACATGAAGTGAAAACAGAGTGGAAAATGGAAGGCTATCTGGGAAAAAAGTAGGTATATTTTATTTATTTATTTATTTATTTATTTATTTATTTATTTATTTATTTGAGATGGAGTTTTGCTCTTGTTGCCCAGGCTGGAGTGCAATGGCATGATCTCGGCTCACTGCAACCTCCACCTCCAGGGTTCAAGCGATTCTCCTGCCTCAGCCTCCCAAGTAGCTGGGATTACAGGCACCTGCCACCACACCCAGCTAATTTTTTGTATTTTTAGTAGAGACAGGGTTTCACCATATTGGCCAGGCTGGTGTCGAACTCCTGACCTTGGGTGATCCACCTGCCTTGGCCTCCTAAAGTGCTGGGATTACAGACATGGGAGCCACCGTGCCCAGTCAAAAATAGGTAAATTTTAATTTCTTCGTTAAATATTTTTTAGTCCCACATCTAGCTACACCTAGAACCCCTATCACACTGTGCATGACACTTGGAAAATTAATTAATTGGGTTATCAAGGGGACTATAAAAAAGGAACAATAAATGCCTGTCCTCAATAAACATATCACCACAAAAGGTAAAATATTTAAAAAACTGTACATTAGAAAGTGATGCCCCCTATATGACAAATGCAGATAAAGTGTGGAAGAAAAGGTTCAGAATTTATTCACAACTAGAAAAGTCAAGCACTGCCCTTCCAAGTTTGTCCTATATTCTCTCTGCTTGTTTATACTATCTATTGTCTCTCTTACAACAGTTAAAATTAAGTGTTTGATGCTAGTGTTTGGATCACCTGGCAGCCTCCAATGTGCTATTCCCAGGGTTAATAACCAGTTTAGAACTGGGGGTCTCTGCTTACACATGTTGAATGCCTGTGATGTACATTCACCTCTTCAAACCACAAAGGCTTCAATTTACCTGTGAAATGCACCTTGATGCCACATCTATCCAACGTTTACCAACCATTCAAGGCCCCCATCAGCATTTAGCTCTATAACATTGATATTTTATCTTAAGTAGTTTTATATAAAACAAGTTTATACTTTAAAGATATGCACCTTTCCAGATAACAACATAAAACTAATATAGCTATTAGGAAGTGAGAAATTGAAGTATTTTATTCAAATTTTATTTAGTTTCTGCAAAATAATTCAGCCTTCTCTATAAAAGTCAATCTTCACGGTTTTTTTTTTTTTTTTTTTTTTTTTTTGAGACAGAGTTTCACTCTTGTCACCCAGGCTGGAGTGCAGTGGCACAATCTTGGCTCTCTGCAACGCCCGCCTCCAGGGTTCAGGCAATTCTCCTGCCTCAGCCTCCTGAGTAGCTGGGATTACAGGTGCCTGCCACCACACCCGGGTAATTTTTGTATTTTTTTTTAGTAGAGATGGGGTTTCACCATGTTGGCCAGGCGGTCTCGAACTCCCGACCTCAGGCGATCTGCCTGCCTCAGCATCCGAAAATGCTAGGATTACAGACATGAGCCACCACACCCGGCCAAACTTTACTTTTAAATAAATGATTCCTCCATGAATTACATGACAAACTTTTAGATAAACTAAATTATGCCTGGAATGCAAAGCACCTACTCACTATTGCATAATATTTTAGGCAATGAGCCAAACTATAAAAAATACACAAAAAAAAATCTCTTCATGTAGCTAAACAGTTGCTTCAACAGAAGTCAAGTAAAAAGTCATAAATTCAACTATTAAGTCAAACAGGCGTCTAGTCTCTAGATGGAAAGAAAATATGAAGACATAAACTAGATGAAAGCTGGCACAGAAGGCAAAGTAAATTACTTAAGGTCCCTAGGACTTTTGAGTAAGAAAAGAGTGCATTAACAACCCAAAATATCCATTTGTGTGATCTGCCTTAGGAGATATAAAAGGAAGGAAAAAGTTAATTTGGAAAAAATCAACAAAGCAGATCTCTGAAATCTGCTGTGCTGATAGAACCATACATCAAAAGTAATAAATTAAGAATTTTTAACATGTTATTATATATTTCACCAGGAGCCATCTAAAGCCTTTATTTTAGTTTAAATATATATATATACATATACATATATATATATATACACATATATATATATATATATATATATATATATATATATACAACAGATGGTCACACAACAGCTCCAGCACATTCCCCCGTGAGTACCTGTAACACCAGCATAACCAACTCTTCCAACTTGTGACAAAGGACAAAATTCGAGCCATAACACCAATGTTATTTTTTTTTAATTTAGAAGAAAATAAAATAAGATCACTGAGATTTAAAAAAAAAGACAATAACAACACAAAAAAAACACTGCAGGTCTACAGGAGTTGCAATAACAGAGGTCACAAAGGCTATGGATGGAAAGATTAAAGACAATTTGTTCTCTCTCCCGGGTTTGTTTTTTGCTCTGAAAAAAGGTTTGGGATTTTGCCAAGGACAACCCTACACTATTCTGATGTATTAAAAGTCCTCATGCAAAGCAAATATGTCCTACAATAAAGCAGTCAAATAAAATTTATAATTTCCAACAAGAGCAGTTTGGTATGTTAAACCAATTGAGAGTAAAGACAAGGCTGAAATGAACGTGGGACCCAGGGAAAGGTAGTGAAGATATAGAAAAGCTTTACGTAAAAAAAGTCTTCACACACTAAATCATGAAATAAAATGAAAATTTTAAAAGATCATGAAGAGTTTTAATTAAACAAGTTGCTTTTTTTTCAACAATTTCAGGGTAAAAATAATTGTAAAACTTTGATATTAATTTTGCAAATCCATATTTTAAATTCAAATTCCTTTTGTTACTACTATAAGGCTATAAATAGCTCAATTTCAAACAATTTAATCTGTGGAAAGACAATTCTTATTATAAAATATTTGGGAATTCCTTAGGGTTCTAAGTACAACCAAATCTATTCATATACCATGTTTAAAAAAAATGTAAAAATTATGGAAACGAATCAATAAGTTCCAAAGGTGAAGCTTGTTTCCAAGCACTAGTTCACTATTAACAATTGTCAGGGCTGACTTTATCACTTGTCCAGAACAAAATGAAAATGCAGGCCTTTTATTCAAACACCAGGAAAATGAATTCCTTTATCTTTCTTCCCAGGTGTCTCTCTCAACTTGTCACTTATTTTTTATTTGCTATTGAATGACAAGCTCTCTTGGGCATGGGACTATCCATGAGGTGATTAGAGACCCTCACAGGTACCTGGGGCCCTGTATCATAACTCAGTAAATACTTACCAAACTCAACCATACCCACACCTGTGCCCAAGCTCCCACTAACCCACCCCAGGAAGGCAAGAGGCATGGGAGGCAGACCATATGTGAGCAGAGGGTCCAAGCCTCAAGCTCTCGGCCCATTGTCTCATGGGGCTTCATTTATAAAACCAAAATCAAAGATAAAATTAATAAAAATTTCAAGACAGTAATAACAGGATATTAAACCCCAAGTGTGGACCCTCTTCTGAATTTGGGATCCTGTGTCACTGCACTGGTTGCCTGCCTAGGAAGCAAGTCATACTTGTTACTATGACTTGTTACTCAGTTGTTACTCAGACTAAGGGAAAAAAATTACTAAATGTTTTTTTCCTGAATGTTTTCTTGTAGCAACTACTGTCAGTTTACTTGGCTGAATCTGTCTTCATAGTATCTACTGCCAAGTCTTTGTCAATGCCACAATTACAGATAAAGAAATCTAATAGAAGAAAAAACACACTGGATATACAATATTTTACCTGTTAATTCATGTGTCAGACAATCCATACTAAGTGCAAAGCAAATTAGTTCTGAAGCTTAAAGAAGACAATAGCATAGGCAAGAATTGTCAAAGACGAATATTCTAACACAGATTTTCTTAATCTAGAAAATAAAGCAATTATATTTGAGGCACTTTCTATGCATAATGTACAAGAGCCTCCTACAGGTACAGGGTAACAACTGTAAGTAGATGCATTTCAGGTCTTTGAAATGTCAGAGTCTAGAAACACAAGACAATTAGGTTCCTAATAACTAGCAAGGGGGATAGTAGGCATGGCCAGATATTTAGACATTTAAAAATAAATTATTTTAATTTGGGATGAGAAAAACGGATTTTATGAGTACTCATTTTACAATATACAATGTTGCACACAATATACAATATGGCTCATTTTAATTGAATATACAAGGAAAATGAATCAACAGAAAAGGCAGAGTATGCTTCAAAGAAATGCACACAATATTTTTCAGCTAAGGCATTTAATATACATAAATTTTAAATGAAATGTAAGAGAAAAATAATATACAAATGAATAAACCCTTAAAAAATATCAGAGAGACTGAAGTTGAGAATCAACTAAAACTGAATGATACTAAAAATAACAAAAGAAGCTTTTACTATTATATTTTGGACACGAGGATTAAAGAAAATTATGCTTATATCAAGGCAGACAGTGAACTGCATTTTGTTGGTTTGTTTGAGGCAGGGTCTCACTCTGTCTTCCAGGCTCTGCAGTGGCACAGTCACAGCTCACTGCAGAGCATTGACATCCCAGGGTGATCCGCCCACCTCAGTCTCCCAAGTAGCTGTGACTACAGGTGAGCACCACCGCGCCCGGCTAATTTTTTTGTATTTTTTGTATAGACGGGGTTTTGCCACGTTGCCCAGGCTGGTCTCAAACTTCTTGCCTCAGCCTCCCAAAGTGCTAAAATTATAAGCAGGAGCCATTGGACTGGCCTAGTGCAGTGTTAACAATGGCAAATCCTATCTTGCTAATGTTACTCAGTTTGATGTTGAGAGGGTAAGATAAATATCACATACAAAAAGAAGAAAGTAAACCCTGCACATAGATGAGAATTCTACAAAATAGCAAATGTTCACTTCCAGTGAGTTTAGATATCCACTCCCAGAAGAACTACATCCTAACCGTAAGAAAACTTACAGATCTGTGTCATTGAAACCACTTTGTCTAAGGTCACTGATGACTTTCATATCACCAACGCGAAGCATGTTTGCAGCCCTCACTCTTCTTCATATTTCAGCAAAATTCAATACCGGTGATCACTTACTTCTCTTCATGTTCTTGGCTTCCATTATGTAAACCTACTAGTTTCTTCCAACCTTTCTGGCCACTCGTAGGTTTCCTTTGCAAATTCATAGTCCTCTCATTGGCCATTAAATGTTGGAATTTTTCCTTAGTATCAATAGCTTCAATTAGAAGCAAATGTAACTGTCCCATTAATCCTCTCATTGGCCATTAAATGTTGGAATTTTTCCTTAGTATCAATAGCTTCAATTAGAAGCAAATGTAACTGTCCCATTAATCCTCTCATTGGCCATTAAATGTTGGAATTTTTCCTTAGTATCAATAGCTTCAATTAGAAGCAAATGTAACTGTCCCATTAAAATTCTTAAAATTCCATAATCTAGATATAATCCTTTGCCCTCTACACCTATATATCCAACTACCTAATTGATTTCTTGACTTGAGTGTCACTATAAACTCCATGAGGTCAAGGACCACATTTGCTTATATTCAGTATCCTGCGTCTAACATCTCGCACAACGCGTGGCAATTAGTGGACACACAAATTATTATCAAATAAATAAATAAAGACTATTCTGATTAGAGAAATCTTAGTTGATGATGGAGAGGGCAACACTTTAACTGCTGATTGAGCCACCAGTACAAACGAATTTGGGGCTCACAATTTGTAGGAATATTAACAGGCTGACATGCATATGTTACTAAACATGTATGCATATACACACACACAATCTTAGACCAAATTTCAGTCTGGCAGCATCACACAAATCCTGAATTTCAAGTTTTTAGTTAAATAAACTCTTCAATGGAAGTTTATTAGGGCCTTCATTTAAGAGCCTGACAATACAATACAATACAATACAATACAATAACATTGCTTATCAGTAATGTTTATTTTCAAGGAATTTGCCTCTACTTGGACTTTTTCTGTTCTCAAGTTTGTATTACTGTTAAATATTATCTTTGATATAAATTGTCATGAGTAGAAAACTTTTTCTAAAATAGATTTGCAGAAAAGAATTTCCCACCAAAACCTCCAGCAATTCCATGACTTCGGTGGACAACACCAAAACCTCCATGTTGGTAATTCATATTTAGACATGTCCACCCACCCAAGAAGCAAATTTCCATTGGTTCTGTTTTATTTTCTCCTAAATTTTCTCTAACCTAACTAGTATTTGGCACTTTGCTTTAGTCAGAGATTTCTCTAACCCTTTGACAAATTCCAATGTTTCTGTTTCAATCAGAAATAATTTCCTAAAATCTCTGTACGAAATGAAAACACTGCCTCAAGCCAGGGAAATTCAATATACACATTAAACACCTTTTCAAAAAAAAAAAAAAAAAAACCTTAATGTATTCAATTTCACCAACATAGGGTAAGTTTCTTTTCCACAGAAGTTCCCATTGATAAAGAAATCTCACAATTTTTTGAAACGAAGTATTTAGGTGATAGCAACGATAAATGTACTTTTCACATTTGTAGGAAAAAAAGATCACTATATCCATGGCAAGATGAGCAAAAACAAACCAGTATCTAACATTGAAGAAACAGAAATGACTACTATAAGGAAGTGCTTTCCTCCATTTATTTTATCTAGCTAGAAAGCATATATTAAGCCATCTATCAAGAAACAAAAGGTTAGCTTGTGTACTTAGCTGTAGATGTATGCCAAGGGAAGCTGCTGTTACAAATTAATAAAGAATGCACACAAAGAGAGCATGCTTGATGCACTCGGCTTCCAATAACCTAAAAATACCTCCAAAATAATGTATATTCCAACATAGAAATCCATTTCAAATCCAATGAAACAAAATGCTGGCCATTTTTTATATTATTGTTATTTACTAACACCCTGGAGTAGCTTTAAAGAGATATTCTAGCACAAGTGTTGAGGATAGGAGAAGAAACAGAAGAGTAAAACAATCAAGTTAACTTGATATCTATGCCTCCAAACAAATAAGACTTTGGCTGCTTCAAGTCATATTTTTATTTTAATGTGAATATTTAGATTAGACTTGTGGTAGGCTGAATAATGCGCCCCCAACAAACACAAGTGTCTATATCCTAATCGCTGGGACTGTGAATATGTTAGGTTATCCGGCAAAGAGGAATTAAGGTTGATAATCAGCTGACGTTGAGATGGGGAGAGTGTCCTGGATTACCAAGGTGTACCCAATACAATCACAAGTGTCTTTAAATGTGGAAGAGGGAGGCAGCAAAGAAAAGAGATGACAGTGTGGGCTTTAAAGAGAGAGAAAAAGGGCCATGAGCCAAGAAAGATAGGTGACTTCTAGAAACTAGAATAGGCAAGGAAATGGATCTTCCCCTACAGACTCCAGAAGGAACCTAGCCCTGCAGACCATTTTATGGGCCCAGTGAGACTCCTGACTTCTGACCTCCAGAAATGTAAGAGAATAAATTTGTGTTGTTTTACGCCGCTAACTTTGTTGCAATTTGTTGCAGCAGCCATAGAAAACTAGTATAATACATACTTCAACAACTAACAGAACAACAAACTAACAACAATGAAAACATTATACATCCTGTTATTCCTAAGCAGAATAATAAACTAACCATCTTATATAACTTGTAGTTTGGGGAACTCATGGTCTATTTCAGACCCCATTAAAACAATTAGTTATTCATCCTTGGGTCTCAGTTTTCATATATATATATATATATGAGTTTATTGGAATGTTCTAAGGTTTTCTAGAGTTCTCAAGTGTTTTTGTGTCCTGAATGCTAATTATGAAGTGTTGTTTGAGCTTTGACTTTTTCTATGAAATCGTTTTCTTAACCTCTAATGCGTTTTTTTTTAAACAAAAGTAGTCATGTTAAAATCAATCCAACGTAAGTTCACAAAATTATTCATAATAGCCTAGTGCTTTTCACTTTGGGCCTCTAACAAAGTCTCTGCTTTACTATAGCACTACCATCATCTTTCAAAAACACTAAGTTCAAGTAAGAGAACTTGGTGTTGAAACTTAGAAAGTGTTTCAGTTAATACTTGCCTGCAGCTTTTTTCTATGTCAGAAGAGGCAAGACAAAAAAAGAAATCAATATTGTGCAGAATTTTTCTTTTAAATAATTCTTAACATACAGATTTTACAGGTTCAATGAGGCATTATCTAGAAGAAGAAACAATATCTCTCTCTTTTTTTTTTTTTTTTTTTTTAATGGCTAAGAAGCCTTTCCTGCAAACTATTACAAGTCTGGGCTATACAGCTTAACATCCACAGTTAAAAAGAAAGGAAAAAAAAGAAACTATAGTACACATTTTCACTGCATTTAACCATGTAGTGAATTTCTTTCTTCCTTTTTTTTTTTTTTTAAAGGAGAGAGTAAGTCACCAAACTGAAAATAAACAAGACAAGGAAAGTTAAAATCACATTACATTAAGAGCTAGGTTGCCTTCTATAAGTTAGAGAATCAAAATATTCTTAGAATATATGATAATGCCTTCAATAAATATCACTGAAGGACATCATTTAAAAGCAAATTTTATGCAACACTGTTCTCTGGGCTTTAAATGAATTTAATATTCCTGGGAGAAAATGATAGTCATGGCCAATAGTTGAAAACGGTCAGAGAATACATATATTCAACATTTTCCCAGCCACTGTAAGAAATATGCCACACATCAAGGTATTTTACAGGGCATCCAGTTTTCTGATATAAGTACTGTGAGATTCTTTTTACATTTTACTCAACAAAATAAAATTTTACTTTTCAAGACATTTGGAAGTAGAAACTGAGGCAGGAAATGAATGGGGGGGAAAAGTGAATGGGCAGAAGATTCTAGCTATTAGGGAAGATGAGAAGAAAAGGCTCAGACAATCCTGTTCCAGAAAAAAATAATAATGATAGAAACTTACCAAGAACAGTTTGGGGCAATAGAGATGGACAGGGATAATATTACAGAGGAGAAAAGAGAAGCCTTAAAGGAAAGCAATTATAAATTACTGAAAAATTTAAATCAGAAAGGCATTCACTAGATACAAAACAACCTAAAAAAAAAAAAAAAAAAAAAACTCACAACAAAAGCAGGTCAATTAATAAGGAGAATGTGGCCTGGCTGTGAAATGGACCAGGCAAATGGACTCACTGATAAAATACATTCTTTTTTATTTTTACCTATAAGCTAGTGGCCCAACAGGTGTATGTGGAGTGTGCATGAAGTTAACAATGGGTATTTTCACACTGTATTTGGGGCTGGGTTTCAAATGAGTTGAATATCGTCATGCTGATTATGGTTTCTCTTCAATTACTTTAATTGAGCTAATGTATAATAAGAACATAGCAGAAGCAAATAAGTCTGTGTGCCAGCTTATGAGCGGGCAATAAAACATAGCCAAAGAAAATAAGAAGACTGAAAAAAGGCGGTTGCAGAAACAAAAGAGAGAGAGAGAGGAAAAGAGAGGGGGGAAAGAAGAGGGTGGAGAATGGAAAGATGAAGGAGACAGTTCAAGAGGGCAAAGTAGAAGTTGACAGCAACACAGCCACACCTTGCCATCTCTCCAAGGCTGCTTCTTCCCTCCAGAGAGGATAAAGCCAAGTGAAATCAGGTGATTCTGCTGAGCTTTTGCTTCTAATTCTGTTCTTTGTTTCTCTGAAATTTTCTCCTCATTAATTCTGTGTTTTATTTGAATAGTGCCTCAGAAGCCCGGTTGTGTTGCTTCTGTTTATTCACATGGTTCGTTATGTCACAGGTGGTGCACCCGAGCTACATGCGGCAAGTGGGTGTGTGCACATGTGTGTTGCTTGTTTGTTTTGTTTTTTGACACCCTCCCCAATTTAGTTTAGGGAACTCCCTGAATTTTTGACACCCCCCCCCCCTTTAGCTTAGGGAACTCCCTGAATTTGTTTTTATCTTTTTATTTTGAAATAATTTCAAACTTACAGAAAAGTTGCGAGACTAACACAAAGAACTCCTGAATATCCCTTACCCAAGTTCACCAATTTTCAACATCTTCTACTATGTATTTCCCATCTTTACATCTATTTACCATTTATTATATATAATTCTACATATTAATATTTTTAAAACAACTTGAGAGTGGTTGCATACAACTTGCTCTTTAACCCCAATATTTCAATAATATATATTTCCAACTGTAACAATATTCTCTTATATAATCACAATATTGATGCCAAATTAAGAAAACTTAACATTGATACACCACAGTTATATAATCCAGAGTTTGACAAACCTGTGAACCAAATCTAGTCTGCCACCTGATTTCATCTATTCAGTTTTACTGGGACAAAATCATGCCCCTTCTTTTCTGCATTATTTGTGGCAGCAGTGTGAACAACAGCAGAATTGGATAGTTGTTGCATGAGACAACAGTATTGCCTGCAAATTCTAAAATATGTATTTCTTCTTTTATTTTAAAATTTTTCAAACACCTGATATAATTCACAGTCCATATTCAATTGCCAAGTTTCTCCATAATGTCCTTTTTAAGTATAATTTCCAGTCTAGGATTCAACCCAGGATCCTGCATGGCATTTAGTTTCAACTCACATCTCTAAATCTCCTTTAATGCAAAACAGTTCTTCAGCCTTTTTTCTCTTTCATGACACTGCCATGAAAGAATATAGGCCAGGTATTTTTTTAGACAATTTCTCTATTTGGATTTGTCTGATATTTCCTCATGATGAGATTCAGGTAATGCATTCTTCACCAGAATGCTACAAAAGTGGTTTTGTGTTCTTATAGTATCATACCTGAAAGCACATGATATCTGTCTGCCTCCCCTCAGTGATATTAATTTTGACATTCAGTTTTTCCACTATATGGTTACTATTTTTTTTTTTTTTTTTTTTTTTTGCCTTGCAATTAACAAAATGTCTGTAGGGAAGTGCTTTAAGACCATGCAAATATCCTGCTCTCTGTCAAATTTCTATTAATTCCAATTTAGTATCCAATGATTATTCTTTCCCAAATCAATATTTACTATTATGGATGCAAAGTGGTAATTTTCCTAATTGATTTTTACGATCAGAAATCAGATGTTCAGAAATATTAAATGACTCACCTCCTAGTTATTTTTCAAGGATGCTTTTGAGAACTTGAGAACTTTCAAAACTCTTAATTTCCATGATCTTAAAGTCTCTCAGAGTACAGAATGCCTGAACGAATGTTCTGAAGACTCAGATAACCAGAATCTCCTGCTGATCAGCATACAAAACCTATCTTGTAAAGCTACTACTGGGTTAAAAAGCTACATTTTTGAAACTCCATTATTTTCATTCTAGAATGAGCATCCATTTCTATAATAAACAAAGTAGAAAACAAACATTAAAGACAAAGTAAAACAAAAACAAAACCTGACATATTTTGTATAATCTGAATTTTTAGTCTGTTCATGAATCACTCCTTTCCATGTAACCTAACGGGCCACAGATCTTCATGCAATAACCACTGTCTTAGGCTCGAGAAATAATAAAACAAGGTGTAGGGACTGATAACTAAATTATTTGTAAGATCACTGCCAGTGTTTTGCTAGGTAACACTAAACCATATTCAATTATACCCTTGAGTCTCCTAATTCAAAGGGAGAGCAGGATGGTAGGGGAAAACAAACAAACAAACAAACAAACAAACCCTGAAAGTCATGTTGTAAGAGAAACATGAATGTTTATTTAAAGCAGAGGTGACATCACGGGACATGAGAGCTGTCATCAAATAGATGAAGGGTTCTCATATGAAAGAAACATCAGAAACTGACTTAAGACATTCACAAAAGTTTGAACTGTGTCCTAGAAAACACTACATTCTTCAATGGAAAAAAAAAATGATCTTCCTAACTCACCTGATCCTAGGAGAAAAACCAATGACCTCAGAAAATAAAATAAATGCTTAGAACAAGAACAAGCTGTGGACTGAATAAATGGCAAGGAGTTGGCAACATATGGCTATATAAGTATCTGTATACTCCTTTTCTCAAATCAAACTTAACTTCAAGAAACAAGGTTTTCAATGGCTCTGTCCATCAAAATATAAAAGTTTTCAGAACTTCTGCAACAACTGAAAACTCACAAGTGCCTCAGGCAGAAGCAAGAAGGGAAATACCTTCATACCAATGCTCACTGTCATTATCTTTTTCTTTGCAGCAAAATGTATGCCCCAAACTGTCAACAGCACAAGGGCAGGAAAAGATGCTGCTAAAAGGAAAAGATCATGTATGGGTGTTGCGAATGCATTTACAAACACCCAATGTCTCAACTAAAACTGATGCCATACAATGTAATAAATAGCTTAAGAACCATTAGTACTTGTACCAACTCAGGCGATAAGAACTACTGCCTTTCAGCATTAAGTTTATACCATAAAATGTGAAACAATCTCCTTTACACAGTGTGGCAAGGCAGGCCACATTCATTGGTATAGGATGATATAAAATGGGCCCATCCTCTCTTGGTTCACTTTGAAATTCAAACCCTGCCTTTGTGGGAAGCTAAGAAATTAGAAGTATCATTGCATAGTGTTTACACACAGGGCATCTATCATCAGACTGCTTGGGCCGAATCCTGGCCCTGTTATTATCAGCTATGTGACCTTGGGCCAGGTATTTATTTTCTCTGTATTTGTTTCCTCATTTATAAAATGGTGATAATAAAGGTAAGTACCTCATTTAGTTGCTGTTTGGATTATACAATATAATATTTTTAAAGAGTGACTTGTGCATAGAAAACATTTGAGAGGTAAAGCTACTTTCTGTTGGCAATAGGGAGGCAGTGAACATTTAAGACAGACTCCCATGATTAGATTTTTATTTCAGATAGATCACTTCGCGAGAACAGCGAAAGATAGATTGGTTAGGGGATGTTATCTGTGCAACTAAAGTGGAAGACAGGAGACTACTGCCACGGTCTAGGAATGATACTCTGAAGGTCTTAACTACATCAGTACTGGAATATGCAGAAGACATAGGTATGAGAGATTTTAAGGAGACAGTGCAAGATTTGATGTAAGGAAGGTAGGAAGAACCAAGGCCAACTGGCAAGTTTCAAGTTTAGGTAACTAAAACTCTGCAAAATTCATAAGAAACAAGGTTGGGCACAAATAATACAATTGCTTTTAAGTATGCTGAGATTGAGGTACTCCTGGGCATCACTGTGGGTTATGGTCTTAGGTAAATCTGAAGCACAGGCTGGGCTGAAAAACAGAGGACTGGGCTGGGATATTTATTTGAGAGCCATCATTTCACTAATGAGAAAAATATGTTGCTATTTTGGAGAAAAAGCAGGAAGCACTTCCTTTAAAAAGACAGTATATGGCCATATCCATTATACACGATGTTCAGTGTCAAGTATTTGTGCAGTATTTAATACTGACACTAAAATCCTCCTATCAGTAGCATTCTACTAAGTCTTTGAACTCAGCACTTAGAATTCTTTTTCTTAAAAAAAATTTAGAAAGGATATCTTACCAAAACAAGTTTTCCATTACAGTTCAGTCATCATGTCATTTTGTAATTCTCCAAAGAGGACATTCACAGTACAGATTTACTTCTGTCACCCAAGAACTACACTCTCACCCCATAAGGCAGTCTTTGTGTTTACAGCACTTTTCCCCTCATATCAAGAGCCTATGTCCATCATTTTTACTGGGGTCATAAAATCAGACCCTCAACAATATCTTGGGACACACATACACACACACACAAATGATAACTCTGGATGAAGACAGATATGTTAATTGATTTGATTGTGGAGATCATTAGACATGTATATGTATATCAAATCATCATATTAGTACCTTGAATATATACTTTTATTTGTTGTTGGTTAAATATTTAAGAAAACAAACAAAACAACTTGGGTAGCATCTTGCTCATGATATGTTCAGAATGTGTTGTGTGCTAGAAACCATCCTTGTTGTCTGAGGTCAACCAATCCAAAAATATGTAAGCAGTATGAATTATCAGCTAAACATGAATCTTTAGAAATAATATGTATAAACAATACACTGGAGAATCATAAAGTCATTTTAATAAAGCAGGCTTAGTTCAACAAGTGTATACCATATATATATTTAGTTTTATTTCAACACTCTTTTTACTGTGGCTGAGTAGTGTTTTAAAATTATTTAGTCTCGTTCATAGTTAAGAAAACAATTTCATTTTGGTTTGATTCAGCAAATGCATTCATAGTTTTCAGGTTTAGCACATATTTAAGTCCTGGAAATCTGCAAATAATTAGTGGGGAACTTAGGATATGTGATATTAAGGTCTAGATGATGACAAATTTCAACGAGTATGGGTACTTTCTAAACTGCTTTTCTAAAAAAAAAAAATCAATCTTGAGAGTGAAAACGAATAAAATCTTACTAGGATGTTACCACAGTATGTAAAATAAAAAGGCTTCCATGTGTTTTCCAAGCACTTAATAAAGAGGCAATAAAAAGTTAAAACGTGATTTCCAAATTTTATGAAGAAGTCAGAGCAATCATGAAAGCCAAGAAGGATAAAAATGTTTACCCATTTTGGTGTGAAATTACCCTGAACTAAATTTTAGAAAAAGTAACAAATTTGTGGCAAATAAAGCAAGCTAATTTTATTTCAGGAAGCTAACAAATTCTATTAAAGAAAATATACACAGTTACACTTAGTAACTAGCAGATGTATTATAGCTAGGCAAGAGATCTTGAAAAAAGGTAACATTATTTTCATGGTTGCATTCACCATTTACCACAAAGTTGCAATCTCTTTTCTGTACCCTATACACAGTTACACTTAGTAACTAGCAGATGTATTATAGCTAGGCAAGAGATCTTGAAAAAAGGTAACATTATTTTCATGGTTGCATTCAACATTTACCACAAAGTTGCAATCTCTTTTCTGTACCCTATACACAGTTACACTTAGTAACTAGCAGATGTATTATAGCTAGGCAAGAGATCTTGAAAAAAGGTAACATTGTTTTCATAGCTGCATTCAACATTCACCACAAAGTTGCAATCTCTTTTCTGTACACTTTAGAATAAATTAAATTCTAAAAGCTAAATTTCAAGAATAACCACCAAGTTTCAACTAATAGTATTTAAAAGCACCAAAGAAAAGACTACTTATTTCATTCAAAAAGACTAAGAAATGAAAAACTGTGTAACATGTAGCTGATATTTGTGATTAAAAAAATGTAGAGAGAAAACATTCAAATATACAATTTAAACACTGACTTTTTTTATTAGTAAAAACCCAACCTGATTTTAAAAAGATCATAATTAAAATCCGTCTTTTTTCATAGGACAGAAATAAGAAACAATGTTCAATTCTGAGGCCTTTGAGGATAATTTAACAACTCCTTCTCCAGCCATCACTCTCCATATGCCATTGCCACTGCCACCAAAATGAAGAGGCCTAGGATAGGAACTGCACAATACGTGTAAAGATACAATTTAAGTATCACCTTACTTAGGGCAAATGTGTGGAACGTCATTTAAACTCATTGAAAGAGAGGGTTTGGTATTCCTGCCTACTTGGGAATTAATTAATTCAGACAATCTTTGGAGATAGTGTTCTGATATCTACCATTCAGTGGGGAAAAAAAGCAGAACAAAGATCAAAGAGTTTAAAAATTGATGTGATTTTGCTTATGGCTCATGGACTCCTTCATGCCTTACTTACACTCTCCTTCCTAACTCTTGTTTTCTGATAGAATACCAGCAAATACATGAGACCTTCCTTTTTTGCCTTCTCACTGGATCCATTCTGGACCCATCACTGTGCCTAAGTATTGGTGGCTGCAAAGAGTTGCAGCTGACCACACCTCAAGTACTGCTTGGTACTTTTATTTGATGTGCTAGTTCCGGAACTGCTCTAACCTTCTTTGGTCTTCTCTCCACACTGGAGAGTGCAATACAGATATTCAGGTAGCCCTAAAGTGACCTTCATGCTGACAAATGCAAACAAAATAATGTTACAAAACAAGACCATAGGCACAGGCCATTTTGGATTTTTATGATACTCTGCCACTCTCGGAAAGAGATGATTTCAAATACATGTGAGTTTTGGGGGTTTTCTGTTTGTTTTTTAGCAAAAGTAAAGATGACGATGCCTTGGGTGTTTGCTATTCAGCAGAACATTTTCAGTTACTTTCATTTTCACTTGCCCATATCAGAGAAAAGCAGTATTATGGATACAAAAATAAAATTGGTAAGACAATATTAAAGTTTTGCTAATTTACAGGCAAATAAAGAAGCATCTCCAGTTTTAGGTTAAGATATATTGCTAGGAAATAAAATTCCTAAGATACAAAATTCCTTATAGTACTTCCTCTTCCTGGACTCACAGGTGAGTTGAGCAACCAGCTCCATACCAACTTCACCTTAGCCATCCAGCTGGCTGACTCTTCCTCAGCCAGTGCTCCTGGGCTCCCACTCCTCCCTAGAGAGCTATAAAGCAAGCCAAATGTTCTCAGTGGGCAGGGGGATAGATTTGAAGCTGGAATAAAGCCTCAGCAAACACTGACTCTACTAGAGTGTAGCTGGTATTGTTCCAGTTGAAAAAAGGGTGCTTAATGACTAGCCCAGAAAACTTGTCCTGCCACAAAGTTTATGGTGTGTTCAATGGCCCAGTTCACTAGGGCTTTACTTCCCCAGCATCAATAAAACTGTATGATTCTGGTGCAAAGTTATTGCAACTAATTCAATGTCTCAGATGGAAAAAAAAAATTCTGCATTTTATTTCTGAAATGATTATGACACTAAAAATTAGGGGGAGGGGAACCCAGTAATTTTGGCCATCCTCATGTAGATCACTGCGAGCTTGCTTTAAGCCGTATGAACTAAATGGAGTTATAAAATTCCATGTTGACTCAATCCCAGTCAATGTCCAAATTTCACTGTAACAAAATCCATCTTAATTCACACATAGTGTTTACAGATGGTGGTCATGACACCAAGCTGGCATAGGGCCTCTTTGTAGTAAACAGATTGGGAGGGGGTACATTTTTAATTGCAATAGGAGTATTAAGAAAGAGGTTTCACACATAGGTTTTCACTCTCTGCCTTCCTAAGAGAGAGATGCTTCACTTGGATAGATGGTAAACCAGTATAGGTAGAATTTGAAAGAGAAATGATTAGAGGGGATAGTTAATTGCTCGTTGAAAGCAGAATTAAAAGGAGAAAAAAGCTTTTCTTTTCTCACAGCAAACAAATTAAGTGTCTTGAATTTTACTTAACACTATTTTCCTACTTGCTAGAATGTCTAACTTCTGGTTTTTGGTTAAAATAAGCACTCTATTCTTATAATCTTCATTTCCTCCACAAAATTATTTCTTTCACTTCAATATTCAAGAAATAGCTCAAGGCTCAAGGCAGTTGCCCAGAATCCACTTACTATATCTCATAACCAAACTCAGTGGTGGCTTTCTGAACCTCTCAGATTCCCTTTGCCTTTCCCATTTCTCTAAATGTTTGCCCTTGACTTCCAACTTCCAGACATGTTGGCTCTGAATTACACGAAAGTGCTGCCCCGACTCCCACTCCAATACCACACCTTAGGCCAATGTTCTTTTTTCTGATTCCTTCCTCAGTGAGCTCATTGTTCTCATCCACTTTCTGTTCTAATGACAGCCTGACTGTGGCTGAAACCCAGGAGCCATCACCAGGCTTGACCTCTCTCATTCCCCTTTCGCGCTTGTTCTTCCAGATGCCTGCAGGACATCTCACTCACATGTCAACTAAAATTGGATAGGTGAAAACCTGAGCTCTTCTTCCCCCAACAATAAGCAAGTGTTCCTAAATTCCCTGTAATCTTCAGTATTACTTTTGTCCTCCCAAACCCCTAGGCTCATAAAGTTATTTGTGACTCTTTCTCTTCTTTATCAACATTCGTCCTGTCTAAAAAACTACCATTTCCACCTCCACCATATCTCCGTGCTCTATCCATTCCTCTTCAATTTTAAATGTGGTTCCAGCTCATGTCCTTATTCCTCACATATGAATTAGTTAGTCCCTAGCTCATCCACACACCTTCAGTTTCTTCTCAGTTCTGAATTGACAGAATAACCTCACACAACAGGTAAGGCATCTTACAGAGCAGTTTAACACCCTCATTTTCCTGATGAAAAGCTAAGGCTCAAAAAGGTGAATTAACTTCCACAAGTTCACATAATTGGACGTGAAGCCAAGGCTACAAAGCCCAGGGTTCATGACTTCCAGTCCAGTGTTCTGCCCACTTTATCAGAATGCTTCCAATACCACATCAGCCACCCATGGCCAAGGCCCACTCTTCATACATCACAGGGAACAAAACCTAAAATCTTACACTGTACTATTCAAGCCATTAAAAATACTTTCACTGCTTCTCCAAATTCACTTCTCTTTACCCAGTGCTATAATCCCTCTTCCTTAAGTCATTCTCTTTGTCACATTCTTACCAACATATCTCCGCTACTAGATTGGTACACATACCATACCCTGGACAGTCATTTACTTTTATACACATTACAGCCCTGAGAACAAACTGCAAGACCCATAAAGAGTCAAATAGGTTTGCATTTTCAATTCTAAATTCAGAGAGAGAGAGGAAAAAAAAAAAACTAAAAGCTCAAATTACACCTTATCTTTTGAAGTAATTTTGAAAATGTATTTTCTTCATTCATACATAGTCTTTAATTTCATTCAGCTGTTAACATGAAATATGTGGCCAATTATTTAGGTTCAACTGTTAACTGGCCACTTCCCTTACCTCATTGCCAAGATTTAGAATATGAAATTCTATATCTTTTTTCATATTTGCAATTTTGCATACCAAATGCTCTGCATTTTAGTTGCTTTACATTGATGGATGTTTACAACTTGCAAAACTCCCCAATAGACTAACCAATGCAGATTTCAAGATGATGAACAAAGATTAGATAAATGAATGGAAACTCACTCTTTAAGTGACCAACTAATTCATTATTTTCCTACCATAATGATGTCTGTTTCCCCATGTGATACTGTAACATTGTATTGCAGGGATTGTGGTATCAAGACCTCCTTTATTAAGAATCCCTTCCACATCTTTTTCTCCTCTAGTTGTAAATCTACCTCCCTCTTTCTTGACCTGATTCAGTATCATTCCTCAGTTGCCTTGGAGATATTCTGATTGAAAATATTATAATTATAATTATAATACTGTTGACTTGTTGATAGGTAGTCTTCATCCTCTACCAAGAACTTTCATGAATATACATTTTAAGAGTATCCAGCAAGACATACATACTTCAAAGAATTGGGTCTTATAGGTCTTTTATCTTTTCCAGGACTACATAGACAACATTTTGCAGAAAACAAGCACACTACAAAGGCTGGCTAACTAAATGAAGGGGGGTTCTAAAATGAACTGTTTGGCTACCGTACATTTTCTTCTCAGAACTGAATTTTGTTCTAATCAAATATGCTATCCCAAAAATAAATAAATAAGAACTAATGAACGAATCCTGCTTGCATGGATTTCAGGCAATGACACGAATTAGCAATTTACACTGTTTCTTTTTGGTTGTTTGTTTTTAGGACTTGCCCCTAGCAGTTCAAACAAGAAAATTGACTCTGCCGGCCCTAATGAGACCTAGAACTGTGCTGAATGATGTTGGAAAACATTCCCCAGATCTTTTAAGACGTGAAGTATAAGTGAAACAGGCAGGGCTATAATATCCACCCAAGCCTACAGTGAATTTGGAAATACATTTCGGAGTTGCATCTCTGTTTACATTTTCTCATAGTTCATATTGCACTGTAATATATTTGTTCTTAGCCACAATGTATTGCTTACGCTACTCTGAAATGGGAGCGGCCTTAAAGAAAATCCTGCCTATGAATGAGATGTGGTCATGAGACATGGGAGGAAAAGGGGTGGAGAAAGAAAAGAAGGACTAGAAACAGAGACCTGTTTAAAATAAAATTTATACACCAGAAGAGGTGGATAGAAACATACTTTAGGAAACAGACTCAATGGAAAGGCTAAAAGTAAACTAGCAATGTGGACATCTTAGATAGTGAGAAGTTAACTCAAAGTAGTAACAGCCAAATCACAGAAAAGCGCCTCAAAAGCCACCCATGTACCACTTCAGTTCGTCGGTCAGTGAACAGTTTCTGCTACTGATGAACACACACCAACCAAACAGCAAGGTGCTAGGAAATACAGAGAATTCCCTCTTCTACTGTTTGCAATCAACAAGACAGCAATTGTTCTTGGTTGAATGGCTTATTCTGGGAATTCTTCTGACAGGAGGGATCAGATAGCATCTGTCTCTTACAAGCAAAGGCATTAAGCCAATGAAGAGTTATTATTCCAGACAACAACAAATGAAGTCAGAGCACGGAACCAGGTGGTATCCTGCTCATAAAACCACTTGATGCACCAACATTGTCCTTTTTTCTTAGCTGGGCCAACTAAGGCTAACTTCCTTAGCTGCATGATTCTTAATAAAATAAAATTATACTAATCTGAATGTCTCTTAAATATTTAGACAGAAGCCCTCAACAGTGTAGTAATGCCAACAACACTAGGCCCAGCAATTTATCTATTTATTTTCAAAAGTTTGAGCAAAGTAGTACCTTATTACATTATCAAGGCCTACAAAAGTCGTGTTTTTTCTACAACTTTTTTTATCCAACAAATTCATTTACATCTTGTTTCTACCACTCGAAATGTTTAAAAGCAAAAAAGCAGCATGTCTTTCATTAAAATAATTTAATTCAATAATACAATTCTGATTTTACTTCCTATGAGAGGTATTTTTTTCTAGCAACTTGCTTTATCCTATTAATTCATTTACATCTGCTACTTTGTGTGTTTAAAAGCAAAAAGCAGCATGTTTCTTATAAAAATAATTTAATTCAAAAATAATATTAATTTTGATTTTTCATTTCCTTTTCATCTTCTTCTCCCTCTGATATTATAAATTTGCATAGGTAAAGTGTAGTAATATTGAACCTGACTCTCTTTCTGGGTAACTATGTATTAATTAAGGTGAACAAGGGAAGGTCCAAAACATAGTAATGGAACTCTAATGTGACTAAAGGAACTGACACGTTCCCCTAATCTCAGGTCTCAGACATTGCACAATGCATTCAATGTCATTTTGCACCCAATCACAGCTATCCCTTGATATGACGAACCAACCTGTCCCAAATAAAATCTCTGCACTCCCTCATCAGATAGTCAGTGCCTGCAACTAGTTTAGAATTATACTATAATTAAACTGAAACTCTAATTAAAAGTACTAGGCTAACGTGATATGAAATGTTCACAGCCCAATTATGTCTGCTTGCCATTGTCCTCTGGTGTGTATAGATGATATCTTTTTATGAAAATAATGGAACACAGATTTAGTAATGACATCCTGGGCAGGATGTCCTAATAATTTCCAGGGTCAGTCATTTCCTTTCCCATGTATTTTCCCCTCTTCGTGGTTCTGTTATGCATCCCTGGTTTCCCTTAATTCCTCAGAAACATATCCTAGCTACTGACCAAAGTGCCCTTCAAATATAATTAACTGGTAAATCCTAGATAGACACCTTATGGTTACCACGTGTATCAAATAAAACAAACAAAAATCCCCCATTTTTTTCTCATTTGGTATTAATGGACTTATTCATCACCCTTGGTCCTAAATTATGCTGAAGACAGACTAAAGTACAGTGATCTTTTAGCAAACCTATGTTTTCTCAAAAATATAGGTTTCAGTACCACCAACCCTTCTTTTTACTTCCTTCTCTAGAAGCCTTAATGATAAATGCTTAGCAAGATTTTAAACCCCAACAGTAAAATTATAACTATTTTGAAAACATAATGCTTGCTACAGGTTAATTTCAATCCTGTTTGTAATCTTAAATTTTAAAGTAAATTATTAACCTTCAATAAATTTCTACCTAGAGGCTTTAAACTAGCTTCAACAAATTTGAATAAGTCTGAGTTTGTGATGCTAATTTCATTGTTGTTGAGCCAGTTATCAAGTGATAATACTTACATATATTTGTCCCCATGGTTACAAGTAAACTAGGGAAGAAACTATTTCCTGACTAATATTTTATAAAGTAAACTTTTAAAACACAAATAAGTCACTTGTAAATTTTGTTAATGCTTTATTTTAAAAACAAAGTGTTGAGAAAATGTTGAATTATACTTCTGAAATACAAAATGAGGCAATGGAAAATTGCACCAATTTATATTTTTTCTGCTAATAGTGTCCTTGAAAATAAATTTAATTAGCATAGTTTGTTCAAATCGAATCACATTTTTAAACTCAATAGTTTCCTTTCCTTTCAGAAAATGCAAATCAAATCCACAACTCTAACTACTATAATTTTAATTTGCTTCAAAACACATACAAATATCATAAAAATTAAATTTCCATTTTAAGAAGCAGACAGTCTCAACAGGAGGCACATGGGATCAAATGCATTAGACTGAGGTCTCTGAACCCACAATGAAAAGGAAGAATGAGGTCCATATACCAAATGTAAATTATACGCAGTTTTAATGCTACCCACAAATAAATACAAGCTATATAATTACAATTCAACTGTATGATTAGGAAAATTATCAGAAATACCTAGTTGTCTACAAAAATGTTAACCTATGACTCTGTGGCAATCAACCCATAATCAGTTTTAAAAATTTAGAACAGTTGGTTATATTAGTACACATCACAAATTTATCATCAGGTTCTAAGTAAGTAACCAGCTATTGTGCTATTTAGTCTTCATGTAGTTCTGCTGCCATCAGATTTTCAACCATTTCTTTCACTGGGAAGAAAACAGAGTGAATGGAAAAATCTCCTGGCATCTCATGCCAATGTAGCCTTACATAGATCTATATCATTAAAATGTTTTACCTAGAAAGTCATTCATTGAAAATGCATGCACACACACACACACAGATAATGCCTAATATATAACAATCACTGTTATTACAAAGGCAAGTTCCCAGTCATGAAGAGACACAGAGATAATGTGTCTCATGTGTGTTGCTATGATAAATAAAATGAAGCAAATAAAAGAAGACTATTTTGCACAGTTGCTGTCCCCATGAGGAATGCTAGCGAATGAAGGAAGAGCCCATGGAAGAGCGATGGAGTAGCTCTTCTAAGGGGACCAAGACTGAAAGTAATCACCACCAAAGAAAGGATTTCGAAGGAGAAGAGGGATGTTGACAAGTTCCAAGAATAAACAGAATGGAGCTTCTGCTGGAAATATGTTATTAAGTAATAAATTAATAATGACCAGATAAGCAATGTCTGATTCTACGAAAAATAATTGTAAAACAAAGAAAAATCAGCGTCTTTCTTGAGTGATAAACACACTTTTTAAAATCTACATACCATCTTTTCATTTTTATAACAAAGTCAGAAGACAAGCTATCCTCATTTTGATCAAGAAGCAATTGTTTAATTAATGCCACTTAAGTAGTGACTGGCAGAGTTTACATTTGTGTTCAATTTTAGTTGAATTCTAAAATGTATGTTCATTAAATAGTTTCATATTTTCTCAATAATCCAGCTGTTAAAAATTAACCCACAGAATACTACCAAAAATGCACAAAATTCTGTTATCTTTGTTTTTTTAAAAAAAACTAATAAAAAGGGGGTGACAGTTTTTTAGTTAGTTTAGTTTAAAAAACTAATAAAAAGGGTGTGCTTGTCTGATTATTATTAATGTATTACTTAATAACATAGTTCCAGCAGAAGCACCATTCTGTTTATTCTTGGACCTTGTCAACATCCCTCTTCTGCTTTGAAATCCCAAGTATTTATTAGTAACATGGATAAAGTGGTAAACTAACTATGACACCAATTAATATATTATATGGTTTTTATGACAAACATAAAGAAAAAGTTTAGGGGAAAAAATCATGTTACTTCAAAAAGGCAGAAAACACAATTATATCTATACTCTGATTATAATTATTGAAATAATTTATGAATATGGCCAGGCAAGGTGGTTCATGCCTGTAATCCCAGGACTTTGGGAGGCCAAGACTGAAGGATTGCTTGAACTCAGGAGTTCAAGACCAGCCTGGGCAACATGGTGAAACCCTGTCTACAAAAAAATACAAAAATTAGCCAGGCATGGAGGCATGTGCCTGCAGCATCCACCTACTGGGGAGGCTGAGGTGGAGGTGGCAGTGAGCTGAGATCGTGCCACTGCACTCCAGCCTGGGTGATAGAGGCAGATCCTGTAGAAAGAAAGAAAGACAGAAAGACAGAAAGGAAGGAAGGAAGGAAAGAAGGAAGGAAGGAAGGAAGAAAGGAAAAAAATAAAAAGGGAGGGAGGGAGGATTTATGAATATGAACACAGAAAAAATATTTAATTGACATAGATATCACTTTGGTTGTGACAGAAATTCAACTGAAACTAGCTCAGAAAAAAAGAAAAAATGTATTGACTTGTGGAATCAAAGGAAATGTTGAATAGTTAAACCACAGGATACACAAGAAAGAAGCTAGCTCTCAACAACAACTGAACCAGGGAATGTTAACATGGCAGAGTACCTCCAGTTCCTCTCCCTAATTCTCTTCTACTGTTTGTTTCACATGGCAGGAAAGCTGCATGTTGTGAGCGCTGACATTTTAAATTTTACAATGTTCACTACCTGTGAGAGGATGGCTTTCTGAAGTAGGACTCATATTTTCCTGGTGTAGCTCAGGAACCCACCTCCTGGATAAAAGAAGGCAGGACACCTTGACCGAAAGTCCCTCCAGGACTGTGTTGGGCTTCAGAAAATGACACAGAAGTATGGCACTGTGGCACACTGGGAAACTGGGAAGGCCTCAAAAACAGCCTCAGAAGCAAAGCCTTATTCTGACTTTCTCCTGCCCTTCTGTCTCCTATCCCTCTATCTCCCCTGAAGCAAGTCATAGAAAACAAAATTTGTTTTCCCCAAGGCAACTCCTCTCCTCCAAAACAGGCCATAAAACCCAGAAAGGTCACCCTCTCCCTTCTCCATCCTTCCCTAAAGAGCCTCATTCCAGGGCGGGTCCAGCAGCATACCCAAGAGGAAGCAATACTACAGAAAGGCCAAGAAGAATGAACAGACAGGTGTTCACAAAAGGGAATGATCTAATAGTAACAGAGTGATGGGGGAGTGTCCATTCTTCATCAATCCTAAGAATAAAAATAGAGTTTTCCCTGCGTCTTTGGGCCTTCATTTCAGAAGACTCCCAGGTCACATAAAACTTGATTAAATACATTTGCTATGCTTTTCTCTTGTTAACCTGTCTTTTGTAATAGGAGCGGTCAGATGAGAGCCTTATCACCAGTAAGAAAAGGTATCAAACTTTTCTGCCCCCAAAACCGCATTCAATGAGGTGTAGATTCCTGTATTAGTCAGGGTTCTCTAGAGGGACAGAACTAATAGGATAGTTGTATATGTGAAGGGGAATTTACTAAGGAGTACTGACTCACACAGTCACAAGGTGAAGTTCCACAATAGGCCGTCTACAAGCTGAGAAGCAAGGAAGCCAGTCCAAGTCCCAAAACCTCAAGAGTAGGGAAGCTGACAGTGCAGCCTTCAGTCTGTGGCCACAGATCTGAGAGCCCCTGGCAAATCACTGGTGCAGGTCCAAGAGTCCAAAAGCTGAAGAACTTGGAGTCTGATGTTCAAGGGCAGGAAGCATCCAGCACAGGAGAAAGATGAAGGCCAGAAAATTCAGCAACTCTGTTAATTCCACTTTCTTCTGCCTGCTTTATTCTAGCTGCGCTGGCAGCTGATTAGGTGGTGTCCACCCAGACATAGGGTCTGCCTCTCCCAAACCACTGACTCAAACGTTCATATGCTTTGGCAACACCCTCAAAGACACACCTAGGAACAATACTTCGTATCCTTCAATCCGATCAAGTTGCCACTAGATATTAACCATCACAATTCCCAAAGCAAAATCTGGATGCTGTTATCAGAATGGAGAATAGATACTGGGCATCCACAAGCCAGATGCCTACTCTCTAGGAGCCAATAGAATACGCGATTTCTAACATAAACAAAAGCAGATAATTTTCTTTGAAATAAGGGTTCCACCTCACCTTTCTTGTTGAATATGCTGGATAATTACATTCCAAAATTGCTTACTGGAGTGCTCAGAGCAAAACCTCCATAGGATTTCTGGCAGTAGGCAGTAAAGGCATATGGTTCAAGAAGAAAAGCATCATACATAAGTTGGCATAATGGTACTGAAGTTTTGCAATAAATAAATTTAAATGTCATTTAATTCTTTGAAATCTAAAGGGAATTCTTAAAAGTAAATTTCAACTATGAAGAAAATGCAATAAATACTTTTTCAGCTTGTACCAACAAATAGAGTGTTTTAAAAGTAGGATAAGTTTACTCACACACAAAAAAAAAATAAGAAAAACTACTCTAAGCTATAAAGCCACTGATCTCTAATGAGAAAGAAAAAAACTCTACCATATATTAAAATAATCTTTTTCTCATAATTTACATTTCTTTATTTTTACCATGAATAGGAGAAAAAAGCATACTTTAAAAAATAATTAATTAATAATTCATGTGATTCTCTAGTACACTTTCCACAAATCATAAACTTGAGTTCTGAAAATATTTCCACAGCAACGAATATTAGTGCCATAAGTTGAGGAGTGCACCTTCAGGTATTAAATAAAGTAACATATAAAGAGAAATATTTTATTTTGAATAAGGAACATGTTTTTACTGATATGCAGAAATAGATAACAAATTGGCTTCATGATGGAAAAAAACTGCATAAATTGTTCCAAAGGCAGTTTATGTTTATTTTCACAGTTTAGAGTAAAGCTCAATGCATTCTCCTGTTTCTTCTTATCCTGGTAAGAGTCCTGCACACAGAGCAGATAATGGCTTGATCCATGAGCTGGAACAAACTTCACCTGGAAATGATGCATATGCTCCGGCCTGAATCATGATAACTAAAGTGATAGTAACATGGTTTCAGAAATTAAACAATACTTGTCATATAACTCTCTTAGTCATATAAAATTAAGGAAAATATAAAATCAATAAAATCTAATTTTATTCTTTTCATATGTGGCCATGTATCTGTATTAAATTACACTATATGAAAGGCACATGGCCATGTACACATTGTCTGTTCTTCATTTAATTACCTCATTAAAAGGAGGATCAGGAAAAGAGTCCATGTATTCATTATAAGTTTTGTTTTCCTATACAACCAACTCAATTTTAAATTTGCAGGAAATGTTTAATGAGCTCAGAAATAAACTTTTTATAATTTCCCAGATCAACCCTAATGTAGATATGTATGCAGTATAATCCATTCTGCATCTGCATTTTCAGGAAGCTTCCCACACTTACTCACCCTCGATGGTCATTGTATTGCATTTTTACAACTGTATCATTTCTTCAGGTATGCTGAAGCTTAAGTGTCTACGAAAAAACGCTACTACATTTTAAGAACTATTTTAAAACATGTAACATACTAAACATATTTAAGTAATTAAAAAGTACTCAATTCATCAGACCAGTCATAGGTGTTAACATGGTCACTTTAATTCAAACAACTGCTTTTCTCTCCTCTTTTCTTCTTCCTGTCCTTTCACAAAAAAAAATCTTTTCCAAAAGATGACAGTCAAGAATAGACTACAAAAGCATTCTTTTACTGAATCAATGAGACTAAAACTGGGGAAAAAAATGAAGCTGAGTTTTGCTGTTATTTGAAAAGTTAATTCGTGACAAGAAAAATGTTAACATGTTTGCTGACCCTACTTATTCTGAGCCATGAAATTGCTCAAACCAGAGCAAACTGCCAACCATGACGAGAGTAAAGGATTCTGCAGATGCATCATTCCTACATAGTATAGCCCAAGGTGAACAGTCCATGAGTATTATACACTAGAACGCAGAGGGCTGGGTACAGAAAATAAGGGGAGGAAAGATGCCAGAGGCAGAATATGGTCATACCGCCCAGGCCCCAATACTGGGAAGTTCTGTCTTCATGAGAAGCAGTACAGCATGGTGATTAACAGCATTGATTCCACAATCACACTCCCCATGTGTAAATCCTAATTCTGTCATTTTCTAGCCATGTGACCTTGGGGCAGTCGCTCAACCTCTCTGTGCCTTCATTTTCCCACACAGCAAAATGTGTATGTATTAGTATACTAGGGCCAACATAGCAAAATACCACAGACTTGAAGGCTTAAATAATTAATTAATTTTCTCATAGTTCCAGAGGCTGAAAGTCCAAGATCAAGATACCAATAAGGCTGGTTTCTCCTGAGGACTCTCCTTGATTTCTGGATAGCCACCTTCTGGTCTTCTGTCTTCATTTCTGTGAACACACATTCTTGGAGTCTCTTCCTCTTTTTATAAGGACATCAGTCATAGTAGATTAGGGCCCACTCTTATGACATCATTTAACCTTAATGACCTCTTTAAAGTCCCTACCTCCAAATACAATCACATTGGGGGTTAGGGCTTCAACATATGAATTTTGGGGAATACAATTCAGTGCATAACAAACAGTATAAAACAATAATAGCTACCTCACATGACTGTGGTGATGATTAGATGTATTACTATACAAGTGCCTGGCTCATGGGAAGTTCTATATAAATGCTTACTATTAGGCTAAGCCCCATTAAATTCACATGTCTAACAAGTATCCACAAATCACAGCATCAAGTGGATGAAAACAGACATTTGCAGTCTGTCTTTAAGATTTCTTGTATTGGGACAGTGATATCTTTGGGGATAAATGGAGGACACATCTTGCTGATAACATCTATCTCAATTCAAAACATGGGTGGTTAATATAGAAATGTTAGTGGTTCCTAACAGGAGCAAAACCAATAGATAGCTTTGATTTTCTCACATTCCCAGTGGGACACAAAGGCTTTTTGTGTCTCAGGATTATGTGCTGATAAAGAATGCGGAAAGAATGTTTATGAGGAAGCAGACAAAAGCAGCCTGGCTCCGGTGTATCCACACTTGGCAGCTGTAATGCAGTTTCGGCTACACCAATAATTTCCAATTATTTTTACCTGCAGTCAATTCTCAAGCTAGAAGACTGTGGTGAGAATATGAGATTAATTTAGACAGGCTCAGGCACTCATGTGAACACCAAAATCTGCCACTAAAACAAACATCAGGCTTACATTAATCTATCATTTTTTTTCTCTTGTTACCTTTTCAATCGCCCTTCATGATCCTGGCCAGGGTTCTGTGTGCGTGATAGATGGCGAATGGAATGGCAGACAGCAGCAGAACAACAGCAGCAAAAGTTACCGACCACAAGCACAGACACTGAAAACGAAAGCGGCTTGGTAACTAACAGGCTAATCTTCACGGCAGGAAGAATACTTGGCAATGAAACTTCCCCTGGGAATTGATTCACTACTGTTCACATTTGTTTAAATGAATTTAACATAATCTTCTAATTGTGGAAGTCTGATCCTATCACTCCCCTGCCTATCTGCCTAAAACTCTTCCATATCATCAGGTTGCCTCCAAGATAAAGTCATCATTCCCTTGCATAACACCCAAGGGTTTCATGATCTAGTCCCAACAAATTGCCACATTCATCTCTATTACAGAATCTTCAAAGATACCAGTAGCAGTTCCTAGTACCGTACTTCTGGGCCCTTCACATGCTGCCTTCTCTATCAAGAAAACCCTCCTCATTGGCTCTGATAACTGCTCTATGTCTTTGGTCTCAATGCTGATATCCCCTCCTAGGCAAATTCCATCCATCCACCCCCAACTGAGTAGTTTGCCTCTTCAGCATGTTCCCAGAATACCCCAAATCTAACACTATTATGGGATATATCATACTGTTACATTGTACATATTTAAGCAACTGCCTACTCAAAATTTTCAAGAGAACCTTGTAGCCTAACTATCCAAAAATGAAAATTCCAATATATTATGGTGGTTGAGATCAAGTATTTCTATATCAGACAGACCTGAGCTTGAAACTTATTTGTCTTTTATTACTCATATGGCCCCAAGAGAAGCTGTAACATGGAGACACAATAATATTTATTTTACGGGATTTTGAAGTATTTAATAAGTAAATACACTTGCCGCAGCACCTGGCATGAGGACAAGTTCATAGCTGTTATTTTCATGCTCAGTATCTAATTCATCTCCTACTACTCTATTGAATATAACCCACTCTTCAAGTTGGACTGTTTGGCCTGAAAATAGTCTTAAGTTTTCTCTTCAGCTGAAATACTCCATCTCCCAATCTTTGCATATGGAAACCCTTGCCTTCCAAAAACCCCTTGCTAGTGCCACACTTTCCACCTATCCTTTCCAAGCCTAGACCTGCTTTCTCCCTTCTCTTGGATAGCCCCCTTGTGCTTTTTGGAAAGGGCAGGAGACACTGATGTTTGCTCATTTTTGTGGCAACCCATACCCCAAATTTTCCCCCAATCCAGAGTGTGGTGTCCCATGTGCCACCAAAATGTAAGTATTTTAGAAGCCGGAATATGTGTTTTTATTGCTCTCTAACAATATCTGGCACATGGTAGGCACTCAACAATATATGTTAAATGAATGAGTGAGTTGGCTGTTTCTATTGCAAAAGAAAGCCAGCATTCACCTCCTTTACTTTTTCCTAAGAGCAAATTCTATTGACCAAAATTCACTAAAAACTGGAAATTAAAACTGCAATTTTTAAAAATTTATTACATACGAACATCTCAAGCCCAGTCAATGTACCCCCCGCTAACTGGCTGGGCGCGGTGGCTCACGCCTGCAATCCCAGCACTTTGGGAGGCCAAGGTGGGCTGATCACGAGGTCAGGAGATCAAGACCATCCTGGCTAACACAGTGAAACCCTGTCTCTACTAAAAATACAAAAAATTAGCTGGGCATGGTGGCAGGCGCCTGTAGTCCCAGCTGCTTGGGAGGCTGAGGCAGGAGAATGGCGTGAACCCGGGAGGCAGAGCTTGCAGTGAGCCGAGATCGTGCCACTGCGCTCCAGCTGGGTGAAAGAGCGAGACTCCGTCTCAAAAAAAAAAAAAAAGTACCTCCCGCCCCCTACACACACACACACACACACACACACACACACACACACACACACACACACACACAGAAACAACTATACTTATACTGTGGTCAATTCATAGAACTAGAAGAGAGTTTAGAAATCACCAAATGCAAATGCTTTATTTTAACCACATGGTAAACAAGCACAATGGGTGACTTGGTGTCATCAAGGCACTTTTCCTCCATCTCTTCATCTGGAAACTCCAAAGGTAACTGTCCCCTCATCTATGATGCTTTATCCAACTTCTCCAGATACAGCCAGTAACTCTGTCATCTGCCTTCTCTAAGCACTTCATTTCTACGTGAGTTATAACATTTATCTACATGTCCATTTCTCCAAACAGACTGAAGCTCCTAGAGGGCAAAACCTAAACAAAGCCTAACATAGTGCTGGTACACACTAGTGGTTTACCACATTGGTTAACGTTAAATATAGACAAACAGTAGTTACTAGAACAGGTGTCTGTGGTCCAACTACCTGGGCAGCTGAGGCAGGAGGATGGCTTGAGCCCAGGAGTTTGAGGCTGCAATGAGCCATGACCTCAACTGTGAACAGCCACCGCACTCCAGCCTGGGTAATGTAGCAAGACCCTGTATCTTAAAAAAAAAAAAAAAAAAAAAAGTGTAGTTACTTGAACCTGCTAATTGATAAATTTTAATTGTTTCGATAAGATTACGTGTTATGCTGACATTCACCATCACCATTTTTTAAAGATATAATGATTTAGTAGATTTTAAATTTAAAAGATAAAATAAGCTACATTATAGTAAATTTTGACAACAATTTTCCTTCTAAATATATCCCTGAAATTAGTATATTGTGTTTCAGATAAGATGTAGGAAGCTTTGTGATCCGCCAGACTTGCAGTGTGTAAATAGGGAACAACTTTGAAACTGCTGCCCAACAGCTGGAGTACTCAGCGGGAGCACTGCAGTTAAAAAAAAACACTTTTGTTTCCCTGGGGGCAAAAGGCTAGAGCCAAACACAATAGTACAACCAAAACAACAAAAGGAGAAAAAATGTTTACAGGATTTATCTTGACGCTTTGGGAAGGAAAATAAAATATTACAACACTTCAATGGAAGTGGCACCACGCCGTCATGCAATCCAAAAGCATTTTAAAATCTGCCCATGATGTTTTTTCTAGTAAACATTTCCAAAAGAGCCTGAAACTTGATTTATGTGTGTGAAAGAGAATTAGAGTATACCTCCCTACATTTTACAACTCACATTAAAACTGTCATAACGCCCTGAAAGTATAGGGGAGAAAGTAAGAGCTGAATTGCTATTTTTCTGACATTAGTAAGCAGTCACATTGTAAAGCCTTTGCTATTCTCACAAAAAATAAATAAATAAAATAAACAAAAATCTCAGTTCTCAACTCTCCGGTATGTGTTCATTTTCTAAGACAAACCACTAAAGAAAATATAAGAATTTTAAAAATATTTCTTCCTTTCTTCATATTTTATTATACATCAACTCTGTGCAATTTAAAACAAACTGTGTGGGTGAGTGTGTGTATCTATCCATTCATACACAGTCTAAAGAAGAGAAAGTGAATAGGCAAAGAACTTCAAAAATAGCAAAGCTTATCACTCAAGGAAGTTAAAGGAGAATCAATATAGAAAGGTGCCTGGGGTAAGGACCCAGTTGTTTAGAACTGAATTTTAAATGACTACATTTTAAACAAATGCATATGTACATAGATATATACTTTAAATCTTAATAAGAGACGCAATTTCAGGGAAAAGATAAAAGAATATATAGCCATGTTGCCTAAAAAAGGAATTATGTGAACTGTAAGGAAAAGGTAATATGCAAATTTGTTTTTAAATCCTCGTGGAGGCAAGAGCCTAAAAAAAAAAATCCTCCTTAAATGTTACAGTTCAAACCAAATACTCAGGCAGCATCTCTCATCCTTCCCTCTCTCTAAGTCCCCACAAATCTACTAGCATGCTCCATCACTCCCACCTTCAAAATACCTTTACCTGTACACTTCTCTCACCCTACAGTCACTTAGACTGCAACAATGTCCTCCTAACTGGTCTCACCAAAATCCACGTGGCCCCTCCAAACCCTTTTTCACACTATACTGAGGGCGATACTTATGAAAATTTGATCATGTCTTTTCCTTTAAGTCGTCATCGTTAGTTATAAGGTCCTGCATGCTCTGGCTTTTACCTGAAGCTTTGGCCACTCTCACCAGACTCTCCTTCACGCCTCTTCCCCAGCCATAGTGAGTGGGCTTCTCTCAGTTGCTGCAATGCACTGCATTCTCTCCAATGCACCGCATTCTCTCCAGTCTCCATGTCTTCACACAGGTGGGACTCTTTGCTTGTATCTCCTGCCTAGCTTTCCTAATGTCAAAATTCCTGTGCACTCCTTGGGTAAGACACATTCTTCTAAACCCCCTATATTTTTTTCTGGACTTTCCAAACTTAGGATTACATATTGACAAGTATATGTTTCACATCCATCTACCCCAGACTGTAAAAGTCCAGGATGAAAAGTCCACAATGAAAAGGACTATGACCTCAGTCCCTAAAGCATGCCACAGTGAAGGTGCTCAATATACAGCTGAAGACTGAGAGTGTCTTTCAAAATCTCAAGAAAAAAAGCAAACTTGATGAGGAAGCCCATCTTAGATTCCAGCAATGTGATTATCAGAAAAAACATTTCCCTAAATCTTAAGGCAGAAAAGTAGAGCAGGGATGGGGGCTAGTCCTAAAACCCAGTCCAGTAGTAAAGTAGAGAATAGAGAATAATAATTGTAAAATTCCACCTCTGATTATTATATATTATATCTAAGGAATTTGTCATATACTTTGTAACCCTATGGTTCCTCGCAGAATGTTGTAAATATGGTTAGCATTTAATGAATATTTGATGAATAACCATTTTTAAGATAAAATATTAAACCTAAGTGAAGTGACAACTTTAAGACCTTGAGATGTGAGATCAGGTCCAGATGTTATCCTTACATGGTCCTGTCCTGAACGATCAGAAAGACAGTCATGTTTGAAATCATATAATTTCTTTCAGTTTGATCATTAGTAACAACATATGCAGCTTTTTAAATTATTAGCATCCTGTAAGATTTATTATCTTCTAAACAAATATTGTATAATCTAACTCTAATTGCTTCTTGGTTTATGAAAAGCAAAAGTGTTACACAAGGTATAATAAACTAATGATGTTGTAATGTGACATTTTCAGGTGTGGCTTTTAGAATTACTCTCATAACACAATTATTTATAAACCAAGAAGACTATAATTTTTCTCACAAAATCTTACTCAAAATATAATTGTGCTTGGCATTACAATAAACCAAAGAAGGCCAAGTTGTTCTGGAATCAGTAAAACATTACAGGTAACAAACATGAGTTTACTTATAAAATAAAAATCGTAACATCCAAAAAGTACACCAAAATAACTCTAAGCCAAAACCCTCCTACATGCACAATAGTATGTGATTAATCACTTATAAAATTGCCTTATGTCAACTGTCGGAATTGAAGATGACTATATTCTATACTACCAGCAAGTGTTCACATTAGAGGGAAATAATAAACATGTATGTTCCAGTCAGTAGCAGAACACTAATTTTAACATTAATCATTTTATGATCCCAGGAAGAGGAGGAAAAAAATAACATTAAACTCACTTTTAAACTATATTTAATTTAATTATGCCTGGCTATATATACTTAAAAAATAACCATTTTATGCTGAGCTCAGTGGTTCACACCTGTAATACCAGCTACTCTGGAGGCTGAGGCAGGGCGATCCCTTGAGCCCAGGAGTTTGAGACCATCCTGGGCAACATAGGGAGACCCTGTCTTTAATAATAATAATAATTTGAACACAAACTAGACAGAAAATAGGTTGCTTTAAATACTTGAGATTTTTATCTTGGTTTGAAATGAGTAAATAGAAAATGTCAAATTTCAATCAGATAAACATCAAAGTGAGAGGGTCACCCATTTAAACACCTTGGCTTCCTTGTTTTGATTGAATTCATCCTATTTCCCCTCTTTTAAAATTTCTCACTCTGTCATTCTTATACCTTCTTTCCCATTATTATACATTCCAGTGTTAATACATCCATATTTTGATGAGCTCTGTTCTCTTAATTTGGATCCAAATTTTTAAGTAATTATCACCTATCAAAAAGGTTGTTTTTTTTTTTCCTTTCTATTAGATGTAGCTAACAAATAAACAGTAAAATCTCATTAACTGGAGGTGGGGTGAGATGACTACGAATCACTTTAAAATCTGAACTGTAGAACATTTTAAAAGAATATGTTGTGTATATTACGAAGTATTTTTAACAATAAGTAGTTTTAAGAACAGGTTGACTAATATGCATCCTTAAAGAATTTTTCTCATGAGTAGATTTAGATACTTTTCTATTAGCATAATGTTTGTCTGAGTTGTAAAAAAAAACAAAAACAAAAGCAAAAAAACAATTAATTTTCTTAGGAGCTGTAAATAAATCCCCTGAAACTGTAGTCATCCTGCTTCCTTAACACCCTTTTTCTGTCAAGAATGTTAAAAAGACAAATCACAGCCTAGCTTCCATTCCAAGCATTCTCCCATCCAAACTACGGACAGTTTCCAGTTTCAAAACAGAACCCTTCTCAACCTGGGCTCCTGGATACTGAGGGGACTTTTCAGGCTTGCCCCTTGTTGATGCAGCCCAGAGAATCTACATTTGGAATATTTATTTAAGAAACCTCATTACTTGGAAGAATACTGGCTTTTCTTGCCCACTTAAACGAACCAGCTCCCTCCAACCCATGGGGGAGACGTTTACTCAGTTCAATAAACAGCACTTGGCAAAGAGCCCTTCCTCTACTTTATTTGCATCCCAATATCCTCTTCTGCTTTTAGCAAGATGAGGCTAAGGGAATGCTGGAGAACAGTGGCATCAATGCTCCTCTGTCCAGATAACTGTCTGATCCTCTAAAGGTTGAGAACTATGTCTAAGTATGACAATGTGCATAACTCAAAGTCTTCAGGATATATACTGAATTATAAGGTTATGCCACACTGATACATAAAATGTAAAATATATATTTTTATGATTATATTTTGGATTAGGCCACAGAATAAATATGGAATAAAAACATATATCTTGACAAAAAATTCAGCTGGATACCCACATAGATAGATAAATAGAATGAATGGCAGAGAGAGAGAAGACAGGCAGCGGACAGCTACTCTGCTAGCTATTTTCAATTACTGAAATATCTCTACTCACAAGTTTTACAGTTGATTGGAGGTTTTGTGTATCTTTTTTATTCCTTTGTTGTTGTTAAGTCTTGGATATATTTTTATTGGTCAAAATTATTTCAATGTTCCATTGAGTATCACAATAGGTATTTCAACGTAAATTTTAAATCGAGTTTTATTTACATAGTGTTATTTTGTTTTAAAATCAAAATGCAGCTTTATTTGAAGACAAATGTGAATAATGAGTTCATACAGGTATGTCCAAAGTACATTTGCCTTCCATTGCTTTTGTCAAGAGTAATACCAAAATAGGAAAAGTAAATAAAAAAAAAACCTTAGCTTTATTCACAACATCCTGTCATAAAGAAGAAACAAAAGACTGTGTAAAAAGTACTCAACAGGACTGATCTCTACAAGTGAAAACACTGAACTGTAAATCTTCAGGTTCGAAAAATATTTTAAAAGACAATCCAGTCTTCCTAAGTCAAACCCAGTAGTCAATTAGTATTTGAAGGGCCAAAGGGCAAGGCATTACAATCATAGTAACTTACATATGTGTAGCTCAATTTGGAAAAGAATATCCAACATAAATTACCCAGTTTGATTCTCACAACCCTGTAAATATCCAGAAATTATACACGAATTGAGGATAAGGAAACAGGCTATATAAGTTAAATTACTCATTTACCAAATTACGCAAACTCTATGCTCTTTGCACTGTACCAGGAAGTGCCACGACATAATAGTTAAGAGAAAAAACTTGGAGCTTATAAAGTTGTGTGAATAGGATTTATAGCAAACATTGTATGAGAGAAGTATAGTAACTTTCCCATATTTTTGGCCAGACCCACAGTTAGAAATTCTTTTTGCATTGTGACTCAGTACACAGACATATAAGGATACATAAATCTATTCCATTAAAACCAAAGTTTCATGAAACAATACTTCTCTCTTCCTCTACAAAATGTATGATTACCTTTGTTATTGTTTTTGTTATATTCTATTTCATGGTTGGTCTGGTTTTCTTCCTTAAGCTGGTTGCTACCTACTGAATTGAATTCGGTACCCACCAAATGGGTGGTTACATACAATTTGAAAATAATGAGCTGATACTTAGCTCAATGCTAGGACCAGTAAACACTAAAATGTTAGTTATTGAAAATAATTTTTAAAGTTATGTCCCTATAGGTTGGTGGACTCAAAACACTCAAAAGGGATACAATGTTTACCTCTGAAATACTCAGGCAAGACATGTAAATGGCCCAGAGAAACATACACCAATGGCTTCAGTTTCTGATGCAGAGGCAGGTAAAATCCTGATGCTCATGTATTGTTGTCATTATGTCATCAGGCTGCAGTGAAGGAGTGGCTAAATATAGTGAGACATGAACTAAAAATCTTTATCAGGCCCTGCTGAATAAACAGAATGTTGAAATAGAGAGTAATACAAATTAGAAGTTGTCAGAAACAGATGCTCTAAAAATGGGTCATCCTAGTTAATACAATCATGTGATTAACTGAAAATTTGGGGGGGGGAGTCTCATTTCAATCACTGTGGCCACTACTGGTAAGCTTTCCAGCCTTATGAATTACAATTTACCCAGCATAATTACATTTTTGATTATGCTTAGCTAATTCAGCCATCACTCTGAATATCAATTAATTGTTAAAGTATTATAGGCATAAAGGTAAGAGATTGAGTTTAACGTCTACTGATCACAGGTCACACAGAAGAGATTGCTCTTTAAAAATAAATCCCTGAGAGTTTATATGAACATATGTCTTTTTCCTATTATATAACCATTTAAGTACAGGAAACAATCGACTTAGTGCTACACCTTTATTAATTCTGAATATTATTTGTCTCTATGTCTTCTCCCACTTGGTTTCCTCAAGGAGAAAGAGTACTAACTGAGAAGAGTTAAAAATCTACATTTTGTTTTGCACAGTCTGAGGAATCTTTATTATGAAATCTATACTCTGTTGCCCGGGCTAAGTGCAGTGGCATAATCTCAGCTCACTACAACCTCCGCCTCCTGGGCTCAAGCAATCCTCCTGCCTCCCAGGTAGGCTGGGACTAGCCCGGGCTAAGTGCAGTGGCATAATCTCGACTTATTGCAACCTCCACCTCCTGGGCTCAAGCAATCCTCCTGCCTCAGCCTCCCAGGTAGGCTGGGACTACAGGTGTGTGCAACCACACCCAGCTAATTTTTGTATTTTTAATAGAGACAGGGTTTCACCACGTTGACCAGGCTGGTCTCAAACTCCTGACCTCAAATGATCCATCTGCCTCAGCCTGCCAAAGTGCTGGATTACAGGCATGAGCCACTGTGCCCAGCCTGAAATCTATGTTTAAACTGTAAAGTTTGGAATGCTTCCAAATTCTTGAAATTGTTCATATATAAGGGAAAGTAAATTTTTTTCCTGCTACAAGATAAAAGATTTTATATAAGATATACAAAGAGAAATCATATGGAGAAAATCCATTTTCCCAAAATAAGTCATAAGTCACTTGGGGACTGTCAGCACTTTGTCATATATTACTAAACTCAAATCACACACACACACACACACACACACACCCTTCCCATTAAAAGGGAAAAAATACATATACAACATATTCACAATCTGCCAATTTCAAGAACTTTCTTACAATATGCCTTAAAATGTGAATATCTTAGTTTTAGACACTAGGTTTTTTGTGGGCGGAGCCTAACAAAGGCATGTGGAGCACAGGAATTTCCATTTAGCGCTACATTAATCTTACATGACATTTTTTGGAACATGAAATATTTTTGTCCTATATAAACAAATATTATAAGAGCATATGTTAAAACAACATTCCACTTTTCTAACACTGATAGAGATTAAATAATGAAAGAATTTTAAAACTCAAGTGAAATAATCAAAAGTAACTTTAGCTAACAAATAGTAATAACTGCTTAAAAGTAACTGATAATTCAGTAGAAAATAATGATAAAAGACCATTAAATCAAAGCCCAAATGCAGTATTAAGATGAAAAAACATGCTTTATATTTAATAATGTATATTTTGTAGATGTTAACAATTTCACATACATACACCCAAAATTAAAATCCATCAAAGTGGCAATGTATAGCAGAATTGGATGAAAATCTACCTACTTTTACAGACATGTTGATTCTTCCAATATTTCTGAATAACTTAAATATTGGGTGCTCTTGTGAGCCACGGGAGGTTTGTTAGTACAAAGATGATGTAGTAATTTACAAGCTACATTTACTGAAAACCCACTACCTACTGTGTAGTATTTGGGAAAGATGGTGTTTAGCATGAAAAATGTCCATAGTTCAAAGACATTGAAAAGTTTACCTTTTATATAGTCCTAGCAGTGCTCTAAGTTAACAGGACTTAAAGAGAGCTTGAATAGTCATATCAGCACCTGAGACCAAAGAGAGTCAATCCTGTATAGTGGGGAAACTTGAGTTAAACAGAAAAACAGTCTTCTTCTTGGGGATTTATTCCTGAGATTAAGCTCCACAGTGGATGCACCAAAGCCTTCTGACATCAACATTTTGTGTCAACGAACCTAAAGTTTCTTGATAACTAAACCCCTGCCAGGGAGTTTCAAAATGGACCAGGTTTTCTTACACTAAACTGTTCAATTAGGAAAGTGTTATAGAAAGATCCCATAATTAAAGAGGATTATCTCACTGGATTCCTCACACCCATATGCCAAATTATAAGGCATGGAGTAGTGGGCTGGGCTGAAACCAGCCTATACCAGCTCCTGAAAGTCAGTTGCTAAAATGTTCAGGAATTTTGTGGGCCAGTTATTAGTCACAACCATTATTTAAAATTAAATTATATAAACTTACAGCTAAATAAATTATATTAAAAACAGAGGTAATAAATCAAAACTTATCACTTTCTAATTATTTTACTATTAATTATATTTGCAGGATATTTACTTCTCTTGTATCTGTATGGTGGAAGTACTAAATAAGGGTGTGTTACTATGCATCTCTTCCTAATTTTGTGTTCAGTGATGTCACATTGGTCCTTTGAATTCAGCCATGGTGGTAGTATTTATACCATGGAAACTGGCAAGTGCTAAAACCTGAACTTTGGCCAGGCATGGTGGCTCACATCTGTAATCTCAGCACTTTGGGAGTCCAAGGCAGGCAGATCACGAGGTCAGGAGTTCGAGACCAGCCTGGCCAACGTGGTGAAACCCCCGCCTCTACTAAAAATACAAAAATTAGCCGGGCGTATGGCATATGCCTGTAATCTCAGCTACTCAGGAGGATGAGGCAGGAGAATCACTTGAAGCCAGGAGGCAGAGGTTGCAGTGAGCCGAGATCGCGCCACTGCACTCCAGCCTAGGCAACAGAGCGAGACTCCATCTCAAAACAAACAAATAAAACCTGAACTTTTTGGCTTGAGAGCTGATTATTAAACATTTACCACCATCGCTATTACTTCCTCATTTTCCCAAGTACATTTTGTGCCCATTCATAAGGATTTTGCCAATTGATGGCCTGATCCGAGAAACTTAACTAATCACCCAGGAGTGAGTGACTGTACTTTCTCCACGTCCTGATGGCACTTTTTGTACCTCCCACTCTTAATTATATCTTACTTATTTCTAGATCTTCTAAATAGTCTGTAAGGTCATTAAGTGCAGGGACTTAGTCAACTAAATCATTTTGCCCTCTGTGCTATATACACTGCCTGGCACAGAATGAACATGCATTTACTATTTGATTAACTTAACCAAACTAACATGAAAGAAATCAGATAAACTCTGTCATACATATTTTGTTAAATGAAGAGACCCTAGCTCACCAGCCTAACTTTATGTATTTTGTTTTAGAGACAAGGTCTTGCTCTGTTGCCCAAGCTAGAGTGCAGTGCCCAATCACCACTCACTGCAGCCTTTAACTACTGAGCTCAAGCAATCCTCCAGCCTCAGCCTCCAAAATAGCTGGGACTAAAAGCATGCACCACTATGCCTGGTTATTATTGTGTGTGTGTGTGTGTGTGTGTGTGTGTGTGTGTGTGTGTGTAGAGATAAGGTCTTGCTATTTTGCCTACCAGACTAACTTTATTAGGGATAGTAATCAATCCTGGAAATGCACAAATCAATGGTTCCCGCCCCAATAAGGTGTTGCCAACAAGACCATATTAAGAACACAGACTGATATCACCTGTTTTAACAAGCTTTGAAGGATATCATATTTGATAAAAATGTACAGAATAGATATATCCTTTTTGTCATTGCTCACATAAAAGACAACACGTGATGTAACTGCAATGCCAACAAATCAGGTGACAAGAACAATAAGAGTCTTGACCTAAAAGGACCCCTCTTATTCTTTCAAAGCATTAGCCTCTGGAAAGGTAAATGCTGACATGACATCCTGCCCCTTCTCTGTCCCCTGCCCTTTACTTGACTACATGTGAAAGCAACAGGAAAAACTCTTAATAAAATTATATGCTTTTCTAAAATGTGTTGGCAACTGGAAGCAGCCTGTAGTATAACTGTCAATGAGCAAGGAGCAAGGATAGAGTACTTTCAGCCAATGGTGTGCCAAATTGTGAACAAACTGTGGAGAGAGTCCAGGAAAGATCTCAAGTGGATACTTCAGTGAACAGTAAGTAACTAAGAACTTCAAAGGATTGCCCTACAGACTCCTGAACCTAAATTAAAGGTAAAAACAACAGCCCTCAGAGCAATTAGCAGGCTTCAACTGGGATGTGCATTCCTGATAAGAATTAGCCGGGAAAGGGCACAATGTACCTTGCAAAATCTGAAACGTTGCCTAAGGAGTAAGCAATCAGAGCACCTGGGTTCTTCTGGCAATATCTGCGCTCACCTTTCCTGGTTGTGGGTTTGTCCGATACCCTAGTGCAAATAGATTGAAAGCCAGAGCCTGAATCACACTGGTTAAAATTTATGGTTTCTCATGTACACTATCATATTTAAGTATACTACTATCTAGTGTTTTCATTATAGAGATCTCCCATTTTCAGTTACTCATTTTCTGATTCAGTATCCTTTAGGTATTATTGTGACCAAAATATGTAGCAGTCTGCTTTCCAAATAATAAGTGAGTCACGATTCTGGGGTCCAGGACAAGCAAGTATACATCCCTGCTTTTAGAACTGTTTCATATTTAAATTTAGATGTGCCATAGAAGTTTTGAAGTTTTGTTAATGCTCCTTTTATTGAGACTGAATCTGGTCAAACAGTATACCAAAATGATAACAACTTAAGAAATTTACTTGTTTTTTTTTTTTTTTGAGACGGAGTCTCACTCTGTCACCAGGCTGGAGTGCAGTGGCGAAATCTCGGCTCGCTGCAACTTCTGCCTCCCGGGTTCATGCGATTCTCCTGCCTCAGCCTCTTGAGTAGCTGGGACTACAGGCCTGACCAACAGGAAGAAACCCCATCTCTACTAAAAATAGAAAATTAGCCATGCGTGGTGGCACATGCCTGCTATCCCAGCTACTCAGGAGGCTGAGGCAGGAGAATCGCTTGAACCTGGGAGGCGGAGGTTGCAGTGAGCTGAGATCGTGCCATTGCACTCCAGCCTGGGCAACAAGAGCGAAACTCTGTCTCAAAAAAAATAAATACACACATAAAATAAAAAATAAATGAAGATGAGTTTATGAAGACAGCTGCTGCCACCGCAATCACAAAGAAGACCTAGGTTAGTAGGAGCATCCAGTCAGAACACAAAGTTGCAAATATTGTAAGGACATTATCTCAGTGACATTCAAGCCTGCAGTGCAAAGAGCTTCTCCGGTAAGAAAGTTAACAGGGATTTCTAACATCTGGAGTGCACAAGTGTTACACAAGGAAAAGAGAAGTTTGTGTCAATTAAAGCTAGAAAAGATAGTGTTAAAAAGTTGGAAAAATAAAAGAAATCTAAAGCTCGAGTCTAACATAAAATCCTTCTCACAGCTTAGAAAAGCTTTCCTCTGTGTTGACAGGTCAAAGAGCAACTCTGCAAATGAGCTAATAATTGTCAAAACTTTAGCCAGACCTTTCCACCATGTGCCAGGACTAAGTGGCTTTACCCAGAGAACAGCAGCTTGAAAAAGTCTTGGGGTTCAAATAGATTTGAAACTACCTCATTGTTTTGTGAACTAAGGAAAATTAAATAGCTAGGCAACCTCCAAAAAGAAAAAGAAAAATGTTATATAGAATTCATAAACACGTTCTAAAAGCCAGTGCATTTGTTTAGCATATGTGTCAAATGCAAACAGAAGCAATAGTGATATTCCTTTCTCATTCTATAACCATTGGGGAAACAATATACCAACATTCTTAGGCATTAAAGAGATCCCTCTTATCTTGTTGATTAATTCTAATTCTCTCATTCTAAATCTGAGTGCTACTCCCAGATAGGACATAATACTTACTGGGATGGGCACTGCTTGGAGTGGCAGAGATTTCATTCCTCCACTTTCTGGTCAATTCTTATTTTAACCTTATTCCCAATTTAGAATTTTCATATTTTATCATCTGAGATTAAATCGTTCTAGAAGGTAAGCAATTCTTTGTAGGCCAAAAACTTCCCACCTCCCTCAACCTACCTAGAGAATTTTAAATGCATTTTCCAAAGATGTTGGGTAGGTTTTTATACATGGCAAGACCCTGATCTCTACAAAAAAATTTTTAAAAATTAGCCAGGTATGGTGGCGCACACCTGTGGTCCCAGCAACTCTGAAGGCTGAGGCAGGAGTTTTGCTTGAGCCCAGGAGGTTGAGGCCACAGAGAGCTATGTTCACACCACTGCATTCCAGTCTGGTTGACAGAGTAAAACTCTGTCTCAAAAAAAAAAAAAAAAAAAAAAATTATTATAAGTCACTGTAACCTCTAACATAAAAAAAGAATAAGTTTGCTTCTTGTTTTCATAAACACTGGATTATATTCTATAAAGTGATGCTTGTGGTCTTTGTTAATCAGCATATTGAGCTGATTTACTTCAGGCATCCTATTATTTATTCTCTGGTGGTTTTATTTTAAAGTAAAAGATAATGTAGTTAGAGATTTTAAGAGATAACAGCATGAGATTAGATATTCTGCAAACACTGGCAATTTCATTAACAATAATAACTAAAATGGACAAATTTTATTAGTGTGCCAGGCACTCATTTAAGCACTGTAACTCAATATTTCTCAAAACCTACATCTGGAATGGGTACTTTCCCATTTTGAATATGTGGAAACTGAAGGAAAGTGGTCAGATCATGTAGTAAAAACATGTTGGAATGTATATTCCCACTCAAGCAGTCAAGTTCCAATGTCCGCACTCTTAAACACTATGCTCTATACTATGTGTGGAGATCAGCATTTGATAAGTATTCTTTTGCTTAAACACAAAATGGGCATAAAATATCAGTGACTCAACTAACAAAAAACAGTTTTTTAAATTTCTATTTTTGAACCTTGGGTATATGTAATCTAGTAACTTTAATTTGGCTTAGGAAAAATTTACACTTCTCCAAAATTGCTTTTCTCTCCTTAATTCACACTAGAGGCCCACTCTAGAGGCCATGTGGGCCTCTTTTAAGACAGAAGTTCAAAATCCCCATTTCCTGGTAAGACCGTGAGTGTACTTAAATAACTACTGTTGTCCCCTTCATAATGAATGACCAAACAGTGCCTTATGGGATGCAGGTGCCAGGGCAATTAGGTGATGGTCACAGCCCACCCTCATTCCTGGCTGATAGGACTCTGCCAGCCACTGGTCTCCCTCTCTTGTGGCTGCCCACTAGACAGGGCAATGGGCTACAGAAGCAATAGCAGAGAGAGGGCTGATCAAAGTCCAGGCAAGAGAGGCAGTTCATAAGCAGCTGCAGGTCAGAGCAAACAGGATTCTGCAGCCAAACAACCAGGGATTATGCATGTGAATATTCAGGTTGTAAATGCACATTGACATACACTGTAGTCTAAGAGGCTGTCCACCAATCTTCTTGATCCTGCTTCCAGAGGGAGAGTTAGTGACAGCAAACCTCCAGAAAACAAATGTGCTCTCTCCTCTGCCTGACTTTGTTTACATTTCGGATTACTCAAGTTTTGGGAAATTCCACTTGGCGGAATTTTACTATCATTGTGGCAATGTGTTTGTAATTCTTTTTCGGTAGGCTTTTACTTGTTTGGGTAGTTTTGAGACTATGGAAAGACTACTGATAGACTGGAATTATCCTAGGCAAGTTCTGAAGTGAATCAGCAAACTGTAAGACAGACAGAGCTTTGACACTTGCCACATCTCAGGAGTATGGTCAGTTATAAAATATATGGTCAGTTACCAACAAAGCCCCAAGCTTCACTTGTGAATCACTAGATGTGGGCAGCGATGCAAATATTACCATGCCTTAATAGTCATTAACATTATAAATGCTGCACAGGCACTGGGACAAGTCACTGCTGGCTTACTTGCCAGCATACCCAAAACCTGGCACAGCATGGGCACATAGTAAGGTGCTCAAAGATTCATGGAGTGAAAGAATAAATGAAAGGATATAAACCTCATCAGGATCATGCTCTTAAAAACCAGGCAGAACAGCTTAGATGGCAAGAGCATGTTCTAGCTTATCACGAAAATTTTTAAAAGGAAAAAAGTATACACACAACTTTCTATATATGATATATATAAGTACTTAAAACACATTTACATTTCTTTAATAACTTATTTTATAATCACATAATCTATATTGAATATCTGGAGGAAATACAAATACAGTAGGACCCCCTTACCCACAGTTTCACTTTCTGTGGTTTCAGTTGCCCTTGGCCAACTGTGGTCCAAAAATATTAAATGAAAAATTTCAAGCAGGGCTCTGTGGCTCACACCTGTAATCCCGCACTTTGGGAGGCTGAGGCGGCAGGTCACCTGAGGTCAGGAGTTCAAGACCAGCCTGGCCAACATGGCAAAATCCCGCCTCTACTAAAAACACAAAAAAATAGCCGGGCATGGTGGAGGCAGGTGCCTGTAATCCCAGCTACTTGGGATGCTGAGGCAGGAGAATCGCTTGAACCCAGGAGGCGGAGGTTGCGGTGAGCCAAGATCATGCCACTGCACTCCAGCCTGAGCAATAAGTGCGAAACTCCATCTCAAAAAAAAAAAAGAAAAGAAAAGAAAAGAAAACGAAAAAATTTCATAAATAAACAGCTTTTAAATTACACACCCTTCTGAGTGGCGTGATGAAATCACATGCTGTCTCACTCCGTCCTACCCGGGACATGAATCATCCCTTTGTCTAGTGTGTCCATATTGTACAGCCCACTTGCCTGTTAGTCACTCAGTAGCCATTTCCATTATCAGATTGAAACAACATGGTATAGTATATTTAAGGGTGGGTTCCATACGAGTTTCAGACGTCTACCGGGCACCTTGGAATGTATCCCCCAGAGATATGGGAGGGCTAGTGAACTACCTGGTAGCATTAAAGTTTATTTATACATACATAGGAAATACATATATGTGAAAAAAGTTGGGGGGACTGCTCTTTATGATACATGATTGCAGAATCACCCATTATTCACAAGAACCATGCTCATTCTTCTTTATTATACCACTTTCCCCAACATTGAGAGGCAATGTATCACTTAAACATGCAAATATATGAAGCATTTATTTATTGTTTTCATTTCCCTTCTTCAGCATACACACTTTTTGTGCCTTCAGCAATACTTTCCTTATTGTCAAAGTTTCTATTCCTAACAAAATTTACATTTTTATGGTAGTTTACAAATATAAAACTACTTTCACATATATTATTCATTTCACCTTAAAAGTGTCTGGTTCAGTAGACTAGACAAGACATTAAAGTCATTCTTCATTGTAATATTCTCATTTTGGTGATAAAGAAATGAAAGATCAAGCAGAAAGGACTGCTCCCAAATTTCAGAAAGTGACAGAGCTTAAGACTGGAACATAAGTCCTCCTGTAGCAAGGCCAGTGCTCTGTGCATTAAACAGCCTCCTGCATAGATCTCCAAAGGCATTGGTTCTGAGGTAGGTTGCTGCCAGCCCCTTCACCTCATTCATATATTTCCTGAGCATTTAAGTGTTGGTTTAGATAAAGGGGCATAATGAGTCAACACCAGATAGCAATCTGCTCCAACTGACCAGGTGGTTAGGGCAAATTATTACAAACTTCATCATTTAGGACTGACAGTCATCACATAAGGACATAAATAAGACAGAAAAAGAGTCATAAGTTATTATCATAAGTTATTTATGATAATAGACAAAAGTGTACGAAAACAAGCCTCCAGTGACAAAGGGAAGCATGATGAAGTCAGTAAACCTTCCTCCTCAACCACTGTCTACACCCCTATGTGCCAGGCCAGCTGCCCTGGCCATTGAAGGTCCATTACGGACCATTAAAGTGCCTGGAGACTATCCCCTGGCCTCAACTGGCACAGCCATGGTCCTCAGTCAAATCCACTAGCACTAACATGTGATTAAGACAGCCTGGGTAAATCTCTCATTAGGAGAGGAGGTAGCTAGGCAAACAGCTGCTACTTCTCTACATTTTATTCATTATTCAGTACCCCAAGATATTTCTTATAGCAACTCTTCCTAATATCCCATGTTGCTCAGATATACATAATAAATTTAGGCAGCAGAGGTTAGAGGATCAAAATTAAAAATAAAATCACCATCATCTCTTGAGGTTTTCAAAAATAGTAGAGTTAGTAGGTTTTGTCTGTGTCAATATCATTTACCACAGCTTACTTTACCCTTTGCTTTCTATTAAAAATAAATAAATGCATACATGCAAACACCTATACATGCATACATGTATAAATTCTGTCATGATATCTGAAAACCAAGCAGTTATCTAAGATAGTCTCTTGCATTCACAGACATATTATCACCTTATATGCAGACTACTATTCTAATCAAATCCAATCACTAAGTCAGGTTTATATTTGGAAATATTGTTTCAGAAATTTGGAATACAAGCCAAAAATTTTTTAATCTTAAATAATAATTATATAGATTACTGTTAAGGAAAATGATATATATATAGTATACATTAATATATGATACATATATAGTAAGAACACTAACCTATACATTAAAATCTTTAATTTGAGCTCAAGTTCTTCCTACCTGTATGACTTTGGGCAACTTACGTCAAATGAAGGGGTCATTAATTTCTAAGATCTTTTTTAACACCAAATTCTACAAATTTTTAATGTTAGACTAATTCAATACTGAGACAAGGAAAATAAAATAATGGAAATAATATAAATTCATGCTTTAAAGTAGTCCTTAAAGGGAAAGCCAATAAATAAACACTCTCAGATTAAAAACAGGTGATCTGTAAATGTATACAAGCCTGCCAGACACAAATTGCCTCTTTCCTCTCTTTCTCTTCCACGCTTTCCCACTTAGAGATCACCTAGTGGTCCACAACAGAGAACAATCTGATCCTACTGTCTCTTCCCCATCATCTCCCATCTTCTTTCTTCCCCATTAGAAAGATTACAAACCCTGGGCCAAGCCAATCAGCACACTAACTTCCCCTCAGTCAGAGCCTTAGATTCAATGGTTGGAAACAAGATCAGTGGATTCAAGCACTGTAAACCTTAGAGCCTTATCAGGTGCAACCAGCAGATAATTCACATTTCCTTAAGGGACTTGAACCTGGGATCTTGTTCGGTGGGAGCTGCCACAGCCATCGTGCCTCTATATGGAGCCTAAGAAGCTCCTGGAATACCCTAGAACTAAACTAAGCAGGCAGAGAAACATCATGTCTCAGTGGAATTACGTCAACTTCTAAATCAAGCTCCACCTGAACTGTAGTTAGGAGAGACAAATAAATTCACCTTTTGTTGCAACCAGTCTGGGTTACATTTTCTGCCAAGATGCAACCAAAGAAATGTCTAATCTTTAAACATTTGTGTACATTCATTAACGAATCTTGACTCTACCAGTGACTCATATAGCCACTTGGGACAAGTTATTACTTAACCCCTCGAGGCCTTAGTTTGTAAAATGGAGATGATCCTCATCTTAAAGGATATTGTGAGGATTTAAAATTATGTAAAACACTGATCACAGGCCCTAGCAGGTCATGGGCTCTCAGTAAATTACAGCTCATATTGTTATTTTTGCAATTGCTTTAGGAAAAGCTCTCTTCTCCAACATATAAGAAAATAAATGAACCTAATTATTGCTCATAAGAATAAAAGCAGTACTAGTAAAAAAGACAAGTTCCAGAATTTGGAGTCAAACTAGAAAAAGTAACTGTGAAGTTCTTGAAGATATACGAAAGTGCCCTCTCAGAGTCTCTCCACCACTACTTCTCCTCTAACAGTGATCAGTCTCCTATTAAATCTTTCTTTAAACATTAGTGTCTAAATTAAGTACATATGGAAATACACTGATTTACAGTTCATTAATTCAATAAATTATATATTTTATATTTAAGACAATATAGGTTATGCAGACTTTTATTTACAGTATCAAAAATATAGAGAACGTTGCTATTATCCCAAACTCCAGCTTCTGATCTCATGATACAGCCAACTGTAATGGGTGAACATTAATTTTTACTTCTTGTTTTTTATTAGTCTCTGCCATAACCACGTCATTATGCCAATATTTTCTGAATCACTAGTGAATGGCAAAAACAAATATAGCAGTTGTGATTTAATCAGAGACAACACTGTTGAAACAGCTAGCACAAGTAGACACATTTAGAATAGTAAATGGATAACAAAAAACACTTACAGGCTCATTAATAAGAAGGCAATTAGGTCTTCTGGGAAAATTCATTTTCTAAAAGAATGCTAAAGCAAGCTATAAAATGCAAGTAAAATTGTGTTTTGACATGAATAGTGTACACTGTCTATTACATCATAATTTTTCTCTTGAGAAAACTGACAAGAATCTCTGTTCTTAAATATGAGCACAAAAGATAATAAAAAGAACACCAGTTATATTTAATGCATTCTACCTACCAACTCCCATTCATTAAATTTGACTGTCCTATAAATGAGCTCCTTACTACAAAGATCTTAAATTACACTTAGATGAAAAAGAGAATTATAAAGCAAGAGACTGCTACTAGTAATGTCAGAGGGAATAGTATTTCCTGTATCAACATAACATTATGCTAAAAATGATTTGCATATAGCATGTTTGGTTCCTTGAAGAGTATGTTTATCTTTAAATATTCTTATACAAAATATTCATAACCAAAACTAGTCTTACTTTTAGTCTCTTATGAAAATATTTTTTTTCAAAGTCATCTGAGCATTCTTTTAAAAAGCTTGTATAGTACTGTTGTTTTGATGTGTCTGGAATATTAAATAATAATCAAGTAAATATTGATCAGAAATATACTCCAGGGGCCGGGCATGGTGGCTCACACCTGTAATCCCAGCATTTTAGAAGGCTAAAACAGGAATATCACTTCAGCTCAGGAGTTCGTGACCAGCCTGGGCAACATGGTAAAACCCCATCTTGACTAAAAATACAAAAATTAGCTGGGCATGGTGGCGCACCTGTAATCCCAGCTACTTGGAAGCCTGAAGCAGGAGAATCTCTTGAACCCAGGAGGCAGAAGTTTCAGTGAGCCGAGATCGTGCCACTGCACTCCAGCTTGGGTGACAGGGCAAGACTCCATCTCCAAAAAAAAAAAAAGAAAGAAAGAAAGAAAGAAATAAAGAAAAAGAAAAAGAAAGGAAAAAGAAATATAAATCCAAGGAAATGTATTTCAGGTTATCATTAATCCTTTTGCAATATTCTTGAAATTCTATGGTAAAGTTCATGTGACAATCTTTTTAAACTGAGCTTTCTTTGTCCTAGAGCAGTGTTTCCCAGAATTAAATGTTCCATCAAATCACCTGGGGATTTCATCAAAATGCAGATTCTGATTCAGTAGATCTGGGGTGACTCTGATGATCACAGATCATCACAAATTTCCAGATGATGCTAATTATATTGGTCCATGAACCACAAAATCCCAGGACACCTTGCAGTGAGGAATCCAATGACCATGAAGCAATCAGTCATCAATCCCTGGGTGGGTAGTGAGGACCCTAGAAAGCCTTCCTCTCTACTCTTGAATTTACTGAATGACCTAAGAAAAATCACATCAAGGAACTGTTGCCAGTCTGTCACTTAAGCAGCTGCTAGGTCACCTCCACTATCCAACACGGATTAAGGGAATTTCTGTGGCTGGTCAGCTGCTGCCTTGAACAGCGCTTGGAGAATCGGCCTATGAGCAGCTGGTTAAGGAACAGGCTGCACTGGGAAGGGTTTATATTAATAGATACCAATCTGGAGAAAGATTTATTATTTTATCCTTAAAAGTATAACAGTATAGTATAGTATACAGTATAGATTATATACAGCTTATTTTCCACTTGTTTCTACATCTATGAAATAAAGTAGTGATCTATTTTCACTACTCTTTCCAAAAATGTTAAGTATGGAGTTTTGATACCATCTCTAGATGCCCTTACCTTCTTTCTAACCTAAATGTTTCTACAACTAAGTCCTAGCATTGTTAAGATGTGTGTGTGTGTGTGTGTGTGTGTGTGTGTATTCACACAGAGGACTACATACTTACATCTTTCACATTTCCCAACAAAATAAATACAAACAATAACTCCACTACGCACTATTTTATTTTGCCTTGTTTCTGAATTCCCCTTATTAAAACAATTCCTAGAATGACACCTGTTGGAGGATTCAGCCAGCACTGCCCTGTTCATCATTTTCATTATCAGAGCTCAATAATCATATCAAGTGGAAACACGGATTATTCCATTTAGGACAACTTAATTTGATCCTAAAACAACTGTAAGTGACAAAATAAGCCACTTGTAATTTTTATGGATTATCAACACACGAAGGAGAATGCCAAAAATTTCAACCAGAGTTAAGTGGGGAAATGGCAATGTTCCACGAGAGGATCAATGTGATCCTTAGATCCCAGGCCCAGTGTTTTCCCAGAACCTCAACAATCTAAAAAAAACCTCACGAAACTAAGTTTTAAAATTACATACACTTAGTTTTCATTATTAAAATATTAAATACAGATCAAAAGAATTCCCACAAGAATACAAAAGGAAAATAAACATACTTCCCACAACAGAATCTTCATGAAACTTTAAAAACCTTTTATGTGAAACTACGTTTCTTTAGGAGTATTTTCACAAAACACATTTGCACTAATGTGGAGTGTGAAGTTTACAAACTATTCAGAGTTCACACTGATATCAAACATCATAACATTTTTTCAGTTTTCCAAGGCATAGTTGTATGTAACTTATCTCACTTATCTCAAAATATCAAGCAATGTGGTTCTGAAATTGTCTATCCCCATTTATAAAAGGGAACTTAAAGACTTCAGAAACAGCAACAAATAAATGTTCTGTGACATTAAAAGATTAGTTCATGGATATGCAAGTTTGCTTTTTGCTTCAATTGAAATAAAAAATAGCCTGATTAATGTATTATTCACTTACTTTGTTATCAAATACTGTTTTAAGACCTATCATGAATTGATGTCTTGTACTTTTTTTTTTCAGTACTATGACAAACAGCATGAGTTTTGATTAAAAAAACAAGTCATGTTCAAAAGCAATTACAACCTTTTTAGGCAAAAAGAAACACCATTTGAAGAAGGAACACAGACCAGATACATATGATCAAAGTGTAAAGACTGAGAAGAATACACAGAGGGAAATTTTTACATTGACAGAACTAGAAAATGTGTTTGCGCAAAGGCAAAGGCTGATTTCAATAAACAAGTCAAAAATACCATAGGACTTTTTTCCTCTTCTAAAAATTAAGTAAAAGATCAAAAACACATACACACACTCACACACACACATACACGTGCACACACACAGAATCCCTGTGTTCTTTGTTTTGTCTTTAAGAACAATCTGTAAACTTTCTTGATGCTTCCTGCTCTCAATCTTCCAGCATCTCTCTTCCTGCACTCCATGAAAAGCAAGTAGGGGAAATGGGAGCAGCACAGATCCCTATTTAGCATGATGTTCACTGTCTTTAATACCAGTTTGAGTAGACCTGGTATACTGCACTTTAAAAATATTAGTAGCCAACACACTTTTTCTATATGGAATCTTATCACATGAATTAAATATTACCTTAAAGGCCAGAAAAACCTGTAACAAACCATCATTGCTAGAAATATGAGATTTGGTGGGAATGTTGGCATTAGCTTTGGTTAGTGGATGAGTCATATTTCCAGTTCTTAAGGACATGTACAGCACTAAAATATATTTGGCAAAAACAAAAGGGCTGTGATCTTGTGTATATATATGTGGGGCTCTGTTTTTGCTAGAAAAGAGTAGGAGGGAGTGTGGGAGGGGGCAGAGTGGCAGAGGGGTTGATTTATTTTTGAAATTCACTTTTATGAGCACAAAGAGAAGAGCTGTCAGCAGCACACATGCCAATGTCCAAACAGCAGCCAGACTCTCCTCTTTCCGTCTGGGTAGGCCAGACACAAAACTACATCTCACGACCTAGGAAAATCAAGAGTCAGATGCAAGAGAACTAGAGAGAGAAAAAAAAACAGTCCTGGAAATGTCCAGCTACATATGATTGCTAGTGATTAGAACGTGGAGTTTTAATGAATTGAGGGATCGAGGGATATTTAGCCAATCAAAACCAAAAAAAACTAACAGGCAAACCTTAAAGCAAGCTGGCTCCAAAGTATCTTCCTAGCAGGTAATAAGTATAAGAGAAATTAATCTCACCTAAAGAGACAACAAGGAGTCAGATACTGCTCAGGTGCTGCTTAGATGAGTTACAGCATTCTAAGTGCACATCAACAGGGTGACATGTCAGGAACTATAGACAAAGCAGGATCTCGAGCTGTATTTCCAGGCTCCTATCATACAAGAGAGACAATAGTCCCTCTCTAGGTCATTGATAAGACTGCATCTAGAAAGCTACATATTATTCTCAACACAGAGTTGAAAACCTGAACCAACAGTTAAACAAACAGCTAAAGAAACTGACTAAAAATATTTTTTTCTGTAGTTAGAAATGCCAGGAATGTTAATAGTGACTCTTCCATGGGTCTAACTCAAGTAAGGATTTATACGAGGTAAGTTAAAAAAATTAAGGATAATCGATCATTGTGCTGACAAAATTATGGTCTGGCCAATCTAGTATGTTTATGTTTAACAATAACTATGTTAAACAATAATTAAATGAATGACTGGCTGAGTGAAAACACACACACACATGCACACACACACGTGCGCACACACACACTCACACACAAATCCTGAACAGCCTGCACTTACTGGAGAGAGAATTTGGAAGGAGTAAAAAGCTGAGACTAAGGCACTTAATGATGATTACACCCCAGATAGCTGCACAGTGCTTTACAATTTACAGTGCTAGTTCCCATAAATTACTTCATTTAATCATAAAAAACATGTGGAAAGGTCAAGTTGGGTATTATTATCCCCATTTTACAGAGGAGAAAGCTGAGTTTCCAAGTCACCTTACCTGCATCTGGTTTCGTCAGTCATCTAAGTCCTTCTACAGAAAACTTTCTTACATTATATCAAGAGATCACAGCTATACAACCCAGTGAATAAACTTTAATACTTCTTTATTCTTCTATGCCTCGGTTTCCTCAGATATGACATGGGTGTCATTTTAAGTGAGAGGTGAAACTGAAAGAATGTATGAGTTGGGATTTACAGAACGTTCTGGTTTTAAAGAGGCTCACAGTGCAGCAGTTTTACACTTTAACTGCAAAAGCTAAGAAAAAAGTCACAATAATGAAAACACTCTTACATTTTTGGTTTAAACAAAGAAAACTGAATAAGTATATGACACATCAAAGTCCCAACAATGCTCAGCCTTTCAAAATTTGCTTTTGAAGCTTACTACATTAGGAACCACATGATATCGGAAAGTAAACTGATCTTAATGAGTATGATTTGAAAGACATACTTCAGATATTTTTAAATTCTCAACATGAATTTGTCTTGGACTTTTAAAGTGGGTTTATTTAAATTTCTCAAAAGGAATAAAAGTTCACTAGTTAAAGTAAAATATAAGAAAAACCAGCAATATGGAATACACCTCCAATCTTCAATACATCTCTAATCTATGTCTGCAACAAATCTGACTGCCATAGAATTTTATGACAATAAAATATCAAATGATTTATGGTAGCCAGAAAAAAAAGGAAGTATTTACAAAACAAACTTATAATTTGTGGAGAAAGGCAAATCCACAATCTGACTTTAAACTCTGGGAATAAAAGACATTCATTTCTGGGCATACATTCCTAAAGGGCAAAATCTTGAGATGCAATCCTGTGATTACTGTACTTTTTAGGAATGCACATTATATTAATTAAATATACAACATCATGTCAAATGTTATGCTTTGTCACTAAAGAAAAGCCAGGCATATTTAGTTAAAGTACTTAGAACTAGATATCTAAGAACACAATTGTTTATTGTACGTATCTAAACTCCAGGTATCAGAAAAGCTCATTTTCACATTCAGCTGGAGGAAAAGTAGTATTTATTTGTTAATTAAAGGGTAAATAACATTTAAAAAGAGAAAAAGTTTTCTAACTGCTGAAAATATATCCATCGCTGTTGAGACATTAATAGTTGCAACTCTTGAATACATGTAAGTTTAATTATGCAACTGGTAGAGTTCAAACTTTCAATTAACAAACTACAAGCCTTTTCAAGCGTAGGCTCTCCGTGCAGTGACAAACACTGTGCAGAAATCAATACTCACTCCAACTTGCCTGCATATAATGAGTTACATCAAGCACGGTTTCAATGCTAACGGGCATTATATGTCAGAAATGCATGCAGTAATGCTTACTCCAGAAAGAATTCAATTAAACCATTGGATTATTTTTTGCATAGAGCTGTTACCCTCTGCGTACATCAATTATATACAGGGCTTTTCCTCTGCGTGCTGCCATTTCATAATCTCTGCCTGAATGTACGACACATGCTGCCACCTGAATCTGTTGTTTAACTCCCTTTACAGAGTTCTAAATGGGGCGGGGGTAGGAGAGCAATGGAAGGGAAATAAACGATTACTCCAGAAAACAACAATTTGAGTTTATTTCCAGGAAACAGGGCCTCCACAACAACGTGAGAAACTGTCAGGTACAAAGTAAGTTATTTGCGTCCTGCGGCTTCAGCCAGGAGCGTGGCTGTCGCTTTTCCCGTCTTCTCCATCACCCTCTGGCCACCACTGCGTCTCCATCTGCACCGCGAACCCCAGCAGCAGATGCGCTCGCCAGCCAAGCGAAGCTGGGTAGGTTGGCCAGAAAAGTTGTCAGGACTGGCGGGAGGTAGACAAGTGCTCGGGAGCCCGCTCCCCAGCGTCCACCTGGTGAAACTTCAGAGCCCCCAGAGGAGAGAACGAAAGAAGCAACCAACCTACACGAAGGATAACAAAACTGGAGGGGAACAGAGGGCGGGACCGGGAGAGCCAGGGTTCACGGACTTCTCTGAGCGGCTTGACCGAGAACCCCCAGGGCTACAGCGAGACGCTCCACTTGTCTCCTTTTGGGTTCTCCGGCAGAAGGCAGACATTTACAGTCCGCTTCCAGCCCCAGGCCGGATCCGGGGAGCGCGGGGCCAGAGCCCCAGGCCGGATCCGGGGAGCGCGGGGCCAGCCTGGCGGTGGTTTTGCCCGAGGAGCGGGCTCCCACGCGCGAGTCAGGCTTCCTCCACCAGGCGCCCAGACCTCGATGCCCATGAACGCTCAGAGTGGGTCCTTAGAACCGCATTTCAACACATCTTACAGGGCTCCGCCAACACACACACAGAACATGCTCCAAGCAGTGCCCGAGCGCACAGGGCAAGCCCGGGAGCAACCCAGAGCTGGGGGAGGAGAAAAGGGGACTCCGGGAGGGACGGGGAAGTAGTTAGACAATAGTCAGGGGAGGTTATTCCCGGGACAAAAAGCACCTGGCAAAGCGCGCCGAGGTCAGTCCCTTCGAATCTCCACATTTCTGACAATGGCTTCCCAGGGAATTTGTTTAAACACCCAAGTGGCAGACAGCAACAAACCCGCACCACAAGCAACAGAGTGCCGTCACGGGAGTCGTAACTACTTTTTCTTTCTCTCTTCCCCACTAGCCCGGCGCAGGCCACGCGAGACGCCGAAGCCAGCAGGTCCCCACACTCTCCGGCTAGACCGTGCCAGCCTGAGCCCCGAGCAAGCTTCGGAGAGGAACAATGGGTGCCCCGCGTCCCACCTGGCACGAACTCTGGGGACAGCCCTCCCTCTACCCTGTGTTCCCCACCCCCGGACAGAGAGAGCTCCCCACGATCCTTGTCCCCAGCCCTAGCGGGGACCTGGCTCACCCCTCGTGAGCCCAGGACTCCAGGCGTTCGTCGGGGACGCCCCCCGGCCACTCACCTGCGGAGAACTGGCCTTGGGCCGATCCCAGGAGAGGCCAAGGAGAGAGGAGCAAGAGCGCCACAAAAGCAGGCAGCGCCGCCGCCGCAGTCGTATCCATGCCGAGTTTGGGAGAAGTTTCAAGCAGCTTTGCAAAGAGCTGCCGGGGGGATCGCCGCGAAATCCACGACGGAGGAGCGGGCCGGGCCTCGCGGGGTGAGGACGGTGAGAGGACAGCCGCCCGCCCGCCCTTTTTCCTTCTTCGCGGTCGCCAAACTACCTCAGGGGCGAAAGCGTCGCCAGCGTCGCCGGCCGGCCGCGGCGGCAGCTCTCCATGCTCGGCGGAGGCTGCTCCTGTTAGTCAAGAGTTACTTTGCTCGGGGAGGGACGGGGGCGGAGCCGGGGGTGACGTCGCCCCGCGGGCTCCGGGCGCTTCTGAGGAATGCGGGCTCGGGCGCGGCGCCGCCACCGCCTCCTGCCGGAGAGACGCGCGCCAGCCCCGGCCGCGCGCCCCGCGCCGCCTTTGTTCGCAGCCTGGGCCCCGCCGCCAGCCGCTGCTCGGAGGGAGCGAGCGAGAAAGGGGAGCCGGCGCAGCTCGCTGCCCTGTTCCAGAACTCAGAATTTGAGAGGCGAGAGTTCGGTAAGCCGTGCGACCAGACGACCGAGGACGCGCGCAGAGAAACCCCCGCCGTCCGAGGAGAGGCGTCCTGGGGTTCCGTCCCAAGGTGGAGGTCCCCCCGAGCGGTTGCTGATTGAAAGGGGAGTGTGGAAGCGCCCTGAGGAAACACCCGCCTGCCTTGAAAACTCCCCGTTCCTTATTCTTGTAATAAGGAATAAGACACCCCACCCCCATCGAAAACTTGTCCCTTATTCATAGAATAAATAAAACTTGAACCAGAATAAACGATCAGTAACTTTCCAGCGTGAACAGCTGGCGTGTCTCCTTTCTGGTTTATTTGTCATTGGCCAAGTATTTGGATTTACTCTGCTTCACTGACTTTGCTTGTTGCTCTGAAACCCTCCGGCCCCTTTCCAGTTCTCACCTAAGAACTGCATCAGGGCTTATTATCCCTTCCTTGCACCTAGGTCTGGTGTGTGTGTGGTTTTGTTTTTTTTAATATCTAGTAGGTAGTTAAGACATAAGTATTTAACAAAAGGACTTTTACACTGACCATGAAAACAGCTTCTTCGGAATGATTCATCTGGCAGAAAATAATGCTATATTATGACAGTAAAATATTTCACAGTTAACTACTTCAGCAGCTTGAAGTGGTTTCGCCATATGCCACCCTGCCTTACTTCTGTGGTAAGACTGTATGGTGCATACTTTATTCATTTTTGTAAAATGTCACAAAAAATAGGTATGGTCACAATTGAATAACATAATAACTTTGATTCAGAATTTTTATGTGTTATGTACAATTGCTAAAACAATAGTCTGTTGATTGACATCTCTCAGTTTCTCAGACATCTTAGCCTTTGTAAATCAAGACAATGTGAAATTCATTTTAATATAACATTCACATAATTTACCAAGCCACATATTCTTTTAATCAAATATATGCTATTAATGACCAGACTTATGACAGAGCCTGTGGAAACAAAAATGTAATAAATATACACACAAATATATACATATATAAATACATATTATACACACATACATATCAGGCAGAAAAGACTTTTAAAAATTCTATGAGAATAGTAGCCTGCTCATTAGCACACTGACTAGCTCAACCCTTGTCAATTCAGTTCAGCATAGTTAAGTTCATCCTTCCTTAGGGTGCAATGTAGATTTTTTTTTTTTAACTCATTAACCTATACCTTTCAACACACCATCACCATTCCATTTCTTTAATTAGAGAACATTCCTAGATCCCAGGTAACAAAAAACTGAGGGACATATTTTTCTTTTTGAGGACAGCAGAACTTCCTAAAATTTAGCAGCAATTTTTCCCAGTAAAAACAAACAAAACCCTACTGTCTGTATACTAATTCATCTGTTCTACTCTTGTAAGAAATGTAAAAGAAGTTCATGACGTGGTAATTTGTTTGTTTAAACACACAAACAAAAAACTTCTTTAAATATTTTCACACAGTGCCAGGACAAAGTGCACACAATTCTTACCTTGCCCATTTTGGGGGACAGCTGATAGAAGATTCATTTCATGAAACTTTATTAATTTCTCTATCATGGAAGTAATAATAATAGCAGGTAATGTTTAGAAAGTTCTTCAAATGTTCTAGGCACTGTCTTAGAGTATACAATGTCACACTGAGACATCAAGATTTTCAGTGTTTCATTGAGTTCAGTCAACAATTCCGTGAAGACTTTGGTACAATTATTCCCATTTGACAAATAAGAAAACAAGGTTATAGATTAAGTAACTTACCCAAAGACACATACTTAAGTGAGAAGTGGGGGAGGCGATGCAAAGAGAAGAAAGGAAATTCTCAAAAGAAATCAGCAAACCAACACAGATGGTTTCTCACTAAAAATCAAAAGCATGCAATAAAACTTTTAGGTAAGTACATTATTCCTTTTGTGCATAACTAATGCGACCAGTATGGATTGAAATCACTTGAGTAGAAATCTGGTGGGTCTTCTACATAGCTAAGTGCGTGGCAAATATTAGGAATTAGTAGATTTTTGTTTGTTTGAAAGAATAAATGAATACATGAATCAATAGAAGTATAAATTTGGTTAAACTTTTAGGAAAAGAAATCATCAGCCTGCATTAAAAATCACTAAAATCTTCCTATTCTTTAGTCTAGAAGCTATTGCAAGTAAATAATCCAAAATATGAAAAATGTTATTTAATATGTTTATCATTTCAAAAGAGAAAGAATATAAATATTCTACAATAGGCAGATTCATAAGCATTATATGGTAGAATATCTCATAGCCACTAGAAATGAAAGTTATGAAAAAAGTAAATTGCAAGATGGAAAAATGCTTATGATCAAATGTTGGGTAAAATCATCAGAAGACAATACAGAGTTTCAGTTTAGAAAGATAAAACTGTTCTGGAGAGGGATGGTGGTAATAGTTGCCTAACAACATGAATGGACTCAATGCCACCAAATTACATACTCAATAATTGTTAAAATGATAAAGTTTATGCTATGTATATTTTACAACAATAAACAAAAACAGAAGACAAAGGTCTTTGTACTATAACCAAGAAAAAAAGAAGGCTGAAAAAAATTACAAAACATAGTATTAATATAGTTAGCAATAGATGTAGTATACTAAAATTTTATGGGAGCTCTTCTCTATTTTCCTATTGTTTTGGCCTATGGTTACATTATTTCTTTTAAAAGAGGACAGCTTTGTGTTCTGATTGCAGATCTACCACACACTAACTCCAATCATAATCTTAGATCTGCATTTGGCAAGTGTTTTCTGTAGAATCCCAGTTCTATCAGATTTAAATAAGTATAATTCAAAAATACAGCCTCAAGATTAAATTAGCTCGGAGAACTCTGGACTGAGCAAAGTTTAACAGATTTCTTCAATATAGCAAGCTTCTTTATTATAGAATCTTTCCCATGGTTTCCGATATGGTATCATGTGCTATAAGTCTATTGGAGAAGGAAAAAGAATTCATTGTTTCTCAAAGTTTTGGACCATAGAACGCTTTAATAGAGGAGTAGGTCTCAGGACCAGGGTTCCAGGGAACAGAATTTGGGAACATTGCATTAAACAACATTTAATACCACCGTATCTTAATTTCCTTTTTGTGAAAATGAAGTAATAATATTTTTATAGGATTAAATTATATATCTATCTATCTATATATATATATCTATCTATATATATAGATAGATAGATATATATATATATATACATTTTCTTTTCTTGTAGAGCTGCAGATTTGCTTGTAAGTATAGACATGAGGCCAGGCACGGTGGCTCACGCCTGTAATCCCAGCACTTTGGGAGGCTGAGGCGGGCGGATCACGAGGTCAGGAGATCAAAACCATCCTGACCAACATGGTGAAACCCTGTCTCTACTAAAAATACAAAAATTAACTGGGCATGGTGGCATGTACCTGTTGTCCCAGCTACTCGGGAGGCTGAGGCAGGAGAATCACTTGAACCCAGGAGGTGGAAGTTGCAGTGAGCCAAGATTGTGCCACTGCACTCCAGTCTGGCAACAGAGCGAGACTCCATCTCAAAAAAAAAAAAAAAAAAAGCATAGACATGAAAGGGCCTGGTTGATAACAGCTGCTAAATGTTATTTTCCTTGTCTTGTTCACTAAAGGACTATGCACAAACTTGTACTGAGCGGAAGCAAGGTTTTATTTACCCAGTGGCAGATCATGAGTGTACACACAGCATGTATTTATAAGCAATTAGATAATATTCTCAGCTTGTTAATAATAACTAACTGCTTATATTACGCTTTTTAGTTTGTAAAGCATATTCACCCACATGAATATGATGGATCATGATCTATCCTCACTCCAACTCTGTGAAGGAGGCAAGGCAGGTATGATTAATTTCACTTAACTGAGGAGGAAAATCAAAGCTTAGAGCAATTAAAATACCTGCCCAAGGTTATGCTGCTAGCTAATAGCAGGATTGTAACTCTGACCTGGGGTCTTCGGATTCTAAATCTGATTTTTTTCCAATTCCTATGTACCTAATTCTTATCTCTAAAAATTTTTATTTGAGTCAGGTGTCAAAATCCTCAAGCCAATTCTTGCAGAGCCTCTTGACCTGGTAGGTGGAAATAAGCTTCTATTTTCTCTTTGAAAGAAAAACACACCTATAAGCACTTTCTTACAGGAAACTTCTTGCATGGGTACGTGTGTTGTCAAGAGAATCCCTGGGGACAAGAGGGACAGGGAATTTCTGACAATAAAGCCCATGAATAGAGCAGGGACTTCCAGAGTGGAAAAATGTGCTTGTCATACCCTTAAAAGCTATCACCCTGGATGGGCACTGGGGCCTTGGATTGTAGAACAAAGCCTAACTCCTCCCTGGAGTTGCACTGTGACCTGTCCAGTTAGCTTGGCTCTTAGACCTTAACAATAGAGTATTCAGGAATAAGAGAAATAGTGATGCCACTTGCCTGCATTTCTCAGGAAATTCTCTCTATATGGTCTTAGGCAATTTCTGATCAGATGGAAAGACATACACTGTATTCACAACCAGAGTTATTTTGTAAGTCCCTTGAACCCTTAAAACATCCATAACTGAGGATTAGTTCAGAAACACTAGTCAAGAAAATGCATGCTCCAAAGGTTTTATCAAGGGAAGCAGAAAATGTGAGCAGCTTGAGAGCTCAGTATTGCCAATTTGGAAGAGCAATTTGCCTACAGCTGGATATAATTAACAAGCATGGGTCAAAAAGGAAGCCAATCATAAAAGTGTGAATTGGATTGAGGTGGAGGGATGGGACAGTAACAGTCACTTCCAGAGCTGGTAGGTTCCCACTGGTGAGCCGCTCCCCATTTTCAAAAAGCCTCGTCTAATGATGTTAATAGAAGAATAAACTCTGGGGGAAAAAATGCCTGGTCTTCACAGTAACCCAGTATGTGTTTGACAAATTATTTTTTCTGGGACAATAAATGGTGCCTTATTCTCCCTTTATGCTAGTGAGTATTTTCTATGCCCACCAAAATGTATTATGTTTTTCACGGCTCACTATAAAGAGGTATAAAGGTACCGGCTATACAGCCTCCCATTGAATCCTGTTTGAATTCTTTTGGTCTGAATGCATGAATTATCATGGGGATTTTTTTGTTGTTTGTTATTTTAGTAAAAACCAGGAAAGAGGATAACTTAAAACTAAATACATCATGCATTAAATAATAACTATATCTTGTGGGGTTAAGAGCTCGTATGCAAAGTTGCAGCCTGATGAGAATTAACACAGCTGAATAATAAATTCTCTAATGATTATGCTCCTTTCCTCCTCCCACCTACTTCTGAGGGGGGCTGGGGGACTGGCTTCACATATGGAACCCTGTGGATCTTGCCATCTTTCTTCTGTGCTTATTGTGGTCTTGAGACAGAAAGAAATAGAAGTCTGAACACAGGATGCGGTGCTTCCAAAGCTTTGGAGATTTTTCTAATCCTCCAAATGTTCTCCAATAAAATCCTCCCTTTATACTGCTGATGCCGCCACAGCATTCATAACCAGGGGAAGTCTGACAAGAAAATGAACCATTAAAACCTACACACAAACATAGGGGCTCATTTCCATGCTGAAGTCATCTTTAACCAAAGCCCAGAATTCATTTTGTCATTTGCAAGCATTTATTAAGGGCACAACACAGTGCTAGTTACTCTGTGGGGGATACAGGAGAATTAGTAGTTTACATCTGAGTTTAACAGGCAAAAAAATAAAACATAAAAAAATAAGAGACAACAAACCACTTGAGGGAAGAGGAAGATGAATAAATAAATATGTATATATATGTATGTATATATATGTATGTATATGTATGTATGTATATGCATGTGTGCAAATACATGTACCCTAAATGCGAAGGAGTATAAAGCGAAGTATTAAGTCATGGTGAAGCACAGCTGAAGGAAGAAACTTTGGGATATGGCTAGTTTTGAGCTAGATCTGAAAGAAAGTGATAGTTGTTGCAGGCAGAAAAAAAAAAAAAAGGCCTGAGGCGTAAACCACTTTGTGAAGCTTGAACTTCTTCCTTGAACACGCTTTCTGGGAAGTAGCTGGCTGTTAGTATCTGACCAAAGTGTGCCTCTCATTGACTGAACACTTGTCCATCCTGGGGATGAATTCTCATTTTTATTGATAAATTTTTTAAATCATCTAAGAAGCCTTGTTGGAAGATGCATAAAGTACACAACAGATTTCTCATAACATCAGTTTATAAGCATTTAAATCTTCGCAACTGTCTAAATAAGCCCAGAGAAGAGTTCATTAAGAAATAGCTGCACGAGCACAGTGGAGTATTAAAATCACATGCAATTTCTTTGGGGCCATAATGAAATAGTCAATTAACTTTTTTACTTGTTGACAACTACAGCTGATATAAACTAATGGTCCACTGATCTGAGCAGAAAGTCAAAGAACAACAAGTTAAAACAGTCTGAGAAAAGAATCAGAGGCTGAATTGATCAAACATAGTTTTATTTCAGTTTCCACATGATGTAAAATAGCCACTTAACTGTTTCAGATACATCCTAGAGAAGCTTGGTGAACAATGTGAATGTACATAATAAATAATATTAGCTAATATTTAAAAATACTTTACAGGGGTGGTAGGCAGAATAATAACAACATTCCCCACCTCCACTCTCAAAAAGATATGCATGATGTAATCCCTGGAAGCTGTGAATATGTCACCTCACAGGCCAAAGAAACTTTGCAGATGTTATCAAGTTAAGGATCTCGCAATGGCAATATTATCCTGGACTGTTTGCATGGGTTTAGTGTAATCCACAAGAGTCCTTACAAGAGGGAGGCAATAGAGCTGGAGTTAGAGAGAGAAGATGTAAGGATAGAAGAGAGGAAATGCTACACTGCTTATTTGAAAAATGGAGAAGGGGGCCATAAGCCAGGGAATACAAGTGTTTTCCAGAAGGTGGATAAGTCAAGAGAATGGATTCTCCCCTACAGCCTCCAGATGGAACACAGCCCTGCTGACTCCTTGACTGTAGTCTAGCAAAATCCATTTCTGACTTCTGACCTCCAGAACTGAAAGACAACAAATCTGTGTAGTTTTAAGCTACTAAATTTGCAGTAATTTGTCAAAATAGCAATCCAAAGCTAATATGCATGGATCACCTCATTTAATCCTTAAAATATTATAGCCACTTTACGGATGTGAAAACTGTTGCTCAAATAGGTTAAGCAGTTTGCTTAAGTAAATGGTGGAGCTAAACTACAGATCCAGGCACTCTGACTCCAGAGTGTGTACGCTTAAAAAATACACTGTTTTAAAAAACACTAATTTAGAATGGCAAGAATATATTGTATTACTCCATAAAGGTAAACTGTGATAGCAAATTTATAAAAAAGATATTGAATATATTTTCAATCTTCTCTGTATTCACAGTGAATACAATTCTTAACATTCCATTACAGTTCCTTTGCTATGAATGCCAGCAATCTTATATTAGTTTGATATTACATTACTTCATCAGAGGAAGACATAAACTAGGAGATAACCTTTGTCAATAGTTACCTGGATGATTAGTCATCATTTACATTTGGCATATTTCTTGTCATAACTCTCATTATGATGTCTTCTATAGATTGTAAGCTATTAGAAAGCTGAGACTGTATTTCCTCTATGTTCTACAAGGACCACAGCCTATGTCATCCCATGTACATGTTTGCATGTGTAGGTCATAATGAGTCTGTTGGTCATTAATGCTGAGGATCATTGCCTCCTTAAGAATTAAACTTTTGTTTCATTGGTTGCTGGGCTGTCATTCTAATGTCGTGGAAGTTGAGGATTCTGTATTGTTTGTCATTATATCCCTGCCCATAATACAGTGGTCATATAGTTATTCAATTAACTGTAGTTGAGAAATGAATGCATGAGCAGACTTTCTAAAGCCAAGCAGCTTTGGAAAAGTCTGGCAGGAGAAGATGTTGAATTTTAAGAAAATGAAGGAAGAAATCCCTTGAAAGAAGGCTTAAGAATGATTGAACAGAGAAAGAAAATCTTAATTTCTATGGCCATTTGAATAGTTTAAAAGTATCACTCTGATTCAAGATGCTGAAGTCCATGTTTTCCTTTATTCTATTTCTAGTATTTTTCTTGTTTATGGCTCTAATACTGATGAAGAATGCAAACTTACTAGTTTCCTTCTTTTTGTATTCTTCCTGCTGTCTGAACATGAAATATTTTCATTTATGCATAACAAACAGCCGTTAACATCATTCATTTACACCTAGAGATATTGAAGACTTATTTTCATAAATCACTGTGTGATATTCAGAACTCAGTACCTGCTGGAGCAATGAGAGCTTTGAGTCTAAATCCAAGGCATCAGGGGCTGGGAGCAGTGGCTCATGCCTGTAATCCCAGCACTTTGAGAGGCCGAACTGGGCACGTTGCTGGAGCCCAGGAGTTTGGGACCAGCCTGGGAAACACAGCAAAACCCTATCTCTACCAAAACAAACAAACAAACAAACAAACAAACAAAAATTAGCCAGGCATGGCTATAGTTCCAGCTACTTGGGAGGTCGAGGTGGGAAGATTGCTTGAGCGAGGGAGGTAGAGACTACAGTGAGCCAAGATCACACCACTGCACTACAGCCTGGGTGACACAGCGAGAGAGATCCTGTCTCCATAATAAATAAATAAATACCTGATAAATAAATAAATAAATCCAAAGCATCCAGGATAAAGTGAGATTGCATACTAAAACACTTTAGGGTGGTTTAAGTCATCTTAGATCTCAGAGTATTTGAGGTTTCCCCTTTCCTAGACAGCTTCAAGAAGGGAAAGCTAAGTTCACATCTCTTATTCACTATGCTGTCTTTCAATGGTAAAATACCTTAGCAAACAAATCATGATCAGATTGATGGCCCTAGGATTCAGTTACTGGTTATACACTCTTATTTCAGGGTGGTTTGACTAAGCTATGTCTCCTGCCAGCCTGCCCACACAACCTTATTTCTTCATTTATTCGGTAAATATTCACTGTATGCCTCATAGGTGCCAGGTACTATTCTAGATACTGCTTACATAACAGGGCGCCAAGTAGACAAAAATCTTTGCCCACAGTTACATTCTAGCGGAGGGAGACAGACAATAAACAAATAAGTAAAACCTATAAATGGTCTAGAAAGAATAATTCCTATCGTTACAATTAATATCGCAATATCTGAAAAATATCAGAAAAAAGAGGGACTTTTATTGTATTTGCTCCCAAACCAAGATTAGATTCAATGTAACAATGTTATCAAAAGTAACATTTTAACTCAGTATAAGAAAAGAATGTGTTATTAATACATTAAAATTTTTTTTTCGGCCGGGCGCGGTGGCTCATGCCTGTAATCCCAGCACTTTGGGAGGCCGAGGCGGGTGGATCACGAGGTCAGGAGATTGAGACCATCCTGGCTAACACGGTGAAACCCCGTCTCTACTAAAAATACAAAAAAAAAAAAATTAGCCCGTCGTGGTGGCGGGCGCCTGTAGTCCCAGCTACTCGGGAGGCTGACGCAGGAGAATGGCGTGAACCCCGGGAGGCAGAGCTTGCAGTGAGTGAGTAGAGACCGCGCCACTGCACTCCAGCCTGGGCGACAGAGCGAGACATCGTCTCAAAAAAAACTTCTTATAAATCTTGTGTGTTTATATTTTATAAATTATAGGGTAACTATCTGGGTTTCCTTTTTTACTTTGGCTGTTAGGACATTCAGATCTAAATTTGTAGTCACAGTAGTTGCGCACAACTTACTGGTCTGTATTGTTATATACTGAACTTCCAATTCTACTATTCTAATAATTCTTACTATTCTACCCTCGTTTTTCTTTTACTTTGATTTCTCTATTTATTTGTATTTTAATGTATTGCTTTCATTTTTGCTAACCAAGAACTAAGTCTACTGACCAATAATGAAAACTACCCCAAGAAAACAGGTACTTCAGTTTTTTGTTTTGAGACGGAGTCTCGCTCTGTCGCCCAGGCTGCAGTGCCGTGGCGCGATCTCGGCTCACTGCAACCTCCGCCTCCCGAGTTCAAGCAATTCTCCTACTCAGTCTCTTGAGTAGCTGAGATTACAGGCGCCCACGACCACGCCCAGCTAATTTTTTTGTATTTTTAGTAGAGACGGGGTTTCACCATGTTGGCCAGGCTGTTCTCGAACTCCTGACATTGTGATTCACCTGCCTCGGCCTTCCAAAGTGCTGGGATTACAGGTGTAAGTCACCGAGCACGGCTGGTACTTCGGTTTTATACATTCACAGAATTAATCGAGAGATTCTGCCTTCCTACTTCTTAAATCTTTTTGGCTGAAAAATGCCAGGTCACAGGAGGGTAGGGTGTCTTATCCAAAATTTCAGAGTGAATCCTTAAGCATGGCTTATTAACTACCTGTTAAACAAGTGGCTCATTAACAACTTAGGGTGAAATGGGAGCGAGAGTGGTTTCTGCATTTTGAAGGCTATTGGTTAAAATGTAATCAAAGGTTATTCAGCTCTAACTCACAAAATGATACTAGCTTTTAAGTTTCTATCTGTTCTATGTGACATTCTGCCATTTATCTCTGAGTTTTGATGAGAGAAAGAGATTAGAATGACCAGCTGGGTTTTCCAAATTTTTACCAAAACTGTGAATAAGAATAAATGTAGATACAGAATCTATAAATCATAGCACATGGACATGCTTGAGGAGACTAGATATGCCATCAGAAATGCCTTTAAATTATTGCAGCATACTCCTGCATTTAAAAGATATTAATTATGTGATTTAAATCCAAAGGTATGATTTTTCAAAGAAGAAAAATGATATCTAAGTTGGTGGTAAGTGACAAGACCCATCACAGAGATATTTTGTCCAGTAGCAACCCAGCTGCTGATCAGTTTACTAAAAAGCCCAAGGGGCAGATTAATTATTTAGCAGTGGAATAAATTGCAAAGTTGGCCTAAATGACTTCAAGACAAATTGAAGCAGCAGATTCTGCAAAACTCTCAGCAATAATCACAGAAAATATGAGTGAATTTGAAACCAGGTTTTGTAAATGGTCTGACATCATCGTCTCCTTTTCTTTTCTCTTAACCCTCAACCTCCATTTTCCCATACTCCAGCTCATCCAATTACCCACTTTCCCCCCACCCCCACTTCCACTAACATTGTACTAACCCATACCTTTCTAGTATGGCAATTCCTCTCTGCGTCTTCCATCCCTTTCTTCCTATTTATAATGCTCTATATTGGGCATTGCCTGTACACCCCTGTACCAAGATAGCATGCAGGATATTATCCTCCAAAAGCATAAGTTACCATCTAATGGCGAGTACAGCAAACAGAGAGAATGCTATGTAAAGAAAAAAAACTAGGAATAAATGTAAAAATGATAGGCACAATGGAGGTACAAACAACCTGCTGTGAAAACACAGATGAAGAGGCAATTAGTTCCTGTCATTTTCTAGCATGAGTGGGTGACAAATATCTTCACTCTGCGTATTCCCCTCCCATCTGTTTCTCTCACTTCTAATGGGGACAATTTGGGATCTGGGTTGTCAGTTTCTGCTACTGAAATGTGAAACTGGAGGATGAAATTTATTCTGATGTCAACCACAGAAGCTGCTGTATTTAACTTAATATAGTGAAGGAGCAGTTTAGTGACCAATTCTCCGTAAGACACAACCATCCTACATCCCTGTTGTCAGTTACTGCTTTAGGACTCCCAATACTAACTGTTTTCAGCCAGGTTTTCTCATTTCTCCCTCTCTCCTCCAACTTCCCAATCTCTTCCCAGGATTTCCCTGTGTTTTCCTCTTGCTAACTCACTAGTTTCTCGTACCAGGCTATTCTAGCTGCCTTATACTTCGAGTATAGACCAGTCTGTGTACCAAGATGACCTGTTTGCCTATGTGTTAAGAGTTTAGAGACACTCTCCAGAGTCACTTTGCCTAAAATGCCAACACTTTATGTGTCTTAGACATTCAAATGTCCCTGTGAGGACAAAGCAGAAGGTCCATCAGTCATTTACACCTCAGTTAAAATTATTTCATCGTATCATTTTTCTTTAAATAACTAGCAGAGATGAGCTACCCTGGGGAGGCTAGTTCACTCATTCAGCCATTATCTACTTAGCATCCTATTATATGTTAACTTGTTTCTAAAATGAGTAAGACTTGTCTGACTCATATGCTGGTTGAGGGAAGAAATACAATTGTAATTTTAATAAGTGATAATTGCATGGAGGAACCGCCAACACTGCCCTGGGCATTGGGTAAAGGCTTAAAAGAGGACCAAAGATTTTAGGTAAATCTTGAAGTGTAATTTGGAGTTGGCCATAGCGAGGGAAGCAGGGAAAAATAACTAGAATTATGAACACTCTGAAATGGAAAGGGTTTGAGTGAGAGCTGAGGTAAAGATTTCAAGCAACCAAGAATAGCATAAGACTCTATGGATAGGGGAGAAGAGGTAGATTCAGTATTTGGAAGAAAATGTCTAAAGGGAGAATGGGATATGGGAGAATTATAAGACGGACTATAACATTTAAAATTTTTGCCATTAAGAACTTGTTTTAAGAGGCAAAGAAACAACGCAGTTAGGATCAGATTAGTAGGATAAATCGGATGGAATTAGAGTATGAATAATGAAACTGACAGTGCATGAATTGTCAACATTCCTTTTAATCAATTCCTTCTCCCAGTCCCTCAGGTCTGTATTTGTTACACATAAACATATTGAAAAGCTCAGGCGTCCTGGCTCTATCATTAACTAACTACTCGCAAGTACCCTAAACACCAAGCAATCCAATTTGCATATTTCACAGGAAAGCGCCAGAAAAGATGATCCTTAAGATCTCTTTTAGTTCTAAAGACTATTATTATTTTTATATCCTGGAAGAATTGCAGTGTGTATAGCACTATCTAAGTAGACATTATCTCCTCCTACTAGAAGCCTAAGCAGTACCAGAGCATTGACATTAAAGAACTCAGGGTTTTATTGTTTGAAATTTTAAAAATAACTCTTTTTCTTATTATAAAAATAATACATGTTCATTACAGAAAAATTAGAAAATAAAATTGTAAAACATCACAACTTCTACCCGCTCAGACACAACCATGGTTAATACTTGGTATATAACCTTACTAAGAAGATTATTATTTCATGTAAGATTATATTAAATAATGGTAAATTATTCTCTACTAAAAAAGGTTGTTTGTTTGCTTATTATAGAGCCAAGTAATTTTCACAGAAATAACTATTGAAGATTTCATGGGGTTCAATGAATCTAGGCAGATTTCTTTCTCCCTACAAAGTCAATCAACAGACATTAAGTAAAAATGAATAGAATTACAACTCAGTATAAACGTCTTCCCTGTGGCTTCAGATTTATGCCTCCTAAGGCCATTTCAAATAACACACTCAAATATTAATAGGAGGGGAATTATGGAGTATGTACCAGGCACTGTACAGGGTACTTTCTATGTGCTAACTTGAACCTCATAATAATACTCTAGAGCGGATTTTTTTATCACAGTTTTACAGATAAGATTCAGTGGCTTAGAGAGGTTAATTGACTTTATTACAGCTACATTGCTAGTAAAGATCTCAACCAAGATTTGAACCCAAAACTGCCTGGTGCCAAATATCATGTTTTTACCACTATACCAGCATTCACTGAACTGTTTTCCAAATAATACTAGTATTGAGTGAGATAATGTTCCATGAAAAAAAGGGTCCATGTCAACTATGTTTGGGAAACATAGCATTGCAGGAAAGAAATATGTTTTCTCAGTTTAACACTTATTTCTTATTTGACAGTGAAAATTCCTTTTTTTCCTAAAATCATGAAGTTGGTTATGAAGGACTTGAAAATCTTCCCCACTTCCCACCAACAATACAGAGATAATGAAAAAATACAGCATCACTTAAGTAAGATCTTTTACAGATTCAACTCCATGGCTTGGAGTTATTGTGGACTGAAAGGAAGGATCTGGAGACCAAAATAAAGTTACTGTTTACCTTTAATTCAAGGGTGATTACAGGTTGCTGAGCCAGATGTAAATCTGTAAAAATGTCTCACTGGGCAATATTTTTCCTAACTGAATGAGCTTCAGACTCCTTGTCTGTAAAATAGGGTGGATGATGTTAATACATAATTAATATTAATTACGGGAGAAAGGTACCAGATTGTAGGAGGATCTTAACTGCTTTAAATTCCAAGACAAGAAATGTAGACTTGGCTGCTACACAACAGGAAGTCATCAAACTTTTTTCAAAGCAGGTTAGTTTTAAGAAAATTAGTGTGATGGCAGTGTGTAGCAGAGATCAGAGGAGGTTACTATATTCTGTACCTACAATTTGGGGAGTCTGACAGTACACCAACTGCCTTCCTCCACTTCAGTGCCACTGACCAGTAGATCACCACTTTTTATTTCAGGATACTCAATTATTGTTTGTCACAAGAATTTAATTCATTGGCTCAAAGCTTACATCCTCACGTTTCACTTTACTGTACCAAAGAACTTAAAATTTGATGATGTTATGACTACAATTTTCAGTTGTTTCATAAAGGGGAAGATAAAATGGTCTAGACCAGGAAACTTGAAGTGAGTATCTTTAGAGGTAGCAAGGCCTGTCAATGTGAAAGAGCTGGAAGAGAAGCAAAGTTGGTCTTGGCTTTTGGACCCCTTTCCAAAACTCTGGGAAAGCCCTAACAATGTCTTCGTATGATCATATACTTTTGGTAAAATTTGCAAATAAAGATATTGCACCTGCAAAAAGACTTTGTCTCTTTCCTCATCAACTTGTCCTGTGCCATATTGAAGTATGGGAATAGTGGTGGGCATTTTTGGTATTTAATTAATCAGATGAGGTGGGACTGTAGTGAGATTTGTATAATACAGTAGTTCTCAACCGAGGTCGATTTCGCCCCCTGGGAGACATTTAGCAATGTCCGGAGAAATGCTGGGGTGTCACAGCCAGGGCAGTGGTCAGGGGAGCTACTCGCTTCCAGTGGGTAGAGGACAGGGAGGCTGCAAAACATCCTGGAATTCACAGAATGACTCCTCCTTCAACAAAGAATTCTCTGGCCTTAAAGGTCAGTAGTTCCAGGTTGAGAAACCTTGGTTTAATGGAAAGAACTTTAATGGTTTGCAAACAATTTTAGGTATACTTAAATTTCTGATTGTCTGGATACAGAAATGTTTGTAGGAAATACTCTGTGCTGACTTACCCAATGTCATGATCTGAAGATAGAAGACCAGAGATTGTATCATTATGTGCACTTGCTCTCCAGTAATTAGCACTAGAGGTCTAAAGGTGGTGGAGAAAGATTTGAAATGAGCCAGGACCTAGTCTGTGATTATTTTTCCAAACATTAAACTTGTAAAATTAAAGGGAAGATGACTACCCCAAACAGAAGTCCTCTTCTGTCAGGAAAATGCAGCATGTACAATTATAAATGAACCACATTTTTTTCTATTTTTCGAGACAGGAATTATGCAAAATAGAATTTATAGAACTCTTGCAATGATAGGTTACAAATCTATAGCAGAACATTGAACACCACGTATGTCTGTTTTTAAAGTTACATATTTTATGCATGCCAACATATAGAGGAGTCTTGATGTGATTGATATTACCGAAAATGGATTGTGAAGTTGCAAGAAAGTTTTCTAAACTATCATTTGTTTAGAACATGTTTTGATCTATCAGGCTAGAAGACAGACTGAATTATCTTTCTATTGCTGCTATAGAAAATACAAGATTGTCATATAATAAAGTGACCAAAGGTATGCAACCAAAAATGCCATCAAAAAAGTATTAAAGAAGTATATTAGGCAATTAATTAATAAAAAACATTATATTATTCTTGATTTTTTGTAATGTTCATTTTGTCAGCTTTAAAAAATGTTTAATTTATTGTGATTTCTTTTATCAATTTAAATACTATTAAACTCATTTTGAATTTGTAACTTTAACTTCTTTTTCTTAAAAAGGATCCACAAATTTGTATAAATTTCAAGCCTCACAGAACCTGGATATTCTCCTATATATACATTTTATTTCGAAATGAAATATTGAACTGAGATTTTCTTTATTTCTTTAAAGACAATGTTTGTTTCCTGCTCATGGCTCATTTCAAAAAGCAGCCCCACTGAGAAATCCATTTTTTCTCTCTTCTGCCCTGTCTTTCTAGGACTAAAATATTCTCTTCCATTTCCCTTACTTATTGGAAAATGAAGAGGCAAGAAAAAAAAATCCTATTACCTATGTGAAGCCTGCTGCCCTAAAGTCACAAATATAATTTATGGATTCTAGCCATGTTTGCATTCCTTGCCATGCCAATAAAGTTTATTGAAATTGGAATTAGAATTTAAAAGCTTAAACCGAAAGAACCAGTCTAGGAATTGGAAAAATATATGTATGTAGCTTATACCCAAATCAGAATATTGTTCTACCCCCAGCCAGACTATAAAGCAAGTTAGCAAAAAGTAGTCCGTTTGATTTTTAAGCCAATCTAATCATGTTAACATTGAAGAAAATTTTCATTTTGATTTAATATTTTATGATCTAAGACTTGTCATTCCATACTAGAATTAGGGTCCAAGAAAAAGAGCACTTTTTGCCTTATGGTTCAGAGTTCTGGGACTTTAAGATTTAGAGAGAACATGACAAAAAATATCTATGGTAAGGCTAAAATTACTAGTCAGGGTGAACATTATAAAAATGTAAGTAAAAATGAATTTAAAAGTGATATGAGTACATTGAATTGGTTGAAACGTAAAATCCCACAGAGAAGTATTTGAGGATTGCTGCAGGAAATCTACATTAAAGTACATTATTTCATGCAGAGAGAATCTGACTGAAATTATAAAGTACTCCTATGGCAAAAAGGAAAGAACAACCCACCGCTTTACAGCAGCAGTCAGAGTAACAGCACACATCTCAAAATAAATCCCTCACATTTTCTGAGGAATAACTCCTGCTAATCAAATGTCCCAAAACATCTGGGCACTACTTGCAGTTGCCTGAACATTCTGGCCAAAGAGACAGAAATATAGGTTGCAATAGGGCATAATAATATTTCAGAGACTCTGCTTCCTAAGCATTTCCAACTTCATTCAGTCTCAGAAAGCCCCAGACTAACAGGGAGACAGAAAGGTGATGGGCATCAAGAACCCCAGATTGCAGATTAGGGAATATTTAAAGCTAAAATCCACTTAGAAGGCTGGCTGTGTGTAGATAATCACACAGATAAAGTGTTTGAGCTCCTCATTCAACTTCCTGTACTCTACTTCGTACAGCTCTGGAATAAGCAGATAGGCTTGTCGTCTGAAACTTTTAGGGAGTATCTGTATACTTTGAGCTTTTAGCGGAGAATTTAGCTGAGAATTCTACCAATCGCCTAAGAAAAATATCTAGATGACTCTATACCCTTAATATTATACAGAATAAAGAAAAAAGAAAGTAGTTTGATACAAAGAAAAAGCTGCCAATCCAGAGACAGAGAAACTGTGCATGACTGTAACCTGGCTACATTTCTTAAACTTATCTGCAAAATATTTAAGAGTACACATCTGAGGAATGGTGATGAAGATGAAATAATAGTAATATTATACTGATAATATAATAACATGGGGCCTGGAACAAAGTTGTTTTATTGTTGCTGTGGTTTTAATAGTAATCCTTCCCTTTTTTTTTTTTCTTTCTTGAGATGGAGTTTCGCTCTTATTGCCCAGGCTGGAGTGCAATGGCACAATCTCGGCTCACTGCAACCTCTGCCTCCCGGGTTCAAGCAATTCTTCCTGCCTCACCCTCCCAAGTAGCTGGGACTACAGGCATGTGCCACCACTCCCGGCTAATTTTGTATTTTTAGTAGAGACAGGGTTTCTCCATGTTGGTCAGGCTGGTCTTGAACTCCTGACCTCAGGTAATCCGCCTGCCTTGGCCTCCAAAAGTGCTGGGATTACAGGCATGAGCCACCGCGCCCAGCTTGGCTCTTCTCTTCCTTTCTCTGCCCCAACTACTAATACCTAGGTAATGATGCTTTAGAGAAAGCTGTTTGTCTACTACATTTTAAAGTTAATCATAATTACTTTGTTTCTTCATATGGGTAAATATTTTGAAATTTGAGGGAAAGAATGTTAACAAAATGAGGAGAAAGATCTGGTTATTAGATGATTCACAGGATATCATGAGTTCTTATTTGCTGAGAAGTAGGAATAGGAATGCAACATTCTAAAAATACCTTACCTTTATAAAAACCCGATCTCTGGCTCACTGAAACCTTTGCCTCCTGGGTTCAAGCGATTCTCATGCCTCAGCCACCCGAATAGCTGGGATTACAGGCCTGCGCCACCATGCCCAGCTAATTTTTGTATTTTAGTAGAGACTGGGTTTTACCATGTTGGCCAGGCTGGTCTTGAACTCTTGGCCTCAAGTGATCCACCCTCTTCGACCTCTCAAAGTACTGGGATTACAGGTGTAAAGCACCGTGCCTGGACACTCAAACTACTTTGTGTACCCAATATTTCTATCTTTTTTTTTTAAAAAAAAAATATTACATATGAAAACCATGCTAAAATTAAGTCAAACTATTGAAAAAACAGGTGCATATTTTAATTTAAGGGAAACTTGGGCTAACAATTTCTACCACCACACATAGAAATGTCTGGTACATTATTCATCAGAATGAAAAACACTTGGATTTCTTTCTTATTTATTTTATTAACAAGTTTCTGATGGAACAGAAGGCAGTTGGGCCTCAATACAATGTACTAAGTTTTAGACCTAAAAGATTTCAGTATAATAGTCTTATCTATAAGGTTGTCCTACATAGACCCTAATCACAGCATCAAAAGGAGATTCCAATGTAAAAGAAACATAGTATGCTATCTTAAATATAGAGTAGAAAGTATACGTAAAAGTATTCTTAAATGTACTATTGGAAATGTTATATTACATTTCTTATAATTCTGCCTAACACACCACTATTCATAATTGTTGAAAGGTTTTCTCTAAAAATAGCAGCGCTGGTAGACAGACACTAATTCATCTATATTCTTTGTTGTCTGGTTCCCCTTCAAACCACTAACTAGGCCAGGTGTTATTTGATTATAATTGTTAGTTTAAGATGCACAAAGTAACCAGGAATGGTAGCATATGCCCATAATCCCAACTACTTGTGACACTGAAACAGGTGGATTATCTGAGCACAGGAGTTTCAGGCCAGTCTGGGCAACATAGTGAGACCATGTCTCTAAAAAATAAAAAATAAATAATAATAAAATATACAAAATATAAACATTGGTTTCGTAAATCCATGGCTACACTTTTCAGAAACTACATGGCCATTCTGGAAAAACTCTGGAAAAACAAAATTGAAACATGATGGTGAAACTCTTAGCTATAATTCTATATTATTGGAACTTTCAAAGTTAAAAGAATCTGTTAAAATGCATACATTTTCAAAAAAGGTTTAAACTTTTCCAGTTTTATGCTATGGCTTTCTTCTCTTCTTAAGGTATTAAAATTATAGGTCCACAAAGCCTTATTTGCAAATCTGTAATCCAAAATGATATGAATACTAAAAGTTTTTCTGAAACTCATTTGATGGCAAACCTGCCATGGCTAAACAGTAGGTTATTTCTAATCTCTTATTTTGCATAGTTATGGGTAACGATGGATGTATATAATCTACAGTATGTGTACAACACTGTTTTAAAATCCTAAAAGTTCTTAACTTTTATACACATCTAGACCCATGGAGTTCAGGAGAGATTGTAGATTTGGATTTCCTTTAGAATTGCTCTTGTTTCAACTCAACTTTTTTTCTTTATTTCTATTTTTAAAGATTCAGTAATTTTAATTTCATTAAAAGTCAGCTGTGCTTAGAAATTGATCAAGAGTTAATAATTCAGGACATCTTGTGAATTACCACAAGTAGAATTGAAGTTATTTCTGTTAGAGAGGAAGGGCAAACACCAGATACCAATCAGGAGTATCCATCTGAAAACAAACAAAAAGATAAGATTGCTTATCACTGAAGGAAACAGGATGCTAAATGTACGAGTTTTATTTTATCAACACATCTCAAACAGCAGATGCCTGTCACTGTATACTAACTGCTAAAAGTCCTGTGCTTTTCTACCATAATCCAGCTGTTTTTAAAGTTTTTGATAGATGGCCCTTACTGCTTTGCCATCCTGCTCTGTGAATCATGTAATTGTTTACTGTCCTGGTCCATTTAACTCCTATTTAGGACCATACCTCATACATATCTAGAGCATTTATATTTCCTTTCTTTAATCATAAAAGAAAACATTTTATGTTTTCTACATATAGGATTTCAGACTTCAAGTTATTACTGCAATAAAGTAAGTTTTTGGATCTATATTAGAGCTCTCCTTCCTTCCTTCCCTCCCTTCCTCCCTTCTTTCCTTCCTCCCTCTCTCCCTGCCTCCCTCCCTTTCATTCTCCCTCCCTCCCTCCCTTTCATTCTCCCTCCCTCCCTCCCTTCCGTCTTTCATTCCTTCCTTCCTTCCTTCCTTTCTTCCTTCTTTCCTTCCTTTCTCCCTCCCTCACTCCCTCTCTTTCATTCTCCCTTCCTTCCTTCCTTTCTTCCTTCCTTCCTCCCTCCCTCTCTTTCATTCTCCCTTCCTTCCTTCCTTCAAATGAGTACTATCTTTAAGGAACTTAGATGCATATGGAGCCCTTCTCTTGAAATACAATGCTTTTTTCCCACATGGAAGTTAAATGTACATAAATATTGCCCTATTTAAAACAGTTGTAATGAACTTTTGTGTTTATTATGGAAATGCTATAAGAATAGCCCTGGATCAAGTGATAATATGATTATATCAATTAAGCAAACGGAGATCATGTGTTAATAACATTTAGTATGGACGGAAAAAATAGGAATTTGAAATAGAACCTTTCTATCTTGGTATAATTTCCAAATTAACTCAGAGAAATGATAAAATATTGCTCAATAAACTGCACAAATTTAAAGTTAGCAATTTCAGAAATGTTGACATATGTATACACCTGTGAAAACATCAACACAATCAAGATCATGAACATATTTATCACCCCCAAAAGTTTCTTCAAGATTCTGTCAGCCTTTTCTCCCATCCCTCCTGGCTCTTTTCCACATCTTGTCCCCAGGCAGCTACTGATCTGCTTTCTGTCCACTATAGAATACTTTGCATTTTCTAGAATTTTATGCAAATGGAATCATACGGTGTATACTTCTGTTTTTTTACTGACTTCATTTGGTTTAATTATTTTGAGATCCATCCATGCATTGAGTGCATTGGGAATTTATTTCTTTGTGATGCTGGGTGGTATTACATTGTATGGATATGCCACAATTTCTTTATCCATGTACTTATTCATGAATCAATGAAGGTATATTCAGTTTTTGGTATTACAAATAAAACTATTGTGAACATTTCTATATAAGGACACACGTTTAAGTAAATATCTTGGAGTAGAAAAGTTGTATCATATGGTAGGTGTATATTTAACTTTCCAAGAGCCTGCCACACTGCTTTTCAAAGCAGTTGGACCATTTTACATTCCCATGAGGAGTCTATGAAACTTCCAGTTAGTCTACATCTTCAACAACATTTGGTATGGTCAGCCTTTTAGTTGGGGACATTCAAATAAGTATATAGTAGTATCTAATTATAGTTTTTATTTATGTTTTTCTAATGACTAATGATGTGTGGATCTTCTTATGTAACTGTTTTTCATCTATGTATCTTTTTTTTTGGAGAGGTGTCTATTCAAATTTTATACCCATTCCTTAAAAATACACTTTATTTTTTAGAATGGTTTTAGATCTACAGAAAAACTGAGAATATAGTACAAAGAGTTCTCATATATCCCGCACCTAGTTTCCTTTAACATCTTACATTACTATGGTACATTTGTTCTAATTAATGAATCAATATTGATATTTTATCATTAGCTAAAATCTATACTTGATTCATATTTCTTTAGTTTTTACCTGATTTTCTGTATTGTTTTCAGGATCCCATCTGGGATACTATATTACACTTAGTTGTTTCTCCGTAGGCTCCCCTTGTCTGTAACAGCTTCTCAGACTCTGTTTTTGGTGATGATGGCCCTGGCAAGTTTTGAGAAGTACAGATCAGGTGTTTTGTAGAATGCTTCTCTAATTGAGTTTGTCTGGTCTTTTTCTAATAGTTATACTGGGATTACAGTTGTTTGGGAGGAAGACCACAATGGCAAAGTTCCATTTTCATCATATCATATTAAGAATTTATACTATTTGACTTATCGGTGTCAATATGAACCTTGATCACTCAATTAAAGTAGTATTTGTCAAGTTTGTCCACTGTAAAGTTACCCTTCTCGTTTTTTCTTTCCATAATGTTCTTCTTGTAAAGAAGTCACTATGTGCATCCCACACCTAATGAATGGGAAGTTATGCTCCCCCTCTCTGAGGGTGAAGTAATTACATAAATTATTTGGAATTCTTCTGCCCAGGAGTGTTATCATCTCTTTTCCTCTATTATTTATTTGATCATTTATTCATATCAATAGAAACTGATAGATAAAATTTCATTTTACACTCTGGATTATATTTCTTTAAATAATCTAATTTGTTGTTGTTATTAATACTCAAATTGTTCCAGCTTTGACTACTTGGAGCTCTTTCAGTTGGTTCCTGTATTTCTTTGACACAATTCCATCAATAAAGGATTGTGTTTTGTTTTTGAGCACCTTCTTCATTTCTTGTATAAAAGATGTTCCAGCCTTATTTTGCTTACATCTATTTTTAATATGTTTGTTGTTTCCTTACTGATGAGATTTGATGACTATATCTTCTGTATAGAAGCCCTTTATTAAATATATAATATGCATATATTTTCTTGAAGTCTTTGATTTGTCTTTTCATTCCCTTAACGGTGCCATGTGAAGAGCAGAAGTTTTTAATTTGATAAACTCCCATTTTTAATTTTTTTGTTTTGCTTTATGGATGATGCTTTCAGAGTTGAGTCTGAGAAATCTTTATCTAACCCATTGTCACAAATTTTCTACCATGTCTTGTTAGAATTTTTATACTTTTGGGTTTTATATGTAGGCCTGTGATTTTCTTTTCATATATGGGATGAGGTGTGGATTGAGGTTAACTTATAATATCATATGGGTATCCAATTGTTTCAACACCATTTGATGAAGAGAGTACAGTAATACCCCCTTATCCACACTTTTGTTTTCTGAAGTTTCAGTTACCCACAGTAAACCAAGTTCCAAAAACAGGTGGGTATGGTATAATAGGATATTTTGAGAGAGAGAGATAGAGACCACATTCACATGAATTTTATTACAGTATATTGTTATAATTGTTCTATGTTATTATTCATTATTGTTGTTAATTTCTTACTTTGCCTAATTTATAAATTAAAACTTCATTATAGATATGTATATATAGGAAAAAACAGTATATATTGGGTTTGGCACTATCCATGGATTCAGGCATCTACTTGGAGTCTTGAAATGTATCTCCTGTGGATAAATGGGGACTAGTGTATGCTTTCTCCAGTAAATTCCTTTTGCATGTTTGCCAAAACACAATTGGTCATATCTATGTGTATTTATTTGCAGACTCTATTCTCTTCCTTTGATCTATTTTTCTATCTTTATCTCATTGTCTTGATTATTATATCTTTATATTGTCTGGAAATCAGGTGATATAATTCTCCCAACTTTGTTCTTTCTCAAAATTGTTTTGACTATTCCAAGTTCTGTGAATTTCCAGATAAATTTTAGAATCAATTTGTCAATTTTTACAAAGCTTAGATTGCTGTACCTTTTATTAGAATTGCAATGAATCAATATCTAGATGTGGCAAGTATTGACATCTTAATAATATTAAGCTTCTGATCCATGAACATAGTATATCTTTTCATTTGTGTAGGTCTTTAATTGCACTCAACAATATTTTGAAGTTTTCAGTGTACAGGTCTTGCATGACTTTTGTCAAATGTATTCCTTATTCTTTTTTATATTTCATCTTATTGTACATGGTATTTTACAACTTCAACTTCTGATTGTTCATTATTAGCATATAGAAAAACAATTGTTTATGTATATTGAACTTGTATACCAAATACTTGCTAATCTAACTTATTAGTTCTACTAGATTTTAGAATAAATTTCAAAATATTTCTTCCATATGACCACATTACCTGAGTATAAAGATAATTGTACTTCTTCCTTTCCATACTGGATGCCTTTAATTTTTTGTGCATTACTCTTCTAACTAAAACCTTCAGTATAATATTGAATAGAAGCAATGAGAAGAAACACCACAGCCTTGTTTCTGATCTTAGGGAGAAGGAATTCTGTCTTTTTCCATTTAGTATAGTGTTATCATTTTATATTTTAATCAGAAAGCATTCAATGTTTTACTTTAAGTAGCTGTAGGTTAATTGTACATTGTAGCCACCATCAGAAGATTTTACTCTTTTTGGGGGTGAGGAACAGGGTCTTGTTATGTTGCCCAGGCTAGCCTCAAACTCCTGGGCTCAAGCTATCATCCTGCCTTAACCTCTCAAGTAGCTGGGATTACAGGCTTGCACTACTGCCCCTAGAAAAACTTTCCCTTCTATTCCAAGTTAATTAAGAGGTTTTATCAGGAATGGATGTTGAATTTTGGCAAATGCTTTTTTTTTGTATTTATTGAGATGTTCACAGAGTTTTTCATTTTTAGTCTGTTAATATAGTGAATTACACTAATTTATTTACATGTTATTGATTTCAATTTCACTAACATTTATTAAGAATTATTTTATCTATGTCTATCATAAATATTTATCTGGCTGTTATTTACATAGTATTGCTAGAATAGAATCACTTGGAAAGTATTCCTTCTTCTTCAATTTTCTAGGAGATTCTGTCGACAATTGATTTTTTTTCTTCACTTTTGTTTTAAGTTCAAGGGTACATGTACAGGATATATGGGTTTGTTACATAGGTAAATGTGTGCCATGGTGGTTTGCTGCATAGATTATCCCATCACTTAAGTATTAAGCCCAGCATCCATTAGCTATTCTTCCGACAATTATATTATGTCTTCATTAAAGGTTTGATGGAATTCACCAGTGAAGACATGAAGGACTTGTGCTTTCTTTGTCAGAAAGTTTTTGACTATAAATTTAATTTTTAAAGTAGACATAGGTAACCCAAGAAGATGAGTGAAATCCGACAAGGACAAACCCAAAGAAATTCAGACAAAGCCACATCAATGTCAAACAGGAAAACTAAAGAAAAAAGAGAAATTTTTGAAATTATAGCTTAACTGTAGGGAAAAAAATTCAAACAAGAGTAGATTTATCTTCAGAAACCATGAAAACCACAGGAAGTAACACAACATTTTTCAAGTGTTAAAGAAGAAGATTGTCAACCAGAAATTTTGTATTCAGCAAAAATATCCTTCAAGGATAAAGTGGAAATAAAGTCATGCTCAGGTAAAGAAAAACTAAGATTTTTTTTTCCAGGAGACTTATGCCCAAATAATGGCTAACAGAACTTTCCTAACAAGAAGAACATGAAAAATGACAAATCTTAAAATATCAACAAGAAAGAAAGAACAATGTGCAGAGAATATTTAATTGTAATAATTTTTCTTCTCCTCTTGAGTTTTTAAATTGTGTTTGACAGTTGAAGCAATAATTATTTTACTGCCTGATGTGGTTCCAAATGTGTGTAGAGAAAATACTTAAGACAAGTATATTATAAATGGGTGAAGGGTTGTTAAGAGAGGTAAAGTTTCTACACTTCACTCAATCAAATAAAATATCAACACTAGTAAGCTGTGATAAGTTATGAATATATAATGTGATACCTATCATGGTCACTAAGAAAAATGAATAAAGAAATACACTGAAAAATATCATACATAAATCAAAATCGATTTTTAAAAAATGTTCAAGTAATCTGCAGAAATAGGAAAAGAAAACAGAAATGAAAGAGAGAATAAAAAGAAAACAAAAACTAAAATGGCTGGCTTAAACCCTATTATATTGATAATGTACATGAAATTTAAGTTATATACATACACAGAGGACAGATATTGGCAGAATACATAAAAAGATATGGCCTAACTATACTGTCTGCAAGAAACTCATTTCAAATACAATGATATAGGTGGGTTGAAAAAAAGGATAGAAAAAAATATACCATATAAGTCAATTTTTTAAAAAGCAAGCGTAGCTGTATTAACATCAGATAGAATTCAGAGCAAAGAAAGTTACTAGAGATGGAGGAGGACATTATGTAATGATAAAACGGTCAGTCTACCAAAAGACACAAGAATCTTAATACACCGAAGAGTGAGCTGCAAAATATGTGAAGCAAATACTCATAGAACTGAATGGATATACATAACCATAATTAAATTTGGAGTTTTTGACCCCCTCTATCAATAACTTATAGAAAAACTAGGTGGGATTTGGAAAAACTCAACAACAAACCCAATCAGTAAGATCAAATTGAGATTTATAGGTCATTCTACCCAGCAACAGCAGAATATACACTTTTTACAAATGCCACAGAACATATACCAAAATATGCCATATCCTGGGCCATAAAACAAACCTCAACAAATTAAAAATAATTGAAACCATATAGAGTATGTTCTCCAACAACAACCAACTCAAACTAGAAATTAATTACAAAAGAGATTATAAGAAAACCTTCAAAAACTTGAAACTAAACAACACACATTCTAAATAATTAATGAGTTGAAGATAAGTCTCATGGGAAATAAAAAATACATTGAACTGAATGAAAATAAAAAACACAACATTTCAAAATGTATGGGACACAAGTAAAGCAGTGTTAAGAGGGAAATTTATAGCAATAAATGCTTATGCAGGTACAGCCTGCCCTTCATATTCATGGGTTCCGAATCTATGAATTCAACCAACCTTGGATCCAAATTATTTGGGGGGGAAGAAAAGGATGGTTGTATCTGTACTGACCACGTACAGACTTTTTTTTCTTGTCATTATTTCCTAAACAATACAGTATAACATTTACGTAGCATTTACATTATATTTTGTATTGTCACTAATCTGTAAATGATTTAAAGGATTTGGGAGAATGTGCGTATGTTATATGCAAATACTATACCATTTTATAAAAGGGACTTGAGTATCTGTGGATTTGGGTATCTGCAGGGGGTCCTGGAAACAATCCCCCATGGATACTTAGTTATGATGGTATTAGAAAAAAAGAAAAATCCTCAAATTAATAATCTAAACTTCTACCTCAAGAACCTAGAAAAAGAAGAAAAAATGTGCTCAAAGCAAGCAAAAGGAAGGAAATAAGAAAAAATAAAAAATAATAATGAGAAGAACATAAACCAATGAAACTAAAAATACAAAAATAATAGAAAAAATAAGTGCAGAAAAATCTAGTTCTTTGAAGAGAGCAAGCCATTTGACAATATATACAGGCTAAGAAGAAATATTATGCAATTTTATCAATTGATACAGTAAATATTTAACAACATTCAACTCCTATTCATCATGAAAAGTCTCTGAAAAGTTAGAGTACAAGGGAACATCTTCAAATCGATAAAAAGACATCCACAGAAGACCTATAACAAACATCATATTTAATGGGTGAAAAACTGAATGCTTTTCTCCTAAAATTAGCAACAAGGCAATTATGTCTGCTCTCACCATTGCTATTGAATATGGTGCTGGAAGTTCTAGCCAGGTCAATACATTAAGAAAAGGAAATTTAGCGGCCAGGCGCGGTGGCTCACGCCTGTAATTCCAGCACTTTGGAAGGCCGAGGCGGGCGGATCACGAGGTCAGTAAATCGAGACCATCCTGTCTCTATTAAAAATACAAAAAAATTAGCTGGGCGTGGTGGTGGGCGCCTGTAGTCCCAACTACTCAGGAGGCTGAGGCAGGAGAATGGTATGGACCCGGGAGGCAGAGCTTGCAGTGAGCCGAGATCGCGCCACCGCACTCCAGCCTGGGCGATAGAGAGAAACTCCATCAAAAAGAAAAGGAAATTTAAAACATACAAATAAAAAAATGAGTAAATAAATTTTTCATATTCGCAGATGCTATGATGTCCTACATAAAAAGATGAAATGATGACTATATCGACACCGAAATTAGAAATCCATCATTTACAATCACTAAAAATATTAGGTATAAACATAACAAAACATGAACAGGACTTGTATGCCAAAAACTACAAAATGAAGAGAAGAAATTTTAAAAGTTCTAAATAAATGGAGAGATACAATCTGTTCATGGATTGAGTCTTAACACAGTATAGACATTAATTCTCCCAAACAGATGTTCAAACACAACACAATTCCCATCAAAATCCTGTGCTATCAGGATTTGCTTTTAAAGACAAGATTATTCTAAAATCATATGGAAAGGCAAAGAAGCTAAAACAATTTTGAAAAAAAAAAAGAATAAAATGGGAGAAATCTCTTTTCCCAATTTTGATATATATATATATAACTACATTAATCAAGACTGCGTAGTGTTAGTGGAGGGACAGACATATATATCAATAGCATAGAATTGAGAATCCATGCATAGCCCTAACAAGTATGGCCAAACGATTTTTTATAAAAATGCAAAAACAATTAAATGAAGGAATGATAATCTTTTTCACAAATGTTACTGAAGCATTGTCCAAAAAAGTTTGACAGCTTATTGAAAAACTATATGCACTTATCATACATCCTTGTAATTGCACTCCTGGGCATTTATCCCAAAGAAATGAAAATTATGTGCACATAGAACCTGTACGTGATTGTTTATAGCAGCTTTATTTGTAATAGCCCCAAACTGGAAACAACCAAAATGTCTCTCAATAGTTGAATGGTTAAACACAGTGTGGTATATCCATTTCACAGAATATTCCTCAGAAATAAAAACGAATAAACCACAGATGCATATGACACTCTAGATGAGTCCCAGAAATATTATGCTGAGTTTAAAGAGCCAAATTCAAAGGTCACATAGCACATGGTCCCATTTATCTAACATTCTCAAAATGAAGAATTATAGAAGTAAAAAGTAAATTAATGGTTACCAAGGACTATGGATGGTAAGGAGAAGGAAATGAATGTGACTATTAAGGGAAAGCAGGAGGGAAATATTTAAAGTGAGGAAATAGTTCTGTATCTTGATTAAATGATGATTACATGAATCTACGTATACAATAAAATGGCATAGACATGTACACACACTTTACACCAATGTCAAGTTCCTAGTTGATACTGTACTACAGTTGTGTTAGAAGTAACCACGAGGAAATTATGTGAATGGTGCACAGGATCTCTCTGTACTTTCTTTGCAACTTCCTGTGAATCCATAATTATTTTAAAATTTTAAAGAGTTTTTTTAAAGATAGAGACAGTAAGTTTATTTCTGCTATTTGTCATGTTGGCAAAAGTATAGGCTTGTTGAATTTTCTTCTCACAAGATTTGTAGGTTTTAACCTCCTGAGTTTTAAAATTATTGTCACTGAGACCAAAAGTGAAAATGTAAGTAAACATTTACATAGAACATAGGAAAAAAATACATTTTAAGCTCAATGAGGAAGGGCTAAATTATCTAATAAATGATACTGAAAAATAGGCTATATTAAAAAGTAAAATATACATAAAAAGTAAATTTGAAATGTATCAAATTATAACATTATTTGGAGGAATATAAGAAAATATTTGATATAGTGTTGGTGTGGAAAATTGCTGGGTTTTTTTTCCTTTTAGCAGTACCCACAAGACAAACAACTTCAGACATTTGATAGACAAATTTGAATATGAAAAAATTAGTTGTCCAAACAGCAATAAACCAACTAATTTGCCAGTATTGAAGTTCAGAAAACAAACAACAGATTGGAGAATAAGATGAATAACTCATATTTCAGAGAATGAAAGGTACTAAAAGCAGAGACTGGAGCCAAATCAACTGGGTTCAGATCCCACCTGTGCCACTTTATTGCTTAATAGGCTTTGGATGATTGACATAAACACTCTGCCTCAATTCCTGTTCTAAAAAACTAATAATAAGAATACTTTGTAGGACTATGTAGAGTTAGTTTTTGATACTATGATTTTTATTATGAAGGATATACCAAGTATACCCATTATAGAATTCTCAAAGTTTTGGGAAATCTATTGGAAAGATGACTATTCCACTTGTAAAAAGGGACAAGGAGCATTTAAAAAGCAAATCAGGGAGTAAGAAATACAAATAATAAAAACAAAAAATGCCTCATGTCATTAATAATCTACAAAATTAACATTTGTAAAATAAGGTATTTTTCAACTCTTGAAAGAAAAACCATTTTAAATAACTACAAATATCCAAAATTGAAGAGGGCATGGGAAAAAACAGGGATTACCATATGCTCCTGGTGAGAGGGTAAATGGTGAAACTTTGTGTTTTGTTCTCTGTGTTAAATGTTGGAGGTTTTTCCTCAAATGTGTTGGGATTTAATGCTGGTGTTCTTGGACACTGGCAATGGAAGAATTGGTGGTTAGTGAGGTGGGAGTTAGAACTATTCAGCATTTAGCCTTTCATTTAATTGATTTCATTTTTCATCCAATGTCTTCATTTCAATGACTAAACCTAAGGTTTTCTGCTGCCATGGAGGCAGTAATCTGGGTGCCAGCGGGTTCCATGGCATACTGTGGACTGCACCAGTACTGCAGACCTCAATGTTCCTAGTCTTTCTGGGATTCTGAAGGATGGATCAGCTAGCTCCTTTTTAGTATTCTCCTTTGTAGGTCTTAGATTTCATCTTGCTCCAACAATTTGATTACCGCTCTTCCACCTGCTTTTCACATCTCTTGCCAGATAACTACCAGTAGTTCTAAGAAAATGTTAAAATTTGTTCAAATCTCTTGCCCACTGTTATCTTCTCTCAAATTCTCTTGTCCTTATGCTTTTATTCTTTTATTAGCATTATTTTCTATTACTTTCATTTCTAGGGGGAGTGGAAGTAAATGGAAGAGTTCAATCTACCATGCTTGAGTGAAACCTGTTTCCTAAAATTACCACAAGGAATATGATTTAATTTAAAACTTTAAAAAGTTATTTTAATATGAATGCTGACTTTGGCAGATAAGACAAGCTCTCTCTATATATTTCTATATCCTATAATTAGTCCTGAATAAAACACAAGTAAATTGATTGCCTTACAATGCCCACTTCCCATATATTCAACAGAGCTCTATCAAGTGTGATATTTTTACAGTTCTTTTTCTGGTTATAGGTTTGATTCTTAATGTGCTGAACTGTTGTTTATATTTGATGCATGCAGGATGTCTGTAGAGTACTTGCATATTGAGGAACTGTCAGCACCTTCGGAAAGAAATCTTCAGGGCTAGATTCAGGGAATGTTTGTCTAGTTTTTATTTTTTAAAGTCCAAATTATGGATGTATTTATGAAATAAATAACTTCTTAACCAAATTAGAAATATAAAAGCCAGGAGCAGTGGCTCGTGCCTGTAATCCCAGTTGTTTGAAAGACCAAGGTAGGAGGATCACTTGAGCCAAGACTGCCAGGCTGCCATGAGCTGTGATAAGGCCACTGCAGTTCAGCCTGCGTGAGAGAGTGAGACCTTGTTTCAAAAAGAAAGAAGGAAAGAAAGAAGAATGAAAGAAAGAAGAAAAGACAAAAAGAAAGAGAACAAAGAAAGAAAGAACAAGAAAGAAAAAAGAGAAAGAAATAAGAAAGGAAAAGAAAACAGAAAAGAAATGTAAAAAAGCCAGATAACTATTAGCAGTTCTAAGAAAATGTTAATTGTAATAATAATTATTTTGAAAAGTCCCCTGACCTATGTATGATGTTGCTGATTTGTTAGCTTGGGTCAGCTTTCACAGAACCTGAGTTGCATTACTTTGTTTCCTACAAAATTTAAAAATAGAAATTAAGTTGAACTAGTGTCATCTGATGTGTAAATGCCTACCTTATATATGTATTTGTCAGTTTTTATCTCTTCATGGACTATAATACAGGATTTTCAAAGAAAAGCTTGATCTTTTCTGCTCTATAATTGATTTCATTTCCATTAAAAGAGAAAGGCACAGATAATAGATAGAATGAAAGCATGCAATCTATGTTATGTCAGTAAATCCTTGATTTCTATTAAAACCCCACCTAAACTTGCAATTCCTTTGACACAGCATGTAGGAAGGCCTTTCTCCAGCTGCTGTTTTTGCTGATGAGAATGCCAAGTGTTTTTACAGATATGTCTTCAAAGAGAGAGAGAGAAGGACAAGAGATAGAGAGAGAGAAAGAGAGTGAGAGAAAGAAAGAGAGAGGTATGGGAATGCAATTACAGAAACTCTGCTTTTAAAATAATTGGTTCAGAAAAGGTGAGTGATTTTATATTTACTAGATCACCATGAAAGGATGATTTTAAATGATGTTCATTAGCAATAAAGGATAATTTTATCTAATTTTAAAATATTAGTTTATATCTAATACATAATGTGTGAAATATCCATCATCTGCTTATGTGGTGCATTATCCTGTCATAATTTTTTCATTAAAAAAACTTTGCAATTTTAAACTTTGTACATTCTTTACATTCACCAGGAATTCAATTTATTTTTACACATCAATATTCCTGAGCTATACTCTGCAGACAAGTTGAATATAGAGGCACTTAATGTGTACATATTATTTATTTTCAGGTATATTTCATTTTTATATGTAATAAGGTAACAAGGGAGTAGTGTGGTGTTAAAAATATAAATTCTATAGTTTGAAACATAAATTTCAAAAATTTTCCATTTTCAATTATAAAAATCCAAATAAGTTTCATTACTCCTGCTTCTCATACTACCCACGTTTCAAAGAACTTTCTCCTTATATACAAGGGGTGCTGGTTTGCACCAATATTCATATTCGTGAACATATTATTAACATTAATAGTCTTTGATGAGGATTAGCACATAAAAACTTCTAACTTCACACTTGGGATTTTGGAAGTATTTATTGTTTATTTCTATATTCTGTGGGAGTTTACAATCAGAGTTATAACTTAGTACAGTTATGGCACAATAAATAAAAACCTTAACAAACAGTAAAAGGAAATAACAATGTTCCCCATTACTGGTTTTCTCTCTTCTCTTCCTTTTCTGTCTTTCTCTACCTCTTCTCTTTCTCCCATCCTCCTTCTCCCTCTCTTCCTTTTTTTTGATAATAGTAAACACAGCAAATTGAGTTCACAGCTATTTGAGATTGGACGATCTTTCTTATTCATCACTTTCTAAGTTAGATTATACATCTGTTCTTCAAAGCATCAAATTGTTACAAAACTGTGTATAAAAAATAAAACTGCCTTTGAGGCCGGGTGATACATTTTTAGTGTTCTTGAATATAGGTGTAAATTGAAATGGAATAAAACAAGTAAGAGCAAACAGGGTAAGAATTAAAAACACTTTATCTTTGTTCTTTCATTTCCTTTACTACGGAGTACAATCAATACTTTACAACAGGGTTAATACACTGTCTTCAAACATGTTATTATTCTCACACAAGAGCACAATAACTTTATTAGTTATGCTGTCTGCAATCTTCCAAAGTGACAGAACTGAGTGGGCGTGCTGATTGCAAGCAATTCTTGGTGCCCTCTGTTGGAGTATTTTCAGTGTACACCAACAATAGCAACAAGCACAATACAGCTGCAGGTAATTTTAATGGTGGGAGTTCTAATTTTAATTAGCATAATTAACAGAAACAAATAAAAGAGAGGTTTACCCTTTCTACTCATTGGTTATTGAATATTCAGATCTTACATCTGCTCTCCATTCAAGGGAAACCTGAGTTACATTACTTTGTTTAAAAGCAGTCTTAATTCATTTGAAGATAATAACTAACTCCCAGATATTTTAGCAGAGTTCAGTGTAACTTTTTGTAACATTCATACATGCGTTGTTGTGTTTCCAAAAATATATTTAAAATAAAAGTGAAATTATTATTTGAGCAACTTGTAAGATCTCATTACTAAAATATATATTTCAACTTGTGTTTTACAGATGAAAGCAGAATAGCCTTTCTCTCTGATGATTATTATTACCATTACTACCAAATGACTAATATTAAAAAGTATTACAAGTATAGCAAGTGAAATCAAATACTGTGAATTAAACATCAATGGTGTATGTAACATCATATTAGATAATTCATCACTGATTTCAAATGAAAAAAAAAGGAAATAAATTTGTTATGTGTTGAATTGTGTCACCAAAAAAGATATGCTGAAGTCCTAACCTTGATACCTACTAATGTGACCATATTTGGAAACAGGATCTTTGCAGATGTATTCAAGTTAAGATGAGGTTGTATTGATTACAGGAGACCCTGATCCCAATGCTAGAGTCCTTATAAGGATAAAAAACAGACACAGAGACATAGGAATAAGGCTATGAATAGACGGAGACAGAGATTAGAGTTATTTTACCGCAAGCCAAGGAAACCCAAGGATAGCCAACTACCACCAGAATCTAGGAAGGGGCAAGAAAGGACTGTCCCCTACAGCCTTCAGAGGTAACATGGCCCTGCTGACTTCTTGATTTTAGACTTCTAGCCTCCAGAGCTATGAAACAATAAATTTCTGTTGTTATAAGCCACAAAATTTGTGGTATTTGTTATGGAATACCTAGAAAACTAGTAAAGTATCCTCTGGCCAAGTGAGATTACTCCTACCCAAGAAAGATTCTGTTGTATATTAAGGTCCTTAGAGCCCTAATACTACACAATTTTGCTGGGTGTGCAGGCAATGCTGAGAGAACAGTTTGTAGAAGAGACATATCAACTACCTTTGTATAAGATTCAAGAGGATAACTACCCAGCACCCAATTATTAAAGTTAATAAATGATACCACAATAAGAGGGCTCATCCCGACTTTCCTCAAATACTGAGATTCAGAAAAGACAAATTGCAACATGTGCATCATCACTGATATGGTTTGGATGTGTGTCGCCTTCAAATCGCATATTGAAATATGATCTCCATTGTTGGAGATGGGCCTAGTGGGAGGTGTTAGGGTTTTGAGGGCAGATCCCTCATGAATGGCTTGGTGTCCTCCCTTTGGTAATGAGTTCAGGTGAGAGCTGGTTGTTTGGTACTTCTCTTGCTCCCTCTCTTCCCATGTGACACATCTGCTCCCCCTTGGCCTTCCACCATGAGTAAAAGCTTTCTGGGCCTCACCAGAAGCCAAGGAGATGCTGGTGCCATGCTTGTACAACCTGCAGAACCATAAGCCAAATAAACCTCTTGTCTTTATAAATTATCCAGTCTTAGATATTCCTTGGCAATGCAAACAGACTAACACAATCACCTTATCAACTACTTAGCACAGCTGGTGTTCTCTTTTAAAAGCATTCTTTGAGCAATTATCAAAGTAGAGAATCATCAAATATAAAACAGACCATTGAGTGAAAGCTTCAAATAATTTTAGGGCTGGAAATCTTAGTACCAATGTTGTTAACTTATTAACCTGCTTGGCCTTTTTCCGTAGCGGTTGCTCTTTTGCATTCTTACCCTGGCCTGTTACAATCCAGAGTTGGCTTGCAGTGTTATCAGGTTGGTGCAAAAGTAATTGGGGTTTTGTCATTACTTTTAATGGCAAAAACCACAATTACTTTTGCAGCAACCTACTTGTAACTACTAGGAATTCCCTAATATTGAGAAGCAAAACATAGATGATCCAGAGAGGACCATGGATTAGACTGAGAGAATAGGGGAAGAAGATAGAAACAGAAACTTATAATTAAAAGATGGTACACTACTTCAAGGAGAGGGAATCAACATTGGAAAAAAGCAGGAGAAAGAAAGAATCAGAAACAGTGTCCTGGAAAAATAGGAGAGATTGAAACTATATTAGCAGCAGAAAAAAAAAATCAACCTAAACTGCATTTGAGAGCAATATTTTAGAATAATATATAGGATTATAACTTCACAAATATCTTCAAGAAAGTGATCATTTAATTCCAAACAATTTAATAATTATGTAGATGTAGTTTATTTTTAAAAATCAGATGTGTTATTGGAGAGGTATAAAATAGAGGAGAATTGATGTTTAGAGGTCACAACACTATTTGAAATTAGTGTTTTACATATACTTGTCAAATCTCAGGATTTGTAGGTTCACTATGTTGTTTCTCTTTAGACATTGTTAGGAGGAGCTTCTGTGATATTTAACTCATGAGTGTTTATAAAATAATCAATTTCGCAAACTATTATCTGAATTTTGTGTGTGTGCTGTGTGTGTGTGTATGCGTGTGTGTGATAATATCCACCAATAAGCAATACAGCACCTTTTTTGCAGAAAGCCTTATTTGCTCAAATAATGTTCACACTCAATTACTCATGTGATGGGAACAAGCTTATCTGCCTTTGTGAACAGATAAGAGGCACAAAGTATGCAAGAAGAGAATGGAGTGGGAGAAACATTTTACAGTTTCTGCTGTCAGTAAGTTATTTTAAAAAACATAAACATTGTTATTACGAGACCATTTCATCCCTGTTTGCTTTTCTACCAGCTATGCTGTTTTCCTGTTTGTTCCAATTATTTTCCATTTTCTACATTTTGACAGTTAACTAAACCCCCAAAATCATTAAGTTTCTAAAATGCTGTTAGCCTGGAAAATGTATATTCTCTCGACCCACATTGATCTATTCTACCTCATCTCCCCCTTTTAGTCGTTTTTTTCCTGCTTCCTAGAAAACTGTCCATCACGTCAGAATTCTTCCTGCTATGTATAATTCCATAAGGTAAGGGCATATCTCTTAATTTTATGATAAACAAATCAGGAATGTGGGGTGATGAGGGATGAGAAATCTTAGATTTAATTAAAATCTCCTTGAATTCCTCTACATTATAGGGATATAAAATATTCCTTTGGAAGCACATGCCATATATATATTTCTTTTTTTTTCTTTTCTTTCTTTTTATTTTTGAGACAGGGTCTCACTCTGTCTCCCAGGCTGCAGTGGCACGATCACAGCTCACTGCAGCCTCAGCCTCCCCAGTTGAAATGATCTTCCTACCTCAGCCTCCCAAGTAACTGGGACTACAGGCACATGACACCATGCCCGGCTAATTTTTTTTTTCTTTATTTTTTGTAGAGATGGGGTTTTGCCATGTTGCCCAGGCTGGTCTTAAAATCCTGGCTCAAGTGATCCGCCTGCCTTAGCCTCCCAGATTGCTGGGATTACAGGTCTGAGCCACCACACCCTAAATTTTTTTAAAAAGATAGGCATGAAAGGGGCTGGCCAAGGCCAGCACCTTTGACATTGTTAATTTCTTTCAGTTCCTTTTTTGAACAATAGTACTTGATACGTTTGTCTAGTTTCTAAAAGGGTTTGAACAACTGTTTTCTGTTTAAATGCAAAACACATTAATCTCTTATCAACTAATATTTTAATGGAGATTATCTATGAAGATCACTCCAAGTGCAGGCCTTGGGGAAAAGAGATAGAGCTCTTAGAATGCAGGGAACCTGGGAGGTTAGAGAGCCTCAAAGGGAAGGAAGGTGAGGTGGGAGGCACTAAGGCCAAACTGCCACATTTTGATGACCCTGCCAAGCAAATATGCTAGAAATGTCCCGTTATCCAAATCTTTGCCACAGTTTCCTTAATATTAATGCTTATTTCCCACCTGTTGCTATCATTTAGTTTTTTTCCATCTGATTTGTGAGCACAGGCAGGTTCCCTTGTTTCATGTCAGGGTCAGGTACTTTTGTTCTGACACTGTTGAAAGCCTATACTTGTTCTGGACTCAGATATATTAAACAAATTTGCTAATTGGAAATGTGATATGAAAACATGTCATAAGGATTTGTGTCCTCCTTTTGAGTTTTGTTGTACTTTGAATTCTCTAAATGATTTATTTTCTTTTTCTGAGTTCAGTTATCGTTTCTCTAGCACACCAACCATTCCGTTGCTTCCCTCAATAACTTCTACACAATAACATTAATTTTACTAACCTCTCTTTGGTTACTTCGTTTCTTTTCACTAATTTTTTATGTTTAATTTTTTTTTCCTCAGTAAGCCCATATTCTTTACATCCTTCTACAGGGTGTACAAATTACCACCAATCAAGACCAGCCTTCTGCTCATTCTTGTTTATCTCTCTCTTTTTTTTTTTCGAGCTGCCTATAATCCTCTCTGGTTTTCTTTCTAAACTACACCCAGTCTTCGCAGTTGGCTCTCAGTGATTGTTAAGAGCTTCCTCTTCTTTGCTCTGATATCTATCACCTCCTTGTCTTTAATTTTCTTGACAGTTCCCTTTTTTTTCCTAATCCACTAATCTCCCATTCTCCAGTGATTTTGTTCTCTCAAACTGTTATATTTACTCAACTCATTTCTACATTATTCTACATTATAAAGAAATATCCTTTATATCTAAGATCCTTCAAACTCTTTGGACACATCCTAAACTTTCCTTTAAATATACATGTTATTGATTTTGGTAATTAACGATGTATATGTGCACCTATTGTTTGTTTTTTGTTTTTTGTTTTTGAGACGGGGTCTCACTCTGTCACGAAGGCTGGAGTTTCGTGGCACCATCAAAAATCACTGTGGCCTCCAACCTTGGAGCTCAAGCGATCTTCCCAACTCAGCCTCCCAAGGAGCTGGGACTACAGGCATGAGGCACTCTGCCCAGCAGTGCCTGTTTTTAAAGCATGATCAGTCTAAAGAGAATTGGCAATATCTACACCTGTAAAGTGTAAAATTAGGAAAACAACTCAAAATTGTTATAAATGTACAATAAATACTGCTCATTCAATAACGGCTAACAACAGACTCATTGTTGAAACTGCAAGTGTTGAGGATTTTAGTAACTTGATTATGTAAATGAGATAAAGCCTTGTTTATAGATATACAAATTTAACAGGTAATTATTAATGTTTTGTTGTATATATGAGTGTGCTCCTGTGTGATGTAAAAACAGAGACATGTTTGAGAAACTATGAATACCTTGTACAAACAATTTAGTTGCTTTATCTTAGAATTTTTTGTTTTACTGTGCCTTCTTTCGGCTCAAAAGGAATTATTGCCTAAGTCAGTGATTATCTGGGCAACAGAATTAATGTTCTAGCTACAGCATTGCACTATTTCACAGGATCTATTGATTACTTTTTAAAAATTTTTCTCATCTGTCCTGTTCTCATTATTCTACTATTATTATTTTAGTTTGGGCCTTATTTAACAATTAACTAAATAATTACATTTGCCCCCAAATGGTATCCCTGCCATCTATATTCTCTCTCTCTCCCTCTCCACTCATCACCTGTCTACCAATATATTTATTGTCTACTACTTTCCATGTTCCTCATTAATTTCTGGTATTAGTAAACTGATACCAAATGTTGCCTCCCTTAAGAAACTGACAGCCTAGTCCGGTTTACTACTGTTCCGTAGAACCTTGCATCTTTCTTCTTTAAAAATCTTTAACACCTTTCAGTGGCTTTTAGAAAAGGGTTCACATTTTTCAGAGCTTTTGACACTCTTTACCTTTTGACACAATATATTATTATTATTTGGGGGAACAGCAGGAACCAGGGATGATTAATTTCCTACAATGTGCAGGGCAGTTCTATATAACAAAATTATTTGTCCCACATTTTACATGACTTTCAAATGCCCCACAAAATGTTCAAAGACATGAGAATCTCATCTGAACTCAGAGCTCAACTCTGTTTTTTTATAATGTACAAAGCTTTGATTTTATTTATTTTTTGGAAAAGCTTTGATTTTATTTATTTTTTGGAATCATTTTAATATGCACTGATTTTGATGCTAATTTCAACCCACCTAATTCCTTGCCCAACTGATAGATCCATCTTCTATTTTTAAACTTTAGGAAGTAGAATAGGTCAGTGAAGAGCATTGTGATAAAAACCCAGGGTATTCCCACACTGTTGCCCTCTGAACAATTTTTTAGGATGTGAGTGTGTGTGTGTGTTTGTGCATGTGTGTGTGTGAAGGCGACTTTCGCTTGGATAGGATGCCACTCCATAAAACAGTTAGAGAATAAAATAAAAAGAGTACAGTTGGAGTCCTGTTCTTGCTCTGCTTACCCCCATTATCTTGTGACACACAGTACCTGTTCCAAATCCCCACTCAGAATTCTTAACCCAGTATCTCAGGAGTAAATTCTGGCACTAAAGGGGTTCTTTCCTTCTGAGGAGCTAAGAAAAACAGATGGAGAAAATCTGACCTCAAGCAGATGTGTCTCTGCCCCTCATTCTCCAAATTCTTGGGAGAGTGTTACTCAGTCTTACTGCACAGTGACATTATCAATGGAACTTTAAGAAATACTAATGCCTAGGTCTCATTCTAATGGCTTCTGATTTAATTGCTTTAGGGTATGCCCTGGTGATTCTGAAATGGTTCTCTCACAACCTAGGACTAGGGACTTATAATCTAAGGTGTATGTCCTCCAAATGCTGATTCTACATAGGGCAGTAAAGAGTGGAAAGTGAAGACTTGACCTGTGATTTTGGTGGTGGGGAAGAGAAAGGCTATTTTGGTATTTCTGGCTCTTTATCTTAAGAGTCATCAATCCTCTACTTGCACTGTCAGACACATTGGGCTGACACATTCGAAAATACACATTGCCTGACCGTGTGGCTGATACTCCTAGAGAAGCGGTTTCTAAATTTTATAGCCCATTGGAATCACTTGGACATCTTTAACAAACACTGATACCCGGCTCCTACTCCTAGACATGCCGATTTAATTTCTATGGAGTGGCACCTGGCTTTAGGATTTTTAAAAAGTTGTGCAGCTTGTTCTAATGAGCAGCAAAGATTGGGACCCAGTCCCAGTGAAAAAAAGCTCGTAGAACAATACAACAGGACATTTAAGGAGCACAGCCATTTCAAAACAATATTCTGTTAAAAATTATAGATGTCCATATAGCTGAAATAGTAAGACAGATTGTGAATTTAAAACTAGGGAAGATATTTGAAAGATTAAAAAAAGGAGTGGATAGCCAAATTCATACCATATACACATATGAAGGTTTCCAGGTCAGAAGACCAACAAAGAATCTAAAGTAAGACAGACATTAGGTTTTTCAACAGTAAATACTATATGCAAGAAGATGACAAAGGGATATTTTATAAGTTCTGAAGGAAAATAATTTAAAATATAGAATTTCCCATCAAGCCAAACAGTCTTCAAATATGTCAGCATAAGGAAAGGTTTTGGAAGCATAGAAAGTCCCAAGAGGTTTGCCATGCAGAAACTCACATAGACAACAGTTTTGGATAAAGTCAGAGGAAAGAAAAATCCAAGAGATGCTGCAAAAGATATCTGTATAAAAGGTGATTGAATATATTGGCAAAGTTTGTTCTTGTCTTGGCCATTTATTTAAAGTCAAATAAAAAGAGGAAAAATATTCATAATAATCCACAATTAAAAGTCTGGAAAAAAAAAGTCATGGGGATTTTTGTGGAGAACTAAGGAACTTAAGAATTGGCCAATTTCTTGCCTTAATAGGGAGTAACTTTTTTTTTAGGAGACAGCATTAAAAAGAAATAGAAAAGGTAAACATAAACAAAAAATAAGTTAAGGTTGGAGAAACATGTCCAAGTATACCAGTAATAATGATTAATGTAAGTAGACTAGATTCACCAATGTAAAGTCCAATATTGAAAAACTGAGTATTAAAAAAAGCCAGATACATATTGTTTAAAAAGTATGTGGACTTCACTTGTGCCCAACATGGAGCAACAGAAACCAGATTTACCCTTATATCTGAAACAACTGAGAAACTGGGTAAATATAGGAAAGAACAGCTTTCAAGGCATTGGCATCAAGCAACACAGAACCGTGATCCCTGGCAGACAGCAAACAAATGAGGTGAGCCCTCTGATTTTACTCAAGAGAATTTCCAGGCCATCAGAAGGGGAAACCCAAGTGGAGACCAGTGGACTCCCTGAGTGAAGGAGATGAAGCTAAGAATACAGGAAGAAGAATGCAGCTAAGGTTAACATGGCAACTCAAGCACCAAAGGAGAGAGAGCCACACAGAGATAAAACTCTGGACAACTACAGAAAAATTGCCCTTTAATATTCAGCAAATTACTGATCAGTGCATGTATTTGAAGGAAAAAACCTCAATCATAATTGAGGGATCAATTATCAACTACCCAAAATGATTAAAGGAAACAGGACTCAGCACTCACCCAGAATGGGGGAAAGTGCTTGTTCCCCACGAGGCAGACTGGTAAACCATACAATTCACAGGGCTTTGGGTAAGGGATCTTGTCTTGGCAGTGGGGAGTAATTAACCCTAGACCAAACATGGTGCTGTTCTTGCTTAATAAGTCTTAAAAGCAGGACACCAAATGGTCAAACTGTTTCAAGTAACTTAACTGCATTTCAAAAAAACTCATGATACTTTTAGAATACAAAATATTCAACATCCAACAAGGTAGAATTAACGATTCCTGGCTTCTAATAGCATGAACCCAGGAGGCAGAGCTTGCAGTGAGCAGAGATTGCGCCACTGCACTCCAGCCTGGACAACAGAGTGAGACTCCATCTCAAAAAAAAAAAAAAAATCAGTTCATCAAAATTGATCAATCAATCAGAACTGATAAACCAATCAGAATGGATAAAGATGTAGTAATTACCAGACAAGAACATTAAAATACTTAAACTCTACATGCTAAAAATAGCAGAAGAAAGATTGAACATTATATTAAGAGAACTGGAAAATATAAGAGAACCAAATAGAACTTTTAGGGATGAAAACTACAGTGTCAGAGATGAAAAACACACAAAGTAGTATTAACAGCAGACCAAGCACTGAAGAAAAAACCAAAAGTTTAGTGAATTTATAGGCTTAGCAATATAAATTATCCAAAATGAAAGAAGTAGAAAAAAAGATTTAAAAAGAAAATGAACCGTGTGTTAGTTAGCTCTGAGACAATTTCAAGTTTCCTAATGCACATGTAATTGTAGTCTCTGAAGGAGCAGGAGCAGAGAAATGGTTGAAGAAACAATGGCCTAAAATTTTCCAAATCTAATGAAAGCTGCAAACCCACAAGTTCAAAGGAAAGCAATGAACTCGAAGTATAAGAGACATAAACCTGGCCGGGCACAGTGGCTCACACCTGTAATCCCAGCACTTTGGGAGGCTGAGGGGGGTGGATCATTTGAGGTCAGGAGTTCGAGACCAGCCTCACAAACATGGTGAAACTTTGTCTCTACTAAAATACAAAAATTAGCTGGACCTGGTGGCGGTCACCTGTAATCCCAGCTACTCGGGACGCTGAGGCAGGAGAATCGCTTGAACCCGGGAGGCGGAGGTTGCAGTGAGCCAAGATCTTGCCACTGCACTCCAGCCTGGGTGACAGAGTGAGACTCTATCTCAAAAAAAAAAAAAAAAAAAAAAAAAAAAAAAGGCCTAAACCTACATATAATTAACTTGCTTAAAGTAAGTGATAAAGAGAAAATCTTAAAAGAAATCAGAGCAAAAAAAAGATATCACAACTGAGAAACAAAGATAAGGATGCTAGGAGACTTTGCACTGGCAAATCTGAGAGGATAGTAGAGCAGCATCATTAAAGAATTATGGGAAAAAGAAACGTGTGCACCAGGTGTTCTATGATTAGCAAAAATATATTTCAAAAATAATGTGAAAATACAGATTTTTCAGATTATCTAGTCACAAGAATGAAGAAAACCACAAATAACACTGTAGGTACATATAAAATAATTTTTCTTCTCATCAGTATCTCTTCAAAAGATAATTGATGGTTTGAAAAGTTATACCATGCTTTTGGGGGATTTATAACATAGCCATAATTAAAATGCATGTCATCAATTGCATAAAGGTAGAGAGGGAACACATGGAAATATAAGAGCATAAGAGTGTTATATGTGAAGTGGTAAAATATTGCTGGAAGTAGGCTCTAATAAGATAGAAAAAGGCTCAGCTAAAACATAATAACAATCAAAGGTTGGATATAATGTCGACTAAGAAAAGTAGGTGTAGGTATGTTAGGACCAGATAAAATAACATTGAATCATTAGAGATAAAGAGGAGCACACCATAATGATATAGGCTTTTAAAACATGCTTATACTTAATACAAGAGTTTCCAATTATATGAAGCAAAAGTCCGCAAAAGTCCATTAAAATGCTATAGAAATAAACTGATAAATCCAACATCAAAATGAGAAATTTTAACACACCCCTTTAATTTTTAGTTGGTCAAAGTGAAGAAAATAAAAGCCAGTATATAAAAGAGATGAAAATAAAATCAACAAAGATGACTTAATCAACACACGTAGAATTCTGCATACCACAATTGCAGAATACACATTGTTCTATTGAAGACACAGAAAGCATATAATAGGCCCTTAAAAAGCCATGCTCTTTCACAAGACAATTAAGTTAAAAGTTGGTAACAAAAACAATAAATTACTAGAAATTAAGAACATTTCAAGAATTTTCTAAGCTTGTAGCTTCGGTGCAAATAAAGCATATTTTGTTTGAAATTTTATAAACAGTGTTTCACCATTTTGGCAAATGACATCACAATGTCACATTAACTATGTTAACAGTGCATGAATTAGGGTGAGGCAAGTGAGGCAACCAAGGTGCAAAATTCAAGGAATCAACCACCCGTGGAATCATGTAAATACCTGTTTACGTATTTTTGTCCCAGGAGCTTCCTAGGTTTACCCCAGTTCTGGCCCTGGTATTTGAGTCATCTCAACAAGTCACTTGTGTTGGTCTACACTTGTAGCTGTTGCATATAAATATGCTAAATAGGAGATTCGTGGCTCATTTTTAACAGATTTAGAACACCATTAAATTAACAGTGAAACAGCAAAGTCAGGGATGCTATTACATCTCACTAGTAAAGGTAACTTTAAAAATATTTCATATTTTTTAACCTACGTATTTTTGATTTATTCTGGAATCCATTGATAAATTAATCTGCTGTGAAAAGAGCAGAGTGAAATTATTTATATAATTTGGAGTTGGCAATCTTTTTCAAACTAACTCAGATAAATGTCCTGCAGGATAATTTTACAATTTCTCTACAGATTCTTATTTTATAGTTGGGCTGTTTGTATATTTTATATTTGCTCTTAATCCATCCTTTCTTCCCCATCTTCAATAGATATACTTCAAGATTTCAGCACCAAAGCCTAATATATGCTTTGACAAGTAGCAGGCTTTCCAGAGATGAGATATGCCTTCTGTCATGATATGTTACTGTCTCATTCCATGCAGTGACATAAGGAAATATTTTGACTTTATAAAGCTCAGCTCATTTGTGAGGGTATTATATTTCATTTTCCGCCCCTATGTCACTTTGTCATTTGTCTTGACTTATCACCCCTACTTCAATTAAGGTTATGTCCCACTTTCTTTTATCACAGAAGTAATACTAGTCTGTTTTACTTATTGCATCAATTCTTTTTATTGCTGCTGTAACAAATATTCACAAACTTGGCTTGAAAGAGCAAACATTTATGACCTGATAGTTCTACAGTTGAGAAGTCTGACACAGGTCTCACTGGGCTAAAATCAAGGTTTTGACAGGACAATGTTCCTTTCTAGAGGCTCTAGGGATGAATCTGTTTCCTGGTGTTTCCTCTAGAGGCTGCCAGCATGCCTTAATGCGTGGCCTCCTCCATCCACAAAGCCAGCAAAGGTAAGCGGTGCCCTTCTCTCATCTGCAGCACTCTCACCTGGCTTCTCTCTCCGCATTTCTTTCTCTGGCTCTGGGTCTCTCTTCCACTTTTAATGATCCTCGTGATTACATGGGGCCCACCCAGACAATCCAGAAAAATCTTTCTTTTTAAGGTCAGCCAATTAACAATCTTAATTCTACCTGTGCAACCTTAAATTCTCTTTGGCAGGTAACATAATATATTCACATGTTCCAAGGATTCAGATGTGGATATTTTTTGGTAGGGGCATTATTCTGCCTGTAATATATTTTTTCGAACACCAGTTGTTGTTCTAGTGTTCATGCCCATGTTTGTTGTTTCATTTTCCTAGGCTTCTACAAAATGAGTTCACCTCACTTGTCACAAATTGTATCTTATTCATTTCCTGTAGGCACATGCATTTGAAACTTTTATACATCTTCTGGTGTATACAAGTCCTTACATGATGAAATGTAAATTATTTTAAATTATTTTCCTATTATGGCTCTAAAATTGTATGGTTGGGGCATCCTCCCTCCCTCCTTTCCCCCCTTCCTTGCTTCCTCCTTTGAAATTATGTGTGTTGGTAGGTTGCATTAATCATCAGTTTTATTTCAGGGTCATAAAAGGAGTGTAACAAAATAAGTATAATAAAAAAGGAATGTTGGATATGTTATGACTGAGAGGCACCTTAGCAGAAGCCAAAAGTTGACTCCTTGGACTATAAGAGAAGCCTCTTCAAGGAAAATTGTAGTGCTCTGTCCATAAAGAACTGTGCAAACACTACCTACCCCCACCTCGAAATACTTTGGATATTCAGGCAGAGCCAGAGCTACTGTCAGTGGAAATATTGACCTTAGTATGTCATTTAATTACCTGAGCTCTATCAAGAACCTTGTAGACCTGTGAGCAGAATATGAAATAGAGCTTACCTCCTATAGTTTGATAAGAGCTCCACAGAGCCACAGTGGAAAATTAAGCAAATTCCTAGACAATTTCAATAAAAATGGTCTATTTTTAAAGTTATTCTAAATAAAAATTAAAAATTTGTGTTAACCTTATTTTGGTTACTAAATGATAATGAACATACCTTTTCAAAATTAAAATAAAGTTTACATTCTTCTTGTGGGGACACTTTTAATTTCTGCTTAGATGATTTATAATGGAATTCATCACCAAAAGATAATTTAATTATATGACGGTAGTTTACATATAAATTAGAAAGTTTTAGGCTGGGCACAGTGGCTCATGCCTGTAATCCCAGCTCTTTGGGAGGCCAAGGTGGGTGGATCATTTGAGGTCAGGAGTTTGAGATCAGCCTGGCCAACATGATGAAACCCCGCCTCTACTAAAAATACAAAAATTAGCCGGGTGTGGTGGCATGTGCCTGTAGTCCCAGCTACTTGAAGGGAGGCTGAGGCAGGAGAATCACTTGAGCACAGGAGGTGGAGGCTGCAGTGAGCCGAAATCACACCACTACGCTCCAACCTGGGTGACAGGGGGAGACTCTTTCTCAAAAAAAAAAAAAAGAAAGTTTTAGGTTTAAATTTTTTTTTTTCTTCTTGGTGAGACGGAGTCTCTCTCTAACGCCCAGGCTGGAGTGCAGTGGCACGATCTCGGCTCACTGCAAGCTCCGCCTCCCGGGTTCACGCCATTCTCCTGCCTCAGCCTCCCAAGCAGCTGGGACTACAGGCGCCGGCCACCACTCCCAGCTAATTTTTTGTACTTTTAGTAGAGAGGGGGTTTCACCGTGTTACCATGGTCTCGATCTCCTGACTTCGTGATCCACCTGCCTTGGCCTCCGAAAGTGCTGGGATTACAGGCGTGAGCCACCACGCCTGGCCTTAATTTTTTTTTTAATTCTTTACATTTTCCAATGGAGTAATTATATCCCTGAGTTACAAGTCAAATGCGAGCCTCCATCAGATTTCTTGGCTCCCTTCCTAAAGACAATAGAGCAACTCATTACTCTGCTTCAGAATCTTTCTCCCAACCTTTAGGCTTCTCTAGCTATGTAGTGATGGGAGGAAAGGTGGTGGTAGGGTGGGGTTGGGCACAAATTCCTATTCCTTTCATGACTGTTTTACAGTTGCTTCCTTGTAGGGACATGCCACAGAAAGAAGACACTACAGGATCCAGAAATACTTAAATAAGATAATTTGTGGAAATCTTATCCCTTAAATATCTTCAGGGAGAAGTATCCTTAGCAACTTCTTCTTTCTATAGGCAAATCATGGCTGGGTAGGTGGTGGTCTTCTGCTTCCAAGAAACCGGCAATCAACAACTCAAGTTGCCTCACTTCTCATATACAAGTCCCAGCAAGAGCCTAGATGAATTCACTAATGCACTTCATCCTCCTGCCCTCTTCCTGGTTCAGGCAATAATAATCATAGATCGCCATTGTCAATTCTTTTTTGTTAGACATGATGCTTTTTAACATTATTTCATCTAATGCTCACAGAATCTCTATGTGGTTAGAAATACTATTACTTTACAAATGAAAGAACGCAAAATAATTGAGGGATGTAGATAACTCTCTCGAGATAATGCAGTAAACAAAGGGTGATATCATTTTGCTGTGTCCCCACCCAAATCTCATCTTGAATTGTAGCTCCCATAATTCCACGTGTTGTAGGAGGGACCTGGTAGGAGATAATTAGATCCTGGGGGTGGTTTCCCCTATACTGTTCTTGTGGTAGTGAATAAGTCTTAGGAGACCTGATTGTTTTATAGGGGTTTTCCTCTTTTGCTTGGCTCTCATTTTCTCTCTTGTCTGCTGCCATGTAAGATGTGCCTTTCACCTTTGGCCATGATTGTGAGGTCTTTCCAGCCATGTGGAACTGTGCATCCATTAAGCCTCTTTTTCTTTATAAATTACCCTGTCTCGGGTATGCCTTTATCAGCAATGTGAAAATGGACTAATATAAATGGCAGGGCCCATAAATGAACTCTATTCTGTTTAACACCAGTGTGTATCGTTCATTCATTCAACAAAACAATTCAGTTACTTAATATGTGCCAAGCAGTGAGTTAGGTATTGAAAAAGCAATGATTAAAAAGACAGAAGGTACCTTTCTCCTGGGAGGTTAAATTTTACTGAAGGAAATAGAGGGAACCAAGGAAATAAAATTAAGTAGTTACAATATGTAATAATTTTGATGAAGAAATCACATAGGGATCCCCAGGAGGGCAGAAAGGTATTTCAAGCAGAAAGTTCAAGAAAGGTCTCTCTGAGTAATGACCATTTAAGCTAAGTCTTTAGGAAGACAAAGGGTGTGGCCTGGAAAGGCTGGTGGGGGCAGAAAGAGCATTCCAGAGATGCACACCAGCCAGTGCAGAGGATGACTCACACGCAGTTTGGTGAAGACTGAAGGGGTCATAAAAGTAAAGCATTTTTTGGAGTGTAATTTGGCAATAGCCATCCACATTTTAAGTACATTTAAATTTTCTTTGGGTGCAGCAATTTCTTTTCTTGTGGGCTTTAAAATAAGTGTTGCATATGTGAACTAAGCCACACAATCAGGTAGACATTACACTTTCCTAAGGGACAGAGAGACATGGGATCTCAGGTTTTTCTTGCTGTTTTCTTTTTTTAATGTTTTCTTCCTCTTCTTATTTTAATCTTCTGGGCTATAAGTTATAATGCTCCTTTTAGACTTTTTTTTTCCTACCCTGCAGGCAGTCACCTGATAGAGAGGTTTCCTGGAATAGTAATAGGAAAATAATGCACAGCAAAGCTGACACACCACATGCCGAGCTGTACTGAAGGCACAATCATAACTTTTAATAACGAAAGTTTCTTTTGGTAAAATAATATCTTTCCAGCTGTCCTAACAGATACTAATGTGAAATGCTCCCTTGGGACAGGACGGTGGAGAGAAGTCACCCCCGTTCCAGAGGGGCATGCCCTTGGCTCAGAACCTCAGAGCACTAACATAATGTAGTACTAAGATTGCAGTGACACCAGTAAAACCTGCTCTGTAGGACTGCAACAGGCTACATTTTTTTTATTTGTGCTTTTGTTTTCCTGTAAATCACTTTTGAGTTTCTGTTTCTCAAGTCTGGAAGCAGCAGGTGTGTAATTTTGGCAGAACTTTTCCCAGCCATTATCTAGTGGTTTATTGTTTATTTAGAGTGTGGGGGTGAGTTATAATAAAGAGATTGGCCCTGTGGGTTAAGACTGGGCACATTTCTATTTACAGTCCTACCAGGTCTTCACATTCTAGGCAAAATGAAAGGCTAAGCCAGTTATCCAGATAGTTCAGGCCAAAAGGTAAACACAAAGAGAGGATGATTTAGTGCTGTCCCACCTCCGGCTTACGCTTCTGAGGTAACAACCACAGGGTTCTGCTTTGGTTTGGCAATGGAAATCTGAGTTCTCCTAGCTGTGACTTGTGTTAGGAACGTAGACTCTGTCCAGCTCAGTAGGCTGTGACATAGAAAATACATGAAGTTAACTTGGGCATAGAGATAGACATGATCCAATTCCCGGTTCAAAACTTATCCCCTATTGCCTTGTTTCTTTTCCTTTTATATGCTCTTACATCTCTAGTGAAGTTTGCCATCAGTATATTTAGTTGTATTAAAAATTCTCCAGGTTCAGTTAATGCGGTCATTTTGGGTAGACTGTGACATACATTTGCATGGATTTGGTCTCCCTCCCTCCCTCCCTCCCTTCTTGCCCCGCTTCATTGCTCTCTTATTTCTTTTCTTCCTTTCTTACTCCCTTCCCTCATCACTTCCTTCCTTTCTTCCACATTTATTTAATGTCTATAACCAGAACCCATGCTACATATTTGAGAAACAAAGTCAAACAAAGCATACATTTATTTTCTAATAAACTAACAGTGTAGTTGTTGGGGAAAAAGAAAAGTAAATGAAAAATTATAATATTTTGGTTAAAATATACATTGGAAGCTGCTGGAAAAGAATTCATGAACACAACTTAGTTGTTTTTAGTTTTACAGGAAGTGAACCTGATATACAATTATTGGTGGTCTAGAAATACAGATGAACTGGATAAAATAATTTTGAAAAAGAGGTTTAATCTTTCTCACTGAAAATCCATTACAGTATGGAACATATTTATTTCTTCTTTGAATTATATACATTTCCTAACACATAATAGATGCTTAATTAAAATGTTTGAAAGAAAGGAGATGTAAATGTCACAATTTTAAAAAGTAATGATTTGGCTGGGCATAGTGGCTCGTGCCTGTAATCTCAGCACTTTGGGAGGCTGAGATGCAAGGATCGCTTGAGCCCAGGAATTTGGGACCAGCCTGGGCAACAAAGTGAGACCTCGTGTCTACAAAAATAAAAGAATAAAAATAAAAAGTACCCAGGCACAGTGGCCCATTCCTGTAGTCCCAGGTACTCAGGAAACTGAGGCAGGAGGATTGCTCTAGCCTCGGAATTGGAGGCTGTGGTAAGCTATGATCATGCCACTGCAATCCAGCCTGGGTGACAGAGCAAGGCCCAATCTTTAAAAAAAAAAAAAAAAAGAACAGAAAAAAAAAGAAATGATTCTTTTTTGTAGAGAGTATTTAGAAAACATTTTATGCCATGCTTTTCTGTATTAGTGAGGAAAAAACTGAATATAATTTACCTTTTCTTTGAGAACTCAATCATCAGTATGAACAATGATTACTTAAGTGAACTTTAGGTGTTCAGGCAGAGGAAGATGTAGGGTATAGGGCCAGTGGGTAGCAACACGAGCAAGTGCATCACATATTCTTTATTGAAATGATCTCATTTGCTGAATGCTTGCTTCTAGTTTATTTTTATTGGATAGTTTCCTTTCTCACATATGTGGAAGAAAACCAATGTATTGCTTGGCCCCTAGGGAAGTGTAATGTGGCTATTCTTTCCCAATGTAAATCATGGAATAAAAATCCACAGCCTTCTCTCAAATTATTTTCTTACCCTCCAGAAAAATTCCTTTCTCTCCTTGTCATTTGATTTCTCAATAACATTCAGATCATTATCTCTTTTTCCAACCTGTCACTATTAACATATCAACTTCAATATATTTTCTATATATTTACACTATCATTTATTGAACAAATATTTATTGAACACCTGCTATGTATCAGACATTGTTCTAAGAGTTGAAGGTGCATCATTAAGCAAAAGTCAGAATCCCTAACTTCACAGAGTTTACAATACAGTACATGTAACTGAAGTGTCTCTCTCACTATCAAGAATTTGTGTTCGTGTAATTGGGAGGGTTCTTTTTCTCTTTCTCTTTCTCTCTTTCTCGTTTCCTTCTTTTCCTTTCTTTCTTTCTTTCTTTGTTTTTCTTTGTTTCTCTCTTTTTTTTTTTTTGATGGAGTTTTGCTCTTGTTGCCCAGGCTGGAGTGCAATGGCACCATCTTGGCTCACTGCAACCTCCACCTTCCAGGTTCAAGTGATTCTCCTGCCTCAGCCTCCTGAGTAGCTGGGATTACAGGTGCCTGCCACCATGCGCAGCTAACTTTTGTATTTTTAGTAGAGACATGGTTTCACCATGTTGGTCAGGCTGGTCTTGAATTCCTGACCTCAGGCGATCCGCCTGCCTTGGCCTCCGAAAATGCTGGGATTACAGGCGTGAGCCACCGTGCCCGGCCCCAGGGCTTTTTCAAAGTGTATTTCATAATAACAAGAATGCCTATTCATTAAAGGTTTTATAAGATTTTACAGTTGACAATGCTCTTTTAGAGAATACATTCTCATTGGAATTTCACAGTAACTTTTAAGATACATAGGATAGGCGTTATTATTGTTTTTTTGTACTGTGCAGATGCAGAACTTGGGTTTAGACAGAGTAAATTACTTCTCAAGATCCCAGAGGTGTAAGTAGCAAATACTTGAGTTTAGAATATTTAAAAATTCCAAAACTGCCTTAGTACTTTTAAATTTGGAAAATATTTTTATATTTATTATTTTATTTGTTCTTCAAAATGATCTGTGTGGTAATTACTGATTCCTCTCTAATCTTCGTGCCCGATGATGTGGAATTGTTGCATTATCTGCCCAGATTTATCTAGCTGGTAATGGTAGAACTGAAAATCCAACTATGTTCATTGAAAAAATCAACTGTGGAAGCTGAACACAAATATTTTCTTTAATCTTTCTATATTCTTATAGGCAAATGGAATTTTAAAAATTTATTATAAATATAATAGAGATTTTTAAATGCTTTATAAATTAATTTCCCATGAAGTTAATTTTTCTCATAACATTATATATTCTAAATAACACCCAGGTATACAGTTTGAACAATGAAGTGACAGTGGCAGGCAGTAAAATCATAAAACAATTACCTGACACATTCTGCTTTTCAGAGTATTTTCTACAATTTTCTTAAGTCAACCTGTCATTCAGACAAGGTTTAAAAAAGTACATTTCAGCTTCCAAAATAAGGTTAAAACAACTAGAAAAACAAAACAAAACAGAGCTCTAGCACCCCTCCTTGTATGTATAATACATATCTTGTAAATACAGAGCTGGAAATGTACATTATTTTTGACAGATAGAGCTTTCAATAGTGAGGGTTTTATTACATAAAAGACAGCAGGAATGGTATATGCAAAAGCCGTTAAGGTCTCCCTTTTCTTCTTAAACTCAGCAGTTTGTGATTATTACTATTTGGCAAGCAGGAGTAAATTGGACCACAATTTCAACAGCCTCATAGAAGTATTCCAGGAGACAGTGTTGATAAATGAGTCCTAGAATGCCATATAATTTTCCTGCAGTTTCATTGTTTGATGACTTACTTTTCATGGATACACTCTGCCCTCAGGTTTCATGTCCTGCTGCCAAATGTGAAAGCTGTTTGTCAGAAATCAATGGGTTCAAGTGGCCCATCAAAAGCTTCTGCCTTTTTGTTGATAGGAAACACTTTGTATAGGAATCTGCTTTCTGGAGAACTCATTGCTATCCCTTTTGTATATACCTGAACCTTGTCCTGGCTATTATTATGGTTTCCTTTGCCAGGGGATTCCCCAGTGAAGGGTGCTCTGCCTAGTACTGCTTGGGTTACTCTCAAGATGACAACCCCTCCAATACAGCAATGACTGCAAAGCTCCTAAGGACAATAGGATTCAGAGTGTCTTCTTCCACCAAAAGCTGAGCTAAATATAGCCTAAATATAGCTTTTTGTATTTTGTTCTAGGGGGTCATTGATGTATTTACAATAAGGGATAGATAGGAAATTTTCATATATTGTGAATCTATTATGTAGCAGGCACTGAGGTGCTTTCCACATGCTATCTTCTTAAATTGTCATACGAAAACTCTCTATAAATTATGTATTATCCCCATTTTACAGATGAGCAATCTGCTACTCAAGAAAGATAGTATTTGCTGAAAGGCAAATAACAGAGGTGGGATTTCAAATTCAGTTTTATCTTACTCCCAAGATCATGCTCTTTCTACTTAGCATTTGGTTAACCGGGTTTAATTTGCACTAAGACCAAATGACAGCAAAAGAATTTCTCTTCTGATAGGCAAACTGACAAATCAAATCTATGCTTTTGAAAAGTCTGTTACTTCCCATGACTCTGTTTTTTGTTTGTTTTCTATTGGTGAGAATAGAGTACATCCAGTCAAAAGTAAGTCTGGTTAAGGTGGGATTTTGAAAGTTGGGTGGAAGTTAAGTGTCTGACTAGTTCTGTCCACTCTTTGTCCCAAATCTCCATTGTGATAGGTAGGATCTCCTCAGTCCAGGTGTCTGTATGTGACAATAGGTTAGAAAGATTCTTGTACTTGAGGCTTTATGAAGTTGACCAAAAGACATTAAGAATGACTAAGTGGGCCAGGTGTGGTGGCTCACACCTGTAATCCTGGTACTTTCAGAGGTCAAGGTAGGCGGATCGCTTGAGGCTAGGAGTTTGAGACCAGCCTGGCCAACATGAAGAAATCCTTTCTCTACTAAAAAATACAAAAATTAGTCAGGCGTGGTGGCACATACCTGTATTCCCAGCTACTCGGGAGGCTGAGGCATGAGAATCACTTGAACCCGGGAGGTGGAGGTTGCAGTGAGCTGAGATTGCACCACAGCACTCCAATCTGGGTAAAAGAGTGAGGCTCCATCTAAAAAAAAAAAAAGAACGACTAACTGCACTTAGGAATGGGGACTACATTCATTTTTTCTGTATAGATACTGGAGGTCTTACTAGGGGGTTGTGGGATTAGTTTCCATATGTAATTGTTCTAAATGCTTTGCAACCTCACAGTTTTGAGTCTTTTGATCCCTTTGGTGGTTTATCCAGGCTTTACTACCTGGAACTGCTGATACTTGGTTCCAGAACTCTTATTAGCAAGATCTTGGTTAGTCCTTGCATCTACAAATAGCTCAAGTTCACCTTAAGTAGAAAGCTTATCAATAGATTTCTGTGGAGACTGCGGATCCCTCCAATACACTTGTTGCTTGATTTATTTACTAGCTCTCCTCTCTTCTTGGCTTTATCTCTTACTGTTTAAGTAGGAGTTTGTTTTCTCTTTTGTTTGTTTTATTTTTGGTTAAAGCAGCAGAGAACCCAGCTCAAATTGGCTTAAAAAGTGAAAGTGATTAAAGTTTTCGTGGTATTGTGGGCTTCAGCTTTTGATCAGTGAAGAATCTGGCTCTATTTCTCTGCTATTCTTTTGGCTCTGGTTTTGCAGTTGTAGCTTTGCCCTAAGTCTGGCTTGTCCTATGGTTATAAAACGGCTGCCAGCAACTTCTGAAGTGACCCGTTTCTCCATTCAGGTTTATAGAAAAGAAAGAGAGAATTGCTTCTCAAGCCATTGAATTGAAGTTCTAAATTTTTCTCTGAAGGAATCAATCATGGATGCTTGGGGTAAATGAGATTAACCTGATTTATTCTAATCAAGGTGCACCCCTGGAAGAGGTCAACTCTTCCAACAAATGCACGGTTTCTATACAATGAAGAGTGACAAAGACTTGTTTGGAGGTAATCAAAATGCCCACCACATTTCACTGAACCTAAATATTAAATTTGTCTTTACTTTTTTGTTGTCTGTTTTACAACTAGCAATGGAGCAGAGAAAGTTGGAGGAAGGTTATTGGGATCTTTTTGAAGAGCAAATCACATTCTCATTGGTAACCATGATGAAAACATATTTTCTTCCTTGTGTGGGTCTGAGACAGTGTCATAAACTGCTTTCAGCAATAGTTAGTATGGTCTAACCGAGTGGTTCTCAATCAGTTCTAATCAGTGGCTCCTTCTCCCAGGCCAGCAGCATCAGCATCTCCTGGAAATGTTTAGAAATGCAAATATTGAAACAGAAACTCTGGGGATGGGGCAAATCTGAGTTTTAATGAACACTGCCATTGATTCTGATCATGCTGAAGTTTAGAAACCACTGGTTTGATGCTTATTTGCACTATTATACTGTGGTTTACATATGGGCTTGACAGGTCCATTTACTTTCATTTACTTGCTATTTGAGATTTTGTCTGGCCAGACAACTGAGCCTCAGATAAATTATTTTCTTACTAAATTCTGGTAAATACCAATAAAACCTTGAATACAACCAACATAGGACAGTCAGTTCTGCTATAATGATTTTTAAAATGGGAATTTGTTTCAATGCAATTAATATATTGGGAAACAAATTTAGCATAAGGCAAATTTTGCATTTATTTGTGCACTACTTCATCTGCTAGACCAACTAGGTGAATGTAGGAACCATACACAGCTGAGCTGAGTCTCATAGGAACACATAAAACACACACACACCTCTCAAGGACAATCAGTGGCCCAGACCCATGCACATCTACTATTACAACTTCTTGTCCATTTCCACCACTTCACTGTTATTAATACAAGCTGCAAGTCTTCCACAAACTAACTTCAGGTGGTTTTCAAGATAAAGTGCCATATTGCTTGCAGTATTTATGTATTTTTTAATCATTTAATGAATGTAAAACTATGCTACCATTTATTAGCTGCTTCTTTTTAAAAATGTTCCACTGACAAATGTTTTGAGTATTATGCCCCGAGGCCTATGATTTTTATTGTGTTCTTTTGCATTGCACAGAGAATTTTAGCAATCCCTATGTTGCACTAAAGCAGAATTGAGACTAATTTGAGCAAAACTTAGCAACTTATAACTGTTACAATCCTTATTTCAGGGCAAACTTTTCATTTTATAATCATAATTATTTTGTTTCCTCTTGAGTAGCACACACACACACACACACAAATCTAAGGTGTTCACTATCACAGAATAATAGCCTTTAAAATGTTTACCAGTTTTCATATTGATATATTTTGTTTGACTCTGTCATTCCGGGCTTTAAGTACTAAAATATATTAGTCTTTTTCAGAAAACATTCCAAGAAAAAAGTTGAATTCCTACCTAGTTTCCTCTCTCTTTGATAACCTATTGTCATAGTAATATACAAATACCTGAAAATTGCCCAGATTATTCTTTTCTTCTTGGAACACAGATTTGTTGATAAGTGCCAAAGGATTTTTTACAAAAACATGAGAAGTTTGACATCACAGTAAGATTTAAAAGGAAAGGCTGTTTATTGTTATTATCATCATTGCTACTACTATTTCCGTTAGTATATATTTCTTTGTCTTATTTGTCCTTTTCCAAAAGATTTTTGTTCTTATATTTTTAATTAGCTCTTTAAAGAAATCAAGAACTGCTTGTTGATTATAGACATCCTTATTGTATAAAGAGGGAGAAGTTCTTTGGTAATTAGCTGTGTATAGGTTCTGTTCAAACAATTGGCTCAAGTGAGGTTGTACAGAAAGAACTCTTGTATTTTCTTATTTTTCAGTATATTCTCCACTCCATCACACCTCTTTTTCCAAAGATGCAGTGCAAAGAAAGTATAATCTCTGGAGTAATTAAAGCTCAGTGAGGAAATGATATCACCTGATGGCCCTATGAAGCATTCAGCAATAAAAGGTGAGTTGCCCAAAATGCATTTACCCTGAACAGGAATACAATGAAACTACCAAGTTTTATCTTTATAATGATTCGTGGCTTATTATTTTGTTGTTTGTATATGTTCTGTTTCCCACATCAGTGTTGTCTTACATTATTATCTGTCTTAACTTAGACTCTGTTTTCTAAATTGCTCTGTGCAATTAAATGCTTTGTGATCATAATAAAAAGCATCATGATAACTTTTAGACTAGAGGTTTCCATACAAAGCTGTATCCCATGGAGAGCAGCTACTGGCACTGAACAATGGCTAGAGATACTCTACATAGGGAAGGGGCTGACAATTATTCAGTTTAAATCAATCACTTGTGCATATATCTCGATAGAACACTAGGCTAGTTCGTTGTGTGTGTGTGTGTGCGTGTGTGTGTGTGCATGTGTGTGTGTGTGTATGTATGTAATTCACTGCTTACTCTATAACAGAGAGAATATCAATTAAATTGGGCCATATAGGAAGATCAATTAATATATTTGTTAATTGAGGAACTTTTGATGGCCTTGTTGATCCCCTATGGTTTGATCTTTAAATCTGTAGTGTTTATTAGACTCACTACAGACTCTCTGTAAATCGTAAGACATTTACATCTATAAATGCATTTTAAAACATCAAATTTTAAATTTTGCAGCACTAAAATGTGTCAGACAATATTCTCAATTAACTTGCATTAATATTTGCTTAGTGTCTGATAAAATGTGTAGTGTAGGACAAAATGTCCTACATAATCAACAAAACACTCTTCCAAAATTAAACATAATATTTGTTAAGATGGTCACTGTTTTTTTAAAAAAAGAGCACTACTACACAGATCAAGCCAATGAGCCCCAGTCAGTTGACAGAAGTACATATTTGGGACTCCTTCTCTAAATTTTTTATAAAAATACCTGAAGAAGATGAATAGTCATTTGCTTTCTTATTTTAAAAGATCTGTCCCCCCAACTAACTTTTTAATCTTCTACTTGTTACCAAATACGATAAAAAGGAGAGGGGGAAAAAAGCAGACACCAGTTTCATTCGTGAATGTAAACTTTGGTTTTTTGGTTTTCTTTTCTTTTTTTTTTTGAGACAGGGTCTCACTCTGTCACCTAAGCCGGAGTGCAGTGGAACGATCTCAGCTCACTCACTGCAACCTCCACCTCCCAGCTCAAGCCATCCTCTTACCTCAACCTCCCAAGTAATTGGGATTACAGGCGCAGCCACCACGCCTGGCTTTTTTTAGTAGAGAGAGGGTCCATGTTGCCCAAGCTGACCTCTAACTCCTGGGCTCAGGTGATCCACCCACCTCAGCCTCCCGAAGTGCTGGGATTACACATTGCACCTGGCTGAACTTCTGAAATGAATGAAGTGCTCCTAAATGAATGAACATCTTGAATGGCAAATTAAGTTTCAAGTGACATATAAGCCAACAAGTATTTCTAAATTTCTAAAATAAATTTCCAAATTCGAAGTCATTCTTTCTTTTCTTTCTTTTTTTTTTTTTGTTGTTGTTGTTTGTTTGTTTTTTTGTGTGTGTGTTTTTGCCGGTCTGTTTTTAATCGTGGCAGCGCCTCACACACACATTCAGGGTTCAGATCTTGTTCAAAGCTGCGATGTCGACACTCTGCACATGCTCCTCAAACTTGGTGATCTCCTCCTCCAGCAAGTCTGTCCCCACTTTGTCGTCCTCCACCACACACTGAATCTGCATCTTCCGGATACCATAGCCCACGGACGCCAGCTTGGAGGCCCCGCTCACTAGCCCATCCAGCTGGATAGAGCGCACACATGCCTCCAGCTGGGTCATGTCCGTCTTATTGTCCCAAGGCTTGATGTCCAGCAGGATGGAGGACTTGGCCACCAGCGAGGGATTCTTGGCCTTCTTGGCGTACAGCCGCAGCCGCTCCTCCCGCAGCCGCCTTGCCTCCTTGTCTTCCTCCTTATTGTCGCTGCCAACAGATCAATGTCATCGTCCTCGTTATCCTCTGCTTCTTGGCCGGGGTCGTAGTAAGGGGGGCGAGGGGAGGGGCGCTCCACTTGGCGCATGGGAGACACGTGCTGTGTCTGCGGGACTGTGGACCATGGCCAGGCGAGCTCTTCTCTCTTCTCCGGCATGTTCAGCCAGGCCTCCAGGTTGGAGACCGCCTGCTGCAGCTCCTGCACCACGCCGCGCAGGCTCTGGTTCTCCACTTCCAGGCTGGCGATCTGGAGGACGAGCTCGCTGTGGTCTTCCCTGGGGCCGAGCTCTGGCGGGAGGCGCTGGCCACAGGCCCATTCATCTGCTTGTAGAATTTCCTTTCTGTATCTTCATATTTGAATTTGTCGAGCCAGATCTTCTCATGTGCTAGGAATTTTGTAGCCATTTTTCTGACGCCTGCCAAGAATGCGGCTACCAGAAATGAGGAATCGGTAGACGCAGGACGCCTAAGGGCGAAGTTGCTCTTTCATAATGTACAAAACCCTTAAGTCTTCAACAGAAAGCACCTTTTTTATTTAAAAGAAAATCCTGCAGTTTGCAAATAAAAGTTTGTATTTCAGAGAGTTGGTGAGGAAATAATCCATTAAAGACTGCCTTTATAAACATAAACTGCTGGGAATAAAGTAAGATTTTTAAAAGACAATGAAAACATTCTGACATCTCAACAGGAGTTAGCCTGATGAATCCATCTCATACCAGAAGTCTTTGTTTTCTATTTCTGGCTCCTTCAGGAGCTCAAGGTTTTACCTTGGACAGGTCATTTCATCTGTCAGAGCCTTGTTTCTCTTACATCAAAGGAAGAGGCTTGTCTGTAAAATCTTTAAAGTTCTTCTTTTTCTCAAATATAAAATTATCATTCAGATACTCTTGGTATAATATTTAAAAATTATTTAAATATTTAAAGAAAAATGTTTTGAATATTTTTCTATATACTGAGCTGCTATGTTGAGAAATCCCAGAGGTATTATTTCAGTGTACTATTGCTCTGATGACCAGCTACCACTGGAGAGGGGTACTATTTCTTCCTTAAAACTTGTATATTCCCCTCAAATACTGATGGAGGAAAGAGTACATGAATCTTTATAGTAAAAGATAGACAATTAGATATAATTGATCTTAATAGATCTGTAGATAATATGGACCATTATCTACATATCATTTGTTAAATTAATGCCTTCTAGCACTCAGCTAAACTAATTGTATCGTGTGTGTGTATTTCTTAAGCAAAGTTTGTTTCATAGATCAGTGCCCCTGGGCTAGACAGGAAAATGTCAAAGCTCTTAAACCAGTCCACCAAAGTATGTCAACTAAAAGCCTCAGAACTAGTAGTATTTCTCGTTAGGTTTTCAGTTGCAGGGTAGAGAAAGAAAGCAAAATCACAAGGCAGGTATTTTTCTACAGCAGTTTGATTTAGCAAATGTTGAACAAATAAACCATTAACTAAATAAAATATTGCATATATATATATATATATATATATGTATATTGTGTTTATTTTCATGTTGTCTGACATCCTGACAACTAAAGGGAAAATAATATAGAAGTATTTCTACATTATTTTGTGTCTCTGAGTTTGTGTCTCTGAGTTTCCTGGGCAAACTTTGTGTCTCTGAGTTTCCTGGGCCTGAAATAATTGGCAGGGTGAATCTGAAATGCAGACACAGAAAGTCACCCTTGGTTTGATGCCCTTTTTTTTTTCCTTTTCATGTTTATATTTTGGTGCATTTCCCCCCGATATCAAATATTACCTTGGTACTAAAAAAATCAAGAAGGGAAAATGCAGGCAGGAGAACGAGGAGAATCACCTTGTTACTTCTCTCCCATATATGATTGGGCTCATGTGATTGGTGCATTAGACTTTGTAGTGTCATTTCACTCCTTTCTCTGTAGACATCAATACTAACAAATGAACTGCAAAATCCTAAAGTGTGAGGATAAACACCAATTATTTATGTATGCACATCATTTGTATGGATTTCTAACTATTGATCTTCAGGTAAATGTCTAGACAGAAGTAGATTTAAATGTATAGGTAGTTGTGCTATATTTTTACATTTATAGTAATTAACATCTAGAAAAGCAAGAAGGAAGAGACAAAATATCAGTTATTATTTTGCCTACTTGCCTCTGCAAAAAAGAAGAAATAAAAGGATTGCCTTCTATCTACCTGAGACAGACATTTAAACTATAGTGAATTCAGAATCTTTAGGCATTCTCCTCAAAGTTTCCTTCAGTGAAAATTGATTTGAATCAAAAATTTATGTTAAAAAAAATGGCAGGGCCAATGTTCCTAGCAGAGTTATCTGAATGATTTGCTAGGTCAAGCAATCGGTCAACTATTTTCCTCTAGATCATAGGATTAGCATATCAGGCCAGATACTTATCCTGTGCAATGTTGAGCACAGTTATTTTTGGAATCTAAGAGATCATATGATTTGACACTCCTAAAGGAGACCTTCTAAGACTTTACTTCCAAAAAACTGACTGGATATTATAGTAAAATATAATTCCTATACTAAAATACAGCTGTAAAAACCAAAATGCAGCTTGAATACATTTAGAGGGAGTCTTCAGTGCTTTGTCCATTAGATAAAAAGATTGCAAATTAAAAGTACTCAAAAATTGCAGTTGACATTCAGAAACTCATTAGCTTCTTTCTTTCCCAAAATCACCATAGCAATTAGTCTACACTTTAATTGGTCAAAATTATTCATCATTAAAACACTGATTTCTAAAAGACCATTTTTTTTCCCCTCTGTCTTGGACTTAAATTTTTTAGGAATTTAAATCTTCTTTCTCTACCAGTTTCTGAAATGATTAAGCACATTTGCATTTTATCTGTCTAGAGAAGATATTCCTTCCCTTGAACTCTCTCATTCTGGCCTCTTCTGCTTGGTCAACTGTCTGTGGAAATTCTGTGCTGATCATCTATAGATTACATGCTAATCTATATTTCCTAAGAAAAATAGGAAAAATATGTACACAGGGTTCAGTTTACATTTAGAAATCTCAGGATCTTCTGTCAATTCTTACCCAATTTTCATGATAATCCCTACATTTTTTTCTTAATTTAACTTATCCAGTTTAAGATGTTGCTTCCTTATTAAAATATTTATCACCTTAAAATTGTCCACTACAATTTAATATATAGAAGCTTTTATATTCCTTCCTTCCTTCCTTCACATGTCCAGTCAATTAGTCATTTATTCATTCAGTATCTTCCAGTGCCAGCACTGTGCTAGAAACATGGAATGAAAAGAGGAAAGAGGTGTGTTCTATGATCTAAAAATGTTCCTAAAGGTCAGGTAAACAAATAAGTGCATTTAAATGTTAAGAGAACAAAGACAAGAGAATATGCAGGACATGCCGGAGGCCCAATGGAAGGTAGGAATTTTCCCATCTGGGAGGCAGGTGGTGAACCAGAAGGTTTATAGGTGAAGACGATGCTTGAACTGTGTTCACAGGTGCTTTTTGCCAGATAGTCTAACAGATTAAGGTGCTCTCCCTATAGAGGGAGAACCAGAGGGCTGGAAACTGAAGGATGAATTCAGGGAAAATGACAAGTAGTGCAGTCTGGCTAAAGCAGAAAGGCATATCAGTGGGGCAGGGACCAGTTAATGGATAATAACAAGACAGAGAGTTTGGATTTCAAACCACAAAATATGGTCAAGGGAAAAATCAGCAGAGTTAAGCCAGAACAATAATATGATATATATTTTTTCATTTAGACAGAATGCACTGGATATTTAAAGAAATAGAAATAAAACATTTCAGAATCTAGCTTTTGCTTCTCATTGACAAAGTCTTTACTAAGATGGAATAAAAATGGAAGCATGGAACAGAGAGAGAGAAGTTGTATTTCTTCATGGGATGACAAGAAGGGTAGATGAGGCTCGCCCAAGTACAGTGATGTTTACACCTAATTGATCACAACCAGTTACAGATTTCTTAGTTCTTTCTCTACTCCCATTGCTTCACTTGACTAGACTTAGAAATGAAAAAAAGAAAAGAAAAAGGGTGGATTATAGAGCTTAAGATCTGTGCTTTGGTCCCCATATTTCCAATCCTTGTCACCAATGCTTGGTAAATATGTGGGTATATAAAAAATTATATTTAATTAATTAATTAACTATTTTTTTGAGATGGAATTTCGCTCTCATTGCCCAGGCTAGAGTGCAGTAGTGCGATCTCAGCTCACTGCAACCTCCACCTCCCGGGTTCAAGTGATTCTCCTGCCTCAGCCTTCCAAGTAGCTGGGATTACAGGCATCCGCCACCATGCCCAGCTAAGTTTTTGTATTTTTAGTAGAGACGGGGCTTCACCATGTTGCCCAGGCTGGTCTTGAACTTCTGACCTCAGGTGATACACCCGCCTCAGCCTCCCAATGTGCTGGGATTACAGGTGTGAGCCACAATGCCCGGCCCTTAATTATGTTTTTTTAAAGCTATATGACAGTAACCAAAACTATATGATTGAGGAAATATTTGTAGAAATGATATATATGACAACAGTAGCAAAAAGGACAAGGGTAAATAAACAGAAGTCATATTTTTCAAAATTCTTGCACTTTATTAGAAGTATTATAAAATTAATTGTAAGTAGATTGTGGTACTTAATAATGAATGTTGTAAACCCTACAGCATACACTAAAAATAATGTAAAAATGTATATTTAAAAAGCCAATAGAGGAATTCAAAGGAATATTTTATAACAACATCAGTTAACCTTAAAGAAGACAGAAAATAAGGAAGACAGGAACAAAAATACAGGTGAGACAAACAGAAAAGACATAGCAAGTTATAGTTGGGTCTTGATTTTCAAAATCTGGGCTAAGAATTTCCATCTTTTAATGGGGAGAAGTAATCTATTTATAACAAATATAATTGTCAATTAAGTTGGGCTTAAGTCCTATTAAAATATATAGATTTTTAGCCTGGATAAAAATGTATGGCCCCATTATATCCTGTCCATAAGAGAAAAACTTTTTGTTAAGAAAATACAGATTGATTGAAGCAAAATAATGGAAAAAATTATACCATGCATTCAATAAACATAGGCAATATGGAGTGCCTATATTAATACCAGAAAAAAATAGACTTCAATGTAAAGAGTATTATCAGATATGAAGAAGAATATTACATAATAATAAACTGCTGATTCATTAAGGAAATATAACAATTATATATGTGGGAAGGTGGAGCAAGATGGCAGAATAGAAGGCTCTACCGATTGTCCCCACTACCCTGCAAGGACACCAAATTAACACCTATCTACACAGAAAAAAATATCTTCAGAAGAATCAAAAATCAGGTGAGCAACTCAGTACCTGGTTTTAACTTTATTGCTGAATGAGGCACTGAAGAAATAGAAAAAAACAGTCCTGAATCCCAATGCCTTCCTCCCTACCCACAGAAACTGAGTGTGGTGTGGAAAGCATCTCTCAGTGCTGAGGGAGGAGAATACAGCAATTATGAGGCATTGAACTCAGTACTGTTCTTTTAGAGCAGAAAGGAAAATCACATCAAACTTAGCTGATGTCCACCCACAAAGGGAGCATTTAAACCAGCCCCAGCCAGAGGGGAATTGCTGATCCCAACAGCTGAAACTTGAGTTCCTGCAAACCTCCACACCGAGGGATACAATACTCTATGTCTCCAAGTAAACTTGAAAGGCAGTCTAGGCCATAAGGACTGCAACTTTTAGGCAAGTCCTAGTGCTGGACTAGGCCTAGAATAGTGGACTGGGCTGGTGCAGTACATACTGAGACACCAGCTGGGGCAGGGCTGCACAGGGTAGAGGTAATGCTAGCACTCCCTGAGCCAGACACCACCACCTCTCCCTTAAGCCTAGGCTGCACAAGTCTCTCCAAAAGAGACCCCTTTCTTCCACTTGAAGGAGAGGAGAGGACAGAATGGGGAGGACTTTGTCTTGCAACTTAGGTATTAGCTCAGCCACAGCAGGATAGAGCAATGGTCAGAGTCAAGAAGCCCTTGTTCTAGGCCCTAGGTCCCAGACATTTCTAGACATACCTTGGGCCAGAAGGGAACCCACTGCCTTAAAGGAAAGGACCCAGTCCTGGTAGCATTCATTACTTGCTAACTGAAGAGTCTTTGGGCCAGGAATGACCATTAGTGATACACAGGTGCTATGTCTTGGGCCTTGGGTGAGTCTCTGAGACTTTCTGACTTCAGGTGAAACTCATCATCTTACTAGCTTGGATGGCTATGGGTCAAAACTCCCTCTGCTTGAGAAAAGCAGAGGGAAAAGTAAAGTCTTGCACCTTAGGTACAAGCACTGCCACTGGGGGGTAGAGCACCAAGTGGTCTCTTGGGGTCCCTGATTCTAGCACTTGACTCTTGGATGGCATTTCTGCACCTGCCCTGGGCCACAGAGGTGCTCACTGCCCTGAAGGATAAGTCCCAGGCAAGGCAGCATTCACCACAAGCTGACTTAGAGCCCTTGGGTTTTAAGGGAATATTGGAGATAGTCTGGCAGTACTCCTTGTGGCCTGGGGTGGTGGTGGCAATGGGGTGAAGCTCCTCTACCTTTGGAAAGGGGAGGAAAGTGTGGGAAGGACTGCATCTTGTGGTTTGAGTGCCAGCTCAGCCACAGTACAATAGAACACCAGAAGACTTCTAAGATTTTTGACTCTAGTCTCTGAACTACCAGACTGTAGCTCTGGACCCACGTGGGGCCTGGGGGACCTTGCCACCCTGAAGAAAAGGACACAGGCCTGGTTGGCTTTGCCACTGGCTGATTGGGTAGCCCCAGGGCCTTGAGTGAACATAGGCAGTAGCCAGGGAGTGACTACAGCAGGCCTTGGGCGAGGCCCGGTGCTGCGCTAACTTTAGATCTGACCCAGTGCAGTCATAGTAGTGGTGGACACAGAGGTGCTTGTGTTACTCCAAATTTAGGTGACTTGGAACAGAGAGACTTTGTTCATTTGGAAGAAATTAAGGAAAGAGAACAAGAGTCTCTGCCTGGTAATCCAGAGAATGCTCCTGGATCTTATCCAAGACCATCAAGGCAGTACTTCTATGAGTCTGCAAGAACCACAGTGTTACTGGGCTTGAAGTGCCCCTAAATCAGACACAGCTTAGATCATAACACCTAAGCCCTTTGAAATATCTGGAAAGCCTTCTGAAGAAGGACAGGTACAAATATGCCCAGACAGTGAAGACTACAATAAATACTGAGTTCTTCAATGCCCAGACACCAAAGAACATCTGACAGCATCAACACTATCCAGGAAAATATGACCTCACCAAATGAACTAAATAAAGCACCAGGGACCAATCCTGGAGAAACAGAGCTATGTGACCTTTCAGAAACAGCATTCAAAATAGCTGTATAGAGGAAATTAAAAAGAAATTCACAATAAGACAGAGAAGGAATTCAGAATTCTATCAGATAAATTTAACAAAGAGAATGAAATAATTAAAAAGAATCAAGCAGAAATTCTGAAGCTGAAAAATGCAGTTGGCATACTGAAGAATACATCAGAGTCTTTTAATAGCAGATGTGATCGAGCAGAAGAAAGAATTAGTGAGCTTGAAGACAGGGTATTCAAAAATCAACAGTCAGAGGAGATAAAAGAAAAAAAGAATAAAAAACAATGAAGCATGCTTACAGGATTTAGAAAATAGCTTCAAAAGGATAAATCTAAGAGTTATTGGCCTTAAAGAGGAGGTAGACAAAGAGATAGGGGTAGAAATTTTATTCAAAGGAATAATTACAGAGAGTTCCCAAACCTAGAAAAATATATAAATATCCAAGTACACAAAGGTTATAGAACACCAAGCAGATTTAATCCAAAGACTACCTCAAGGCATTTAATAATGAAACTCTCAAAGGTCAAGGATAAAGAAAGAACCCTAAAAGCAGCAAGAAAAAAAGAAACAAATAACATATGATGGAGCTCCAATAAGTCTGGCAGCAGACTTTTCAGTGGAAATTTTCCAGGAGAGAGTGGTGTGCCATATTTAAAGTGCTGAAGGAAAAAAAACTTGTACCCTAGAATACTATATCTGGCGAAAATGTTCTTCAAACACGAAGGAGAAATAAATACTTTCTCAGACAAACAAAACCCGAGGGACTTCATCAATACCAGACTTGTCCTACAAGAAGTGCTAAAAGGAGTACTTCAATCAAAAGAAGACATCAGTGATCAATAAGTAATCATCTGAAGGTATAACACTCACTGGTATTAATAAGTATACAGAAAATCAGAATATTTTAACGCTGTAACTGTGGTGTGTAAGCTACTCTTATCCTAAGTAAAAAGACTCAATGAAGAACCAATCAAAAATAATAACTACGGCAACTTCCCAAGACATAGTCAGTACAATAATATATAAATAGAAACAACAAAAAGTTTAAAAGCAGGGTGGGCAATGAAGTTAAGGCATAGATTTTTTATTTGTTTTCTTCTTGCTTGTTTCTTTGTTTATGCAAACAGTGGTAAATTGTTATCAGCTTAAAATAATGGGTTATAAGATAGCATTTGCAAGCCTCATGGTTACCTCAAGCCAAAAAACATACAATGGAGATGCAAAAAATAAAAAGCAAGAAACCAAGTCATAACACCAAAGAAAATCACCTTCACTAAAGGAAGGTGGGAAGGAATGAAAGAAGGAAGACAAGATCACAAAACAACCAGAAAACAATTAACAAAATGGTAGGAGTAGGTCCTTACTTATCAGTAATAACATTGAATGTAAATGGACTTAATGCTCCAATCAAAAGACATAGACTGGCTGAATGGAAGAAACAAGACCCATTGGTCTTTTGCCTCCAAGAAACACACATCACGTATAAAAACATAGACTCAAAATAAAGGGATGGAAAAAGATATTCCATGTTGATGGAAGCCATAAAAAAGTAGGAGTCATTATACATATATCAGACAAAATAGATTTCAAGACCAAAACTTTGAGAAGAGACAAAGAAGATCACTATATAATGATGAAGGGGTCAATTCAGCAAGAAAATATAATAATTTAAAATATATATATGCAACCAACACTGGAGCACCCAGATATATAAGGTAAATATTAGAGCTAAAGAGAGATATAGAACCCATATACAATAATAGCTGGAGACTTCAACACCCCACTTTCAGCATTGGACTTATCTTCTAGACAGAAATTCAACAAAGAAACATCAGACTTAATCTGCACTATAGACTAAATGTATCTAGTGGATATTTATAGAACATGTAATGCAATGGCTGCAGAATACACATTCTTTTCCTCAGCACATGGATTATTCTCAAGGATAGACCATGTGTTACATCACAAAAGAAGTCTTAAAATATTAAAAAATTGAAATAATATCAAGCATCTTCTCTGACCATAATGGAACAAAACTAGAAATTAATAAAAAGAAGAATTTGGGAAACTATACTAATACAAGGAAATTAAGCAATATGCTCCTGAATGACCAGTGGGTCAATAAAGAAATTAAGAAGGAAATTTAAAAATGTCTTGAAATAAATTATAATAGAAACACAACATACCATAACCTATGAGACACAGCAAAAGCAGTACTAAGAGGCAAGTTTATTGCTATAAGTGCCTACATCAAAAAAGAGGAAAAGCTTCAAAAAACAATCTAATAATGCATCCTAAAGAACTAGAGAAGCAAGAGCAAACCAAACCCAAAATTAGTGGAAAAAGAGAAATAATAAAGATCAGAGCAGAAATAAATGAAATTGAAATGAAAAAAAAATTCAAAGGATCAATGAAACAAGAAGTTGGTTTTTTAAAAAGTTAAACAAAATTGGCAAGCCTTTAGTCAGACTAAGAAAAAAAGGAGAGAAGATCTAAATAAATAAAATCAGAATTGAAAAAGTAGACATTACAACTGATACTCCAGAAATTCAAAGGATCATTAGTGGCTACAATGAGCAACTATATGCCCATAAATTTGAAGATTTAGAAGAAATGGACAAATTCCTAGACACATTCAACCTAGCAAGATTGAACCATGAAGAAATCCAAAACCTGAACAGACCAATAACAAGTAATGAAATTAAAGCTGTAATAAAAATTTTCCCAGTAAAGAGAAGCCTCAGACCTGATGGCTTCATTACTGAATTCTATCAAACATTTAAAGAACTAATACCAATTCTACTCATACTCTTATTAATATTCTGAAAAATATAGGAGGAGGGACCACTTCCAAATTCATTCTACAAGGTCAGTGGTTACCCTGACACCAAAATCAGACAAAAGCACATTAAAAAAAAGGAAACTACAGGTCAATATATCTGATGAATATTGATACAAAAATCCTCAACAAAATACTAGCAAACAGAATTCAACAATACATAAGAAAGATCATTCATTATGTCCAAGTGAGATTTATCCCTGAGATGCAAGAATGGTTCAACATATGCAAACCAATCAATATGATACATCATATCAACAAATGAAGGATAAAAACCATATGATCATTTCAATTGATGCTGAAAAAGCATTTAATAAAATTAAACATCACTGCATGATAAAAACTCTAAAAAAAAAAACTGGGAATGGAAGGAACATATGTCAACATAATAAAAGCTATGTACATCAGACCCACAGCTAGTATCACACTGAATGGGGAAAAACTGAAAACCTTTCTTCTAAGATCTGGAACATGACAAGGATGCCCAATGTCACCACTGTTACTCAACATAGTATTGGAAGTCCTAGCTAGAGCAATCAGACAAGAGAAAGATATAAAAGGCATCCAAATGGGAAAGGAAGAAGTCAAATTATTCTTGTTTGAAATGATATGATCTTATATTTGGAAAAACCTACAGACTCCACAAGAAAACTATTAAAACTGATAAGCAAATTCAGTGATATTGCAGGATACAAAATCAACAAACAAAAATAAGTAGCATTTCCATATATAACAGTGAACAATGTGAAAAAGAAATAAAAATGTAACCCCATTTGCAATAGCCACACATATAATTAAATAACTAGGAGTTAATTGAGGAAGTGAAAGGTCTCTGAAAACTATGAAATGCTGATAAAAGAAATCGAAGAGAACACAAAAAATGGAAAAATATTTCACATTGGTGGATTAGAAGAATTAATATTGTTAAAATGGCCACGCTATCCAAATCAGTCTACAGATTAAATGCAATCCCTATCAAAATACTAATGACATTCTTTACAGAAATAGAAAAAACAATCCTAAAATTTATATGGAACCACAGAACATGCAGAATAGCCAAATCTATCCTAAGCAAAAAGAATAAAACTGGAGGAATCACATTGCCTGACTTCAAATTATGCTATAGAGCTATAGTAATCAAAACAGCATGGTGCTGGCATAAGAACAGACACATAAACCAATGGAACAGGATAGAGAACCCAGAAACAAATCCACTCACCTACAGTGAACTCATTTTTGACAAAAGTGTCAATAACTTACCCTGGGGAAAGGACCGTGTCTTCAATAAATGGTGCTGGGAAAGCTAGATCTTCACAGGCAGAAAATTGAAACTAGACCTCTATCTCTCACCATATACAAAAATCAAGTCAATATGGATTAAACACTTAAATTTAAGACCTCAAACTCTGAAAGTACTACAGGAAAACTTTGGGGAAAATATCCAGGACGTTGGTCTGGGCAAAAATGTCTTGACCAATACCCCAGAAGCATAGGTAACCAAAGCAAAACGGGACAAATGGAATGACATCAAGTTAAAAAACTTCCACACAGCTAAGCATACAATCAAGAAAGTGAAGAAACAACCCATGGAATGAGAGAAACTATTTGCACACTTCCCATCTGACAAAGGATTAACAACCAGAATATATAAGGAGCTCAAACAACTCTACAGGAAAAAAATCTAATAATTCAATTTAAAAAATGGTCAAAAGATTTGTATAGACATTTCTCAAATGAAGACATACCAATGGCAAACAGGCGTATAAAAAATGCTCAACATCATTGATCATCAGAGAAATGCAAATCAAAACTGCAGTGAGACATCATCTCACCCCAGTTAAAATGGCTTTTATCCAAAAGACAGGCAATAACGAATGCTGACGAGGATGTGGAGAAAAGGGAACCCTTGTACACTGTTGGTGGGAATGTAAATTAATACAACCACTATAGAGGTCAGTTTGGAGGTTCCTCAAAAAAAAAAAAAAAAAAAATCTGAGCTGCCATATCATCTGGTAATCCCACTGCTGAGTACATAGCCAAAAGAAAGGATATCAGTATACCAAAGATATTTACACTCCTGTGTTTATTGCAGAACTGTTTACAATAAGTAAGATTTGGAAGCAACCTAAGTGTCCACCAACAAATGAATGGATAAAGAAAATGTGGTACATATAGACATTAGAGTATTATTCAGCCATAAAAAGAATGAGATTCAGTCATTTGTAACAACATGGATACAACTGGAGATCATTATGTTAAGTGAAATGAACCAGGCATAGAAAGACAAACATCACGTTTTCACTAATTTGTGGGATATAAAATCAAAACAACTGAACTTATTAACATAGAGAGTAGAAGAATGGTTACCAGAGGCTGGGATGAGTGGTGCAAGCCTGGGAAAGGAGGTGGGGATGAATAATGGGTATAAAAATTGTAGTTAGAATGAATAAGACCTGCTATTTGATAGCACAACAGTGTGACTATAGTCAGTACTAACTTAATTGTGCATTTTAAAATAAAAACAGTGTAACTGCATCATTTGTAACTCAAAGGATAAATGCTTCAGGGAATGGATAACCTATTCTCCATGATGTGCTAATTTCACGTTTCATGCCTGTATCAAAACATCTTCTGTGCTCCATAAATATGTACACCTACTATGTACCCACAACTTTTTTAAAAAATTAAAATATATATGTGTATGTACTAATAACAGAGCTTCAAATTCAATGAAAAAAAAAACACAAAATTTGACAGAACCGAAAAAAGAAATAGGCAATTCCAATAATTATATCACTTTTCTCTCATTAATGTAGAACAACTAGGCAAAGGAATCAGTAACTGTATGGAATATCAGAACAAAAATATCAGATACTTTCAGTTAACTAACATCAACAGAATACATCCAATAACTGCAGAATATACATTCTTTTTAAGTGAACATAGAACATTCACCAATGTAGCTGATGTGCTAAACATGTCTAAATAAATTTTAAAACCTTGCAGTATTGCTGACTATAATCTCTAACCACAATGGATGTAAATTAGAAAAAAATACGATGTCTAGGAAAGTCTGGAATATTTGAAAATTAAATAACCAACTCTAAATAATATTAATATATGGGCCAAAGGTGAAATCACAAGAAATATTAAACAACATTTTGAAGTGAATGATAATGAAAGTACAACATATAAGAATTTGAGAAATGGAATGGCAAATTCATTTGCTTTCATGAGGTGGTAACTAATATAGAATTGCCCCCTTTCTGTAAATAATTAGAAAACTGGACCAAATATGTAAAACAGTTATTTTTAAAGATTGGCCTATAGATAACAAAGGACTATTATTTTCTTAACAAATGAGTTAAGCCCTACCAGCTAGAGGAAAAACAGGTATGTAAGGATGATCACAGATTTCTCTTCATAGTTCAACACTAACTATGTGTTGTCTGCATGAGACACATTTTTAATATAATGACCCAGAAATACTTAAAAATAAAAGAATGGGAATATATGTACCATGCATTTAAAAACTATTATGATATACCAAGGAGGCTGCAGCACCACTTCTGTGGTATTCCTGCCAAAAGTATGTATCTTGAATCTAATCATGGGGAAACATCAGACAACCCAAGGTGAGGGAAACCCCACAAAATGACTGACCTGTCCTCTGCAATAGTGTCAAGGTTATAAAAGTCAAGGAAAAACCGAAGAGTTGTTCCAGATGAAGAAAACTAAAGAGACCTTCAAGGGGTGATTCTGAACTGGAGCTTTTAAATATAAGTCTTGTTGGAACAACGGGTCAAACTTGAATAGGATTCAAAGAGGTGGCCTAAAGAGTTAAAAGACTTAAGTGATAGTATTGCATCAGTGTTAATCTTCTGATTTTGATGGCTGCATTTCATTATCGTGAAAGAATGTTAAATGTCTTTGTTCATAGGAAATACACACTAAAGTAGTCAGGGTGTTGAGGCTTTAGGTTGATAATTTATTCTCAGATAGTTCAGGAAAAATTCTTTCTGCTGTTTGTGCAACTTTTGTGTACGTTGGAAAATTTTTATACAAAAATCAACTTCAAAATTGACCATATAAATGAATACCATTGAAATATCATTTAAATTATCAGTAGTAACATTAGATGCTAGAGATAGTGGAGTAATGCCTTCAAAATTCTCGGGGCAACTGCTGTTCATCACTGAATCATACGCAGATCACCTTTCAATCAAGTGTGAGGGTAAAACAGCAACATTTTCAGATATATGAGAACTCAGAGTCCCCATTCCCTCTATCAAAAACTGGAGAATCAACCTTATGCAAATGAGGCAATAAAAAATGCACACAGTGGTGGAGAGAAACAATAAAATGACAGTGTTCTGTTGGCCTAAGAAGTTAAAAAGAGGGGCCAAAAAGTAGCAGAATGGGAGAGTGTGCAGAGATATGTCTGGAAATTACTATTTTCCAATGTAGATATTTTAAAATAGGTGCATGCATTTCTTTACTGATTATTTAAAAATTATATTTAATATGAATTTAAAGAAGTGAGTGGGGAAATGAAGACGGCAAGTAAAGCCTAATTTTTTTAACAGCAAATAAAGGAGAAAGCAGAGAAGGTAGTTAAAAAGGAATCTATGTTTGAGAGACTGTTTTTCCTGCTAAATTAAGAGAAATAAGCATGGTACTGTGATCTGAAGGAAAGCCAGAAACTGGGTGACCAAATAAAATGCACTAGAAAAGAGTGCTTTTTTACTAAGGTTGGTAGAAAGGAGGTGATGTACCAAGTAGATAGAAATAATTTGTAGTCTAGTGTGCTGCAGAGAGCCTCACTTTTCTTTATACAAAGGCATATTCTAAGAAAAAAAAAATAGGGCATAGATGGATAAAGAGGATTGCAAAGCTTTGCAAAAAGTTGAAATAACATCCATGCCTCATAGTTGAGGGAGCTAAAAGAGGAACACACAGAAGAATTGCCCAGCAGCATGGATGGTCCTGCTGAGGAGGTGAACATGAATTTTTAACAGCATTAGCCACACATTTGTATAGTGCTTTTTAAAGCTTTTATTCTAATGTTTTTGGCAGCCTGGGTGTAGCTACTAAATTTAGATTTGGGATTTGCCCAGTCTTGCAAACAAGTAATAACCCAGGGTATGGCGTAAACTAAAAAGAAAAAGAAGAGAAACTATGCAAGTATGTCAGGCAGAATTCAACTGGAGGTCAAAATTTGCTGAAATAGCAGGTAGAGTGGGATTAAAGGAGCAAAAAGAGGGGATTCTATGAAGTTGTGGTCCATGAAAGACTGAGAGGAGGAGGGGAAGAAATTCAGAATTGAAATTGACTACTCAAAAGGCTTGCTCGTGAAAAAAACTGCCAATAAAAAATCAAGCATCCTTGTGTACAAAGAAGAAAATCAAAGAGAGATGCCTAGGGACCTTCAGTTGTTTTTAGGAAGTTAAGCTGGCCTAGAGTTTCTTGCTGAGTATCCTTGCATTCGTGGGGATGACATTTCTGGGACAAAGCAAACTTCCACCACATCAAACTACCTGTGGATGATAAACCAACTATGATGAAGTTGGCCTTTTCCAGGTTTCTACCTTGGCACCAATTTAACACTTGCATCCTTTCTAGCAAGGTTGTTTTTTATTTATGTTTTTTATTTCCTCTGCATCTCAGTGATAGTTGTCTTGGCACACAGTCCCAGCTGCAGACAGCTTTTATTTTTAGGTTTCCCTATTCAGAAAGAGTAGTCCCTGTTTAGGCATTTCACTGTCATTCTAAGCTTTCCACTGAGCTACAACCCTGCAGCTTTCTTCAAATTCAAGTCACTGGGGAGGGCTTTTGAAATGCTCAAAGAACGAGACAACATTTTGTACAAAGGGGAAAAAGCAACCATAAAGATATTCCAAAACCAAGTAGATACCATGAAAACGAATGGAAAAGAGAAGACAGTGACAGGAACCAAAAGGACAAAAGACAATATGTTGAATCTGTAATAAGCCAGCCAGAAGCCCCAAGGACAATGGTAGGAACCTACAGATAGAGGTCTGCACATAGGGAAATAAATTCTTACTTCGTGATTCCCAAAAGCACCACCCAAGTTACTAGAGGTGACAAAAATACTTCCTCTTATTAAAATAAGGAAGTTATTTTGGGACCACATTATTAGTGAACTGGTTAGTTTTAGAGAGCTCTTCTAGAAACTCATTGAGGTATAGATTTTCAAAGTAGTTAAGTACATTATTTGAGTAAAATAACATTATGTTCAACCTAACTTACAAAAGGAATAGTATAATTAAACAGACTTGTGCCTGGAACTGAAAATATACTCAGTTAAGCATTGCCATATTTTATAAAGGATGTTAGAATCCCTTTACCCTGTATTTAGTAATCCTAGCTGTGATGCAAGATAGATTAATAGATAAGCCACAAAGTAATTGTAATCAAACATAAAGGTACAATTTAGGAAATGGGTAATGTACCTATAGGTGCCTAATCCAATATATACTTCATATGATGCCCAAATATGCCACATTTTTGGTCTGTTAGAGGAGCATGAAACTAGTGATGGTCAGGAAATGATTCAGAAAGCAAGTCCTAAGGCAGTTGCAAAGCTGTAGAAGGAAAGTCCTGGAAAGCTTTAATGTTTTGGGCTTGCAAATGGGTCTCTTTGTCCTCAAATGTTTTAAGAATAATTTTTCAGTCATAATTTGTAAAAACCAATGGCATTTTTGTTGAAAATATTTTGGCCTCTTGAGGTGGACTTGCAGAAAATACTGCAACAGCACTTTTGTACCCCCACTAACCATTTCGATGAACTCAGCTGTATCATCTCCTGCCCTCACCCACTGTTTCACTCCTGGTTACTGCCCTCTGTTCTTAGCATATATGATACCCTGCCATGGCTCATTCGTTCTCAGCAAGGGGACAAGGAACTCAAGAACTGGCAGCACGAGAGCAAGTTGCCTCAGGCCAGGGGTCAGACCCGGCTATAGGTCTTGCCTTGTCTCCTCTCCACTTTCTCTATTTCTTTGGCTCTCCTGACAATTTCTCATAGCTTCCCTGTTTGAGCACACATTTTGCTTTTCCCCTTGCATTTCTATTGATCATCCAGAAGCTGTTTGCTGGGGCCTTTGCAACTCCCAGCTTGCAATATTTATGTCCATTCTCTTGATACCTATGTGTATCCATTTCCCTGACATTTTAAAATGTGTTTCTCCTCAGTTTTAGCTCTTCTCCTGACTACTACTTTGCCCTGTCCCTAGATATCCTGCCATAATTAATGTTGAATGAAAGAATCTAATCAACCAAGACTGGAAATTCATACAGACTTTGAAATGGGGACAAAATCTTACATTTGTTTCTAGTGTGTCCCCATAGATTTGACTATCACACTTTGGGGCATCAGTGGCATTAAGTGACAAATTACTTCTGGGAGTTGTAGGATGATTCTATGTCAAGCTCTCCACTCAGATCCAATGAGTCACTAGTTCCTACTTATGAACAGGTATTAACTTGCTTCATTTGCAAACCCCAGCAAGAATTTTGGTCACAAGCCACAGTTGCCATAAGAACTGGCTTTGGAATAAGTTAGGCTTTGGTTCCTATGCCAGCTCTCCCATGTCATAACTTTGATCAGGATAGCAATAATAATAATATTTTTTCTCCCAAGACTTACCATAGAGTTTGGTACATAGAAAGTACTTAACTACTATGATGAGGCATAAAAATGTTTAATTAATCACCGAGATTTAAACTGACTTTTAGAGGAACTTTCTTAGCAGGTACCTGGTTCCCCAAAGTTTCTCATGCCCATGACACGCACTATAACCTTAGCAAAGGTTATCAGGATCTTCTGTTGACTGTGCTGTTCTTTCTGCACTTTTGGCTTCTTGGAAACACTGTCCCTCCCAACAGTCCATGCTGAGAGTTTCCAACTGGGTAATCACATCTGTCTAGTCAGATGCTAACTTTCTGCTCCGCAGAGGTATGTCCCTCAAAGTTCATACCTGAGGAATCATTTGGAAAGATTCCTTCCTTCAATATCTCTGGCTGAGTCATGCATACCTCCTCATCAAAGACAAATAGAAAACAAGGTCAATAGGAAAGCGGTGCTCACCTATCTTACTGTCTGTACCTTTTCCTATTATGACTAGCCTCATAATCTTTAGGTTAGAATGACTTGCACTAACCTGTTCCTAGAGTCCCTTCCTTGTCCCTTGTGGCACTTGCCAGTTGTGATTGCAACTGGTGGTTTTAAGCATGTTACCACTTCAAAACTCCAAGCTTTATGAAAACCAAGAAGATGTATGTACCATTTGACTATTTTTATATCTCCCATTTCTAGCCCAGGGGTTGGCATTATCACATAGCAGTTAAGAGCTTGTGATCTGGAGCCAGCCTGCGTGGTTCAGCTTAAAACTCAACTCCATATTATTTATGTGAATTTAGGCAAGTCACTGAAATTACTCCTACTTCAGTTTACTTTCCTAAAAACAGGTATTTTCATAATAGTGTTTACCTCTTAGGAGAGATTAAATAAGTCAATATGCATAAGCACTTAGGACAATGCTTGGCACAGAGCAAGTAACTATTAAAATAGGTACTTAGTAAATATTTGCTGGATTAGCAAATGCCACAATAGGTCCAGTCATCAGCATTTTGCAGACATCATTTAATCAACCCGAATAGTCCAGTGGCTCTAGAGTCTCTTAATTTCTTTTTTCATGATTTTTTTTCATTTACTGCCTCTCAGGCTTTATTGCATTTGTGTCAAATCCACTTGTCTAAACATTTAAAAAAGCAAAACAGTGTTACATAGTTTTAAAAACCATTATAATTTGACTCTATGAGTTTCAAAAACTTCATATACAAGTGCTTAATTGTCTCATTCGAGGTTTTACATTGCTGATGAAATCCACTCATTTAAGAGGTAGGTAGTAATGCAGTGTGTGGGGTGTAAAGTAAAATGCTAGGGGTGTGTGTGTGTAGGTATGTTTGTTTATATGTGTGCTTGTGTATATTTTTATGTGTGTATGTTAGGGGTAGCTGGCTGTGCCAAAGGTGAATAAGATGAAGTTCCTGCTCTATAGAATCTTGAAATTTAATAAAAGAGATAACCATGCAAACAACTAACTAAATCACAAGGCACAATCCTCTGTGAGCCTGTGAGTATCTGCATCCTGCTCTGGGAAAGTGTAATAATCTCTTTTTGTGTCTACGATTGTACCCGGGCTGGCATCTGAGTTAGATCATAGGCTCCTAACATTTCACTTTATCAGTTCGTACAATGCCCCACATCTCTGTGAGCTAAAAAAACATGTTGCTATCAGCACAATGTGAGAAGAATGGTTTTTTTTCCCCGAAGGGACAAAAGTAGTGCCATAAAGCTATAGAATAGGCAAGTCTCTCAGTAAAATGAGTTTCCCTAAAAGGATTTCCTAAGGAACATCTTAAGGTATTTAAATAAACAAACAAATAAGACAACTGAGTAGAGTTTAAGTCTGTGCCTTTTCCTTATTCTCTAGTCCTGGTTCTTTTGACGTAAAGTGAAACATTTTTGGGGTTATTTATTTCCACCCCCACTCTGTCATAATATAAAGAGAATTCTCAGAGGGGAGACTATAGAAGTCTGTCAGCAGCTGACTCTTTTCTGGCAGGAAGACTATTTTATAAAAAAAAGAAGAAATGGATTTCCTCTCCTTGTAGTTCAATATTTTCTTCCTCTACACATTGGTTAAATTCCTCCATCCTATTTCCTTGAAAATGTCAGGGTTGGGTTGCCCCAATCTCAGACAGCTCTCTTCATTATGATTATCAGTGTTAATGCCATGTCATTAATCCTCACGAGTATATGGAGGCCTCACACTGAATGAATGGGGAAGGTCACCATGGAAACATCTGTCTCCATAGATGACTCACGGCAACCCCCATAACTGCTGAACCACATCCTGTCTCCCAAATGCACTGGATGAAGCCACAAATTTGGCATTTCCTACAGGACCATATTCTTTTTAAAAGCTATTAAAAATCTATGCCAGGGAAGCATTTTTCAGACTCATGGCAATAATACTCTTTGCAATGTGTTTAAGTGGGTGATGCTATGCAATTAGTTGTTAACACCTTTTAATAAATGCACACAGTAAACATTACCTGTGGTTTTTCAGCTCCCGGTTTCTTTGCAGTGCTGTCATCTCTGGAGACAGGCGCTGGCAGAGAGAAAAGTGCCCATGTAGAAAATAAGCAAAACACCTGCATTCTCACATTTCAGAAATGATCCTCCTTAGGGGTTAGTGTGGTCTATCAACTTGCATCACAGTGAAGTGGAGGGGAATAAAATGGTCTTTGCTGGATTTATTTTTTTGGCTGCCTCAATGAAAAAAGCAAGCAAGATAACTCATGTAGAAAAATTACATTTGAGGACTGCAGACTTCTCACTTAGCCTTATCATGGAACGGCAGGATATCAACATTTCCTAGATGGAAAATTAGGTCTATGTTGGGAGATATCAGGCTTAAGTAAAATCACATGACAACTACTGTGTATATCCCAGTCACCTCGGCACAGCTACGCTGAGCAGTCTTTCTAGGGTTGCTATGTTCAGAGTTGGCTGTAACTATACACACCGTAAGCCCAGTTGGAAAAGCAAACAAGGGAGTGAAAAAGGGAACAGACTATTTCCCAGGCTGTACACATTTGCTGAATCTTCACAAAGGCAGGTTGTCATTTCTTGTTTATTTCTTGAATCCTAGATGGAAACCTGGAACTTGAGTGATAATAATAGTAGACCTTTGCTAACTGTACATATATTAGCTCATTTGTTTCTGTAAATGATCATATAATGTGGGTAGTATTCTTTACTTCATTTGACAGATTAAGAGACTGAGGCATGGAAAAATTAAGTGATGTTACCATGGTCACCAAGCTCTTAAGTAGCTGAGGCGGGACATGAACCCAGGCATCTGGCATCCAGTTTATTTCCTTTAACTTTAAGCCACATATTTACCTCTTGTAGAGTCATATTTATTCGTTTTCTCTCCTCTTGTTTCCTCTCCTCTTTCTCTCCCTCTCTCTTTCTTACCATTTTTCTACTACTCTTTCACACCTGCCCCCAATCTTTCCCCTCAAGCCCACACCCACTTCCTACTTCTCTCCTCTCTCCTCTCTCTCTCCCTCTCTATTGCTGGAAGTGATGAGCCCCATCTGGGTCCACCAGCTGGCCCCAGACAGGGGATTTTGGCCTCTCCCAAATTAAATCATACTTGTAAAGCAGGAAAAGCTACTCCCTGCTTCCAGATCTCCCCTTCCCACTGACCCTCCCTTGTCCCTCTGTCGCCTTCCTTCTTTTGCATAGGCTTCCAGTTCTCTTGTACTCTTCTCCCACAGTTTTCTCAGGAAAGAATGGGTTGTCTTAAAGTCATCTGATATGGTTTGGCTCTGTGTCCCCACCCAGATCTCAACTTCAATTGTAATCTCCAGGTGTTGAGGGAGAGGGTTGATTGGATCATGGGAGTGGTTTCCCCCATGCTGTTCTTGTGATAGTAAGTGAGTTCTCACGAGATCTGGTGGTTTTATAAGACAGTTTCCCTACCCTTGCTTGCTTCTCTCTCCTGCCATGTGAAGAAGGTTCTTGCTTCCCCTTGTCTTCTGCCATGATTGTAAGTTTCCTGAGGCCTCCCGAGCCATGTGGAACTGTGAGTCAATTAAACCTCTTTTGTTTATAAATTATCAGTCTTAGGTAGTAGCTTTATAGTAGTGTGAGAATGGACTAATGCATTATCATATAGTAAATTCAGTCTCTTCATTTACATTAAAGTTCCCACTTTATGAACATTTGCTTTTTAAAAAAAACTTTGTTATTGAAGTACAGTTTACCATATAAATGGTGTCGTGGACTGAACTCTGTCCCAAAATTCATATGTTGATGCCTTAACTCACTATGTGACTATATTTGGAGATAGGGCCTTTAAAAAGGTAATTAAAGTTAATTAAGGCCTATAGGGTGGGACCTTAATCGAAGATGACTGGTACCCTTATAAGAAAAGGAAGTGACACAGGGACATGTATAAATAAAGAAAAGGCCATGTGAGGACACAGTGAGAATTGTTGACATGTTGATCTTGGAATTCCAGCTTCCAGAATTGTAAGAAAATTAATTTGTTGTTGAAGCCACCTAGTCTATGACATTTTGTTATTCCAACGCTAGCAGGTTAATACATATGGGGAAATACACAAAAATACTCAAATCTTAAGTATTCAGCTTGATGGATTTCTATATATTCATAAACCCATGAAATCACTGCAGATCAAGAAACAGAACATTTCCAGTACCCCAGAAACCTCCCTCCTGCCCCTTCCCACTCACGTTAGCAGTCTGTGCCCGATTTTCAGATCTGCTTCCCTGCAGAGAGGGTTCACTTAGGCCCTTCTCTCTCATGTGGAAGAGCTTTACTTCTGCAAGTGCCCCTGTGCCTGGGTCTGGATATGAGAGTCAATTTTGGGAGTCAGGGTTGGCGGGGCCACTTGGCCAAAGAGCTAAGGCAACATTTTCCAAGCTGTTTTCACAAGTGATAAAGATGACACAATAATCTTCATCTGATTTCTGCATCTATTTCTCAATTGTTTCTGAACTAGGGAGGGGAAAAGGGTATCATTATCTCCTTGATACCTAACATTTTGGTGGTTGGCTGTGTTTAAGTTTGGAATTTTTAAAAATAACCTATTTTTATTATAAAACATTTCAAACATTCAAAACATTTCACACATTCAAAAATGTATATACTAATATAATGAACTACCACCTGATTTCAATAAATAAAGACGATTTACTATATTTGCCTTTGAAAAACATTTTAAACTACTTTAGTAAATAAGAGTTTCTTCTATTATTCTTGAAACCTAAAGGCTCTGGGTCTTTTGAACAAATAATGACTCTAATAATCAAATAAAAATCACAACATGACACAAAGCTCTCACAATTAATTCTACTTTTTATCTAATGCACTTTCCATCATGTTGCATACCATCTGTTAACTAATGAAATGCCCTAAGGCTCAAATTGATAAATACAAAAATCTCCCTTTCTTTGATATGTGATTGAGGATTCCACGCTGATTTGGATTAGATCTTTGATGAAGTAGTAGAGGCAACTGAAAGTTTAAGCAAATTTGGGGTTGTCCTACATCACTAACATCATCCTCTGGGCAGGAATGGGTCTTGGGATCCATTTACTTTCCCTTCTCTCCAACCACATATATAGGAAGAGCACCTGGTGGATCACACCTTGATGATCAGGCAGCTACACCAAATGGTTACAGAAAATATGAATAGGTTTGAGAGGGGAAGAGCGTCATAAATTCTTCAAAGAATTGCTATATGGGTTTAGAGGTGACAAAGCTATTACTGGTGAAGAGTCATCACGGAAAGTCCTGAGTTCTGAATGAAAATGCTCAAAAAATGAGAAAACTGGGACTTCAAAGATAGGCATAAACAAATGGAAGCATATTACAAGTGAACCAGGCAGAACATCAAATTCAGGCCAGGGTTAGTTATTGTTTTGGAGGAATTATCTAGGGCAGTGAATGTGAACAGCTATGAATGATTTTGAACATAAAGAACTCATTGACTTCATGTGCTCACTCCAGAGATCTAAATAGCATGTTTGAAAAACAAATGGCCAAGTCGGGAGAGCGGGAGAGCGGGAGAGCGGGAGAGCGGGAGAGCGGGAGAGCGGGAGAGCGGGAGAGCGGGAGAGCGGGAGAGCGGGAGAGCGGGAGAGCGGGAGAGCGGGAGAGCGGGAGAGCGGGAGAGCGGGAGAGCGGGAGAGCGGGAACTGAAAGTGGTGAGAACCCTACATTAGGTTGAGAAGAAACAAGACATATTAAGAAACAAGTTAAACTGTTAATGGGAACATGTCTTGATTTTCTTGTGTGATTCCTTCAATTCTTTAGAATTATCAATATGAATGATAAACCACATGCATCCAGTAATAAAAAATCCCAGTCTACAGCTGCTGAGGAAATTCAAAACCCATTTGGGTGTTTGAGTGAGATACTTCTGCCAGCATTCAGCAGTAGCTTTGCAAGGACTTACATTAGGGTCACATCCTTAGTCTCAATCCAGCCCTCATATCCACCTACTCTTAGGAGAAGGAGGAACTTACCTGATTGGTGGGTTTAGGATTAGTTAGATATAATCAATGCAGCCCATTCCTCTCTCTTCTTCTTGAGTCTGTGTGCTGGGAGAAGGGATGTATTGTGTGCTCTTTACCACTTGATACGACCCTGCTACAGTGTGGTAGGTCTGCCACTTTCTGGCTGTACTTATGGACAGAAGGGAAGGGGTAAATTTGTTCATTTCAGAGGTGAAGTCTTAGCAAGTTCGCACTGCCAGTGTCTAAGCCATAGTCTCCAATCACTTTTGTTAGTAATAAAAGTGTATTTTGTTAGTAATATACCTTTTGTCACTTTTGTTAGTAATAAAGGTATATTTTGATGTTATCCCAAAGTTGAACATGGAGGAAAGATATGTTTTTCAACAATACTTTCAGCAGTATTCTGCTCTATTTCCTAAATGACAGGATAGAATTAAAATAAATTTGCAATGATGTACTAATATAAATAAATGAAGTATCAGTAATGAATGTACGAATTAAGTCAGAGCATGTAGCCTTGAACAAGCTGGGGAACAGAATATAAGGTCTTACATAATCATACTAATGGCTAATATTTACCAAGTGTTTATTCTGTCCAATTAATTTTGGTAATATTGTGAGCCCCATTTTTTGTGAGTCCCAATATTGTGAGATGACAGCCAAAAAGACGTGGAGACTGGATTCATAATCAAGGGCTTGATCTCAGAGTGGGTTCTTTTAGAATATACTGGAAATTTATTAAGACAAATTTGTCTCTGAACTTCCTTGAAAATAGAACTTTTGTTATCAGTGCTAATAGTTCTTTCCTTTTTCCTTTTTATATTGAGATATATTACCAGGAGAAAAATAAATTATCTGTTAAGACATCCTGCAAAAGTATACTCCAAAAAGTTTCCCCCAATTTATCCTGCCAGTAAGGGGACATAAGTGTGCACATTTTAATCCACCTTGGATTAAGATTTATTTAAATTAAAATGTATTTTAAAATAGGCTATTGTCACTTTTTATGTTTAATTTCAGTCAGGAGAGTCTGTGGACATCCACAGTATCAAGCAGCCTCAGAACTTTATTGACTTAAAACAACTTAGATGTATATTTTGCTCAAACTACATAATTTTTTACAGGCTAGGTGGGTGCTCTGTCCTCTATCCTTTCTCTAGAATCCCACGCAGAAGAGCTGTATAGGGTTTTGCATGTGCTATTCAATGTTCTTTTCCAGAAGTAAAAAATATCACTTAGTTCACAATCCATTAGTCATAACAAGTCATCTGGCTTCACCCACTTACAAGTTGCCTAGAAGTGCAAATCTACCATGTACCAAAAAGGAAGAAAGCTAGACAACACTTTGTGATCAGCACTAGGATTGCTACATGTTTTTACAAGTTTTATAGCTGAAAAATGGCAACTAGCCTTCTTTGGCATTTACATTACAAGAGAGGTTATGCAATTATTTTCTCTTTTGTGAATTGTTTGTGCATGCCCTTTTTTTGTCTGACATATTAAAATGGGTATGTTGGCAGAGTCCCGTAGAAAAGTTGGTGGAGGAATTTAAGTTGTTCTCAAGTAATCAACAAAGATTATCCATTTCTACTCCCTGCCCCTTACCCGCTGCTGTCTCCCTTATCCCTTGGAACTAAGAAGTTGTATATAGGAAAATATTCTGGAGGGTGGTGGTTACCTCATCGTAACACACTATAAGCAACATGTCTTAGAATGGTTTCCATGGGGGCATTGATCATTTAGTGTTTCCTAACCTGTGATTGATTCATAAGTACATCAATATCACATGTCAGGCTACTTCAGGTACTCTGTAAAAGATACCTATTTTTCCAAGGTGTATTTCTTAGGCCTCTCTCAATTTGAAGTGAAATAATTCCAATCTGAACCAGTTAAAAAAAACAAAACAGTGTGTCCTCAAGTAAAAGTTATAGGGGTTTCCTAGGTTTAGGCATGGCTGGATATGTGAAGTCAAATAATAACATCAGAACTTACTCATTTACCACTAAGACCAAACTGGGAAGTTAAATTTGAGTCTTCACTTCCTCATCTATGTATCGGGGATAATTATTATTTTTCTCCTGTGCTTGTTGTGAGGATTCTTTCATTAATTCATGCAAAACTTTATTTTTGAGGCGGAGTTTCACTCTTGTTGCCCAGGCTGGAGTGCAATGGTGCAATCTCGGCTCACTGCAACCTCTGCCTCCCGGGTTCAAGTGATTCTCCTGCTTCATGCTCCCAAGTAGCTGGGATTGCAGGCGTATGCCACCATGCCCGGCTAATGTTTTGTATTTAGTAGAGATGGGGTTTCACCATGTTGGTTAGGATAGTCGGAACTCCTGACCTCAGGTGATCCACCTGCCTCAGCCTCCCAAAATGCAGGATTACAGGTGTGAGCTACTGCACCCAGCACATGCAAAACTTTTAATACAATGCCTTACATAGTAATAGAAATAGAAGATAACTGCCTACTATTGTTCTTACTACATCTACTATTACTGTTTATTCTTATGTATAGATTGTTCAATACACTGAAATGACCTAATTGCATCTGTCATTCTGAGATTTGAATTTAGCTTAACTATTATCTTTAGACTTTATTATTGACAAAAAGATGAAGGTGACAGGTATGAAAGATTTGAAATATGTTTTTCAAATATATCCTAAACCAGATTTCAGGAAGAGACTAGAAACTGGACTTGCCAGATTCCACATATCTCAATGCTGTGTGGAATTTTTTTTAAATTTTTTTTTACAATTTGAGATGGAGTCTAGCTCTGTCATCAGGCTGGAGTGCAATGGTGTGATCTTGGCTCACTGCAACCTCCGCCTCCCCGGTTCAAGCAATTCTCCTGCCTCAGCCTCCTGAGTAGCTGGGACTACAGGTGCATGCCACCACACCTGGCTAATTTTTGTATTTTTAGTAGAGATGGGTTTCACCATGTTGGCCAGGATAGTCTAAATCTCCTGACTTCGTGATCCGCGTGCCTCTGCCTCCCAAAGTGCTGGGATTACAGGCGTGAGCCACCGCTCCTGGTCTGAGTGTGTGGAATTTGACGCACCTATGTGGTAACAAAATGGATATATCCAGTTTATAGCTGGAACTCTGATTCTGTACAGAGGTCAGGATAATAAACAAAAGAAGAGTCATTTGTTTATGTCAGAGATTTGTTATGTGGTATTAAATATATCCATAATGTTAGGCAAAAATGGATTGTGTATTTTTTTCCTCCTAAATAGATCTTAATAAATGGGCTACTTTAAATATTACATACAAAGAAATTTAGTTTTAAAGAATAAATTTGCTTGACATGACAAATATCAAAGGGAACTGAGGAGCAGCTACTTCTTTGGCCATGATTCCAATTCTTCATTCAGTATGTATGCACACCTATTCCTCATTTGTTTGGGTCACTTGCTTCCCCTCTGGAGGAATTTGAGCACTGAGTCTGATCAAGGGTAATAGAGTCCTTGACAAAGTTCATGGCTAAGGCCAGAGACCTAAGTGAGGTTGCCATTTGGAAACAGAAGAAAAGGGGGCCAATTATGGAAGTGGGGAGAATAGCCATCCAAAGAAACTGAGAAGAATCAGTAAGAACAGCAGGAGAGAGCAGTTTCACCCAAGTCAAAGTAGGAGATAGTGCTATCTTTTTATTTACATTATTATTATTTTTTAATTTTAGAGATGAAATTTTGTCCTGTTGACCAGCTGGAGTGCAGTGGTGGGATCATAGCTCACTGCAGCTGCAATCTCCTGGGCTCAAGCAATACTCCTGCTCCAGTCTTGCTAGCAGCTGGGAATATAGGCCCTCACCACGGTGCCTGGTTAGTTTTTTAAGTCTCTTTATAGAGAAGAATGATCAGCGCCATGTTCCCAGATAAATCTAATAGACTTAGTGAAAATAATCTATGAATTTCATCAATTAGAAGATAATGACATACAATGAAAGCAGTTTCACTCTTGTGATAGGGCAGAAATGTACAATACTTTCTGTCTCTATGATTTTGCCTATTCTAAGTAGCTCATGTAAGTGGAATCATATGGTATATGTATTATTGTGACTGGTTTACTTCATTTAGCATAACACCTTCAAGGTTCATCCATGTTGTAGCATATATCAATATTTCTTTTTTAATTTTTTTAAATGTTTTTAGAGATGAGGTCTCACTATGTTGCCTAGGGTGACCTTGAATTTCTGGGCTCAAGCAGTCTTCCCACCTCAGCCTCCCTAGGAGTTGGGACTACAGGCATGTACCACATTTTGCTTTTCCATTCATCCCACTGGTGAACACTTGAGTTACTTCTATGTTTTAGCTATTGTGAATAATGCTGTTGTAACATGGGTATATAAATATCTCTTCAAGATTCTGTTTTCAATTCTTTGGGGTGTATACCAAGAATTGGAACTTCTGGATCATATGATAATTGTATTTTTAATTTTTGAGGACTTGCCATACTGTTTTCCACAGTGGCTATAACATTTTGCATTCCAGCAACAGTGCAGAAGAGTTTCTATGTCTCCACATTCTTGTCAACATATTATTTTCTATGTTTTTAAAAAAGTTTTCCTGTAATCCCAGCACTTTGAGAGGCCGAGATGGGTGGATCACGAGGTCAGGCATTCAAGACCAGCCTGGCCAACATAGTGAAACCCCGTCTCTACTAAAAATAAAATAAAAAAAAAAGCTGGGCATGGTGGTGGGGCCTGTAATCCTAGCTACTTGGGAGTCTTGGGCAGGAGAATCACTTGAACCTGGGAGGCGGAAGTTGCAGTGAGCCCAGATCATGCCACTGCACTGCAGCCCAGGTAACAGTGCGAGACTCCGTCTCAAAAAAAAAAAAAAAAAAAAATTTATAGTATCCTTAACAGGTGTGGGGTGTTATCTCATTGTAAGTTTTGGCTTGCATTTCCCTAATGATTAGTGATGCTGAGCACCTTTCATGTGCTTATTGGCCATTTATATATCTTCTTTAGAGAAGTGTCTACTCATGTCTTTTGCCCACTTTTAAATCAAATTGTTCCTTTTTCATTGTTGAGTTTTAGGAGCTCTCTTTATATTAGTATCTTATCAGATATGTGATTTGCAAATATTTTATTCTGTAGGTTGCCTTTTTACTCTGTTGATATTGTCTTTAAAAATGTATATTAAAAATTCTAACCAGCTTAATATATTATTGACAAATAAAAGTTATATATATTTGTGGTATGCAACATGATATTTTGATGTATGCATACAGTATGAAATGATTAAATCATGTTAATTGACATATCCATTGCCTCACATAATTATTCACAAATTTTTTTCCTTTCCATAAAGTTTAATTTGTCTGTTTTTTTTCTTTTGTAGCCTGTGCCCTTAGAATCATATCCAAGAAATAATTGCCAAATCCAATGTCATAAAGCTTTTGCTGTATGTTTTTTCTTAAGAGTTTTATAGCTTCTTAAGGTTTTAAATGTAGTTCTTTGATCCATTTAAATAAATTTTTGTATATGGTGTTAGGCAAGGGTCCAACTTCATTATTTTGCATGTGGATATCCAGTTTTCCCAGCACCTGTTGTTGCAAAGACTCTTTTCCATATTGAATGGTCTTAGCTCTCTTGTGAAAATCATTTACCGTATATATGAGGGTTTATTTCTGAATTATCTATTCTATTCCATTGGTCTATGTCTTCCATTGGTCTATATCTATGTTTGTGACTGTACTACACTGTTTTGATTACTGTAGCTTTGTGGTAAGTTTTAAACTCAGGAACTGTGACTCTTCCAGATTTGTTCCTTTTTCAAGATTGTTCTGGCTATTCAGGGAACTTTGATATTCCATATGAATTTTAGGATGAATTTTTCTATAAAGAGTATCATTAGGATTTTGATAGGATTGTATTGAATCTGTAGATCACTTTGGGTAGTATTGCTATCCTAAAAATGTTGTCTTCTACTCCATAAACATAGGATGAGTTTCTATTTTTTTATGCCTTTAATTTCTTCCAGCAATATTTTGTAGTTTTTCTTGTACATGTCTTTCATCTCCTTGGTTAATTCCTATGTATTTTATTTTTATTTGGAAATATTTATTAGGTGCCCACTTTGTTCCCCATATTATCCCAGGGAGTTATTACAAAATGATGAGCAAGACAGACATGGGCTCATGGGGCTTCCTCATGCATGTCTTTTGGTATCACCAATTTATCTCCTGTGGCCTGTGGCAAATGTATGGTGTAATTCTAGTCCATGAGCTTAGTATACTTATTTTCAGGTACTCACTCAGCTGTACTTGTTTAAAAAAATGCCTGAAACTTGATTTGCTTGTGTGGATATTAAGAGTAAATCAACTATTCCATACATGTAAAGTACGTTTTATTCTCCCTGTAAAACTCTCAATGTTTTTCTTCAAAATATACTTTATGATATATATATTAACTATTATTTTAAGATAGTTGGGAAAATGAAGGGACCATAATTTAAAAGAAATGGAATATTTGATACATGATGTGGCTGCCTGTTTTTATTCTTGTCACCTAGTCTCAGTTTTTCAGGTTTTTAAAAATATTATAAATGCACACATGTACACACACTTAATTTCTTCTTAATCTGTGATCTTTCAGGTTTCTATTACATAGATTAATTCATGTAAATTTTCCTAGTCTTTTGAAATTAAAGAAAGTCAATGACAAAAGGACCATCACGTGGACAACCAGTGGGAATGTTTCATTCACTCTTGTAAGTTACTTGTTCCCAGTGCAAAAGTTTAAAAGAAAGTCTTTTTATTTATTCAAAAGTTGAAGGTTTTTTTTTTTTTTCTCTTCAGCACCGGAAACTGTCAGGAAAAGCAGTATATACCCCTAATGACTAGTTCAGAAATAAATGTATCATTGTTTTTAATAATTTGATACAGTATATAAATGTTGTTTTGTAAAGTTTAAATTCTACTATTAACTGAACAAAATATAAACCAGGAAATTAACATCAAAGAAATAACCACATTCACCTGTTCCTCTCGTCTCTAACATTCTGCTTTTCCTTTGCTCCGCAGGGTAACCATGGTGAGAAAGATGTTGATGGCTTGGATGGAGAACAGGTACTAAAATTTCTCATTCTATGTTCCGCCTCTACTAGTTTGGCATTTACACATGTCATGATTAATCTAGAAATGTAAACATGCATATTTAATGTTTAAAGTTTATCTATGTTTGTTCTTATCCCAAATATACAAGAACCCTAGAAGTCTAACTCGAATCAACCTCTCCCATATTACATTTCTTTCCATCTTATTTTTGTTAAATCTATCACTTAGACATTGTTATTGTTTTATATAGTCAATGCTTATTTAGCCCTACCATCATATGTCTCCAATTTTCTGGAAGAGTTAGAGAAGGATTAGTATTCATTCTTTAAATGTTTGGTAGAATTCACTGAGGAAGCCATCAGGTCCATGGTTTTCTTCAAGAGATTTTTTGATTATTGATTCAATCTTCTTACCATTGATTCAATCTTCTTACCAGTTGTAAGTCTATTCATATTTTCTATTTCTTCAGGATTTAGTTTTGCAGGTTTTGTGTTTCTGGAAATTTTTCCATTTTATAAAGACTACCTAGTTGTTGGCATACACTTGTTCTTAGTACTATCTTAGAATGTTTTTTTATTTTTTTGAGACGGAGTCTTGCTCTGTTGCCCAGGCTGGAGTGCAGTGGTGTGATCTTGGCTCACTGCAATTTCTGCCTCCTGGGTTCAAGCGATTATTCTGTCTCAGCCTCCTGAATAGCTGGGATTGCAGGCGTAGGCTACCATGCCCACCCAATTTTTGTATTTTTAGTAGAGACATGGTTTTACCATTTTTGCCAGGTTGGTCTCAAACTCTTGACCTCAAGTGACCTGCCTGCCTTGGCCTCCCAAAGTGCTAGAATTACAGGCATGAGCCACCTCACCCAGCCTATTATAATTCTTTTTATTTATGTGGACTCATTATTTCCACTTTCATTTTTGATTTTATTAATTTAAATTTTTCTCTTTTTTTTTTAGTTCATCTGGCTAAAATTTCATCACTTTTGCTAATCTTGAGGAATCAATTTTTGGTTTTATTGATTTTCTCTATTATTTCTCTGTTCTCTATTTTATCTTTGCTCTAATCTTTATTTCCTTCTTTCTCCAAGTTTTGAGTTTAGTTCTTCTTTTTCTAGTTTCTTAAGGTATAAAGCGAAGTTGTTGATTTGAGACCTTTTTTGTTTTTTAACGATAAGTGTTTACAGCTATAGTTTTTTCCTTTAGCACCACTTTTGCTGTGTACCATAAGTTTTCGTGTGATGTAGTTTCATTTTTCATTTGTCTCTAATTATATTCTAATTTCTTTTGTGATTTCTTTGATCCATTGGTTGTTGAAGACTGTGCTGTATGATCCTTTTGTAGTTCACAAGCCTGATGATTGGGTTTTCATTCACGTGGATGAGATGCACCTCCCTCAAACCTGGTTGTTACAGCATAGGCACATTACTTGTCTAACACGAAAAAAAGGAAAAAGGAGTGTGCTGTGCAATTTCCACAAATTTGTGAAGTTTCTAATTTTACTTGTGTTACTGAGTTCTAATTTCATCCTGTTGTGATCAGAGAAGACAATTTGCATAATATTTATCTTTTATAATCCATCGAGAATTGGTGACTTAATATATTGTGTCTGGAGTTGGTTCCTCCTGGTGGGTTTGTGGTCTCCCTGACTTCAAGAATGGAGCTGCGGACCTTAGCAGTGAGTGATACAGCTCTTAAAGATGGCACGGACCCAAAGAGTGAGCAGCAGTAATATTTATTGTGAAGAGCAAAATAACAAACATTCCCCAGCACGGAAGGGGACCTGAGCGGGTTGCCGCTGCTGGCTGGGGTGCCCAGCTTTTATTCCCTTATTTGTCCCCACCCATATCCTGCTGATTGGTCCATTTTACAGAGTGCTGATTGGTTCACTTTACAGAGCACTGATTGGTCCATTTTACAGTGTGCTGATTGGTTTTACAAAACTCTAGCTACAGAGCGCTGATTGGTGTGTTTTTACAGAGCATTGATAGGTGCATTTTACAAACCTCTAGCTAGCTACAGAGTGCTGATTGGTACATTTTTACAGAGCACTGATTGGTGCATTTTACAAACCCCTTGTAAGACAGAAAAGTCCTCCAAGTCCCCATTCGACCCAGGAAGTCCAGCTGGCTTCACCTCTCAATATGATATATCTTGATAAATATTCCATGTGTACTTGAGAAGAATGTGTATGCTGTTGATGTTGAGTAATGCTCTGTATGTGTCTGCTAGATCTAGTTGGTTTGTGTTGTGTTCTATTTCCTTTCTTATCATCTGTCTGATTGGTGTCTTCATTATTGAGAGGGGAGTACTGAAATCTTTAACTATTATTGTAGAACTATATTTCTCCCTTCATTTCTGTCAGCTTTTGCCTCATATATTTTGATGGTCAGTTATTAGATGCATGAATGTTTATAGTTTTTATATCTTCTTTCTGTATTGAACATTTTAATTTATAATGTCCTTCTTTATGTCTTTTTCACTTTTTGGATTTAAAGTGTATTTTCCCTGATATTGGTATAGCCACTGCTGCTCTCTTTTGGTTACTATTTGCATGGAATAGCTTATTTCTTTTTTTCTTTCTTTTTTTTTTTTTAAATAAACACATTTTTTTTTTTTTTTTTTGAGAGACAGTCTCCCTCTTGTCCAGTCTGGAATGCTGTGGTGCAATCTCAGCTCACCGCAACCTCTGCCTCCTGGGTTCAAGCAATTCTTATGCCTCAGTCTCCAGAGAAGCTGGGACTACAAGTGCACACCACCACCCCCGGCTAATGTTTTGTATTTTAGTAGAGACAGGGTTTTATCATGTTGCCCAGGCTGATCTTGAACTCCTGACCTCAGGCAATCTGCCCACCTTGGCCTCCCAAAGTGCTGGGATTATAGGTGTGAGCCACTGCACCCAGCCAGAATAGCTTTTTCTATCATTCCATCTTTTTTTTTTTTTTTTGAGATGGAGTTTTGCTCTTGTTGCCCAGGCTGCAGTGCAATGGCACAATCTTGGCTCACTCCAACCTCCGCCTCCCAGGTTCAAGTGATTCTCCCACCTCAGCCTCCCGAGTAGCTGGGATTACAGGCGTGCGCCACCACCTCAGATAATTTTTTGTATTTTTAGTAGAGACAGGGTTTCACCATATTGGCCAGGCTGGTCTCAAACTCCTGAACTCAGGTGATCCACCTGCCTCAGCCTCCCAAAGTGCTGGGATTACAAGCATAAGCCACCATGCCTGGCCTATCATTCCATCTTTTCACTTTCTATCTGTTTGTATTTCTAAATCTAAAATGAGTCTCTTGTAGACAGCATTTAGTTGGATCATGTATTTTTAAATCTATTCTGCCAGTATGTATCTTTCAATTGGAGAGTTTACTCCACATTTATTTAAAGTAATTACTGATAAGGAGGACTTACTTCTGCCAGTTTGCTATTTGTTTTCTATATGCCTTATACTTTATTATCCCTCAGTTCCTGCATTACTGTCATCTTTTGTGTTTAGTTGATTTTTTGTAGGGAAGTGTTTAAATTTATTTCTCATTTCCTTGTATATAGTCTGTAGTTATTTTCTTTATGGTTGTCATGAGGATTACATTTAACATCTTAAAGTAATAACACTGTAATTTAAATTTAAACCAGCTTAACTTTAATACTATACAAAAAGTTTACTCTGTTATAGCTTCATCCCCACTTATTTCAGTGGCTGATGTCATAAAATTACAGCTTTATATATTATGCACCCCAAAACATAAACTAATAATTCTTTTAAATACATTAGCCTTTTAAATTATATAGAAAATGAAATGTGAAGTTACCAACCAAAGTTACAATATTAGGTTTTTGAGTAATAATTCTTTAAATGTATTTTTCTCTTAAATCATGTAGAAAATAAAAAGTGGAGTTATAAACCATTATTACAATAATACTTGATTTTATGATTGCACATGTATTTACCTTTGCTGAGATAGTTATTTTTTCATATGTCTTTGAATTACTGTCCAGTGTCTTTTCATTTCATGCTACAGGCTTCCCTTGAGCATTTCTTTCAGGGCAGCTCTAGTGGTAATGAACTCCCTCAGTTTTTTTATTTGGGAATATCTCTTTTTTTTTTTGACAAGATCTTGGTCTGTCACTCAGGCTGGAGTGCAGTGGCACAACTGTAACTTACTGCAGCCTCAAACTCCTGGGCTCAAGTGATCCTCCCACTTCAGCCTCCCAAGTAGCCAGGACTACAGGCATGCACCACCATGCCCAGCTAATCTTTTTTAATTATTATTTTTTGTAAGGATGAGGTCTCACTGTGATTCCCATGTTGGTTTTGAATGCTTGGCCTAAGCAATCCTCCTGCTTCAGGCTCCCAAAGTGCCAGGATTACAGGTGTGAATCACTATGCCCAGCCATCTGGGAATACGTCTTAATTTCTTATTTTAGAAGGACAGTTTGGCCAGAGATAGAATTTTTGGTTAATAGATTTTTTCTTTTTTTTTTTTTTTTGCACTTGGAATATATTGACCCAATGCCTTTTGGCCTCCAAAGTTTCAAATGAGAAATCTGCTTATGATCTTATTGAAAATCTCTTGTATGTAGTAAGTCTGTCTTTGTTCAATCAAAGGTTTGATTATAATGTATCTCAGTGTGGGTCTCCTTGAGTTCATCATATTTGGATTTTCTTGAATTTCTTGGATGTTTATATTCATGTCTGTCATCCAGTGTCAGAAGTTTTTCAGTCATTATTTCTCCAAATATTCACTCTACCCCTTTCTCTCTTCTCCTTCTAAAACTTCTGCAATGTGTATGTTGGTCTGCTTGATGATGTGCTACAGGTCCCTTAGGCTCTGTTCACTTTTCTTCAACATTTTTTTCTTTCTGTTCCTTAGACTCAATAATTTCCATTGTCTTATCTTCAAGTGTCACTGATTCTTTTGCCTCTTAAAACCTGCCTTTGAATCTCTCTAGGGAATTTTTTGTTTCAGTTATCATACTTATCATTTCCAGAATTTATTTTTGGTTTCTTTTTAGGTTTTGGTATCTTTATATTTCTATTTTGTTCATTTATCATTTTCTTGATTTTTTTAACATCTTCCTTTAGTTTTGAAAATATATTTAAGGCAGTTGTTTCAAAGACTTTGTCTAGTGGATCTTCCATCTGTGTTACTCAGGGACAGTTTTGGTTGATTTATTTTTGTTTCCTTTGAGTGAGCCATAGTTTCCATTTCTCTGAATGCCCTGTGATTTTTTTTTTTGAAAACTGCATATTTGAACCTAATAAAGTGGTAACTCTAGAAGCCAGATTCTCCTCCCTTTCCCTGTGTTTGCTGTTTTTTGGTTACAATTTATTGTTTATTGATTTTTTTTTTAATTTGAGTGTTTTAAGCTATCTCTGTGTCAAGGATCAGAATGAGGTATATACTTAAGGTCTTCTCAGGTATTTTCTGAGTCAGTGCTTTCCCATGGGCTTGTGTGGTGATAAAAGAAAAACTTCAGCTGAATTAAATTTGAAGGAGTTTAATTGAGCAATGAGTATTTTGTAAGTTGGGCAGCCCCCAGAAGCACAGCTGATTCACAGAGACTCCAGCACAGCTATGTAGTGGAAGAAGATTTATAGACAAAAAAGGGGAAATGACCTACAGAAATTGGTGGTGAGGTACAGAAACAGCTGGATTGGTTACAGGTTGGTGTTTGCCTTATTGGAACACAGTTTGAACACTTAGCAGTCTATGAGTGCTTGGAGTATGGCCGCTGGGATTGCCCAAGACAGTTATTGTTACAGGTGCATACTGTTAAATTAGGTTTTTAATCTTGTGTGACTATTAAGCTAGGTTACAGTTCATCCACAAGGACTCAAATATAGAAGTATGGAGTCCTTCTCACGCCATATTTAGTTTTCTTTAAGTGGTCACTTTCTAATTTTCCTCACATATACTGCTGCTTTTGAATGTCCCAGCCTTTAATGTCTGGCTCCCAAAAAGGCAAAAAGAAAAAAATAAAGGGGAGAGGGAGGAGGCAGTGGCCCTTAAAATCCCCTGGAAGTCAATTCATTTGGGGGTAGGAGGGAGTAGCAGCAATTTGAGAAGATACAAAACAATAGCTGCCTGCTTCTTTGCACCTCCGAGATCAAAAACAACAATCAGTAATCAAAGCTCAGATCTTGATTTGCAGGACAGAGTTCTTTTTGTCACACTGATTTCCACAAGCTGCATTCAAGCTGCTCCAGGAACATGTGCATTGCTACCTGACAAGGAACTGTGTGTAGGGTATGTGTAGCTCCTCCTGTGCAAACTAAAGTTGGCAAAAGTAATAGCAATACACTAAACAAGCCTTCCTTTGGAAGGTGCAAGCCTTCAATAGGATCCACAGTTCCAAAATAGTTACATCAGATAAATTCTGTCAGTACAATTGTAGTAGGGAGATAGATTTTATGTAGGCAGATAGATTTTAGGTAGGGAGATAGATTTCTGGTTCTTCCTATTCTGCCATCCCATCTTCTAAAACTACACCTCATGTTATTATCATTATTACTATTATTATTATTTATTTTTGAGACAAAGTCTCGCTCTATTGCCCAGGCTGGAGTGCAGTGATGCAATCTTGGATCATTACAGCCTTGACCTCCACCCACCTCAGCCTCCCAAGTAGCAGGGACCACAGGCATGCACCACTATGCCTGGCTAATTTTTATGTTTTTGTAGAGACAGGGTTTCACCATGTTGCCCAGGCTGGTCTCAAACTCCTGGGCTCAACATATCTGCCTGACTTGGCCTCCCAAATTGCTGGGATTACAGACATGAGCCACTGTGGCCAGCCCTGAATTTATTTTTTAAATAGAAGATTCATAAAAAAAATTGACCTCACGATTATAGGTAACTAGATTTTTTGCAAATGAAATTATCTTATTAGAAAGTATATTAGATATAAGCAGTTATATTTTTACCCAGAACCACAGGCAGTTCTTTCTATTCAGAGTAAAGAGCGATATTGGGTATATTTCCAAATTCAAATGTCATTCTAAAATATATTTGTATTTTTATCAGTGCCAAGTGCAATGGTAGTTTGTGCAAATTAGTGCTCGTAGTAGGAGTGTTTTAGTACTATTGAATAATAACAGTGTAATTTGAAAGGTAATTTCATTATGGCAAGCTTCCTGGGAAAAGCAAGTGGCCTGCCTTATAAATTTGGACTCATTGTTAGAAATTACAAGTTCATTGAATAATGAATACAGTAGTCACTGGGCCTTTAGAAGTGAAGTTTTAAGTTGGTGATAAAAAGAGGTAGCTTCATAGAATTCCTTTTGTACTTGTTTTTTTTTTTTTTTTTTTGTCAAATTATCAAACCTTGCTTTGGATGTAAGAATGAGTTGCGAGGGGAGCAAAAGGGCAACTGTTCTTCATGCCAAAAGTAATCACTCATTTAGTTTTTTCTAAACATTTTCTTTGTTCCAGGGTAAATAAGATTTTCAAGCCACTTTAATTATAATGAATGATTGTTAAAATCATACTGAACAAAAAATGTTATTGTTATTCAGGATTATTCTATTGAGTAGGACACTCAAAAACTTCAGTTAAATATTAATACAAGATAAGAGCCTAATAAAAACAGTAGAACAGTTTTATACATGTTAAATAGTTAAAAAATACATCAATGGTTATAATACATTTGACAATTTACCTTGAAATAGTCTACAGTTTGCTTGTGAAAATGAGAGTTGGAAGAATTGCAGCTTGTGAGTTACTACGTAGTAGTGAAATGAGGGTTATCAAAATTTGCAGTCTTTTTGCAGCCTTAAAAACTGGGACATGTTTGTTTTCCCTTTGAGATGCAGCTCCTTGGAAGCATATGTTTACAATAGATACCTATGTCATAAATATTTAAAATTTGATCCAATGCATAGTCTTCTCCTTCAATTAACTTCAGTATCCCTGCTGGAAATCTGTGACTTTTTCATCTACACTCATAGCTTTACTGATAGGAAGGCTTTACGAATTGCAGTGGTGTTTGAAACCACCAAACCACCCTCTAGTAGCACTGAAAGGAGCAAATTATGCAGGATTTGGTGATAACGGTCTTTGTATAGAGATAGTGCTTTCTCTTTGATTATGTTTTCTCTTTGATTGTGAGAAAGGTTGTTTTTGATCATTGCACTATTTGGTCTTCATATGCTGAACAATATTTCAATTTCTTGTATTTCTTTCTGCCTTGTTCTTATTGACTTCATAGCACTTGAAGTGATTTAAGATACAGCCATGTATTTGTGCAGAGTTGTCTCTGATGGTCCACCATGTGGATTCCTTTATGCTTGTTGCTCTGGAGATATCATATTCCCTCCTTTCTTTCAAAACACTTTAGTTCAAGATGATCTTCAATATCATCAATACTTAAAGATTTTCTTTTACATGCACGGCTTGCTGGTTTTGAACACAGATGCTTGGATATGTTTGAGAGATTAATTAAAAGAGTGCTTTTTTTTTGTATTGAAAAGTTCATGAGTTCAAAAGAATGGAAAAACAGAACAATGTAGGCTAACACATGCTGTGGACTGAGGTAACTGGTAGATGGCTCAGGTCTGAGCGTGTACGTGTTTTGTGTACTAATTCCCACATGGATCCATCTAACCATGCAGTTTTCTGCCTTTATCTAGTGTTTCTTAACACTAGTAGAGATTTAGCAGAGATAGAAAATTTGTTTTATGCTGAAAACATTCCCTCGTATGTCAATCATGTTGGAACAAATTCATGTTTTAAAACAAGTGCTATAGCAGAAATGACTGTGATAAAAAAGTTTAAAAAGGAATAAAAACTTAGGTCTGTCATTATAGTAAGTGTTAATTGACTGAAATCTCACTTTACAAGACCATCAGATTGAAGTAAAAAAGCACAACTATGTACTGCCTTTACAGGAAATGCATAATAACAAGAGATGAGCAGAGATATATGCCAAATGGAAACAAAATAAAGCAAGTGTGGTATTGTAAATATCAGAGAGGCTGAAATTTAATGATAATAGCAATAATCAGGATAAAGAAAGACATTATACAATAAAATTACTATTAATGAAGGAGATACACTGTTATAAACTTTTATGCACCAAATATAGCAACTAAGCATATAAACTAAAATCTATGAGAAATTAAAATCTATTTGAATTTAATATAATGAAACTTTAGAATACCACTTTAAATTTCAAATATGTCCAGTAGAAAAAAATTTTAAGAGATGCTTTTAATAAAACAATATTAGACAAACACATATACAACACACATACATACATGAATATGAACATAAATATAATATTTTACAGCCCTTAAGAGAAAATATAGCTTAGTCTTAGATTTTAACATATAGGTAAAAAATAAATTAAATATTAGAAAAAATCTTAGAGTTTATCAAACAATTGATATACTATGATAAAGGTTTTATTTTAGAAATGAATGGTGGTTCCTTATCAGGAAGTTTGTCACCAGAATTTTTTTTTCATCAACTTTTAAGTTCTGGGGTACATATGCAGGATGTACAGGTTTGTTACATAGGTAAATGTTTGCCATGGTGGTTTGCTGCACCTATTAACCAATCACCTAGGTATTAACCCCAGCATCCATTAGCTTCCGGATGCTCTCCCTCTCCCTACTCCCCCCACAGGCCTCAGTGTGTGTTGTTCCCCCACCATGTGTCCATGTGTTCTCATCATTCAGCTCCCACTGATAAGTGAGAACATGCAATGTGATCTTCAACAAATCTGACAAAAACAAGCAATGGGGAACAGATTCGCTATTTAACAAATGGTGCTGGGAGAACTGGCTAGCCATATGCAAAAAAATTGAAACTAGACACCTTTCTTACACCTTATACAAAAACTAACTCAAGATGGAATGACGACTTAAATGTAACACCCAAAACTATAAAAACCCCAGAAGAAAATCTAGTCACCAGAATTTAATACAAAATTTAATGGTAAAGAGAATAAGCATGTGGTCATAATAGCAGATGATGAAAATGACGTTTTAAAAATTTATCAGGAATTTCTAATAAAACGAATTACAAAAAACAAAAAGACCATTTACCAAAAGCACAGCTGAAGTTTTTTTTTTCTTTTGTAAGTGATGAAATACTAAAAATACTTAAAATTCATTGAGGGTATAGTTTCCAAATGAAAAAATAGACAAAGGACATGAATGGGCAATTCACAGGACAGCAAATCCAAAAGGGCAACAAATACATAAATTGATGTGCAAATAGGCCTGATGCAGGGCTTATGCCTGTAATTCCAGCATTTTGGGAGGCTGAGGTGGGCGGATCACTTGAGGTCAAGAGTTTGAGACCAGCCTGGCCAACATGGGAAAACCCCATCTCTAATAAAAATCCAACAATTAGCTAGACATGGTAGTGCGTGCCTGTAATCCCAGCTACATGGGAGGCTGAAGCAGGAGAATCGCTTGAGCCCAGGAGGCAGAGGTTTCAGTGAGCCGAGATCGCACCACTGCACTCCAGCCTGGGTGACAGAGCGAGACTCTGCCTCTAAATAAATAAATAAATAAATAAATAAATAAATGTGCAAACTCATTATTTATAAATAAATAAATAGATGAGTCAGGGAAGAGTGAACCCGGGAGGCAGAAGTTGCAGTGAGCTGAGATCACACCACTGCATACCAGTCTGGGTGACAGAATGAAACTCCTTCTCTAGATAAATAAACAAACGATTAATTAAATGATACACAAACTCACTGGGAGTCAGAAATGTGAATTAAATTGAAAATGACATATTATACACCTAATTAGATTGGCCAAAATAATAAAATACCCATATCTCCCTAATATTTGTGGTGGTGTAGAGAAAAGTATTTCCAAATATTGCTAGTGGATATGTGAGGTACTATATTTTTTGGACAGAACATTTAGCAATAAATATTAAAATAAAAAATTTTTAAAACCCTCATATACCCTTTGATCCAGAAATCCCAAACCAGGTATTTAGGCTATAGAATTAAAGTACCAGTATGTGAGCATAAGTATAAGGATGTTTAATAACTTAATTATTGTTCATACTAGCAAAAAATGGAGGAAAATGAATATCCATTGTAATAGTTAACTTATGGTACCTGCATATAATGAATTATTTTGCAGCTATTAAAACTTGTCACTGTTTGCTGATGATATGATTGTATACCTAGAAAACCCTGAAGACTCATCCAAAAAGCTCCTAGATCTGATAAATAAATTCAGTAATGTTTCAGGATACAAAATCAATGTACACAAATCAGTAGCACTGCTATACACCAACAAATGACCAAGCTGAGAATCAAATCAAGAACTCAATCCCTTTACAACAGCTGCAAAAAAAAAAAAGAAAATAAAATATTTAGGAATATACTTAACTAAGCAGGTGAAAGATCTCCACAAGGAAAACTACAAAACACTGCTGAAAAAAATCACAGATGACACAAATAAATGGAAACACATCCCATGCTCATGGATGGGTAGAATCAATATTGTGAAAATGACCATACTGCCAAAAGCAATCTACAGATTTAATGTAATTCCATCAAAATACCATCATTCTTCACATAACTAGAAAAAACAATTCTAAAATTCATATGGAGCCAAAAAAGAGCCTTCATAACCAAAGCAATATTAAGCAAAAAGAACAAATCGGGAGGCATCATATTACCCAACTTCAAACTATACTACAAGGCTACAGTTACCAAAACAGCATGGTATTGGTATAATAGGCACATAGATCAATGGAACAGAATAGAGAACCCAGAAATAAAGCCAAATAGTGAGAACCAACTGATCTTCGAAAACGCATACAAAAACCTAAAATGAGGAAAGGACACCCTATTCAATAAATGGTGCTAGGTTAACTGGCAAGCCACATGTAGGAGAATGAAACTGGATCCTCATCTCTCACCTTATACAAAAAGTCAACTCAAGATGGATCAAAGGCTTAAATCTAAGACCTGAAACCATAAAAATTTTAGAAGATAACATCAGAAAAACTCTTCTAGACATTGGCTTAAGCAAATAATTCATGACTAAAAACCCAAAAGCAAATGCAACAAAACCAAAAATAAACAGGACTTAATTAAAGTGAAAAGCTTCTACACGGCAAAAGAAATAATCAGCAGAATAAATAGACAACCCACAGAGTGGGAGAAAATATTCACAAACTATGCATCTAACAAAAGACTGATAAGCAAAAAAGTATATATAAGATTTCATTTTTATGTTGCAAATAATTGTAAAAGTATATATTTTTGCATGTATATGCCGAAAATATGGTGGAATAGTTACTACATTTTAAAATGTTGGAACATATTAAATATGGGGAGGAAAAATCGAATAAATGTTATAAAGTGGGGAGGGGGGGAAGTGGAATCAAGAATAGAGAAAAACAAGCAAGTGATAATAGACCACAAAAGAAAAAACAAAATGTTTGGGAGGCCTAGGCAGGCACATCACTTGAGCCAGGAGTTTGAGACCAGCCTGGGCAAGATGGCAAAGCCCCATCTTTACAAAAAATACAAAAATTGGCAGGGCATGGTGGTATGAACCTGTAGAACCCAGCTACTTGGGAGGCTGAAGTAGGAGTAATGCTTCTTGAACCCAGGAAGTGGAGGTTGCAGTGAGCTGAGATCATGCCACCGCACTCCAGCCTAGGCAACAGAGTGAGACAGTGTCTTGAAACAAAAAACAAAATGTCTAATATATGGTGGTCTCATTTATGCATTTATGTAAATTAGTATTCTGCTAGTCTTGTGCTTTTTAGAAGAGAAAAATTGATATTTAACAATTAATAGGCTTAATTATAAATGCATTAAAAGCCCTAATAATGAACAACCTTAATCTACCAGAATGAGTTCCAAAAATGGACAATTATATGGAAAATTTGGGCTTTAAAATGGTGTATTTTGTTGAGGCTACACTTGTATCCTGCAGACCAGAGAGGGCATAGGCAAGATGCTGACCTTGCCTTGTCTAGGAAATACTAGGGATGGCTGGAGGGTTGCCGATTTCAAAAGGAAGCAGCAGGATTATATTTAAATGAGGGGTCTCAAATGGGTACTCATGCCTGTAATCCCAGCACTTTGGGAGGCTGACACAGGCGGATCACCTGAGGTCAGGAGTTCTAGACTAGTCAGGCCAACACGGTGAAACTCTACTAAAAATAGAAAAATTAGCCAGGCATGGTGGTATGCACCTGTAATCCCAGCAACTCAGGAGGCTGAGGCAGGAGAATGGCTTGAACCTGGGAGGCGGAGGTTGCAGTGAGCTTAGATTGTGCCACTGCAATCCAGCCTGGGCGACAGAGTAAGACTCTGTTTCAAAAAAAAAAAAAAAATTAAATGGTGGGGGGTCTTATTACTCTGCTTTGCCTTCTCCATTGACCACTGGAACAAATTGCTTTGAAGGTTATGGCAGGTAGCCATCTCTGTATAGGAATATGAACAATTCCTACCTAACTGAAGGTATCAATTTCTAAATTTACCAAAAAATTCTGATGCCCAGGTTTTCATTCCAGAGATTCTGATTGAATTGGTATAAGAGGTGTGTGGCTGGTTTTCTGAAGCCCAGAGAGAGAGAGAGAGAGAGAGAGAGAGAGAGAAATTTACCCTCTCAGGTTTGTTCAGCTAGAATTACAATTCATTTCAAATCTATCTAAAATGATTGTCATTACAAATGATTCCACATTGTGCTTAGTAACCAGATGAAACAAGAGCCAACAAGGGCTGCATTATTTAATTCTCATCTATTAGTAAACTAGGACAAAATAGAGTAATTAAGTAATTATGATATCTAAGGCACTGAAAGTAGGGATAAAAGGGAATGTCATCAAGTGAATATACATGAGGTGAGACACACAGACTAGTATAGAATAAAGGAACCGCCCTTGACAGTGCATTGGAATCACCTGGGGAACTTTAAAAAATACTGATCCCCACCCCCACCCACCACTCAAATTCTGATGCAAGTTGTCCTGGGCATAGTGATTTTAAAAGTTACCCATGAGATTCTGTTAGGTAGTCAGAGTTGAAAACCAATAACCTAAAAGGAAATAGGATGAAAAAAAGTGATTCGTGTAGAGGTTCAAAGACCCTTTAAGATGGGTATCATTCATTCATTTATTTATTCAGTTCAGGTATTCAGTTTAGTCATTCTTTTCATTGCATTCAATTAATTCAATATTTATGAAGTACCCACTTTGTATTTGTCCCTGAATTAGAGTCCCCAACATCACCACTTGATGGATAAAATGCAAATTTGTTTTGACTAATTTCTTTGTGCCTGGAAGGCATCTCTTATTCTGAGTCTGGCTCTATTAGAAAGAGAGGCAAATTTTCTCCTCTTTTCTCTTCTCTCTTTTCTTTTTCTTTCTTTCTTTCCTTTTCTTGTTTGGTTTTAGTAAAGTGGGAAGATTAGGGGATTGAGAAAGAAAGAGCCTAGGAAACTTTCATTTGGTTTCTACTGTGTTAGCTACGGATTCACATTTCACAGGCAGAATCTCACAAATCTGTGACAGAGGCATTATTCACTCCAGTTTACAAATGAGGATTCTGAGACTAAAAATGATTAAGGAACTTGTAATAAGTAAAGCCACTTATTACAAAACTAGGATGTAAACTGCAAAGTTACTTCCCCCAACATTTTTTCTTCCAGTTTCTCTAAAGTCAAAAAGAGTATAGCCACGTCCCCTTGCAAATCATATGTGTATGCACGTATTTCAGGAAGTTGTTCTGGCAATGTTGTTTCTTTGAAATTTCTTCTTGTATCTTTAAAACTCACTTGAATTTTTATTTCACCCCCATATGATGATTAAAATGCAAAAATTGGGCTTAATTTGCCATTAGGAAAAAATAATCTGTTTCTGCCTTAAGGGATGCAACTGCATTGAGTTTATCAATTTCAGAAAATCGTGTTGACTAAAGAGAACTGACTCAACATATAAGGCTCAGCATCTAGGAAATTGCTCTGCTCTGGATTGCAATCACTGAATTTCATAGATCTGGGGATACAAATGGTAACAGATCTTTTTCTCCGTGCTTCTTTTTTTTTTTTTTTTTTTAATCCTTGAGACGGAGTCTTGCTCTGTCGCCCAGGCTGGAGTGCAGTGGCACGATCTCGGCTCACTGCAAGCTCCGCCTCCCGGATTCACTCCATTCTCCTGCCTCAGCCTCCTGAGTAGCTGGGACTACAGGCGCCCGCCAGCACACCTGGCTAATTTTTTGTATTTTTAGTACAGACGGGGTTTCACCATGTTAGCCAGGATGGTCTCAATCTCCTGACCTCGTGATCTGCCCGCCTCGGCCTCCCAAAGTTCTCCATGCTTCTTAAACCCTCAAATGCTGCCTGAATTAAAAAGGCCTCTGCATTCACTGACCAGTCTCACTTAACTCACTGATGCTGATCTTCCCCCCACCCCCATATGGTATAATGCTTATGTCATGAATCAAGAATCTCGAGGACAAGGCAGGTGGATCACTTGAAGACAGGAGTTCAAGACCAGTCTGGCCAACATGGTGAAACCCCATCTCTACTAAAAATACAAAAATTAGCAGAGCGTGATGGCGCAGGCCGTAATCCCAGCTACTGGGGAGGCTGAGGCAGGAGAATCACTTGAATACAGGAGGCAGAGATTGCAGTGAGCTGAGATCGCACCACTGCACTCCGGCTGAGGAAATAGAGTGAGACTCTATCTCAAAATAATAATAATAATAATAATAATAATAATAATAATAACAATAGTAATCTCAAGTGACTCATAGTCCCTATTAGTAACTCTCTTCATCCAGTGAAATTTTATTTTTTTGGTAGTGATTCTGTGTCTATTTCAAACACTCATTTGGCAGCACTTTTTATTTTTGGCAATTATTTATTCAACTCTTGTAAGTATCTGTTTACTTTGCATATTTTCTGCTGGTATAAGCTCTAGGAAGGTAGAAACTTAGTCTGTGTTTCTAACTAATATATCCTCCACACCTAGCATTTTGCCTGGTAGTATATATATTGGGCATTTAGTATTTGTTGAATGATCGCAGCATAGGACTTTCACAGATAATTTACTCCTAAAATATGCTTTTGACATGTCAAGCTTCACTGACCTTGAAGAAAGCCTGAAGTAATTTTTAGTTTAATTGATTTTGCCTTTTTATTGTATTGTTCTATTCATGATTTCATTTCAGTTGCAAAACATTCTGAAAACGTTTTGAGAGATTTGTTTGAAATATAGCTATAAGAATGGTTGTCCAGGGATTTTTTTTTTCTTTCCTTTTTTTTTTTTTTTTTTTTTGATATAGAGTCTCACTCTGTTGCGCAGGCTGGAGTGCAGTGGTGCAATCTCGGCTCACTGCAACCTCCACCTCCTGGGTTCAAACAATTCTCCTGCCTAAGCCTCCCGAGTAGCTGGGACTACCAGCATGCGCCACTACGCCCATCTAATTTTTGTGTTTTTTAGTAGAGATATGAGGTTTCACCATATTGACCAGGCTGGTTTCGAACTCCTGACCTCGTGATCCACAGGCCTTAGCCTCCCAAAGTGCTGGGATTACAGGTGTGAGCCACCGCGCTAGGCCTAGGGATTTTTAAAAAACAAAATCTCACTCAATATTCAGGATTATTTATATTTTTACAATAATAAAATTTAAAATACAAATAAGCATCAAAACTCACCAACATGTTTAGTATCGATAGTTTCTGTGTTACCACCAATTCACAAGATTAGGTTAAGAAAATATCCTTTGGTTGTTTCTTCTGTCAAGATCATTTTAGGGACATCTGAAGGGTAACTGACTCCATAATATTAGATTTCTATGCATTTCCATTGTCTTGTATGTTGTTACTGGTTTCAAGTCTATTTTCAAATTACTGGTTTTTAAATCACACTCAATATTGCCAGTTGAACATGTAATTTAAAACTTATTTCCCCTCTTAAGTTATATAAAAGATAACAAATTTGCTTACCTATCTACTGTTATTAGAATTTTCAGCCAAGCGCGGTGGCTCACGCCTGTAATTCCAGCACTTTGGGAGGCCGAGGCAGGTGGATCACGAGGTCAGGAGATCAAGACCATCTTGGCTAACACAGTGAAACCCCGTCTCTACTAAAAACACAAAAAAATTAGCCGGGCGTGGTGGCGGGCGCCTGTGGTCCCAGCTACTCGGGACTCTGAGGCAAGAGAATGGCGTGAACTCGGGAGGCGGAGCTTGCAGTGGGCCAAGATCGCGCCACTGCACTCCAGCCTGAGGGACAAAGTGAGACTCCGTCTCAAAAAAAAAAAAAGAAAAGAAAAACTCATGTAATTGGGGAGCTCGTGATATTGGGAATTAGATTAGTCTCAAACCTGCCCTGTGCATATCGAGTATTGAGATATATGCAACTACTATATTTCATTCATGGTATTATTTTACGTATATTCCTTATCAATCACCTGTCAAATTAGGTAATTTTATTACACACACAGGTATTTATATAATTTTTAGTGACACAGGACAATTATATATTATTTCATACTATCCTCACACTGACAGAGAAGATATTTGTTGTTCCTTAAAAAATCAAACAAACAATAGAAAGCAGCTGAGAATATTGAGATTCAGTCTTGCCCAAGGTCACGTATGCTCACACACAGCTAGAACCAGTCACAGATCTGCTCTTCGTCTGGTGCTGTCTACTCTGATTTTCAAAATAGTGGCTCCTGTTCACTCTCCCCTATTTTAATTTCAGAGTTCTGGCAGAATGGTAAGAATGTAAAGAAAATGGTTCACTGCTACCTCTGGTATACACTTTATCTTGTAAGAATTTATGGTAGATGGTGTTGGGGAACAGTGCCTGCATGGCAATTCTTGCAGCATCTCTGCTGCTGTATATCATCCCATTTTCTTATTTGCCACATTGTAAATCAGCTTTGCAAATAGCCACTCATACAGGGAAGTAACACTTTAGGCTGGATAGTACAGTACTTTCCAATTTTGTAGATGTTTTAGGAAGCTATGTCTGCTGAATATGCCACATTTCTTATCACTGTCATCTCAAAACCATAATTAATATTAACCGAGAAATGATGATCAAGGTAATAGTCTCAAAACTCTTTGGCAAATAAACAATGCTATTGCAGCACAACTTTGTTAGGCAGGATGTATATAGGTAATTAATACTTTTAGGATATCTAAATAGCTATTCTGTGGGGCTGAGGAAGAAAAACTTCATCAGGAGAGTGGCAATAAAAAAAAATGATGCAGTACAGCAAGATGCCGCTGAAAAATAATCTTTGCAGAAAGCAGAACAGGCACAAAGTACATATTTGGAGCTCCTTTTAAGAAAAGTTTTAAGCTGATCCAACTGAGTATAAAGTGGAGTTGCATGCTCAGGGTAAGGCTCTGCAGAAAGCATTGACCAGGTGTGTGTTTATGGTTTTCAAAGCTAGAACTAGCTACTGTGCCAGTGGCTTTTACAGCATCTGGTGGGTAGGAACCAGCATGAGTCATCCGGGGAGCACTGGACTAGCCGGGGCACCCCAGTACCCACTAAAGAGCTGACCTAGCCTCTTGCCTGGGGCTGAGAAGCTGCATTTGGTCTAGATCAAGGTCCTAGGGAGGAACTAAGCAGGTGGTTTGATCTGAAATACTTGAACTGGCACAACGTCAAGTAGGCCAGACAGGTAGGGCAGAGGCAGGCATAGCAAGAGCACCATGAACTGGTGACTTAGTAGATGCCTGGCCTCAGTTCTTTTTGGCTAAGGGCTGCTCTGTTGTTCTTTGCCTTTTCTGCTTCCCTGTGGGATAGAATTTGCAGATCTAAGAGGTTCAAAAAGTTGAGAAAAGCCCTGTTACCTGGAAAAAATATCATATTCTTAGTTCCCTAGGAAAAGTCTTCTGATTCTGAATTAGAACTTGTTATTGACCTTTGTCCTCACTGGTAAAATCATTCCCTGGTGTTAGAAAAAGTGAAATTTGTGCTAGGAAAAGAGGAGAATCTTAAAACCACGGATGCATCTGTCCTTAAGCAGTAAAATCCTAACCCGAGAGAATCCATGAAATCTGCAGCTCTCCTTACTTTGCCCTTGACTCTGTCAGCTCGTTTACTTAAAAAGGCAATGTGGGGCAGACTGATAAGATGGGTTCCCCAGAGTATATCCACTGCCTCTTCAACCTGGCTGCGGGTTGACGGTTTATATAACACTAACTCTGAATATGTGGAACTGACAGTTGTCAAATTAGTATTTATACAGAATTTGCTCCATATGTAAAACCAGTCAGGCTCAAGTTTTAAACAATGGACATTGGTTTTATACTTTCTGATGCTTTAAATGCCATCCTAGTATAACTGAACCTTACCTTGGCATAGAATTATGGTAGGATAAGCGCCGGGCTACTTTTAGTGCACAGTCATTAAGTACCTCTCACGAGATAACTTTATGATTATCCCTCAAGGGAACTGTGGGTAAGACTATTCTTCCTTTTCTCTCCTGTCGAGTTCCAGTCACAAATTCTCACAGAGAAGAGGCTTAACTAAAATTTCATTTTCCCCGTAAGTTTTGTACAACTCTGTTAGAGCTTCAGCATTTGGAATAGGCCCCAAAACCCCCTTTAATACATTCACTGACCAAAAGTTTCTCTTCTCTGCATTTACAAAATGAACAATAAGCTAATGGTATCATTTCTGCCAGAAACTGCACAAGCTGAAAATATACATGTTTAAAAAAACATTTTAGATACATCTGAGCAATATTGTCACCATTTGTAAACATCATGGAAGACAATTATTCTCATAGCAGGTCTCAATGACAGTGAAATGGTCAGAGCCAGTATACCTGAAAGTTATGAAGATGTTTGAGAAATAAGGCTTTAGTCAATGGCACCTACTGAAAGATTTCTGAGCGTGGAAGTATATACAACTAAGAGGAATTAAGAAAGATCATGTAATAAAATGAGGAAGAAAATCCTTTATCACTTCCCCACCAGACATTTTTATCATTTTATATGTTTTTCCCTTATGTAGCACTTGGTAAATTTAGAATTATATATATGTAAGTGAGTCTTTGAAGAATGCCTTATTTCCGCAAATAAAGTAGGAGATCCACAAGGGCAAGAACATTGCCCATTTTCCTCATCTTGAATCCCCCATATACTGTGTATGATGCATGGAGCCTGCACAAGATGAGTGTTCAATTTATTTTTATGAAAGAATAAATGAATTAGTGAAAGAATGAATGAGTCTAGTAGATAATTAGAGGCTTAGACAGTCAAGAAAGTAAGTGCAAGGGTGCCACAGAGAGTCAAAAGAGTTGACAGTGAATAATATGACTGAAGAGTTTATGCTCTGTGCCCTGATTTATAGCCTGTTGAGTACCAATGGCCCTGAGTGCCCAGGTATTGACCATGACCAGCAAGCATTGTGAGACCTGAAGGTGACTCTTTTCTCTGATTGTGTTGGTAGCAGCAAGCTGTTATCTTACTCTGGATTCTGATTACGTACTATGTATACAGTAATTGTGTAATAGGCCAGGTGAGCATTAAACAAAGGCTGTTTTCATTTCTTAAACTTCTTGTGCAATTCTTTAGCATAAGAGATGACAAACAATTTGGCAGAAAGTCAAATGCTTTAAAAATATTTTCGGGATAGTCATTAAGATATCATTGTTGTAATTCCTTAAAGTTTATGGTAACTTTTAATTGTATGTTCAATAGGAACAAATCCAAGCTGGCCTATCGAACTGGTTGGTTGTGTAATTAATATACATAATAAAGACATTAAAGGACCATCTTAGCTAATAATAGCAAGCTTATCTTCCTTAAGTGGGCTATTTTTTTCCAAAACAATTTGCAACATAATTTATTTAGGCTAGTTTATGTTCACCAAATTTCTTTATGTACTGTCTACTAGAAGCAATTTGTCTTTTCTTCATAGGCTTATAAATTTGAGTTTTAAAGCCAATTAAAGAAAAAAATCAAATGAACTCAGCCTAATTTATTGAACTAAGAGCTTTTACAGAATAAAAAATATATGGAATTTTATGTCTTACTTTGTCTTTAATGACTTTCCTTTTAGTACCTTAGACTTCAATGCCCCATTATATAATTTTTAGAATTGAGTTAATACTTTAACTAATACATCTATATTTATCTTCTGTATATAATAGATGTGTTATAAGCTATAAGCTCCTCTAAACAATATCAAATATGAAATGTTCAACACAAACCTGTATTAAAGAATTTGTTTTTACCTCTTGTTTGGTAAAGCATTAAAAAAAAGTCTCAATAGTTTTAGAAAACATTTATTCAAATACCAGGCTAGATGTTGAGGATATAGTGTTGAAAATGTAATCTTAAGTTCACTGTGTATTGGGAATACAGATAAAGAAGCCAAGGATTTCATTACAGTGTGATAAGTAATATAACAGAGGAATTCACACAATATTTAAAGATGAGAGCAGAGAATAGAGGCATATTTTTTAACCTAAAAATTGACTTTGTTGTCAAAGAAGATTTTCTATAGGCAACTAAACTTAATGCATTTCTTGAAGGAAAAGAAGATACCAGCCAGGAGGAAACTCGTGTGTGTGTGTGTGTGTGTGTGTGCATGAGAGAGAGAGAGGTAGTACTTTGGGTATTTCGAGTATGTGCAAAGCATGTGCAAAGATATTCTGGCATCAAATAGCAATGTCTCACTTTTAATTCTGTGTGGTATTTAGGTTTAGTAACCATTGATGAAAAGTTGGGGGAGATAAACAGGAGACAGATCATGAAGAAACCTTTAAAACATGCTAAACAAATGGCTCTTTATTTTAAGAATAATGTGGATCCACTAACAAATCTTACACAGAATAGTCCTTTTTTTTTTAGGCTACATACTGTCCTTCAATATATATATAAAAATAATACGGCCTCCTTTAAAAAATGTTGAAGTGCAAAATAATCATTTTTTCTAAGCTAAAGCAATTGTAATCTCTGATAAGATTTTCTGAATTAATCTATCATATGATTTGTTTAATTAAAGAAGTCTCCTTTCTTTCACCTACCCCTTCCCCAACCCTTAGATGGGATTATTATATTATTTCCTTGCAGTCACTCAGTTGAGAATAACAGATTTAGGATCAGTGTGGAATGTGGATAAAGAAATCTCAGAATGACCTGGGGAGATCTGTTAGCAGGCTCTTGGGTATTGCAGGTAAGAGTGATGTGTGCCTGTGCTGACATAGCAGTGATAGGAACTGAGAGAATGGGATTGGTATAAGAGATACTATGGAGGTTGCATCAGTGAGACTTGGTGGTAGATTGAATGGGGGATGGAAAGACAGAATGGTTGATGTTGACTGCCCAGTTTCTTGCTCAGCCTATTGGGTAGATGGTGACACATATCACAGTATTTTGAAGGGGTATGGAAAAGAGGTAGAAAAGATGGTGAGTTCAGTTGGGTATCTATTGACTTAGAGATAGTAATGTGTAATAGGCATATGAAGATATGGGTTGGAGCTCAGAAGAGATGTCTGCTAAGCAATTATGAATCTGAAACTCATTGCTGAACAGATAGTTGAAGTTACAGGTTTGGCCATGGTGTTCCAGGACAGAGAGTTGACTGGAATCAGAAGAGTATAAATCAAGAAACTTTGGGGAAAATTCCCATATTTATAAGGAGAAAGAGGAAGATAAAACCTGAAAAAAACTGAGAAAGAGCAACCATAGACATAGGATTCAAATCAAGACAGCAAAATTTTGGAAGATGCTGCAAGAAGTAATCACAGTGTCAAAAGTGACTGAGAGGTCAAGTAAGATGAGGACCTACAAATGTCCATTCAATTTGGAGTTAAAAAGTCCTTGGCAGACAGATTGCCTCATTTGTAAAAATTCAGGTGACATTTTAATAATTTTATTAAGCAAAATAATTTATCTTGAAGAGATGAAACCAAGCCAAACCAAAAAATACTCTGATAGCATAAAAGCATTTCCTTTACATATTTTTCTAAATGTTACAAGACACTTTGGTCTTTTGGTTGAAGAGAAAGGAGAGGGAGAGGGAACATTATATTTATGGCATTAACATCCTTATTATTTAAGTCAATTATAGATTTTAGTAAATCCATATATTCAACATGACAAAATGTGCCCCTCCAATCTATTTCTTTCTTTTTCATGGCAGTACTTGTATTTCTTTTTATAAATTTAAATAATAATTCTGAGTGTCATTTTCTAGAATAGCATTAGCGATTCTAGGTTCATAATATAGAGATTATAATGTGAAATCTAACACCATATTAATGCTTTTGGAAGAAGGTAAGAGATAATATAACTTAAAAAATAAACAATTATAGCATCCCTTATGCAGAGAGGCTATAGGTTTCTTCAAGGAAATTAGTAAATTTAAAAGCATCAAGGAAGATTTATTCCCAGAGCAAGGTTTTTCTCTCTGATGCAGGTTTTCCAGTTTGATCCTTAAACATGGGAAGAAACATACATGAAGTTTGAATCTGGTGACAAGACAGGAAACAGAAGGGAAATACAGAGACTTACCAGTGTTATTTAACAGTATTGTGAACAACAGGCCAACTTCTATTTCAAAGTAGAGCGATCACAAAAGCTCAAAATAGCCTTGGGCAGTACAGGAGAGCAGATGAAGCACTGAACTGGATGCCAAGATGAAATCAATGAGAGAGAACAGGTGAAAAATTGTCAGCAAGAGTTACATTTTGGGCCTAGGAAAGAATGTGACGATTCCAAAGGGCTACCCACTCTCTGAAACAGGATTGTATGAATTATATTTCCTAGATATATAGCACCTGCAGTGTGGATGGTTAGGAATTTTGGAGAAGTTAAATTGATTGCTTATTTCATTGTACGTCAATGCAAACATTTTTCAATGAATAGAACATATCTACAATTAACAGAAGAAAGTTCTAGAAAATGTAGCACTCCCTAAGTCAGTGTCTTCTTGGTGAATAAGTAGATGTGTTCTTATATCCTTGATCAGCAACACCCAAGGGACAGAGACAGGACTGATGAAGATTTCTATTCTCTCAATAAGTTTAGCAGAGCTGATTGGAGTCGTCTGCCGTAGAACATCCACAGAGCAACGATGTATATATATGTCAGTATATCTCAGATGTCCTCTAATTCAGATTGTGAGGGATGGAAGAGCTTTTGTTTCTTTAGAGTCAGAGGGCACGCTAGACAGTTATGTGCACAAAAACATTCCAGAAATCCCCCATGGCGCCGTGTCTGGAAATAGTAATTTCTTTGCTTATTGATTTAAAAATGTCTCAATCTGGAAACCAATTAGAATTTTTACGTAAATATTTCAGTAATCTAGCATTGTGTGTCTGATTCAAGACACCTTTGAAAATCACTGCAAGGCTGGGTGAGATGGCTTACGCCTGGAATCCCAGCACTTTGGGAGGCTGAGGCAGGCGGATCACTTGAGCCCAGGAGTTCCAGACCAGCCTGGGCAACATGGTGAGACCCCCATTTCTACAAAAAATACAAAAATTAGCTGGGTATGGTGGAAGGGGCCTCTGGTCCCACCTTCTCGGGAGGCTGAGACACTCAGGCATCTCCCAGGATCACTTGAACCTGGGATGTTGAGGCTGCAGTGAGCTGTGATTGTGCCCCTGCACTCCAGCCTAGGTGACAGAGCGAGACACTGTGTTTAAAAAAAAAAAAAAAAAAAGCAAATGGATGTGGACACATACAAGATTTGGAAATTTGATTGCGGGCATGACTCAGGGAAATATGAGATTAAACTCTGCTGTGGAAAATGTTCAAGTCCTGATATTTATGTCTATACCATAATTTCCATCTTGCTAAACGTGAGAATTTTTTAAAGAACTATATAAAAGTTGCTTGGAAAAGCAGCATACTTTTCTAGAAAGATGATTAACCAAATGCTAACCAAACGTTGTCAATGAGGAATAAGTGATTGTTCACATTTCTGTGATCCTTTGAAACATGATAGGAATATTTAACTACTCCATAAAATTTGTTTCCCATTTTATATATGTGAGAGTTGCTGGAAACAAATGAAACACCATTATAAAGTATCAAATTCTCTCCTTGGAATGAATCGATTTTCCACCAGAGCCATTGAGGCAATTCCTTAGCTCCTGGTTGTCAAAACCTGGCTTCAGAGAGTGACATCTTTCAGAAGTCCAACTCCTACCCCTCTTGTTAAAAAATATTCACTGACTGCATATTAGTTAGTAAATAACCCTCCCTCCATCTCTCACTGACAAAAAATCGGACTCATTTTCAAATTCTTTCCAAAATGTCATCTCCTTCCTGAAGTCTTTTCTGAATCTTTTCAACCAAATATACTCTGTCCTTCCTCTGACCTCACAAACTATCTCACTCTTAACTTTGTGACATTTATTTGTTTAATTTGTTCATTTGCCACACTATTTTGTAACTTCCTTGAAGGCAGAGTTTCTTCTTCGGGTTTGTATTATCTATCTCATTAGATCAGTATTAGATTGATAGATTGATTGATAGATTGATACAGAGCTAGAGAGACAGAGAGATAAACAGGTAGATAACTCATGTTCGAATATCTTGTTTTTAGTGGAATTAAATTTTAGAGAAGAAAAGCAGGCAAACATAAAAGGATTTTGAAAGATAGAAGATACTTTGGCCAAAAACATATTTATCAGCAGCATACAAATGTGCTTACACATGGAGGCATTATGGCAACCCAAATACAAACTAGTTCTTTTTTTGTCAACACATTTTTCACTATTGTCACAGTAGCTTGTTTACCATATTTTTCTCTTGACTCACTTGCCTCCTATTATTGGGTCCTAGAATGATCATGTTCCTGCTGGATAGAGCAAGACATGTTTAGAAGTTTTGCTTATGGAAATCAAAGTTGTTACAATTTCAAGGTCATCTTATCTTTGCACTTTAAATCTACTATTTAGTTCGTCTTAATCTTTAGCTTTTGTCTACTTCCAACCTCTGAAAGTAATTTTGCCTTTCATTTTGAGCTCCATCCCTGTGTAGAGTTTCAGATGTCTCTTGGCTCTCCCAGTCCTCCCTCTAAACAACTCACAACCCTGGCATGATCTTTAGTAAGATTCTTCTTAGGTTTTTTTTTTTTTTTTTTTTTTTTTTTTTTTTATTAAAGGGCAAGGTGGGTAGGGGAATGGCATAGAAGAACACATTTGGTTGTTTTTCAGGGTACCTAAGTTTATGTAATTATCATCAGGTAGCTCTTGCTCTTTACATGGTTTGATGGTCGTTTCTCTGCCAAGTGGTCTTGAAGTCTTGTCAGGGACACTTCTGCTTCAGCAATGATTTCTATAGGAAAGTGAAGCCCATAACATTCAAACTTGGGTTTTTTATCTTCTTGATTACTAATTAGCTCTAACTTCCAATATCCACAAATAAAACTTCAGAGTCAAGTTAAAAGTCTTTAATTGATTACTTTAAATTTGAAGGGTATGCATACTTATTTCCATGGAATTGCAAGATCAAAGGGGATGAAATTCCTGAAAGCAGTACTGTGTCCCTCAAATCCTCTGATATTAACTGCTCTTAAGGATATGGGGAAATGGGCTAGTTTGGGATGGTCTGTATCATAGCTCTTAGGAAATAAAAAATAAGAATGGAGGCCGGGCGCGGTGGCTCACGCCTGTAATCCCAGCACTTTGGGAGGCCGAGGCGGGCGGATCATGAGGTCAGGAGATCGAGACCATCCTGGCTAACACGGTGAAACCCCACCTCTACTAAAAAATACAAAAAATTAGCTGGGCGTGGTGGCGGGCGCCTGTAGTCCCAGCTACTGGGGAGGCTGAGGCAGGAGAATGGCGTGAATCCGGGAGGCGGAGCTTGCAGTGAGCCCAGATCGCGCCACTGCACTCCAGCCTGGGTGACAGCGAGACTCCGTCTCAAAAAAAAAAAAAAAAAAAAAAAAGAATGGAATAGATGCTTCAAAATACATTAGGACGAAGGTAAATTACACATTTAAAAACTTAGATGTGTGTGAGAATGATGTTTTTAACAAATTTTAAAAGGTGAATAAGTAAAATAAATTTAATTTTGAAATAGTTCTACATTTTTTTGTAAATTATTTCTTCCATGATGATTTAGAGGGACTATCAACAAACCAGTACAAATATTTCATAAATAATATCTGCCTGTTTTCTAACCAATTGAGTAATTTGTTGCACAATAAGCCACTTCACATCTTTCTGCAAGTAAAACATTAGCTGTGAATAGTAAAGACATTACACAATGAATTAGGGCACAATTAAAATTTGATTTAAATATTTCTTTAGGGGAGGGAACACCACACTTCCACTTAATGAAAAGAAACATTTTTAGAGTCCAGAGGTCTTTTGCTTCTTTTACACCTATTATGCCCTGACTGCATAGGGGACAGGTTCCAGCAGCTCAGGCTTTGGTTCTCACAAAGTATGTTTCCCTGGGTGGAGCAGGCTGGTGCTTCAGTTGAACCCAGGAACCTTTCTCTTTGGCTTCTTTCTCTGACCATTTTCCTTTATGTGTTTTAGGAAGCCGTCTCGGCACTTAGAGTGCTTAATATGCTCAATATGCACATGAATTCCCTTGGCAAGAATCTTGTCCTTAACTTGTTTACAACACTGCCAACAGCATGCTGGGTAACACTGTAGATTCTTCCAATTTTGCCATGGTAATACTTGTGAGGCATTCCTTTTTGAACAGGACTCATTCCCTTGATGTCTACAGTATCACCTTTCTTCTAAGTTTGCATGTACATGGCCAAATGAACAACTCCCTGTTTTCCAAATAGACTGGAGAACATGTATCAGTGCCTATCCTCTTTCCCTGTGTGTTCATCATTTTGGTGAATTACTGAAAGATGGTGGTTCTGGCTGAAAGGCTAATTTTTTAATTTAAAAATTTCTAATGATTCTACTTTTAATAATTTCTAATTAATTTCTAAAAATCAATTGTATAGTATTAAGTAAATTTCACTTTTCAGAAATGATCTAAATTTGTTTTTGTCTAAACATACCAATATCATAATTTCAGATTCAGATTGATTCTGTTTAGCAAGCCATTTAAAATTTGCTTGTAGTTCCCGGTAATAGTATGAGAAGGCAACTTCTTCTTATTTATTTATCCAAATTTGCAGTACTATTCAATTCATACAGTATTTACTCATATCCCATTTTAGTTTTGGTTAATTTCTCTTTGGAGAAATATGGGAGACAATGAAATCTCACTTTGGAAAAGAAAAAGAGAAACTAATTCTTATTCAGTACCTATTACATACCAACCACTGTGTCAGATACTTTAATCTCACAACTATTCTTTGAGGTTGCAAAAGTTTTGTGCATTTTTATACGGTTTAAGAAATAAAGTATCAAGAAGTTAAGTAACTAAGTTGCAAATAACCTAAATGACTCAAAGCTAATGGATTGAGTAAACTTTTGTACATTCATGTGTTACAATGCAAAAAAGCAATGAAAGATTAGTAAGTATGTTATTATTTGATATCATAAAATGCCTACTAGATATTGCCAAATTTAAAAAATAGTACACACAACCATTTATATGTATGTATATGGGTGTGTATACACACACATCTGTTTTTTAAAAAATAAAGACCTACATACAACACAAGACTCACAGAATCACATAAAATAAAAAAACCACATTAAAACAGAGAAAACTGGTAAAAGTTGCTTTAGCACTTATATCAGGGTAGTGAGTTACAGATGATTTTCATTCTTTTGTTTATTCACTCTAAATTTCTGACGATGAGTATATCTCAGCTTTATATTTTAAAAAAGCAACGTATCATTTAAAAAATACGTATTCCAATGTTACACAGTTGTAAACATTAGAGCTCAGCTTTGAAATATAAGGTTATATTCTTTCCTCTATGATCAAAGATAGACTACTCAGGCCTAAAGAAAAACACTCAGATACTCCCGTGTGGGGGCTGGGGGACAGGGAGAGAAAGAGAGAGAGGGAAGAAAGAGTCAAAGACACACACTCACACACACACACACGCACACACACACGGGGGGGCGGGGTGGACATAGAGAAAAGAGCTTTCATTTGGCTGTTCTTGACGTTAGACCACCTTCACTCTAATTACTGACTGTACAGTTGTAAAAGCCCTTCCCAATTACATATAAGGATATTTTTGAGTCCTACTGGTTGCTGTTGCAAAGCTATAAAGATCTTCATAATTACCTTCAGGCAGTTAAAAATTTAGAGATCCAGAGAGGTCTAGGTATAGATTCTTTTGGAATAGCGGGCCAGCTGAAATTGTTAGGTGGTTATTATTCAGTACAAGGGAATTTGGCTCTTCCTGTTTAAATGGCAAATTTAACCAATGCACAGATTAGAAGACTCCAAACCAAATCAATTGTATATAGAGAAGAACCTAGAAAAAAGAAAGGAATCCATTTAAACAGCAGAGGAGGTATAGTAATTGGGCCTATAGATCACAGGCCCAACTAGTAAGATTGTATTACTAAGCCAAAATCATCAATAAAAGAAAATAAAGCCAGGTGACTAAGTTAAGGTCTAGTATGACAATGGTCATGAATCAACACAAATAATCTTGGCACAAAAGTTTCAGGACAGGCTGTCCAAAAGCAGCTGAGTAGAAGATTCAAGTAAGGTTTTATGTATGGTATGTTACGCTGATCTTCCTCCCTCGCTTACTTCCTTGCTTTCTCTTTCCCTCCTTCTTCCTATTCCTCCCTCCCTCCCTTCCTTCCCTTCCTTAACTTCCTTCTCTCATTTTCCTTCTTTTACAAAAATAATCTCTACTGCATACATTGTTTGAAGCACTTATAATGATGAATAAGATGTGTCTCTCACCTAAAAAGAGTTTACAGAATATGTGTGTTGAGGTCATAGGTTAATATTTGTGTTTACTTATTATATCTTGAGTACTCATTTGCAGTGTTTTAGTTGTTCACAATCTAACATATGGATTTAATGCTGAACATGTGGCTCCTGCTGTAGAAAGTTATGGGCCTTTGGGCAGAAACCCTACTCCTGACCTTCAAACTGAAATGGATGTCCTAAATGATGTAATGTGTATAGCTAATGATGTTATACAGTAGAACTCATTTGTAATAGTGGTATTGAGAAACTGGGCTAATGGCCACATGTAGACTTAGTAATATAATGAGAGAAATTCATGATGAAACTTTAAGTAAGAGGACATGATTTTTCTTCCAGTATAACTGAATCTTTGCTATTATGAGAAATATTAGGGTGAAATTTAATAGAATTACACAAAACATATTGAACTACTGTTGGAATAGTATGGAATGTGATATCAAAATCATGCTTCAATAGAATACAAGTTTAGGCTTGAAATATATTATATTTCAAGTTGAAATTCATGACAGCTGAATAAGGGATATGGTATTGCCTTTTAATGAGCTAATTTCTTCCCAATTTTAAGAGTGACCAAAGGTCAGCCCTTTTGGATTGCACAGCACACACTTGTAAGAAACCCTTATAAATCATCCTTATGTTCAAGTGCAAGGCAACTATAACACAAGCCCATGTATTAAATCAAAAGTGCCTTTCAGAATATGAGAGAGAGACGCAAATGTTCACAGTAACAGTATGCTAAGGGCTTTATGAAATAGAAAATTAACCTTGGAAGTTTCTCAGTGGACAAGGCTTAGATAAAATAAAAAAGTTATTCCTTTGGTATGCTTAGAGGATACCAAACAATGTAGAACAATTTGTATTTTAATGTGGAAGTTGTTCCGTCTTGTTTATTTCTGAGTGTCAGTCCTTCTGCCTTATCCCCATTATTTTCAAAACTGTAAACTACATACAGCATGGCTCTAATGAATCAGGTTGACAGGGATTGCTAATGCATTGGAACATTTCTGAATGTTCAGAGAAATTTGAATTTAGTAAGTGCCATATCTGAAACCAGTACAGAACCTGGGGGTGGATAGTTGGTATTGGTGGGTGGTCAGAATTTGACACCCATCCCCAAACTTCAAAAGGGATTTAGAGAAGTATTTCTAATAAGACTGAAGTTAAAAGGATATGACAATGGGAATACCAATTGGTTTAATCCTTTTGAATGGCAAATTATTATTAAGAATTAGCTAGCATTAATTTAGTACTTTCTATATGCCAGGAACTGTATTAATTTATTTATATATAATTTAATAACTGAATTACTTACTATGTGTAAGGATTCTTAAAAGTATTAATGGGGCCAGGCACGGCGGCTCACACCTGTAATCCCAGCACTTTGGGAGGCTGAGATGGGTGGATCACAAGGTCAGGGGATCGAGACCATCCTGGCTAACACAGTGAAACCCTGTCTCTACTAAAAATACAAAAAATTAGCCAGGCGAGGTGGCAGGTGCCTGTAGTCCCAGCTACTCGGGAGGCTGAGGCAGGAGAATGGCATGAACCTGGGAGTTGGAGCTTGCAGTGAGCTGAGATCGTGCCACTGCACTCCAGCCTGGGTGACAGAGTGAGATTCTGTCTCAAAAAAAAAAAAAAAGTATTAATGGTCTTGACCTAGTATTTCTATATCCAGGAACTCATAGTAATAATTAATGACCCATATAAAGAATTATGCACTAAAATGTTTGCTTCAGCATTATTTACATAGCATAAAGTCTGAAACAAATGTCCAACACTGAAGAATGCTTAGGAAAAGTTACATAAAGGATATTATACAGTCATTGAAATCATGTTTGCAGTGAATGCTTAATGGGAAGATGATCTCCATGCAATGTTAAGAGAAAAACAAAGTAGCACGCAAAATAGTATATATAAAATACTTCAAAATATAATAAACAATAAACATTGGAACTTTTATAAAAAGACTTAGAGGAGATACAGCAAAATATCAATTGTGGTTATATCTGGGTAATGAGAATTATAAATAATTTTAGTTTTTAAAATTTATTTCTGTATTTTCCAAGTTTTTTACAAAAAGTTTACATCAAGTATATAATTTGAAAAATAAGCTTAAACATTTTCTGGGTGAAAAGAATTCCTGGCTTCTCTACAGGCAGATTCCCTTCACACATCTTCCTGCCCAACTACTGTGTCAGTGGGACCCCTGCTCATGTGAATATTTCTTTGTGCCAGTGTTTGGGTCTCCAGGCTAGAGCAATTTTCTTCTGGGCTTTGGAGCATTTTGTTTCCTACCTCTTAGTAATCCACCCCCAACAGTTGACTCCTGGTTTTGGCATCCACCCTTTCATGAAGCCATCCTCAGGTTGAGGTGGTTAAACCATTCCATTCCACCATTAGTTGCTCACTGCCACACTGGCTGGCTTCATGCTTTAGTGAAGCTAGTAAAACCTCAAGGGATGTATCAAGTATCCCAAAATCTACTTAAAAAATTTTGGGATGACCAGGGGGCATATTTAGCCATCTTTAGCTCTCAGAATTTCGGCTACATCTCTCTACCAATAATCCTGTTTATACTGAGGACTTTACTGATAAGATGGGTTACAAGAATGTTTTCATGCAAGTCCCTAGGACTCCTCGGTAAATTAAGGGTATGGGACTTTGGGATTAAAAGTCAGTTGCTCTCAGAGACGTCGGAGCATTATAGATACTCAAGAAGTATTTGATGAAGGAAAGAATACTAGGGGTGATAAAGGTAGTCTTTAATATTTTTACTAATCAAAAGAATAAGTATTATTTTTCAGAAAATAGGAGGTGGGAAAGACATATGGAGGAAGCAGGGAAATCATTCAGAGGCAGGGAAAATTGATGGAATAAGTGCCGCATTTTGGGACAGATATTCAGGGTTAATAAGGAAAATTAAGAGAATAGTGTGATATGATATCAATGGACATGCAGATAACTGATATCAGTCCTTTAACAAAGGAAATTGCAAATTGTTTTTTCAAGAGTTTCAAAGAGGTACAATTTTTATGGCCTAGACCTTCTGTGGCTGACTGTCATAGGTGAATAATGGCTGCCCCAAAATATCAAGTCCAAATCGTTGGAATTTATAAACGTTATCTTCTTTGAAAAAAAGGTCTTTGCAGATATTACAAAGTTAAGGATTTTGAAATGAATAGATTCTACCTTGGATGACCCAGATGAGCTTTAAATACCATCAAAAGTGTCTTCATAAAATAGAGGCCGAGGGAGATTCCACGCCGACACACAGAGGAGACAAACAGAAGAGGAGGGTGCAATGTGACCATGGAGACAAAAATTGGGGTGGCATGGCCACAAAACAAGAAACACTCGGAGTTGCCCAAAGGTGGAAGAGGCAAGAGCAGATACTTCCCTGGATCCTTTGGAGAGACTGTAGTCCTACTGATGCCTTAATTTCAGACTTTGGGCCTTCAGAGCAGTGAGGGAACACATTCCTGTTGTTTTCGGCTAGCAAATCTGTGGTAATTTGTTATGGCAGCCCTAGAAAACACACACAGTGAATAAAATAACTCTTGTGTGGGAAAACAGCCTCATTCTGATTGGTTGGGGAGGAAAGTGATTGCCAATAGTGTACCTGTAAGACGGTAGAAGGTGAAATCAGCTGTAAAGCGTAGGAAGGCAGTGGTGGTAGGTGTCTAGGAGTACGGTGGCCACAATAGCATCTGCTATTGTAAGAGCACTGGGGAGTGAAGGTGGGAGAATAAGAGTGGAAGGGTCACTTTCCTGAGTGCCCTAATCCCTCTTTTAGTTGACACATCAGACCTAGCCATCCAGATGAGATGACATTGTTCTATTTAAAAGACTGGGTGGGAACTGGAGCCAGGATACTCTGTGGGGTTATTTATCCAAATCCGGGGTTATTATTCAAAAGTGCATGGCTGGGCAAATAGGTTTATGCCATAGTTTATCAAGACGGAAACCAAAAGAAAGAAAGTTGCCAAATTAATTTTTGGGGGCTTGAAGAACAGTTGTTTGTAAAGAAATGGTTTAAATTACAGATTAAAAAAAAAACACACACAAAAATCCGTGCTGCTTCAAAACTCAAACTAGACTACCTCCACAAGCATTCCTTCCTCAAAGCCACCTTGTAGACACCAGACCTAGTAAATTTACATTTGACAGACAAATAGGAAACTTTTTCATGTTACACAAAGGCAACATTATAATCTAGCTGTCAGGCCTTAGCTCCATTGATGCACTGAGATGTGGGCCAGATGAAGATAATTCAGGGAATCTAGCTCCAGCGAGAGTTTCAGGGAGCCCTCCCTCAGTTAGTTGATATCCCAAACGCTTATCACAAAAGCAAGAGAAACTTGATAACGACCTGGCAGTGGTGACCAGACTTATTCTTCCTAGAACAAGAAAGTGATATTCAGAGATTGACATACCCTTAAAACGATCAAAAGGGAAAAGCAAGGTTTTCTTTTTAGAGGTTCAAGTCATGCTGAGTTTGGTCAGATAGTGTGAGGGGCCCAGTCGAGTCACTTGTGAGGGTATATAAAATAAAGTTGGGAAACAAAGGAAACGAGTGAAAAGAATGAGGTATTTATTCACTAAAAGGACCAATGAAACCGATCCCCTCTAAGTGTAAAAGGAGGAGTAGAGATTACTGTGCCTGTTGTTTAAAATGTGTGGACAGAAGATTATTTCTAGAGGACACTTAGTATATATTTACCATGGTATGCATCAAAGGCAACAGAATTTTGTTACGTCGCTTACCATAAAATATTAGAATAAAAAATCAATATTGATGTTTCTGTTTTAAAAAGTAATACATGTTCATTATTTAAAAAAATAAACAAGTGCTGTAATAAAAGTATATAGTATGGAGGGCGACATTCTCAGAGATACCCACTTCTTGGTGTCAGCCACAATTAACTGTTTGGTGTACAAAATCACAGAAATAAGGGCTGATAAATTTGTAGATGCTGTCTAATCCAATTCCCTTATTTCATAGTGGAGGAAGATGAGGCACAAACAGGGCTACAAGGCTACTGAGTTACTGAAGATTGTCCAGTTAGTTAGAGAAAGATGCTGGTTTGCTCTTATATTACCTACAGATACAGATAATTTTATTCACCTTTTTTTTTTCTGTTGAGCTATCAGGGAAACACATCCTAGATATTCAGAACCCCCTACTAGGTTGACTAAAACAAAGCAAGGAAGGAAATTTTAAAAATAGCAGAGGGTCTCTAAAGACAGCTGCTTGAGGTAAGCAAATGAACAGGTGTTTATGATTGAATTATTAGCCTCAATAAATTGAAGAAAACACCATTTTTTTTTCAAACTTGAGGTAAAAACACAATAACAATAGAGAATTTATCACTCTCCAGAACTTTCTGTGTTGAATACAGGAGTATATTTTTAGCTTTTTCTCTAGGAAAACGGCTTCCAGTTTCTGAATCATTTTGGCTAATTTTTATATGCTTCCGATCTATCCTCTGCAGCACTCCCGCAAGCTGCTTATTTTGTGGCAAATAGTAGCAAACAACTTTTTATTTTTTTCAGAGATATCCAGAATTTCGCCAAATGGTGATGTTTTTTCCTCTAAAAGAGTCCTTGTGAAAATCCCTTACTTCTGTCTAATAAATGCCATATTCAATATTTACTTTCTCCAGGGACGATTGTTTCAGTACTATGAAAATCTCAGAAGAGCAACTAGAGTCATTTAACCTACTCTTAATCTGTCCTAATGCCATTTCTCTCTTAAACGTGTCTCCATTTTTTTCAGAATTGTATGCCTCTTAGTTTTTCAAAGCAGTGAGTAGGTTGAGCAGAGAAAGGGCCAATACAGCATTTGTTCTCCTCATACTGCTGAGCATAGTCATCAAAATGTCCTAAGATATGTGTATGAATAATCATCTAAGAATATGTGTATATTCTGTGTTCATATAGAACACATTTATATACGTACATGTTCTCTGATACATATAGGGTTCTCAATTTTTGAATAGGAAAGGGACTTGGACTTTGAGATCTATAGATTTGGGATCAAATATCAACTTCTACTTCATGGCTATGTGATCTTGGAAAAGTCATTTAGCTTCTGAAATTTAGTTTTCTCACTTACAAAATGAGGATAATAATGACTATCTTAAGGTGATGTTACAAGGATTATATATGGTAATGACATAAAAGGTCTGTTTGATAAATGCTTGATGTATCAGTGTCAACAAATGGCAATTATTATTTTCTCATATAATCACATATATTTTCAAAAAACTAAACAATACTGCCTGAAAATATTCATCATTTGCCCTTTCTGTCATCTAGAAAATGCTACTTCTTTTAGATCATTTGCAAATTGTAGCTTTGTTCAGTCTTTCCCAAACTTACACTTTCTCCCCTGCTCCATATTTGACAGCTATAGCTGCTCTGCTATTATCACTTTCTGGCTCCTCTTGTTCATGCATCATTTCAGATTGGATTGTAACGTGCTCTGGAACCACTTCAGGTATTCTGCCCTCTGTGCAATTGCCTTAGAATCAACTTCTCCCACAATTAGTTGTCACTGGTTACATTTTTATCGGTTAACCAAAATGCTTAGTTGAACATAGATTAGGTTGTCATGCCTCTGGAGAGCCTGCAGTTCAGAACTTTTTTACTGGACACTTTCTCTTGTCACTTGATGCTAAGAGGAACATGTCAACAGTGAAACTTATCTGAAAGCTGAATATGAAGTAACTGATAGACTTAGGTGTCACATTATATAGTAGACAGTAGTGTTGCTTGATAGAATATTGTTTGACTCTATGCCAAAAGGCACACTGGGTTCACTATAGCTGTCTAACTTTTCCCATATCAGTATGTCATTTAGAAGCTTGCTAAAAATGTAGCAAGAGGCCAGGATTATTTTTAGTTGGAAAAGCTTCATTTACTTCTCACAAGGTAAATAGATCTTTAATAACTTCTTTAATTTAGTCTTGTTTTTAACACATGAAATGGGAATAAATATTCAGTGATTTGAATGATGGATTCTCTATAACAATGAAATATTTAAATGCTCTTACTAGGAGCAGTAATCGACCGTAACGTTTCTTTTTGACACTCACAAGTATTTTCTGTTAAGTGGGAGTAATGTTTTTAAAACTAAACATAAAATCACAAACATAGAGCATTTTCAATTTGAACTTTTAATACTTAGAAGTGAGCCTTTATTCAGAAGGCTCATAGAAGTATTTTCCTTAATTGTTGCATGCATAAGGATCTCTTCTAAATTAACATTAATTTTATGATTAATTTTGAAACAGAAATCTAATTTTTACTCACTGGCATGAAATGTTTCTTGGAACAGGAAAGAGAAATTTATTTTTGTTTCTTACTAACTCAGTCATCATTTAATGCCATCTGATATTAAATACCATATTTTCAACAATCTAAAATGAATAATTTACAAAATATTTTAATTATATTGTTATGATATTAAATATGGTAGGCTATGTATAGTAACACAAGCTCACCAATAATGAATTTGCTGAGATTAACTGTGAAATCTGGTTGAGAGATATGCCTGTGGAGGATTATCCTCCCATGGTAAGAACCATGAAGGTGGTTCATTCATTTGACTAAAGCTTTGAGCTCATGCTTATGTGGTAGACCACTTTTCCTCCATTTCTTATCAAAAAAATGTGTAGCCAGAGGAAAACAGTATTTTCAAATATTTCTTATAGTAGATTAAGACAATAGTTGCTATTGTTTGGATGTTTGTTCTCTGCAAATATCATGTTGAAATTTAATTCCTAGTGTGGCAATGCTGGGAGGTGGGTCCTAGGTCATGGGACACATCCTGCATGAACAGATTAATGTTCTCTCTTGGTGCTGAGTGAGGTTTCACTTTATTATTTCCCATAAGAGCTGGTTGTTAAAAAGAGCTTAGCACCTCCTCCTTCTTTGTCTTGGTTGCTCTCTGTACATCTGATCTCTGCACACTCTGGCTTTCCTTCACCTTCCAGCTAGTGGAAGCAGCCTGAGGCCCTCACCAGATGCTCAATCTTGAATGTTCCAGTTCCAGTCAGCAAAACTATGGGCTACATAAATTTCTTTTCTTTATAAATTACCCAGTCTCAGCTATTTCTTTAGAACAACACTAAGCAGACTAAGCCAATAGCTCTTCTATTTCCTGTATGTGTAGTGCTTGAGAATAGATCATTATGTAGCAAAAATTCCTGATCTTTGACTTCACCAGAACTGACGGAGGTGTATTTTGTTGTTGCTGTTATTTTTCTCCCTTTAAATTGTCTAAAGGACTATTTATCAATCAATTTCTGGCCATTTCAAACTTGTCGTATTTTACTGTATGGGTAGGTTTTAGTCAGGAAACCAGAAGCCACTCTGGATATTCAGATAGGAAGGGTTTCGATACAGTAATTGTAGGTATAATCATTGTTAGGGCTGCAGAGTGAAGATCAGGAAAGTCTCCCTGTTGAGTAGACCTACAGAGCATTCTCAAAAGTTCATCTGGAAGCTGCTGTGAATCTTAAGAATCAACATTCCTGCTGCCTGAGATACTCAAAGTGGCTGATTTGAAAGCTGTCATGCACAGAAGCTCATGCCTGCATGTGCATATTTCCTTAATTGTTGATAGAAAAGAATGCTTTTTTCTGCTTTGATACCCTTACTACAAGCTTGCTTGTCATTTGCAGAGTAATCTGTAGCCATCCAGTTAAATGGGTACTGGGAAGGGAGTTTTGGGTTTCTCTTTGTTGAAGTAGACAAAATGATAAAACAGGCACAGTAATGATGTCAAGTTGAAGACAAATCTGGCATAGCCATGTTTTGTCAACCTAGCATTCGTATATACTCTTCTACCCACATTCTAACTTCAAAAACAACCATCCAACTTCATGCTTCCACATGATATGATCTAACTATGTCTTATCCAGCCATATATACATATACATATATGTATACACTCTCTCCCTACAGGGGTAGACACAAAGTTCTATAAATCACTGTATGCTATTTTGGGGTGATGTTCATTCTTTTTCTAACTCAGTTCCAATTCTCCTTTGGTATCTTTTAACTTATAGACTAAATTATAAGGTAAATCTCTATTAATACACTTCGCATTAGATAAAAGATGAGGATGGTGGCAAAAAACTGGTTAATATATGCAACTATGTACATCATAAATCAGAAAAGGAAATAGGCTTAGCTTTCACATGCTTCGTTTCTACAAGTGAATAAGAGGCCATAATTGGTCTTTACGATTTTGCTTTCTCCCTATCCATTTGATTTGTTCTCAGTGGGCGCGTTATCTGGTCATGGTTCTTCACTTGATGGGATGATGCAAAACCTCATTTTTGAAGGGCTAGAGCCACTAGTAGCCTTGCTTTTTTGGGTTGCTCTACTCCTTTGCTAACCTTTTACACTAGATATACAAGTACTGAGGGGCAATCCAGAGAATCCTTTGAATCCTCTTTGCCTTTATTATGCAGCAGCAACTCTATTTCTCCTTGACAATCAATATTATTCACTCCGGTTAGTACAGCAAGCCCTTCTTTGACTGTTGCCTTAGTGGCATGAAGAATTCAAAGTGATAGTTTAAATTTCACATTCAGTAGAATCATTGTTAGGTCCACTAGTGTAAGCATTCATTTTTTAGAAATTAAGTCCTCTAAACCTGCAGAGCCAAAAGTGGTTAAGAGAAGTGATATGGTTTGGATCTTTATACCCACCCAAATCTCATCTGGAATTGTAATCCCCAGGTGTTGAGGGAGGGACCTGGTGGGAGGTGATTGGATCATGGGGATGGTTCCCCCATGCTGTTCTTATGAAAGTGAATGAGTTCCCGCAACAGCTGATGGTTATAAAAGTGTTTGGCAGTTCCCCCCACTTTCTCTGTCTCCTGTCGCCATGTAAGAGGTGCCTTACTTCCCCTTTGCCTTCTGCCATAATTGTAAGTTTCCTGAGGCCTCCCCAACCATGCAGAACTATAAGTCAATTAAACCTCTCTCCTTTGTAAATTACATTGTCTCAAGTTGTATCTTTAGAGCAGTGTGAAAATGGACTAATACAAAAAGCAAATCTTTTGTGATTGGGTCTTTAAGAATAACAGAGAGAGGAACCACTCCCATTCCCACTTCTTGGCTCCTTTATCCATGTCTTCTGGCCATGGGAAAAGATAGTGTCATGTTGTCATATTGTTTGCTAGTTCAGAACATATATGAAATCTTTCAGGACAGCACATAGCCAAACAAGGTATTATTACTTAGCCAGCACCCAAAATGAGTTTTTAATAGGGCATTCCACTGTTATGTCAGGCAGGCCAACTTGAGGTGATGTGGTACACTGTAAGACCAATAAATTCTACAGATGTGAACATTTCCCTCATTCTTTGCTGGTCAATGTGTTCTTTGGCCAGGAGCAAAGTTATATGGGCATCATTAAAGAGAATCAGGCTTTCCATTAGCCTGTGGATACTGGTACTTTACAAAGGCAGAGCAGACAGGGATGGCACATTCATATCTACTGTGTTTATTCTGGTAAAACATGCTGTTCTTTCTTCCATGATGGAGGTAGTCAACATGGCTAGCAGATCCCCTCAAGAATAGTGCCACAGAAGGAAATCAGCATCAAACTCAGCTGACAACATACTATGTTTTTAGCAACTGTGATAGCTAGAATAGTCTTATTGAAGAGAAGACCCTGCTTTTGAGCCCATGCATAGTCTCTATCACTGACACTTTGACCATTTTATTTATGAGCCCATTGGTCAAGCTCAAATGGCTGGGAAGAGGGTGGCTAATATTCACAGAAAGCGTTATCTCGACTTTATTATTCGAAAAATGCCTTGCAGTTGAAGCCTGTTTGTGAGCAATTACTTGGGGCACAAAAAATTTCAAACTCTTACCATTCCCAGAGGTTTACCATTTCTTACTCAGACCTTTGTGTTATCAATCCCTTATTTTATTTTCTTCAAAATCCGGAGAAATGAGAAAACCACTTTCCATTGTCCAGTGTAGATATGGCATCTCTTTCCAAAAAAGAAAAAAAAAATTGAATGCAGTTCTGCCCACTAGAAAGATTTCCTTTTTCCCCAATCCTTAACGGCCATTACATAGTGGGACTGAAATGCTACATGGTACAAGACTATTGTGTGGACATATCTACAAACCAGGACTGATTTGTTTTACCTCAGTCACTTGATGATGAACTCCCCCTGAGGTCCCAAATGTGGTGTGTGGTATAGTTGTCAATGCAAGCTTTTGATGCCAAAAGTTCAAATTTTGCCATCAGTTCAAATTCTACCCCATATCTCATGTTTCTACTCTGGCTGGTGTGAAGGGCAACTTATGCCAAACTTATGTGAGCTTGCTGAATTTTTCTCTATAGCACAACACACCTGTGCTTTCAGGACTAATTGAGCTCAGTTGCACATACGCCACTTCAGTTTGATAATGGAATGCTGCTATACACTCTTTAAAAAATTAAATCAATGTTATTGAGATTTAATTTACATACCAAAATGCATTCATTTTAAGTGCAGAATTTGATGAGCTTTGGCAAATGTTCTCCCTGTATGACCTTCACGAAACCGAATATATAGAATATTTCCTTCATTCAAAAATTACCCAGTGCCTTTTTGCAGTCAGTACCTGCACTTATTCCTGCCCCAAACAAACACTGATCTGATTTTTATCACTATAGATTGGTTTTGCCTATTCTGGATTTTTACATAAGTGGAATCATACAGTGTATAGTCTTTTATGCCTGGTTTTATTTCACTATATAAAGATTCTGAGATTCATCCATGCTGTTGCGTATATCAGTAGTTGGTTCTGTTTCACTGCTGAGTAGTATCCCATTGTTTGAATATATCACAATTTGTTTACCCATCACTGTGTTGGATATACTTGTACAAGTTCTTTTTTTTTAAATCTTTTTTTTTATTATTTATACTTTAAGTTTTAGGGTACATGTGCACAATGTGCAGGTTAGTTACATATGTATACATGTGCCATGCTGGTGCGCTACACCGACTAACTCGTCATCTAGCATTTGGTATATCTCCCAACGCTATCCCTCCCCTCCCCCAACCCCACAACAGTCCCCAGAGTGTGATGTTCCCCTTCCTGTGTCCATGTGTTCTCATTGTTCAATTCCCACCTGTGAGTGAGAATATGTGGTGTTTGGTTTTTTGTTCTTGCGATAGTTTACTGAGAATGATGATTTCCAATTTCATCCATGTCCCTACAAAGGACATGAACTCATCATTTTTTATGGCTGCATAGTATTCCATGGTGTATATGTGCCACATTTTCTTAATCCGGTCTATCATTGTTGGACATTTGGGTTGGTTCCAAGTCTTTGCTATTGTGAATAGTACCGCAATAAACATATGTGTGCATGTGTCTTTATAGCAGCATGATTTATAGTCCTTTGGGTATATACCCAGTAATGGGATGGGTGGGTCAAATGGTATTTCTAGTTCTAGATCCCTCAGGAATCGCCACACTGACTTCCACAATAGTTGAACTAGTTTACAGTCCCACCAACAGTGTAAAAGTGTTCCTATTTCTCCACATCCTCTCCAGCACCTGTTGTTTCCTGACTTTTTAATGATTGCCATTCTAACTGGTGTGAGATGATATCTCATTGTGGTTTTGATTTGCATTTCTCTGATGGCCAGTGATGGTGAGCATTTTTTTCATGTGTTTTTGGCTGCATAAATGTCTTCTTCTTTCTGTAAACAAGTATTACTAATTTTCTTGGGTAAATAAGAATTAAATGACTGGTTTGAATGTTCTGTTCATGTTTCGCTTTACAAGGGACTCACAAAATGTTTTCCAAATGATGGTTGATTATTCCCACCAACATTATAGTAGAGTTCTAATTGCTCCACATTTTTGCCAGTATTTTGTATTGTCAGACTTTTAACTTTAGCAATTTCTAACGGGCATTTGGTGGACTTAATTTTGATTTTTCTGTTGATTAATGATGTTTCATATGCCCATTAGCAATTTATATATCTTTCTATGTGATGCATCAGTTCAACTCTCTGTCCATTTAAAATTTGATTGTTTTTCTTATTATTTAGTTGTAAGAGGTCTTTATATATTCTGGAAACTAATCCTTTGTCAGAAATTTGTACTGTAAATGTTTACTCCCAGACTTTATCTTGCCTTTTTATTTTTGTCAAAGTGTCTTTCAAAGGGCAGTCATTTTTAATCTTGATGGAGTACAAGCATCAGTTTTTCTTTTACGTTCATGCTTTCTACATAGTATGTAAAAATAACACAAAAAACAATATAAACAGTATAGCAAGGTCACAAATATTTTCTACTATATTTTATTCTAGAAGTTTTACAGTTTTAACTTTCACACTTAGGGCTATGATTTAAGTTAATTTTTATGTATGATTTGAATTAAGCATTAAAGCTTATTTTTACTTTGCTATTTTTATCTCTGGTTTGAGTTAGGTCTTCTTCATATCATCCATGTTTCTATTTAAAATGCTTAATATTTCCTCTATTAAGCTTAACTATCCTAACTTAACTTAACTATCCTAACTTAACTTAACTATCCTAAATATTTAGGCAGCCAACATTGGGCCACATAAAACAAATTCTTAGAGACCTATAAAGAGACTTAGATAACCACACAATAATTGTGGGAGACTTAACACCTTACTGACAGTGTTAGACACATCATTAAGGCAGAAAACTAACATAGATATCTGGGACCTATTGGTTCTTGAACACCTGGATAGAGTTGTAATAACTGTTTTAATGTCTTTGTTTATATGTTCTATCATCTTCATAATTTCTGGGTCAGTTTTGATTTAATTTTTTCTCTTCGTTATGAGTCTTATTTTCCTGCTTTTTTATGTTTGTATGGCAGACTTTGTGAAATTTACCTCATTGAGTGATGGATATTTTTGTATTACTATAAATGTTGTTGAGCTTTGTTCTGGGACATAGTTAAGTTACTCGGAAACAGATGGGTTCTTTCAGGTCTTGAATTTAATCTTTGTTAGGTGGGATTAGAGCAGCTAATTTTGTCACGCTACTGAAGAAAAGCCATTATGCATATACTACTCAATGCCCCATTTTCCACTCTGACTAGTGGGTAGAGAAACTATTCTTGGCCCTGTGAAAACTCTGTAAATTTTCTCCTCTAATCCTTTTGGGTTGTTCTTTTTCCATCCTCAGAGAGTTTCCTCACAGAAATACCCTGATTAATACTCAGCCAAAGCCTTGAGGGAAGGGAGATCCTGTGAAGATTTCTGAATCTCTGTGTAACTTTCCCCTCTGGTACTCTGACCAGCAAAATGTAGCTTTCTCCAAAGAGACCTGAGCAGTTTGTCAGGGATTAGAGTATACTGGCTCCTGAGTGGTGTTAGCCAGGGAAATGAAATGTTTTGTGGTGATGTCAATCAATTTTAAGGCATCATTTCCTCATTGTCAGACATATCTCTCACATAGGCAAGGAAGCTCATGTCAGCTGACTAGACATCCTCTCTCCAGGACAATGGTGGAGATTCCCTGTGAATCTAGCCCTCTTGGTCTCCGTTTCCTTTTGTTGCATGCCAACATACCCCTGCTTGATAAACCCTCTTTCTTTTGTGGTAAGTTTGTAGCTCTCTCAGTCCCAGTGACATTACAATCTTTGCTAATTAGTCATCTCACTTGGGGTTTCCAAAACTCTTTATTCACAAATACTGATAGTCCTATGAGTCATTCTTATATATGAGTAATTCAGTAATTTTGTGTTGATTTTTACCAGTTTTATCTCAAAGATCAATTTCATTGTAAATGTTGTGACTATAATTACTGTGAATTAAGAATTTTTGAACATATTCCTATTTAAAAAAAAATCTTTGCTAGGACCATCTATCTTATTTGTATGAGCTCCTTTATAATCTAGATTTTTGGGTATTATTTATTTGTTAATATCTTCTAGTTTGACCTTGCCCTTATTTTGGTTCTATTTCATTGTCCATAGAATTAAAATAATTTTTTTTGTGGTGGATTGGTCGGTGAGGGGAGGCAGTGGCAGACAGGGTCTTGCTCTTTTGCCCAGGGTGGAGTGCAGTGGCTCAATCATAGCTTTGTAACATCAAACTCCTGGGACTCCATACATGCACTATGACTGGCTAATTAAAAAAATTATTTTGTAGCAGTGGAATCTTGCTATGTTGCCCAGGCTGGAACAGAATTAAAATTCTAATATAGTAAAAAGTATAAAATCTTTACATTTATTGTTTCTTCTCTTTAATGTATACGAATGAATTAATATTTAATCTAGAGACCTGAAAAGCATTAAATTCCATTTTCTGGTAGATTTTTGAATATATATTTTATTTTTGTAGACATATTAGAGTGTTGTTCCGTCTCTCATATTTTTCTCCTTCCTGACTACTCCTCTCATCACTTGGCTAATCCATAGCAGCATGGGGGTGGGTCCATAATAGCCCTGTTGGCACAATCTGATTCTTCCTCTTTGATGATGGTTTATTTTAATCCAGTGACCATCTGAATCAAGATGGCCTAATTAGCATTATTTTCCTGGGACTTTAAATCTGGGCTGTAAAATTTAAATTGAAAACAAGGAGAGTCACTTGAATGAATAAGATGTAATCTTAGGACACTGTAGAAGAGATATCTTAGTTATGATATCACTGGGGTGTTCAGAGAAAGAGGTGAATAAATGAACTTAATGCTCAGTAAGAAGCAGAAGTGAGAGGAGGAAGGGAATTTCCTGGGATTTTTATGTCTTCTGCTTCCTAGTTCCAGTGTTTCTCTAAAACCAGCCTGCATTTCTGTTCTTGGTCATTAATAAAATGTACTTATATCTTTATAATAAATTCTCTCTTTCACTTACTTTAGCTAAATTTAGTTTATAGTACTTCTAATTCAGGAGTTTTAACTAATAAAGAATTCAAGTTTTTTCCCTTTTTTGTAATAAGTTTGGTGTAAGCTGTCAGATGGAGTATCCAACATTCACCCTAAGAGTAGGAACTAGATAAATTATATACCACCTTCTGGGCAGCATATGAAGGCAGTTCACAAAAGAAAGAGGCTGAGGTCAAGGCAGAAGCTAGTTTTGTATATTACTACCAGATCTTATAATTTCTAAGACAAAAGAAATTAAGCTTGAGCTAGGTTAGAAAACCGTGGGAGAGACTGGTTAAGTATCAATACCTAGCCTGGAGAAGGGGCAGACACAAAATGGAAGAGTAATAAGAGAAGACTGGAAATAACACTTAGTTAAACTAGATAATCCATACAGAATCAATCTAGAAAGAGTCTCATGATTAATAAGTTTAGTTAATCCTTTATTTTTTTCATTTAGAAGCTATATAGGCATAGGGTACTGGACAAAACCGGCATATACAGCAGAAACCAAGGCAAACACAGCCCTTCCATTATGGAGCTCACATTCTTGTGGGATGGAGAAGGAAGGTATTAAATAATTAAGTATACATTTATTCATTCATTATTACTGTAATGAGTACTGTTAAGGAGAACCATTAAAGTTTAAGCTGAAGGAACTTGACCAGGTCTGGGTGACAAGGAATGATTCTTTAAGAAAGTGAAATAAAGTATCTTTGCATATATTTTCTAGGCCAGATGTTTAAAATAGTAGACTTGTTCCAGTGGGCATGTGGATTTTTTTTTAAAATCACTTTATAATTACTTGTAACAAAAACTGGTAGAAATGCAAAAGTGTATGGATTTAAATTTCTGTGTTCTTTTTTTTATGCCTTTGACATTAATTTTCTTCTTGAAATAAGTGTTAGTCATGTGACTTAAAATGCAGAAAATGATACACATTGTCTAGCTTTGTCAGAGGGATGCAGTGAGTGCAAAGAATTATCTTGCCTAAGAAATCTAACATCCTAAATGGAAAGGCTTCAAATATCAAATAAACCCGATGCTACTTTATTTGATACCTCCTTACACCATTTCATTTAGGCTTTTCTTTTTTCTGCTTCCTAACTCACATGCTCAGACTTCTCGAAACCTTCAGGCACTGGGAAGGAAAAGAGAACAAGGAAACTAGAAGATTTTAAGCATGAGCTATGCACCAGGTCCAATAGGAGGTGCTTGGCCATTTTGGGCTGCATCTTTAGCATTAGAAATCCATTCTTTTCCTCAATGATCTCTTTATGTAATTCTCCAACAGAACAGAGCTTTCTCACCAAGGCCAGGGACGTTTGGAGTTATTGTGTGGATTTCAGGGGGTCAGTAAAAACTTGGAAAATATATATATTATATATTTCTACATTTCTATAATTTACAATCATATTTAATTGTTCTTATAAACTTTTATTTGTAAAAAATATGTTTAGCTTAATGAACAAGACACATAGAGTTAGTTTATTTTGTTATTACTTGCTATTACTGTACTATTTAGAAAAGGAGCTTGTAAATGTCAATTTCTTTTCCTATTATGCATAGTTTTAAAATGTTAAGGTTAGTAGAGTAAATAATATTGTTTAACTACTCAGTATGTTGTAGGCAGAATAATGGCTGACAAAGATATCTACCTCCTTATCTCTGAATCTGTGAAGATGTTGTCTTGGCATAACCTCATGGCAAGGGGGTGTGAGGTTGCAGGTGGAATTAAGGTTGCTGATCAATTGACCTCAGAATAAGAATATTTTCCTGTATTATTGAGATGGGTGTAATGTAAACACAAAGGCCCTTAAATATAGAAGAGGAAGGCAGAAGGACTGGAGTCAGAGTTATTCAATGTGAGAAAGACTTGCCAGTCTGTCGCTGGCTTTGAAGATGTTGATGTTAGGAGACCACAAACAGGTGTTCTCTAGCAGCAAACAAAGGCAAGAAAACATTCTCCCCTGAAGCTTTGAGGAAAGTATACAGAAAACACCTTGATTTTAGTCTAGCAGGACCTATTTTGAACTTCTTATCTCTGGAATTATAAGGTAACAAATCTGTTTTGTTTTAAGCCACTGAATTTGAAGTGGCAACAAGAAACTTACTAATACTATCAGGTAGGAACATTAGATTACTTTTATTGTCCACACATTGTGGGCCAAGTAAATAATTAAGTACTTTACACACATGTATTTTTAGTTCTATCTGACTGCAGAATATACAGTCTTAACCATTGTGCTATACAACCTCTTTTTTAAATTAATAATTCAATGAATGATTGAAATACGGAACATCAAGTCTGTGCTCATTTGGAGCACATACGAAGTACTCAGCAAATGCTTATAAATGCTTATCTGAAGAGTGGCTTTTTGGCCCATAGGAATATTCAGCAAGCCAGAGTTATTCTACCTCCCTGGATAGAGGCGTCATGGCTGGAGCAACTTTGAGCTTAGCACATTCTATCTGAGCTGTTCATTACATTCATCATTTAAGATATACTCAAGCCTTTGAGAGTTTGTTTCTTACAATTCTGAAAATATGAAGATATATGAACCTCCTAGTACACCCTGGTGAATCATCTTAATCAGGGTGTTTCCCTCAAGGTATTCCAAACAGACATTTTTTATAATATGAGAAAGTGAAAGCATATTGAACCTAAGGCCAAGTTATAGATTCCCTAAAAGTAAGCATCATATAAAACAACCGATCCATTTTTTCTTCAACTTTCCAAACTTGTTTTTATCCATTTGCTTGAAATGTTTTCTCTCTTGCTCTATAAGTATGTTTTGTGTAGTGCCTGATTCTCCCTATGGTATTTGCTTTCCATTAACTTCCTATTGATTTTCAGTTGTGTGTACACAGTACTGCAGGAACATAAACTGCAAACACCAGACTTAAAGAAGTCCGAACTCTAACTGTTTTATCTTGGTGACACAGTACTACAACGTGAATATTACCTGTGGCCTCTTTTAAAAAATGTATTTAAAGGCAGTTGTGACAAGTAGGGTCAAGTCTGAATAATGATGTATATAAATTACAGTGGAAAAATATTTGGCGTCTCAGGATGAAGGATGTTCAAGTTGAAAGGGCAGGTTGGAACAGATAAAGAGCAGTTTTTGAAAATATGGCATTACAGAAGGTGAAGCAAAGTATAAGTCACTGTAAAAAGAAAGGTACCAAAAGATGACAAAAGTGAGGAGGAGTGGGAAGGAAGTAACACACAGCAAGTTGATATGACACTCAAAAAGGAATACCGTTTTTGAAACAAGTGAAATTTAAAGTTATCTTAACTTAATCTGATGAATAATTTCTCTAACATTTAAGAGCATTCACGTTTTTATTGTTTTGCTTTATAGTAAGCTCGTCCAACTGGCAGCACACAAACCGCATGCAGCCCAGGACAGCTTTGAATGCGGCCCAACACAAATTTTTAAACTTTCTTAAAACATTATGAGTTTTGCCAAAAGCAATTGCAACAAAACACAGAACTGACAAATGGGATCTAATTAAACTAAACAGATACAGCACAGCAAAGAAACTATCATCAGAGTGTACAGGCAACCTACAGAATGGGAGAAAATTTTTGCAATCTACCATCTGACAAAGGTCTAATACCCAGAATTTACAAGTCAGGAAACAATAGATGCTAGCGAGGCTGTGGAGAAATAGGAATGCTTTTACACTGTTGGTGGGAATGTAAATTAGTTCAACCATTGTGGAAGACAGAATGGCGATTCCTCAAGGATCTAGAACCAGAAATACCATTTGACTCAGCAATCCCATTACTGGGTATATACCCAAAATACCAAAATAGTATTCTACTATAAGGACACATGCATACGTATGTTTATTGCAGCACTATTCACAATAGCAAAGACATGGAACCAACCCAAATGCCCATCAATGATAGACTGGATAAAGAAAATGTGGTACATATGCACCATGGAATACTATGCAGCCATAAAAAGAAATGAGATCATGTCCTTTGCAGGGACATAGATGAAGCTGGAAGCCATCATTTTCAGCAAACTAACACAAGAATGGAAAACCAAACATTGTGTGTTCTCACTTGTAAGTGGGAGTTCAACATTGAGAACATAGGGACACAGAGAGGGAACAACACACACCAGGGCCTGTTGGGGGGTGGGGAGGTGAGGGGAGAGAACTTAGAGGATGGGTTAGTAGGTGCAGCCAATCACCAAGGCACATGTATACCTATGTAACAAACCTACATGTTCTGCACATGTACCCCATTTTTTTTTGGAAGAAATAAAAAATTGTGATTTTTTTTTTTTTTTTTTTTTTTTTTAGCTCATCAGCTATCATTAGTGTTTGTGTATTTTATGTGTGGCACAAGACAGTTCTCCTTCCAATGTGGCCCAGGGAAGGCAAAAGATTGACACACCTGCTTTATAATCTCAAACACAGTAGCACACTTTGAAGATCAGAGAGAAAACACCTAACTTCATCAGTCTTGGTTGTGTCACCTGTAAGACAGAGATAATACATATTAACTCAGAGAGTTACTGAATGGCTTATGTGTATGTAGAGAAACTAGTAAAGGGCCTGTGTAGCTTACATATATTTTTAGAGGTGATAAAAATAACCAATAACCATATTTATAATATATTGAAGTTAATTGAAATGAAAAACAATAAATTAACAGAAAAGATTAGTCATAAATAAAATGAGTTGAACTAATCAAGCAAAAAACATGTGTTTAATTTCTTTCAATTATTTTATAGATTTTGACTGAAGTCCACAGTGCTGATTAAATTTACATCTCTATTAAGAAGCATTAATAATACAGAAGAAATAGACAAGCCAAGGAGATTGATGGCAGACATAGGATTACTTTAAGTTGGTGTTCTATGAAAACAATCTTAAATTAAAATATTGAAGTGGGGTTCCTTTATATTATAATCTCATGTTTCACAAATTTGTGAGTGTATGATTGTACTGAGCTAAAATTGAAATTGAACATTTTTTCTGTTTTCTATATCAAATCGATAACAAGCAATTTTCTAGAATTTTGAGATTGTATTCCTCTTTCATGAGTATTTTTAGAAATGGAACTAAGTTATAAATATAAGAAAATTTTGTCACATTAGTGAAAAATGTTTACATAAAAGACCTGAATTTCGTGAAGAACCTTTAAACAATGTTCATCTCCATAAACACAATGTCTGCTCTGAAACTTCTTTCTTATTAGAGCCAGGAAATAAAGAAAGGTGTATTTTTGGAGGAAAGATAAATTGCCTGTGATATCTTAGCTTTATGCCTTTTTTTCTTATACTTCATTTATACTAATGAGAATTTTCTATTTATCTTTTATGAGTTGATTGTTTGAAACACTATTTTGTTATTTTTACCATATTTTGTTTGGGGTATTCAAGACTCTTAAGCAAGAAGTTTAGTTACTGAATATTTTATATTGATCTAGTTTCTTTTCTTTCCAACATAAAGTTATTTTTAATTTTTTAATTTTTTTATTTTTATTTTTTGAGATGGAGTTTCACTGTTCTTGCCCAGGCTGGAGTGCAATGGCACGATCTCAGCTCACTGCAACCTCCACCTCCTGGGTTCAAATGATTGTCCTGCCTCAGCCTCCCGAGTAGCTGGGATTACAGGCATGCACCACCATGCCCAATTAATTGTGTATTTTTAGTAGAGACGGGGTTTCTCCGTGTTGGCCAGGCTGGTCTCAAACTCCTGACCTCAGGTGATCCACCTGCTTTGGCCTCCCAAAGTGCTGGGATTACAGGTATGAGCTTCAAGTACAAGGAAATAATGCTCAGTTGAGACTGAGTTGGGCTGAGTGGGTTTTTGATTAACTGTGGTCTGCCTGAAACAGAAACAGTGCTCTCTGTAGCAAATGTATCTTGAAGGACTGACAGCTATACCTCCTGTTGTTCTGTTCCTATTCTTACACTAGTTTCATAAGTATCTATAAGATAAATAGAAAATTATCATTAGCATAAATGATATATAAGTTCCATTTCTAAATAAACAAATTATTTTAAAAGAAGAAGTTTTTTTTTTATTTATTGAGTGCCTATTTTCCCAGTCTTACCCTCTTCCAGGAATGTACTCCTAGTTGGGAAAAACATCGCCTCTTGATAGGTTACTTGATATTGCTATAGTATTGAGGTCTCCTTCTAGATCATGGTTCAGTATAGCAGGTCATCATTTTTTCTGACTGGTGAAGAGAAAGTCTAGATTTTCAAGTACCTTGGAAGAGAATAGATATGCTACCACCTGTGGTAGTCCTGTTATTTGATCAGGGCTTAGCTCTTTTCAAAGGAACTTTCCTTAAGAATTCTGTCTCTTAATACCACTTCTCTTGATGACTGGTTCACCTTCCATGATACCGTTACATCAGAGGAGAGCCTGGAAGAATTGGGGTGGATTTTGTGTGCATGTGTGTGTACGTGAGCAGTGCATGATTCTTATTGGCTTGTTTCCTCATAATTCAGCTAAAGGAAAGCGTATGGTGGCGTTGATCTAACTGGTGTTTATTATCTACCTTATATTTCCAAGAAATCAGAATATTCTCTTGAGTTCCATTTACCAAAGTAAGTTTTAAATCATCCTAATATAGAGCCAAAACATAGTTACTTTTCAAAATTGCAATTCCATAAATTTTAGCTTTATTTTCCAAGATGAGAGAAACAATAGAGGAAAATTCTCACTCACAACCTAACTCAGTTATCAACAGAACATTCAAGGCTGGATCTCCTAATCAACATTGAAAAAGTATCCCCTACATTAGGAAAATACTCTGGTTCTGTCTTTACTTCATACTGGGTTATTCACAGATTGGAAAGGTATATAAGTATGGCGATTGAATCTATTCCCTTCCCCACATATCCCTCCCTTTGTAGTGAGGTCAAGCTTGGCTCTTTCACTGTGTTCATGTCAGCATTTTGTGTTAGAAATTTACGATGGGTGTGGGGGCATTACAGTGCATTCAACATTTTTTTCAGTGCCTTCTATTTGGAAATATGGTGACATGTGCAGCCAGCACTGAGTAAAAGTTTTAATGGGAGGGGAAACTAGTATAAGGATAGGAACAGAGCAACAGGAGGTGTAGCCGTCAGTCCTTCAAGACACATTTGCTACAGACAGCACTTTTTCTGTCTCAGGCAGACAACAGTTAATCTTAAGTTAGAAGAAGAAAGAAGCAGAGCTGATGCAAAAAAATATATATATATGGAGAAAGTTAAGCTGAATGTTGTAGAGCTAACACTCAATAAGTATTTGGAATGTTAGCAGTACAACCTTTATTAGCAGCTACAAAAATCAGACTACATAGTTTTTTGATAACAAGATGACCAATTCAAGGTGATACAGAGGCTTGTGCTTGGAGAAGGATGTCTTGTAGACTATTGACCAATAGGGCAGAATTTCCCTTTGTACATTCATCCCTGTTCAGGTCTAACTTGCATCCTTTTAAGCACGGACACCTGACCCATCACACCCGCAAAAGTGGATAAGATCAATCTCAAGCAGTGAACTTACACTGACCAAGCACACAGGAAATGCATATAAAAGTAGATTCCTCAAGGCCACATCTGACCAGAGTATTCATTATTTGTTACAGAAGACTCGGGAAAGCATTGAATGGCTATCTTATAATTGTTTTTTCCTCCCCATCTGAAGCTGCAGACACCATTTGAAAAGTGGCTACATCCCAGCCTATGATTGTTCTCAGGTGGCATTTTTGTTTTTATTTTCTAAATCTTGATGGGTACCTCACTGTTATTCCCACATATCACTCATAATATTTATATTATATACTGGTAATTGAATGTGGGTTCCATATTCTACATTCATTTGCTAGACAAATAATTGAGATTCTACTGTATGCCAAGCACTGGAGTAATCTGTTAATTGGTTAATTCATTTATTAGTTTCTTTAAGACATACTGTATTTACTATGTATTGGGGACTATGTTAGAAGCTTGAAATATCACAGTGAACAAGTTAGACCATGGCTACTTTCAAAGTGTCTATAGAAGAATTGAGAAATCAAGTGAACAATCACAATACTTCTGATAAGAGATAACACAGAGGAGGTAATAGGGTTTTATTTTTAAAGAACAATATATAAATATAGTGGCTTTGGTCTTGTAAAATTTAGTGGCAATGTAATTGTATAAAACAAGGGAACCCAAGTGGATAAGGTAGGAAATCAAAATATTAGCTAGTAGTAAAATAATTAAATGACATTCTCTGGTCTGGAAATTTTGCCAAGTCTTTTCAAATAAACGAAGAAAACAACAAAAAAAACTTACTTTGGTTTGTTTCCTAACAAGTCAAAAGGAAAACCACAATCCAACAACAATGCAAGCAACAGAAAATCTTTAAATAATGACGCTGAAATTATCTTATAACTTTAATAAGTAAAAGTAAAAATATGGAAATAAACAGAAGTTTGGCAGAAAGAACAGATACAAAAATTTCAAAACTCAGGAGAAAAAGTCGAGATCTTCATGAAACAAAGCTTTAAAAGAGAAAAGTTAATGTTAGAAAACCACACAAAAGTCTAAAAGCTTAGAATGTTCAGATCCCTAAAGAAATAAGGAGAGCATCATATAGATTTTATGGGGCATTTTATTTTCACAATAGTTGATACTGAAAGCAATTTTTTTTCCAAAGAGAATGTGCCACATAACAACTAGTAAAATAGCAAAAACAACAGGCAAAATTGGATAAAATACTCCACTTTCTAGCAGTCCAGGAGTTGGCCCTGTAATCTGTCTTCTAGTTTTTAACTTAGCCCATCCCTGACTGTCTCATATAACAATTGGTTTGTAGATGATCCCATCATTGAGTAGTTTAGCGTCTCTGAATCATAGGCCAGGTACAGCATTCAAACTTACCTAAAAACATCACTCTTTTGGTTCTTAAAAAATATTTTGTGAAGGAGATGCCACAAGCTTTCCCTTAGAAGCCCTGTGGAAATCATCTAACTGGTGGGCTATTATTAGACACATTATCAAAGTTTCTGCTTTTTTACAAGTCTCTTCTTAATACAGTACTAGCACATGATGCCAACAGCCCATGTTATTATCATGTCATTCTAGTGCTTTAACTAATAGGTCCCTGGAAGGAGAAGAATTCGTTTATTCCTTTGGGATTATATATAGATTTTCTTTCTTAATTTTATCTACAGTGTAAACTTATACCCAGATCATGTCTTTTATTTTGTATTTTATGTAGCACCCTCTTTGCCTTTAGAAAAGGTTTAGAAGAGACAATGAGGAAAGATAGTTTAAGGGTGGTAGAAATAAGTTGAATTTGAGATTTGAGATGGATGTGAAAGGGTTTGGAGAGGTAGTTGCTGAGGAAGGGGCAAAGCTGGGACTTTGCCTTTGGAGCAGGCTTCTTGGACATGCAGAACAGTATCTTTGTCAGAGAACATTCTGGACCAGGAAAACTGGGAACATTAATCTAGATTAGTACAGGACTTTGAACATAGCTGTGACTACCTGACTTGTAAATTGGCATATCTGTATTTTTCTGCTGTCCTGAGTTAGTTAACTTCGTATTTTAAAATACTCATCTGAATATATCTGCTACTTTTGCCCACCCAGAACCCATTACCTTTTCTTCAGTGCAGCACTGTTCCCTCCCCACCTTCTTTGGAAAACGATGCTGCTCCAACCTTTAGGGCTTTTGTTTTGGAAGGGCAGACCACCAACCTAGATCAAGATGTAGCTGTCGTCCAGGCCTACCCAATGACCTTATTCAATTTCCATACCTACAAAGCATGGTTGAGAAGAGGAAAAAAACCCACACTTTTCAGAGGCAATCCTAGGTTTGAACTTTTGAAAAGGAGGAGCTCTTTCCACTGTGGTAGTTGAAGGTAGAGGGCTGCCTGGAGCTGCCAGTAGCCATCTTGCCACTCTCTGGGATAAGCCTGACCGAATAAAGTCCACACAGAGGAAAGCAGAACTGAGAGAAAGAGAGGGACCAAGTCCCTACTGATCTCATTTGACACACTCGATCTACTGCCTTCTGAACATTTCTTGAGCCTATAGATTACTCTACCTCCCTTATTTCCCATAAGTCACCATGACTTGCCTTTTTCTGTTACAACCAAATCAGTCCTAGGAAATAAAATGTTTGTTTTGCTTCCACACCCACAGTGGGGCTTGGGAGCATCTGTATTTCAAAGCTGAGAATTCTCCACAGAATCCAGTTCCCTTCTATCTTGTTTTACCTTCTGAGGAGAGGACCATGAAGGCAGCGTCAGGCACACGACACAAATGGCAGCTGTGTTTCATCTCTTCTGTGCAGATAGCTTAATAATAAATACCTCCTTCCCTTTTTAGGGAACAAAATAGTTTTATTTTACATAGAAATTTCTTCTGTAGTGAGTAGCAGTGAAACGCTAATATTTATTAAAGAGAAATTGCCACTGATACCCTTTGGTGTAGCCCAAGAGGATGTAAGAAAAAAAGGAACAAATGGCACCTACACTCTATAAGCTGCCTAAGTGGAATCTTAATGTAGAATTTGTTGCTTTGTAGTCTTCTTTTTTTTTTTATCTAGCAAGACTAGTGTTACAGAGGATCACGGACATTAGTCACTTGTTCTTGATAACCTCTGAAGAGTTGGATAAAAGAAAGAAACTGCCCCCAGTGAAAAGGGATGATCTGCAATATCTGAAGAATTATTTCTGTGGAAGACAATGTTATTACAAGACACTGGGATATTATGACTATTTTGGTAGCTTAAAGAAAAATAAATTCATAATACTAGATATTAATTATATTCGATGATATACATAATTTATAATACTAGGATAGAAAAAATCTTTATTAATTTTCAAGTAGTTACATCATTCTCTCCTCACTTCTTAGCATGAAGGCCATTTATGTACTGGCAGGTAAATGTCAGGTTGAGAAGGCTCTAAGTCATTTCACAGTAGGGAAAGTTGGTTTTTCAACTTGGAAGCAAATTTTATTTTATTATTTTTAGAAAATTATATATATATATAACTTAAAATGGAAAATTGCACAAATCATAAGTGGACAGCTCCGTACATTCTCACCAAGAGAACATATCAATGTAATGAACACCCAAATTAAGAAACACTACATGGGCCGGGCGCGGTGGCTCACGCCTGTAATCCCAGCACTTTGGGAGGCCGAGGCGGGTGGATCATGAGGTCAGGAGATCGAGACCATCCTGGCTAACAAGGTGAAACCCCGTCTCTACTAAAAATACAAAAAATTAGCCGGGCGCGGTGGCGGGCGCATGTAGTCCCAGCTACTCGGGAGGCTGAGGCAGGAGAATGGCGTGAACCCGGGAAGCGGAGCTTGCAGTGAGCCGAGATTGCGCCACTGCAGTCCGCAGTCCGGCCTGGGCGACAGAGCGAGACTCCGTCTCAAAAAAAAAAAAAAAAAAAAAAAAAAAAAAAAAGAAACACTACATGATTAGCTCCCCAATATCCTCCATTCGGCTACTGTCTAGCCAATTCCCTACCAAGGGCAACTGCTACACTGACTTCTAACACTGTAAAGTAGTCACTGGCAGAGATTTTGAAAGGCAGTATGTCCTGCTGAAATGTGAGGGAAATTCCACTGATGATTTTAAACCTAAAACGATATGAATATCTTTAGCAACAAAACCTACTTTCCTCCAGACCACATAAGAACCCGCCCATGCCTATGTCCTATTTCCTCTGGAGCATTTTTAGGTTAAGTTTTAGATCTTGTAGTCTGGTGATATAGTACATTTTGACATAACATGGAGTAAGGATGCCATGAGGATGCCCAGCTCATGTAGGGGGTGCTTGGCTGGTCTGTGATAGTCACTGGGAGAAAGGTTTAAGGGAAGGGCTGGCATGTCATTTCCTTCTCCCTCTTATCCTGCTCCATAATGATCACCACTGTTTATTCTTTAAATAAGTGAAAAGGGAAAGAAATAAATGTGTCATTTAAAGGGTTCCAATTTAAGTCTCCTGCTTTATTCTTAAGCCCTGCTTAATCTTTCTTGATTCTACCCTAAGGAGTACAAATCTCTTTTGGCTGATCCACTTTCCTTTGAGGAACCAAAAGTGAACACGAGCAAACAGATTAAAAGATAGCCCAAGAGCACTGGTCAACATGTGCCCTGTGTGGTTGGATCAAGTAGAGGGAAACCATGATTTGCTTTAAAAGAATAACGGTCATTGCAATGTCCTGCTTCTGTTCTGGGGTTCAGAATGTGATATTCTGCATCCAGTTAAAGGAATCTCTTGGCCATTTACCACAGCTAATAGTAATTAACAGAACCTACTGAAAATGCAGATGCACCCTCTTCAAACTAGTAAGTGTTACTCATCATGCTGGGATATTGAGAGAGATTTGACTTTGAGAAGCATGGAGAAATGATTTGGTTTAAAACTAGAAACTCTGGATTATACAGATACTCATGGCACTAAGCAAATTCAGAATTAAAAGAATGTGCCTTCAGAGAGACAAATGCCACAGGATCTCTCTATATGTGAAATCCAGAAAAGCCAAACTCATAGAAGTAGAGATTAGAATGGTGGTTACCAGAAACTGAGGGTGGTGATGGTGGATGGAGAAAGGGGAGATGTTGGTTAATGGGTACAAAGTTTCAGTTAGGCAGTAGGCATAAGTTCTGGTGATCTCTTCCATAGCACAGTGACTGTAGTTAATAATAATGTATTGTATATTTCAAAATTGCTAAAAGAGAAGATTTTAAATGATCCTACCACAAGAAATGGTAAATATTTGAGGTGATAGATATGCTAATTAGCCTATCAGATCATTCTGTGATATATACATGTATTGAAACAACCTTATACCTCACAAGTAGATGCAGTTATTATGTCAGTTAAAAATAAAACTAAAAAAAATTTTTAAAAGAATGTGCCTTAAAAAATATTTTGTTCTTTTCATTAAATAATAATCTTAGTAACACTGACAGTGAGAATCTATAAATTTAGCAATTTCCAAAGCAATCATTTTAATTGGATTTAAAAGGGATATTATAGTGGATAAAACCCTCAGAATATTTTATGTAGTAGTGCCATGGTTTATTAAACAGAATTCATTTAAAGTACACATGCAACACATCCCGATAGTTTCTTACAAACCTTGAAATAAGCAATTATTGAGAAGAGTTGAGAGGGTGATTTTCTGAGTTTAACGAAGAAGGCCTTACATCTAGAAGCTTGCAGTCTTCTTGAAGATAGAGATTCTGAGTTGGTTTTGGCTCAGTGTCACCCTTGCCTGAAATAGTATGTGGAAAGCCACAATAATGGGAATGAGCATAGTGTATCTGGGGGAGGAGTAGACAGGTCAGTCCAGCTGAATGCCGTGTATGTATGTTTGTGTTTGTGTGTTTATACACCAAGTGTAAAATAAAATAAAGTACAAGTCATAAAATTGGACATGTTACGGATAGTTTTGTATTGTCATAAACACATTTACACTCAATAAATGTGGAACGAATAAATCAAAGGACAAAAAGCTTTGAATACCTAATGGAACCTGAGGGTGTTCATCCTGAAGGTAACTAGAAGATATAAGTTATTTCTCTCTTTGTGGCCAGAAAGGCTAGAATTCCTTTTATAGACAGAGCAATGTTACTAGTTTTCAGACAGATGGGAATTGAAACAACTTTTATCTTTAAAGACAAAATCCTACCCAACATTGTACATATTTAAATTTATGTGAAGTTGCCCACAGGCAGTGGAATGAGTTAATCAAATGATAAAGAAATGTCAAAACATCTTATACTTGTATATAAACCTGGTAGTTCAGTATCCTATAAAGTACAACCAATCCATCTGTCCGAAAGCCTAATACCACTATTTTTGGTGACACTAAATGCTTTAAATTTTGTCAGCAAGATTTGAGGCAATGTCAAATGCTAGAGTGATCAATATCAAATACTAGAGTGATAAAACCCCAATATTATTATATATAATTATATGTGTGTATGTATATAAATATATGCCAAAATGCTATACAAATCTATACACACTTTATATAAGTACTATATGCACACATACACACACATAATTATTAACTAAGTTTAAAAAATTCCACGTGATGAGATTTTTTTTTAACTTTAAAAAGTATTAGCTCATTAGACTTCACTTTTTTTTTTTTTTTTTTTTTTGAGACTGGGTCTTGCTGTGTCGCCCAGGCTGGAGTGCAGTGGCGTGATCTCGGCTCACTGTAGTCTCTGCCTCCTAGGTTCAAGAAATTCTCCTGCCTCAGCCTCCTGAGTAGTGAGGATTACAGGCTAATTTTTGTATTTTTAGTAGACACAGGGTTTCACCATGTTGGCCAGGCTGGTCTCGAACCCCTGACCTCAAGTGATCCGCCCACTTCGGCCTCCCAAAGTGCTGGGATTACAGGCATGAGTCACTGCATCTGGCCAGCTCATTAGACTTCCTGATAAGATTTCAAATTTTATGTCTTTGTCCGAAGTCAGATCTATAACTTTAAAAATATAAACTAGTTATTTTACTTTGTTTTCATTTGTTTTTCTTTCTGATTTTTTAAGTAATTAATTCTAACAAAATGGTCTACTTGGCTGTGCTCATGTGTATAGCTGATGTCAGCATATTAATAGCCAGATGTAGATGACATATCTTGATCTCTGGTCTCATCGCTCTACTGTTACCGTCAACATTGTTACCAAGCATGAGCTGGGCAATGCAAGGCAATTATTTTCTGACCCTTGCAGTCTGTATAATTTGGTTATCCCCTAGATACAATCTCTATAAATAGTGTTTGTTGGGTTCTGGAAACTAGAGTGGACAGATGGCATGGGGGACATAATCACCAATCTTACCCAAGTATGTAACAGATCTGAGTATATAAAGAAAGCTTGGGTATTTCTTGTAGTCAGCATGATATTTTGCTCATAAATTTCCAACATAATATAAATTTTGAAACAAAAAGGTAAGGAAAATAAAGCTTTAGGACTGTTTTCAGCCTGCTATTTTTGAGGAACAAGTGACAGAGTCTGGTCATCATTCCATTCTGTATCTTTGGATTATTTTAATGGATTATGTCCCAGATGGATATTAGCGTATTGGTAGGGCATGGGCAGCTAAGTGGTCAAAATTTTTAAAAAGCAGCAGCTACTGGATTGGCTTGAACTGTTTCCTTAAAATGGCAGATTAGTTTTACCAGTGGTGTTTTTAATACAGCTTCACATCAAAGCAGATTTGTGTAATTTGGCCACCTGCTATAAACATCAATTTTAATCAATCACATATATCTTTGCCAATATAGTTTATCAGTGGTAAATGTTTAAAGATTTTGAAATAAATTTTATGATAAAATTAAGCAGCCATCTGGAATTGTAATATAGGTTTTTTCTAAATGATTTGCAAGTCATAAATTTTAAACACTATATATAGAGAATACACACAGTAAGTGTACATTCATTTTGTCCCTGTTTACAATATTGTTTTTGAGGACATTTCATTGTGAATAATACAGAAAATTTACCTTCTGAACAGGACCTATCAACAGTCTTGGGCAGAAAGACATTTGAGCTCTGCTGGTCTAGACCTGTGTGCTTAGATAATGAGTCCAGCTATTCTTGCCAGAACTGCTTGGTGATTATGATTCAATCTCTGTAGCTTTTCAGTCAGTGTGAAATTATTGTAAAAAACAAAATCTGCTCTCTGATACATTTATTTCAAGTGGTATTGCTTTAATAATGTACCCCCAATCCAAGTATAACTTACAAGAAAAATGTATTTAGCCTGCATATGCAAGTTAGATATCCTCCCCATTAGAGTAGTAACTTCCCAAACTGTTTAGGAAAGATGCATCCAAAGAATTTGCATAATTATTATATTGCAATCTGGATTTGTGAAATCAAAGGTATTGGATATCTAAATTAGTAGGAATATCTGCACACAACCCCTCAATCCACTTATTTCATTACATGGCTTATTTTAGGTTTTCTTTTCTTAGGCTTATTTTTGAATAATTGATGTATTCATTACCAGTAGTAGGGGATGTGGGGGTTGGTTTTTATCTCCTCTGTTTTATCCCCCTTTTTATACTTCTTTTATTGCTCATTTTAACATGCCACCTGTGGGGGTTTCTCCTTGACGTAACTAGTATTCTTCTGGCTAAGGCCATATTTTATTAGTTTTATGGCTTGTCTTTCCTTTTATTCAAAATCTCAGGTCTTGAAAAAGACTGGATACGAATGTAAAATGTAAGAAAGAACAAAAATACACTTTAAAAAGACTTTGGATTGCCAATATAAAGTCCATTATTAGCATTCATAAAATAAACTACTTTAGAGCCAATAAGGATGAAATGCTCTACTTTTAATTTCTGTGGCACTATTAAAAATACTGTATATGGGATACATCCTACTTTATAGGGATTAACTTTCAACATGCAAATAAACAAGAATCGTATAACCAGTCTTACGTATTTAAGATTTAATCTAAAATTAAAATATTTTATATATTTGATGTGTATCCTTAGGTTATCACTTTATGTAGATAGATGTGGAAGTCCTTAATACTTAACAAAACACATATAATAGGCTGGGTACGTACCTATATCATCTGATATAAAACTCCTGTGAGGTAACTAGGGCTGACTCTGGATAACAAGCTATCATCAATATACCACAGTACTTCTCACATAAGCTATATTTGTGACACAGCTTGATGTGTGGTATAATATTCATAGTTATGAATAAGCATATGTTTGGATAATACAGGAGGATGCAACTCGCTCTTCCTTGAATAGTAATGATTTCACAGAGAAACTAATATTTATATTGGGACACGAGGAATGCATAGGAATTTATCCAGTCCAATTTAATTATTGTACAACGAAAGTTAAAAAGAGAAAACGCCATTGACTTTGGAAAGTAGGAACTCCAGCTATGAAAGTTGGAGGTGAAGAGTATTCCAACAAAAAGAGTAGTATGAAATAATATAGTCAGTTAAGGGAAAGCCAAGAAATTGAAGTTCATAAGATTGGGAAGGTAAACAAAATGGTGGAGAAGTAGAGTAAGGGGCTTCGAACTCATCTAAGGTCAGGTTATCAAGGGCATTATTGCCAAGATAAGGAATAATTCTGCAGGCATAGAGAGCTAGCCAATATTTTAAAGCGATAAGACTGACATCAGTTTATGACTTTTATAAAGAGATTATCAACTTATATTGTGGAGATTGTACCAAACAGGAACAGATTGATAGCAGGGCCAATTATACAAAAATGATACTGATCTATTATTTTTTTAGCAGAAAAGGAAGCCATGGGTTTTTCTAGGAAGAGCTCTCTTATATGTAACTAATTAGCATTGGTTTTACTGCTAGATTACAATAAAATATATAAAGATTAGAGAATATTGTTCATACTTAATTTTTTTCATTTTTTATTTTCAACAAGACAGTTTATCAAGATAGTTTATATAATGATTTGAATACATCTTCATTTTTTTCATACTTTTTAAAATAATTTTTTTCACATGTTCAAGTTACTGTTCATCCATGTGGTTGACAGAGGCCCATGAGGTTGATAAATGAACTCCACTGTAACCAAAACAACTGTTTTTAAAAATAAATACATCTCCTTTACCAAGATTTTGAAGACATCTGAAAGCAAAAGCAATTGATCTGTTTTACCTTCCTTACCTGACACTTCCTGCAAAGCAAACACAATGTAAATTGTTAGAAAAAGATTCAAAAGGCAGCTGACTGAAAAGAAAAGGTGAAGAAAGTACATAAACGAGCAACACACCAAATGACAATTTAATTCTTGTACAATGAAAGTTGAAAAGACAAAATATCATTGACTTTGGAAAGTAGGAACTCTTGCTATGAAGATTATTATTACTCATATATAATGCCTTTATTATTTATTCTGTCTTATTTATACTGTTCAAAATCTCTACTGTGATAGATTATGAAACAGAGAATATTCTTGTGCCTGGAATTGTTTGTCCATGTCAAGTATTGTTTGATGGTTTTGACTTGATTTGACAAGTCAGGTTAATCAAAACAATCAAGGCTCTATACCATATCTAGTCTCATTATACTGTCAAAATTTAGATGTTTTGTAATAGTAAAGCATATTAATTGTTTGCTGCAAGAAGTTCAGGGTCCTTAGCTGTCCTTCTAGCATGGAAAATGTTGTTCATTTTAGTGAATATGTAAAGGAATAGTTGGGTTAACTTTTGGGCAAAGCAATTTATTTTCTTACTTAATGCAAGACTAGTACTAATGATTCTTGTAACAATTGTCATAAAGATGATTCATATTTTTCTATGTGGCTTTATAAATGCACCATCTATCATAAGATAGAAGATTCTAGTTTAATTGCTAACATTTATCTTTTTGGGTCTCATTTTCCCCCTGGAGTAACATTTCTAGAAATGATAAAAAAAATCATTACTTAAAAGATTGGGCTTTAAAATTGGAATTCAAGGTTATTAGATACAAATTTCTGTGGGGGAGGAAAGCACATGTATTATCCTAAGTTATATATTATTTTGTCTGTTAAGCCATTGATATAATTAAGGGGTTAATTGTTACAATCGTCTTTGGAGATCAAAGTTTAGATTGAATGAGCAATTGAAACTTGCTATGTTTTAAATGTAAGAAAAGTAGGAATTTGCTTTACAGTTATCCTTTTAAATAAGACCTTACAGGAGAGTTCTTTTCTGTCATTCTCCCTCTCTTGCCCTCTGCCTTCTCCAATCTCCATTACTTCCCTTTTGCCTCTTTTCCCTCCACAAATATTTATTGAGAGATTACTGAATGAGTACAAAATGTATTAATGTAGTGACAAATATATTGCTGTACAAACAAATGCAAAACTTTCTTAGACTAAAATACTGTTAAGGTTAGTTTTGAGCAATATTTGAAGAAGGAAAGGGCTGCAGTGTTGGAGGGAAGATATCAAGAGTGGACAGTAACTACATCAGGATAAAACTGACCATTTAGGAGCAAGTCCAAAAGCCCAATTAGGTAAAAGGAGTCTTAGAGGCATGGTAGCACTGGCAGGCAAGAAGTCATGTTCAAGCTAGCAGAGGGGGAAGTTCTATTAGATGATGACTCAAGTAAGGAAATAATAAACTACAGTTCTAGCAGGCTTTCATGAGGGAAAATTGCATGGTACAGAAAGGGGCATTGGCAATGAGAAGGGAGGCACAAGCAGTGTTGGGCTATCAAAGAGGATAGATTCATTTTAAGAGAAACCAGGTCACTTTGGCTTCAACAGTAAACATTGGTTGGTCCATAGAGTGGATAAACAAACAGAGTGAACCTTTGTCAAAAATATTAATTTAAATTGTTTGGTTACCTGCTACTGTTGTTGTTGTTTTGAGGGGAGATTATGGCTATCATGCAATCAAAATAGTACCTAAGGGGGACAATTTCAGAGAGCATAGTGATTAAGAGCATGTACTTTGGAGTCGGACTGCCTGAATTCAAATCCTAGTTTCACTATTTACAAACTTTGTGACTTTGGGCAAATTATTTAACCTCTTTGTACCTCAGTGTTCTTATATTTAAAATGGGGAGAATAGTAGCACATACCTCAAAAGATTGCCATAAACATTAATTGAAATATTTGTAAAGTGCTTAGAATAATACCTGACCAATAGTAAATGGTTGTTAAGTGTATATGTATATGAGTGTGTATATATATATGTGTGTGTGTGTGTGTGTGTTTGTGTAATAAAGGCTGTATGCTTGAGTAGCTCATGACAGAAATGGTAAACACTACCATTTAAGGGAGCAAAAGACAAATGTATGGTAATGTTTGAACTTGAAGTAAAGCTTGCAGTATGTAAAGGATGGAGTGGATCTAGAGTTTATTTATTCTGGTTTTACCAGGCCAATCTAGCATGTTCTTGCCCAAACATGCTAAATTAGCCTAGATGTACTGTTAGTTCAGCCAGGTAAGTATTAAAAGGTCTAAAGTTTCAAACTCCTGCTTTAGGGAACAAGGACTATTGAGATTCCAAACTACTCTAGAGTTAGCAAAATTGGACCAAGCTTCTCTTTCTAGGAGTCTTGAGAATATTCAGGGCTAGAAACCTTGGTGCTTCTGAGAACACCATACCACATAGTCTACATAAATCCAGACTCCAAACAAACATGTCAAATACAAGACCGGAAAGGATTTTAGAGCTGGTTCAGAGGCTGTTACCTGTATTTTGCTCATTCATGAATTGCTGGCCCTTGTGATTTTTTGTGGGTGGCACCTGGGACTTTTTGACATTTGAAAGTCTCTTTCAATATTTGCATCTATGATGCATCCATTTGGAAAGTCCTAAAAATATGAAGATATTTTGTAGAAATTTTAGGATGATGCAGATTAAGAAACGGTTAATTTATGGAACCAAAAAAGAGCCCACATTGCCAAGTCAATCCTAAGCCAAAAGAACAAAGCTGGAGGCATCATGCTACCTGACTTCAAACTATATACAAGGCTACAGTAACCAAAACAGCATGGTACTGGTACCAAAACAGAGATATAGACCAATGGAACAGAACAGAGCCCTAAGAAATAATGCCGCATATCTACAGCTATCTGATCTTTGACAAACCTGACAAAACCAAGAAACAGAGAAAGGATTCCCTATTTAACAAATGGTGTTGGGAAAACTGGCTAGCCATATGGAGAAAGCTGAAACTGCATCCCTTCCTTACACCTTATACAAAAATTAATTCGAGATGGATTAAAGACTTAAATGTTAGACCTAAAACCATAAAAACCCTAGAAGAAAACCTAGACAATACCATTCAGGACATAGGCATGGGCAAGGACTTCATGTCTAAAACACCAAAAGCAATGGCAACAAAAGCCAAAATTGACCAATGGGATCTAATTAAACTAAAGAGCTTCTGCACAGCAGAAGAAACTACCATCAGAGTGAGCAGGCAACATACAGAATGGGAGAAAATTTTTGCAATCTACTTATCTGACAAAGGGCTAATATCCAGAATCTACAATGAATTCAAACAAATTTACAAGAAAAAAACAACCCCATCAACAAGTGGGCGAAAGATATGAACAGACACTTCTCAAAAGAAGACATTTATGCAGCCAACAGACACATGAAAAAATGCCCATCATCACTGGCCATCAGAGAAATGCAAATCAAAACCACAATGAGATACCATCTCACACCATTTAGAATGGCAATCATTAAAAAGTCAGGAAACAACAGGTGCTGGAGAGGATGTGGAGAAATAGGAACACTTTTACACTGTTGGTGGGACTGTAAACTAGTTCAACCATTGTGGAAGTCAGTGTGGCGATTCCTCAGGGATCTAGAAGTAGAAATACCATTTGACCCAGCCATCCCATTACTGGGTATATACCCAAAGGATTATAAAACATGCTGCAATAAAGACACATGCGCACGTATGTTTATTGCGGCACTATTCACAATAGCAAAGACTTGGAACCAACCCAAATGTCCAACAGTGATAGACCAGATTAAGAAAATGTGGCACATATACACCATGGAATACTATGCAGCCATAAAAAAGGATGAGTTCATGTCCTTTGTAGGGACATGGATGAAGCTGGAAACCATCATTCTCAGCAAACTATCGCAAGGACAAAAAACCAAACACCGCATGTTCTCACTCATAGGTGGGAATTGAACAATGAGAACACATGGACACAGGAAGGGGAACATCACACACCGGGGACTGTCGTGGGGTGGGGAGAGGGGGGAGGGATAGCATTAGGAGATATATCTAATGTTAAATGATGAGTTAATGGGTGCAGCACACCCACGTGGCACATGTATACATATGTAACAAACCTGCACGTTGTACACATGTACCCTAAAACTTAAAGTATAAAAAAAAAAAGTAGGAATCAGGCAAAAAAAAAAAAAGGTTAATTGTCCTGTTGAGAGGTTGATTCAGATTTTCTGTTATTCTAGGGGGAGAGTTCTATTGATGACAAAAATGTAAATTTCTTTCTATGTCATTTTGTTCAGTCTGGGGAGTAGCAAAGGATTATTCTTTACAGTATGTTTTCTAATGATTTGTCCAAACTGATTTTGTATTCCAGAATCACATACTGCTCTTGGGTTTTTCTCCCCACATTTCCCTTCAGTGGATTATTTATACTTTTAACAAAATGATGAATGGGTCGTTGTATATTCAAAATGTGTTCACTTCCCCTGGAGAATCTGAGTGAAACAAGTACATTCTTGCAGAAGAATCCTAATATGGTTACCTAGTCCTTTGAAATTGGTTTTATCTTTGATTCTGAGAATTCTCTACAAATTCAATGCTGTATATTAAAAAGTTACAATATTTCATATTTTTAATAGCAGAGATAAAATTGTAGAAACAAGTTATAATAGAGAAAAGATTTTAGTTTCTTCTGGAGAGCAGTATTTCATAACATAAAATAAATCCACTTAGGGATTTATAGAATATTTTCTCTACATATTACTATGAAACTTTTAAGACATAATTTTTTTTTCTCTTTCCTGGAAATCCTTTCTCTCTCTTCCTCTCTGTTGCCCTTATCTATCCCCCACCCCATTATTGTACTTTAGCACTTAAGCATTTAACTACAGTTTTGACCAACAGATGTATCTGTTTGTTTCCATATAGTAATATATGTTTATTTTAGAGAAGAAAAAATAAGACAAAGTAAAAATATACAGCAACTGAGGCACAAAATTCTGCAGTGACTTGCTTCATTTTTCCCTTCCTATTTAATCAAAGTACTATCAAAAATTCTATTTAAATTTCTCAAATTAGAATATAGGAAATATCATTCAGATATTTTAAAAAATGTAATTATATACATAAGCATAAGTAATAGTACAGAATGTTGCATGAGATGAAAATGTATATAAGCTTAGCTGTCATTGATCATACTGAAAATTATTTCTAAGATGGACTTTAATAGGCTACAGATTTTTAAGATTTTTAAAATTGTAAGCTCTGATCAAGGCACTGTGTTACTTACAGGGGGATGTATGCATGTGCATGACTTGGTCCATACTTTCCAGAAATTTATAATTTAGTTGAAGAGAAAAGAAGTAGACACCATGACGATACAATCTAGTTTGTGAGTGGCACAGATTTTGCTATAGCTCAGAAGAATAAAGGCATTTTTAAATTTCAATAGTTTTTGGGGAACAAGTGGTGCTTTATCACATAGATAAGTTCTTTAGTGGTGATTTCTGAGATTTTGGTGCACCCATCACCTGAGCAGTGTACACTGTACCCAATGTGTAATCTTTTCTCCCTCACCCCCCTGGCACTCTTCCCCCTGAGTCCTCAAAGTCCATGGTGGTATTCTTGTGATGCCTATCTCCCACTTATAAGTGAGAACATAAGATGTTTGGTTTTCCATTCCTGAGTTACTTCACTTAGAATAATGATTTCCAACTCCATCCAGGCTGCTGCAAATGCCATTATTTTGTTCCTTTTTATGGCCGAGTAGTATTCCATGATACACAAACACACACACACACACACACACACACACACCACACACACACACACACACACACCACATTTCCCTTATCCACTTGTTGATTGATGGGCATTTGGGCTGGTTCCATATTTTTGGAATTACAAATTGTGCTACTCTAAACATGCATGTGCAAGTATCTTTTTCATATAATGGCTTCTTTTCCTCTTGGGATTCCTGGATCAAATGGTAGACTTACTTTTAGTTCCTTAAGGAATCTTCATACTGTTTTCCATAGTGGCTGTACTAGTTTACATTTGACCAGCAGTGTAAAAGTGGTCCCTTTTCACCACATCCAAGCCAACATCTATTTTTTTAATTTTTTTAAATTATGGCCAATTTTTGCATGAGTAAGTTGGTATCTCATTGTGATTTGAATTTGCATTTCCCTGATCATTAGTGATGTTGACCATGACCTATTTTGGGTTCAAGTTTGGCTTTGGGAAGTGCTTTGGAGCTTCTTCTGAGTCCAGCCACTGAGCTGGTCATCAACAGTTGTATAAAATCCACTTTTCATTGCATGTCACAATTCGATCTAGAAATGGTTTGTCGTTTTTGTGTTGAATAAGAGAATATGACACTTCCAAATGACATTTTTTTAAATTTTCAGTCAGCTCATGAGGCACTCACTTACTGAGCTTTTTCACCTTTCCAATTTGCTTCAAATGCCAAACGACCATAGAATGGTCAATGTTGAGTTCTTCTGCAACTTCTTGTGTAGTTGTAGGAGGATTAGCTTCAATGATGGCTCTCAATTAGTCATTGTCAACTTCTGATGGCTGGCCACTATGCTTCACATCTTCAACACTCTCACCTCCTTTGCAAAACTTCTTGAACCACCACTGCACTGTATGTTCATTAGCAGTTCCTGGGTCAAATGCATTGTTGATGTTGTGAGTTATCTCCACTGCTTTATGACCCATTTTGAACTCAAATAAGAAAATCGCCCGAATTTGTGTTTTGTCTAACATCATTTCCATAGTCTAAGATAAATCTAAAATAAACAGCAAGTAAGTCATTAGCAAAACAACATAAAGCAAGAAATGCACATTAAAATGATGTATAACATAACAACACTTATTTAAGACTGTATTTCAATATCAAACAGCAAATTTCAACAATGCAAAAACCGCAGTTATGTTTGCACCAACCTAATAACTGTGAAATATACTTTGCTTTAGGCTGTTTCTGTCAATGAAGCTGACTAGTTACAATCTTACTAGGTGCTGAGAATTGAAAGGAAGGTGCTACAGTTGACACAGATCACCAGTCCTACACTATTCAAAATTTTAAATTAAAAAATATTTATTGAGTAGTTTTTATGTTCAAGGGACTGTAAAAGACAATGGAAATAATTTTCTAGAAGAGTAAAAAACAGTTTTGTCTCCAAAAATTTCACCATCCACATTCGGAAACAATCAAGCTAAAAAGTCAAACCAAACAAATCAAGCTTTAATGAAACATGGTTGGAGGAACTCAGAAAAAAGGGTGTCTAATTCTGTTTTGGGGTATCTGGTAAGCTATGACCAGAGGAGTAAATCTCAGGATAAGTCCCAAAGATAGACCAGGTAGGAAAGGGCATTTCAGGCAGAGGAAACTTTATAGGCAGATACACTGAAGTGACGTGAAGTAGAGAATCCTAAGGAAATTGCAGACTAAATAGTAGAGTGCTGATGGAGTTGTCAAAGCCATGACCCCGGAGTGTGGCAAAGGGCAGCTCGTGAAATGTCTTGCACATTAGCCCGAAGTAAAGTGTTTTGAAGTGCAGTCCTTCGAGTCCTGTAATGTTAGAAGAAATAATGCTGTCATAATCCCTAAACATATTATGACAAGACATAACACAAATCTATGAAGTGTTGTGAAACAGGATGGTGCAGTCTAATGTGAAACAAGTGGTCATTTTTCAGGATGAATCTAGATTCCCTGGGGTGAAGGAGAGTCAGAGCGTAAATAGATACGGAAAGTTTAATGAGCTTTGAAAGGCAATCTTTATCGAGTCAGAATGTAAAAGAGTCACAAAATGAATAACACAAATGTATTAATTTATCTAATAAATATTAACTGCCTTTAATGTATCCCTGTGGGAGATGAGAGTCTTGTTCTTGAGAATTTCATAACATACCACAAACATCAAGATCTTTGAGTCTGAAGAACCAAAGTAATAGAATTGGCTGGACGATGTTGTGGCTACTTCTGGCCCCCCAGGTGTCTTGAGTTAATAATATTGCTGATCTGGAAATAGTAGGAAGGTTAATGAACAATTGCATTTCTTAATGTTCTTGTACGTGTTTCTTTTGTGAACTGAATGTTAGCCTATTTATAAGACATGCCACAAAGTGATCTAGTAGGAACTTTTTAAGCTCATGCTACAAACTTGGGGTTGTGAAAACTAAAGCAAATAAGTTGGTATTTTTAGTATGTAATGAAAGGAGGAAAGTTGTGGATGAGTAGAACAAAGAGATAGGTTTAACAATCATAACACACAAAGTCATTTGGTGGCCTATATCCAAACTTTCATTGATTTTGTTCATGTTTTGTCCTAGAACCTTGAGAATCAGGAGAATCTAGTCTCTTCCCCAACCTCAGGGGTGAAGCTTGATTAGTCCAGGCCAGTTATGGTAATTCCATACCATTGTCAAGTGACTCATTCTGTTATGGACACAGGACGACAGAATTTTGGCAAATAAGATATGAGGGAAAATCAGTTGGGTAGCTTCTGAGACTGTTTTAGTCATTCTTATTTAGGATAGAAAGATGAGAAAATGCCCTTTTGTGGCTTTTCAGTAGTACTGCGTGAGGATGTAATATTTGAAGCTGTTGCAGCCATCTTGCTATCATGAAGGGCCAGAGGATATAGTTCTACTTTCTGATGTTGGCAGTATGGAAGGGATGGAAAGAACAGGAGTTATTTTTTTTATAATGGACTGAGGAATTAACCAGCTAACCATTCTTGCCCTGCCATAGCTCTAAACTCTTACATAACATAGAAAATGTATTTACAAAATCCAATCTTGTTTTAATTGTTTTTCTTTTCCTTGCAGCTGAAAGCATTCTTGGGGAGGAACGCATTTCTTCTATCCTCTTATTTTCAGTATCTGGAAGCCTGCAAATTAAACAAACCACAAAAAAAAAGGCAGATCTATAGGAGGAAGGGCATATATTTCTTTTCTTCTTAAAATTTTATTGGAGTATGATTGACAAAAAATATGTACATATTTAATGTACACAACTTTATGATTTCAAAGATAAGTATACATCCATGAAGCCAGCACCACAGTCTATGCCATAAACCTATTCATTACCTACAAGAGTTTACTCCTGACTTCTTATCTATTATTCTTATTTCATATGATACAAAAAAGAGAAAATAATTTAAAAATATTGCCACAAAGAAGCATCAAAACACAAAGATAGACAACATGAGATGGAGAGAGGAACACAATAACTGCAAAACATTCAGAAAAACAGTTAACAAAATGGCAATAGTAAGTCCTTGCCTATCAATAATTACTTTAAATGCAAGTGGATTAAACTCACCAATAAAAAGACACAGAGTGGCAGAATGTGTTAAAAAATAAAACCAGAATGCAACTATATGCAGTCTCCTTTCTCTTTTCTGTATCTGCTGCAAGTTTTTTCTTTGTGGTTACAATGAGGCTTGCATAAAACTCTTTATTACTGTAACAGTCCATTTTGACTAATGACAACTTCAATTGCATGCAAAAACTATACTTGCACTCCCCTGCCCCACTTTATTAATGTCAGAATTAACTTATTTTTGTACTATGTATTCATTATCCAACTTTCTGCAGTTATAGTTTCTTTCTATGTTTTGCCTTTTAAGCTCTATGCTAGGGTTAAGAGTGATTTACGCACCCTCATTACTATTTTACGTTATTATGTATTTGTGTATATATTTACCTTTACCATTGAGAGTTATGCTTTCATATATTTTCATATTACTGTTTGGTGTTCTTTAATTTCAATTTGAAGAACTCCTTTTAGCACTTCTTGCATGGCAGTTCTAATGGTAATAAACTTCTTAGTTTTGGTTTCTCTGGGAAAGCCTTTGTATCTTCTTCATTATTAGAGGAAAGATTTTCCAGGTATATTATTATTGGTTAGCAGTTTCTTTCTTTCAGCACTTTGAATATATTATCCTATTCTCTCCTAGCCTGGAAAGTTTCTGCTGAAAAATTCATTAATAGTTTCATAGGGATCCTTCCTATGTGATGAGTCACATTTTTCTTACAGCTTTTAAAATTCTCTCTTTGACTTTTAGCAATTTAGTGATAATGTGTCTTAGTGTAGACCTCTAGTCTTTAAGTTCCACCTGGGGTTTTGGGGGCTTCATAAATCTGGATGTTCATTTTCCTTTTCAGATTTGGGAAATTTTCACCCATTATTTCTTTAAATAAGGATTTTGCCCCTTTCTCTTTTATTTTTTTTCCTGAGGTACCCATAAGGTAAATATTGATTTGCAGGATGTTGTTCTGTAAGTCCTGTAGGCTTTCTTCACTCTTTTTCATTTTTTATCTTTTCATTCCTCTGAAGAGATAATTTTAAATTACCTGTATTTGAGCTAATAAATTCATTTTTCTGCATGATATTCTGCTGTTGAAACTCTCTATAGAAATTTTGAATTCAGTTATTTTCTTTGGTGGTAGAATTTCTGTTTGGTTCTCTTTTATGATTTCTATCTCTTCGAGGAACTTCTTGTTTTGCTCCTGTATCATTTTCCTGATTTATTTATTTGTCTATCTGTGTTCGCTTGTAACTTATTGAGTTTAAGATGATTATTTTGAATTCTTATCAGGCAGTTCATAGATCTCCATTTCTTCATGGCTGGTTACTGCCATTTTATTTTGTTCCTTTGTTGATGTCATGTTTCCCTGATTCTTTGTGAATTTTAGGACTTGTATTTATGTCCATGCATTTGAAGACATCATTTTTTCCAGTCTTTACAGACTAATCAGTCCAGTCAGAGATTCTGGGTGAGCTGGTTGGTCCGCTGGGGGCAGGACTGCTGTTGATGTCTTTGGGAAGGTAGCCTGTAACCTGGGTTTCTGGGAGCAGGCCTGGTTCTGGTTTCCACTGTGGTAGGTCTGGTTTTGGGGTCATGATAAAGTCTAATATACACTTTTCTCTCCCTTTCTTCCACAGGTGAACTCCTGAGCCAATAAGATCTCTTTGGGCAGTTCATTAAGTGGGCTAGGGAAATACTAATGTGGAAGTGAAACCATCCTTTCTACTCTGCATATTGTGCCTTTTCTAATTTATGTGCTCTATTTATGTGCTGCAGTCTTTCACCTGGATTCCAGAGTTCTTATCAAGATGTTTTGTCCATGGATGTTTGTTAAATTAATTTCTGTGGGATGACAAGGGCTGGAACCATCTATTCCACCATATTGCTGGTGTCATTTCCCCATATGTTGCTTTATTTACATTAATATTTTATATGCTTGAGGTATCAGAAAAAGAAGTGGAAACCCCAAAAGGCAGTTAGACCCCGAGGCATATGTACCACTTTAATGAAGGGCAATAAATTGCAGAGAAGAAATCAGCAAAAAAAAGGGATTTGGGCTCCTAGGGGCAGTAAATTGTGAAAATGTGACTAGTATTGTAGATAAAGGCTGTTTAGTATGGTTTGTCATACAGATAAGAGTTGTTTACCTCTTCCAGGTACAGGAGAGGAGAACACCTTTAAAAATGGAGACCTATGTCACTTTTACAAAGGAAAATTTATGCTGTGATTTTAGGCAGAAAGTTGACACCAGAGAATTCTTCCTGCTGCTTCTCAATTTCCTTCAGCTCAAAAATGATCCTTATGCCAATATGGAATATTTTTGGGGTGGCATATTCTGCTCCTCTTCAGCATCCTTCCTGGTATGTGAATTACCCAACTCTTGTGTTCTCAGAAGTTGGGCTTGAGCCTTTTGTTCAGGCTTATGGGTACATTTTGTACTCTCTAGGAGCTAAAGCAGATGGGAAGGTAGTTTTTAGCTAAGATATTTTTACAAATCATAATTTTTATGTCTATAGTAAAACCAAATTTTAAGCATCATTACAGCAAATCTGAAGTGGATAAATGAACTGATAAATTTTTAAAAAAATTAAGATAGTATTAAGAAATTGACATGTAGATTCTAAACTAAGATTTAATAGCTAACAATGAAGACATCTTCCTTATTTTTATGACTGCTGAGAGCAAAAACACAAAGACCTAAAGCAAGTAATTGAAATAAAAAATGATGGATTGGGCTGGCAGCTATTCTTTAGATATAAAACTAAATGCAGTCTGTCTGGAATTTAAAGGGAGTGGGTGATCCTTAGCCCTTCCTTCAGATAGACATGCAAGAAATACAAAGTTTAACCCTTAATAAATAAAGCCTGGGAGTAAGGAAATTCAGAAATTTGAATCATATGACCAATAAAATGTCTCTTTTTATATCACTATTGATATCATTTGTGTAAGGGTTTGAATGGCATTTAAGAACCTCTTGGTTATATGAAATTGAATTTCAGTGAAACTAGGCTGTTATTTTGTGAAGTATCTGACTTAGCATTTTTTAAGGAAGATATCATTTTAATTAGTGTATTTGAAGGTCGAGTGGATACTTTTACTCTTTTTAAGTAGTGGTTTTCTTCACAAACTTCGGTTCTGTGTCATATATTACTGATCTTTACAATGTCTCTGAGTTACTGCTGTTTTCCATTCTTAAATTGGGAGAACTTTATTCCTGATTGAGAAGCAAGAACTGAAAATGTCACTTTTCCCTTTGAGGTGTGGAGGAAATCTTTTGGAAATGTTCAGTCTCTAGTTTCGTAATGTGTAACTTATACTTGTATAGAACGTTAGGTCAAAATTTTTTTACCAGTGGCATTTCTCACATTCAGGTGTAAGGGCTCGATGCTTGCGTAGATACAGGAAATCAAACTCACAAAAAGTCTCCACTTGTTTTAGGGAATTCAGTACCCAGCTGAGAGCAATTACAGGCAATATTAATATGTTGGCAAGAAATGTCAGAGTTCAAATGGCCAGTCTGAGTGTTCACTTTTTCCTTTATTTGCTCTGTGATCATGGCTTTAGAAGGTTTTCTTGTTAAGAATAGTTGTGACCTCACCTGAATTGAAAGGTGGAAGTAATGTTTCTTATCATGTGTGGCATGGCCTCTGGTCAAGTGAAAATTATTCACTCACTTGGAAAATGTCTTTGGTACAGGAAATGATATCCTGAAATTCATTAAGGGTTTACCATTGGGTTGGATTCTCTATATGAAGTGATCACAGAACTTCAAACATCATTCTATGAATAACAGCTTCCTAGGGTGCATGGAGAAAAACTTCATTTTCTCAAATATTTATTGGGTACCAACACAGGAGACGGGCCTGTACTAGGTTATTGATGTCTATAGATAGTTAAGGAAACTTAAGAAGTTTCCTTAACTATCTATAGTTTCCTTAACTGTACCTCAACTATATCACTTGCAGCTCATTATGTGTAGGTATCTCTGCATGTATGATCTATTTCCTTCTACTGCTACAGACTAGTAGATATCACAGTTGGCAATTCTACCAAAAGAACCTATAGTCCCAGCTACTCAGGAGGCTGAGGGAGGAGAATCACTTGAACCCGGGACACAGATGTTGCAGTGAGCCAAGATCGCACTACTGCACTCCAGCTTGGCAACAGAGCAAGATTCAGTCTCAAAAAAGAGAGAAAAAAAATGCTCCTTTTGGTTTCCGATCTGTTTCCTTAGGGAGAAATTGTTCCCCTCAAGCTCTCTTTCTAAGAGAGTGGACAGAAATGTCTTATCTCTCCAGTCGGTAATTATGACTTCTCTGTAAGTCTACTACTACAGACTAGTAGAAGGAAATAGATGATACATGCAGAGATACCTACATGTAATGAGCTGCAGGTGATATAGTTGAGGTACAGTTAGATGCAGATAATACAGTTGAGGTAGTTATAGCTGAGGTGCAAGGGACAAAAATTAGACACTGTGTGATTAAAAGAAAATCATCCATCATCTGAGCAACAACTATTCATTGAACACCTCTAATGTGCCAGGATCACGCTTTGTACAAGAGTTATGATGGTGAACAAAATAGACTTTCAGAGTTTATTCTTGAATGGTAATGTATTAATTAAAAGGTCTCATTAATGTTTAATTACAAACTAGATTAAGTATTGTGGTTCAAGTGGACAGCTGGGTCAGGGGTGGAGTATATCTAGGATAGAGAATTTCAGTTCTATATTTTACTAATTAACTGGTAACCAGGAGGTATGTTCTATACTTACATTTAGCTCTGTGGCCTGTTGTGCTTCAATTTCGTCATCTTCAAAACCAGGAAGAGCTATATTCATCTTATCTCACAAAGCTGATTAACATAAATGAAGGAGCCTTGGAAAATGGAAAGCATTATACAAATGTAAGTTGTATAGAGTTCCACGGTAATTGCTAAAAATACTGAGGCAAAGATAATCCTTTGTAGACAGAGGTTTTGGTTAACTTGTGAGAATAGAGTTAGTAGAATGCTAGACATAGAAAACAGATTTCAGTGATTTCAGGAGAAAATCAGAGGGAAGGAAGAAACATGAGGTGGGTCCAGAAGTGGAAGTCTTCAATTCCTTTAGAAAAGGCACATGTAGCTGGAAGCAGTGGCTCACGCCTGTAATCCCAGCACTTTGGGAGGCCGAGGCGGGTGGATCACAAAGTCAAGAGATCGAGATCATCCTGGCCAACATGGTGAAACCCCGTCTCTACTAAAAATACAAGAATTAGCCAGGCGTAGTGGTGGGCGCCTGTAGTCCCAGCTACTCGGGAGGCTGAGGCAGGAGAATCACTTGAACCCAGGAGGCGGATGTTGCAGTGAGCCGAGTTTGCACTACTGCACTCCAGCCTGTCAACAGAGCAAGACTCCGTCTCAAAGAAAAAAAAAAAAAAAACAGTCCCCGGTGTGAACATGGCACGTGTATACATATGTAACAAGCCTGCACATTGTGCACATGTACCCTAAAACTTAAAGTATAATAATAATAAAATAAAAAAAAGAAAAAGAGAAAAAAAAAAGCTCCTTTTGGGTTCCGATCTGTTTCCTCGGGGAGAAATTATTCTCCTCAACCTCTCTTTCTAAGAGAGTGGACAGAAATGTCTTATCTCTCCAGTGGGTAATTATAACTTCTCTGTAAGCTATAAATAGGCAAAAAAATTCCCTAAGGATGTATGCCTGGGGTGTTGTAGGTTTTAGTCATACCTGAAAGGGTTGCTCCTTCTTCCTTTTTCAGAGTACTCTGTATCGTTATCTATTCCTTTCATTTTTTTTCTGAATATTTTCCTAACTTATTTTGTCCACATGTTCTACAGGTAAACCTTAAAGATTAAATTCTGTTGACCCTGTGCTTTCTTCAGTCTAACTCCTTGGCACACTGAAACCACATTTGATATTGAATGTTTTAACATAATCTATTTCAGGAAGTAAAAAAAATCCTAGAGCTCTCTCTTATTTTCCTTTATGTTAAATAATCACCCTCTCTGACATTGTAGCTTTTTAAGGAACACATCATGTAGAATTGATAGGTTCTTTTGGTAGAATTCCCAACTGTGATATTTATTTCATGACTACACATCATTCTCAGCAGGTCAAAAATCATTGTATTATGAACATCTAAATTGGTTCTTTAATATATTTTTGTTAGCAGCAGCACATCTCCTGAAAAGCAACACTGAAGTCGATTCTGCGGACATAAGGATGATTTGGCATTGACATCTGTCAGCCTGTTAATTACTAAGGAAGATTTGGCTGAATTAATTTGTTTCCTGGTTAGCTCCTTTTCTCTGCTCCATTATGCCCTTTACTATGTTGCAAACTTGAACAAATTAAAGATACATTCCAAGATATGAGAAGAATTTTCATCAAATGTATGAAAATCAAGTACATGAGAAATTCAGTTTCCAAAATATAGGGCATCATTGTGCAGACGAACAGCTTTTTGAACCTTTCTGTTGAGGAACACTTCCAGTTCTATAACATTTCTTCAGACATTTAATGACAGTTTCCTCTGTGCCAGGCACTCTCTGTAAGGTGAAAGCTCAGGCTGGGAAGAGGGGTGGGAGTAGGGTGAATGGGAAGCGGGTGGGGACAAGGAAATTAACATAAGTGGACATGCACAACAAAAAGGCCCTTTCGGGCGTTAATTTTGTATCACCTGCCTGTATTTCTATTCAAACATGAAAAATTTTTGAAACAAATTTGAAGGGGGAGTGGTCCTTCACCAATAAGGCACCAATAAGGCAGGTTATTTTCTCCTTTGTACTGGCAACCATCTTTTCTGTAGTTTATGCTCTGCTCACACCCTATGTGCTTGTTTCCCATCTGAGATAACCCTGCCCCTTTTCTGTTTTCATGACCATTATTCAATGGAAAATTGGAATAAAGTAAAACAGGACAAGCCTGAATTACTTTGGGCTCTTTGTTATATCTCATCATTTTTTTTGGTCTCTTTTCTCCACTACATTTAAAACAAAAAATAACCTTTGCCTGTGCTTTTCCCTCACTTCTAAATATGTTTTTTTTAACCTTTTCTTTCTTCTCTTTTGTGCTTGCTTTCTTAGTTAACATTACAAATTTTCTGTTTTTTCTAAAGCTAATTTTAAAAGGAGGCCTATAATATTTGTGTAAAGTTTTTCATTCCTCCAGTCATCCCATTTTCTATATGACTTTAATGTGTTATCTGCCAGAACAACTAGAATAGATATCTCCATTATTTCTGCACAGATGGCAGAGTGAACAAGACTTTGTCCTTAGAATTTCCATCAACAAAACAAAACCAAACCACTTACTATATATGTATTGCCATTCATGTTTAAGTGCTGAAAATGGACTTGGAGACTTATCTCAGCACTATCACTTATGTACTCTAACTCTTCTTTATTTGAGTAGGGAATCCTTCTTGTGACTTCCTTCAGGGTGTGGACACATTGAAAGATTAATTATTCACATATCAGCTGGAAAAAAGTGAGGTGACAAGTGTTGACATTTGCGTTTCTGAAAGAGGCACATTGTTACATCAAAAAAAGGATAATGCCAATTAGGATTTCATATGTGTTGTTTTATTTTCACAATTACAATGTTAGAGGAAAGCTCAAAAGTAAAGGCTTTTGTGAAAATGATCAGATGATAAATCTTGATACCTGTGTAAGAAGTGAAAGCACCAGAGTTTTTTTAGAAGATGAAAAATGAAAAAAAAAAAAAAAAGAAAAAGAAACAATTTGGCATTGTTAGAAATTCTTTATTGGGAGTGGAAAAACATGAAATAAAGGGAAAATAGCTTTAATCAACTCCAAATTCCTTCTTTGGAAGTGCTGTGTGTAATCTCCAATAATGGTGGTGTACATTTCCCCCAACTCTATTAAAACCATCATTATCATTGTCATCTTCATCAACATGGTCATCATCATTGAACACACACTCCATACAAAGTAAGATGTTATGTGTTTGTATTATAAGCAGAGATTAGACAATAACTCTAATCACAAGGATGCTGTAACTAGTAGTGTAGATGGTAGATGTGCACAACAATGAAGGGATGTTTGATGGTATCTAAGTTGTGTAATCATTAGGCTTACTTGAAGAGTTTCCCCTAATTTTTCTATTTTTCTTTTTCCTTTTTTTTTTTTTTTTCAAACAGGGTCTTAGTCTGTACCCAAGCTGGAGTGCAGTGGCACATTCCTCATGGCTCACTGGAGGTGCCTCAGCCTCCTGGGCTCAAGCAATCCCCCAACCTCAGCCTCCCTAGTAGCTAGGACTATAGGCATGCCCCACACCAGCTCATTATTTATTTTTTTATTTTTTTGCAGAAACATAGTCTCACTCTTTTTCCCAGGCTGGTCTCAAACTCCAGGGCTCAAGCAGTCCTCTGTCCTCAACCTCCCAAAGTGCTGGGACTACAGGTATGAGCCACTGTGCCTGACCAGAATTTTTCTTGAATGTGATATTCTCCTTCATTCTATTACACATAATTTCTCTAATCTTCATAATTTAATTATCATTGAATTTCAGTCTATCTGATTCATGTAAAGACAACCTGTCATTCCAAACATGATTTGTCCTCTTTACAAAACTAATCTGATATGAACTGTATTTGATTCACTAGAGAACAGAGTATAGTGATGCCTCAAGTTATTGATACCTGCATTGATCAGGGTAACTAAGGCTTACTACTGGAACAAGCAGTGCTGTAAATCTCATGGGCTTAACATGAAGTCTGATATGGATTTGGGTGGGGGCTTTACTAGGGGGCTTACCTCTAAGCAGTGACAAAACTATGTAGGCTTTATTCAATTGTGTGGCTCTGTCATCTTTAAGTCCATCACTTCCTGCCTCAGCTACAGAAGAGAGAAAGAATGAACTACCAAATGAGACTTTTTAGGACTATATCACATGTGGCTTCAACTTAAGAGCAACGGTAGCTGGGAAATATCATCTTCCTGTGTACCTCCCAAAAAATAAAATGGGTTTGTGAATACATAGCATTTTCTTTATTACACTATAGAATATCCAAATAGAGATCGGATATTTTATAGTGTAATAAAGAAATTGGGAAATTAGGAGTTAGGGCTGAATGATAAATATAGCCTTTGAAGACAGTGACAATGATATACAGTTGATTAGTTGGATATTGGATAATAAAACCCATCACCTAAAGAAAGAGCATAGCAAATGATTAAAAACAGGATTTAAAGAATGGTTTTTACAATGAGGGACAATGGTAGAAGCTTATTGTGGTGTGGACTTGTAATTACCTCTTAATTTCCATTTTTTTCTTCCTTTGTAACAAAACTCTAGTTTTTTGCCTAACTAAAAGACTGTTGTGTACCCTTCTTTATAGTAGGGTATAACCACATGACTAATGTCACATATAAAAATGGAGAACGGGTGCACATTAAAGAGTAGGTAAGTGGTTAATATACTTTTTCTCTCTCAATCCTCCCAACCTGCCCTCTTTACCTTTATCTCTCCAAAATAACATGTTTGTTGTTTAATAGAGATGACATCGTCCTAATCTAAGGCTTAAGATTCCTGTAACTCTTAAGTCACACTTTGCCAAATTTTTATTCAATCACTGAAGGCTCACATTGCCTCTGAAAGAAAAAAAAAAAGCAAGTGAAATATTTCTGACTGTGAGTGTTCTTATATTGGCATCTTAGTGTGAACTTAGGGGATATGTTAGCGTTGACTGTTTTCTGTATCACCTCAGGTGTATTTTGTCTTTCCCCTCTTGACTTCACTTACCCACTCACTCTGACTAATGTCCTAGCAGTGGCAAGCATGTAGATGTCTAAAAATGTAGAAATTGTAAGAAAGAGGCTGTTTCAGGGCAGCATTTGGAAGTGGCTATTGTGTAGGGCTAACCATATCTCTCTCCTGCCAGAGGTCATGGCCTTGTTGATGGTCTCTAGTCAAGAGCAATCCCATTAGTGAAAAAAAAAAAAAAAAAGAAAACCAGCACTGACAGTGACTGCTTCCAAATATTCTCCTGTCTGCTACTATAGAATTTCCTAGTGTTTCCCATCTTGTCAATTCCTTTCCCTCACCTTTTTTACACTGAGTGAACAACTTTTATTTGAAGTGTTAGGTACTAACCCAGTTCTCTCACCCTTTACTCTGCTTCCTTCCTTTCTTAAATGCTTCCTGCTTTGTAACCCTCTGCAGCTAGTGATACATTAGTTTATGTTTGTGTTTTCTCAAGAAGTGAAACTGTTGTAGGTTGACCTATTATATAGAAGTACATACTCCTCAGTAGAAGGCAACTTATGATTGTAGAAACTGGGTGTTTCGTGAGAAGTTGCTACTTAACTGACCAATTAGGAAAAGGGGTACAGAAATGATTGAGACCTCCAAGGAGATACAGATTCATTTAAGTTGAGTGTACTGCTGCAGACATCATTTTGAATATCTGTATTACGAGTAAATGGTGGAAATTTGAAGACAAGTCCATACTTTATGAAAGTAAGAGAACAAGAAATTTGTTTCCCTAAATCTGTGAGCATACCCTATAATTCATCAGAAACAGCAAATTCACAAACACAAAATTGACAGAAATATGTAAAACTTTTCCAGCAGTTTACTTCTGAATACATTAGAAAATGTGACAGAACATAGTAAATTTCTTGTCATTTTACTTCCCAAGGGAAGTGCTAGGTTTGTAAATCCTAGAATATCATCAAATTATATTTTGAAATTTATTTCTTTTTGAGCTAGAATTTTAAAAGATTACATGTTTTTTCACAGAATACGTTCATCCAGTTACTAATAATGATGCTGAAGGAATGGAAATGTAATTTCTAGAAATCATCACTTTTCAAAGTTTTATAGTTTGTGAACTGGAATACTGAAGATGGAAGTATGATTTAATATTTGGTAGAAACAGGAGAGTTTGTTATTTGTAGCTCTGATATTAGAAATTACTTGAGGTTTCTGTTACCAAACTTCACAAAATATATTTCATAAAAAGCATTCTTAACTCAGGTTATACATTTTTTAAAAATTATTCTGAAAGGAATTAGATATTTAACATTGTAGCTGACCTAAATAAATTGGAGAAAATTCTTAAACAATTATCTTTCATTTTCCCATCAATAAATGGAGCAATAATAATACCTAATTATTTATTGCACAGGAGTCTTGCAATAATTAATTAAAGCTTTAAAGTACTTTGAAGATGAAAACAATTTTATAGGCCTCATTATTAAAGGTAATTTGTTATGGTAACCAGTCAAAGTCATTCATTTGGTCTTTTAAACTTGTTTTTAAATGCTCTATTCGGATCCAGGTGTTAATTAAAAAATTTTAAAACAACACTTAGGAAACATATGAAATTCTGCTTTCTATCTTGATGCTTAACTTGTGAAATAATAGGTAAGTTTTTTTTCCGAATTTTGTTTTTTTCATGTTTATACGCCTCTCTCAAATCCCATTGAGTGAGCGAGTATTGCTCCCAGCTCATTATTACAAAAAGAGGTTTGCCATGTTAAAGCCACTAAGATTTTTCTTTTTCTGAAGCTCTTTACTTAATGCAAAGACAAAGTGTCATCTATGATAACAATTCTGCATATGGAAAACACAAGGTTATTCATCCATTTAAACATTTATTGAGCAAATGCTATAGTTTAAAAAAGATAAGCCACTCGGTAAATTGGAAAATATAGTAATATGTCACTTGCATGAAATTTTTATCCAATGAAATAATCAAGTAATTAAATTTAAGGTGAAAGTGATTGATGTAATATAGGTTAAAAGCCAGTATGGCAAAGGCTGAAACATTACAAAGAGAGGCATCAAATGTGGTTTTGGGAAGCACTCAATTTTTGTGTAGATAATATCCTAGATGTACCTGTATTTCATAGGAAAGAAGGCAGTAGTGGTATTCTAGAACAGTGGTTCTCAACAAGGGCAATAGTCCCCTGTCCCCCATTCCTGGGACATTTATCAATTTCTGGAAATATTTTTGGTTGTCACAACTAGGGAAGTGCTACTTGCATCTAGTGGGAAGCTACTAAACATCCTACAAAACACAGGACGGCCCACCACAACAGAGAATTATCCAGCCCTAAATATCAACAAAACTGAGCTTGAGGAAGTCTGCTCTTGTTGGAAAACACAGAACTATCAAGGCACCAGATGGAGAAAGTATAAGATGTATATCAGGAATAGCTTGGCAGGAGTAGACGTTGAAGGTAACATTGAAAATGCTTTAGGATAGCCTTGATTATTAGATTAGACTACAAAGCTGACTCATTGAATCACTCACGCACTGTGAGTCATTCAATAAACATTTATATCTCAGGCAATACGGACAGAGAGATAGAAGATATAGATGCTGCTGTAAAGTTTACAATTTAGTTGGAGACAGTCAGATAAACCACCCACTGTGTGAACAAAGTGATATCTGTCAAACACCAATTCTACTGTGTCTTTAAAAAAAGTTCAATTAAAAATAAATTTTGGAAAGAGTATGCACTACATACTTCTCCACAACTTGGGACTATATACAATCTTGTTTTGTGTATCAGTTTGCCTTTATTTCAGCCAGCATTTCTTTTGGCAGTGTACTTTTAATTCCCTTTTATATAACAACTATTAGCAACCCATGACGTATTGGATAGCTTCCCTTCCAGACTCACTCTGGACCCTTCTCTGTGCTATTCCAGGCTCAAGATACTGATCTTCGGGAACTTCATGCTGAGTGTCCCTGTGTTCGGTTCTTGATTGTGTTTGGCCCAAGAGGGACATTTATAGGAGATGAGAGGGTGAGAGGAGACAGGGGTTGGGGCATTTGGTCCCTCAACTCCCTCCTCCAAATAGCCAGGTCACCACAGACTTGCTGCATCCCTCCACTGAAGGCCACACTCCTTTCAGATGCCCTTTCTTATAGAGCTACCCTGTCTGGGTCCTTATAACTGTTTCCTCTCCTTATCCCTTCTATCTAAAGCTGGCAATGTTCCTCATCTGTTGTGAGCTGTATGCTGCTTCACTATCCCTCTTTAGGAAACTGCCTACACATTTGTAAAAATCCTTTATTAAGCACTCCTCAAAGTGCCAGTCTAGGATTCTCATTGTTATATATGGGGAACATGACTTGGGAACTGCTTGTATGGTAGTTGCTTTTAAAAAGAGTTCTGCATAGGAAGGAGTCCGAAAAGTTTAAATTTCATATTATGACTTATGCACATCTATTGAAGAATGTATCTGTTAGCTTATTTATTCCTGCATGTATGTATGTATCTGTATGTATGTATTTATTTATTTTGAGATGGAGTCTAGCTGTCGCCCAGGCTGGAGTGCAGTGGTGTGATCTCAGCTCAGTGCAACCTCCACCTCCCGGCTTCAAGCAATTCTCCTGCCTCAGCCTCCCGAGTAGCTGGGATTATAGGAACCTGCCACCACACCCAGCTAATTTGTGTGTGGTGTGTGTATTTAGTAGAGACAGGGTTTCGTCATGTTGTCCAGGCTGGTCTCGAACTCCTGACTTCAAGTGATCCACCTGCCTCGGCCTCCCAAAGTGCTGGGATTACAGGAGTGAGCCACCATGCTCAGCCTCTTTTATTTATTTTTAAATGTGGTTTAGCTGTTCCGCAGGACCATTCTGATGTTCTCCATATAATTCCATTTTTGCTATATTTGGTTTCAGTGAAAATGTAAGGTTTTGAAAAAGTGAAGTGGCTCAAGAGTCATGCTTTATTCTGGTAGATGGATTTCAAAGACGGGAAGAAGGCATGAGGCAAGGAGACAAACCCAGATGTACATTTAATAATGAGTAATTAATACTTTATTGATTATGTTTTCCTTTATTTTATAATTCTAATGAACTGACGCCAATATTTTTAAAAAGCAAGATAATGATTTGAAGAGAGTTAGCCATGGCAGGGAAAGCATGAATGGAAAAGAGATTGTGCTGTTATAGTGACAGTGCCTGGAAACTCATTGAACCTGACAGTGTAGAAAGATGATGTGAGATAGGCAGGGAAAGACAGTAGTAAAAATCCAAAATTTAACGTACGGAAACAACCATGTCTGTGGCCATTCCACTCTGAACACGCCGATACTGTCTGATCTCAGAGGCTAAGCACCGTCCAGCTTGGTTAGTATTTGGATGGGAAGAAACATCTTCTTCCCCAATTCCTTTTTAGTTACCAATTATATCTATTACTTTTATGAATGTTAAGAGTCTACATTGAGATTAGATTAGCATGCAGGGGTATGACAATCTTTTAATGGAGAAGGTAACTTCTGGTATCTATAAACTGGAGAAAAAGTGATTCTTCTTACAAGAAATAAACTGCAGATGCAGGCACTAATAGACTGAAGCAATAACTCTATTTCCCTCTTTTGATCTTTGAAGTATCTATATCAAAAAAATCTTCTTGGTGGTGGGGATATACTACATGGAGATGGGCCAAAGACTACAAAGAGAGACTTAGGTAAAATCTTGTCTTTGTATGAGGATTCTACTTGAATTCAATAGGCCTGTGTCCCTAAAGAAAAAAAAATGTATTTATTGCAAACCAATTTAGCTTAAGTAAAGGTACACATTTTGGGGTTTTATTGGTTGTGGTTGTTCAGTTAAATTATACTTACTGTACTGGACACCATATACGCCAATCACTGTTATCAATTCTAGGAATGCACAAATGAATAAAATATGGTCCCTGTCTTTTCTATTTTCTGTGAACTTTCTACTTACGTCACAATGGTGCAATGGGAAAAGAAGAAATGGATCATTTATTCAACCCTTGATAAAAGAAAGACCCCTCCTAGTTAGCATGGTGGTAGCAGGGATAATCTGTAAGGAAACCTAAATCCAATGTGAACCTCTGAAGAAAGTGAGGATGGTTAGAGTAATCTAGTCTTGCCTCCACATCAGGACATACTTGCCATGACCAGCCTGGGAGTGTCTATTTTTTTTCCCCATTAAAGAGGGTAGCATTTCCTTTTAGTTAATACTGAGATTCCCCCCTAGAAAGGTTCTAATAATTGTAGTGTAACAAAGTTAGTATCAGGTTAATATCCACTTTAATGGGAGAATTTCCAAAACTAATATTATCAGTTTTAATGATACCTTTTTGATTTACGAAATGTCTGTTATTCACATAGTTTTTGTTAGCAGTCAAAACCAACAAAAATATTTGATGAACCCAGATAAATATTTGAGAAACTTGTATGCTATAACACTTCATTTTAAAAGATATGTATTTTGTCATCTCCAAGTTTTCTTTTTAAAATTGTTATTCCAACCCTTCTTCCCCTCAATTTACCAGCATCACTAAATGCCCACCTTATTTCCCAGTAGTTTATGTGTTCTCTCATATTTTAAAAAGGTTTCTTGAGGTATAATTTACATATTATAAAATTATTTATTTATTTATTTAATTCATTTTTAAATGTGGTTTAGCTGTTCCGCAGGACCATTCTGATGTTCTCTATGTAATTCCATTTTTGCTATATTTGGTTTCAGTGAAAATTTAAGGTTTTGAAAAAGTGAAGTGGCTCATAAAGAGTCATGCTTTATTCTGGTAGTGTATTCAGGTGTACACCCATTTTAAGTGTACAGTTCAATGAAATTTAGTAAATTTTTATAATTGTGCAACCATCACCACAATCCAGTTATATAACATTTCAGTTACCAAGAAGTTTCCCTCATGCCCCTTTGCAGTTAATTCTTGCTCCCGCTGCAGCCCTAACAACAGCCACTAATTTTTCTGTCTCTATAATTTTGCCTTTTCTAGAAATTTTGTATAAAAGGAACCATACAATATGTAGTCTTTTGTGTCTAATTATATTTGTATGTTTTTGAACTATTAACTTGCCACATGTATTAGTACTTTGTTCCTTTTATTGATGAGTAGCATTCCACATTTGGATATATTTTGTTTATTCAGTCATCAGTTGATAGATGTTTGGATTATTTCTAGCATTTGCCTATTATGAATTGTTCTGAACAAGCGATTATGAATAATGATTTCTCACACACAAGTGTTATGTAAACATATGTTTTTATTTCTCTTGGGTAGATACCTAGGACTAAAATTTCTGGGTTATATGATAAGTATATTCTTAACTTTTAAAGAAACTACCAAGCTACCACTTTTCCAATGTGTACGTATCATTGTGCATTGCCACCAGCAATGTAAAATGGTTTTTCTACACTCTTACCAACACTTGATATTGTTAGTTGTTTTGATTATAATCACTCTAGTTGGTGTGTTGTGGTATCATCTTGTTCAATATCCATTTTCCCAATGGTTACTTATGTTGAACATATTTTTATACGCTTTTGCATATCTTTTTCAATGAAATATCCACATCTTTTGCTCATTTTTATATTGGGTTATTGTCCTCTTGGATTGTAAAAGTTCTTTTTTTATTCCAAATACAAGCCCTTTCCTAGATATGATTGGCATATATTTTTTCCCAGCCTGAGGCTTGTCTTTGCTTTATCTTAATGGTGTCCTTAAAAGCCATGCTTGTGTAAACATATGTATCCACAAACATAAACACTGTAGGAGTTTTATTTTGTTTTTTTATCTTATTAAAATGGAACTGACTCTATATACTTTTCAGCATCTTGATTTTCTCATTCAACATTACCTCATAGAAATTCACCCATTAGTTTCAATTTATTATTTTTAATGACTGCATACTATTTCATGGTATGCATTCCCCCACTGATGAGCATTCAATTTGTTTCTAGGTTTATTCCACACCCCCAACAGCCAGTAAAACAATAACCACATTTGTACCCATTTATAGATCCTTAAGTACGGGTGCTTTTTATTTCTGTAGTTTCAAGTCCAGGAGTAAAATTTTTGGCTCAAAGGCTTATATGGTTTTATTTTGATTTATGTTGCCAGATGGCTTTCTGAAACGTATGTGATAATTCACTTTTCTCCCAAATGTGTGGGCATCCTTTCTCCCATATCCACTTAAGTCAGGGAGCTGTCCATTTTCAAAGGTTGTTCAGTTAAATTGTTCAGTTAAATGTGACTGGGCATTTGCATTCCTATCATGACTAGCAAATTTGGGCATTTTCACGTGTTTGCTAGTTGACTGAATTTGCTCAATTGTTAACTTCAGTTTAACCCTTTATAAATTTTTCCTTTGGGTGTTTTGTCTTTTTTTTTTAGAATATAAATATATTTGGAATTGTAGATATTGGGTTTTGTCATTTGAATTGCAAATATTTCTTCCAGTTGTATTGTTTGACTATTGGTTTTGCTTTTGATCTCCCTTGCTACAAGAATTTTTAAATTTTATTATTCCTAGTCTTGAAATATTTGTAATATCATTACTATATATTTTCTAATTCTTTAAGGTGGGTACTAGATTCCTTTATTTTTGTCTTTCTCCTTTAATAAAGGAGTAGTGTCCTGGAAGTGATAACATCCCAGTATCAAACACCTAGAGTCCAGATCTTGGTTTCTGAAGGTCATTTACTTCTAAAAAGAACCAAGAGTGCTTGGAGAAATGGCTGATTACAGGTTGTGGCCAAGAAAAAACAATCAGATCTGAATTATTTTGTGGCGTTAGAAACAAGGAAGTACTCAGAGACTAATGGAGGGAGTCATGTTAAAAGGACTCAGAAATCACATTCAAGGAGCCACTGCTGGTCTACTCTGGAAAAAATTTGAATACCAAAAATAGAGAATAAATAACAATGATGGTAAAGGATCACAAAACATTTGAATAAACAAAAAAAAATCTTGAGTCAGCAGAGATATTCCAAAAAAATGAGAGACTAATAAATGTAGGGAAAACATGTATATTTAAGAATCACTATTGCAGCTCCAGTATAACATTTGATTAGGCAAGAACATGGACAGAGGCTAAAATTTTGGCCATTAGATTGTTGGGGAACACGGTAGTCTCACAAGGATACAATGTTTGATAAGGTTTGGCTGTGTGCCCACCCAAATCTCATCTTGAATTGTAATTCCAAATGTTGTGGGAGGGACTGGATGGGGGTAATTGAATCATGGGGGCGGTTTCTCCTATGCTGTTCTTGTGATAGTGAGTGAGTTCTTATGAGATCTGATGGTTTTATAAATATCTTGCATTTCTCCTGCTATCATTTATTCTCTCTCCTGCTGCCCTGTGAAGAGGTGCCTTCCACCATGACTGTAAGTTTCCTGAGGCCTCTCCAGCCATGTGGAACTGTGAGTCAATTAAACCTCTATTATTGATAAATCATCCAGTCTCAGGTATTTCATCATAGCAGCATGAGAACAGACTAATGCAGTAAATTGGCACCACAGAGAGTGATGTGCTGCTATAAGGGTACTCGAAAATGTGGAAGTGGCTTTGGAACTGAGTAGCAGGCAGAGGTTGAAACAGTTGGGAGGACTCAGAAAAAGAAAGGAAAATATGGGAAAGTTTGGAACTTCCTGGAGACTTGGAGGGCTCAGAAGACAGGAATATGTGGGAAAATTTGGAACTTCCTAGAGACTTGTTGAATGGCTTTGACCAAAATGCTGATAGTGATATGGACAATGAAGACCAGGCTGAAGTGGTCTCAGATGGAGATGAGGAACTTATTGGGAATTGGAGTAAAGGTCACTCTTGCTATGCTTTAGCAAAGAGACTGGCGACATTTTGCCCTAGAAATCTGTGGAACATTGAACTTGAGAGATGGTTTAGGGTATCTGACAGAAGGAATTTCTAAGCAGCAAACCATTCAAGAAGAAGCAGAGCTTAAATGTTTGGAAAATTTGCAGACTTATGATGCAATAGAAAAGAAAAACCCATTTTCTGGGAATTCAAGCCTGCTGCAGAAATTTTCATAAATAACAAGGAGCCAAATGTTAATCACCAAGACAATGAGGAAAATGTCAGAGACCTTCACAGCAGCCCCTCGCTTCACAGACCCAGAGGCCTAGGAGAGAAAAAGTGTTTTGTGGGCCAGGCCCAAGCGCCCCCCAGCCCTGCCCCCCGGCAGCCTTGGGACATGGTGCCCAGTATCCCAGCTGCGTCAGCTCCAGCCTTGGTTAAAAGGAGCCAAGGTACAGCTTGGGCCATTTCTTCAGGGGTACTAGCCCCGTGACTTGGCAGCTTACATGTGGTGTTGGGCCTACGGGTGCACAGAAGTCAAGAATTGAGGTTTAGGAACCTCCACCTAGATTTCAGAGGATGTACAGAAACCCCTGGATGTGCAGGCAGAAGTGTGCTGCAGCGGTAGAGCCCTCATGGAGAACCTCTGTTGGACAATACGAAAGGGAAATGTGGGGTTGGAGCCTCCACACAGAGTCCCCAGTGGGGCACTGCCTAGTGGAGCTATGAGAATTGGGACACAATTCTCCAGACCCTAGAATGGTAGATCTACTGGCAGCTTGCACCATGTGCCTGGAAAAGTCACAGACACTCAATGCCAGCCTGTGAAAGCAGCCAGGAGGGGGCGGTACCCTGCAAAGCCACAGGGGCAGAGCTGCCTAAGGCTGTGGGAACTCATCTCTTGCATCAGCGTGACCTGGATATGAGACATGGAGTCAAAGGAAATCATTTTGGAACTTTAAGGTTTAATGACTGTCCTATTGGATTTGACTTGCATGGGGCCTCTAGCTCTTTGGCTTTGGCCAATTTCTCATTTGGAATGGATGTATTTACCCAATGGCTCTACCCCATTGCATCTAGGAAGTAACTAACTTTCTTTTTATTTTGCAGGCTCATAGGTGGAAGGGATTTGCCTTGTCTCAGATGAGACTTTGAACTTGGACTTTTGGGTTAATGCTAGAATGAGTTAAAACTTTGGGGAACCTTTAGGAAGGCATGGTTGTGTTTTAAAACATGAGGACATGTGATTTGGGAGGGGCCAGAAGTGGAATGATATGGTTTGGGTGTGTCCTCACCCAAATCTAATCTTGAATTGTAATCCCACGTGTCATGGGAGGGACCCAGTGGGAGGTAATTGAATCATGGGGGTGGTTTCCTCCATGCTGTTCTTGTAAGAGTGAGTTCTCATGAGATCTAATGGTTTTATGTGTCTGGCATTTCCCTTGCTGGCATTCTCTCTCTCCTGCCACCCTGTGAAGAGGTGCCTTCCTCCATGATTGTAAGTTTCCTGAGGCCTCTCCAGCCATACAGAAGTACGAGTCAATTAAACCATTTTTCTTTATAAATTACGCAGTTTCAGGTATTTCTTCATAGCAGTGTGAGAACAGACTAATACAGTGTTACTTCATAAATTGCTTACTAATCGAAAAGGGGAAAATGTATTAATACCTTTAAGATAGAAAGATCTGGCAAGTAGACAAACTTAACGTTGCAAGTAATAGAACATAATATTTTGTTTCTCCTCTGCTATGCAGTATAAAGTACCTAAATCATTACCAACAAACTATGCTTACCAAAAATGTTTATTCTAAATAAAGCATCTACTGTGGTTCTCATTTATATAGTAAGTATAGGAATTAGAGAAACAAATGAAGTAGCACCATTATGCATCAATCAGACAAATCCATGATTTGGGACATTCTCTAAGTCAACTAATTTGGCTCTTTTAGAAAGTGAAAGTCAAGAGAAAATAAAAATGTAGGAGGCATGGCATGGTGGCTCACACCTGTAATCCCAGCACTTAGGGAGGCAGAGGTGGGTGGATCACTTAAGGCCGGGAGTTTCAGATCAACCTGGGCAACATAGTGAGAACTCGTTCTCTTAAACAACAACAACAATAAACTCTTGCCAGCAGAGGTGTGCTATTAAAAAAAAAAAAGTAAGAGAACTATCTTGATTAAAAATGATTTCAGAGAAATAATCTTTATTGCAATATGAGAATTTTTCTTTGAATACTGAAGTTGTTTTTAAAGATATAAAATTTATTTTGATGAAAATTGAGGAAACTTTAATATGGACTGAATTAGATGACATGAAATTATTATTAATTTTTAACAATTGTGATAATGGTATTGTACTTATGTAGAAGCATGCCCTTATTAGGATATGTGTGCTGAATGTAGGCTTTAATTGCTGCAAAAGTCTTCCTCATGTAAAGTCAAAATTTTTTAGGTACTAACTATTGGTCTTCGTTCCGCCAACTGGAGTTAAAAGCATCAGTTGATACTGTCACAAGAAAATTATCTTCTTTGTATTAGTAAAATAATTAAAATTAAAATGTATATATACAAGGCAGAGAATTACAAAATTTGGGTATCAATACTACTATATTAATTTTATGCTACTATAGTATATGCCCTTTTAGATGTTTAATATCTGCTAACAGATATGTTTAGGTAGAAATGATGTATATCAGGTATTTCTCACCATTTAGATGCCATGAAGTTGCTGTGAATTAAATAAACATTTGTTTGGTAAACTGCAGTAACCTATTTTAAAGTGTTCTTTAAAAGGTATGTATAGGCCAGGCGTGATGGCTCACACCTATAATCCCAGCACTTTGGGAGGCTGAGGTGGGCAGATGACGAGGTCAGGAGATTGAGACCATCCTGGCTAACACAGTGAAACTGCGTCTCTATTAAAAATACAAAAAATTAGCTGGGCGTGGTGGTGGGTGCCTGTAGTCCTAGCTACTCGGGAGGCTGAGGCAGGAGAATGGTGTGAACCCAGCAGGCGGAGCTTGCAGTGAGCTGAGACCGCACCACTGCCCTCCAGCCTGGGCGACAGAACAAGACTCCGTCTTAAAAAAAAAAGGTATGTATATATACATACATGCACAGACACATATATATTTGTGTATCTTTTTTAAGATTATATCTATTTTATATGATGATTATATATTATGTGATATATTATTATACAATAATATATTCTATAAAACTATTTTTTCTTCAATTTATTAAAATATTATTTTCATGTAATCCTGGCACTTTGGCAAGCTGAGGTGGAAGGATTGCTTCAGCTCAGGAGTTTGAGACCAGCCTAGGAAACATAAAACCCAACTCATAAAAATTAAAAATATGTATACTTTTCGGTTTTATACTTGACAGGCTTTACAAGAATTTCAAGGAGATATAAAAATAATGCAAATTGTCTGGAAGAACTCGCCTCTCCTCTCCTTACTCCACCCTGCTATTGGGAAAAAGATTAACTGATGGTGAGTGGTGAGTCTATAATACCATCACTCCATGTTCCTGGATGTTAAAAGTCACTCACACATGTGACTTCTGTCTTTACAACACATGAAGTAGGTAAGGCCAGAATTCTGCTTCCAGCTAACTGGGAGAGGTAGTCTGTTCCCAAAGACTTAAAATATCCTCAGGTCAGGAGTTTCAAAGTCTACACTTAGAGGGAAGAACCAGGAAGTCCGTAAAGTCATAGGTTTCAACCGCATCCTTCAATTTAGTATTTCTAACAACAATGCTGGTATTTTGATATCCATCTCTTTAATACCTGCTTCTATTTCCAACTTGTTTAGAACTTGAAGAGGGAGATAAGGTTTAATTTTGTGCCTTCCCCAAGCCCAGCATTTAGGGATGCAGAGATATTATGTATTTTAAGCATGTGCTGTAGTAGCCAATGGGAATCCAGAATGTTGTTGTTTATTTGCATTTTAATTTACTACAGAATTGTTGATTTTAGGCCCTTTGATCCAATGCTAATTTAAATCATTTTCAATAGAACATTGTTTATTTCCCTTCATGCTTTATAACTCTAAATAATAAAAAATACCATCTTTCACTTTAAAGTCCATATTCTCCAGGCATTATTTTTGAGCTTCACATAGGCTTAGAAGAAAAACTGATCAACAGTAGTGATGTGGTGGTTGTGGAAGCAGTTGCATAGCTTAGATAGCTCAGGTTTTAAATCTCACCTTTGCCTTATGTTAACTGTGTGAACAGGTTAAAATTACTTTGATCTCTCTACACCTGTTTCCTTGTATGTAAAATGAGAGTAACAAAAGAGTAGCTGGGAAGATTAGTGAGCTAAGACATGCACAGTGATTACCATGTCTCCTGCCATATACGCCTCAAAAATTTAGCTCTTATTATACTTGTTTGGTTCATAGTAGGTGAAGTGTTTGGTAGAAAAATTGGGAATTCATTCCTTTCTTGATTAGAGTGAATGACAATCCATTTGCAGAAAGCTGCAGAAAGACCGCTCCAGAAATAGAATGAGGCAACCGCTCTGGAGAATTGAAAACTAACGGGAGCTACGCTCCACAAAAGATAAGGAAATAAAAATGCCAGGAACAATATTCTGAGAAGAAGGGAAAACAAAAGAACAGAAAAATTATCAGTTATATAGCGGGGAAAAATCTGAAAGGAAAAAATCTCAAGAGAAGGGGACTAAAGAAGTATAAAGCTGATTATTCTATATTGATCGACCCATCAATGTGCTAATCAAGCAGTAAGCAGAAGGTTGCAGGATGGAAGTATGGATTCTTCCTGACCATTCGTTACGCAGTAGATGCTTTCTCTACTTAATGACAACAGCAATAGGCAACTGGAAAATGTCACTTAGCCAGCATGTCCAAATCCATCTTCCTTGACTTTCCTGGTGAAACCACATATTTTATTCTAGATATCAGGTTGACCATAGAGGTAAGACATGCAGTGCTTTGGAGTTTGTATTTTCTTTTTTTTTCCCTTTCTTTTTTTATTTTTTATTTTTTTTATTTTTTGAGACTGAGTCTTGCTCTGTCGCCCAGGCTGGAGTGCAGTGGCACGATCTCGGCTCACTGCAAGCTCCGCCTGCTGGGTTCACGCCATTCTCCTGCCTCAGCCTCCCGGGTAGCTGGGACTACAGGCGCCCGCCACCACGCCCGGCTAATTTTTTGTATATTTAGTAGAGACGGGGTTTCACCGTGTTAGCCAGGATGGTCTTGATCTCCTGACCTCATGATCCGCCCACCTTGGCTTCCCAAAGTGCTGGGATTACAGGCGTGAGCCACCGCGCCCGGCCTGGAGTTTGTATTTTCTTAATTCTTTTGGTTGGTACTTTGCAGATTTGGGGAGCAACAATTGGTGAGAAAAACAATAGTATTAACATATGTGAAAATTCAGCTGCTACCTTTTTTATGTAAAAATAATTCAGCTTTTCAATTATATGCTTTCAGGTATAATCTGTTGTTTCTATAGCATCATTAGTGGCAGTATTTAAAAGTCTCTAAGCCTGACAGTTCACTTCGACAGATGCAAAGAACAATAAGCACTGATTTTCAATAAGCTAATAAGAAGTAGTTTAAGAAATAAATTGGCTTAATTTGAGTTTACAATAATCTAAAATTTTGCAAAGATTTATTTATTTACATATCACAGTGTGCTTTTGAATTAGATGTTTCTTAGACTAATATGCTTATTTTCAGAGGATTACAAGGATGCAGTAGACAGCATTCCATTTGATGTACATAGCTGCGAATACATTTAACATTGAAAGTTTCAAGCACTTTCTTTTAGAATTTGGATTTTTCATTTCAGTCTTTCTAGCAAGATAACTTAGAGATATGTATGAGATATAAAGTAAATGACAAAATAGAATGCTATATGGAGGAAAATTTGATGAAAATATAATTGATTGAGAGATTTTTGTTGAACAAATGAAACCAACGATTTTTTCCCCATCAGAAACTAATTGCATTTCTTTCTTATTTCCTTGGAGACACATGTGGAATAAAATGTAATAAATACTGTACTTGTGTGTTTACTTACCAGAATGTTCTCTTCAGAAAAAGTAATGATACCCTTTCATTGACATCATCCAAGTGATAATATACTTTTGTTTCTGTCATTGGAGTAATAATAACCTTTCAACCACATCACTGCACAGTGCTTCTTTCTTTTATTGTACATAATGCATAAAAATAAAGAGGGTATATTATTTCTTAAGGAAATAGGTTGTTATTTAAATAAATTCCAAGCATCAGAAAACTACAGTTCTTGCTGATGTGTACTAAAATTTCTATAGATACTTATAACTTTGTATAGAAATTTAATTTTAATATTCTTTCAATTGTCACATCATACTTAAGTACGGATCTCCACTATTTCACATCTCAAAAATATGACTTAAAACCAGTTATAGTTGTTTATACCCCGATGATAAGGGATTAGAATTTTTTTTTGCCAAATACTCCTTAGGCTAAGTTTCAAAGTCTGGTTTGTATAAAATATTACTAGCAGATAAATAGTTTGTTAATAAAACATCCAAGCTTGTGCTGATGGGTGAATTTGCTATAATGTAATAAAGGCTGACACTACTCATAGTGAGAATTTAACCTTTTCCTCAGAATACCTTATTCATTTAAATGAACTCACAGGTTTAATGTAAAATATTTCATATATATTTGATACGATCCTGTACAAATTGTTTCCTAGCATAATAAATTGAATACAGTGTGAAATAAATTGTGACTTTGTTTTTTTTACTTAGTATCTCAAGTTTGAAGAATATAAGTTCTTTATGTTTTTGCTTAAGTTTGATTTACTTTATCATTAATCATAATAATAGGATTTGTGCTGGATGATGGAAATCCAAACGGTGTTACTCAGTATAATAAGAAAAGTGAACTACATATGGAATGTTTAAAATAAAGAACTAATCTTAAACCAATCAGATTGTTTCATGATGCAGACAGGAATCTCAGGAAATAGGCTTAGTGGAATTTTCTGGCAATTAAGTATAAAATTTTACATGCTTTAAGTAAATATTTCTTAAACAAGTGTCTATTTCTGGTCTCATTCCACTCTCCAAAGAGTTTCATCTGAGCTTAATAATGTTGGTTTGAAGGCATACTTGCAAATAGAGGGCAGAAATGTTAACTCTATTTCCAGATTTCTACTATTGCAAACAGTCTCTAAGTTAAAGCCAAAGTTGTTTTCTATTTTATTGGAGCAAGGGAAGCCTGATTAAAGCTTTTTTTAGAATACATATTCACTCAGCAGAGCAAGAAAACAACCTCAAGACTGACATAGCTGTTCTAAAAGTCATCTTTTGGTTTTATTGTTGGAAAGAGGGATTGCTCATCAAATCACTGATAATAAGAATGCTTAGATGACGCTGTTATGTAGTTGATGTTACTTAGCATGCCAAGTCTCTTTCTGTACATATTAAAAGTGATACGTTGTTCTCAGCCAAGACTAATAAATTTTTTTCTGGTAACAGCTTTATTGAGATATAATTCACAAACCATACAATTCACCCACTGAAATTGTACAGTTCGATGGTTTTTACTATATTCACAGTTAATGCAACCATCACTGCAATCAATTTTAGGACATTTTCGTCACTCCAAAAAGAAATCTCGTATCTATTAGCAATCGCTCCTTATTTCCTCCTAACCACCCCTCACCCAACCTCTCAGCTCTAGGCAACCACTAATTTACTTTCTGTCTGTATATATTTGCTATTGTAGACATTTAATATAATTGAAATTATATAGTATGTGGTCTTTCGTGACTAGCTTCTTTCACTTGTCATAGTGTTTTCAAAGCTCATCCATGTTGTAGTATATATCAGTAGTATATCAATGTGTTTTATTGACAAGTGATATTCCATCATGTGTATATACCACATTTTATTTAGCTCTTCATCAGTTAAAGGACATTTGGGTTGTTTCCACCCTTTGGCTATTATGAATAATGTCGCTATGAACATTTGTGTACACATTTTTGAGTGGACATATGTTTTCACTTCTCTTTGGTATATGCCAAGGAGTGGAATTGCTGGATTATATAGTAACTCTATGATTACCCCTCTGAGGAACTGCTGGACAGTTTTGCAAAGAGGTTGTGCCATTTTTCATTCCCATAAGTGTTATATGGGGATTCCATTTTCTACATGTCATCACCAACACTTGATATTATCTGTCTTTTTTTTATTATGGCCATACTGATGGGGGTGAAGTAGTATTTCATTGTGGTTTTGCCTTACGTTTCCTTAATGATGTTGACATTCATCTTTTAGTGCTTTATTGGCTGTTCGAATATCTTCTAAGATAAATGTCTATTCAGATCCTTTGCCTATCTAAAAAATTGTGTTGTCTTTTTATTGTTATAATAAGAGATCTTTAAATATTCTTTTATCAATTTTGCTTTGTGTGGTTTACTAAGGTAAAAACCTTGGGTGTGCAATTAATACATTCAATTGTTAGCAAAATTATTAAAACAATAACTTATAATTTTTGGTCCACCTGAAATAGGGAAACTAATTTGACTCAACTTTTCTTTCAATTGTTGTGGAGTCTGGTTGACTGCCAAATTTTGTAAATTTTAATATTTTACCCAGTAAAAAGCTTATTAAATAATAGGATATACTGATTAGAGGTTACTTTCAAGAAATTAAATATTTTTGTGTCTTCAGAAAGAGTTCTCCTTTTGGAAAGATACTATATGGATAAAGAAGTAAATTTTAAGTACATATTTTTTTAAAGTGCATCAGTTATTATTTAAAGGAACATTTAAATTTTAGCATTTGAGCAGCTATCTTTCCTCCTTCAAAGTTTTCTCATTATCCTTTCCTTGTACGTATTATTATTTATAGGCTGCAAATGAAACCTAAAAGAACATAAATGGTTTTCTATTTCAACAAAAGCAATCACCTCCACGTCTCACTTTCTTATCTTTAATTAAATAAGTAAGATAAAAAGTAAAAATCATGGTTGCCCCTTTGGTTTTGCTGGTCTGACCCATTATCCCAGCACATTGTGGTAGAGATATAATAAGCCTGCTTTGCCTAGAAGATCACTTAGGAACAACCAAGGCTTGGGGAAGAAATCAGTTGCCACTAAAATGTCAAAGTATCAAGTATTTCTGCATGTGTAACTAGAGGAAAAGGAGAGAAGACAGCAGTGCTTCTGATGAGGCCCAAGATCTCTGGCATTTGAAAGAAAGGTGAAAGCTGTTGATGGTCACTTTCTTTGGGTCTCTTTCCTTGGGTCAGGATTGTACATGAAAGTCGCTTTAGATACATTGGCCAGAAAGAATGTGTGTAGCCTAACACAAACGTGACCTACTTTTTACGAAAGGAAGAAATTCTTGGGAGGTATAACTGAAAATTATCGTCCCAATTTACAAACTCACTGGACAGTATGAATTTCTCTTAGGGCTCCTAATCTATTTCAGTCAGACAGTAAGTCTTCGCCATGAAAACAAAACGAAATGGACTATAAAACTGAACAGGCTGGGCTTAGTTATAGATCTGATTGTTTGGCTATGTGCAGGGAACCAGCATTTAAAAAATAATTCCAGCTTTAATCTGAAATAAAGCAAAGTCTGAATGTATGGCATAGCTTAGTGAAAAAATAAGCTCATAAATGTCTATAAATGCATTTATAAATATATTTAAAAATTTTTAAAGCAGATGCAATTCTTTGTCACAAATACGGATGTGATTCTAAATATCAGCAAGTTTCTGCTAACAAAAAGATGCAAATGAAAGTCATGATCCAAAACCTGGGCATAGTAATAATTCTGGTATCTGGTTTGAGTTTTAGCTCCTTTCTTAGCTGTCAGCAAAATCATCCTCTGAACTTCTCACTCTTATGCCTGCCCGTCTTTATTTTAACTCATAGACAAGCAGTTGGAATTTTGCCATTTAACAGCCAAGCCCTGTGGCAGGATAATAAGTAACAGTCCACTAACATGAATGCAGAGAAAAGCATATGTTAGGCCAGGAGGGATGAAAATTGTCCACATAGAAGAAAAAATAGAAAAAGCAAGACAGAAAGAAAAAGATAAATAAAACCTTAAGGGCAAGAATTTTCTGTTTACAAATATGCTCTCCTTTAGCCTAGCTTTTACAAGTGGGTGACTGCATTTTGCAGTCTTAGTAAATCACGACTGCTTAACCATGCATTTAAAGCTATTAAATTAAGTTACCAACAGCCAATCCCCCAAAACTTATATGCATGAAAAGACATAAAAATAAAATAAAACAATAAAGAAAATTTCTTATTTAAAATTTAATGTTGATATGATTAAAAACATATATCAACATCTTAAAAGCAATCAGACTTCATAATCAAGGAGTAGGCATGTTATAATAAAAACAAGCTCTAGTTTCATTTCTGGTGCAGGTTTAATTTATTATTATTTTTTTAAAAGCTGAAAATGGTAGGAGGTGATTCATTTGTTTGGATTGAGGACTACATCTGGTTCAGAGTTAATAGTCATCTAAAAGTAAAGTATCATTTGAGAAGGCTTAGGGGTATGCCGGAAGTTTTAACTTTTACATCATTTGCTAATGTGCTAGTTATCTGGAAGCTATTAAATTAGAATATCTGATTTTGCTGAGATTAAAAAGAAATATTAGACCCATAGTTAATTTTTTGTGCAGAACGCTTCCATTATATTCTGCCAAGTTTTAAACATCCAATGTAACAGCCTGTTTTTGTTTTTTTTGCTTTAGGAAATGTTCTTCAATTTGCCATATAGGAAATTAAAAAGTATAACATTTGAAGTAGGATAATGTTCTGAGCTTATGTTTTACAAAGCTTTGAACATTAAAACTGTTCATGGTTTAAATAATTTCATGGTTAATATTTGTGATGTATAAATTCACTGGTTTCCTCTACTATGGCATGTTAAATTCCAGGTAACCTATATCTGAAGAAGAATTAGTTGTAACAAAGATTTTTTTTTTAATCTTTCTCGAATGGGAAGATCCATATAGTATAGGAAATTGTGAGAATACTAATGAATTACTCAGAAATAAACTAAAATTGTGAAAAAAGTAAAGAAGTTAGAGATGAGAGAATGTCATGACCAACGATGGATTTAGACTTAATTGCGTATTTGGCACATTGAAGTCTAAGTCCATTGTTGGTCATTTATAAATTTTTAGACTGCAGTTTTTAATATTTGGTTTTCTCTTCATTTTCCTTTCCTAAAATTATTTCCTCTTCTTCCTTTTCATCTCTTCTTTTATTCCTTGTTTCCCAGTGAAATTATTTTCTAGCACAGCAAGACATGGTTCCACTCTGAGGCGAATTTTAAGATGCCGATGTTATTCTATTTGGTTTTGCAAGCTCAGGGCACACATATACGAGTGTGTGGAGTGTGTGTACGTATCAAAGAAGTTTTTATTCTAAGAAAATTTTGAATATAAGTTTGAATTTATTACTTTTCTCTTTTGCCTAGTATGTTATACAAATTCTACATAGTTTTAGAGCCAAATTACAGCAATCAGTTCACAATCCCTGTGATCATATTATTTTCTTAAAATTTCTTGTTTATTTGAAATGACTATATTGACTTATTTTAGCTGAAATATAGTCACAAACAGATCCTCTTGTAATGCTTTTCTCAAGATTCCAGCTGAGAAACTGCAAATATGAAAATACCACAACTGATTTCTTCAACTACTTATTAAATATCATCTTAAGTTACAGTTCAAGATCAACTTCTTTGGGACAAGCAACTATTTACTTATGTATGAGATTTTTAAAAATATCGCTTATGATTGTTTTGGTGTATGAAGGATCCTGTCACCCAGGTAGTAAGCATAGTATCCAACCAAAGCTCAGGAACATGCAGTTTACCCATGTAACAAACCTGCACATGTACCCCCTGAACTCCAAAGTCGAAAAATAAAATTAAGTCTTCCAATAGCTTGTTCTTTAAAAAAAAGATTGTTTTTAAATTTTGGAAATAATTTTCTATTGCAACAGTATTAAAAGAATGGGACTTGGTCCAAGAATAACTCCCAAACTGGTTGTTTATCTCATAATAAAGCTGAATTGTGGAAATCTAGAACCTAACTTCAATACATTGTTTTCCGAGAAAAAAAATGGAACACTCTTAATTTATTTCTGATTTATCAGAATTTTGCTCTCCATGTGCAATCCAATTCTTACCTCTGGATGCATGACCTCATAGGGGAAAAAAATTGTTCATTTCTGGCTCGCCACAATTTCATGCTCATTTTAACTGAGCCCTTACCAGTGCCCTTCTATTTTAATTTATCTGTTGTTGGTTCTCTAACAAAATATCCAAAGGAGTAGCTGCCATGAATATTTTATCTTTCCAATTCCATATTCCCTTCCTTCTCAACTTCCATTTGTATTCCTCATCAAATGATTATTCTCCCTGTTGATGTGAAAAGATTTAGGACACTTTCCCTCCTCCTCAGCTTGTCAACTTGTGATTTCCTTTGATTTCAGAGAAAGAGATGATTCTTCTATAAAACCAACCTATCTCTCTGTCCTTGACCCAGCTTCTCCTGTTTCATAAGAGATATTACTCTTATAGATCTTCTTTTCTAGTCTTTACATACACATTTGTTCCCTCATCCCCCTCTGGCTACTGTCCTCTTTCCTCTTTTCCTTTAGTGAAAAATGTCTTCCATGTCCCTTGCATCTGTATCACCCTGGATGTAAGTTCATTTAATTGTTTTCTCTTTTTCCCTTTCTACGGAGATTGCCTTCTCAAAATCAACTTCGTGTCAGCTCTAGCAGTCACATATTCACTCTCAGTCTGGTTAATTCTTTAGTGCATTTCACAACTTAAAACTGTTTTTTTCTTGACTTCTGGGAAAGCACATTATATTGCCCCATAATACTCAGATTCTTCTCTTACTACCACCTAAATGCTCAGTCTTTTTCATATATTCCTTTTCACTCCTCTGTGTGTTATCTCTACTAAATATGAAATCTCAGCGATCTCATCTACCCCATTACTGCAACTCTCCCTTCTATGTGAAAAAGCCCAAAATAATAATCATTTCCCATTTTCAAAGAGCTTTTCCTTGGATACTTATATTTAATCTTTAATAAGAATTTATGAGGTAGATACATTCATTACACAGACTACCAAATTCACATTTTCAGTTTCCTACTATTTGGTCATTCTCCATAAGTCAACTAGATATTTACTGCACTTAGGCATTCACTGTGGTGTAGTAATGTATCAAAAATTAAGTCTATTGTCTTTTTATGTCCCATCCAGTGTCCCTTCTCAACCTTCCTGTTGGTATTAAATTGGCCAGGCTACTGGCCAAGTCTGTTAGTTCAAAGTCTTAAGAGTAAGCTTCATTTCAAACAGTAGAGGCTTCCAATGGGATGAACTTGGATTATTATCTGTTGGTGACCCTCCCCACTGTCAACTCATCCTTTAGAAGCCCACTCAAATGCCAGCTCCTTCAAGAGTCATCACCTTATCGCAATGCTCCTAGGAACATTTTCACAACTCTGTTCCTGTGGCACTTTTTGTCTCCATCCTGATATTGCTAAATAGTGTGGCTCTCAGACCTCGGGGTGTTGGGTCAGACAGGCTCGTGCTCCAGTTTTTGTGCTGCCACTTACGAGGTGGATGACTTGTTGCAAGTCACCTTTTTAAAGCTTCGTTTTTCCATATTGGTACACAGTGTTCATGATCATAATGCCTAGTTTGTGGGATGTTTAAAAAGATTACATCAGATAATCATACGCGGAACTGGAACATACTAAATGCTCAAAAAATTGTTAGCTAACTCACTTTCTATAATGTAATATTCTGAACACATGCAGAACCTGACTTTTAAGATCCAGTTCCTAGTTTTGTGCCTGAGGCTTTACAATGCTGTGATGCTGTGATCTGGTCATGACTTAGAATACTTTGATTATCTCTGCTATACAATGGAATGTATTATAATTTAAATAAGTATTTGTGGGGCTGGATGCTATGGCTCATGCCTGTAATCCCAGCATTTTGGGAGGCTGAGGCGGATGGATCACTTGAGATCAGGAATTCGAGACCAGCCTGGCCAACATGGCGAAACCCTGTCTCTACTAAAAATACAAAATTAAGCTGGGTGTTGTGGCATGTGCCTGTAATCCCAGCTACTCAGGAGAGTGAGGCAGGAGAATCACTTGAACCCAGGAGGCAGAGGTTGCAGTGACCCAAGATCGCACCATTGCATTCTAGCCTGGGTAACAGAAAGGGACTCCATCTTAAAAAAAAAAAAAAAAAAAAAAAAAAAAAAGTATTTGTGGGATAGATGGAAAAATTTCTATAAAGATGTTCATAAACTATTCTTGCTAAATTGTAAACAATGATTAAAATCAAGCATTTGAACAGCAGAATCTGATTTTGTACATCTTTGCATTTTGTATATTACATGAGCAAAACCAGGGTGGATTATATTTAAAAATTTTAGTTATTTGTTGATTGAATTTACTTTGATGTCAATCCTCCATTTCTTATATATATGCACTTTCCAAATCCTATTGATCAAAAAAATGAAAAATCTCATCTTCATTACCCTGTAACCCAAAGCCACTCCTCTAATCAGACCCCAACTCCCTTTAAGAATAACCATAAGTGTCTCCTACTTGGCCCTCATACCTCCAGCTTTTAACTCTATTAATCCATTTATTACAATGATATACAATAGATAATCTTCTGTAAACACTCATTTGACCATGCCCTTCCCTTGTTTAAGAACTTGCAATGACTTGCTTTTTCCTAGCACAGCAAAGCTAAATTTCTCCCTTGAATTTTAAAATCCTCCATCTGTTTCTACTCTTCCTATGCAATATTATTTTCCATTATTCCTTAACAAGCTTCCACCATCCTACTGAGACAGGTATATTTTTTGTCTCTAGTAAACTAGGCCCTGAAGATAAAAATTTGCATAAAATATTCAGTAGCATGTTCCTTATTTTGCTCTCACCTTCTATGCTTTTACACATGCTATTTAAGTCTCCTGGAATGCCTTCTCCTAAACTCCATGACCCAATACACATTTTTTCTCCCCTGTCAACTATTTCTTCATGAATCTCCCCCCTCTTAATGTTGTTACATAGTCTCTAAAAATAATCTAAAATAGATGATTTAGTCATGTGGAATAAGATTCAGAAGGTATCCCAGGCCATGTAGTTAAAGTCTCTTAACCTCAGCAACACGCCTGCCAGATTCCCTCCTTCTCTGAGAGATGTTCTCTATATAAACAAATATTATATATATTCTTCCCTTATTTCTCTTTCGCCCCTCTTTTTAATACAAATGATGGAGGGAGTATCGAAGCTGTCCCTAAAGAGGTCACAATTAAGCAGAAACCTGAAAGAAATGATTGAGCATATCAGGTAAGGATCTGGGGAAAGAAGATTCCAGGCAAAGTAAACAGTAATTGCCAAGTCCTTCAGATGGTAGCAAGCTTGTACTTCAGGGAGAATAAGCTGGACTGTGTTGTCTGCATGGAGGGTAAAGAGGAGATTGCGGCAGAGCAGGATGGGAAGGTAGGAGGGACCAAACCAAGGAGAGTAATCTAACCCATGGGAAGTTTGGAATTTATTCTAAAGTTGATGCAAATCTATTATAGAGTTTTGTGGAGAGCATGCTATGAAATATTCATATTCTAAAATGACCGTGTGGATGCTCTGTTGGGATTTTTCAATAGGCAAGTATAAATAAGCAGGGAAGATATTTAGTGATCTTGGAAAAAGATGAAAAATCTCCATACGAAAGCTGTAAAAACACTTTCCTAAACTGCCAGTGACATTGCAAATCGAAATTACAGATTACTTAGAAATTAATGACATTAAGGTTACTATATATTAAAACCTATAGAATATAAGCATAGTGGTACTTGGTGGGGGGACATTCATAACAGGAGGTGTATTTTTTTTTCAATGTTGAAGGTAAGTAACTAAAAAGAAACCAAACAAAAGTATAAGGATTAACAAAGTAAGGTTAAATAATTTGGTAGAAAGGATGAAACAAACTATAAACAGGAATTAAATATAAATACAATTAAAATTGGCAAATTTGAAGAAGAATAAGAGAAGATGCATGAATACCTGTTGTAGGTAACTCTTGTGAGGGTGGTTCAGCTCAAAATTCCACCTTTTCTGGGACTGCTTTCTATTGTATAGCAACTGATGCTTGGTAGCCCCATGTATGATATGTAGTCCTATCCAAGTAACTGTGATTCATAGAGGAAGGATTAGTGAACTCACCTCAAACTGGTGGTCCAGTTTGGGTGAGTTTTTCCTGGAAATTTGACATTTAAAATTGTTAAGAAAAAGAGAGTGTTTAAAGCACAGAGCAGTGGTCATCTGGGGATGTAACTCCAAATGTTACTTGCATTCATAGGTATTTTAGCAAGCTTGTCCAACCTGCAGCCCATGGGCCATCTGCAGCCCTGGATGGCTTTGAATGTGGTCCAACACAAATTTGTAAACTTTCTTAAAACATTATGAGATGATTTTGTGATTTTTTTTTTTAAAGCTCATCAGCTATCATTAGTGTATTTTTTGTGTGGCCCAAGACAATTCTTCCAATTTGGCCCAGGGAAGCCAAAAGATTGGACACCTCTGCCAGGGAGTTTCTATATTCACATTATTCATACGTTCTTTAGCCTAAAATCCATCTGTTTGAAAGGAGTTCAGTTTTTTAAAAATATGCTTTTCTCACTTTCATTTTCATAGTAACCTTTTTCTTCTTTACAAGAGAGAGGCATATGCCTCCATCAGTATTCTTGAGTATTACAATGGTGCATTGTATTAGTGTGTAAAACTTAACCAGAATGCCAAACAATGGACAAATAGAAATACCGATGTTGGTGCTGAGAAAGTGAATGCCTAATGATTGGGTAACAAATCCTCTTGCAAATCAGGGGATTTCTTTTTCACCGAATTAAATAAAATTTAAAGAGAACCTAATAGAATTTCTATTGATTAATCTTTAAAAATAATTTTTGAAGAAATATCGCTAAGTAATTTTTGTCATATACCCAATAATGAATTCAAAGAACTGAATACGATTGCTATATCAAAACTCCCTCTAGGACCTATTGTTACCTTATGTGAACAAGCTTTCTCAGCACTTGCATCTATGACAATGAAAATAGGGATTATATGGATGCTGAACTATATTTCAATTGACAATAATAACATTCATTGATGAATATGTGAATTAATAGAAAAAATAAGAGAAATCAGTAAAGCTTCAGTTCCATCTATTTCATTAAGAAAAACATTTTCAAGTAAAGTTTACATTTTCATGATTGAAAATCATCAACATTTGCAAATTTGTTGTTTAAGTCACCTGCATACAACTAATAATTATAGAAATAATTTAGTCCAGAAAAAAGTAATTCAATACTTAGAAACTTATAGTCAAAGGAAATTAAACTTTAAGTTTGTATAGTTTTCTTATAAAAATATGTTAAAAGATAATAGAAGATGCCCAAACATAAAAATATGTATTAGCTTAGTATAAAGTTTTATAGGGCAAGTGAAAGATAAATAAAAAGAAAAGAATGGTGTAAAATTTTTACTTAGAAGAGCCTTTTTAAAAATGGATTGTAGTGGGTGTCAAATTATTATGGTATTTAGATTCCCACTACATACAATTTAAAGTGACATGACAGTTTTATTTTTAACGTTACATATTTACAATAAGAAAAAAGGTATCTTTTGTAACTTCCTATATTTATAATGAAAATTTTGATTCTCAACCTAAAAATTCTTATGTAGATATATAAGAAAATGTCTGGGGACTTGTTCTAGAGAGAAGACCTATCCCTGAAACTTGTGCTGCAGAGGTCTTACAAAAGAACTTCTTCCTTTCACAAAGTAAAAGAGTTAGATTTGCAATTGAAAGAACCTAAAGAATTGCCAGCTTTTTGTTGGTATGAGTTAAGAACACAGGCTTTGAGTTCGAACTCTTATTAGGCCACTTGTTCTCTGTCTGATATCGGACAAGTAACATAATGATTTACCACTCAATTTCCTCATCTGAAAAATGGGAAAAAAATGTGGTACCTATCTCAAAAGGGTATTTTGAGAGTTAAATTAATACAGTGCCTGACATAGAGATCCGAAATAGAAGTATTGTTATTATGATAAAGAAATGGACTCTAAAAATATGAACAGCAGAGAAAACATTAGAATATTTTAAACAAGTGTTTGACAAAACTGAAAAACTGGATTGTTGAATTTGCCTTTTAGAAAATACGTATACTGATTTTGACTCATCTGAAGAAGAAAACCTGAACACAGTAATAATTATAGAAGAAACCAGCATCTAAGCAAGTTACCAGGATTATGTGATTTTATGACCAGGCTCTTCTGAACCTTTAGGCAAGGGAAAATTCTTAAGTTTTTAATAACTGCTTCTGAAAACAGGATAAGATGGAAATCTTATTGCTATGTTGACACTAGCAAAACACTGATAAGCTAAACCTGACCCAGAAAGGAATCATTCATATATACACACGCACTCATGACAAATCTTACTTATAAGATATGACTTCAAAATCAAGGTTTTCTTCAAGAATACAGCCATGCTTATGTATTAGAGAAACTATTGTGATAATGGGATAGAAAAATAGAAACCACAACAAAACACCACATCACATACTTATATGTCTCTGAGAAATAGAGACATATAGGATGTTCTAGATGGGGAAACTCAGTATTTATAGCTAGTAATTGTCCTTAAATTAATCTATATATTGAATGCGATTCAAATAAAATTTTCAATAGAATCTTGAGTCTCGATTTTATCTGGATTAATCAATGTTTGCAAAGACATGGGCACTCTCAGTCATGCTTGATGGGAGTGGAATTTCCTGCACGGGTGGCAGGGGGCTAGTATGGCATTATATATATAGCTGCGTAATGTACATATTCTTTGATTCAGCAGTGAGACAGATGTTTATTGATTAATTGGTGAGTGTATTAGTAACGGAAGAAAGCAAGTTGAAAAACTGTTTAATTTTATTTTGCTAAAAATCCTTATATATATATTTAGGCATATTTACATATATGAAGAAAAGTGTCTCAAAAGATGCGAATCTAAATGTTAACTGATGAAGCATTAAAAACTCTTTACTACTTCGTACAGTGCTGTAATGTTAGTTTTTTTAAAAAAAGAACACAAAATTTTCATAATTAAAATAAAAAGTCAAGTCTTGGGAGGGATCATAAGGTTGGCAGTGGCTACTGGAAAAACCACATGTCACTTAGCTTGGAATTGCAGTCAAAGTGACATAGACTGATGGAGAGATGTCAGGCTCAGAAAAAGCATTTCCTTATAGCCTCTTATTTGGTAATTAGTGGCAGATCTGCTTTAGAAACCAGATTCACTCTAATTTCAGCTAAACTACACTATCCCTTTTGCAGTTGAATGTTTAGACTTAAGCATAAGACTTCACATTCATCTTATTTAATATTGTCTTTAAATTACCCTGTTCTCTTAAGCTAATCCAGATGGTTTGGGGATTTTGGTTAAACAAAACAACATAGTCTCTTCATAGTTTTAGGTCACATTACAGATTTATCTAAGTTACTGCTTAAATGTTTTCATTGTATAGAACAAAGGATAGGATATCAGTCTGAGTTTTTGTATCGAAAGTCTCCTTGTTTTAAGGATATGGATGTTAAAGGTAGACTTTCACAAAACTGTGCTGTCAGCCACCTGTCCTTGGGATGTTCCCATGTTCCTATCTTTCCTTTTGTTGCTTTGCCTTCCGGTTGTATCTTCCACTCTGAACCCACCCAGAAGCATTAGACTCGCATTCTTCCCCAGCTTTTCCCCATGTGGCTGAACCTGCTTTCCCTATACAGCCTTTAAATATGGTCCTCATCCTCGTCAAAGTGCTTGCTCTCACTCAGTCTCTTTCTCGTATCTATCTGTCTATCATCCATCCATCCATCCATCCATCCATCTATCTACCTACCCACCTACCAATCATCCACATATCTATCATCTATCATCTCTCTCTCTCCCCCCCTCTCTCTCTGTCTCTTTTGTCTACCCATTTATTCCGTATAGGCAGCTGTTCTTGATTTTCACATGGATATGATGAATATGCTTACACTTTTATTTAAACAGCTTTATATGTTACCTCTTCCAGGAGAGTCTAAATTTGAAAGGAAAATTTGACCTTGAACTTTTCCATAGATTTATTCCAAATAGAAGAATAAGTCTCTTTGAACCCAAAGGACTTGGAAAAATAGATTAAAGCACTCCAGCAAATACTAAATGTCTCTATTTAGTATACATACTAAATACTAAATATCTTTGGATCCCTATGTTTTGTCTGTATAATTCAAGCATTGCTGAATTATACTTCATAATACGTTTAATATAAAATTGTGGTTTCAACTATGAAATAAAATGAATCATTATTTCACCAAATCTTTAATACGATGGATTGCCCAACAAGGTGTCTTCTGTTATACCCTCACTCCTCATGCTTTCTTGCATATCACGCCCCCAAAGCACAGTATTTACTACTTAACTTTTGTATGCATTTGCATTTGAAGAGTGTGTGTTTGAGTAGGGTATTGTCTTGCAGTATCGTTTGGTAAAGAGAGGTTGCCTTCCCAACATTTCTCAGGGACCTGCTATGCTTACTTGTAGGAGTTACATGTAAAGAAAACCACAATGTGTACATAAGTTCCTTCCTGAGATTTCCATGCACTTTGAAAGCTGAATTTCTAAGAGACCATTTCAGTGTCTTAGTCACTGAATGAATTAAATTAGTCACTGGAAGGTATTGATGCAGCTTTTAAAAGAAACAGTAGTTCCCAGAGAGTGCTAATGCTCTGCTAGAATGAGCACCAGTAGGCAGGTAAATCAGTCACACAAAATGAAATTATGTATGCACCTATTAAAGATTACCTTCTTGCTAAATAAATGAAAAATTTTATGATAGACATATTGCTTGTGATTGAAAGTCCTTGATTGCAGTGGTGCAATGACAACAGGAACTCAAGGGAACCCGCTTGAATGAATTCTTTTTATAAAAAATATTGAAAATGCACATTAAAAAGAGGTATTTTACTTTCTTCCAAATGTTTAAATCAGAAACACAACAGAGTAAAATAAATCTCTTAGTGCTAAATAATCTTAGAGAGTAAAATCTTGTTTTTTGTTAATACAAATAACATTCTTTCAGAGCATTATTTTAAATAATTTAGCAAGTGTGATCTAAATAGTTTACAGTTACAATGTACATAACAGATATTTACTAGGAACCATTCATATGAAATAAAAAAGGGATGCCTTTGCTGATAAAGGTGAGGGGGCCACTACAGGATAAAGTCAGAGGATATAGGAGAAAAATAAATAGAAAAATCTACTTGCAACCAAATTCAGGGACTTTGGAGGGTTTAAATGACTAACACAAAATGTTTGCTGGTAGAACTGGCACTTAGAAAGCATAAGATACCAACTGTAAAGATCTCACCAAGCAAAAGGCTCTCTTTTCATGGAAGCAGTAGAACAGTGAGAAAATAAATTCAAATCCTAAGAACTAACCGTGTTGTATGGATGATGGATGATGTGTCTTCAGTTATTGTTAATATAAAATTTCTATTGTCCTTTTAAATTCCACCTACCATATTAAATTGGCAGTTTCATCGCCATATTCCAATTCCTTCTCATGCTTAATTCCCTCATCATTCTGTACTGTTTCTTCTCATGTCCGTACAAGTACAAGGAAGTGGCAGAGCTGTCCTCAGCACAAACTTTGCCTAAGCGTCTCTTATGCCACTTTGGCACCTGAGACTCAAAAGGGGAGCATGAAACGTCTAATTTTTGCTTAGCTCTGTGCTGGTGCCAAGCCAGCTCCAGTCAAGAGATTTAGTAAATAATGGCAATAAAACTTATTAAGAAAGAATGTCAGGGCTTTCCTACATACTGTATATTTTTTTTCTCCAGGAAGAATTTCCCTTCAAATGTAAGATTTCCCTGTCCTAGCATGTGCGCTTTTTGCCAAAATCTCCTCTTGTTGAGTGACAATGAGTTCAAATGATGCAGTAAGTCACTTTTGACCTCTCATTTCATTCATTTTGTCACAAGTGACAGGTGTTTAAGCTGAACTATTTTCCTGCTTCTGCAGGACTAATGACCTTGAGCTTGTGAAGGTAAATTTTTTGAGGCAAAAACTAGTAAGGAAGTAAATGATTCTCTCAAGATTTCCTTACTAAATACTTCACAGAAGTCTAATGCTGCGGCTTAAGTATGAATTGTCATCTTCAGTACAATGTGGAGTTAATATTTAGCCTTTATTTTTTTTCCTTGACTAGTTTTCTCTTTGCTCACTCAAGCAAATCTTGTGCCTTTTCCTTTTATGTTATTCATTTTTGATTTGTACACTTTTCATCAGTGAAGGGGAGTTTCTGTGGGAGGAATTGTTGTCATTTGAAAGATTCTCTTAAAGCATTTGAATGATATCTTAAATAATAGCGATTTATGTGTCTAAAGGCAATTAAGGTAAATAAATTCAGTATTTTGACTTTTTAAAATAATGCATGTTATTGAATTCTTCCCCACATTGTTGAAACTTTGCATGAATTTGGTTTCTAAAGGCCAACGCTAGGGGTCACCCTTCCTTATTTTAAAGTTTTAGTCATTGTCCAGAACCCACTGACAGCCCATTAATCTCCAAAGAAAGTAAGGAATTTTGTAAAGAAAAGCAAAAGACTTTGGCTCTAAGAGTGCTAGTAATGTTGCTTTTTGTCCTTGCCCTGTCCTGAAGCCCAAATTTGTAACAAAATTTTATGAATGAGGAAATGATGTTGAGCTTTTGGGGGGCAAAAATATTCTGAGAATAAAAATTTATTCAGCTTGAGGTAGGACTAAAAAAAATAAGCATTTTAGAGTATTATTTATAGGGTATTATTTGAAACCATTAAATTTAAAAATGCATTTTTAATTTAATAACCTGTATTATAGATATGATACTGAGTTTACTTAAGAAAATAGTACAAATGTCTTCATAAAATGAAATGGGAGGACTTAATGATTATGCATATCAGACTATGGGCTTATAAAAGTTAGCTGAGAATGAAATTTTAGATAAAAAGTGTATGCTGAAATATATAATGTTTGTTCATGCTTTTTTGTTTGGCGTGTGTGTGAGTGTCTGGTTGAAAGAATATTTCCATGTATAATGATGCAAAGAATTTGCATAGTAGAAATCACTAGTTCATAGATTTGCTCTGCAGTTGTTTTGAAGGTAAGTTTAATAATTTTGTCAGGAAGCTGGTGTCTCACTCTGTCCCTATTTCTTCTTAGCTGGATTATTTCACACATAATATGGCTCTAAAAGAGATCACAATTCTCTCCAACAGTCTTGAACTGTTTTTGCTTTCATTTAAAAACAGTTACCTCTGCCCTTATACTTTTTCCTTGTTTTGAAAGTGTTCCCATTGATCTTTTATTTCATTCATCCAGATTATAAAGATAATAATCTCAGTTATGAAATGTTTATTTGCTAAGCACAGAGGCTTCGCATCTTCATTTTCGAGGTGAAGAAACTGAGGCACAGTAATGTAAATGGAATGCCAGAAGCAGGATCTGAACTGAGGCTGCCAGACACCAGAATATATGAATACATTCCTAAACTTTAGGTTGTGCCGAATTGGCTACCCAACCACAAAACTGCATATCAGTTACACAGCACACATGCATAAGTGCCCCCAAAGCACCTAAACATGAGGTGGGAAATGCACAATTACCAGGAATTTTCTGAAGATACTGATGTAATTTCAAATGAATGATTCTAACAGTGGCATTTTGGACACAGTAGTGGGATCAGTAGAGTGCCTATCTGAAAAAAGTGGGGATCACACAACATCCTCAATTTTCCCACAAAGGAAGCACATCAACTAGCAGAGCCAGCAGCCTTTGTAGCAACAACTGGGTAACTCACTCCTTGGGGACAGTGATGTTTGAGTGTGTTGGGAAGACAGGGAATGGTTAAACAGGATATAATGACATTTAATTGGTTCTTTAGGCAGGATCCCCCCCATCTATAGCTTTCCCCAAATTCAGAGGAACAACAAATTTCTCCTTCCTCTGTGCGCCTTGGCAATTTGTATATATGTTATTACTGTAATTTTCTCATTACCTCATAATTATGTCTTTGGTTTCCTGCACCTAATCTATACACTCACAGAAGTTGAGACTGTCTTGTTCCTTGTGGCATCACCAACATATATCACAGTGTCAAACATATGAGAAACTGAAAACAGTTGTGAAGAAATGAATTTCTAATTTTAAGAGACTCTTTGCCATATTTTTCAATATAAGACTAAAATGTTGCATAACAGCATTAAGGTGAGAATTGGGGCTGGGTGTGCAGGGATGCTGTGCTAGACAGATGCAGCAAGTTACAAGTGATTCAGAGAGAGAAAAAGGGAAGGGAAGGGAGGGAAGGGAAAAGTAGGGGAGGGAGGGGAAGGGAGGTGGAGGAAAAAGGAAAGGAAAATGATGAGGCTCACCTCATACCTGGACCAACGTTGCTTTTCTGTGCCGGTTTCCAGGTGGCAGTCTATATATTGCACTGCAAAGGTTAAAATAATCCTTTGCCAAACTGAGTTTGGTATAGGCAATTAAATCTCTGCTTCATTGTCAGCATTGACAGAAACTATTTTGGGGCTGAGGAAACAACCTCTTGTCTTCTAGATGCCTGATGAGACATCTGTCACTCGGCATCCCTACCTGCTGCTCCTGTTTACACCTCATCAGTCTAGTTACAAAATCTGCCAATTTCCCATGTTTGCCCACGACATTTTTACTCACACTTGATTTTTCTGGAGTTGAGAAACCCTCTTTGAGATTTAAGAAGTCATGGAGAAGACTTAAATCATGGAAATTTAAGAAGTCACATGCCGACTTCTATATTGGCTTTGTTCTGTGCACTTAACCCATTCCATCTCTCTCCTCTTTTCTCTGAGCAAATCCTTCTCCTGGCCTCAGGCAGCCTTGGTACCAGCAAGTGGAGGGAAGGGAAGAAATTAGCAAGAAAGTTTTCACTTGACTGATGCGTTCAAGAGCTGGCGTTGAGCTCTCTGTGTCTTGATCTTGTTTTGAGCTACCTTTTTCCTCTTAAAGCACTTTTGGGGTTCCTTACAGACTCTCCCACTTCCACCTCATGTTGTAGATGACCTCACACCTGTAGTTCTCTTGAGAGGGAAAGTTTCTTCTCCACCTTTAAATTTAGACATACATTACTCTCTAAATGGTTTCTTCAAAGACCTCTGCTTGGTTTTGAGATCAAGAAAAAAGAACTCCTAATTCTATTTCCCTTGCAGAGGAGAAGCACAGCACACAAACTTGCCAAAAATTCTCTACTAAATTCCTCCAAGACTTTTATACACTCAGTAGGTGAGGTACTAAAGACTCCCCCAAAGCCAGATCATATCATCATTTTCTGCAAATTTCACTGGTAGTGTTGTACTTGATTTTAATATGTAATCTTGAGGCTTTGGCTGAAAATTGAGATGAAAATAATGATCTCTTAACGTTCTGTTAATCAAGTTACAACTTGGGCCAATATGCTGAAAAAGAACACAAACTCCTTGTAGTTAGAATATTTGCCTCATGTCACAGAGCTGGTCAATGGCAGATCTACCTTTTTTAAAAAAAAATTGTGGTTAAAATATGCATAGCATAAAATTTACCATTTTAACCAATTTTAGGTGTATAAATCAGTGGCATAAAGTACTTTCACATTGTTGTGCATTGAATCCACTTTAAACCGAAGTCTTTCTTCTTCTAGGCTATGAGCACACTGTGTGACACCAGTGATTTTTATTCTGTGCTTTGTGGCACTCTGGGCTTCATGAGAGGTGACCACCAGCCTCTTCATACTCTGTTATTTCTCCAATCCTTCTCTTCAACCCGAGCATCTTCTCTATGATTAATTAGGTTTCTTACATAAATATTTACTTTTAAGCTGGGTACAGTGGCACGTGCTTGTAGTCCCAGCTACGAGGGAGGCTGAGGCAGCAGAATTGTGTGAGTCCAGGGGTTCGAGACCAACGTGGGCAACATTTATTGAGACTCTGTCTCAATAAAATGAACAAATAAATATAAACAATTTATAAACACTCTCTACTTTTTTCTCCAGTCCCTCTTTTAAACCCAAGCATCTCCTCTATGATTAATGGGGTTTCTTACATAAATATTTCACTTTTACGTTCTACTCAAAATAAATGTTTAAAAACATCTGCACTATATCTGTCCTCAAGGACCAATTGCTCTATTCCACTAGTCTTTGCTCATTTCTATTAGAATTTTCCTCATGTTTCTTTAGACTCCTGAGATAATAAAAACAAAAAACAAACAAACAAAAACCCCAAAACAAAACAAAACAAAAAATCCTCTGAGCTATTTGTAAGAATAAACCTAAGTAATATCAGTTTACAAAGTCCAATCCCTAAACCTCACCCCTCCTGAAAGTTTAGCCATGTCTTCCTCTCATAACTAAACAATCCAGGTACTGAGTCTATGTTTCCTGCTCTGGCCTGGAGCATCACTTATTAATTTGTATGATATTTGTAAATACATAAGGAAGGAATTAACCATAAAAGAAAAATAGATGCATTTACCATACAAATGAGAAATGTTATTTCAAAAAACAATGTAAACCCATGTGAAATCCAAGTGACAAACTCAAAACATGTTTTCACATCTATGTCAGAGCTGGTGAATTCTTATTTTTCACACTTGATGCTTTTGCTCGCCCACTAATATTTCTCCGATTTGAGCTAGCTTCCCGGGACTTCTCATCCTCAGAAGAGTTGCTCCTTGCCCACTTTGTCAGTGTGATTGTCTCAGTGCTTTCAGTCTCTGTGAGTAAAATAATCAAAATGAAAATATAAAAATACGTATTTTTTCTAGTCTTTGAGCAGCAAAGATCTTTCTTACCATGAAAAATTCACAGGAGCCATAAGGAAAGAGTCAGATTTGGCCGCGTAGACATTTAAACAAAATTCGTAATAGACAATGAGATGAGACAAATGTTTGTAGTATTTACTGACATAATACAAATATTTTTGAAAAATTGGAATAATTCAATGAAAATGAGAAAAAGACAGTATATAAACAATTGTTAGGATATACTAATGGTAGAAAATATACAAAAGCTAAACTTCACAATAAGTAGATGCTAAGAAAAATGAGATACCCTCTTATTTGCTCTTTAGACTAGTGACGATCAGAAGATCTGATAACCACCAGTATGACAAGTTTGAAATGAACCAGCAATTTTTAATACACTGTTGATAGGAGGCTAAATTGGTGCAAAATTTCTGGAGGATTAGGCAATATAGTTTCATTCATTCATTCACTCAAAAATATTCTGTGTCTGCAATGTGCCAAGTATTATACTATTCTAGGCACTGGAGTTAAAACACGGAACATGATTGACAAAAGTCTCTGGCCTCATGGGATTTCATTGTATTAAAACTTAGTGTGCAAACCCTTTGACCCAATAATAGCACTTCTAGAAATTTATCTTACAGAATAGCTTGCAAAAGTGCACGGAGGTTTAGGTAAAATGATATTCATTGTAGCACTGTTAATCGTGTGAAAAATTAGGAACAAGCTAAAGTTCATCAATACAGGACTGATTGAATAAATTATGGTACTCATTGTGTAAAAAAGTTTCTGCAGCTATTAAAAATAGCTTAGGTAGATTTAGGTATATGGGTTTAGGCATAAAAATATTTACCTCTATAGACATATTACACTAAAGAAAATCTGGCAAAAAATCTGACCACAAATAGTTTCCTCTAGAGGTAAAATTATGGCAGACTTTCATTTCTTTGTGCATTTTAGAGTGGTATAATCCTGTTTTCCAAAGGCCTTGTGTTGTTTGTACAATTAAAATTTTAAAAATTACAATCTTATTTCTATTAATAAAAAATGCAAATTAAAACAACATAAGATATCATTGTTGTCTCTCAAATTGGTTTAAAAAAGAAGAAAAAAAATAACAGTGTTGGCAAAGATGTAGAGAAATAGACATCAATATATGGATGTTTTATTGACACCAGTTTTCTAGAGGACAGTAATTTAGCAGGGGCTAGCTCATGGCATTAGGCAATACTGCTCCCTAGAGGTCACTATCATTCTCTGGTCACACAAACTTTCAGACATCCCAGGGACTTAAAAATAGATGCCCAGCTAGGATTCTAGGCTTAAAGGTCTATGCATGGGGATGTTGCTTGACCATCCAGTAAACCAGCAAGCGGTTCATCTTCAATCCTGCCTTTGTCAACTGAGAAAGAAGTCAGTGAAATGAAAGGAGAGATGTGTTTCATCAGAGACCCAATGCTTGTGAAAGAGCAAGGTCTTGGAAAAGGAAGAGGTTTCTTAATGGCTAACAAATGAAAGAAAGCACCAGTATTCAGAGTTCCAGAAGAAGGCAGGGCCTGGTTCTGTGGGAAAGAGCAGGAAGACTGCAAGATCAGGGTATAATTCAGCAGGGGGACTACAGAACTGTTCATATCTCCCCGTACTCCTCTAGCCCAGTACTTACATGAGAAACAGTTAGGAGAGTAACACTAGAAAACAGCAAACTCCTACATTTGTATTATCACACTGCAGTACACTCATTTGGATTTACCAGCAGGGAGGCCAGTGATAAAGATACACATACCAAGGCCAAAAAGCATATCTGTCCACCTAACAATTTCACTGCTGGGAATTTGTCCTAAGGAAAAATACTTGGCATGACCACAGGTTTATGCACAAGAATGGTTATTGCAAATAGCAGAAATAATCTAAAGTCCAATCATAAGGGATTACTGAAATATATTTATACCATTATCATGTGATTGCATGCAAGGGAGCCTTAAAAATAATCTTGAACAATACTTATTGTCAAGGGAAAATGTTACAACATTTTAAGTAAAAAAAAAGAGACTGCAAAACATGTATCTCCAATGTTGTAAGAATCTAAAATAGAGGAATATATTCATATGATTAAGAGTATATGTACCAGAATGTTAACAGTGGTTATTCTGGATAGATGGGATTTATTTTTATGAGTGATATTTTCTTCTTTATTCTGTTGTTCACTTCTAAAAAAAAATTTATTTTTGAGAAGACTTGCTCTGTCACCCAGGATGGAGTGCGGTGGCAGGATCTCAGGTCACTACAACCTCTCCCTCCTCAGTTCAAGCGTTTCTCCTGACTCAGGCTCCTGAGTAGCTGGGATTACTGGCACCCACCACCACACTGGCTAATTTTTGTATTTTTAGTAGAGACGGGATTTCACCATGTTGGCCAGGCTTGTCTCGAACTTCTGACCTCAGGTGATCCACCCACCTCAGCCTCCCAAAGTGCTGGGATTACAGACGTGAGCCACTGCACCCGGCCCACTTCTAAAAATGTTTAATAAACATATATTCCTTTTATAGTTAGAAAATATTTAATCCAGAGAAGTATCCCTGCTTGAATTTTAGGTATAATTCAGATTCTTCCTCTTATGTAATTGTTCTCAGAATAGTTATTTACTGGCTTAATTTTAGAGTCAGTGATTTTAGGTAGCCTAATATGTGTCTTTAAGATTGTCCCCGTATTATTTAATCACAGAGAATATAATAATATATATCATATGGCTTAAAAAACATTTTTTTTTAACTAAGAATGTTATATAAGAGTTGGAGACATAACTTCCTCTACAAAGTAGAGCTAATATCACTATCTATTCCATAGGGTCTTTTTGAGAAATAAATGAAATTAATTCATGCAAAAAGCCTCATGAAGTGTCATCCTCATAGTAGTCTTTATTTATTACCTATTAGCAGTGCAGCATGTCTATTATGTTACTGTTTCTTCCTTTGCTTTCACACATCATGCCTGCTTTGCAGAGATTTGTATATATTCAGTGTACTTCTGGTTGGTTGGATAGATACTGGTGAGCAACATGTTCACCATTCTGCAATTTTTTTTTTTTTTCTGAAACAGTCTTACTCTGATGCCCAGGCTGGAGTGCAGTGGCACAATCTTGGCTCACTGAAACCTCCACCTCTGGGATCAAGCAATTCTCATGCCTCAGCCTCCCAAGGAGTTGGGATTACAGGCGGGTGCCACCAAACCCAGCTAATTTTTGTATTTTTAGTGGAGACGGGCTTTCATCATGTTGATCAGGCAGGTCTCAAACTCCTGACCTCAGGTGATCCACCCGCCTCAGCGTCCCAAAGTGTTGGGATTACAGGCGTGAGTCACTGCACCCAGCCCCAACAATTTTTATTCCCCACCTTGCTGAGAAAAACCCTTAAATCTTCAATGATGAGATATATGAAATCTGTTACCAAAGTTCATGTGGCTACCACACTATTAAATGTTGTTTGGCTCGCATTTGTCCTCATTTTCATCAGTAGTTGAAGGAAAGTGCCATCTTCTTGGCAAAATATTATAAGATCTGTTGATTTTTATTCATGTATAAGCTTGTTTCTTGACATAATCAAATTTTGCTCAAATGTATCAACTAATTAGAAAGCAATTTTTAATGGCTCTTCATTATACTCACAAGTATACTGTGGATAACACTGGAAAACGGATCAACTAAGGAAAAGATGAGCAAATACAACAGGCACAAATGATGGCTTTATATTTACAGTAAAAGTTTCTCACACCCATACCTATACCCAGGAAATTCAGAGGAAGGCTGGGCTTTAACTGTGAAGCATTTCATTTAGCATTTCAATATTGCAATATTTCTAAATAAATATCATGTAAGATTCCTATCAATTGCTCTGTGACATCTTACTACCCAGAACTGAGTTGAAAATTAAAAGGATCTCTGAAATCACTTGAGATATACAATCTGAGTTTGAAAAATGATTTTTGCATTTATTTTTGCAGTGTTTCTACATCAAAGAAAACTATTGATTTAAGCAAACCACACTTATTACAAATGTGCAACATTAAATAGATGTATTAAAATGCAAAACACATACCCTGATATAATTATATAATTACTAGCCTATTAAACCGTAGGTAAGAAACACATAATTTCAATGGGATAATACTAACAGAAAACTTTGTCATGGGAATTAGAATGATCAACTTTTCAGAGTCTGAATTATTTATTAACAAAGAATAATTATTAAATGGCTCTTTGCTGTTCTTATGTTTATAGGGCCATGATGTAAAAAAGAAGCAATATTTAAAGTGTCAAAAGAAGTAGCAAGCTCATCTATACCAAGAATTCAGGATTTTTAACTCTCATAATTTATGATCTAGTAAATTTAAAAATCAAAGAGGACAGGAAGATGTACTCCTGGCTTGTGAACATCAAGTTATTAAACTATCCACGTAGTGTTAGTCTCTCTTCAGAGGCAATACATTAAACTTGCTTACTGATTTGTTATGCACATTTATGCTGCTAACTGGAACTAGTATAGTTATCTCTGGAAATTTCACTTAAAGTTTTTACTGGAAATTCTGAGAAATATAATAGTAACTAATTGTTCTAAATCATCTTATATAGGTTTGCTACTACTTCCAAAAATAAGGTGGGTAAAATACCTTAAATGACCCTCTCAAATAAAATAATAACACTGTTTTTAAAATATTTAAACATCTTGAAACATATTCCGTAGCTGGCAGAAAGGAATGAAATTTAAAAAGAATAAACACAAAATGAAAATAGAAACCCTAGAGGTAAGAAACAGCCAAAACTTCCTTTCACTCTGAAAGACATGGAGTGCAGGGAATAAGATACAAAGCCTAGAACCTTTGCAGGATCGATAGTCTTACAGCAGACACTTTCACAAAGCTCAGACTCTAGTGTAAAGATTTGAGTGAAGATTAAAGAACCCACAATGCTGAAGGGGACAGCAAGGAAATTTTCCTGTATCAACTTTTGTTCTGGGATGAAGGGAAAAAAGAATATAACAATTTATGTCCAAAAGCAACCCTTAAGTAAGTTTGAGGTCCAAATTCCCACTGAGTTGTTCTAAAACACTTAAATGGAGAATTTAGCTAATTCTTGTCCAGGGTTGGTAATGCCTTCGGAAAAAATTTGCAAAAGCAAACTCAATTCTTCTCGGGTGAAATACAACTTTAAATATGCCCTCAAGAATTTACGCATATCAGGTTTTCAGCTGTATGAGTACAGGTAAAAAAAACAACAACTCTCTCTCTTATACCACACACACACACTCACACACACACAGAAATAAATAAGAGACCGTATGAGAGAGCCAGATGAAATAATAGACTTCACAATGAGATTCAACACTTTAGACCTTGTTACAAATGCATCTTAAGTTATTGAGGATAACTAAAAATACGCATACTAAGAGAGTACAATTTTCAAACAAGTAGAAGGAAAAATGTGATGAAGAAAACCCAACTCCAATCTCAAAAATACAAGAAATGAGTAAAAGTGAAAAAGAAACAGGAAAACAAAAAACTCAGTTCAATAACAAGTACATATAAAGTTGGTATAAATAAATCCAAACACAGCAGTAGTCACAATATAATAAATGGGTTAGTCTCTCAAGTGTATCATTTCCAAACTAACAGTAGAATGTAATGAAGAAACAAGACTCTAATCCAAAAGAAGACAAAAATTAGTTAAAGCAAAATGAAACAGAAAATATAAACAGAAAACAATAAAAATACATAAGAAGGTGGTACAAATAAATCCAAATGCAACTGTAATTGCAATAAATATAAACGGTTGAACTAAACTAGTTTCTAGTTAACAAAAAATTATCAGATTAGAATAAAAAAACTTGCTTCTTACACAAGATAAACTTCATATTACAAAAACATAAAAGTAAAAGGATGAGAAAAACAGACTAAAAATATACTAAATCAAAAAAAGTGATGTTATTTTGAGACAACATAGATTTTTAAAGCAAAAGGCATTATTAGATATAAAAAACACTAAATTGGCTGTAAAAATGATTGAAATGATAGGGGAACAAATCCACTATTTTAGTAGAAGTTTTAAAAATATAACTCTCCAGGAAATGATAGTTCAGGGAGACAAAATAAAAAGTGAAGATACAAAGCATTGATATGTTTGATCAAATGGACAGAATGATGCTCCAAAGGCATCACCCTGCTTGGACGGACTCAGTATGAGTTCACCACTGATCTGCATTACATGTGTTATATATGTTTTCCATAAGCATGTAGATCTATCTCTAGACTATTCTCTATTTACACCTGCATTGAAATAATAGCAATGTAATTGTTAAATTTTTTAAATAAAAACAGTGGTAGGACAGTATTTTCAACAGCCATGAGGCATGACACTTGTAAGTAGAATATAGCTGAATGAATATATAGGCATATATATTTTTTCATTACTTTCTCTATGGATTTGACATGTAAATATTATCTTTTTGTTTGTTTCAACATTAGCATAATTAAGTAACGATAATTTAAAATTCAATTCTATAATTTTTAGTATTTGTTTTGCACCACAAAATAATAAAAATCTTAGCATGATTTTCCCATATAACAGTCTACAACATGTCCATATCTTGTGATTTTAGTTAAGAATTTTGATTTCCCTACTTTTAAAACACAAAATTAGTATTTATACAGTGTAGTTAATTAAATTTACTAGGTTATTTAATCAAATTTACTGCTCTTTTGTTTTCATTTCTTGTGATAATTTTATGCATCTTCTAGACTGCTTTAAGGGATGCCTATGGCTGGCAAAACATGGTTTCTGGATAAGGGTGTTTCCAGAAGAGATTAGCATTTGAATCACTGGAGTAAATAAGGGAGATCTACCATCAATAAGGTGGGTGGGCATCATCTAATCTGTTAAGGATCCACCTGAATAGAACAAAAAGGTGAAGGCAGTGAAAACTCTGGCTTTCTCCTTCAGCTAGGACATTCCCTTTCCCTTGGACATTGAAGCTTCTGGTTTCCTTGGAACTCTACTGGGACATACAAACCACTTTCCTGTGAACTCCACCATCTTTGGCCTCAAACTAGGAGTTAAACCATCAGCTCCCCTGGTTCTCAGGCCTTTGGACTTGGACTGCATTACACCACCGGCTTTCCTGGTTCTCCAGCTTGCACATAGCACATAACGGGACATCTTGGTCTCCATAATCATGTGGGCCTATTTCCATAATAAATTTCCTCTTACATATGTGTGTGTGTGTGTATACATACATACATATATATATATACACACATATGTTCTGTTGTATAGCTATATACACACATATATATGTGTCGTATATTCATGTATGTGTGTATGTGTGTTTATATGTATATATATAAAATATCCTGTTGGTTTTGTTTATCCTGACTAATATTCTGACTTACCTCCTTTTTCACTATTCCTTTGATATAGTTCATGGATAAATTTTCTTTTGGAGAATAACTACTGGGTAAAAGATCTTAGATGTTATATGTCAGAAAACATTTCTATTTTGCCTTCACTCTTGAATAACATTTTAGTTAAGTATAAATTCTATGTTGATAGTTTTCTTTTTCTCCCTTCCATCTTTCCTTGAATATAATTATTCCGTATAATTTTGAAGTACACTGTTGCAGATGAGAAGTCTACCTTCTATCTGACTGTCATTTGTATATAATTTTTTGTTTGGCTCTGGTAGATTTCAGGATTGTCACTTTTTCCTTCATGTTCTTGTAGGGACAGAAAGGTGCAATACCTTTCCTTGCCCATCAGAAGGATCATAGCCCACACTCCTATGATAAAAGACAGGTTAACAAGAGAAGAGCACAACGAATTTATTTAATCAACGTTTTACGTGACACAAGAGACTTCAGGAATGCAGAGCTCAAAAGGCCCAGGAAAAACGGTTTTTATGCTTAGGCTTGATGAAGAATAGACAACCATCTAGAAATGTAACTGGAAAAAAGTTATGATCTAGTGATAGCAGACTGAGGGGAAAAGTCCACCAAGGCCTGTCTGTTCAGGTTCTTCTTGGCCTCTCTGTGTAGCGTTTCTTCCTCCGGGGTATGGTGCAGGACTCCTCTGGAATGAGGGTTTTATGATCTATTATCAGACAAGGTAGGTCAGAGAACAATTTTATGGCCAGCTTCTACAGAAAAAGGTGGGGGAAGGTTATAGTAATGTTTCTAGGTTTTATGGCTTGCTTTGGAGGAGAAGGGTTCTAGTTTCTATGACTCGCTTTGGAGAAGAGAAACTGGTTTCTATGATTTGCTTTAGGGGAAAGGGAGGGGCAGGAGACAGGAGGCAGTAGAAAGTCTTGGTTGCTTCTGAGGCCCTCCAGTCTCCTTTAGTTCAAAGTACTTGGCAGGCTAAAGTGTCACACTATGGAGTATTATTTTCTCAGCCCCAATACTATAGTATCAGCACACTGTGTATATGTATGGAGTTTGCCAACAAATCAGAATACAGTAGTCCCCTCTTATCTGCAGGGAATATGTCCCAAGACCCCCCGTGGATGCCTGAATGGCAGAGAGTACCGAAGAACCCTATATATACTATGTTTTTTCCTATAACACATTTCTACAATAAAGTTTAATTCATAAGTTAGGCACAGTAAGAGATCACCAGCAATAATTAATGATGAAATAAAACAATTATAACAATCTTCAGAATGGCATACAATTCTAAAACATAATTTTTTATTTCTGGAGTTTTCCATTTAAAGTTTTTGAACTGCAGTTGACTGGCAGTAATTGAAACCACAGAATGTGAAACCATGGAAAATTCTGGAGCATTCTCAAGCAGTTATTGCTTCAATATTACATCTCTACCAGTCTTTCTCATTAAGGAAGAGTTTTAGCCTTTACATATCTATATTTATTCTAGCTTCTCTGAACTGTATGCCAGGTGAGTTCCATCCTTATGTCATCTCCCTAGTCATTCTGTGGTTGTTACCATTTTTATATTAATCATATGTATTGAATTTTATTTTAATGGCATTATTTCTTATTTTCAGGATGTTTAAATTATCTTTTTATATTCTCGATGTATTTCTTAAGAATCTCTATTTTTTTCTTTTCTTTCTTTCTTTTTTTTTTTTTTTTAAGACAGGATCTCACTCTGTCACCCAGGCTTGAATGCAGTGATGCAATCATGACTCAGTGCAGCCTTGACCACCTGGCCTCAGGTGACTGTCCTACCTAACCTTCTGAGTAGCTGACACTACAGGTACATGCCACCCACTAGCTAATTTTTTGCATTTTTGGTAGAGACAGGGTTTTGCCACGTTGCCCAGGCTGGTTCTGAACTCCTGGCCTCAAGCCATCTACCCACCTCAGCCTCACAAAGTGCTGGGATTACAGACATGAACCACCAGGCCTGGCCTGGATTCCTAAATTTTATAATTTGTTAAATTTAAAGCAACCTATGCCTCCTTTTTCCCTTGAAAATCTTCAACATACTTATTTTAAAATTCTTGTCCCAATTTTTTTACAAGTTTAAATTAATTGGAATGAATTTACATTCTAATTGTTGACTTTTTTTTAGCTGTGTTTTGATATTAAATTTTTATGTGTTTTATAATTTTTACTGTCTGTCTTTCTCTCCCTTACCCTCCCTCCCTCGCTTCCTCCCCCACTTCCTCCCACCCTAACCAGCAGTCTGAATTTGCTTCTGGCTAGCCCTCTGATTCTTCAGTAGAGAACCAGGTCAGATAACCAGATAGTTACTGACTGGTGGTGATATTGGAAATATTAGATAAATTCATAAAGCCAGTGATTGGTATAGTTCAGCTTCTTGTCATACTTCTTGTATATTTTTTGTCTTTTTTTTTTTTTTTTTTTTTTGAGATGGAGTCTCTCTCTGTCGCCCAGGCTGGAGTGCAGTGTCGTGATCTCGGCTCACTGCAAGCTCTGCCTCTGGGGTTCACGCCATTCTCCCGCCTCAGCCTCCGGAGTAGCTGGGACTACAGGTGCACGCCACCACGCCCAGCTAATTTTTTGTATTTTATTTTTAGTAGAGTTGGGGTTTCACCACATTAGCCAAGATGGTCTTGATCTCCTGACCTTGTGATCTGCCCACCTCAGCCTCTCCTGAAACATCAGTGTCTTACAATGTTTTGCATTTATATTCCATTTCTGGTCAATGGAGATCCTTACTTTGAATTTGAGTTTGGCTGTGCCATTTTGTTTCTCTATATTTTATCTGCTGGTTATCATGGAGAAGGGGAGTTTATCAAAGGGTGTATGGATGCTTTGTACTATTTTGACCTGGATATCAATTTATTCATCTTACTATTTGCTTTTTCATCATCCTTTTCTGCCTTGACCCATATTTTGTCTTCTGATATTGTGATAATTTTTGAAAGTTTGCCACAGGTCTTTAAGCTTCTTTTTAATTTGTTTAGTGTCTGGCTATTGAACTGCAAGTCTTTGCCACCCTTCCAGGTGTAGTTCTATTATTCTTGGAACTGCTATTGCACTGTTTCTTGGTCCTCTGCATTTTACTGCGCCATAGTCCATTCTTCTCTTACACTATTCTGTTATGTTCTGCGTTTTTTTCTCAAATGCACTGGAGGGGAGAAAAAAATAATGTCTTTTCCTTACCTACTGGTAGGTTAATGACTGAGGCACCTATAATAAAAGCCAGATTAATGAAAAAAAAATACAAATTTATTTACTGTTTTACATGACATGGGAGCCTTCAGAAAAGACCTGAAGAAACAGGGAAACCTGTGTAATTTTTTACTCAGATTTTTAATGCTCAGGCTTGATGAAGAATGTACAGTTGTAGGGAAGTATGATTGGACAAAGTGGGTATGATTTAATAATAATAAACTGGGAGGAATTTAGCAAGGCCTGTTTGTTCTGATTCTTCTCTGTGTCCCTGTGTCTTCAGAAGTAAGTATGGAGTCCTAATTAGGGAAAATGAGTCAGACTGGCAGGAGCAGGGAAAAACAAAAAGAAAAATAAGATCTCCAAGTTGCTTTTCTTCATGGTCCAGAACACACAGCCCTCCTGCACAAATAATTCACAATCTTCCTGCATCCACATATTACCAAACCCTTGGCTGAAAGAAAAATTCAAGTTAGCTCACTGCAACCTTGGTGTTATCAGTATTGCACAAAGCCCTCTTCAGCCCACAGCACAAGCACCATCCTATGAAGTCCTCAGCAAGCCTTTGTTTCCCTGCGATCAGTTCCTATCTTGCTGACTTGCCCATTACACCCTTGCAACATATTTCCATACTTCTAATAAGTCTGCTTTTCTTTACCTACAACTGTTTCAGTAAATTCTTTTACTGCTTGTGTGACACTGGCCCCAGATAGCTGTGACCTGCGACAATAAGGATGTTCTTTTCTTCTGGGTATGAGGAGGGCACCCCAGAATGAGGGTCTATGACCTACTTCAAAGGAAGATCAAGAATTATTTTATGGCCTGCTTCAGAGGAAAATGTTGGGAGAAAATCAGAGAGACCGTCTTGCTTCTACTGTTTTCTTAAATGCCACAGTGCCATATTTTTGGGGTAGTGTGCCCTGAACTCCATTAGTACCATTTTTTTTTCTATTGACCACTTAAATGTAGGTATTATTTTTAAAACTCTGAATTCTAGCCATCTGACAAAAAGGTTCTTGAATTTATAGGATGTGCTCTTGCTATGTGTAACCAGATCTCATCTTGGTTCTTCTAACTTTCACAGATGTCTTTGGTGCCTCATCCATATCCTGTTTGCATTCACTCTAAAGGTTTACTTTTTGCAAATACTTGACTCTCCACTTAGGGCACTCTTCCATTTAGGGAATTTTTTGTTTGTAGTAATTTGCTTAGTCCACATACAATACAAATCAGAAGTCCTGGAGGTGTAATACCTCCAAAACAAGTCACCAGAAATTTTGGAGAAGATGTGTTGTGTAATTGTGACAGGTTCCTTGCTTCTCATTTGGGATAACTATGATGCATGTTTTGCACTGTCTCCTGGAGTTCCTTAGTGGTACTTAGCTCCAGTTGCCCACAGTGGTAACTTACTTGTAATGTAGCTTCTATTGATTTTATTTCTTTCCCTTTTTTTCTGTATTCTTTTGTAGACACTTACCTGGATCACTGAAAAAACAAATTACTTATATTCTAAACTTTTTCACTGAGTTTGCTTCTGGGGAAATTCAAACTCAGATACAAGTCAATCTCATCTGCATACTGTATTTAGTGTTTATCCATTTCTATTTGGTGTCACAACATATTTTGGCTATCGCTTCTGAATGTTTTTATTTGCTCTCTCTATACATATCTCCTTTTTCTATTGCTAAACTATTCATGTACTCTTTAAGAGAAGTCCTCTTATTGATATTGACAGGAGGCAGGGGAATACTGGGTAGAAGAGGGTGGTTCCCTGGCAAAGGCCCCACCCTCAAGCCTGGAAACCCATGGGCCTAAATGGGAATAGGCATTCCTGTTTTGGTGCTGAAATGGTGCCTTTTCCAAGACCACTCTGGCCTACCACACCCCTATCCTGTGTCCATATATACCCCAAGCTCCACTGGCAGAGCAGCAGAGTTGCATGGCAGAGAAAGAGAGAAGAGGAGTATCAACGTCAAGAGGAATTTGGCTAGGGACTGTGGGAGAGGAGCTCAGCCACAGGACGGCTGAACTCCAGGGGAAGATCATCTTCCCACTCCATCCCCTTTCTGGCTCCCCATCCATCCTGCTGAGAGCCACCTCTAGCGCTCAATAAAATCCCCACATTCACCATCCTTCAAGTCCATGTGACCTGTTTCTTCCTGGATGCCAGACAAGGACCCCGGTACCAAGAGGGCAGGATGTAAAAGGCTGTCACCCTGACTCTCCCCTGAGCTGGTTAACACTGAGCCATCTGTGAATGGTAACTGCTGAAAGGGCATTAATTGTAACACTCCTAGATGCTACTGCGGGCCTGGAGCCCAAAAGCGCTTGCCCTGGTGCTTGCACCTGCCCGTCTGCGTGCTCCTCCTCCTGTACGGGAGCAAACGAGCCATGCCCCTGTCGCGAGTCCCATGAAGGGGTCAAGGAACTCTCCTGTTTCATTATTTTTGCAACAGGTGCTAAGATTCCAGCAGCATCCTTACAAAAATTCTCCTGTATTTACTCCTACGGTCTCTTCCTTTTGGTCTTCCTTGTCTCTCTTTGGAAACATTAAGCTGCTTTAAAAAACTGTTATATTCACAGTATAGTTTTCACACTCAGGCATAGTTTAGAGTAGGCATAGGCAAGACTTTATCATCCACATAGATACTATGAGTTGGTTCATTTTGTAGCAGCAAAGTTGTGATTGCACAGTGCATTCATAGGAAGCTATACCTGTTTGTTGACTTAAGAATTTAAAAGAGGGGACTGGTAGATGGTGTGATTTAAAGCTTGGTTTACAGAAATCAGATGTGATGGCATCTTATAGTACTACTTCTTTTCTTTCTACTTTTTTGGTATAAAATAATATTTAATAATACTTTATTTGGATAAAATACTTAATACTTAATATTATATAGTATATACTTAATAATACTTTTATTTGAATAAAATAATTATCTAATGGGTAAAATGGTTAATCTGTGTAGATGTATTCTGGATACATAACTATCTTTTATAATGCTACAACTAGCAAGAGCTTTCTTGTTCCTTATTTGTTTTTCTTCTTTCCATTTTTTCAGCAGGGAAGTCACATTGATTTCTGCAATAGAAAGAAGGCTAAAAACAGCCGCAACCTGCTCTATGGGGCAATTTAGTATCAATAATCAGCTAGCAGAATAGATAACATTCAGAGACAAAACATCACCATGCAAATTCAAGAGCATTTAGACCCAACTTACTTTTAATCTCTCCCCAGTTGACAATAGGCAAATATTGATAGTGGGTACTAAAATCCGTAAAGCAAAAAAGAATGATTTTCATGGCTATTGAAAAAAGCCACTGGAGTCAGTTGTTTCTTTTCATCTGCCAGTTGCTTCTCCTTTTTATCTCTTTGAATTGGCTTATTGTTTCAAGCTTTGTCCCTCACTTAGAGGCAATTTACACAGAAAAGAGGTTTTCATTTGCATATTCTGCTGAGGAATTCAAAGCATGTTTCCTTGGAAACTTTGGTCGTCTGAAACAATTATTTACATAAACAATGTTTTCAATCAAGGCTATTATTTCTAAAGGAAGAAGAGTATTAATAGTTTGCCCCAAATAAAGCATAAATTAAAACTAACATATTTTATCCTGAGTTTCATTAGGATTAGCAAAATTTAATTATTTTGTTGTAGGACTCTTTCCTTAGTTCAGCTAAAGACAGGGGTCCTTAACACATGGCCATAAAAAATTAGGCTCGCAGAAAAATTTGAAGGGTGAGGAGGGCAAGGTTTATTGGGTGAAAAGGAAAAGAGAGAAGCAGGGACTCTCTGCAAGGCCTGAGTCCCTGCTGGTGTGCTTCTCGCCTCGCAGCTGGAATCCCAGGTTCCACCCAGGAAGAGGAGGGGCCAGGCTCCTCCCTGTTGCAAATGGCATGAACTTCTGTGGTTCTACTCTAGTGTGCACTCTTCCCAGTGTACAGGCTTCTTGGAGTTTCTCTGGGGGTCCCTTCCCACCTGGTTGTCTCATGTTCATCAACAACTTGAAATAATCACCAAAAACTTTCATAACATATATTAGGTTACATGTTCTATACATTATACAATAGTATCCCCTCCTACCCAATTTAGGACCAGTTGGTGAAAAGTTAACTGAAATAGTTGTCTAAAGTGTTATATCAGAAAAAAACAAAAAGATAGATACTGTTAAAGAAAAAATATTTATGTCACTTGTTAAAGATGGTAATGCAGTCTTTATTCAAAGAGGGCCCTAGAAATAGGTATAGGAACCCCTGCAATGGGATTCTGCAGCTGGGGAGAGGGAGTAGACTCAACTCCAGCTCCAACTGGGACAATACCATAATTCATGCCAAATTTTAATTTTAAAATTTATTTTCAAAATAAACACAATAGTGAAGATGTAAAAAATATTTGTATATATAAAGACAATATATGTATATGTACATCACACATATATTCTGTTTTTTAAAATAGGAATTCCTAAGCGAATAATAACTATATGCTTTCTCTTACATTAGCAAATTATTTGAAATGGGGAGGCTGACATTCGGAAATGTTATCAGATGTGTCTTATAATTTTCCTCTTTTCTCTAAGTGCCAGTTCTGTTCAGAAGTTGAAAAACAAATCAAGTATCACCCACCTATTTAACATTGTTGTCAAAATCATTCAACTGCACGTCTAGCTGATCCCCAGATCTTTGACTCCCAATTATGACAAGGTATCTAGTGTTTTCTTTTTCAGTTTCTTACCCTAATCTTTATCTCCATTTTTTGTAGCTTATTTTCTTTCCCCAAATGAAAAGTTATGTCATAACTAATTTGTTGCCTTTCTACTTACATATAGTTATATTAAAAATTTGGGCATTGTAAGAAATGATGTAATAGTAGAAAAGATAGATTTGGAACTTATTAAACTGAGTACAAGAATAGGGAGTGGATGCACCATTGTCGTAAAATCCAGTTTATCTTCGCAGAAAGAAAACCAAATGTCTTGAATATCTTTTACATCAGTCTGAGTTTGGTAGCCTATATATTACTGATAGTTGACAAATATGTATTGAAAGTTTCAAAATTGTAGAGGGAAATTGAAAACTTATTTATTCTGGCAAAACCAACATTCACTTTACTAGAATTTAGGCAGTCATCTCGGCTCTTCATGGACAACATAACCTCAAAATTATGACAGGAATGAAGGAAAAAATCCTCAGTAAATATTCTCAATTCTCAGTTTGGTTCCATGTACTTAGAAGTTCTTCATGTTTTATTTAAATGAATTTTCATTGTCAAATTAAATACCACTCACAAATTTTTCTCTCCAGCCAGATTTTTTCTCGAATATCAGGTTTGTATATCTGTCTGCAGTTAGTGACTTTCATGCGCGTCCGTGTGAAGATACCACCAAACAGGCTTTGTGTGAGCAACATGGCTGTTTATTTCACCTGGGTGCAGGCGGGCTGAGTCCGAAAAGAGAGTCAGCGAAGGGAGATAAGAGTGGGGCCGTTTTATAGGATTTGGGTAGGTAAAGGAAAATTACAGTCAAAGGGGGTTTGTTCTCTGGCGGGCAGGAGTGGGGGTCGCAATGTGCTCAGTGGGCAGGAGTGGGGGTCGCAAGGTGCTCAGTGGGGGTGCTTTTTGAGCCAGGATGAGCCAGGCAAAGGACTTTCACAAGGTAATGTCATCAGTTAAGGCAAGGACTGGCCATTTACACTTCTTTTGTGGTGGAATGTCATCAGTTAAGATGGGGCAGGGCATATTCACTTCTTTTGTGATTCTTCAGTTACTTCAGGCCATCTGGGCGTATACGTGCAAGTCACAGGGGATGCGATGGCTTGGCTTGGGCTCAGAGGCCTGACAGTGACTCCCAAACTCAACTCCCAATCTGTCCCCCCACACCCCTTTGCACTTCCCAAACCCCATAAAAGCCATCTTCATTTCAATCAATAGCACAAATCCTTCCAAGTGCTTTGGCCAAGAACTTGGGTTCATCATTGACTCCTCTTTTTCTCTCTAATCCCATATCTAGTCATCAGGAAATTGTGTTTTCTATAATTTCAAAGTATATATAGCATCTTAACCACTTCTCTGTCTGAATCACCATCTATAGTCTAGAAGATTGCAGCAGACTTCTGTATGTTCCTCCTAGACTTTTAAATGGTCTTCTTACCACCCATCTTGCTCCTTTACAATTTATTCACATTAAACCGACCAAGCGAGCTTTTTAAAATGCAATTTTCATGTCATTTCTCTGATAAAATTCTCATTTGGTACCTCATTTCAATTTAAAAGCTAAAGTTCTCACAGTGGCCTATAAGCCCCATCATGACCTGGCTTACTGTTACCTGTTTTACACAGGAATAGCGATCAAGATCTACCAGGGGAAGGGGCCTAGTGAACACAGCTTGGTGTCATGGAAAGCACTGAGGAGATCTTTGACTCCCAAACTAGGAGTTTGTACTCATAGGAATGAGTACTCATAGGAATTGTACTCATGGAAAAGAGTACAAATTAAAGGAACCTCACCAAAACGGGAATCCAGACTTGACTTTACTCAGTCCCTGATTAATGGTATGAGGATAGCTATGCCTCTCAATTTTATTTGTCAAGCAGCAGTTGGTTGGGAAAACTTATCTGGAAGAATTCAATATTCTTGGAGTCACCACAACTTTTTACACACAATTTGTTATGTTTCATTAAATATCACTAGACATGTTATGAGATAGGATAATATGATCAGAAATACAAAGAAAAATTCCAGACAATATAAGCAAATCCACAGGGTGATTCTGTTATTAGAGTTAGCGGATAGAAACATTAATATAGCTGTAATTAATGCATTCAAGAATTTAGAAAAATGGGAAAAAGATGAAAAGTTAGAGAATGTTATAAATTACAAATTGAAAAGCAAATTGATACTTAAGGCTCAAATTAAGCTCTATAGAAATTTGAAAACAGTAGAAGATAGGATTCAATAGAAAATCTGAGGCCTGAATGCTCAAAAGAGAAAGGACGTTAGAGACATATGGAACACATGGATATGATCGGGAGTTCCAGAAAAAGTAAAAAGTGTAGCAGAAGTAATATTTGAATAGATCATAGCCAGGATTTTTTTTTAACAACTGATGAAGGACTCAATGGAAAGACTCAGAGAAGGACTGTACTAGAAAACGTCTAGCGTAACAAATACAAATAAATCATACGCAGGCATATAATAGCAAAACTCTGAAAACCAAAGTCAAATAGAAAATCTTAAAAGCAGGAAAAATAAAAAAGACATTTTACCATCAAAGTCTGACAGCTAAATACTCAGCAGAAATTATGGAAGCCATTTATTAAAAAGTCAAAAAATAATAGATGTTAGCAAGGTTGTGTCAAAAAGGGAATGCTTAATGCTTATATGCTACTGGTGGAAATATACATTAGTTCAGCCACTGTGAAAAGCAGTGTGGCAATTCCTCAAGGAACTCAGAACAAAATTATTTGACCCAGCAATCCATTATTGGGTATATACCCAAAGGACTATAAATCATTCTAACATAAAGACACATCCATGCATGTATTCATCTCAGCACTATTCACAATAGCAAAGACATTAAATCAAATTAAATGCCCCTCAATGGTAGATGGATAAAAATAAATATGCTACATATACAATATAGAATACTATGCAGCCATAAAAAGGAACAAGATCATGTCATTTGCAGCAACATAGATAGAGCTGGAGACCATTATCCTAAGCAAACTAACATAGGTACAGAAAACCAAATGCCATATGTTCTCACTTACAAGTGAGAGCTAAATACTGAGTACACGTGGACACAAGGGAACAACAGACACTGGGGCCTGCTTGGGGGTAAAGGGTGGAAATAGGGAGAGGATCAAAAAACCACCTATAGGGTACTATGCTTATTACCTGGCTGACAAAATGATCTGTACACCAAACTCAAGTGACATGAAATTTACCCATAACACAAACCAGCACATGTACCCTTGAACCTAAAATGAAAGTTAAAAAATACATACATCAAACAAAATCATTATGGAAGCCAGAAATCAATAGAATGACACCTTAAAAATGCTACAGAAAAATTGCCTACCTGAATTCTATATCAAGCAAATAACCCTCCAAAAATGTAGACAAAATAATTAATGACATTTTCAGAAAAACAAAGAATGAGAAGTCACCACCAGCAGATCTGAATGAACACAAACACTTAAGAAATTCCTCAGGCAGAAGTAAAATAATTTGAGATTGAAACACGTAAATTCAAGAGGTAAAGATAAATATGTGGATAAATCCAATCACATACTATTCTTAAAACAATAATAGTAATTATTTGTAGTTGTTAAAATATGTGAAAAATTAAAATACACAGCAATACAAAATATCATAGGGGGCTAATAAAAAATTTATACTACTATATCAACATTCTGACTTTTTCTAACCTTTCATCTAGTGCTGCAAGCTCTATGACTTTCAATGTATTGATGTTGACAGTTTTACCCAATCTTTTGCCATTGCCTAATAGACTCTTGCATATTTTCCATTTCTGTTATCAATTTCTTCATTGTCTACTACCCGATCACTAGGCCAGTGTGACACATGTAAGGCATTTTTCAAAGGATGTATCCCACTTCAAATTACCAATATCTACATTAGTTAAGATAATATCAGAAGCTATAAAATTTAGGCCGGTGTGGTGGCTCACGCCTTTAATTCCAGCACTTTGGGAGGCTGAGGTGGGTGGATCACCTGAGGTCAGGAGTTCGAGATCAGCTTGGCCAACATGACAAAACCTTGTCTCTAATAAAAATACAAAAATTAGCTGAGCATGGTGGCACGCCCCTGTAATCCCAGCTACTTGGGAGGCTGAGAATCAGCAGGAGAATCAACAGGAGAATCGGTTGAACCCAGGAGGTGGAGGTTGCAGCAAGCCAAGATCCCTCCACTGCCCTCCAGCCTGGGTGACAGACTGAGACTCTGCCAAAAAAAAAAAAAAAAAAAAAAAATAGAGAAGCTATAAAATTTAGAAAGAAACAAAGCAAAATATTGTTTCTTTTGGTGAGTTTATGTAAGTAGAGATTTTTTTTCTTTTTTGCTCAAGTAATAGTTTAATATAGGTGTTCTTGGTTGATAAGTAGCCTTGTATCCAGTGATTCAAGACCTTAAACTCTTTCCATTCTGTATCTTCAATATCCTTTAGAACCTTGAAGTCCTCTGAATTTATCTGGCAGGTCAGAAAAGAGTGAGAATAAACCAGAGCTGTTGTTTCTCAGCCTGAAGTGGCATACATCACTTTTATTCACAAAGGATTGGAATTGTAGACTTTGCATAGACAGCTGCTTCCCAATAGAAATGCTTACATTCCTGAGAGAAATCATGAATTTTTGTTGGCCAGTTAATCAATTCTGTCACTAAAGGTTTTTTGAATGAATAAAATAATCTGATGGTTTTAAAATTTATAAACAAAGCTTACCTCCTATCATAATAACCTTATAATGCATTGATAATTAAATCAACTTGAAAAGATATCTATGGTACGGGGAGGGAAATGTCCTGTATTTTGTGCTATTATATAAAATATTTCCGTTAAATTACTCATCTGGGAGTACATACCACTAAAATAAGAAGCATGAGTTGAAAAGTCAATGATACAGCCGCAATTATATAATATATTTTGAAAAAATAGATACATTTTACTTGAGAGAAATAGTTTGTATTTTAATCTGTCTACAGTGAATTTAAGTTAGTTAAAGACATTAGAAATTAAGGTATTAGTGAGAGTGTTTTATTTTACTAAGTTTCATAAATGATGATTGTTGTTTATGACAGTTGTTTGAAATGACCTCCCTTAACTGCTGTTTTTTCCCTTTGCATTTAGATATTTGCTCTTTTATATGTGGAACTTAAATCTATAAGGCACAAGGTTTATTCACTTAAGTTCCTGTTCAAAAGGAACTTTTTGGTATTTTAATTTTGCCTTCAACAGCAATGAGTCCTGAAGTCACACAAACTTTAAAGATTTAGGTTAGTCTTTTGAAACTCACTTCTCTTAAACATGGATGGGGTATGAAGCAAATAAAAATGTTCATATTTAAAGCAATTGTGCGGAACCGCTTAATTTCTCAAAATCACTTATCTCTCTACTTTAACAGTGGGAAAAACAAATGATAATTGTGGTCCTCAAATTTGTGACCTAAACCCATACCTCCAAGGGATAGAGATGGTTATTTTGACAATATAAATTCAAACTCACAGACTCTTGCATACGTTAGAAACACGCTATAGTATCAAGCAATTGATTGGAAAACAAATTTTGTGAAATGTGATAATATAACACAGGAAAATATGCCTGTAATAGTAAATCTAAATTAAATATATACCCTTGATAATTCATATTAACCATTTAATATAGATACTACTTTTGTGTTTTAATTTACAAGTAGCAACATTTAAAACAATTACATTCATCTATTTGAAGCTTAGCATCAGATGAGGTGGCCATTTAGAAACTGCTCAATCTGATAGACTAAGCTTATGCCTTTGATAGTTTTCTGAGCCCATTTAGATTTAATGAAAATATCTTACCAATTGTCTAATTTTTGAAATTTTTATTAAATAAGAGCTGAAAAATTGTGCCTATAAAGTGCAGGATTATTCACTCAAGTTGAGTTCCTATTCAAAAGGCACCTTCCAATATGACCCAATAAAAACATCACTAAAACATTTTAAATATCATATTAAATGCTAATTAGATCTAGTCAAATATATATTAAATTTTTGTTACAATTCATTTTGTCCTTGGTTATTATTGAATGAAGCAGTTGCATTTTTTAGCTTGGTAGCAAATGAATTATTTCCAACTTTACAATAATCATTAAAACTGCAAATAATCTGTTGATTTTCCTTTTGTTTGATACAGGTTTTTAATTTAGATTTAACAATGGAGATTTTCAATAGAGGAAGTAGATGAAGACCTACCTTTGAGATATTTATTTTGCCTTCAGGGCCAACACTAGAAAAATTAACATATACATCTTATTGCCAGAATCAAGAAAACTTTGGTCTTTGCAAAGATTTAAATTACTTGAGAGCAACAATTATGTGTTAGATAATTTTATAGTCTGCAGCTGTGCCAAAGGAAGTGCGGTGGGAAGCAAGGGACATAGAGGCAGAGGAAGGGCAAGGAGAATCCCATGCCATCAGAACCAGGGAAGTGAATAAGAAATTGCCTTGTGGTAGCCTCTCACAACATCATTCACCTCAGTGAACACAGACTATCTTTCTGTTTGTTAATTCTCAGAAAAATTTAGTAGTTTTCATTGTGTGGGACTGTCATATCTTATCTTGAATTTCTTCTCAAGTATTTTGTGTTTTTCAATGCTAACATAAGTGTTTTTTTAATTGTCTTTTCACAATTGTTTCTTGCTAATATAGAGAAATAGGATATATTTTTTATATTGACTTTGTAGACTGTGACTTTGCTAAATTTATTTATTCATTCTAGTATCTTGTTTTGTAGATTCCAGCAAAATTTTGAGTCGAAGTATTGAGAGTGAGCATCTTTGCTTTGTTTCACAGGTTAGGTGAAAGGCTTTGATATTTTACTTAAGTAACTATAGCTTTATTGCAGATGTCTTTCTCCAGATTGAAGAATTTCTATTGTATTCCTAGTTGCTGAAAATTAAAAACCTTTTTTTGAGATATTTTAGTTTTGATTTCTAGATTCTCATTTGTTTATATTTCTAAAAGGTATCTATTTTTCTTCTGAAGCTCCATTTATCTTCATTCATTATATCCATCTTTTTTGCAAATCCTTTAACATATTTATGATACTTATTTCAATGTAATACTTCCTAATTAAAAAATCTGGATGATCTGTGAGTTTGTCTCTATTGACTTTCATTCTTGAATATTTATCACATTTTCCTGTTTCTTAACATATCTCATAATTTCTATCTAACTCTAAACATAGTGTTTGTATCTCAGAGTGGGCAGGCCTAGTGGCTAGGGTAAGGGGCTTATCATTCAAATTCCACTGGGGTCATATTGAGCTGGTTTGGGCTACAACTTTCAATAGTTTTGTTTTACCATTGAATTCATTTCCAGCAGGATTCTGGAAGCTTTGCACCCCAAAATGCATAAGACTGCGTAAATTTGATTCCATACCTTTATTTTACTGAGACTTCTCTCCGCAAAGTTCAGGAAGTTGTGGGAGAAATTGTCAGTGACATTGATTAGTTTTTGCATCTAGGACTCTTCCAGATTTCAGTCCTCTTTCCCAGCCAATACAGATTCTAAAAGTTAGGCTGGTTTCTCCTCATTCCTGCAAAGTCTTTCAGTCTATGACAGGTCACTTGCTGCCCACCAATACATAGGCAAGATATGTACCCCTAGGCATGGAAACTGTCTTGGCTTGCTTCTCCTTCATGTAAGATTCATTTCTTGCTGAGATTTAGCTCCTCAAGGCTTCCAGGCATCCAAACCTGCTGATACTCCTTGAATATCATGTACAGTCATGCACTGCCTAGCCATGTTTTGGTCAACAATGGATAGCATATACAACGGTGGTCCCATAAGATTACAATGGAACTGAAAATTTTCTCCTATTACCTGGTAACATAGTAGCTGTCATAACATCATAGTGCAACACATTGCTTACATGTTTGTGGTGATGTTGGTGTAAACAAACCTATTGTGCTGCTAGTCATATAAAAGTATATTGTGTACAATTATGTATAGTACATAGTACTTGATAAAGATAATAAACAATGATGTTACAGATATATGTATTTTCTATACTATACTTGTTATCATTATTTTTAAAGTGTATTTATTCTACTTACCAAAAAAAAGTTAACTGTAAAACAGCCTCAGGCAGGTCCTTCAGGAGGTCTTATAGAAGAAGGCTTTGTTATTATAAGAGATGACAGCTCCGTGTGTGTTATAGTCCTTGAAAACATTCCTGTGGCCCAAGATGTGGAAGCGGAAGACAGTGACATTGATCCTGACCCTGTGTAGGCCTAGGCTAATGTGTATGTTTGTGTCTTAGTTTTCAACAAAATCTTTAAAAAATACAAATAAAAAAACTTTAAATCGAACAAAGCTTATAGAATAAGGATAGAATAATTTTTATTTATAAAAAGGATAAAAAGGATAGCTGAATTTTTGTACAGCTGTACAATGTGTTTCTGTTTTAAGCTAATTGTTACATCAAGACAGTCAAAAAGTTTAAAAATTAAAAATTTTATGAAGTAAAAAGTTATTGAATAGAAAATTATTTTTTATAAATTAGTGTAGCCTAAGTGTACAGTGTTTATAAGTCTATAACAGTAGAGTACAATAATGTCCTAGGCCTTCACATTTACTCATCATTCACTCACTGACTTACCCAGAGCAATTTCCAGTCTTGCAAGCTCCATTTATGGTAATTGCCCTATATAGGTGTACCATTTTTTATCTTTTCTATTGTATTTTTACTGTACCTTTTCCATGTTTCAGTATGTTTAGATATACAAATACTTATTGTGTTACAATAGCCTACGGTATTCAGTAGAGTAACATGCTGCACAGGTTGTATAGGTTTGTAGTCTAGGAGCAAAAGGCTATACATTTTGCTAGGAGCAAAAGGTATATATATATGGTATATATATATATATACCATATGTATATATGATGTATATATATTTATATACCATATATAGTCTACATATGTAGTAGACTATGCCATCTAAGTTTGCACAATAGTAAAATCACCTAACGATGCACTTCTCAGAACATCTCCCTGTTGTTAAGGGACACATGTCTGTGTATGTTTATTATTTATTATTTTTTTATGGATATATTTTTACATCCTTCTACATCCTACTCAAAAGCAGAAATTGTTTCAACCATCTTATATTGTGCCTTCTGTTTGTGCAGACAGAATTATCTCTATTGTCTGTGTTCACCGACAGACCAATTTCTTTCCTACCACGCTTTTATTAAGGGTACAGCCATCCCTGAGTGTGGCTACGAGTAGGTCCAAGATTTTTTCTCTTAGTTTCTATCTGCACCTTAAAATACAAACCATTAGTTCATTGAAATCAATAAATAGCTCATGAAGAGTCATGATTAGGTTTTAGTGTATCACACAGGTTATTAGTGCTTTGTTTCTTTTCTCTATTCTCTCACTCACCCTTTTAGCAACTCATGGTGGAGTTCCCCCATCCTCAACGCACTAAATTATATTTATGAAAGCTTGTTTTCTAGATTTTATTCAGCATTTCTAGGGGCTCTGTGGTTGAACAATATCTACTGTGCCATATTGGCAAAAACAGAAGTCTTTTCTTATGCCTTCATGTAACTTTTAACCTTTCCGCCACACAATCTGGAAATACTATCTTTCTTCTGAAACCCTTCAGAACTTTTCAGTTCCCCTTTAATGACACCATGTTCTCTGTTATGTCACTACTAGTGTGCATGCATGTCCTAGATATACTGTAAGAATGTAAGTTTAATAATGAAACAATTTTCTTATATTCTTTATATCTTTAGGGCCAGGTGTAATACATTGCAATAGACTATGCACTCGATGGAAGAATTGATGTATGGAGAGTATAATAATGTCAATGAATTTCTCCAGACAAAAAGAAAAACATTTCCGTGACCCAGGTAAAATTCTGCAGTTTTTGATCCCTTTAGTTATAGAAACAGACAAGAAAAAACTCCAAAGGCATGATTTATAATCCTTTGGGTATATACCCAGGTGGGAACTGAACAATGAGAACACATGGACACAGGAAGGGGAACATCACACACCGGGGACTGTTGTGGGGTGGCAGGATGGGGGAGGGATATCATTAGGAGATATACCTAATGCTAAATGACGAGTTAATGGGTGCAGCACACCAACATGGCGCATGTGTACATATGTAAGAAACCTGCACGTTGTGCACATGTACCCTAAAACTTAAAGCATAATAATAATAAAATTAAAAAAAAACAAACTCCAAAGGCGAGAAGACAATGGTGCTTTTCTCAAGCCAGTTACAGCAAAGTTATATTGCCTTCATTCTATAGTTGCCAGATTTAGCAAATAATTATAATAACATAAAACTCTCCATTAAATTTGAATTTCAAATAAACAATGAATGTTTTAAATATATAAGTATGTCTCAAATTGCAATATTTGTTGTTTATCTGGAATTCAAATTTAAATAGGTGTCCTGTATTTTATCTGGTAACCCCATTCACATTACAAGTAGGGTGCTCAGAATCTAAACTTTCAGGTTTAGACTCCTTGGACTGTAAATCCTATACCCCACATATCTCTCTGAATGCCACTTCTCTCATGAGGGTAATTTTCTTACTATTCTTTTTGTTTTTCAAGAGTATGATTAGCAAATTGACAAAACCAAGCTGTGTTGCATGTGAATAATAGTAGGTATATCCTGGAATTTGCAAGTCTCATGTAACATGTGCCTAAGGTAACAGTGGTCTTTTGGATTCAATAATCCAAATAGATGATTCTATTAATGGAAATCTCAAACCAGAGACAAACATATCAACAGAAAGCAAGGAAGAAGCTTGTCTTCCAAACAACTCAATAAGGTGACTGCTAGTGACACCCATGTTTGGAGGAGATTTTCCTGCCTGTTGGAACCCCTACCATGTAGATTTTATGATTATTAGCTATCTTGTGTTAACTATAATTGAAAACATTTTTTTGTTTTTTAAAAAGATATTAAAAGTTTCAAATGATCACTTGCAGTCTTGCCTTCTAAAAATTCAGTAAAAATCATATTACAAATACAACCAAAAGTAGTCATAAATAGATCTTTTAGACACAAAATTGCACACACCGCCAGGATTTCTCTCCAGATCACATACTACTTACTGCACACCACAAGTTCCCCATTATTAAAGTAAGCAGGAAGCCTAGAAATCAAATAGACACATTACTGGAATTATGAACAAATAAACTGCTACCTAAAATTGTTATTATTATTATCAGAAGAGGGAATAGAATATGGAATTGTTAAATGTTTAAAGTGAAATAAAAAGAAATTTTTGAGTATTTTAAGTACCTGTTTTGTTTTATGAGACAACAGATTTTAAATTACAGCAGAAATAATGGTTACATGGAATATAAGGAAATACTTGTAACTGGAGTATAAACCAGGAAGATAACTGACAACTGTGGACAATTTTCAGAGGAACACTTATGATCATCTTTTTGAGATGGGTATCTTCTTAATGATTTTGCACATTCTACAGATTTCTCTGTGGTTTGTGTATACATGATGAGTCAGATTTTAGGATTGGAAAGGACCATTTTCTAGTTGTTCTCAACCATTTTCCCCCTACTCAACACACCTGAGGAAAACAACCAACTCCTAAAGGTAACCACTGGAGTGGTTCCCAAAATGGTGGTAGTTCAAAATTCCAGTGAAGGATTGGGAGGCTACAGAGTGACATAAGTAGTTTGATGAAGTCCTCTAAATCATTCTGGTATCCGGCTGGGTGCAGTGGCTCATGCCTGTAATCCCAGCACTTTGGGAGGCCTAGGCAGGTGGATCACCTGAGGTCAGCAGTTTGAGACCAGCCTGGCCAACGTGGCAAAATCCCATCTCTACTAAAAATACAAAATATTAGCTGAGCGTGGTGGTGGGCGCCTGTAATCTCAGCTACTCAGGAGGCTGAGGCAGGAGAATTGCTTGAACCGGGGAGGTGGAGGTTGCAGTGAGCTGAGATCGCACCACTGCACTCCAGCCTGGGTGACAGAGCGAGACTCTGTCTCAAAATAATAATAATAATAATAATAATAATAATAATAATTCTGGTATCCTTTCTCCTTTCTGAAGGATCGTATATCTAATATAAACTTTTTTTAAAAAAATGAGCAATTGAGAGTCAGTTTTGTCCAACACTGCCCAGAAAATCAGGTAAGAAAACAGAACTGGAAACGATGCCTTTGTCTCCCATTTTTAAATGCAGTGCTCTTTCTAATGCATCATGTTTTACCCTCCTCTTCATACACTTACCTTAGTGACCGTAATGATTTATCACTTCAGTTCACAAATGCATGTGGATTCTTTGAACTTTTTCTTTTAAAAAACAAACAAACTGATTGTCTTTAACTGTTTTAAAACAGTGAGTCTCTGGTAGAGAAATACTCAGACATAAATTTCCTTAGTTATTCCTAGTTTGATGCTTCCTGACAAACTCAAAGGTATCAATATAGTTCTACCAGTCTTTAAGCAGATCTTGTGTTCTTGTATTACATAAGGTTTTGGAACACTTTGTTGGAATGTTTAATCAGGGATGAAAAATGTCAGAGCTCTTGCCCTAATGATTAATTCTGATTAACTCATTTAGCCAATCTGGTTTATACTTCCATCCTGTGGGTTCACTAATTTCATAAGTTCAGACAGTCCTATAACAAGGAGGATAATTTTCTGGGACAGTGATGATGCACAGTCCTTTTCTGGTATCAGAGATAAGTGGGTGAAAACAGGCATTGGCATGCAGCTGAGATCTGTCAGTTCCTGCTCATGGCACCTGGTTCTTGGGTGAGAATCAGAGCCAATTTCATCATATCAAAATTACTAATCCTATTCACTATGTAAATTATTTTACATCCATCAGTCTAATTTCTGAGCTTTGAGAGATACACTTTTTTTGTTATGTCTTGAACTTTCTTTTTGTCTATTAAATATCTGTGTATATAAACTCATCAGAATTATATTTTTTTAGTATACATTCATTGATTTATGTTAAAAATATATTCATTGAGCTCCTACTATGTGCCAAACATTGTCCTAAGTCATGGGCACAGAACAATCACTACAACAAAGTCTTTGCTCTCATAAAGTTTATAGCCTGGTTGCAACTTACAATTTTATAGTCTGGCTGGTAAAGATTTTACACACACTGATATACGTGTGTGTGTGTGTATATATATATGTATATATATATACACACATGCATATATATATGTCCACATACATATATATGCATATATATATCCACATATATCCATATATACATGTTTACAAATATATATGTATATGGGTGTGGGTATATGTTTGGTGATAAGGGGTAATAAAATAAAGTGAGTAAGGGGACAGAATTTCCCAGGGGTGTTATTTTAGCTAGACAGCAAATGCCTCCCATATGTAGTAACATTTAAGTAGAGATATAGATTAAGTGAAGGAGTGAGCCAGGGTGAAATCAGAAAAAAGAACATTTCAATTCTTGCTTTGGGAGGAGCATGGTTTGTATGTTTGTAGAATTGCAGAGCGGTGATGTGGTTGGAGCACCATGACAGGAAAGTAAGAGAACCTGGCATCTGACAAGCTGTCAGGAACCAGGTGATGTAGGGTTTGTAGGCCTAGTAAAGACTTTGGACTTTATTCTCTATAAAATGTGCATATACTGAAGGGTTTTGAGTTGATGAAGGACATGATCTTGTTTATGTTTTAAAAAATAGTGCAGGAAAACACCAGCAAGATGGGTGATTAGAGATGCCTGGCATTTATCCTCCCAAAAACAAAGGACTAAGGCAACAAATACACAGCTAAGATTTGACTGGAGTGTTGAAAGGAGAGTACTGGAGTGCAGGGGGTTAGTAGAGAGGTACCTATGGTGATTGGAGATCCAGAAGGAAAGTGTGAAGGTGCCTCACCTCTGCAGCCCCATCTCCCCAAGCCTGGATCAGACCTGACTGGAGTAGGATGGATTCTTGTTGAGGGGAAAAGGTAGGCAGAAGAATTCCACAAGCCTCCATTGCCATCACAAACACCTGTAGTCCTTATAACAGGAGACTCCCACAGTCTCCCAGGTTGGAGAACTTCCAGGTTTTCATGCCACTGCATTGCCCTGGATTGGGAGCACAGGGTGTGTACTCCTTACACCCTACCCACTCCCTGTGAGACAACTTGTTTCAGTATGGTGCCATCTTGAGAACAGAGCCACCTCTGGAGTGTGCCCTCCTCTGGAGGCCAGTGGCCACTGTAATTCCCCAACATTGAGACTCCATTTTTGTTCCTGCAAGCCCATGTCAATGGCTGAACACCAAAACCCCAGTAGCATGGAACCTAAGCCCAGAATTGGTTGTGATGTTGGTCCTAGACAGGAGGGAAGCCAACTCCTGTTACCCTAACTTCCAGTCAGAGAAACAGTCTGGCAGTCCCACCAAGAACCTGCCCTTAAGCTGGTCAAATTGCTGTGTACTCTTCCCACCAAGCGGCAGAGGCCTTCAAGCCCCCGAGCAGCTGACCTGCTCCCAGGCCAGTAAAGTGGCTACACACCTGCTTCCAGAACCTAAGTAACAGCCCTGAGGGCTCCATCCCATGGCAGATGAGCCCTTGACCTGCCCAATGGCCCTGCACCTGCAGCCAGAGCCTGAGAAATACCTCCATGGGTTTCCTCTAGCATAAACGCCCCAGGCTGGATGAGCAGCTGTGTGCCCATGCCCCAGGACTGAGAGAGACCTCTGCAGGCTTCCCCTGGTGGGCAGACCCCCAGGCCAGCCAAGCAGCTGTCTACCCACTGATATGGTTTGGCTGTGTCTCCACCCAAATCTCAACTTGAATTTTATCTCCCAGAATTCCCACATGTTGTGGGAGGGACCCAGGGAGAGGTAATTGAATCATGGGTGCCAGTCTTTTCCTGTGCTATTCTTGTGATAGTGAATAAGTTTCACGAGATCTGATGGGTTTATCAGGGATTTCTGCTTTTGCTTCTTCCTCATTTTTCTCTTGCTGATGCCATGTAAGAAGTACATTTGCCTCCCACCATAATTCTAAGGCCTCCCCAGCCATGTGGAACTGTAAGTCCAATTGAACCTCTTTTTGTTCCCAGTTTTGGGTATGTCTTTATCAGCAGTGTGAAAATGAACGAATACACCCATGCTCCAAGCCCAAAAATGGTCCCATGGGCCACCCCCAACAGACATAACCCCAGGCCAGCCAAGCAGCTTTACACCTATATCCCACTCCTGAGAAACAGCCCTGCAGGCTGCCCCTGGCATACACACCCCTAAGTCAGCCAAGCAGTTTTGCGCCCACATCCCATGCTGGAGAAATAGCCCCACTGGGCCCCTCCCAGCAGACATGTACCTAGGCCAACTGAGAAGCTGTGTGGCCATATACCAGACCTGAGAAACAGCTCTGTCAGCTGCCCCTGTTGGCCAAAACCCCCCATGCCCCCAAGTTGGCCAAAACCCACCAAAACCAAGGTGGTGACAAGAAGTGATCTTTGGTCGTCCTCACTGCTCGTTATATGCTAATTATAACGCATAAGAATGCTAAAAGACACTCCTACAAGCGCCATGACACTTTACAGATGCCATGGCAACATCCAGAGGTTGCTCTATGTGGTCTAAAAAGGGGAGGAACTCTCAACTTTGGGAATTGCCCACCCCTTTCCTGGAAAACTCGTGAATAATCCACCCCTTGTTTAGCATATAATCAAGAAATAACCATAAAATAGCCAACGAGCAGCCCATGCTGCTGCTCTGCTTATGGAGTAGTCATCATTTATTCCTTTAATGAACTTGCTTTCATGTAAGAAAAAAAAAAAAGAAAAGAAAGAAACCAGGAATAAAAAGTTAAACACTGCATGTTCTCACTCATAGGCAGACACTAAAAAAAGTTGAAGTTATAAAAGTAAAAAGCAGAACAGAGGATACTAGAGGCCAGGAAAGGTAGAGAGAAATGGCGGATAAGGAGATATTTGTTAAAGAATACAACACTGTAGCTAGATAGGAGGAATAAGTTCTAAGGTTCCGTATCACTATAGCATGAGTGTAGTTAATAATATATAATTTTTAATGGCTAGAAGGAAGACATTGAATGTTCCCAGCAAAAAGAAATAATAAATGTTCAAGATAATGAATATGTTAATTACCCCAATCTGATCACTATACATCACGTGTGTTGAACATTACTATGTACCCCATTAATGTGTACAATTATTATTTGTCAATCCAAAAAATAAATATTAGAAAAGCCAGAGGCAGTGGAGAAGGAAAAAGAAATCTGTAACTGGCTGTGAGCAATTAATTGTAAACACCACTGCACTTGGACCTACCCTAAAGGCATTTTAAAGGGAATGTTTTCAATATTTTCCAGTAGGATGGGGGCAGTCTGATCTCAGTGCCCCACTGTCTCCTGGCCTTTCCTGGGACCCCAGCCTTGCTATAGCCACTTGCGCACAGCCTTGAATGCCCAACCAAGGTGCTCCTGAGGCCATCATAATAGTTCCTTCACTGGGAGACTGTGCCTGACTATCAGCACCCCCTATCATGCAGACATGCAACTACCCATCTGCAGCCTCTCTCCATTGCAGCCTTCCCCCCACCACTTTGCAGACGCACGCTCACCAACGCCTTTGTGCACTTGGCAGATGCACGCTCGTGCAGATGCAACGCAGCGTGCACTTTGCAGATGCACGCTCACCAACGCCTGCCCCATACACTGTTTTGCTGGAACACGCAGGTGGACTTTGCCTCGTCTTCTCCACCAGCATGCATGCACACACTACATTGCTCCACTGCCACTGACACAAATGTGCTTGTATGGATAATTCTGCCAAGCCCCCATGGGCATGCCACCCCACCAATATGTGGGCACCTTGCTGCACCGCTGTTGCCAGTGTGAGCATGTGCATGGATGCTGGCCTCCCACCCTCACCCATGGCCCACCCCTGCCAATGCACATGTACCTCACCATGCCATGGCTCCTGCTGGTATGTAGATGCAGGCAAGGATCCCACTTCTATTGCCCCAATGAAGCACTGTGGTAGGCACTCCTCATTGGGTGTTGATGCCAGCAGACCAGGAACTCTTCAGCCCCAAAGTGCAGCAGGTTTCTAACCTCAAGGGGTCACAGAACAAAGCAATGGGCCCAGAAACAGCCCTTCAAGGCTACAGCACACAGCCCAGGAGTGATGAGCTGAGCCTTGGTCCCCTGAAATCTCCCAGAAACAAAACCAGTCAAGTGAGCCCACCTTATACGACAATCAAACCCTCAAGGTATCAAATATTAAAGCAAAAAAACCTCATCCAAAGGACAGCAACTTCAAAGATTAAAGCAATATCAGCTCACACAGATGAGAAAGAACCAGCACAAGAACTCTGACAACTCAAAAACCCAGAGTGCCTTCTTACCTCCAAATGAACACCCAAGTTTCCCAGCAATGGTTGTTAACCAAGCTGAAATGGCTGAAATGACAGACATAGAGTTCAGAATATGGATAGAAATAAAGATCACCAAGATTCAGGAGAAAGTCGAAACCCAATCCAAGGAAACTAAGGAATCCAATAAAACAATAGAAAGAATGAAAGATGAAATAGCCATTTTAAGAAAGAACAAAACTGATTCAAGGAGGCTGAAAAACTCACTACAAGAATTTCATAACACAATTGCAAGTATTAACAGCAGATTGGACCAAAGTGAGGAAAGAATCTCAGAGATCAAAGACTGGTTCTTTGAATCAACACAGTCAAATGAAAATAAGGAAAAATAATAAAAAAGAATGAACAAAACCTCTGGGAAATATGGGATTATATGAGGAAAACAAGTCTATGATTCATTGGTGTCTCTGAAAAGGAAGGAGAGAAAGCAAGCAACTTGGAAAACATATTTGAGAATACTGTTCTATGAAAATTTCCCCAACATCACTAGAGAGGCCAACATTCAAATTCTGGAAATGTGAACAACCCCTGTGAGATACTACAAAAAGATGGCCATCGCCATTACACATAATTATCAGATTCTCCAAGGTCAACAAGAAAGAAAAGGGGCAGGTTACCCACAAAGGGAACACAATTAAGCAAACAGTGCAACCTTTCAGCAGAAACCCTAAAAGCAAGAAGCAAATGGGGACCTATATTCAGTATTCTTAAGGAAGAGAAATTACAACCAAGAATTTCATATCTAGCCAAACTAAGCTTCATAAGTGATAGAGAAATAAGATCCTTTTCAGACAAGCAAATGCTAAGGAAATGTGTTACCACCAGACCTGCCTTATAAGGTGTCTTTGCCTTATAAGGTATCTTTAAGGGAATGCTAAATATGGAAATGAAAGACTGTTACAGCCACCACCACACATAAAAAAACCACTTAAGGACATAGACCATTGACACTGTGAAGCAACTACACAATCAAGTCTGCATAATAACCAGCTAACAACACACTGATAGGATGTATTAGTCTGTTTTCATGCTGCTGATAAAGACATACCTGAGATTGGGCAATTTACAAAAGAAAGAGGTTTAATTGGACTTAGAATTCCACATGGCTGGAGAGGCCTCACAATTACGGTGGAAGGCAAGAAGGAACAAGTCACATCTTATGTGGATGGCAGCAGGCAAAAAGAAAGAGAGCTTGTGCAGGGGAATTCCCCTTTTTTAAAACCATCAGGTCTTGTGAGACTTATTCACTCTCATGAGAACTGCACAGGAAAGACTTGCCCCCATGATTCAATTACCTCCCACTGCATCCCTCCCACAACATGTGGGAATTCGAGATGAGATTTGGGTGGGAACACAGCCAAACCATATCACAGGATAACATCCACACATATCAATATTAACCTTGAACAACTATGGGCTTAAATGCCCCACTTAAGGGCAGAGAGTGGCAAGTTGGATAAAGAAATAATACCCAGTATGCTGCATTCAAGAGATCCATCTCAAATGCAATGACAACCATAGGCTCAAAGTAAAAGGATGGAAAAAAAAATCTACCAAGCAAATGTAAAATAAACAACAACAAAAAAATCAGGGTTGCTACTCTAATTTCAGACAAAACAGACTCAAAACCAACAACTATAAAAAAAAAAGACAAAGAAGGCCACTTCACAGTGGTAAAAAGCTCAATTCAACAAGAAGACCTAACTATCCTAAATATATATGCACCCAACACAGGAACATCCATATTCATAAAACAAGTTCTTAGAGATGTAGGCAGACACTTAGATAACCACACAATAATAGTGGGAGACTTCAATACTCCACCGAGAGTATTAGAGAGATCACTGAGGCAGAAAACTAACAAAGATATTCAGGACCTAAACTCAGCACTGGACCAAATGGACCTCACAGACATCTATAGAACTGTTCACCCAAAACCAACAGGATATACATTCTTCTCATCTGCACATGGCATATACTCTAAAATCAACTACACAATCAGCCATAAAACAATTCTCAGCACTTTCAAAGAAACCAAAACAATACCAGCCACACTCTTGGACCACAGCAAAACAAAAATAGGAATCAATACTAAGAAAATTGCTCAACACCATATCATTACATGAATATTAAACAACCTGCTCATGAATGACTTTCGGGTAAACAATGAATTAAGGCAGAAATCAAGAAATTATTTGAAACTGATGAAAATGAAGTTACAACATACCTGAATCTCTGGGACAGAGCTAACACAGTGTTAAAAGGGAAGTTTATAGCGCTAAATGCCCACATCAAAAATTAGATCTCAAATTAACAACCTAAAATCACACCCAAGGAGCTAAAAAAATAGGACCAAACAAACCCAAAACCTAGCAGAAGACAAGAAATAATCCAAATCAAAGCTGAACTGAATGAAACTAAGATGTGAGAAACCATACAAAAGACAAACATAACCAGAAGATAGTTTGTCAAAAGAATAAAAATATTTATAGATTTCTAGCTAGACTAATAAAAAAAAGAGAAGATCCAAACAAACACAGTCAGAAATTGGACAAAGAGGATATTACCACCAACTCCACAGAAACACATAAAGCACTCAAGAACTATTATGAACACCTCTCTACCCACAAACTAGACACCCTACAAGAAATGGATACATTCCTGGAAACATGCAACCTCCCAAGATTGAACCAGGAAAACACTGAAACCATGAACAGACCAACAACATTCAAAAATTGAATCAGTAATAAAAATCCTAGCAATCAAGAAAGGCCTGGACCAGACTGATTCAGAGCTGACTTCTACCAGACATGTAAAGAAGTGTTAGTACTATTCCAGGGCCAGGCACAGTGGCACACGCCTGTAATCCCAGCACTTTGGAAAGCTGAGGCAGTTGGATCACTTGAGGCCAGGAGTTTGAGACCAGCCTGGCCAACATGGTGAAACCCCATCTCTATTAAAAATGCAAAAATTAGCTGGACATGGTGGCCCATGCCTTAATCCCAGCTACTCAAGAGTCTGAGGCACGAGAATGGCTTGACCCTGGGAGGCAGAGATTGCGGTGAGCTGAGATTACACCACTGCACTCCAGACTGGAAGACACAGCAAGACTCTGTCTCAAAAGAAAAAAAAAAGAAAAGAAAAATAATTGTTAGTACCATTCCTACTGAAACTATTTTTAAAAATTGAGGAGGATGAACTCTTCACTAACCCATTTTACGAGGGAAGCATCATCTTGATACCAAAACCTGGTAGAGACACAACAAAAATCAGAAAACTTCAGGCCAATATTCTTGATGAACATGGATGCAAAACTTCTCAACAAAATAATGGCAAACTGAACTGAGTACCACATCAAAAAGCTAATTCACCACTATTGAGTAGGCTTTATTCGTGGGATGCATGGTTGGTTCAACATATACCAATCACTAAATGTGATTCATCATATGAACAGAACTACAAACCGAAGATCATCTTAATAGATGCAGAAAAGCTTTTAATAAAATTCAGCATTATGTTATGTTAAAAAAAAAAACCCTCAACAAACTAGGCATTGAAGCAACTTACCTCAAAATAATAACAGCAAGCTATGACAAACTCACAGCCAACATGAAACCAAATGGGCAAAAGCTAGAATCATTCCCTGTGAGAATGGGAACAAGACAGTTATGCCCACTCTAACCACTCCTATTCAGAATAGCAATGGAAGTCCTAGACAGAGGAATCAGGCAAGAGAAAAAAAAAGGCATCCAGATAGGAAGAGAGGAAGTCAACCTATCTCTGTTTGCAGATTATATGATTCTGTACCTAGAAAATCCCACAGTCTCTGTCCAAAAGCCCCTTGATCTGACAAACAACTTCAGCAAAGTTTCAGTATACAAAATCAATGTACAAAAATTAGTAGCATTTCTATACCTCAACAAAGTACAAGCTGAGAAAGCAATCCCATTCGCAATAGCCACACATGAAAATAAAATACCTAGGAACACAGCCAACCAAGGAGGAGAAAGATCTCCACAAATAGAATTACAAAACACTGCTGAAAGAAATCAGAGATGACACAAACAAATGGAAAAACATTGCACTCTCATGGATAAGAAGAATCAATATTGTTAAAATGGCCATGCTGCCCAAAGCAATTTACAGATTTGTTGCTATTCCTATCAAGTTACCAATGACATTTTTTACAGAATGTATTAGTCCATTCTCACACTGCTAATAAAAGCATACCCAAGACTGGGTAATTTATAAAGAAAAGAGGTTTAATTGATTCATAGTTCAGCATAGCTGGGGAGGCCTCAGGAAACTTACAATCATGGTGGAAGGGGAAGCAAACATATCCTTTTTCACAAAGTGACAGCAAGGAGAAGTGCCGAGTGAAGTGAGGGAAAAGCTCCTTATAAAGCCATCAGCTCTTATGAGAGCTCACTCACTATGATAAGAACAGCATAGAGATAACTGCCCTCATGAGTCAATGACCTCCTACCAGGTCCCTCCCACAATATGTGGGGATTATGGAAACTATAATTCAAGATGAAATTTGAGTGGAGACACAGCCAAACTCTATCATTCTACCCCTGGCCCCCAAATCTTGTGTCCTCACATTTCAAAATACAATCATGCCTTTGTAACAGTCCCTCAAAGTCTTAACTCCTTCCAGCATTAACTCAAAATCCATGTCTAAAGTCTCATTTGAGAGAAGACAAGTCCCTTCCACCTCTGAGCCTATAAATTCAAAAACAAGGTAGTTACTTCCTAGATAAAATGTGGGTACAAGCACTGGATAAATATAGCCATTCCAAATGAGAGAAATTGGCCAAAACAAATGGGTCAGAGGCCCCATGAAAGTCGAAAATCCAACAGGGCAAGTCATTAAACCTTAAAGTTCCAAAATGATCTCCTTTGACTTCATGTCTCCTATCCAGGGCATGCTGATGCAAGAGGTGGGCTCCCACAGCCTTGGGCAGCTCCATCCCTGTGGCTCTGCAGAGTATAGCTCCCCTTCTGGCTGGTAGCTGGTGTTTCACAGGCTGGTGTTGAGTGTCTGTGGCTTTTCCAGGTGCATGGTACAAGGTGTCAGTGGATCTACCATTCTGGGGTCTAGAGGATGTTAGCCCTCTTCTCACAGCTTTACTAGGCAGTGTCCCAGTGGGGACTCTGTGTGGGTACTCCAGACCCCACATTTCCCTTCTGCATTCCTGTAGCAGAGGTACTCCATGAGGGCTCTGCCCCTGCAGTGCAACATTCAGGTGTCTCTATACATCATCTGTAATCTAGGTGGAGGTTCCCAAACCTTGATTCTCATCTTCTGTGCATCCCCAGGACCAACATCATGTGAAAGCCACCAAGGCTTGTGGCTTGTATCCTCTGAAGCCATAGCCTAAGCTGTACCTTGGCCCCTTTTAGCCACAACTGGAGCAGCTAGGACACAAGGCACCAAGTCTCCAGGCTGTACACAGCAGGGGGTCCTGGACCAGGCCCACAAAACCATTTTTTCCTCCTAGACCACTGGGCCTGTGATGGGAGAGGCTGCCATGAAGGCCTCTGACATGTCCTGGAGACATTTTCCCCATTGTCTTGGCGATTAACATATGGCTGCTCCTTAATTATGCAAATTTCTGTAGTTGGCTTGAATTTATTTTTCGAAAATAGATTGTTTTGTTTTGTTTCTATTGCATTGTCAGGCTGCAAATTTTCTGAACTTTTATGCCCTGCTTCACTTTTAAATATAAGTTCAAATTCCAAACCATATCTTTGTGAATACATAGATCTGAATGCTTTCAACAGCACCCATCACCTCTTGAATGCTTTGCTGCTTAGAAATTTCTTCTGCCAGATATCCTAGATTATCTCTCTCAAGTTCAATGTTCCATAGATCTCTAGGGCAAGGGAAAAATGCCATGTCTCTTTGCTAAAACATAGCAAAAGTCACCTTTATTCAAGTTTCCAACAAATTCCTCATCTCCATCTGAGACCACCTCAGCCTGGGTTTCATTGTCCATATCACTATCAGCATTTAGTCCAAGCCATTCAATAAGTCTCTAGGGAGTTCCAAACTTTCCCATATCTTCCCGTTCTCTGAGCTTTCCAAGTCTCTAGGAAGTTCCAAACTTTCCTGTATCTTCCTATCTTCTTTTGAGCCTGTTACCCAGTTCCAAAGTCACTTCCACATTTTCAGGTATGCTTATAGCAGTAACCCACTCTACCAGTACCAATTTACCATATTAGTCCATTTTCATACTGCTATGAAGAAATACCCAAGACTAGGTAATTTATAAAGAAAAAGAGGTTTAAGGGACTGACAGTTCCACATGGCTGGGGAGGCCTCAAAATCATGGCAGAATGTGAAGGAGGAGCAGAGGTACATCTTCCATGGTGGCAGGCAAGAGAGCATGTGCAGGGGCACTGCCCTTTATAAAACAATCAGATCTCATGAAACTTGTTCACTATCATGAGAACAGCATGGGAAACACCTGCTCCCATGATTCAATTACCTCCTACCAGGTCCCTCCTATGATACATGGGCATTATGGAACTACAATTCAAGATGAGATTCTAGTGGGGACACAGCCAGCCAGACCATATCACAGAATTAGAAAAATCTAGGCCAGGCGCGGTGGCTCACGCATGTAATCCCAGCACTTTGGGAGGCCGAGGGGGGTGGATCATGAGGTCAGGAGATCAAGACCATCCTGGCTAACATGGTGAAACCCTGTCTCTACCTAAAAATACAAAAAATTGGCCAGGCATGGTGGCAGGCGCCTGTAGTCCCAGCTACTCGGGAGGCTGAGGCAGGAGAATGGCGTGAACCCAGGAGGTGGAGGTTGCAGTGAGCCGAGATCATGCCACTGCACTCCAGCCTCGGTGACAGAGCGAGGCTCTGTCTCAAAAAAAAAGAGAAAAAAATCTATTCTAATATTCATACGGAACCAGAAAAGAGTCCAGGTAGCCAAAGCAATACTAAGTGTATTATGTCATTCTTGCATTGCTATAGATAAGTACCTGAAACTTGGTAATTTATAGGAAAAGAGGTTGAATTGGCTTACGACGCTGCAGGCTGAAAAGGAAGCACGGCAGCAGCTGCTTCTGGGGAGGCCTCAGTGAGCTTTTACTGATGGAGGAAGACAAAGTGGGAGCATGTACTTCACGTGGCAAAAGCAGGAGCAAGAGAGAAAGGGAGGAAGTGCCATGCACTTTTAAATAACCAGGTCTCATGAGCAGTCACTCACTATCTTAAGGACAGCACCAAGGGGATGGTGCTAAATTATTCATGAAAAATCCTCCCCCATGGTCCAGTTACTTCCCACCAGGCCCCACTTCCAACATTAGGGGTTACATTTGAACATGAGAGTTGGGTAGGAACATATATCCAAACTATATCACTATGCAAAAAGATCAAAGCTGGAGGCATCACATTACCCAATTCCAAACTGTATTACGAGGGTACAGTAACCAAAACAGAATGGAACTGGTACAAAAACAGGCACTTAGACCAATGGAACAGAGTAGAGAGCTCAGAAAAAAGGCAAGACACCTACAACTTTGACAAAGTCAACAAAAACAAGCAATGTGGAAAGGACTTCCTATTCAATAAAAGGTGTGGGAATAACTGGCTAGCCATGTACAGAAGATTAAAAGTGGACCCTTTCCTTTCACCATATCCAAAAATCAACTCAAGATGGATTAAAGACTTAAATGTAAAACCTAAGACTATAAAAACCCTAGACAAAAACCTAGGAAATATTATTCTGGACACAGGCCCTGGCAAATATTTCATGACAAAGATGAGAAAGGCAATTGCAACAAAAACAAAAACTGACAAATATGACCTAATTAAAGTAAAGAGCTTCTGCATAGCAAAAGAAACTGTCAACAGAGTAAACAGACAATCTAGAATGGGAGAAAATATTTGTTAACTATGCATCCTACAAAGGTCTAATATTAAGAATATTTAAGGAGCTTAAACAACAAATAAAAATCAAGAAACCCCATTAAAAAGTGGGCAAAGGACACAAACAGAAGCTTTTCAAAAGAAGACATACAAGCGGTCATCAAGCATATGAAAAAATGCACAACATCACTCATTATTAGAGAAATGCAAATCAAAATCACAATGAATATCATCTCACACCAGTCAGAATGGCTATTATTAAAAAGTCAAAAAATAACCGATGCTATTTCAGCCAGTGTGGAAAACAGTTTGGCAATTTTTCAAAGAACTTAAAACGTAGCTACCATTTGACCCAGCAATCCCATTATTGTTTATATACCCAAAGGAATATAAATCATTCTACCATAGAGACACTCTCACATGTATGTTCATTGTGGCATATTCACAATAACAAAGAAATGGAATCAACATAAATTCCCATCAATAGACTGGATAAAGAATATGTGGTACATACACATCATGGAATACTGTGCAGCCATAAAAAGGAAAGTGCAGCAACACTGATGGAGCTGGAGGCTATTATCCTAAGTGAACTGGTGCAGGCACAAAAACACAAATACCACAAGTTCTCACTTATAAGTAGGAGCTAAATAATGAGTACACAGGACACAAAGAAGGAAACAATAGATACTGGGGCCTACTTGTGGGTGGAGAGTGGGAGGAGGATGAGGATTAAAAGCTACCTACTGCATACTATGTTTATCACCTGGGTGATGAAATAACCTGTACACCATGTCCCTGTAACACACAATTTACATATATGACAAACCTGCACATGTACCCGTGAACCTAAAAGTCTAAAAATAAAATTCACCATTATTTATGGTGCTGTCTGTCTGTCTGTATATATATATTATATCTGATGTAAGTACTTTGAAGATAACACTTTTTCAATAAAGACTTTTTCAGTTCCTCGTTCACTGATAGCTTTTGTCATAAATAAATGTTTACTGAACATGTTTTCCATATCTATAGGGATAACTATACAATTTGTTTTATTTAATTTGTCAAATGACATAAATTTATTTTCTAAAGGATATTTCCATTCCTGAATAGACCCAGTGAGCTGTGGTATATTTTTATACATATTGGTAGATTATTTTAACAAATATTTTACTTTTTATTTTATTAATAAAATATTTTACTTTTATTAATAAAATATTTTACTTATATTTTATTAAGAATGTTTGCATCTCTGTTATAGATAACATTGGACTATAATTTTCCTTTATTTTACTATCTTTGCCTGGGTTTGTTGTTCAGATTATAGATTGAGGAATTTTTCTGATCTTTCTGTTTTTAGGAAGAAATTATGCAAGACTTGAATAATGTATTTCTTTAATATTTTATCAGCCTCAGCTATAAATTAATATGGTTATGTTGTTTTCCTTGCAAAAATATTTTAAACTACTGGTTTAAGTTTAGTAATGATTATAAATGACTATTCAAATTTTCCATTTCTTCTCAATTCAGGTAAGTAGTATTTTCCAAGAATGTATTCATTTCATGTAAGTTGTAAAATGTAGTGGCCTATTTCTGCTCCTAATATCCTCATATTACTTTATTCCCCTCATGGATTTCACATGCAGAAGATTGAGTTATTCATAATCTTTGGATGATGGCACATTTTCATTATGATCCATGTTAGGCCTCTTTCTCTTTCTTCCTTTTTTCTCTTTATTCTCCATTTCCCAACCCCATAGCCTATGGATTTGTGCCTACCTTTTTCTGTGATATTAAAATAATAACTCCAGCTTCCCTTATGATATGATAATCCTTAAATATTTTGTACATCCTATGACTGAAGTTTTCTGTCTTGTTTAAGATGTATCTTTAGAACGCAAAAAAAAAATCTGGATATTGTACTTTTTAACCGCTCCAATAATCTTTTCCTTTATTGATAAGTGTAGTATGTTTACATTTATAATGATTGCTAACATATTGCGATTGGCTTGCATCTTCTTACAAGCTTTCTACTTGAGTGGCTTCTTTATTTTACATTATTTTATTTGCTTTCCCATCTTTTCACTCTCACCTTCTTTAGATCACATTTTTTAAAACTTCCCCCTTTAATTTTTCTCAATTCATTTTTTTCTCCTAACAGCCTGAAACTTTTGTGATCTGCATTTTTTTTTGCAAATCACAAAATCTTAAGCAATCTTACGTGACTTGATTGCCAAGTTTTGCCAACAAATTAGGCATTATTGTTGTTGCTATTTTATTTATCACATCAATAATTTATGGATATATCTGCATACATGCAGTATCTTTGCTTGTAACTTTTACTCAATTAAACCTTGTATGTCAGATTGATTTCTATTAATATTTGTCAGAGGTAACTATTTAAAACTTTTTTCAGTAATAAGAACCCTGTGTGATAAAACTCCCTAAAATTTTGTGTGCCTGAAAAGAAATTTATTTTGCTGTGTTCTTAAAAGATAGCTTCACTGGGTATAGAATTCTAAGTTGAAAATTATTTTTCTTAGTACATTAAACATATTCCACTTGTGGTTTCTCTTATCACTGTTAAGGAGCTGTGTCTAAATCTAAATGCTATTTTTTGATTTTATTTTTTGGTCTTTCTGGTTTCTTTTAAAACCATTCCTTTTTTTTTTTTTTTTTTTTTTTTTTTTTTTTGCCATTTTGCAATACACATTCTATGTCTAAGGATGGGTTTTTAAATTTATTTGTCCTGTTTGGGGATCCCTGAATTCCTTAGATCTGATAATTGGAATTTATCAACAATTTTGGAAAAAGTATAATCTCTTTGAAGAGCTGCACTTGCCTGGAGCTTAGCCTCAGCCCTGGAGCTAAGGGAAGAATGAGAAATATCTCACGTGGAGTTTCCATCTTGCCACGCTGGTAGATGGGAGAAGAAAAGGAAATTTGGACACAAACATGTAAGAAGAAAGAAGCTGCAAAGGCATAGGAAAAAGATGCCTATCTACAAGCCAAGAAGAGAGGTCTCAGAAGGAACTACTTCTGCTAACACCTGAACTGCAGACATCTGGTCTTCAGAATTGGTGACTTTGTCATGGAGGTCTAACTTGCTTGAAATTCTTGGTTACCTGAAGTATCTGGCATGTTGGAAGGAATCCTTTGGACTTTAGAATGCAATTACCAGGACTGGATGAATGGCTAATTGGATTAAGCGTTGCTTGGATTTGCTGTTCTAAAGCTGCTAAAGTACCTGCTTTTCTGGACTACCTAATGCCTGACCCCTTCACCCACTCCTGTGTCCCCTGTGTCTAGGGAACATCATATCTTTTTTTAAATTTCTTTTTAATTGTACTTCAGGGCACATGTGCACAACGTGCAGGTTTGTTACATAGGTATACATGTGCCATGTTGGTTTGCTGCACCCATCAACCTGTCATTTACAGTAGGTATTTCTCCTAATACTATCCCTCCCGCAGCCCCCCACTCCCCGACAGGCCCCAGTGAGTGATGTTCCCTGCCCTGTGTCCAAGTGTTTCCATTGTTCAATTCCCACCTATGAGTGAGAACATGTGGTGTTTGGTTTTCTATCCTTGTGATAATTTGCTGAGAATGATGGTTTCCAGCATCATCCATGTCCCTGCAAAGGACATGAACTCATCCTTTCTTATGGCTGCGTAGTATTCCATGGGTTATATAAGCCACATTTTCTTCATCCAGTCTATCATTGATGGACATTTGGGTTGAATTCAAGTCTTTACTATTGTGAATAGTGCTGCAATAAACATACATGCGCATGTGTCTTTATAGTAGCATGATTTATAATCCCTTGGGTATATACCCAGTAAAGGGATCGCTGGGTCAAATGTTTTTTCTAGTTCTAGATCATTGAGGAATTGCCACACTGTCTTCCACAGTGGTTGAACTAATTTACACTCCCATCAACACTGTAAAAGCATTCCTATTTCTCCACATCCTTTCCAGCATCTGTTGTTTCCTGACTTTTTAATGATCACCATTCTAACTGGTGTGAGATGGTATCTCATTGTGGCTTTGATTTGCATTTCTCTGATAACCAGTGATGATGAGCATTTTTTCATGTGTTTGTTGGCTGCATAAATGTCTTCTTTTGAGAACCGTCTGTTCATATCCTTTGCCCAGTTTTTGATGGGGTTGTTTGTTTTTTTCTTGTAAATTTGTTTAAGTTCTTTGTAGACTCTGGATATTAGCCCTTTGTCAGATGGGTAGATTGCAAAAATTTTCTCCCGTTCTGTAGGTTGCCTGCTCACTCTGAGTGTAGTTTCTTTTGCCATGCAGAAGCTCTTTAGTTTAATTAGATCCCATTTGTCAATTTTGGCTTTTGTTGTCATTGCTTTTGGTGTTTTAGTCATGAAGTCTTTGCCCATGCCTATGTCCTGAATGATATCGCCTAGGTTGTCTTCTATGGTTTTTATGGTTTTAGGTCTAACATTTAAGTCTTTAATCCATCTTGAATTAAATTTTGTATAAGGTGTAAGGAAGGGATCCAGTTTCAGCTTTCTGCATACGGCTAGCCAGTATGGCCATTTCCACGATATTGATTGGAATAGTTTCAGAAGGAATGGTACCAGCTCATCTTTGTACCTCTGGTAGAATTTGGCAGCGAATTATTATTTATTAAATAGGGAATCCTTTCCTCATTTCTTGTTTTTGTCCTGTTTGTCAAAGATCAGATGGTTGTAGATATGTGGTGTTATTTCCGAGGCCTCTGTTCTGTTCCATTGGTCTATATATCTGTTTTGGTATCAGTACCATGCTGTTTTGGTTACTGTAGCCTTGTAGTATAGTTTGAAGTCAGGTAGCATGACGCCTCCAGCTTTGTTCTTTTGGCTTAGGATTGTCTTGGCTATGCAGGCTCTTTTTTGGTTCCATATGAACTTTAAAGTAGTTTTTTTCCCCCAATTCTGTGAAGAAAGTCACTGGTAGCTTGATGGGGATAGCATTGACTCTATAACTTACCTTGGGCAGTATAGCCATTTTCACAATATTGATTCTTTTATCCATAAGCATGGAATGTTCTTCCATTTGTTTGTGTCCTCTTTTATTTTGTTGAGCAGTGGTTTGTAGTTCTCCTTGAAGAGGTCCTTCATATCCCTTGTAAGTTGGATTCCTAGGTATTTTATTCTCTTTGAAGCAATTGTGAATGGGAGTTCATTCATGATTTGGCTTTCTGTTTGTCTGTTATCGATGTATAAGAATGCTTGTGATTTCTGCACATTGATTTTGTATCCTGAGACTTTGCTGAAGTTGCTTATCAGCTTAACGAGATTTTGGGCTGAGATGATGGGGTTTTCTAAATATACAATCACGTCATCTGCAAACAGGGACAATTTGACTTCCTCTTTTCCTAATTGAATACCCTTTATTCCTTTCTCCTGCCTGATTGCCCTGGCCAGAACTTCCAACGGTATGTGGAATAGGAGTGGTGAGAGAGGGTATCCTTGTCATGTGCTGGTTTTCAAAAGGAATGCTTCCAGTTTTTGCCCATTCAGTATGATATTGGCTGTGGGTTTGTCATAAATAGCTTTTATTATTTTGTGATACGTTCCATCAGTACCTAGTTTATTAAGAGTTTTTACCATGAAGCGCTGTTGAATTTTGTCAAAAGCCTTTTCTGCATCTATTGAGATAATCATGTGGTTTTTGTTGTCGGTTCTGTTTATGTGATGGATTATGTTTACTGATTTGTGTATGTTGAACCAGCCTTGCATCCCAGGGATGAAGCTGACTTGATCGTGGTGGATAAGCTTTTTGATGTGCTGCTGGATTTGGTTTGCCAGTATTTTACTGAGGATTTTTACATCAATGTTCATCAGGGATATTGGTCTAAAATTCTCTTTTTTGTGTGTGTCTCTGCCAGGCTTTGGTATCAGGATGATGATGGCCTCTTAAATGAGTTTGGGAGGATTCTCTCTTTTTCTGTTGATTGGAATGGTTTCAGAAGGAATGGTACCAGTTCCTCCTTGTACCTCTGGTAGAATTCGGCTGTGAATCCATCTGGTCCTGTACTGTTTTTTGTTGGTAGGCTATTAATTATTGCTTCAATTTCAGAGCCTGTTATTGGTCTATTCAGAGATTCAACTTATTCCTGATTTAGTCTTGGGAGGGTGTATGTGTCCAGGAATTTATCCATTTCTTCTAGATTTTCTAGTTTGTTTGCGTAGAGGTGTTTATAGTATTCTCTGATGGTAGTTTGTATTTCTGTGGGATCGGGGTGATATCCCCTTTATCATTTTCTGTTGCATCTATTTGATTCCTCTCTCTTTTCTGCCTTTTAGATCGATTTTGTTGATCTATTCAAAAAACTAGCTCCTGGATTCATTGATTTTTTGAAGGTTTTTTTGTGTCTCTATCTCTTTCAGTTCTGCTCTGATCTTAGTTATTTCTTGCCTTCTGCTAGATTTTGAATTTGTTTGCTTTTGCTTCTCTAGTTCTTTTAACTGTGATGTTAGGGTGTTGATTTCAGATCTTTCCTGCTTTCTCCTGTGGGCATTTAGTGCTATAAATTTCCCTCTACACACTGCTTTAAATGTATCCCAGAAATTCTGGTATGTTGTGTCTTTGTTCTCATTGGTTTCAAAGAACATCTTTATTTCTGCCTTCATTTCTTTATGTACCCGGTAGTCATTCAGGAGCAGGTTGTTCAGTTTCCACGTAGTTGAGCGGTTTTGAGTGAGTTTCTTAAATCTGAGTTCTAATTTGATTGCACTGTGGTCTGAGAGACAGTTTGTTGTGATTTCTATTCTTTTACATTTGCTGAGGAGTGCTTTGCTTCCAATTATGTGGTCAATTTTAGAATAAGTGCAATGTGGTGCTGAGAAGAATGTATATTCTGTTGATTTGGGGTGGAGAGTTCTGTAGATGTCTATTAGGTCTGCTTGTTGCAGAGCTGAGTTGAAGTCCTGGATATCCTTGTTAACCTTCTGTCTTGTTGATCTGTCTAATATTGACAGTGGGGTGTTAAAAGTCTCCCATTATTACTGCGTGGGAGTCTAATTCTCTTTGTAGGTCTCTAAGAACTTGCTTTATGAATCTGGGTGCTCCTGTATTGGGTGCATACATATTTAGGATAGTTAGCTCTTCTTGTTGTATTGATCTCTTTATCATTATGTAATGGCCTTCTTTGTCTCTTTTGATCTTTGTTGGTTTAGAGTCTGTTTTATCAGAGACTAGGATTGCAACCCCTGCTTTTTTTTTTCTTTCCATTTGCTTGGTAGATCTTCCTCCATCCCTTTATTCTGAGCCTATGTGTGTCTCTGCATTTGAGATGGGTCGTCTTGACTCTTTATCCAATTTGCCAATCTGTGTCTCTTAATCAGAGCATTTAGCTCATTTACATTTAAGGTTAATATTGTTATTTGTGAATTTGATCCTGTCATTATGAGGTTAGCTGGTTATTTTGCCAGTTTATTGCTGCAGTTTCTTCCTAGCATCTATGATCTTTACAATTTGGCATGTTTTTGCAGTGGCTGGTACCGGTTGTTCCTTTCCATGTTTAGTGCTTCCTTCAAGAGCTCTTGTAAGGCAGGCCTGGTGGTGACAAAATCTCTCAGCGTTTGCTTGTCTGTAAAGGATTTTATTTCTCCTTCACTTATGAAGCTTAGTTTGGCTAGATATGAAATTCTTGGTTGAAAATTCTTTTCTTTAAGAATGTTGAATATTGGCTCCCACTCTCTTCTGGCTGTAGGGTTTCTGCTGACTGATCCACTGTTAGTCTGATGGGCTTCCCTTTGTGGGTAACCCAACCTTTCTCTCTGGCTGCCCTTAACATTTTTTCCTTCATTTCAATCTTGGTGAATCTGACAGTTACGTGTCTTGGTGTTGCTCTTCTCGGGGAGTATCTTTGTGGTGTTCTCTGTATTTCCTGAATTTGAATGTTGGCCTGCCTTGCTAGGTTGGGGAAGTTCTCCTGGATAAAATCGTGAAGAGTGTTTTCCAATTTGGTTCCCTTCTCCCCATCACTTTCAGGTACACCGGTCAAACATAGATTTGGTCTTTTCACATAGTCCCATATTTCTTGGAGGCTTTGTTCGTTTCTTTTTACTCTTTTTTCTCTAATCTTGTCTTCTCATTTTATTTCATTAATTTGATCTTCAATCACTGATATCCTTTCTTCCACTTGATCGAATTGGCTATTGAAGCTTGTGCATGCATCATGAAGTTCTCGTGCCGTGGTTTTCAGCTCCATCAGGTCATTTAAAGTCTTCTCTACACTGTTTATTCTAGTTAGCCATTCATCTAACCTTTTTTCAAGGTTTTTAGCTTCCTTGCGATGGGTTAAAACATTCTCCTTTAGCTTGGAGAAGTTCGTTATTACTGACCTTCTGAAGTCTACTTTAGCTTGGAGAAGTTCGTTGTTACTGACCTTCTGAAGCCTACTTCTGACAACTCATCAAATCATTCTCCATCCAGCTTTGTTCCATTGCTGGCGAGGAGTTGTGATCCTTTGGAGGAGAAGAGGCACTCTGGTTTTTAGAATTTTCAGCTTTTCTGCTCTGGTTTCTCCCCATCTTTGTTGTGGTTTTATCTACCTTTGGTCTTTGATGTTGGTGACCTACAGATGGGGTTTTGGTGTGGTTGTCCTTTTTGTTGATGTTGATGCTATTCCTTTCTGTTTGTTAGTTTTCTTTCTAACAGGTCCCTCTGCTGCAGGTCTGTTGGAGTTTGCTGGGGGTCCACTCCAGACCCTGTTTGCCTGGGTGTCACCAGCAGAGGCTGCAGAACAGCAAATATTGCAGAACAGCAAATATTACTGCCTGATCCTTCCTCTAGAAGCTTCGTCCCAGAGGGTCACCTGCCTGTATGAGGTGTCTGTCGGCCCCTACTAGGAGGTGTCTCCCAGTTAGGCTACATGGGGTTCAGGGACCCACTTGAGGAGGCAGTCTGTCTATTCTCAGAGCTCAAATGCCGTGCTGGGAGAACCACTGTTCTCTTCAGAGCTGTCAGACAGGGAAGTTTAAGTCTGCAGAAGTTTCTGCTGCCTTTTGTTCAGCTATGCCCTGCCCACAGAGGTGGAGTCTACAGAGGCAGTAGGCCTTGCTGAGCTGTGGTGGGCTCCACCCACTTTGAGCTTCCTGGCCACTTTGTTTACCTACTGAAGCCTCAGGAATGACAGATGCCCCTCCCCCCACCAGGCTGCAACCTTGCAGGTCAATCTCAGACTGGTGTGCTAGTAGTGAGCAAGTCTCCATGGGCATGGGACCCACTGAGCAAGTCATGGGAGAGAATCTCTTGGTTTGCCAGTTGCTAAGACCTTGGGAAAAGTGCAGTATTTGGGCTAGAGTGTCCTATTTTTCCCAGTACAATCTGTCATGGCTTCCCTTAGCTAGGAAAGGTATATCCCCCGACCCCTTGCCCATCCTGGGTGAGGCGATGCCCTGCCCTGCTTCAGCTCACCCTCCATGGGCTGCACCCACTGTCCAACCAGTCCCAAAGAGATGAACCAGGTACTTCAATTGGAAATGCAGAAATCACCAGTCTTCTGCATTGATCACACTGGGATCTACAGACTGGAGCAGTTCCTGTTCAGCTATCTTGGAATGGACCCCTATTATGGAGGGAACATCATATATTTTAAGGATAAAACTGCCTCTTAGAAGTTGCTATCGCCAAATACTTTCCCATCCTCCTATATAGCTAGGAAGCACAAGGCTGAGATTCTGCCAATCACAATTGGAATCAAAAGCCAGTGATAAGAAGAAACAGGTCCCTGGGCTAGAATCTGTTAGGAAGTGGGTTGGAGGCAGTTATATCCAAGCTACAGAGATAAATGAAAATAAGAACACTTTCTGTCAAAACTTATGAGATGTAATTGAAACTACACTTAGAGAAATTTATAAGTGGCAACAAATCTGGTATACAGCCACAGTGATCCTTGAAGTGCTAGCTGTGGTCTCTGTACAGACTCGGTCCTTGTGACAAAGTTTTCTTCACTGGACTAATTCTCAGGTGGGCTTTGAGATAACATTCCTGGCTGTGTAGCCCCTAATTCTGGTTCTCTACCTTTCCTGGAGATCTTTGTGCCTCCTCACATTCTTTATTACATGTTGTTCAAGCGTAGACAATAGTAGAGAGAATTGCATAATGAACAACTTGTACCCATGACCCATATTCAACAATTATCAACACAGGACCAGTTCATCAATTGAAAAGTATATTTTAAAGAAATTCAAGACTTTATATCATTTCATCATAAGTACGTCAGTTTGCATCTTTAATAGTTTTTTTAAAACTGTAATACCGTTATAGCCACTAACAAACAAAAAATTCCTGTCTTCCAAAAGTAAAATTAAAAATATAAGACAATATTGTGTGTGCATTGAAAAGAATAGTACATAGTGCCTCAATTTCTTAACCTAAGAAATAACCTAAGAAAATAAGCTAGAACTAATGTTGAAGTGGGCTTGAAACAATGTGGCACCTATAGAAGAATCAGTTTCTCAATATTTCTCAAAGGTAAACCAAGATTTGTTGATGTTTTGGATAGGGAATGTGAGAGGAAGAAAAGCTAAGATGACTCCATGAATTTTGGCTTGACTGGAAAAACATAAGTTGCCATTTTAGTGAGAGGGAGAAATAATATTAGGTAAGTTGTGATTTCCAAAGTCTTTCCTGGTAATATAACAATTCTTGCTGGGTATAAGTAAAAACTCCTCCAAAAGATCAGATTGGTTCAGTACCTCTTTATGTTACTTCTTGAGCATTTTTCACACTTGCTAATCAAACTTAGGTTGGCAGCAGAGATAAAAATGATTGGTGGAGCTATGAGGAAATATTCACAGAGGCTAACAATTATCTTGCTTGACAGGCAGAAACAATGATACTTAAATGCCTTTAGGACTTGAAAGTGGCCTAAAAAACCCTAGCTTAAAGGAATGCCAGCTTTACCATAGCCACACAGGAACCCTGACTTCACTATCTGTTTACTACTGCAAAAGAAATAAGGGAGTTTCTCCCCTCTCTTGGTTGAATTTTAACTCAGTACTAAATGCTGAAAAATTAAATATTTAGATTGGTACAAAAGTAATTGTGGTTTTTGTCATTAGGTTCAATGGCAGAAACCGTAATTATTTTTTGCACCAACCTAATAGATTTAATTTTTCCTTTTTAATTAGAAGAAAAGGACTTGTTTATTTTCTCCCTGGGAGCAGAATGAAGAAATCTAGAACCATTTAGTATTCTGATATGTTTCATGTTGGTGGAAAATAATCAGATAAAAAACATAATTAGAAAAAGATATTTAACAGAAATCTTGAAAAATATATAAGAATAAATCTTAAAATTTATATAATGAACTTTTTTCTGGATACACACTGTTTTTTTTAATGTGTGGATTTCCTATAATCTAGGATGTTTTGTTACTAGACAAAACTTTTTAAAAAGAACACACTCAAATAGTAATTTTTAAAAAATACAAGAGTATATCAGAATCCAAATATTTTCAGTAATGACACGTTTTGTGTACTATATTAATAACCTACAGGCTAGCTCCTATGGCAATCTTTCTTCCCCCTAATGAACAGTGCTGTGATCGCAGATATTTCAAACCAAATCTATCTCTTAACCTAAGAAAATAAGCTAAAAGAAAATCCAAATTTCCAGGGTCACCAAAGCAAGAATCTTTCCAAAAAGAATTTTATTTTTTTATTCTGAATACATTCCTGAAAGATAGTTTTCTAACTGAGCATTTCCTTCAATTCTTTGCCTCTCCTGATGACACTGCTAATTTGGTACCACTACATCGTCATCGGTACCAGGACGCCCGTCTTTAGTTTACAAACCACTGCTCCTGTGGCTGTGCCAGATGTAAAATACCTTGCCTTCTTTTGAAACCTTTACTATGACTCCAAGCCACCTTCCTCAGTTTTTTAATGAGCAGGCTTTTCAGTCTTTCCTTCTCATTCTCTGAAGGCTTTAATACGCAAATTACAGCTTTCCACCTCACATCATATTCCTGCCATCATTCTTGGTGACTGCAACAAACATGTGGATGATTTTTGCAACATTCTAATGTCTCAAGTTTCTTGCACTCTTATCTCTACCCATCTTCAATCCCTCAGTCACTGTCATATCCTAAAAGTTTTATCACCAAGGACTTACCCACCTCAACCATTCGATTCAAATCTTAATTTCTGCCAACAACCTCTTCTCAGGACAACTTTCTCACTTAGTTTCTCCTAGCTTGTCTTTCCTCTGCCCTCTCTGGAATCTCATGCATCGGAACACTCTTTTTTTCCTGCTTTCCCTGCTCCTGCCTTTACATACATTCTTATTCAGTTTAGATGTCCAGGTTTATTACTTCACTCTCCCCAGTATCTTCAATCTCACGTCAAATTCTCCTTCGATCCTATCTGCTGGGAACAACATACCTGTATCCGTCAGGAATAGTTGTTGCAAGTGATGGAAACTGATCTGACTCATTAGAGCAGAAAGGAATGTATTAGAAAGATACTTACTTGGTAGCTTACAAAATAAGTTGGAAGGCAGGAGAATGAAGCTCAGAAAATAGGCGGGCATCAAGGGAGGTTCTGCAAAGAACCTGTGAGCAGGGTCAGGCCACAGGGACGTCTGAGTAGGGTGCTGATGTTGAAGCAGCCAGCCGCACTGACACGGCTCCTAGGAACAGTTCTGCCGCAGCATACCAATTCAGATACTGATGGATTAGCAAAGCTGTGCTGAGGCCACAAATGACTTCTAAATTCTGTCTGTGCCTTTGTACCATTTTCTCAAGATTCAAAGTCTCAGGTGGGAGTATATGTTGGACTGAACCTGGTTCAAACAATCACATTCTGGTTTTAAGAATGGGAAGTAGAAAGTTCTGTCTCCTTCATCTCATCACATTTATATTTTTTCCATCTTTTGTCTCATTTATTAATCTTCTGTGCTCTAGATCCTTCCTCTTTGCATTTTTTTTTTCAGTTTTTTACTTGGTTGATTCTTCTTCTTCTTATGGTATGTTGGAAAATTTATTATGCATGACCTGCCCTGTGCATTCCCCATCCATTATATATTCCAAGGATGTTTAGAGAATTCTCACTTATGTAAAGCACTGAGCACCAGCCTCCTTGAAAAGTCATGTGGCGACTGTCTTCTTTAGCCCAGTGACCACCATATGTGATGCTGCCAGTAAGATAGGTTTCCTAATTTCAATAGGGAAGGGAAGATCCAAGAGCAACAGAAGCTTAGCAGCTGTGATTTAATAGGACAAGGTAGGTACTTTTACCATAATGGAAAGTAGGGTTGAGTTGGTAATCTAAATATTTTAAGCCACAGGAATTTTTAGAGGGGACTATTTATAAAAATGGGTCTGTATCAAAGGTGTTTTTAAATCCTTATTGGCAGAGCCACAAGATGATAAAGCTGTTTTTTTTTTTAAAAAAAAAACTATAGGGTAGAAATAATTTATAGACATACAAAGAGAATGCTATATTAAGATTTCTAAATTGTGCACAAAAAAAAAATGTCAGTGCCCTACAGGGCATGCAATGTTTTCTACGTGATAAAAATCCTTTGCATATCTACAGGATGAAATTAATCTGCACTGCTATAGAAACAGAATCATCTGCATAACTATCAGTTTTCTACTCTTCAACACCTATCATTATAGAGTTGTAAAATACTATATTCAAAGGCACATCCCCCTAGGGGTTAGATAATCCTTGTTAGATAAGCCTCTTAGGCAATATTCTAGTATGACATTGAAAGGACAAGCGGTTTTCCATTTGCTTATTTCCAAGCATTGGATTTTTTTTTGTGTGTTAACAGTTCCTCCCTTATAAACACAAATTCTCTTTATCCCTGGCTGCAGACAACCACTGACGTTTTATGTCACTATAAATTAGATTTGATCTCTTAGAGATTCTAGAAATAGAATCAGGTATAATGTACTCTTTTGAGTCTGGATATTTTGCTTAGTACAATGTCGTTGGGCTAAATATATTTTAGTGTTTACCAGTAGTAAATTTTGTTGTTGTTGTTGAGTTGTGTATGGACATCCCAAGATTTGTTTATCCACTTACTTCCTTTTTCGTGTCTTTTTATCTTTCCAGTTTTTAGCTATTTTGAATGAAGCTAAGGGTCTTCACATATAATAAGTCTGATGTGAATGTTTTCATTTCTACTGGGTAAATAACTGAGTGATATTAATGAGTTACCTTTATAAGTATCAATTTAAATAAACAGGGAGAGGCTCTCTAAAAGAAAAGGATATTTATTTGGGAATAGAGCATAGCAATGGTAATACATGTGCCATAGTAAACCATATGCATATTCAAGGAGGTAAAGGAAGACAAAGATTTTTAAAGAAAAAATGAGGATGATTATACAATTGTTTTAAAATAATCCTCAGCTACAAAGATCAATTAAAAGGGTGACACCAGTCTGAGGGTTGACAGCCAGTTGCTGGGCAGATGTCCTTGCAGAAGTATTTTTTTGTATAAGGATGTGATGGTCTTTTTGCAAGATTATGATTTTCACAGATTCTTTTGTGATACTTTTTATTATCAAGCATATGAGCAGGAGAACCCTCTCTTCATGGTGTTCCCTGGCTCTATTTGTCAGGGTTTTTTTTTTCAACATTAGTGACTCCACGTTGATTCTGACAATTTTCACAGGAGAAACTGCCAACAAGTTTTTCAAAGCGGTTATATCATTTTAGAATCCCTTAGTGTATGAAAGTACCAGGGACTCCCCATCATTACCAACAATTGATATTATCAGTCTGCTTTGTTTTAATGATCATAATGAGTATATAGCAATAACTTATTGCAGTTTTAATTTTCTTTTTTAAATTAATTTTTAAAATAATACTTTAAGTTCTGGGGTACATGTGCAGAACCTGCAGTTTTATTACATAAGTATACATGTGCCATGGTGGTTTGCTGCACCCATCAACCTGTCATTTACATTAGGTATTTCTCCTAATGCTAAGCCTCCCCTAGCCCTCTACCCTCTGACAGGGCCTGGTGTGTGATGTTCCCCTCTCTGTGTCCATGTGTTCTCACTGTTCAACTCCCACTTATGAGTGAGAACATGTGGTGTCTGGTTTTCTGTTCTTGTGTTAGTTTGCTGAGAATGATGGTTTCCAGCCTCATCCATGTCCCTATAAAGGACATGAACTCATCCTTTTTTATGGCTGCATAGTATTCCATGGTGTATATGTGCCACATTTTCTTTATTCAGTCTTTCATTGATGGGTATTTTGGTTGGTTCCAAGTCTTTGCCATTGTGAACAGTGCCACAATAAACATACGTGTGCCTGAGTCTTTATAGTATAATGATTTATAATCCTTTGGGTATATACCCAGTAATGGGATTGCTGGGTCAAATGGTATTTCTAGTTCTAGATCCTTGAGGAATCGCCACACTGTCTTCCACAATGGTTGAACTAATTTACACTCCCACCAACAGTGTAAAAGCATTCCTATTTCTCCACATCCTCTCCAGCATCTGTTTTTTCCTGACTTTTTAATGATCGCCATTTTAACTGGCATGAGATGGTATCTCAATGTGGTTTTGATTTGCATTTCTCTAATGACCAGTGATGATGAGCATTTTTTCATGTGTTTGTTGGCTGCATAAAGTCTTCTTTTGAGAAGTGTGTCTGTTCATATCCTTCACCCACTTTTTGATGGGGTCGTTCATTTTTTTCTTGTAAAATTGTTTAAGTTCTTTATAGATTCTGGATATTAGCCCTTTTTCAGATGGATAGATTGCAAAAATTTTCTCCCATTCTGTGTAAGTTGCCTGTTCACTTTGATGATAATTTATTTTGCTGTGCAGATGCTCTTTAGTTTAATTAGATCCCATTTGTCTATTTTGGCTTCTGTTGCCATTGCTTTTGGCGTTTTAGTCATGAAGTCTTTGCCCATGCCTATGTCCTCAATGGTATTGCCTAGGTTTTCTTCTAGGGTTTTTACGGTTTTAGGTCTTATGTTTAAGTCTTTAATCCATCTTGAGCTAATTTTTTATAAGGTGTAAGGAAGGGATCCAGTTTCAGCTTTCTGCATATGGCTAGCCAGTTTTCCCAACACCATTTATTAAATAGGGAATCCTTTCCTCATTGCTTGTTTTTGTCAGGTTTGTCAAAGATCACATGGTTGTAGAGGTGTGGTGTTATTTCTGAGGCTTCTGTTCTCTTCCATTGGTTGATATATCTATTTTGGTGTCAGTACCATGCTGTTTTGGTTTCTGTAGCTTTGTAGTATAGTTTGAAGTCAGGTAGCATGATGCCTCCAGCTTTCTTCTTTTTACTTAGGATTGTCTTTGCAATGTGGGCTCTTTTTTGGTTCCATATGAACTTTAAAGTAGTTTTTTTCCAATTCTGTGAAGAAAGTCAATGGTAGCTTGATGGGGATAGCACTGAATCTATAAATTACTTTGGGCAGTATGGCCATTTTCACAATATTGATGCTTCCTATTCATGAGCATGGAACGTTTTTCCATTTGTTTGTGTCCTCTCTTATTTTCTTGAGCAGTGGTTTGTAGTTCTCTTTGAAGAGGTCCTTCACATCCCTTGTAAGTTGTATTACTAGGTATTTTATTCTCTTTGTAGCAATTGTGAATGGGAGTTCACTCAATTTGGCTGTCTGTTTGTCTGTTATTGGTGTATAGGAATGCTTATGATTTTTGCACATTGATTTTGTATCCTGAGACTGCCTCTCTAGACTCCTCCTCTCTGGACAGGGCATCTCTGAAAAATAGGCAGCAGCCCCAGTCAGAGACTTATAGATAAAACTCCTATCTCTATGGGACAGAGCACCTGGGGGAAGAGGCGACTGTGACACAGCATTAGCAGACTTAAATGTACCTGCCTGACAGCTCTGAAGAGGGCAGTGGTTCTCCAAGCACAGTGTTTGAGCTTTGATAAGGGACAGACTGCCTCCTTAAGTGTGTCCCTGACCCCTGTGTATCCTGACTGGGAGACACCTCCCAGTAGGGGCTGACAGACACCTCATACACGAGAGTTCTGGCTGGCATCTTGTGGGGGCCCCTCTGGGACCAAGCGTCCAGAGGAAGGAATAGGCAGCAATCTTTGCTGCTCTGCACCCTCCACTGGTGATGGCCAGACAAACAGGGTCTGGAATGGACCTCCAGCCAACTCCAGCAGACCTGCAGCAGTGGGTCTGACTGTTAGAAGGAAAACTAACAAACAGAAATGAATAGTATCAGCATCAACAAAAAGGACATCCACTCAGAGACCCCATCCAAAGTTCACCAACATCAAAGACCAAAGGTAGGTAAATCCACAAAGATGGGGAGAAACCAGTGCAAAAAGGCTGAAAATTCCAAAAACCAGAATGCTTCCTCTCTTCCAAAGGATCACAACTCCTTGCCAGCAAGGGAACAAAACTGGGCGGAGAATGAGTTTGATGAATTGACAGAAGTAGGTTTCAGAAGGTGGGTAAAAACAAACTCCTCCCCAATGCAAGGAAGCTAAGAATCTTGAAAAAAAGTTTAGATGAACTGCTAACTAGAAAAACCAGTTTAGAGAAGAACATAAATGACCTGTTGGAGCTGAAAAACACAGCATGAGAACTTCATGAAGCATACACAAGAATCAATAGCCGAATCAATCAAGCAGAAGAAAGGGTATCAGAAATTGAAGATCAACTCAATGAAATTGAGTGAGAAGAGAAGATTGAGAAAAAAGAGTGAAGAAATGAACAAAGCCTCTAAGAAATATGGGGCTATGTGAAAAGACCAAATCTATGTTTGATTGGTGTACTTGAAAGTGACGGTGAGAATGGAACCAAGTTGGAAAACCCTCTTCAGGATATTATCCAGTAGAAATTTCCAAACCTAGCAAGGCAGGCCAACATTCAAATTCAGGAAATACAGAGAACACCACAAAGATACTCCTTGAGAAGAGCAACCCTAAGACACATAATCGTCAGATTCACCAAGATTGAAGTGAAGGAAGAAATGTTAAGGGCAGCCAGAGAGAAAGGTTTGGTTACCCACAAAGGGAAGCCCGTCAGACTAACAGTGGACCTCTCGGCAGAAACCCTACATGCCAGAAGAGAGTAGGGGCCAATATTCAACATTCTTAAAGAAAAGAATTTTCAACCCAGAATTTCATATCCAGCCAAACTAAGCTTCATAAGTGAAGGAGAAATAAAATCCTTTAATTTTCTTTTTCTTTTTCTTTTCTTTCTTTCTTTTTTTTTTTTTTTTTTTTTTTTTTTTGACAGAGTCTCACTCTCTCACCAGGCTGGAGTGGAGTTGCACCATCTCGGCTCACTGCAGCCTCCACCCCCTGAGTTCAAGTGATTCTCCTGTCTCAGCCTTCTAAGTAGCTGGGACCACGGGTGTGCACTACCGTGCCTGGCCAATTTTTGTTTTTTCAGTAAAGATGGGGTTTCACCATGTTGCCCAGACTGGTCTCGAACTCCTGACCTCAATTGATCTGCCTGTCTTGAACTCCCAAAGTGCTGGGATTACAGGTGTGAGGTAACCGATGAAGTCTTTTGCTTATTTTTGAGGGTTGTGTTTTTTTCTAATAAATATTTATTTTTGAATGCACTTTATATAGTCTAAATATAAGTCATTTTCCAAATATGTATACTGAGAATATTTTCTTTCAGTCTGTGCACTGTCTTACCATTTTCTTAACAGTGTAATTTAAAAAGCCTGTTTTGAACTGAACGGGTGCAGGACATGCCACGCCAAAATATGTTACTTTCGTATATTGATTATTTTGAGTTGAAGGCACTTGCAAAGCAGCAAATGCAGGTAGAGGCTTTTCCAAATTCCCCTTATCTATCAAAAGAAAGATGCCCCAAAAGAAATTCAGTTGTCATAAGTCTCTTCCCCAGCAGTTTCATCAGCTAGGGAAGATTGACTCTTATCACAGGAGAGGAAACTAGATTTCAACACTATACCCAAACTTTGTCACAAACAATCATATCTTCCACCTATTATTATTTTTCCTTTCTCTCATTTTTGAGACAGGATCTCACTTTGTCACCCAGGCTGGAGTTCAGTGGCGTGATCTCTGCTCACCGGAGCCTTGACCTCCTAGGCTCAAGCGATCCTCCATCTCAGCCCCTCACGTAGCTGTAAGTACAGGTATGCACCACCACACTGGCTAAGTTTTGTATTTTTTGTAGAGATGGAGTTTCACCATGTTGCCAAGGCTGGTCTTGAACTCCTGGGCTTAAGTGATCTACCCAGCTCAACGGCCCAAAGTGCTGAGATTGCAGGTGTGAGCCACCGCATCCAGCCCCACCTATTATTTTAAGGACCTGTGTTAGTCCGTTTTGCATTGCTATAAAGGAATACCTGAAACTGGGTAATTTATAAAGAAAGGTTTATCTGGTTCACGGCTCTGCAGGCTGTACAAGAAGCATGGTGCCAGCATCTGCTTCTGGTGAGGGCTTCGGAGAGCAACCAATTATGGTGAAAGAGGAAGGGGAGCTGGCATATCACATGGTGAGAGAAGGAGCAAGAGAGAGAAGTGGAGGCGCCAGGATTTTTTTAAACAACCAGTTTTTGTGTGTACTAACTGAGCAGGAACTCACTCATTATCATAAGAGGGCACCAAAGCATTCATGAGAGATATATCCCCATGACCCAAACACCTTCCACCAGCCACCCCCAACACTGGGGGTCACATTTTCAAATGAGATTTGGAGGGGATAAATATCCAAGCAATATCAGGACCCATTTACTTTTCCTAAAAGTCATTTACTCTCCCCTAAGTGACCTACTTTTCCCTCCTCCCATTCTCCTCTTAAGGCTGTATATAAACTTTCAAATTCCACCACTTCTTTTTGGTATTCATTTTTTTTCCCCTTGTGATGCTTCATGCGTGTAACATTAAAAATTAATAAATTTGTATACCTTTTCTCTTGTTAATCTTCCTGTTGTCGGTTTATTTCATAGACCTAGTTTATTTCAAACTTAGGAATGTGGTGAGAAAATCATTCCTGCTCTATAGAATTTTATTTAAGTCCAATTTACATATATATGTGTATATGAATGATGATTTTTCTGTACTATCTTTGCCTACTTCACTATTATAAAGAGGTTGTCTTATGTTTTCTTCATAGAAATGTTACATTTTTAGGCTTTATGCTTAGATCTATAATACACTTTGAGCTAACTTTTTTTTTTTTGAGATGGAGTCTCTCTCTGTCACCTAGGCTGGAGTTTAGTGGCATGATTTTGGCTCACTGCAACCTCCCCTCCCAGGTTCAAGTGATTCTCCTCCCTCAGCCTCCTAGAGCTAACATTTATATGTAAAAACGTAGTAGTAGCTCTCAGGTAGCAGTAGAGGTTTACATTTTTTTCCATGTAAATATCAAGTTGTTCTAGGACCATTTGATGCAAATATAATTTTCCTATAAAATTATCTCAGCACCTTTGTCAAAATAAATTCAGTGCAAATGTACAGACCTACTCTGTATTCAGTATTTTGTTCCTTTGATCCTTATCTCACTCCTTATATCAATGACAAATTATCTTGATTTCTGTAGTTATATACTAAGGCTTGAAATCAAGTAATGCATGTTCTTCAAATTCGTTCTTCTTTTTAAAAACAAATTTTATTATTCTGGGTTCTTTGCATTTCTATGTAATTTTAGGAACAGCTTAACTTTCACAAAAGCCTCCTTGTGTTTTATTGGGATTGTATTGAAGAGATAGGTCAATTATGGAGAATTGTCTTAGCAACATGAGACATATGAATTCATGAAGATAGAATTTTCCTCCATTTCTTCAGGTGTTTTAAAATTTTACACAGAAATGTTTTGAAATATTTAAAATGTAAGTTTTCCACATATTTTAAGAATTTATCCTTCAGTATTTCATGTCTTTGCTGCTTTTGTAAATTGTTACAGTTTGATTTTCAATTTCTAATTATTCATTGATAGTAAACAGCAATAAAATTGATTTTTTACATTGATTTTATATCTTGCATGCTTGTTAAATTTTCTTATCATTTCTCAGAATCACTTTGTATATTTCTTACCATATTCCATGTGAATGATCATGTCATCTGGGAACAAAGACAGCTATATTTCCTCCTTATCCATGAGGATGCATTTTATTTATTTTTCTCACCTTATTGCATTGGCTAAAATTTTCAGTACAATTTGAGTAGAAGAGTATATTCCCTCATAGCTCCTGATATATAGTGAAAACATTCAGTTTTTCCTCATTAAGTATTATGTCACTACAGGTTTTTCATAGATGCCTTATCTGTTTGAGGAAATTTCCCTGAATTTCTAGTTTGCTCAGAATTTTTAATATGGATGGATAATAAATTTTGCTAACTGTTTTTCTGCACCTACTGGGATGTTCATATAACTTAACGGTTTTATTTTGTCAATATGGTGCAGTATATGGCTTGATTTTCAGGTATTAAACCAACATTGAATTCCTGAGATAATCACTACATTTTTCACTTTTTCATTGTTGTATTATATTTCTCTATATTACTAGAATTGATTTGTCTAACATTGCTAATTTTATCTAAGTTTTTCATCTGTTTTCCAGTTGGATATTAATGTATAGCTTTCTTCTTTCCTTCCTTCCTTCCTTTCTCTCTCTCTCTCTCCTTTTAAATAATTTGGCTCTTTTTCATATCAGGGTAATGTTGGTTTCATAAAATCATTTAGGCAGTGTATTTTCTGAAATTGTTTTCACTTATTGATATTTTCTTTTTCTCAAAGTGCTTGATAAGATTCAATTGTAAACTCTTGGTTCTAAATTTTTTTGTGGTAAAGTGAATTGAATATACATTACATTTCTTTAGTAAATTTAGGGGTATTTATGTTTTCTATTTTTTCTTGAGTGAACTTTGATTGTTTATATCTTAGAAGAAATTTTTCCTCTTCATAAAAATTGTCAAACTTGGTGTCAAATTTGACACATCAACTTGATCATTTATTCTTAAGTACAAGTACAATTATGCCTGTTTCTACAGTTACTAAAGGCAAAAACCATATGATTATATCAATAGATGAAGAAAATGCTTTCAATAAAATTCAACATATATTTATGTTAAAGACTCTCAGTACACTAGGTATTGAAGGGACATACCTCAAAATAGTAAGAGCCACATACAACAAAGCCACAGCAAACATCATAATCAATGGGCAAAAGCTGGAAGCATTCCTCATGAAAACTGGCGCAAGACAAGGATGCCCTCTCTCACCACGTATATTCATATAGTATTCTCTTCCTATTTGGATGCCTTTATTTCTTTCTCTTGCCTGGCCAGGGCAATCAGGCAAGAGAAAGAGATAAAGGACATCCAAATAGGAAGAGAAGAAGTCAAACTATACCTGTTTGCAGACAACATAATCCTATATCTAGTAAACCCCATCAACTCAGCCCAAAAGCTTCTTAAGCTGATGAACAACTTCAGCAAAGTCTCAGTATACAAAATCAATGTGCAAAAATCCCTAGCCCTGCTATACACTAACAAGAGTCAAACCAAGAGCCATGAATGAATGGCTCAAATCAGAAATGAACTCCCATTCACAATTGCCACAAAAAGAATAAAATACCTAGAAAAACAGCTAACTAGCGAGGCAAAAGATCTCTACAAGGAGAACTACAAACCACTGCTCAAAGAAATCAGAGGTGACACAAACAAATGGAAAAACCTTTGATAGGAAGAATCAATACCATTAAAATGGCCATACTTCCCAAAGCAATTTATAGATTCAATGCTATTCCTATTAAACTACCACCGAGATTCTTTACAGATCTAGAAGAAACTATTTTAAAATTTACGTGAAACCAAAAAAAAAAAAAAAAAAAAAAAAAAAAGAGCCCAAATAGCCAAGGCAATCCTAAGCAAAAAGAACAAAGCTGGAGGCATTATACTACTCGACTTCAAACTATACTACAGGGCTACTGTAATCAAAACAGCATGGTACTGATATAAAACAAACATATAGACCAATGGAATAGAATGGAGAACCCAGAAATAAGACTACATACCTACAACTGTCTGATCTTCAACAAACTTGGCAAAAACAAGCAATAAGGAAAGGATTTCCTCTTCAATAAATGGTGCTGAGATAACTGGGTAGCCATATGCAGAAGATTTTAAATTAACTCAATTAACTCATACAAACATTAACTCAAAATGGATTAAAGACTTAAATGTAAAATCTAAAACTGGCCAGTACAGTGGCTCACGCCTGTAATCCCAGCACTTTGGGAGGCTGAGATGCGTGGATCACCTGAGGTAAGGAACTTGAGACCAGCCTGGCCAACATGGTGAAACCCTGTCTCTACTAAAAATACAAAAATGAGCAGGGCATGGTGGCACATGCCTGTAATTCCAGCTACCCAGGAGGCTGAGGGAAGAGAATAGCTGGAACCCGGGATGAGCCAGGCATGGTGGCATGTGCCTGTAATCCCAGCTATTCGGGAGGGCTGAGGGAGGAGAATAGCTGGAACCTGGGAGGCAGAGTTTGCAGTTAGCTGAGATGGCGCCATTGCACTCCAGCCTGGGCTATAAAACAAGACTCTGTCTCAAAGAAAAAAAATTTAAACTATAAAAACCCTAGAAGACAACCTAGGCAATACCATTCAGGACATAGGCATGGGCAAAGATTTCATGACAAAAACACCAAAAGGAATTGCAACAAAAGCAAAAATTGACAAACTAGGATCTAATTCAACTAAAGAGCTTCTGCACAGCAAGATAAACTATCAACAGAATAAATAGACTACCTATGGAAAGAGAGAAATTTTTTGCAAACTATACATCTGACAAAGGTCTAATATCCAGCATCTATAAGGAACTTAAACAAATTTACAATACAAAACCAAACAACCCCATTAAAAAGTGGGCAGAGAACATGAACAGTCACTTTTCAAAAGAAGACATACACGCAACCAACAATTATATTTTTAAAAAGCTCAACATCACTGATCATTAGAGAAATGCAAATCAAAATCACAGTGAGATACCATCTTACACCAGTCACAATGGCTATTACTAAAAGGTCAAAAAAAGAAGAGACAGATGCTGGCAAAGTTATGGAGAAAAAGGGATGCTTATACTGTTGATGGGACTGTAAATTAGTTCAACCATTGTGAAAGACAGCACAGCGATTCCTCGAAAACCTAAGGAAAGAATTACCATTCGACCTAGCAATCTCATTACTGGGTATGTACTCAAAGGAATATAAATCATTGTATTATAAAGACACACACACCCATGTTCATTGCAGCACTATTCATAATAGCAAAGACATGGAATCAACCTAAATGCCCATCAGTGATAGACTGGATAAAGAAAATGGTATATAAACACCATGGAATGCAATGCAGCCATAAAAAGAACGAAATCATGTCCTTTGCAGGGACATGGATAAAGCTGGAGGCCATTATTCTTAGCAAACTAACACAGGAGCAGAAAACCAAATACCGCATGTTCTCACTTATAAGTGGGAGCTAAATGTTGAGAACACATGAACACACAGAGGGGAACAACACACACTGGGGCCTATGAGAGGGTGGAGGGTGGGAGGAGGGAGAGGATTTGGAAAAATAACTAATGGGTACTAGATTTAATACCTGAGTGATTAAAGAACCTGTACAACAAACCCCCGTGACACACGTTTACCTATGTAACTAATCTGCACATGTACCCATGAATTTAAAAAGTTAAAAAAAAATCTTATGTCATTAAAGGGCTTCCCAATGTATGATATTTCTATTGATTGTATGTTTGCTATATTACTGTACAGTTTTACTTTTCAAACATAATGAAATATTTTAAATTCTCTTATTGCTTTAATCTGACAGAATTATATTATGCCCCTACTAACAAAATGTTTTTTTACTAGCTACAATCTACAGTTGACATTACGTTTATAGAAACAAATATAGATTGAAAAGTCATGTAAAAGGAAGAAGCATATGTGAAAGAAAATAAGTTTTTTATTTGACTTAAGGATTTGTTTAACTTTGCTCATTTATTAATTTATTCAATCTACAAACATTGTGCTTAGCACCAGCAATGTAACAGATTACTACATATTGAGGATATAAAGTTATGTAAGACCTCTTTAATGTCAATGAAGTCACATGTTCAAAAAGATAAAAATTAATTTGATAACATGTTAAAAGTGATAATATAGATATATAGCATATATACTCAATGAATAGCTACACAATCAGTACATTTTATAATGTTAATAATAATAACCATGATAATATTATGATAATGTTAGCCTATATTTCCCAGCTTTAAAAATAGTACTTTATTATATTTGCATATAACCCCAGATTAGTTCTAATACCTGTATTGATCACAGTATATTTTTAGTCTTTTAAACTCCTACAGCTTGGGGCACTGGAGTTTTCATGACGAGAAACGTGAGTCTTTTCCAAAAGGTTCTGCATTCAGGGGTTACAAACTTGTGGGATCCCAGAAAGAAAGTTAAGAAGCTTGTGAATGTGGCATGATGACAGACTGGCTTCTAAGCCTAACTGACACATCCTTGAATACTACCAGGAGGAAAAAAAACCCTGGTGCATAAATGGAGGGAAGCTTATTTCCTACTTAGGCATATAAGAGAGAGGTTGGTGGCCCATATTTAAATATATGTCCATTTTTAAAACCACAGACTAGTAAGGTTTGGGAATACTGGATATAACTAAAATAAATTCCTATCAACTGAGATAACATCATCATATCCTAAAATGTTTGTTCCAATCTGAGGAAGCTTAACTAATACAATTATATGAGACACTTTTTTCTATAAGAAATGAGCACAGGCAGCAGTATTGAGAGTTTTTTTCCTACTGAATTAATGTGGGGATAGAAAAGACTAAGAGTTATGTTATTTTTATTTTTTGCTATTTCAAGCCAAAAAGGATTGTGATCAAAGAAGAAAACAACGAACTAAGAATAATGTGTTAGAAATTATCTCATAGAAATAGTTGAATTAATTTGTATAATTTAACAAATTATAATTACTACTACTATTCTTTTTATTCAACTTTTTTTTGAAAAAATCATAGGCTTACTAATAGTTGCAAAAATAATACAGAGAGGGTCTGTATATACATCATCCAGTTTCTGCCAAGAGTGGCATCTTACACAGTGTTATCTAGGTCAGGATATTTATACTGGCAAATTTCAATTAAACTAGACCAATTCCTCAAATGCCACAAACTACCTAAACTCACCCAAGATGAAATAGAGAATTTGAATGTTCTGCAACTATTAGAGAAATTGAATTTCTCATATCAAACTTCTGAAAAGTGAATTTCATTGGAGAATTTTACCAAGTACTTACAGAAGAATTAATATCAACTCTATATAATCTCTCTCAGAAAATAGAAGAGGGTACACTTCCTGACATATTTTTTGAGGCCAGCATTATCATGATACAAAAACTAGATGAAGATTGTACCCCAAAATCAAACTACAAATCAGTATTTTGCAAGAACATAGATGCAAAAATCCTCGAGAAAATATTATATTAAATTTAGTAATACATAAAAAATTATATATAATGACCAAGTTAATTTTTTTTTCACATGTATAAGGCTAGTTTAACACTAAAATAATCTATCAATGTAGCCATCATATTAAGAGACTGGAGAGGAAAAAATCACATGGTTACCTCAATTAATGCAGGAAAAGTATGACAGAATGCAAAATTTATTCCTGATAAAAACTTTCAGTTAATTGGGAATAGAAGAAAACTTCCTCAACCTGATATAAAACATCTATGGAAAACCTCCATGTAGCATCATCCTCAACACTGAATACACTGGAAACAAGGCAAGAATGTTGCCAAGGTTTGAATATTTGTCCCCTCCAAAACTCATGTTGAAATTTAATCTCCAGTGTGGTATCACTGAGAAGTGGGGCCTTTTTAAGAGGTAACTGGGTCACGAGGGCTTTGCTCTCAGGAATGTATTAACCCATTTGTGGACTAATGGATTAACAGGTTATCAAAGCATTTGGGCCGGTAGCTTTATGAGAAAAGGAAGAGAGACCTGAGCTAGCACACTCAGCCCCCTCACCATACGATGCACTGTGCCACTTTGGGACTCTGTAGAGAGTCTCCGCCAGCAAAAATGCCCTCACCAAATCTGGCCCCTTGACCTTGGATTTCTCAGTCTTCATAACTGTAAGAAATAAACTCCTTTTAAAAATAAATTACCCAGTTTTGGGTATTCTGTTGTAAGCAACATAAACAGACTAATACAGATGTCCACTCTCACCATTCTTATTTAACAGAGTATTGGAAGACCCTGACAGCGCAAAAGGCAAGAAAATAAAAGTATGTAGATTGGAAAGGAAGAAGTAAAATTGTCTTTACTTTGAGATTACATGATATTCTAAATATAAAACCATAAAAAATCTAAAAAACATTAGAACTACTAAGTAGGCTCAGTAAGGTCAAGGGTACAAGGTCAGCACACAAACTATTTGTATTACTTTATTCTAAAAATAAACTTTTGGAAAACAAAATTTAAAACACAATACCATTTATAATTACTCTGAAAACGCATGAAGTACTTAGGCATAAATTTAACAAAACATGAACAGAATCTGTATGCTAAAAACTACAAAATCATGATGAAAAACGAGCTAGATAGAGAGACAAACCATGTTCCTGGACGGCAAAGCTCAACATAATAAAGAGGTTAATTCTCCTTAAACCAATTTGTGGATTAAACACGTTTCTTGTCAAATTCCCAACAAGATGGAGGAAGGATTGTATAATTGTAGTTTCAAGTGATTTATGCACATTTGAATGTCAGTTGACAAAACAAACAAACAAAAAAAACAAAAAAAACAAGCTTACGCAAAAACCATTTACAGGAATTTGCTTAAAATTAATCATGTATATAAAACATAAAGCTACAAACATTTAAAGGAGAATATTGGAAAAAATCTTCATGATTTAGCATTAGGCAAAGACTTGCTAGACATAACATCAAAAGAATGATCCATAAGAGAAAAAGTAGATAAATTGAACCTCATAAAAAATTTAAAATATTTGCTCTGTAAAGACTCCGTTAAATGTCTATTAGGTTAAGTTAGCTGATAAAATAAAAGCCACTGACTGGGAGAAAATATTTGGAAATCACCTATATGACAGAAACTTGAATCCAGAAAATAAACTTTCAACTCTACAGTCAGAAAAAAAGGAACCCAGTTAGAAAATATTCAAAAATCTTGAGCACTTCACTAAAACAGATATATAAGTAGTAAATAAACACATGAAAGATGTTCAATATCACTAGCCATTAGAGAAATACAAATTAAAAGCTACCATGATATGACACTACACACCTATTAGAATGGCTAAAATGAAAAAACAATAAACAAAAAAACAAAACTAATAACACCAGTGCTGTACAGAATAGTGGAATCTGCTGGTGTGAATGTAAAGTGATATAGCTACTGTGGAAATCAGTCTACCTTTTTCTTAAAAAGTTAACCATACACTTACCATACAACTCAGCAATTACAACCCTGGTTATCTATCCTAGAAAAATAAAAATTTATGTTACACAAACACCTGAATAGAAATTTTTATAATAGTTTAATTTGTTATAGCTACAAACTTGAAACTACCCAGAAGTCTTTGATACGTATGGGTAAATGAACAGTGGTATATCTATACAATGTAATACTTCTGTGCAATAAAAATTGATGAACTATTGATACACACAGCAACTTGCATGGATCTCAAGGTCATAATGTTGAAAAAAAAAAAGCCAGCCTCAAAATGTTATGTGCCATATGACTTCCATGCATTTAAATTCATCGATATTTGTTTATCATCCAGATTATGGTCTATCTTGGTAAATGTTCTGTGTAATTTTGAAAGGAATTTTTATTCTTTTTTGACTAATAATGTTCAATATCATTTTAGAGTATTGTGTAAATTTCAATTAGGTGAAGCTGGTTGATAGTGTTACTCAATTCTTCTAAAGTTGAACTGATTTTTTTAATCCATTCAACCTATCAGTTATTGAGAGGGGTATTGAAATCTGCCTGTGTAAATGTGTATATGTCTATTTCTCTTGCAATTCTATTCTTTTTACTTCATGTATTTTGAAACTCTACTTAGTATTGTGATGTCCTTTTGTTATATTTACTCTTTTATAATTTATGAACTGACTTCCTTTAACCCAAGTCATATTCTTTCCTTTGAAGTCCATTTTACCAAAATTCATACAGCAATTCTACCTTTCTTTTGATTTTTTTCTATCCTTTATATTTAATATTTGTGTATTGGGTTTAAAAATGATTTTATTGCTTGTTAAAGAAGAGAGTAAACTCATGGTTACCAGGGGCTGGTGGGGTGGGTTGGGGGATTGGGGAGATGTTGGTCAAGGGATACAGTTAGATAAAAATCAGTTCAAGATACAACATGGTGACTGTAATTAGTAACAATGTATTCCATGCTTGAAAGTCACTAAAAGAGTAGATTTTGAGTATTCTCAGAATAAAAAAAGATAACCATATGAGGTAATGCATATGTTAATTAGCTCAATTCAGTCATTCCCCAATGTATACATATTTCAAAACATCATATTGTACACCATAAATATATGCATTCTTTTTTTGTCAATTAAAAAATAACAAGAAAAATAAATTTCTTATAGGCAGCATATAGTAAAGTCTTGCTTTTTATTCCATCTGATTATCTATACTTTACTTTTCCATTGTAAAGTCATTTATATTTAATGTAATTATTAATATGGTTAGATTTAAATCTACAAACTTATTTATAGTTTATTTTTCCCTTCTGATTGCTGTTCCCTTTTTCCTTTTTTCTGCCTTATTTTTGATTCAGTGATTATTTTATGTCATTGCTTTTGTTGACTTATTAACTAGAATGATTTGTTTTATTACTCCTGTGGTTTAATTAGCGTTAAGTCTGAAGTTAGAATTTTTTTTTTCTGTAAAGAAAGTTATTAAACATCTTAGGCTTTAAAAGTCATGTGAAGTCTCTGTGGTATACTCCTCTTTCCCCCCTGCTTCTCTTCTTCCTCTTCCCCCTCCTCTTATTCTTCTGTTTTTTCTTGTTCATCTAATAAACTGTTAAAAATGAAAAACATTATTTTTAGCTCATGAACCACACAAAACAACAACAAAAACCAACAGCAATTAAAAAAATAGACCATAGGCCATAGTTTAATGACCCTCAATTTAGAGTTAAATCTTTAACTTATCACAGTCTATTTTCAAGTGCTATTGTGCCACTTCATATATAGTATGGGAATCTTACTTACATATTGTAATTTTTTCCACTTCAGTCCTTTATGCTATTGTTATGTATTCACCAACACAAAAGAACAAAGAACACTGAAAATCAAAGCTATGTGGATAAGCATTTTTATTTCTACAAATATTATAACCCCCATGCTACATTGTTATTTCTTTGTTTTAACAATACTATTTGGTTAAACAGTAAGAAAAAATATATTTATCCACATAGCTTCGATTTTCAGTGTTCTTTTTTCTTTTGTGTTGATTCAGATATTTATCCAGTGCCACTTTTCTTCTGCTTGAATTTCATTAGCATTTCTCATAGTGTGAATTCTGGTGATAATTTTTTTTAACTTTTTTATGTCTGGAAAAGTTCGTATTTGTCTTTACTTTTGAAATATATTTTTTCCTTGTGTAAAATTTAAGTTGAGTTTTTTATTTCATTATTTTAAACACATTGCTCTATTATCTTTTGGACTACAGTGTTTTCAATGAGAAATGTGCTGTCTTCCTTATCTTTGTTGCTTTTTATATAACAAAGTTTTTTTCCATGTATACTTTTAAGGTTGTTTCTTTATCACTGGTTTTGAGCAACTAGAATATGATGTGCATTGGTATAGATTTCCTCATGATTCTCCTACTTTAGATTTTCTTGAGCTTGGTGTACCTTTGAGTTTATAATTTTCATCATATATGTGGAAAAATTGGCCTTTATTTGTTCAGTTAATTTTCTGTCCCATCATAATCTTCTATTTTTTGAGTCCTCCAATTACTCATATGTTAGACCACTTGTAGTTATGTAACAGCTCACAACTCACTAATTCTCTGTTCAGTTTGTTTTAATTCTTTTTATACATCTTTTTTTGTTTCTATTGCTATGTCTTAGAGTTTACTAATATTTTACAATATCTCATCTTCAGTTAATCCTATCCAGTGTATTCTTCATCTCACATATTTTAGTTTTATCTCTAGAAGTTCAGTTCACACACACACATATATATGTATATGTGTGTGCCTATATATGTGTGTATATATATGGGGGAATATATATAATATAAAACTCATATTTCATATGTAATATGACATATATAATATTGAACTTTATAACAGATATATAGTATATAATATATAAGACTCTATTATATATCTTATGTATTTTATAGTTTCACATGATATATAAATTCCCCTGTGTGTGTAAATATATGTGTGTGTGTATATGTGTGTGTATATATATCTCTCTCTATATATGTATAACCCCCCATGTCTCCATGTCTTTTTGTCCCATGTACTTAATATGTTCAATCCTTCCTCTAGCTTTTGAACATATAAGGAATAATTATAGTGACTGCTTTCATGTCCTGTCTACTAATTTTAATATCTGTTCCTATTCTGGGTCAGTTACAATTGGTTGATTTTTCTCCAATGATGGGCCAGTCATATTTTCCTGGTTCTTTGGATACTTGGTCTTTTTAATTGAATGACAGGCAATGTGAATTTTGCTTGGTTTGGTACAAGTTACTTTTGTATTTCTAGAAATGTTCTTTACTTTTAGTCTCAATGCACTTAAGTTACTTGGAAACAGTTTGATCCTTTCTGGTCTTGCTTTAAATTTGTTTGTGAGGACAAAGGCAACATTTAATCTCGGGCTTATTTTATCGCATTACTGAGGCAAGACCTTTCTGAATACTTTACATCATGTGCCTCAAATGTTGAGGTTTTCTAGTCTGGCTGGTGGGAATAGGCACTTTTTATGGCCCTGGGAGAGTACTAGATACTGGCCCCTCTAATTAAAGAGGATAGATTTTTCTTTGCCTGGAGTAGTCTCATTACATTCATACAGCAATGAGTATTCTTTTGTAGACTAGAGACGAATGCTCCACAGTTCTTTGGGGTTTGCACTCTGTGAAGCTTTCTTCTCATTGGTAATCTTTTCTACAACTCTATTCGTTTTGATTGTTATGGATTTTCAGCTGTTTTCTTCACTTACAGAGTCTGCCCGTCTCCTCTGGGTAGCCCCTTCCTGCACAGAAACCTGGAAACTCTTTCAAGACAGGAAGCTCGGGCAGTAGGACTCACCTGCTTTGGCTCCCATCTCTCAGGGATCGCTGTCTTTAATCTGATGTACTGAAAACTATTTTTCCATATATTTTGTCTGGATTTTTAGTTGTTTCAAGTAGAACAGTTCTTCTAACTCCTTAGCCAGATGTGAAAGTCTCCCACCATTCTATTTTACCTACACATCTAAAATATTTCCTACATTCTCTCCCTCCATTTTTACTCTCTTCTAGTAAACTTCCTTTGTTGCAATGAGAGTGATTCTTCTAAAATACATAGTTAATCAAGAAAAACTTGGCTTTAAAATGTTAAGGGCTTCTGCTAGCATTTAGCATGCATGCACACTCACACACACACACACACACACACACACAAAGAAAACTAATAAAAATTTAATATGGTTTAGAAAGAAGCTTTTCATTCAAATCTGGCCTCAACTTCTCCAGTCCAGTATCTTTCAAGTCTTCCTCTGTAACCTATATTCCAGCCACACTGAACTTGGAGTTCTTCAAAGGTGCAAGACAGTCTCGCATCTTTTAGATACTGATACATACTTTCCCCTTTCTCCTAGTTATTTCCTACTCTTCTTTAATTATCTCCTACTTATCTTTAAGTGGAGGACATTTGAAGTATACTTCCTATAGGTTTAACTCAGTGTCTACCACATAACAGGCAAATAAGAAATATTTCCTTTTGCATATTGTTATTTGGTGTTGGGGAAGACAGGATGGAGGTTAGACAAAATCTGAATATTTGTGATATTTTGTTTTTAAAACTAAATGAGTTCTTAAATAAAATTATGTTACTCATGCCTGTCTTCTGAAGGTCTTTATTTTTTTTTAACTGAATAGTTAGAAGTATGTTTGTTTTCAACAGCTCAAGTCTGCAGCAGAGTTTATCCACCTGCTTCCTGTTCTCATCTCTCTTTTACTGAGTCATCTGGACTTCCTCCAGGGCTCTCCATTTAGTACCAGATTTCACCCAATTTAAGGCCGGCATAATCGTTCAATTTTATTCCAAGAAAAGTTCTTCTACTCCTTCCCCAGGCCAGCTGGAATCTTCTTAAAACCCTTTCCAATATTCATGGGCTATCTTCTGTTCCAGGTTCCTCTTGACTTGGCTTTTTCTCGTAATACCAGATTCTCTAATGAGGCAAAGGCTATTGGTCTTGACTGGTGGTGGGCAGAATTCCTAGTCCTATTACAAACCACCAAGCAGAAATTATTTAGCTAGTGAGACAAGATGGTATTTAAATTGTTTTTTAAATCAAAGGAAAAAACAAAAGGCAAAATCTTATTTTTACACTTGAGAAGAATGTCTGTAAGACGGTATTCTCACGTAAAACTAAAATGCTTTAAGTTACTAACATGAAACTCTATTTTGCACAGTTTTAGAGGAATTTCTTTTTTCAGTTAAATGACTTGAAAGTATGTGTATGATAATGCTTCAAAAGAAAAAAATAATTGCTTTGGTTTTACTTCTTCAGACTTTTTGAATATAGACTGCACTTAATTATTTGAATCATATATCCGTCTGTCATAAAATATTAAGCACTGATATACGAAAAACAATGCTTGATTTTGGGAATATGTAAGAGTCAACAATGGACATGTAGTGTCTGCTTTCATGTACCTGTATGTAAACAGATCACTAAAAGGCAAGTTATTGGCTCAGAGCTGAACTGTAAAAGTTTAGAGCATCTACATTGCCTAACTATATTCTATACCTTTTTTTTATATTCTGCAGAAACTGATATATTAACTAAATTTGTCTTCTTTTTTCCTTATTGCTTCTTCGTATTCCAGGGGCACAGAATCAGATTAATTATTCTGGGGCACAGAATCAGATTAATATTTATCTTTGTTTTATCCCATACTCTCATTAGTGGTGCTTGTGTACGGTATTTATTAGTCTGTTTTTGTTTATAAGTAATAATGTAACAAACACCAGTTTCTTACCTGACACCCAGTTTAGAAACTACAACATCTAATGATCTGGTTCTTCTCCTTTGTGTTCTCTATGTACTTTCTCACCAACTTCCAGTCCCTATTTTTCTGAATTATGTTTGGATATTCTCTTGCTTTAAAAAATATGACTTACTCATAGCTATGTATCTATAAAAAGTAAATTGCTGTTTTACAAATATATTATGTAGTATTTTAGCTTTTTGGATTTACTTCCCCCACTTAAGCAGTTTTTATTTATACATGTCATTGTGTGTAGTATTTATTCATTCATTATTTAACATTATTGCATTTTGGGAATATAAACTAATGTGTTCATTCATTTGCCTGCCAGTGTGTTTTTGGATTGTTTTCAGATTTTTGCTATTATGAACATTGCCAATATAAACTGGTATGTACTGATATTCTGTACTTATGCACTGGTCTACCTTTGCAAACAATTATCTTTGGTATAAAATTGTCTGAATTAACCATGATTTTCCTAAAAGTTATCAGAACAAAACAGGAGTGTTCTAAACTTTGTTGTTATATGATCTCATGGATCTCAGATAAATTTTATTTATTGTAATGTACGTGTGTGTAGAAATGTAATTTTAATACTTTTCTAAAAGTTCATTTTTTCTGAAATCTCAAATTTTTTGTTCAAGGATTAAATTCAACCTGCAAACGTTTTTGTTTGCCTCACAGAATGTTTTAAAATATTAGATGCAAACATTTACTTATTGGAATATAAAATCAAGTCTTGTTTTCTATCTCCTCTGAATAATAGAGCAATTTGGCAGCACTGAGTCTTTATTTCATACAATTAGCAAGAACTGTAGTGACAGACTCCTTGAAACTGGGTATCAGCTCGGAGGCATAAGGCTGTAAGAGAATATTTGACTAAAAGTGAACTAAAGAAAGGTAGTTTAATAATAAATCTCCCTTTACTCCAGAGGTAGATGATTTTAGCAGTTCAGTTTCTCAACGACCCTCTTGGATTTCCCCTCATTGCCACAGGATGACAGCTACATTGCCAATCATTGTATCTTCAAATGACAGTGTCCAAGGCTGGCAGGAAGAAATTAGCTTTCTCTTCTTTATCAGGAAAGAAAAGTTTTCCAGCTATCTCATCAGGTTCCATTGGTTAGGATTGTGACTGACTGTCTTAGTCTGCTTTGTGCTTACAGAGTACCTGAGACTGGGTAGTTTATCATGAAGAAAAATTTATTGACTCATAGTTCTGGAGGCTGTAAAGGCCGATATGAAGGTGCCAGTATCTTACAAGGGCCTTCTTGCTGCATCATCACATAGCAGGACAAAGAGAGAGCAAGAGGGGACCAAACTTGTCCTTTTATAATGGCACCAATTCCACCCATGAGGGTGGAGCCCTTGTGGTCTAATCACCTCTAAAATGTGATTACTTAATACTGTTGCAACATCAAATTTCAACATCAGTTTTTGAGGAAACAAACATTCAAACTACAGCACTGACAGATGGATGCAATGGTCTAGCTGCGAGGGAGGCTGCATAAGTAAATACCTCAATTTTTTAATCTTTCCATCAGGAGGCAGGTTCTGCCAGAAAGGAATAAGCGACTCAGACAGTTTTCCAATGTTTCTGCCTAGAACACTTCACTAATATGCAATTTCTTCATGGCCTATGTAGGCATTTGTGAACTTTGCTCAACATAATTATTTATCAGATAATTTTAAAGAGTTCTCAGGCTTATGCAAACTTGAGCAACATTTTTATTGACCAGAAAATATTACTGTTTCTTATTTCAATTTATATGTTACTACTAAAAGTGTAAATACATTTTGGCAATATGCAGTGACAATGACTTCTTTAATTCAGATCTCAATAAAAAGCAAAATATAATTAGCAACTAAAATGGAATGGAGTATTTAGAATTTCAGGCTATTTTTTAAGACTTTGGCAAGGAAGTCAGTAATTATTTCCAGACGTAGATTGATCCAATTCTGTTAATAGGATGATTTGCTGCAAATTTTATAGAAATTTACATTTCTATAAAATGCAAATTTTTCTAAATATTTATAGAAAAATGTTTATGAAGTGAAATATAATACAAGAAAAAATACTTTCAACTTATGAATTCTTCTTTTTTCATCTTATTTTTAAAGGTGAACAGGTGCTCTTTTGCCTAATTAGAAAGAACATGCTAAATACCATGTTGTTTCTCAGTGGGTATATCAGTTAATGTAATTAAAACATCTATTTTTTTCACTGGATAACCATTTCTCATGGTTAGCTAAAAAAAGTAAGCCAAGAGCTGTAAACAGATTTTACAAATTGAGAGGAAATGGAAAATATCGTCCTAATACCATTTTCTCATATGATAGAGCGCAGAATTTTTAACAAGCTATTTGGAGTAAAAGAATCCATTGATATGTGTTCAATATGTTTATGTTATTCAACATCTCTTTTAATGGCCTCTTACAAACTATTTGATGTTTCTTTTTGTACTAAACCCTTTTATTAAAATTATGTATCTTGTATCTCCTTATCCCAAAGCAAAACTTACACTAAACTTTCTTTTCTGTGGCCAGGTAGGACAGTGGTCAGTGCCTCCTGAAGTTACTGAAGGCATGATTCTTACTTGCTTCTCTTAGGTCTCTTAGGTCTGCTTTTGTATTCAGAATTTTTTTCTTAAGGTTGCATTTGTAATTTATTACTTTACCACAAGGGTGCACTAAGAAGCCCGCATAAACACAAGAATCAGCTACTTAATTTGCTGTGACTTATTTAACCAGAGCAATAAAACGTTTTTTCACTTGAAAGTGTTGGTACTCAAAGAACTTTCCTACATTGTTAGAGGTACTGTGCATAGGAGCAATACTATATTTCCCTCAAAAATAAAATACAAAAGATAGAGTGTGTTTCTATAAACTAATCATTAAATATTTAAAATATTTCATAGATTGTTTCAGGCATGAAAATAAATTCAGTCAAGGATTTTTTTATGTCGTTGGCAATTAAAAAATTAGTTTCCTCTTGGAAAAAAATTTAATTATTTGGGAGAAATTGTGATAGGGTTTTAGCATATATTCTAATTGTGAACTGTAAAACTTTATATCTTGTTAGCTTCATGTCAATTTTTCTTCATTACTTGAATTGTTACATAAAATTATCTATTGGGTTTTTATAAGCCTTACATAAATCAAGAAGCATTTAACATACTGCATATACAATCTGCACTATTGGAAATGAGGCGATTTCTTTTCAAAAATCAAACATTCACACCAACAATAGTGCCCCAAACCTAATTATGTCTCTATATTAGAAACACATCATGTCTGCCTTCTTATTGACAAGTGGCAATCATTTTTCTTTTAGATAAAGCTTTGCAATTGTTGACATATAGATCTGACACATCCTTTATTCTGCAGTGAACATTATTAACTGCCTATTGTATGTCAGGCACTGTGATAGATTTTGCAGAATCAAGAATTAATAACAGCAACAACAAAGACCCCTTTAAAGGCTTTCACGATCTATCAGGATGGTAGTGGAGATGGAGTTACTAGAGAGGAGTGTGAGGGGTCAAAGCTTTCTTCAATATGCATTGGAGAGTCTGCATTAGCAGAGTGAATTTATTTGCAAGGGACATAATGCCATATTATGTTTTTATGTTTGGTAGTGGAAGAAGCACTAGCTTGAGAAGCAGAAGTTTTCTGAGTTTTAGACTCAGCTCAATCAATAATACCTTGGAAAATTCAAAATATCTCATTTGCAAAATACAAGATGTAGAGTAAATGACCTTTCTATTTTCTCTGAGCTTTAACATGCTTTCATGTCACTTATGTGACTGCATAATTAAAAGATTTGCTCCATTACAATGCAAAAGAAACTGGATTGCAAACAATATTTTGTAGTAACAGGACAATACATATATTGTAAGCTTTTAATTTTGAATATAAAGACATTATTCATTTTTACAGTTTAGTTCAGCAGTGGGCATCTTGCCCATATGATAGGCACAAAATGACCCCTTACATAGAAAATAATCCTTTGAATACCACAACATTCCAGTCCACTGCTATTCATTATGGTAAATTTCTTGGTAGGCTAATTGGCTTGATGATGAAAAAAATGTAGAATATCAGTCCAAGAAGTTATACTTAACATTGAAAATTACATACTGTGGGATTTTTTTTACTCTGTTAACAACTTTTTATTTTTTATCTTTCTATATTTTTATTTTAATTTTTTATTTCAACAGTTTTTGGGAACAGGTGGGTTTTAGTTACATGAATAAGTTCCTCAGTGGTGATTTCTGAGATTTTGGTGCACCCATCACCCGAGCAGTGTACACTGTATCCAAGGTGTAGTCTTTTATCCCTCATCGCATCCCACCCTTCCCCCAGAGTTCTCAAAGTCTATTATATCATTCTTATGCCTTTGAATCCTCATAGCTTAGCTCCCACTTATAAGTGAGAACATGTGATATTTGATTTTCCATTCCTGACTTACTTCACTTAGAGTAATGGTCTCCAACCCCATCCAAGTTGCTGTAAATGCCATTATTTCATTTTTTTAAATGGCTCAGTAGTATTCTGCGGTGTATATATACCAGATTTTCTTTATTCACTCATTGGCTGATGGGCATTTATGTTGGATCCATATTTTGCAATTCTGAATTGTGCTACTATAAACGTGTGTACAAGTGTGTTTTTCATATAATGACTTCTGTTCCTTTGCACAGATACCTAGTAGTGGGATTGCTGCATTAAATGATGATAGTTCTACTTTTAGTTCTTTAAGGAATCTCTGTAGCGTTTCCTATAGTGGTTGTGCTAGTTTACATTCCCACCAGCAGTTAGTGTTCCCTTTTCACCACATCCATGCCAACATCTATTATTTTTTGCTTTTTAAATTATGGCCATTTTTGCAAGAGTAAGGTGGTAGCACGTTTTGGTTTTAATCTGCATTTCCCTGAACATCAGTGATGTTGAGCATTTTTTTCATGTCTGTTGGCCATTTGTATATCTTATTTTGAGAACTGTCTATTCATGTCCTTTGCCCACTTTTTGATGGGGTTGTTTTTTACTTGCTGATTTGTTTGAGTTCCTTATAGATTCTGGATATTAGTCCTTTGTTGGATGCATAGTTTGCAAATATCTTCTCCCACGTTTACTCTGCTGATTATTTCTTTTGCTGTGCAGAAGCTTTTTAGTTTAATTAGGTCCCATTTATTTATTTTTGTTTTTGTTGCATTTGCTTTTAAGTTGTTGGCCAGGAATTCTTTGCCTAAGCCAATATCTAGAAGAGTTTTTCCGATGTTATCTTCTAGAATTTTTAATGGCTTCAGGTCTTAGATTTAGATCTTTGATCCATCTTGAGCTGATTTTTGTATAAGGTGAGAGAAGAGGATCTAGTTTCATTCTTTTACATATGGCTTGCCAGTTTTCCCAGCACCATTTGTTGAATAGGGTCACCTTTCCCCACTTTATGTTTTGTTTGCTTTGTCAAAGATCAGTTGGCTGTTAAGTATTTGGCCTTAATTCTGGCTTTTCTATTCTGTTCCATTGGTCTTTATACCAGTACCTTGCCATTTTGTTAACGATAGCCTTGCAGTATAGCTTGAAGTTGGGTAATGTGATGCCTCCAGATTCGTTCTTTTTGCTTAGCATTGCTTTGGCTATCTGGGCTCTTTTTTGGTTTCATGTGAATTTTAGAATTTTTTTTCTAGTTCTGGGAAGAATGATGATGGTAGTTTGATGGGAATTGCATGGAACTGTAGATTACTTTTGGCAGTATGGTCATTTTCACAATATTGATTCTACCCATCCATGAGTATGGGATATGTTTCCATTTGTTTGTGTCATCTATTATTTCTTTCAGCAGTGTGTCATAGTTTTCCTTGTAGAGATCTTTCACCTCCTTGGTTAAGTATATCCCTAAGTATGTTATATATTTTTTGCAGCTGTTGTAAAAGGGATTGAGTTTTTGATTTGATTCTCAGCTTGGTCACTGTTGGTGTATAGCAATGTTGTTGACTTGTGCACATTGATTTTCTATCCTGAAACTTTACTGAATTTCTTTATCAGATCTAGGAGCTTTTTGGATGAGTTTTTTTTTTTTAGATGGAATCTCGCTCTGTTACCCAGGCTGGAATGCAGTGGCATGATATCTGCTCATTGCAACCTTCCTCTGCCTCTTGGGTTCAAGCTATTCTTCTGTCTTAGCCTCCTGAGTAGTAGCTGTGAATGAGTCTTTAGGATTTCCTATGTATAAAATCACAGCATTGGCAAACAGTGACATTTTGACTTCCTCTTTTCCAGTTTGGATGTTCTTTATTTCTTTCTCTTGTCTGATTGCTCTGGGTAGGACTTCCAGTAATATGTTGAATAGAAATGGTAAAAGTGGGCATCCTTGTCTTGTTCCAGTTCTCAGGGGGAATGCTTTAAACTGTTCCCCATTCAGTATGATGCTGGCTGTGGGTTTTTCATATATGGCTTTTATTACTTTGAGACATGACTCTTCTAGGCCAATTTTGCTGAGGGTTTTTATCATAAAGGGATGCTGGATTTTGTCAAATGTTTTTTCTGCATCTATGAGATGATCATATGATCTTTGTTTTTAATTCTGTTTATGTGATTTATTGCATTTATTGACTGCCAAGATGATACCCACTTGATCATGATGTATCATCTTTCTGATATGGTGTAGGATTCAGTTAGCTAGTATTTTGTTGAGGATTTTTGCATCTATGTTTGTCAAGGATATTGGTCTCTAGTTTTCTTTTTTCTTTTTTTTTCTTTTTTGTTACAGCCTTTCCTCTTAGGGTGAAACTGGCTTCATAGAATGATTTAGGAAGGATTTCTTCTTTCTCCATCTTTTGGAATAGTTTCAGTAGGCTTGGTACCAATTCTTCTTTGAATGTCTGATGGAATTCAGCTATGAATCCATCTTGTCCTGGGCTTTATTTTGTTGACAATTTTTTTATTAGTGTTTCAAACTTGCTACTTGCTATTGGTGTGTTCAGAGTTTCAATATCCTCCTGATTTAATCTAGGAGGGTTGAATATTTCCAGGAACTTATCCATCTCCTCCAGATGTTCTAGTTTGTCCATGTAAAGATGTTCATAGTAGCCTTAGATGATCTTTTGTATTTCTGTGGTATTGGTTGTAATATCTCCGGCTTCATTTCTAGTTGAGCTTAATTGTATCTTCTCTCTTCCTTTCTTGGTTAGTTTTGCTAATGGTCTATCAATTTTGTTTATCTGTTCAAAGAACTAGCTTTTTGTTTGATTGATCTTTCGTATTTCTTTTCAATTTTATTTAATTCTGTTCTGATCTTTGTTATTTCTTTTCTTTGCTGGTTTGGGGATTGGTTTGTTTTTGTTTCTCTAGTTCCTTGAGGTGTAACTTTAGGTTGTTTATTTGTGTTCTTTTAGACTTTTTTATATATGCATTTAATGCTATGAACTTTCCTCTTAGCACTGCTTTTGCTGTATCTCAGAGGTTTTGATAGGTTGTGTCAGTATTATCATTCAGTTCAAATAATTTTTAAATTTCATTTTGATTTTATTATTAACCCTAAGATCATTCAAGAGCAGGTTATTTAATTTCCGTGTATTTGTGTAGATCTCAGGGTTCCTTTTGGAGCTAATTTCTAGTTTTATTTTACTGTGGTCTGAGATGATACTTGATATAATTTTGATTTTATTAAATTTATTGAGACTTGTTTTGTGGCCTATTGTATGGTCTGTCTTGGAGAATGTTACATGTGCTGATGAAAAGAATGTATTCTGTATTGTTGGGTAGAATGTTTTATAAATATCTGTTAGGTCCATTTGTTCTAGGGTATAGCTGAAGTCTATTGTTTCTTTGTTGAGTTTCTGTCTTGATGACTTGTCTAGTGCTGTAAGTGGAATTTTGAAGTCACTCAATATTGTAGCATTTTACTGAGGACTTTATTTCCCATCATACCTATCATCACCTTTATTTTAGATTTAATTTTTTAAATTATAGAAAATGTAAAAATGTAATAAATGAGATAGAATGGTATAATAAATCCCCTGTATTCCTCACACAGCTTTGACAATTATCAACCCATGATCAATCTTTATTACCATATGCCATCCACCCCTGATTATCATGTCATCTGAAAATATAATCACAAAGCAATCCAAACCATTTGTAAACCAGGTTCAGGCTTTTTCCTACTCTTTTCTCCTCCCACATGACCACCGGTGTGAGTTAACATGGGTGATAGGGGATTCTGGGATGTGTGATCATGTGCCTTTTTCATGTACTTTAGCCTTATTTGGGCTTGATCCTGGATGTATTATTTCCATCTTACAGTGTATGGCTTCCAGGTCTGCCTGACTTTATGACTTAGTGGACCCAATAGTACACAGCCTATGATAGGGTTTTTGAATGGTTTTTCTTCACAATTTTAGAAGCATTTTATATGTTTGTGATATTAACTGTTTTCTGTGACAGAGATTTACTTTTCTCACTTTCTCATTTGATTTCCACTTCGTTCATGACTTTTTTGGTCTCACAGATTTTATGTAATAAAATGTATCCATCTTTCTTTCTTATAGTTTTAGAATCTGAAATTTAGAAATACATACAATTTTGGTATAATGGTTATCCTTATACTAATGCCTTTATAACATATTCTTATTCCTTCCCCGCTGCCTTTTCCCCACTATTGGCCACCGGTGTTCTACGATATTAATGAATTTAGTTATTGTATTTATTTCTTAGGGTTACCATAACAAATTACCACAAACTCAGTGGCTTAAAACAAAAGAAATTTTATTCTTTCATGGTTCTAGAGGCCAGAAGTACAAATTCCACGTGTCAGTAGGGCCATACTCCTTCCAGAGGGTTTAGGGAGATTTATTCCTTACCTCTTTTGGTTTCTGGTGGCATTTCTGGTCATTCCTTTGCTGAATAACCCCAGTCTTTTCTTTCATGATCACATTGCCTCCCGCCCTTCTCTATTCTCCTCTGTGTGCCTCTTATTCTTCTCATTGGATTTAGGGCACACTCAATCCAGGATGATCTCTTCTCAAGGTCCTTACCTTAATTACAGCTGTAAAGACTCTTTTTCCAAATTAATATTTACAGGTCCCAAAATGTGATATGGGTATCTTTTGGGTGCTGGTTTTTAACTTATCACAGTTAGTATCTGTTCTACTTCCTTCCCATACCCAATATAAAATAATTATAGTGTATGTATGCTTCCACAGAAATATAGCCATTGTGACTGTACTATTTTCTTTATAACTATCATTTAGTTTTAGGTCTATAGGTAAATATATACTTAACACTCATTCCAGAGCTCATGCTGATGGCTCCCAATTTATGTAGGTTGTTGAAACTTCTTCTCTAACAGATTTCTCCACAAGTGCTCATAGAAGCAATATTCTCTGTGCTCTTGATGTTTCTAAGAGTTGAATGCCTTTTATGCCTGTATATATTATATGTTTATAGGCATGTATGGCAGTTAGCCTGAATAGAAAATCATTGATTTACATTTTCTTGCATCATGTTTTGAAATGTTTCTTCTTTGTCTTCTGACAGAAAGTGCTAATGTCAAATAGTCTAGTAAGGGTCCAATTTCCTTTCTCTTTTAAGTGTCTTGGTATTTTGCCTAGACACTCAAACTCCCCTACATGCTTTTTTTCTTTTTCCCCAAATATAATAGTTTTCCTAAAAGTTGTCTGGATCTTTCCTGTTCTGGATCATTTGTCCATGTATACAGTGTGCCTTACAATATGTACTTTCAAGTTCTCCTTTTTTCAGGGAATTTTTGAATTGTGTTATTACTATTTCTTATTTCATGATCTTGGTTTTTATATGTTGGATCTCGCCTATCTTCCACCTATGTCTTTCATTTTCTTTTGAATCCCCACTTCATCTCTTTCTTCATTTTATGTTGATTTTTAAGCATTGGCTGCTTTCCATCTTCCTTTTCTCTGAAGTCATTATTTGTGTGTGTGTGTGTGTGTGTGTGTGTGTGTGTGTTTCCCTGCTAGTTTAGTCTTTATTTCTGAAATAATTTTCTCCTATTCATAATTCTTTCTAAGTTTTGACAGCTTTTGTTTCTCTGGTAGTCTCCATTATAGGTATGTATAATTCTATTTAAGCTGTTCGTTCATGGCTTCTAACATTTTCTTAATTTCTTTGGATTCATTTTTAAAGATTAGGTAACTGGTTTGTAGGAATGTCTTTCTAGTGGGAGATACTGTCTTCATTGTCTATGGAGACATAAACCTTCTCTTTAATCTCCATTTTATTCCAATAATTTTACATGTGATTTGACTATAATTCTTTTTATTGTTCATGCTTGAGATTCATTTTCTTGTATTCTTAGGAGAAAGGCATGGGTAATATTATATTTCCAAGGTTCATAATTTTAGATATCCTTCTTCTGTTAGCTAGGTGAAGTTTGAAAACAAATACATCCTTGTACTCTCTGAGACCTTATGGCTCTTTTCTTCCCCCCTACATCAAGTGATGTTTCTCTTTCTTTGCCCTATTGCTCACCTACTCAGTTTGATTCTACTCGCCGGCAGGTTTTCGAAGGCATATTGCTTGAGCTTTGTTTTTTGTTTTTGTTTAGTTTTAGTTTTTTAATTTTTTTACTGAGTTCAGAGGGCTCTGACTACTCCAACACCATCTGACCTTACCATGTTTTCTTAGATTGTACCTGCAAATTGAAGCCTGTTAAGTCCTTTTCTAAATCAGTTACTTGTCCAACATTTGCTTTCCACGCTTTCCAAAGCTTGGTGACTTGGGTGTTCTCTAGATCCCGTGGCTCTCAAAAGTCCTTGTGCCTTCCCTCTGCTTCCTCCTGCACAGCCAGCCAGGCTATGTGGGTCTTGTTCTTGCAGTTTATATCCTCACCTATTAGTATTTTAAGGTTTGTGAGGATAACTTACCACCCAGTATTGATGTAGAGGTTGTCCATGGTTTTTGATGGTCGTACTCCAAGTGCTCTGTCTGTTTTTATGGGAACATTAGGGAAGATAAAATGCCATACATATTAGTTTGCTAGGGTGCAAAAGCAAAGTGCCTGAGACTAGGTGGCTTAAACTCCCCATTCTGGAGGCTGGAAGTCCAAAATCAAGGTGTCAGCAGGTTAGTTCTTTCTGAGGGCTATGATAAAAGAACCTGTTCTAGGCCTCTCTACTTGGCTTGTGGAGAGTCATCTTCTTTCTTGGGGTGGACATAATTCAAACCACAACACTACATAACAACGGCTGACTTTCGATCTTTATTTTCTTATTTAATTTTTTTATTTATAAATCAAAAATTAAAGCACTTTACTTAATCCATCATATGTAGTTATAAAGTCCATAAAAGAAGATTGCTGTCTTTAAGGAGTTTGCAAACAAACAGAGGGATAGTTGTAATACTGAAATGCATGAAAAAGTTGAGTGTTGCACAGGTGCTTTAGGAGTTGAAACAAGAGAGCTCAATAAAGGTTTTTATAATCAGAAAAGGTTTTCTTTGAACTGAGAGTTGATCCAAGTGTTGAAGAATAACGGGAAGCATCTGCATAAATGAAAAGAGCATGTTTTCAAAGTGATGAAGGCCTAGATGTGCATGCCTGTAAGTTTATAGTGGGCCTTGGGAAGTAATGGGAAAATGTTGGATAGGAATGATGTAAGCAGCTTTTGGTGACCTTGAAGGTTAGGCAGAGTAGCTAAATTATCTAAGAAAGGAAACCGAAAGCTGATCAGTTTTGAGGCACGTTGTGTGTAAAACAAATTTAAGGAGAGTGTCAGCAATGTGCTTGATGGAGTCAAATTGAAATTAGTATTTTAATTTATAATATATAAAATAGGCTTATAATTTTTTTTTGAGACAGTCTCGCTCTGTTGCCCAGACTGGAGTACAGTGGCGCGATCTCAATTCACTGCAAGCTCCACCTCCTGAGTTCACACCATTCTCCTGCCTCAGCCTCCTGAGTAGCTGGGACTACAGGCACCCACCACCACACCTGGCTCATTTTTTTGTATTTTTAATAGAGATGGGGTTTCACCATGTTAGCCAGGATGGTCTCGATCTCCTGACTTTGTGATCCACCCGCCTCGGCCTCCCAAAGTGCTGAGATTACAGGTGTGAACCACCGTTCCCAGCCTACATCGTTTTTTTTTAATGCTGGTGGAAGTTAGGAAATAAAAATTAGCCTTGATAATATCCCAGAAGATTTGCACAATTGTTATCTCATCTACTATTTGCAAAAACACTTTGATGTGTGTGTTAGTGCTCATATATTACACATAACAAAATTAAGCCCAGAGAGTTGAAGCAACTTCCTCAAACACATATATTTCATACATGCTTAAGTTAAAATTTGAATCCAGGTCCTTCTGGCTTCAAAGTTCATGCTCTTCACTATCCTACACTGCTATATAAGAGGTTACTATGTTTTAGAGGTGTTATAAAATATATATTAGAGATCTGGCAATAAAATCATAGAGGAAGGGATAGGCATTTTAAAGATCTGGCAATAAAACTGTAGATGAAGGGATAGGCATGAGAAATTTGGGGGAAGGAAGATGAGTTAGAGAGCGATCATATATTTTTTGAGCTCATTTATGCATTCCATGAACCCAGCATATTGTGGCAACACATTAGTGTCTTTACAAACTTTTTTTATGAGAATGCAATGGTGAAACTTATTCTCAGTATTATGCAAGTCAGAATAGCATTCTATGATCTTTCCCCGCACCAGAGTAAAAATAATGTGCAGAAAATCAATAGTATCTAATTAATCATTCCTGAATATAATTTTCCTATATATTAAAAGAAAATATTTCATCGTCATTTTTGTTAAGTTAGTGGTCAACTGTCTCCTACTTATTGTGGGTATAATGGATAATTTTAGTATCAACTTGACTGGGTTAAAGGATATCTAGATAGCTGATAAAATACTATTTGAGGGTATGTGTATTAGTCCATTCTCACACTACTATTAAGGACTGCCAGAGACTGGGTATTTCATAAAGGAAAGAGGTTTAATTGACTTACAGTTTCACATGGCTAGGGAGGCCTCAGAAAATTTACAGCCATAGCTGAAGGGGAAGCAAACGTCTCCTTCTTCACATGATGGGAAGAAGGAGAAGAATGAGTACCCAGTGAAGGAGAAAGCCTCTTGTAAAATCATCAGTTCTCATGAGAACTAACTATCACAAGAACGTGATGTGGGAAACGGCTCCCATGAATCAATTATCTCTACCTGGTCCCTCCCATGACACATGGGGATTATGAGAACTACAATTCAAGATGAGATTTGGGTGGGGACACAGCCATACCATATCAGTATGTCTATGAAAATTTTTCCAGAAGAAATAGGTATTTAAATCAGTGGACTGAGTTAGGAAGATCACCCTCATCTAGTGTGGGCCAGCACTATCAAATTGGTTGAGGGCCCAGATAAAACAAAAAGTCAGAGGAAAGGTAAATTATTCCTGTTTCTCCTGGAACTGAGACACCTTTCTTTTCCTGCCCTTGGACATCACAACTTCAGTTTCTCTGGCCTTTGGACTCGGGACTTTTACCAGTGGCTTTCCAGTTCTCGGGACTTTGGCTTCATTCTCAGAGTTCATATTTGGTTCTCAGGTGTTTGAATTTGGACTGAGCCAAATGGCTTCTCTGGTTTTCTAGTTTGCAGAGATTATCATGGGACTTTTCAGACTCCATAACCACATGAGCCAATTCTGATATTAAATCATCTCATACATCTTTCTCTATATCCTAAGGGTACTGTTTGTTGAGAGAAATCTTACTAATACAATGGGTCTGAGAGAAGTCTATTTGATAGATGAAAAAGTACATAAAGAAAATTGAGAGGAGGAAAAGAGGAGCAGGAATCACTAGTCAAGTCTTGCTTTTTGTGGGGATAGCATTTAGCACAATAGCAATTCAATCATGGCATTTCGCCTCCCTCTTCCCCAGGTCTGGTTTCTGGTCTGTTATATTTCTATGTTCAGAATAAATATTGGACCTCCCTTAATTACATCACATTCTAAATAATTTAAGGATGTTAATGTGTTGTCTGCACAAAACAGGGACATGATATAAGGGATACTAATTCCCATGAAACATGGACAGAGTAAGAAGTTTCTTTCATTTAGTATTTTAAATTATGTTTTATATAATGTTAGAGATGAAGGAATTACATTAGTGCATTGTGATAAAATTTATATTATGTTAAATTATTTTCTGTTAAAATTATGAAATTATGTTAAAGATTAAGGAACATATATTTGAGCCTCATTAGTAGTCATTGAATGTTATTTTTAAAAATACTTTTGACATATTATACAATAAAAACTTTATAAAATTAAACTCTAACAATCAGGTGATAAAGTGAATGTATTAAGTTCATTTTTATTATAAAAATAAATTAATATACAGGAATCATGGAGATGTTGCCTTATGAAACTTTTTTTTTTTTTTAATTGAGACAGAGTCTCACTCAGTAACCCAGGTTGGAGTGCAGTGGTGCTATCTCAGCTCACTGCAACCTCTCCCTCCCAGGTTCAAGCGATTCTCATGCCTCAGCCTCCCGAGTAGCTGGGACTACAGGCACGTGTCACCACGCCAGGCTAATTTTTTGTATTTTTAGTAGAGATGGGGGTTTCACCATGTTGGCCAGGCTGGTCTCAAACTCCTGACCTCAAGTGATCCGCCTGCCTCAGCCTCCCAAAGTGCTGGGATTACAGGCAAGAGCCACAGCGCCTGGCCTGATTTTTTTTTTTAACCAAAGAACATTGATTAGAGTTCTGATTCCAGTAACGGTGAGTAACTTTTATCAAACTGACCCTCCTATTGACAACCATTACACCTCTAGTTTTAAAAAACTGTTTGAAGATATTAGAAAGCAATGAAAAGCACCAGAAACTTCATGGGATACAATCTTTTAAAGACAAGAAGTGAAGAAGGTAATACTTTTATTTAGTTGGTTTTCCCCCAAGGGTACTTCCCAATTTCCTGAGACATGTAGAGAAATAGAGGTCAAATAAAAATTTCCATTCTTACTGTATTGAAAGGACAGAGGCTGAAAAAGACAAGAGCAGACAGAAATTGAGGGGAAAGTCTCAGGAATGAGAGAGCCACAGAAAAGGGATATCCGCCGCTAAATTCTGGATACCAATTCTTCCCACACTTCTTTTAAGTCCTTCAATAATTCCTAAAATATGCACATGACCAGCAAGATTCAAAAGAATCCAAAGGAAAGCAGAGCTGGGAGGCCAAGAAAATGAGAAGAGACTTCAACACCTGCCCCTTGCTCAGGACAAAGTTTGCCATTTAAATGTTGCTAAGTTAAGTCTCTAGACCTGTGAGAGAATAAGTGTCTCTTGCTGAAGTCACCCAGTTTGTGTACTTTGTTACGGTAACCTTTGTAAACCAATATAATGAGCAAATCACATGCAGCCACATGTAACCAAGATAATAAATCATGACCAAGGGCAGTTTATTCCATAAACGCAAGATTGATTTATTATTTGAAATCATTCAATGTAATTTCACCACATCAAAAAAATTAAAGAAAAATATGATCAATAGATGCACAAAAATTATTTAATAAAATTCAACACTAATTCATAAGAAAAAAATATCCCAGCAAACTAGGAGTACACAGAAACATTCCTAACATGATTGAGGACAACTGTGAAAAACCTACAATTAACATAATATAACTCTTAGTCGTTCACTAATATATATGTTATTCAAATGAAAAACCAGACACTCATTGCTCTCAGCACTTCTAGTCAATGTTGAAAGTCCTAGCCAGAAAGTTAAACAAAAAGAATAAAAGCAGGCTATTTCAAGAGAATGAGAAGACAAAGCACAGGCTGGGAGAAAAAATTTTCAAAAGATACATCTGATTAAAAAAAAACTGTTATCCAAACTACACAAAGAGCTCTTAAAACTCAACAACAAGAAAATAAACAATTAGGTTATAAAACAGGCTAAAGACTTTAACAGAAACCTCACCAAAGAAGATATACGGATGGCAAAGAAGCATATGAAAAGATGCTCCACATTACATGTCATCAGGAAAACGCAAATTAAAACAACAATGAGCTATATAACTAGACACCTATTAGGATGGCCAAAATCCAGAAGGTTGACAACATCAAATACTGGCAAGGATGTGGAGCAACAAAAACTCTTGTTCATTGTTGGTGGGAAGGATATGGAGCAACAAAAACTCTTGTTCATTGTTGATGGGAATCCCAAATGGCATGACCACTGTGGAAGACAATCTGCCAAGTTTCTTACAACAAAACACACTCTTATCATTTGATCCAACAATTGTGATCCTTGCTCTCTACACAAAGGAGTTGAAAACTATGTTCACACAAAAACTTGCACTCGGATGTTTATAGCAGCTGTATTCATAATTGCCAAAACTTGGAAACAACCAAAATGTCCTTCAGTAGTTAAATAACTGTGGTACATCCAGACAAAGAGATATTATTAATGGGTAAAAAGAAATGAGCTATCACAACATGAAAAGACATTAAGCAAACTTAAATGTATATTATTAAGTGAAAGAAGCCAATCTGAAAAAGCTACCTACTGTGTAAGCCCAACTATATGACATTCTGTAAAAGGCAAAACTAAGGGGACAGAAAAAAAAAAAAGAAAAAAACAGGGAGTAGGGTGGCGATGGGAAAAGGGATGAAAAGGCAAAACACAGAGAATTTGGAGGGCAGTGGAAATATTCTATATGATACTGCAATTGTATTTACATATACAACCCTGGTGTAAACAACTAATTTCTGGTGATAATAATGAGTCAGTATAGGTTCATCAACTGTTAACAAATGTACCATTCTAGTGAAGGATGATGATAATGTTGAAATCTCTGTACCTTACTCTCAATTTTGCTGTGCACCTGAAACTGCTCAAAAAAATTAATTTTTTAAAAAAGTTATTTTTTTAAAAAGTAGGAAGATTAGAACGGAAGAAGTAAATTTTTTTTTGTTGAGGATGACATGACACATTGTATACATAAAAAAATTCTAAACATTGTAAAAATAAAGCAAAAACAAAAGCAAAAGCCTGCTAGAACTAATGAGTGGATTTAGTATGGTGACACAAATGCTTCCAGAAAACTGAAGAGGAAGGATTTCTGACCTATTCTTTTGAGGCCAGCATTACTTTGACAAATGTATTACTCTGATAAACCAGACAAATGCATTACAGGGAAAAAATTATAGAACAATATCCCTTGTTAATGTAGATTTTAAAATTAGTAACAGAATTGTAGCAAATCAAATATAATATATACAATTGATAAAGTGATATGAAAAAGTGGTGCTTATGACAGTAATACAAGTTTAGTTTAACATTTGAAAGTAAGAGAATATGACTCATTATATAAACAAACTAAAAAAGAAAAACCACATGCTTATCTCAATACATGCAGAAAAAAACATTTAAGAGAATCCAGCTTCTAGTACTATTAGAAACACTCAGCAGGCCGGGCGCCATGGCTCCAGATGCTTTGGGAGGTGAGGTGGGCAGATTTGCTTGAGCCCAGGAGTTCAAGACAAGCCTAGCCCAGCCCGCATGGCAAAACCCTGTCTCTAAAAAAATTGCAAAAATTAGCTGGTTGTGATGCTGTGCACCTGCAGTGCCAGCTACTTGGGAAGCTGAGGTGGGAAGATCTCTTGAGCCCAAGAAGCTGAGGTTGTGGTGAACCGAGATTGTACCACCACACTCCAGTCTGGGAGACAGAGCAAGACCCTGTCTCAACAAACAAACAAGCAAAAAAATGAACAAAACCATTCAGCAAATAGGAGTGGAAGGTATATTAGTCAATATTCTCCAGAGAAACAGAACTGATGCAGATGGATAGATAGATGAATAAACGGATGGATGCAGAAAGGCATGGATTGAGAGACATTCATTTCAAGGAATTAGTTCATTTGATTGTAGTAGTTAGCAAGTCTGAAATTCGGCAGGCTGATAGGCTGGAATTTCTGGCAAGATGTTGTGGTCTTGAGTTTGAAGGTAGTCTGGAGGCAGAAATTCTTCTTTTGGAGACCTTAGTCTTTTATCTTAAGGCCTTCAACTGACTGGATGAGGCCCATTTGCATAATGAAGAGCAGCCTACTTTACTCAGAATCTACTGATTTACATGTTAGTCACATCTGAACAACATGTTTACAGGAATATCTAGACTGGTGTTTGACAAAATAACTGGGCACCATAGCCTAGACAAGTTGACACATAAAATTAACTATCACGGAAGGGAATGTCTTCAACTTGATAAAAATCCATCTATGACAAACCTACAGTTAACCCCATATTTAATGGTGAAAGATTAAATGCTATCCCTCAAAGATGAGGAAGAAAGCAAGGATACTCTGTCTCATCATTTCTATTCAACATTGTATTGCAGATTTTAGCCAATACAACATAGCAAGCAAAAGAAATAAAAAGAATCCAGATTGGAAAAGAAGTTGTATTATTTGTAGCTGACATGATGGAAGAATATCCCATGGAACCTATAATAAGGCTACTCTAATTAACGAGGGAGTCTAGAAATGTTGCAGGATATAGGATCAATATGTAAAGTTAATTATGTTTTTACATATTAGTAATAAATAGGAAAATGGCATAAAATAATACTACTTAAAAATACTACATCAAAAATATAAACTAGGGAAGAACCTGACCAAAAAATGGACAAGACTTGTATCCTGAAAATTATAAAATATTGCCGAGGAAAATTAACAAAAAGCTAAATAAATGGAGAGACACACTGTGTTCATGAGTCAGAAGACTAAATATTGTTAAGATGTCAGTTCTCTAAGAACTGATTTACACATTCAATGAATTATATTCATGTACATGTTGCCCAAAGCTGCTTTAGCACTACAGTAGCCAATTTGAGTAGAAGTTGCCGCAAGGTATGGTATGGTCCATAAAGCCCAAATTATTTACTACCTAGCCTTTTACAGTAAAAGTTTGCTCTATTTCATTTTCCACACCGGTCCTAGATCTTTTTCTGGCTCCTTCCTGTATCACCTCCGACTTACACACCAGCATGCCAAACTTCAAACACATTTTCTAATGTACCATGCTATCTCTCATCTTCTGTTTCCTCTGAAAGATTGTAAGTTTTCTCTGAAATCTTCATGAGGAAGGGATTGTGTCTAATTTGTTTACTGGGGACTGGCATATAATATCTTCTCAGTAAGTAACTATTGAATGAATTAATATACAAATGTCAGCTTTGGACAAGATAGGTTTGGACCTAGGAAGAATGGTCAAAAAAAGCTTTTGTGAATATTATAATGTCACTTACCATTGTTCTTTTCCAAAAGAACTCTATGTCATTTCTCCTGGCTAGACTAGATTCCAATTTGAGATACAGAGTTACAGTTCTTAGAATCTAACTTATTTTTTTTAACAAATTGTGGAATCATATCACAAAGAATTCTTATATAAACATTTGTGAAATTAACCTTCCCTCTGATATAGCATTGATAGATTTCTGAATTTTATCTTTCAGAATTGCTTTCTGAACGTTTTTTCAATCCTATTTTAAATGAAAATAAAAATTAATTTATTGACTGATATGCTAACACAGGAGGTGAATTCCCTGGGCTCCTTTTTCAGACCAACCACTAACTTATTTTGTATAAAAAGTGCACATTTTTATTTGCAGCCCAGCTTCTTCCTATTTAAGGTGGTGAGAGAATTAGTTTCCACATAATTCCTTAATATGATTGTCGGGAGAATCAGCATCCCTGTAATATATTTAAGTACAACATTTGGAAGATCTCTGAGTGCCACTTCAGGGGTTATGGAGGAAGAACAGGTAGGCATCAGCAGCTGAGTAGAGAAGACAACAAAAAGTTACACTTTTGTTATGTAAGTAAATACTATCTTGATATTCAAAGTAAATAAATGAAGTGGTTTAAAGTACAAATGAAACTTGAAACTGGGTGATGGGAACAACCATATGATATTAGTAAGTGATATAGATGTGCCAAAGTTTTACCAGTGAAAGTTACAAATGGAAACTTGAATGAAAATTACTCATTCAAATCACTAGTTACCTAGTTTAACAATTGAAGGATCTTACCTGGGGCAACCACATTTCGGTGGAAGGAGAAGGGGCAATACAGCTCTGATACTATGTGTTTGGTAGTTTGGATTAAATGCATTAGGAACAACCTTAGGAAGGTAGAAGGTACAGTGAGATATCTAAACAATGAAGGGATGATATTTAGGAAGGAAAAGCAGGTTCATTATTTAGACATTACAAAGTTAAAAGGATGTTAGACATAGTGCTTTTTTAAGATAAGGATTTATGTCATAACCATGTATTGAATTATAAGGAAATTGGAAAAATCGATTGCAAAATATAGATTTTAAATTGGCTAGAAAGAATACAAAGTGACATCAGTCATGTTGCCCCAGAAAAATAATGTCCTAAAATCTCTCTTTGTATTTTTTTGGTGCAGAGCATTTGGCTTCCACCTGTGCAGGAAAAAAGGTGATGAGCAGAAGCTGCTATCATCCCTGCAGAACATTTTTGACTCAGCAGCTGAAAGTGACAGCTTAAGTTACAGAAAATTGGTGGAGATACAATTGTACAAATAAAAGTCATTTTTTTCTTTCAGAAGTTAGAGTGTATAAACTAAGAAACAGAAGTTTGCAAAGCCAAAAAAATCCAAACCTTAGAGAAGTAAGCAGAAACTGTTGACTTAGAGTAAAAAAATTAAAAAGATAGACAAAGAATGAACATATAATAGGATTACTGATGCGTTATGTTCTTTTTGGGTCATCTCATTGTTTCCAGAGACAAAGGAAAGATGTGTGAGAAAATAAGCAAAACAACAGCAATAAAAAAAAACACCCAACAACACTGCCAAAAAAGACACAAAACCCCAAATGTGAATATTTATGAAGAAAAATATTTATGAGGAAGGACAGACTTGAAATCAATCAATACATCTGAATTAAGTAATAATTTATCAAGTGATGTATGATGTTTCTTGAATTCATAAAGTACCTACCCTCAGAGGGAATGTGTCCTTAGAAGAAAAACAATAAACTCTTTAGAATTGGGTTTAGAGGATGGAACTTTATTCAAATTTGGAAAACAGAAACAGCTGTTTCTGAAGAGGTGCTATTATTAAGATAATAACAAAAAAATGTTAAAAAGCCTTTAGATATAGGAAAAAATCAATTTATTCAACATGGTTCCTTCAACATTGACAGATGACAGCATTGCCCATGGATGTTGGGTAGGGAAGTATGGTCCAGGTACTTTTCTGGACACTGGAGATTCTCAAGGAATTCACAGTGTCAGTTATTAAGTTGCTTACAGTATATTGAGAAGGAGATGTGGAAATAAAAAATACACTACCATATATTTTTGGAGAGGTATGCATAGAATACACATGAAATATTGATGAAAGAGCTCTTATGTCTCAAATTTTCAGAATGGATTCTCAATTTGCAGGCCAGAGAGAGATCTTACCTGCCTTATTTAGCACTGTATTTCCAGTTCCTAGACTACTGACTGGCACAGAAGAGTACTCAGCATTTTTTAAAAGAATGAACAAAAATTAAATCTGCCTTGGGATGTTAGGCTAAATTTTACTGTGGAGATGATGCATAAACCGATTCTATGGGAAAGACAGGAAAAGAATACATCAAGTTACTCAATGGCACAGAAGGACAAAACAGCTTGATAGTCTGGTCAACAGCCAATAGGTCTGAGTGGCTGCCAGCCTTGTTTGGGAGATGAAGTCTCTAAAGGCTGAAAAGCCTGGAGACGGGAGCAGGGGTTATCATTTTAGATAGATTAGACATGTGGAGGATACTGAAGGTTTGGTAGGGAATTCGCTGAGATAAAGGAAGGAAAGCACTTGCTTGAAATTTCTTCCTGAAAAAAATAGGTTTCAATACTGTGTTAAATCTGACTGTGGCAAGGTTTGAATGGGCACCGCAACCACAGCAGAGGAAGTTCTGAGACTTGGAAATGACAGAAGCAGTTTTGGAGGCTGGACTTTTGGTATGTATGGATTGCCTCTGGCCATGGGAAGGCAGGCCAGGAGAAATAGTTCCGAGGGTTGGACTAGAGCTACTCCATATTGTAGTATAAGTCATTTACTGTTCAATAATTCTCTTCCATTATCACACAGTGGTGATATCACCTAGTGGGGTTCATGTCTAAAGTTGTAGCCTGGTCTCAATTGATGGTAGGATATTGAGATAAAACCTTGGGATACCCTCATGGAAATCTGCAATGAAGCCATTGATGTCTTTTGTGGTTGCAGCTTGAATAAGACACTTTGGCACATTGTTTGGACATAGGAAGCACACATAAATGTTAGTTGCCTTTATCTTTCTTTGTCCTATATCATGAAAGGCAAATACTTATGATTTCCATGATCACAAACATTTGCCTTTCACTGCTCTTTATCAGTATCTGAATTTAGTGTCTGATCTTTTTTTTTTATGTAGACAACTTTTAATCTCCTTCCTCTGCTTAAAATGCTTACCTACTTTCTCTCCAACAAGTCATGTTAATCAAGTCGATTAAAACCTGAATATTATCTCTATAAGGATACCTAATATCAACCTAATCTTGTGTATTTATTTCCTGTGCTTGCTATTGGTTTTTCTTTATTCTCACCAGATCTTAACCAACACTTAAGGCCTCTAAGTTCCCATCTAGTGCAAAAAGATACCTTCAGCCCTACTGTGTTTGTTTGAATTCAAATTACTATTGCTTTTAGATCAGTACCACTCGTTAGGTTTTAATGATTTTGTGTGTTAGTGATGATGTCACCAATAGGTTGTAAACTCCTGACCATCGGGCCTTCTGTGTATTTGTATCCCTCACAATGCTAAATCCAAAGCTCAGCGTATACTCATTAAGTGCTTGCTACTTAAAGAGTCCACGTGTGGGTGGAAAAATGATTCTGAAGTCTCTCTACAGCCCTAACTCCTGCACCTTTTTGATTAATCAGAGTTGGGAGGTGCCTCTCTCACCACTCTTCTCTTCCAGACATCTTTATGACCTTTCTTTTGACATTCCACTATTTTCTCTCTGCCATCAACGATTTGCTCAGCTCTGCATCAATGAGATCTTTGTGATTATAAAATAACATGAGGTATGCATGGAAAGAATTTGTTGCATATCACTATAAATGAGATGTTGCTCATATGAGGTAATGTGATATGGCAAGCCCCAATCACTGGAATGTTCTTGGTGTATTATTGAACACAACAAAAATGGAACAGTTACACCATGCACATATGACTTTGCAAATTTATTCTCAGAAATGGTGAAGTAGAAACCCTAAATAGCTGCTTATAATTTGCTGTGTTATATATAAATACAACTAAGTGTAGACTTATCTCCAGCAACTGGTTTAGTAAACTGGTTATCAGCTATCTAAGGATCTTTGCTATTATATGAATACAAAATTTGAAAATGCTTGGTTGAACTTTTCTTTTGTGCTCCTTAAAGGTAGAAATAGTAAGCAAGAATATTGGAACATTTATGAAGAAAATAAATGTTTCACAAAAAATCTGTATAGAAAATTGGACTGTTGATATAAAATTGCTATCACTCTGAATATTTTCATATCATTATCTCAGAGTTTTTGAATATATCATTTTCTAAGTTATTCTAAACAGCAAATGGGAATCATGTACCCAGTTAATTGACAATTTAATTAGCTGAACTATGATAGTATTTTTCTGATGAGTAACTTGGAATATTAGTTAAGGCAAGCTGATGTATTGTCTGCATTTATTCTGCAGGCAGAACTGTGTTTTTACTTCTACTGACGATAAAAATTTTTTTAACCCCGATTTGTGACAAAGAAGGTAAGACAGTCATTTTTCTCTAACAATATCTGTGGTTGTTATTCCCAAGAGAAATTGCCTAAAGGCCCTCTTCTCCAGTTATAAGCTTTCTCAAAGACAAAAAAATCAGTCCCTCAAAAGCCATGAAGAGCCGTGGGCAAACTAGGCTTTTCCCAGTGGATTTTCCTATAGCATTCCAGGACTACTGCTTCAGCCGTGCCCCTCACTGCCGTTCAACTGGTTCTTATTTAGAAACTGAATAGAGTTATAAATTGTTAGGACAAGAGAGACTATTTGGAAATATTGGTGAGATCAATTTAACAGTGACAAGTATGCAGTCTATGCTCTCTCAATGCTATTTAAAATTAATTAAATGTGATGGGAGGCAGAACCCTAGAAGAAAAGAAAATCAATACAACTAGACATCTTTACTACTGTTTTTGATTGTTTGTTGGTTATTTTATAATGGCAAATGTAATGAAGTGAGGATTATATGTAGAACTTTTGTGTGTGTACTTACATACACTTTGTTACGTTAAGAGAACTGTTAGCTTCGGGGCGGTTCCAAGATGGCCAAATAGGAACAGCTCCAGTCTACAGCTCCCAGCGTGAGCAACGCAGAAGACGGGTGATTTCTGCTTTTCCAACTGAGGTACCGGGTTCATCTCACTGGAGTGGGTGTTGGACAGTGGGTGGAGGACAGTGGGTGCATCCCACCGAGTGAGAGCTGAAGCAGGGCAAGGCATCGCCTCACATGGGAAGTGCAAGGGGTCAGGGAATTCCCTTTTCTAGCCAAGGGAAGCCATGACAGACAGCACCTGGAAAATCGGGTCATTCCCACCCTAATACTGCGCTCTTCCAAGGGTCTTAGCAAACAGCACACCAGGAGATTATATCCTGCGCCTGGCTCAGAGGGTCCCATGCCCACGGAACCTTGCTCATTCTAGCACAGCAGTCTGAGATCTAACTGCAAGGTGGCAGTGAGGCCAGGAGGCGGGGGTGCCCGCCATTGCTGAGGCTTGAGTAGGTAAACAAAGTGGCTAGGAAGCTCCAACTGGGTGGAGCCCACTGCAGCTCAAGGAGGCCTGCCTGCTTCTGTAGACTCCACCTCTGGGGTCAGGGCATAGCCAAACAGAAGGCAGCAGAAACCTCTGCAGATTTAAATGTCTCTGTCTGACAGCTTTGAAGAGAGTAGTGGTTCTCCCAGCATGGAGTTTGAGATCTGAGAACGGACAGACTGCCTCCTCAAGTGGGTCCCTGACCCCGGAGTAGCCTAACTGGGAGGCACCCCCCAGTAGGGGCAGACTGACACCCCACACAGCTGGGTACCCCTCTGAGATGAAGCTTCCAGAGCAACAATCAGGCAGCAACATTTGCTGTTCAGCAATATTCACTGTTCTGCAGCCTCTGCTGCTGATACCGAGGCAAACAGGGTCTGGAGTGGACCTCCAGCAAACTCCAACAGACCTGCAGCTGAGGGTCCTGACAGTAAGAAGGAAAACTAACAAACAGAAAGGACATCCACACCAAAACCCCATCTATACATCACCATCATCAAAGACCAAAGGTAGATAAAACCACAAAGTTGGGGAAAAAACAGAGCAGAAAACTGAAAATTCTAAAAATCAGAGTGCCTCTCCCCCTCCAAAGGAACACAGCTCCTCACCAGTAATGGAGCAATGCTGGATGGAGAATGACTTTGACGAACTGAGAGAAGAAGGCTTCAGATGATCAAACTTCTCTGAGCTAAAGGAAGAAGTTTGAACCCATCGCAAAGAAGCTAAAAACCTTGAAAAAAGATTAGATGAATGGCTAACTGGAATAACCAGTGTAGAGAAGTCCTTAAATGACCTGATGGAGCTGAAAACCATGGCACAAGAACTACGTGACGAATGCACAAGCTTCAGTAACTGATTTGATCAAGTGGAAGAAAGGGTATCAGTGATTGAAGATCAAATGAATGAAATGAAGCGAGAAGAGAAGTTTAGAGAAAAAAGAGTAGAAAGAAACGAACAAAGCCTCCAAGAAATATGGGACTATGTGAAAAGACCAAATCTACGTCTGATTGGTGTACCTGAAAGTGAAGGGGAGAATGAAACCAAGTTAGAAAACACTCTGCAGGATATTATCCAGGAGAACTTACCTAACCTAGCAAGGCAGGCCAATGTTCAAATTCACGAAATACAGAGAACGCCACAGAGATACTCCTCGAGAAGAACAACTCCAAGACACATAATTGTCAGATTCACCAAAGTTGAAATGAAGGAAAAAATGTTAAGGGCAGCCAGAGAGAAAGGTCGGCTTACCCACAAAAAGAAGCCCATCAGACTAACAGTGGATCAGTCAGCAGAAACTCTACAAGCCAGAAGAGAGGGGGGGCCAATATTCAACATTCATAAAGGAAAGAATTTTCAACCCAGAATTTGATATACAGCCAAACTAAGCTTCATAAGTGAAGGAGAAATAAAATCTTTTATAGACAAGCAAATGCTGAGAGATTTTGTCACCACCAGGCCTGCCCTACAAGAGCTCCTGAAGGAAGCACTAAACATGGAAAGGAACAACCAGTACCAGCCACTGCAAAAACATGCCAAAATGTAAAGACCATCAATGTTGGAAGAAACTGCATCAACTAATGAGCAAAATAACCAGCTAACATCATAATGACAGGATCAAATTCGCACATAACAATATTAACCTTAAATGTAAATGGGCTAAATGCTCCAATTAAAAGACACAGACTGGCAAATTGGATAAAGAGTCAAGACCCATCAGTGTGCTGTATTCAGGAAACCCATCTCACATGCAGAGACACACATAGGCTCAAAATAAAGGGATGGAGGAAGATCTACCAAGGAAATGGAAAACAAAAAAAGGCAGGGGTTGCAATCCTAGTCTCTGATAAAACTGACTTTAAACTAACAAAGATCAAAAAAGACAAAAAAAGCCATTACATAATGGTAAAGGGATCAATTCAACAAGAAGAGCTAACTGTCCTAAACATATATGCACCCAATACAGGAGCACCCAGATTCATAAAACAAGTCCTTAGAGACTTACAAAGAGACTTAGATTCCCACACAATAATAATGGGAGACTTTAACACCCCACTGTCAACATTAGACAGATCAACGAGACAGAAAGTTAACAAGGATATCCAGGAATTGAACTCAGCTCTGCACCAAGCAGACCTAATAGACATCTACAGAACTCTCCACCCCATATCAACAAAATATACCTTCTTCTCAGCACCACATTGCACTTATTCCAAAATTGACCACATAGTTGGAAGTAAAGCACTCCTTAGCAAATGTAAAAGATCAGAAATTATAACAAACTGTCTCTCAGACCACAGTGCAATCAAACTAGAACTCAGGATTAAGAAACTCACTCAAAAGCTCTCATCTACATGGAAACTGAACAACCTGCTCCTGAATGACTACTGGGTACATAACGAAATGAAGGCAGAAATAAAGATGTTCTTTGAAACCAACAAGAACAAAGACACAACATACCAGAATCTCTGGGACACATTCAAAGCAGTGTGTAGAGGGAAACTTATAGCACTAAATGCCCACAAGAGAAAGCAGGAAAGATCTAAAATTGACACTCTAACATCACAATTAAAAGAACTAGAGAAGCAGGAGCAAAAACATTCAAAATCTAGCAGAAGGCAAGAAATAACTAAGATCAGAGCAGAACTGAAGGAGATAGAGACACAAAAAACTCTTCAAAAAATTAATGAATCCAGGAGCTGGTTTTTTGAAAGGATCAATAAAATTGACAGACCACTAGCAAGACTAATAAAGAAGAAAAGAGAGAAGAATGAAATAGATGCAATAAAAAATGAAAAAAGGGATATCACCACCGATCCCACAGAAATACAAACTACCATCAGAAAATACTATAAATACCTCTACACAAATAAACTAAAAAATCTAGAAGAAATGGATAAATTCCTGGACACATACAACCTCCCAAGACTAAACCAGGAAGAAGTTGAATCCCTGAATAGACCAATAACAGGATCTGTAATTGAAGCAATCATTAATAGCCTACCAACCAAGAAAAGTCCAGGACCAGATGGATTCACAGCCGAATTCTACCAGAGGTACAAGGAGGAGCTGGTACCATTCCTTCTGAAACTATTCCAATCAATAAAAAAGAGGGAATCTTCCCTAACTCATTTTATGAGGTCAGCATCATCCTGATAACAAAGCCTGGCAGAGACACAACAAAAAAAGAGAATGTTAGACCAATATCCCTGATGAACATCGATGCAAAAATCCTCAATAAAATACTGGCAAACCGAATCCAGCAGCACATCAAAAAGCTTATCCACCATGATCAAGTGGGCTTCATCCCTGGGATGCAAGGCTGGTTCAACATACACAAATCAATAAATGTAATCCAGCATATAAACAGAACCAAAGACGAAAACCACATGATTATCTCAATAGATGCAGAAAAGGCCTTTGACAAAATTCAACAACCCTTCATGCTAAAAACTCTCAATACATTTGGCATTGATGGGAGGTATCTCAAAATAATAAGAACTATTTATGACAAACCCACAGCCAATATCATACCGAATGGGCAAAAACTGGAAGAATTCCCTTTGAAAATTGGCACAAGACAGGGATGCCCTCTCTCACCACTCCTATTCAACATAGTGTTGGAAGTTCTGGCCAGGGCAATCAGGCAAAAGAAAGAAATAAAGGGTATTCAATTAGGAAAAGAGGAAGTCAAATTGTCCCTCTTTGCAGATGACATGATTGTATATGGAGAAAACCCCATCATCTCAGCCCAAAATCTCCTTAAGCTGATAAGCAACTTCAGCAAAGTCTCAGGATACAAAATCAATGTGCAGAAATCACAAGCATTCTTATACACCAATAACAGACAAACAGAGAGCCAAATCATGAGTGAACTCCTATTTACAATTGCTTCAAAGAGAATAAAATACCTAGGAATCCAACTTACAAGGGATGTGAAGGACCTCTTCAAGGAGAACTACAAACCACTGCTCAATGAAATAAAAGAGGATACAAACAAATGGAAGAACATTCCATGCTCATGGATAGGAAGAATCAATATCGTGAAAATGGCCATACTGCCCAAGGTATTTTATAGATTCAATGCCATTCCCATCAAGCTACCAATGACTTTCTTCACAGAATTGGAGAAAACTACTTTAAAGTTCATATGGAACCAAAAAAGAGCCCACATTGCCAAGACAATCCTAAGCCAAAAGAACAAAGCTGGAGGCATCACGCTACCTGACTTCAAACTACACTACAAGGCTACAGTAACCAAAACAGCATGGTACTGGTACCAAAACAGAGATATAGACCAGTGGAACAGAACACAGACCTCAGAAATAATACCACACATCTACAACCATGTGATCTTTGACAAACCTGACAAAAACAAGAAATGGGGAAAGGATTCCCTATTTAATAAATGGTGCTGGGAAAACTGGCTAGCCATATGTAGAAAGCTGAAACTGGATCCCTTCCGTACACCTTATACAAAAATCAATTCAAGATGGATTAAGACTTAAATGTTAGACATAAAACCATAAAAACCCTAGAAGAAAACCTAGGCGATCCCATTCAGGACATAGACATGAACAAAGTCTTCATGTCTAAAACACCAAAAGCAATGGCAACAAAAGCCAAAATGGACAAATGGGATCTAATTAAACTAAAGAGCTTCTGCACAGCAAAAGAAACTACCATCAGAGTGAACAGGCAACCTACAGAATGGGAGAAAATTTTTGCAATCTACTCATCTGACAAAGGGCTAAACAACAACTCAAGCAAATTTACTTGAAAGAACTCAAACAAATTTACAAGAAAAAAACAAACAACCTCATCAAAAAGTGGGCAAAGGATGTGAACAGACATTTCTCAAAAGAAGACATTGATGCAGCTAACAGACAAATGAAAAAATACTCATCATCACTGGCCATCAGAAAAATGCAAATCAAAACCACAATGAGATACCATCTCACACCATTTAGAATGGCGATCATTAAAAAGTCAGGAAACAAAAGGTGCTGGAGAGGATGTGGAGAAATAGGAACACTTTTACACTGTTGGTGGGACTGTAAACTAGTTCAACCATTGTGGAAGACAGTGTGGCGATTCCTCAAGGATCTAGAACTAGAAATACCATTTGACCTAGCCATCCCATTACTGGGTATATACCCAAAGGATTATAAATCATGCTGCTATAAAGACACATGCACATGTATGTTTATTGCAGCACTATTCACAATAGCAAAGACTTGGAACCAACCCAAATGTCCATCAATGATAGACTGGATTAAGAAAATGTGGCACATATACACCGTGGAATACTATGCAGCCATAAAAAAGGATGAGTTCATGTCCTTTGTAGGGACATGGATGAAGCTGGAAACCATCATTCTCAGCAAACTATTGCAAGGACAGAAAACCAAACACCGCATGTTCTCACTTATAGGTGGGAATTGAACAATGAGAATACTTTGACACAGGGTGGGTAACATCACACACCGGGGCCTGTCTTGGGGTAGGGGGAGGGGGGAGGGATAGCATTAGGAGATATACCTAACGTAAATGATGAGTTAATGGGTGCTGCACACCAACATGGCACATGTATACATATGTAACAAACCTGCATGTTGTGCACATGTACCCTAGAACCTAAAGTATAATAATAAAATAAATAAATAAATAAATAAATAAATAAAAAGAGAACTGTTAGCTTCAATGTAATACAGACTTACCTTTTTTTAAAGAACTACAGTCACATCACCTTGACTGTTGATGTATTTGATGAAGCCAGAAGAAAGCCTTACTAAAATGGGAGCCACAGTCTGTACGAAACATGCTAATGCTGATAATTTATTTCTACTTCCTTTGCTTTTCTTAGTCTTTCCTCAAGACTTGGACCACACTAGCCTTGAACATAAGTTAAGTTTAGAGTAAGAGTTACAGAGACATCAATCCCTCAGCCCCCATCTGGCACTGTCACAGGTGCCCCATGTCATTCTGCTCACTTAAATACTTATGTTTTCATTTACTTGTTCAAATCCTTTTTTTTTTTTTTTTTTTTAGATGGAGTTTCACTCTTGTTGCCCAGGCTGGAATGCAATGGTGCACTCTTGGCTCACTGCAACCTCTGCCTCTGGGTTCAAGCGAATTTCCTGCCTCAGGCTCCCGAGTAGCTGGGACTACAGGTGCCCACGACCAAGCCCGGCTAATTTTTTGTATTTTTAGTAGAGACGGGGTTTCACCATGTTGGCCAGGCTGGTCTTGACCTCCTGACCTCAGGTGATCCACCCCCCCTTGGCCTCCCAGAGTGCTGGGATTACAGGCATGAGTCACCATGCCCAGCCTCTTCTGGTAATCTTTTGCTGTGGCAGTTGCTTCCATTATCGTTGAGAAGCCCCTAGAGGACTGTGAGGGCCCATCCACCATGTCTATCCTTAGAATATTAATGCAAACTTATTTTTCTCACCAGTACTCACATTTTTTCCTCACCTAAATACTATCACAGAATACTGTAAATTCACAGAATTGGAAGAGATTTTCTTGATTGATTTCAGCATAACAGACCAAAAATGTGTCATTGTATTTCTCAATGATTACTGCACTTTATCTTCAGCTTTATAGTCCTTTTCACTGAGGTTACAAAGACAAAGCTAACAAAATATAAGAATTCTCTAAAAAATATTTTCAAAAATGTTGCTTTGGCACTCACGTATATGGGCCTTTTGAATCTCTCTTCAAGAAGAACTTGCTGTTTAACTGTAAGTATTGCAGTGAGCTGAGAGCCTACAGCTGTGAGCACATTCAGTATCTTTTGATCCAAGTCCATACTATTCCCAAACAGCCCCTAATCAATGACTGAGCATGGTCTGGGTAGTGGTCCTGGTACATCTGCCCAGAACAGGACTCCACTAAGGGACAATCTTTGCTCCAGAGTTCCCTGTTGAGTTGGTTGAGATTTCATCAGATCTGTATCACTGCTGAGAGATATCCCTGCCCAATCCTTCTTATAGCTCATTTTTTCCTTTTGTAAGTATGAGATTTTCTTTGTGACCACAAGCCTTTCTCTGCCAGATTCTGCTGCTTTCAACTCTTATCTTTTATGTGTATTGCCTCTCAATAAAACTCTTGACTGCCTATATTTGTCTCAGAGTCTGCTTCCCAAAGAACATAGTATTTTACCTGATTTGTTTAATGCTTAAAACGTTTGCTGTGATTTATAATCTATTCCCCTTTTAATCTCTTAAGTTCTTCAAGAAGCAAGTTTGAGACCGGGGCTTACATCTGGACAGCTTATTTGCTAAGTTATTCTAACGAACAGGAGTGGACGCTGAACAGAATGAAACAGATAATCCAAGGGTAGTTAGTCAGGTGGTCTCTGTGAGCTACTGGAGCAAAGTACTATTAAGTACCTGTTGAGGAGGTTGGTCAAACCCTTTCAGAACTGTTTGCTGGAAGAATGGAAAGAGGGAGTTGATATGACTTGGATGTCTTTCCTTACCCAAATCTCATGTTAAATTGTAATCCCCAGTGTTGGAGGAAGGACCTGGTGGAAGGTGATTGGATCGTGGGGATGAATTTCCCCCTTGCTGTTCTCATGATAGTGAGTGAGTTCTCACCAGATCTGGTTGTTTAAAAGTATGTAGCACTTCCCACTTCACTTTCTTCCTACTGCTTCTGCCATGCAGGACGTGTCTACTTCCCGTTCGCCTTCTACCATGATTGTAAGTTTCCTGAGGCCTCCCCAGCCATGCCTACTGTACAGCCTGCAGAATCGTGAGACAATCAAACCTCTTGTCTTTATAAATTACCCAGTTTCAGGTATTTCTTTCTAGTAGTGCAAGAACAGACTAATACAAGAGTGATTTTCATCACCCCCTGTCCCTCCTTGGTCAAAGGTTGCCCTTAGGGTGTTAACTCATTTGTGCTGCCTGGTTTAACCTGTGTATCCTTATATCCAAATGATTGAATGGATTCCTGCTGGCAACCCAGGAGTGGGAGAGCAGATAATCCTTTGCCAGGAAGTGAGAGAGAGGAGGAACACCTGAAGCAAGATGCTATCATTTATACCTCTGTACAGCTGTTTGCTGCATTAATGGCTAAAATTAAAAGGCAGGTCAAGAGAATATGAGGTGTGCCCCAAGAGGTACCTAATATACCTTCTTTGGAAGCTTCATTACAAATTAGGTTCAGTTTCTCTTATCTTAAGGACTTCTGGCAATTTTCCATCTTTAAGCCTCTTTTCACTGTATTAAGAAAATTTTGAATAAATAAAATTATAACAAATGATGTAATAGGACCCTACGTACCCAGCTTTAACAACTGTCAATATTCCGCCACTCTTATTTCATCAATTGCTACATCACCTTTTTGTCTGGCATATTGTAAAGCAAATCCAATGCGATATATTAATTTTTATCTATAAGAACTTTAGTATATATCTCTATTAGATAAGAACTTTAAAATCTAATCACAATATCATTGTTACACTTGGCAAAATAAATGTAATCTAATGCCAAGTTCATGTTCATTTTTTCCTTTTTCCAAAATGCTTCTTATACAGTTGCTTTATTTTCATTGAATATATAATATTGTGTGTTGTGTGTGTGTCTGTGTGTGTATACCTAACACCTCATTTATTTGTTGAAGCAACAGCAACTAGATCATGTGTTCTGTGGAATTTCCTATACTGTCTCACTGACTGTTAATGATTCCATGGTGTTTGTATAAGATACTCCTCCCTAACAGAGTTTTAAACCTGGGTATCTCAGATCGATAGAACTCAAGGAGTCTATTACTATGGATTGGACAGAAAGCATCTTTATGTTCCCTGATGACTAACAGAAATTTAGCATTTCCTTTATATTGAATGTAGGCAACCAATCACAGAAATATTAGCACTGCTATATAGGCTTCTATTTGTCACAAGTAAACAAGTAAATATTTCCATATAATATTACAGTTGTTGCAGATATCTTGAAATGCTATTTTCCTTTATTATTCTTCTATTGATTATTTTACATCAACATTTAACTGTGGATATTAGATACCCTACTAGAATATAAGTAATCAGTCTTCTTGTCCGCAATCCTCGTTAGCCAACTAGGAACCAAACCTGAGCCTAATGATTATTTATCGACAACACCGTGCCTTGGTTTGGATAGACTACATGAGAGTACTCAACTCTGTTTGTGTTATTAAAAGGCAGTCTTTTGTTACACAAGCTATGAATGTAGACTATGCAAGTTCAAATATATCTTACAGTTGAGGTAAATACCATGTTTGCTATTTAACGTAACTTTTTATTACTACAATTCGATTGTGTACTTCCAGCTCTAAGCTTTGTGAGTAGCAGAGGCTTTTCTTGTTTATCTTTTTTCTTGGGGCTTTTTGAACACTATCTATGTCATGAAACAAAAACTTTCACATACTAAAATATTAGCAGTGAAATTCGATTTCAGGAAGACTCTATATATGTGAGAAAAATCTTGGAAATTTATGTGTTGAAATGGATTCTGATGTATTTCTTTTGACAGGTCTAAATCAACTAAAAATTATTGCACCCAATCTGTGTCACTTGGAGATGAAGAAAATAAAAGGCAGCGAAAAAATATTCTTTGTTAGAAAGAATTCCATTTTACCATTTTATTTAAAAATTCATAGAAATTCTTAAGTTGTTGAAAATTATTTATCAAGTTATAGGTGGCAAGAAAACATTGGGGATTCTTATTGTACTTGTCTTTCCTTCCATATAGTTCCTAAGTGAGTAATTTTATTTCTTTAGTAAGAAAAATAAAACATGATAAAATGATGAATTATTTCTACATGATAGTAAGGTGAGTGTATATTTTATCATTTTTTCCCTGTATTGTTTAAATTTTCTCAGTATTAAAAAAAACTAAAAAACAATGACACCATTGCTACCATCAAGGAGCAATGCAATAAAGAAGAAAAGCAAGTAAAACACCAATTTGGAAAGTGTGTGACTAATGCTATGTTAGAAGGACAGACTATGTGCTATGAGAGCAGAGAGGTTGGGTGCCTAACTGATAGGAACTAGGGAACAGCTTCCCAAACGCATGGCCAGCAATTAAGAGATGAGAAGGAGTTGATGAACTGGGAACTGCAGGTTGAGTTTCTGGTGAAGGCAGTAAGAAGAGTATTTACAAAGGGAAGACAGCCAGAGAGAACATGATATTTTGGAGGAACTGGAAGGAATTTTTAATGTCTCGGGTTCAAAAGGTGTGTGAAGGAGTTGTGAGAGTGGGGGCTGGAAAGGCAGGCAAGGGTGAGATGCTGAAAGGAAGTAGATTCAACTCTCAGGAGTTTCAAGTTTATCCTGGGTGAGGGAACCCACCAGACACTTTTCATTAGGGCATAATATTACCAGGTGTAGATTGTAGAGAGATCACTGCAGGGAGACCAAATAGCTTGATCTTATAATAGGCTATTTGAGAAGTGATTGTCTGAACTAGGGAGAGAAGCAGTAGGGCATAGGGGAGGAAATCAGATGTAGGAAGTGGAAACTGTAGGACTAATTACATGTGACTGTGAGGAACAGAAAGAATAAGCAGATGACTAGGTGAGTAATTTTGAATGAACTAGGATTTTTATTATTGTTTGACAAGTGTTACTAAAGGTATGCAGTATAAATGTGACCTATTACTTTGCATATTTTTTGAAAGACTACCTTAAATATTTTAAATGTTAACCAAAACTAGATTTTGAAGAAGTTACAACTTATTAATAATTACCAAGATTTAAGTACTATAATATTAATGAGTTGCTATTTGCTACACTGTAAAATTTAGAATCCAAACGATAATGATAACTTTGCATTTTGACATCAACTGTTATTAAAATAATACCTGAAGGAAATAATTAAATGTATTTATGAGATAAGTAGCTCTTTCTCACCACATACTTTTTCAGTCATTCATTTAATGTTGAAATTCTCAGATTTGTACTGAATCTAAATCAGAGGTTCTCAAACTTTAGCCTGCATCAGGGTCACTTGAAGGCTGTTAAAACTCAGATTGCTGGCCCAGAATTGTTAATCCAACAAATTTGGAGTAGCATTTGGGAATGTGCCTTTCTCAGAAGTTCTTACTTGATGTGGAGGCTGATGGGCTAGGAACCACACTTGGAGAATCACTGTTGTAAAATGTTATGTGAATTTATTTAGTCGTTAATTCAACCATTGTATACAAATTTAGAATGAGTACCTACTATGTATCAAAACCTAGAAATAAAACAGTGGGAAAGCTACATTTTCTTTACTGGAGGTGATTATTCTGAGTGAGTGTGTAAGTTTGGTTTATATCACAAATTAATCCAGTGTTTAGCTACTACTTGCACTTTCATGTTTCTACAGTATTTTTATGTCACTCAATATTTTTCTATATGGAATGAATCAGTATTTTATTTATCAAATCAAGACAATCATACTTAAAATGAAATGTAAAGCTATTTCACTAAATCTGAAAAGTGAGATAGATCTGTAGATCTTATATTTATAAATAGTGATTAAGATACTGTGTTAGCTTACTAGGACTTTTATAACAAAATTCCACAGAGTGGTTTCAACAACAGAGACTTATTTCTCAGTTCTGAAGATGGAAAGTCTAAGATCAAGGTGTTGGCAGGACTTACCTTCTTGTAAGGCCTCTTCTCTTGGCTTGCAGATGGCTGTCTTCGTGCTGTTTTGTCACATGGCTTTTTCTCTGTGCCTGTGCCTTCCTGGTGTTTCTTTCTCATCTGATGAGGACGTGAGTCATTTTGGATTAGGGCCCCACCCTACTAGCCTCATTTTGACTTCACCCTGTCTTTGAAGGCCCTATCTCAAGTACAGTCACATGGATGAAGGTCCACGTTTATGACTTCATTTCACCTTAATTACCTCTTCAAAGGCCCTATCTCTATACACACTTACATTCTGAGGTACTGAGGGTTGGGACTTCAACATACGAATTTTGGGTAAATGCAACTCATCCCATAACAGACATTCACAGTTGTTACGAGAAAACATATCCTTGAAGTACAACTTTAAAATTGCCCCCTTTGAATTTGTATCTAAAACATTCTCTTTTCTTTTTCCTACAATCAGTCCTTCTATAGCCATATATTAAGGGCTACTACATTTCCAGGGCTACCATAGGAGCCAAGGGAATAAACAAAGCTTATTTTGCCTTCATTTTCCAAGGTTATTTCTAAATATTTATTTGTAAATTTGCCTATTAGTGAATTACAATGCATAGTCCTATAGAAGGCATATTTTGTTAAAGGATCAGTTTCTCAGAAGATCTAAAACAGTACATTTAATTTATAATGAGATTGAACTCTCATATAACTCACAATATAAACCAACCTAATCCCAGTTTGGGCTAAGGATAAATTGGATTTTCTTGATGCAAGTGGTAAAACAATTCACACAAGGTTGCTCAAAGGAAGACTCCTCTGTGAAATAACTATTTAGAGAGATGTGGACAGGGTTGAGAAAACAAATGAAATCCACTGAGGTGCACCAAGCCTAGCCATTACCACTCTTAGATCAGAAGGTTCAAAGGCAGGAAAGTCGGTATTGGAGCCTGCTGAAAACTGGAATCAATCATGGAGGAAGGGGACACACGGGGGAGCTGTAGACGGGTGGGTGAGTTAAACTACTCACAGAAATATGGCCCAAAGCAATGGAGTAGTGAAAATATAACACTTAATTTCTCCTTCTTTCTTCCCTCTCTTCCCCTGATGGTGCCTTCTTTTATTCAAATCCCATAAGAAGCCAGGCAACAAAGGAACTTGTGTAATGTAGTCCACGGGGATTGGCAAAGAAAGAAGTAGAATACGTGAAGACAGGGGAGGGCCAATGAATAACAGCAAATAAACAGTACAGAAGCTGCAGTGGGGCTGAGATTACAGTCAGCATAGCCATTCGGATATGTTATTTACAGACAAGAATATGTGTTTGTCAAGTATTGTTGGTATAAAATAAGCTTGTTGTATTCTTCTGCCTCTGAAATTGAACCACGGAGAAGACTAAGAAATATGCACAATAGATTACAAAGCCAAAAAAATAAACAATCATGAGCTAAGTCATGTACTGAGAAAAAAAAAGTGGAGGCTCAGTCCAGGAGAGATCACTGGGGGTCACAAATTTATATTTTAACAAAAATCAGTTGACCAATTTATTTAATGATGGCTTAACTGGTCTCCTGAGCTTATTATGCTCAGTGTCACGGTAACTCAATGGTTGATGTAAGATATTTTCCCAATCCTTGTGGAGGATAAGCCCTACTGGAATCTACTTCTTTGAGAACCCTTTGACAGTAAAGTCTTGGCGGTATTCTCAGAGTGACCAAGTCTTTCTATCTTTGGAAAGAGTTACACAGTTTCAGAAACTGCTAAGATAGCTGTGTGGTACTTGAGCTCTATAGGTGGATAGTGTAAATTTGTTACTTGACAAGATAAATGAATACCATAGAGTAATAGGAAATCACCAAGTTTTTTTTTTCTCTGACTTTTAAGTTCAGGGATACATGTGCAGGATGTGCAGGTTTGTTACATAGGTAAATGTGTGCCATGGCCACACAAATCATCTCATCACCTAGGTATTAAGCCCAGCATCCATTAGCTATTCTTCCTGATGCTCTCCCTTCTCCCAATCCCCACCCTCCAACAGGTCCCAGTGTTTGTTATTCTCCTCTGTGTGTCCATGTGTTCTCATCATTCAGCTCTCACTTATAAGTAAGAACATGCAGTATCTGGTTTTCTGTTCCTGCATTAGTTTGCTGAGGATAGTGGCTTCCAGCTCCATCTATGTTCCTGTGAAGGACGTGATCTTGTTCCTTTTTATGGCTACATAGTATTCCATGGCAAATACATTCTACATTTTCTTTATCCATTCTATCATTGATGGACATTTAGGTTGATCCCATGTCTTTGCTATTGTAAATTGTGCTTCAGTGAACATATGCGTGCATGTATGTTTATGATAGAATGATTTGTATTCCTTGGGGTATATACCCAGTAATGGGATTGCTGGATCAAATGGTATTTCTGCCTCTAGGTCTTCAAGGAATTGCCACACTGTCTTCCACAACAGTTGAACTAATATATACTCCCACCAACAGTGTAAAAGCATTCCTTTTTCTCCACAACCTTGCCAGCATCTGTTGTTTTTAGACTTTTTAATAATAGCCATTCTGACCAAGTATTTACATATATAAAAAAGCAAAAATTAGAAATATCTTCATAAAATATTTTTACCTCATTTATCAAAATAGTTGGAGCAATTATAAGTAAGAGAAAATCCACCATCTGATTAATTAACTCTTATCTTTGCACAGTTTCCGGGCTTTCTAAAATGCAACATATTATTGACAAAACATTCCATCTTTTAAACAAATTCTACAACTTTATCTCCTCTGACAAATATTTCTAAGTTCAATCTAACAGAACCCATAAGCACTAGAACTCATTATTTCCTTAGTGAATCATTTGGACAAATAATACATCACTGCTGGAAATAATTAGCTAAATTACTACATTTAATTCTATTCATATAATTGTTTGACATCTGCCTCTTCAAACATTTGTAGTAATTATTTTATTTTTATTTTGCTAAATTTTAAATTGGAACAGGACAGATATGTTGGGAAGAATCACACAGTGATTAATCCTGTAGGCTTGCAGTAGAGTCCACAGATTTGAGCTTTGGCTCCCTCCTTGCTAACTGTTACTTTAATGAAGCTTTTAAACTTCTACAAACTTTACTTTCTTTATCTGTAAAATGAGGAATAATAATACCTCTGCAATAATTATTATGAGGAATGCATGAAAAATATATCTTGGTCAGCAATTTAAGTATTTAAATTATTATTGCTATTGTTATTACATATAGCTAATATTATACTCATCTAAAATATCAAAATAATGATAATATTTACTTATTTATAAGTACGCAGTTTTTTGATGTTTATATCACTGGATATTATCACAAACAACACAATAAGCAACGTTCTTATACTTTAGATTGACACATTACTTAATTTAGTGTATAATATGCCTATGAATAACAGTAAATTAATATTTTAGACTTAATATTTCTTTTTTGCAATTATTGATCTTTTAGAATAATTTATTATTGGTGAATTGAGAGATAAGATTTTAATATTAAATAGTCCATCTTATAAAAAACATATAATAGCTTAGTAATTTGAGTGAAATTTTAGAGAAAATAAATTCCTAAATGTTAAGAGCTTCCTGGTTGGGCATGGTGGCTCACACCTGTAATCCCAGTACTTTAGGAGGCTGAGGTGGGAGGATCACTTGAGGCCAGGGGTTTGAGACCAGCCTGGGCAACATAGCATGACCCCATCTTTACAAAAAATAAAATAGAAAAATTATCCAGGTATGGTGGCACATGTAAGTAGTCCTAGCTACTTGGGAGGTTGAGGTGGGAAGATCACTTGAGCCCAGAAGTTTGAGGCTGCAGTGAGCTATGATTGCACCATTGCACTCCAGCCTGGGCAACAGAGTTAAGCTCTGTCTCTAGGAAACTTTTTTTAAAAAGTTTCCTCTAGTCAAATTCTGAGGCGTTCTAAAAAATCAACATTTCCATCTGTTCTTTCTATCATTAGTAAAGCAGGTGGTGTATGTAATATCCAAGGTAAAGTAAAAATCATTTGGGCTTTCAAAAACTCTAATACAAGTTTATAAGAAATTAGTACTACTCCTGCTTAGAGAAATTTTTAATGGAAGATAAATAATTATAGTCATAGATATTTTATTTTCCCCCCATAAAAATAGTGGAAGACCTTAGGCCATTTGTGCCTAATCTCATGTATTTAAAAAGTAGACCCCCAAGGAAAGATAATTCTAGAGATCAGAAATTCATATCCACAACTAGTATGCCTTGGCTTTTCTACCATACTTGACTGCATTCCTCATGTTGCACGTAACATACAGACACAGACACCCAAGAGAAAGTGGCTTAAACATTAAAGGGGATTTATTGGCTTTCATAAGTATGTAACTCTGGAAGCCCCTTGACTTTCTGAGTTGGTTTTGATTCAACAATCTAATGGTATCTTTACAGACCTAGTTTTTTTTTTGTTGTTGTTTTGTTTTTTTTGGTATTTATATTCGCCCATAGTCAGCTTTATCTTAGAGCTTTCCTCATGATGACAAAATTGCTGCAGCAATTCTAGTGTTTATAACCATACATCATCCTGAAATAAGAGTGTTTCTTTCCCAGCATTCTAAGCAAGAGTCCTAAAATTCACTTGTCAAAGTTCAGCTTCTGATTGGATCAGTTAAGATTACCTCCATACCTTTGAAGTAACCACTATGCAGGGATTCTAAATGTGCTGATTGATTTAGGTCAATCGGATGCCATGCTCTCAAGTCTAACTTTTCTTATAGTATCTGGGCTACATAGCGGAATGGTATACATACAAACTGAAATTCATAATGCTTTTAGGAAGGAGAAAGGAGTCAATAGATGCTGACTAGGTGGCCAATTAATCCACTGCAGGGACATTTTTCAAAGTCAGAAAAAAATCACAAAATTCAAAGAATCCAATCTCAGAGATTTTGCTAATATAACTCATCTTAAATTACATCTAGAAATAAATAAAAACACATCTAAAGAACATGTTTACTAATATTACAGTAATTATTTAACTTTTTTTTTCTCAAAGCGAGACTGTATTACCAAGGGTTATCTATTTTTTTTTAATGTAGATCTTACTGAAGCGTATAGGTCTTGGGATGCAAAAGTCTTAAATGACTGTAGCCAAGTGTATATTGGGCAGTGTGTTGCAATGGATTGTACTATTAGTTACATAAATTGGGTACTTAAAAACTCCTAATAAATAAATAATATGACAGATAAATCTTCTAAAAATATCCACTCCTAATGACATCTGGGAGACACTTGTCATGTGAATCCATCATGCTCAGTTCAGATACCTTTTCATCTGGAAACATGGTAATATTGGATTTCTAGATCTGGTTTAATACTGGATGGTTTAAGAATGCAAAAGTATAACATATATGAAAATTATATATGGTTTTATCTTTCCCATTTCTCTGGTGCCATCAACAACCACACCCCTATTTCAAATAGACCTCCAGGACAGACAACTGTGTATGAAGAGGGAAGGAAGAGTTAACATTCCTCTTCTGTCTTTTTGGTTTTAGCACAACCACTCTGGATGAGTTGAGGCAAAACTTCAGTTAGAAGAGGCTTGAGAATATTGGGCCAATACACAATATATATTAGTCAAGGTTCTCCAGATAGTCAGAACTAATAGATACTGAATAGAACCTATGAATATTATAAGGAATTGGCTCATGCAATTATGGAGGCTGATGAGTGCCCAGATCTGTAGGTGGCAAGCTGGAGACCCTGGAGAGCTGATGGTTTTGTTCTAGTTGAGTCTGTAGGCCTGAGAACCAGATACAGTTCTAGTATGAAGGCTAGTAGGTTTCAGACCGGGAAGATCCAGTGTTTCAATATGAGTCCGAAGGCAGGAAAAAACCTGTATCCTAACTCAAAGGCAGTCAGGCAAGAACACTTCTCTTACTCAAGAGAGCCTCAGCCTTCTTGGTCTATTCAGGACTTCAACTGATTGGGTGAGTCCACTGGGTGGGGACCCACTCACATTATAAGGAGGACAGTCTGATTTTCTTAGTCTACCTATTCAAATGTTAATCTTATCCAGAAACACCCTCATAGACACAATGATGTTTGACCAAATGTCTGGATATCTCATGAGCAAGTCAAGTTGACACATAAAATTAACCTTCACACAATATAAGCTCAGGATGGTTTATGTGAAAAGTTAACAGATGCTGTGAATTCTTCTTTAGGGACTGAACAATTCTGTTCAATTCAAATGAACAAGATATAAAGCTTTGCTCCAAATTTTTTAAGGCTTTAGAGCCAAAATTCTTCAGTTCTTTATATATTTTTATCCACATGTAATGACCTACACAGAACAAATAAACATGGGTTTGTATATGACTGCATTTGGAGGAAAGAATTAGGAGGATTAGGAGGATTAGGAGGATTAAGGATACAGAAAACGTTATTTAGCCTAGAAAGGAGTTCCAAAAAGGACACCTTGAGAATGTGCATATCTTCAGGCCAAACTATGCTTAAAACTTTCCAGAAAGTTTATTGGTGCTAATATTTCTTAAAATCCTCCAGAAGAGTAGGCTCAGACAATAATTTGAAAAAGGGAATTGCTGGTAAGTTACGCCATGCGTGAGCTGATTTACATGAAAAAGAAAGGGCTTGGCGGTAGTTTATGCTTGGTTGATGCTGGAGGTTGGAGAAGTGCAGAGAAAGACCCCCTTGACTGCATCTCAGCTTATGCACAGACAGGCAGCAGCTAATAATTGAAAGAGCCCTTTTTATAAAGGATTCCATGAAACAAGGGAGGCTTGAGCATTGTCAGTTCAGGCCTCTGGTCTGAAATGTGACCGAGAGAGAGCGGTATATTCTACTTGTTTATTTGTTTCTAAGCAACACAGCATGACATAGACATAGAGAAGACTGAAGGAAATCCAGTGTCATTTTGTTCCCTAGTGAGTTGGCAGCTTTGTAAGCAATGAGAGAGATTACCCTTATCTGGAAATAATATTTTCATGAAGGGCACACACAGCAGCAGCAGTGTGAGAGGCCACCCTCAGAGTGCTTTGGTAGAGAGCGAATTCAGGGAGATGCTGGACTAAGACCAGAGAATTGTTTGTAAGCTTATACAAGACAAAACAACAGGGGGAGAGGACTGGGTGGGGATGCGGGATATTTTTCATAGACAGATGGAGTCGTAATCCAGTGGTATTTGAGTTGTTGCTGTTAATAAGATTACTTCATATTGGCAAGGGATGTATTCAATAGCCCATTTTTTAGCTTTATGATTGCAAAAACAAAACAAACAAATATAAAAAGAGACAATTAATGAACCTCAAGGCAAAGAGTACTTGTATTTATGCTATGTATTTCAAGAGAACTCTGTTTCCTATTACATTACTTCAGCATCAGTGACTTCTAAAGTCAGTTGTAAAAAGGATTGTGGATTACTTACCTTCAGTTTAGAGGTAGTTTGATTGCCTGAGGCATGGAGAATTAAATGAATAAAGGAAGACCCAGGAGTTCTCTTTTACATTGTGGGAAGCTAGCATTTGATATGGAAACCTTTAAAGAGTAATTCTTCCGATTGGTTAACATCGTTAGAGATGAGAAATAGTTACTTATGAGAAAAACATAGAATGTTTTTGATGGGTTGGCATAAATGACTTCTCTACATGGCCCTAATTCTGATGTTTTCTGATGTTTTAGGTAGAACTCTTTTTTTAGTAAATTGCAATATGTGAGCTATACAATAGTCTTTCAACACATTTCTTGTTCTGCTTATATTAGAACTGTGGGTTTCAGGTATTCAGACAAGAACTGTGTCTGGTAAATGGATCATATTTTCTATGGAGTTACTAAAAGACACATACAGTTTTAACACTTGAGTATAAATAAATAATTGAATTTGATGGTATTTGGTTCAGACTGGTTCGTTAGACTCGGAAAGTTTTCTTTTCTCATGTTCATTGCCTCTTGACTCCATCAACTTTGTTTTAGAACTGGTTTTGACCCAAGAGAAGAAAGAGTAAGAACATTTTATTCAGTAGATTGAGGCTCAATATTATCATAATGACCATCAGTCTAGCTCTCATCTTTTACTTATTTCTGAAAATTGGAATTCTGGCTTGCTCCTGTTAATAGGATACAGGAATTAATTAAATTAACTCATTTTTCAAGGATGTGAACAAGGTCAAACTCCCTACAACAATAACAAACATTGTGGCGTCCAAGTAATTAAGTTTGAAAATGTCCTTAACTCTACTTTCTACCTCATACCTTCTATCCCATATTTAGTTGTTTATCAAGTTCTATGTTTTCAATGTTCTCGTGAACATTGATGGTGTTTTGCCCATATCCCCTTGGGTTTTCCTGTCCTTTCCACGTAAAATGACCTGATTTCCAAAGACCATTTTTGTCTAATAGCAGCCCTTGTGTTGTTGAATCCATTTTGCCCTCCTGCTACTGAATCCACTTCACAAAGTAAGAGTTGGAATGAAGAGATAAAGAATAGAGGTTCCTGGGAATTAGCATCCTTCTGGAAGGAGCCCTTAATTGCTAAGTAGCATATTGGCTCAGGGTCTGCTCTTGAGGGAACTCCAAAGTTATACACTTCTTCTCCTGTTTTTCCATAGCACTTTTCCTCTATGTTTCTTAGATTTCATTATAGAACATCTATTAGATCTAATCTCTTTTGCCTCCTCCTCTCGACTACTCCAGCAAAGGGACTTATCTCTGCATTTCCACGATCTTGGGCTAAACTTGGCTCATGATGGACCTTTAACAAATGGCTACTGAAACGAACTGGGATTATCCTTTGTGTCATTGAAATCCCTCAATCACCCTTTTTAGTCCTCTGATTCCTCTAGAATTGTGGAGTGTTTGACCCTGTGTGGACCATAAAGCTTGTCTTTCAGGGAATGGACTCTTGTGCCTGAAATTCCACCTCATGACTTTTGCCTTCTAATTGATGACAAGCTTCATTTTATTTGTTTTTCTGATTTTTGCTTTCCTGGCTAGTCTTTCAAAAAAAAAAAAAAAAAAAGAAAAAGAAGAAGAAGAAGAAAACAGAAATGAATTAAGAAGAAAGTGAATGAGAAAAAAAGAAAAGGAGAAAATAAATGAACGAAATAAGAGAGAGATTGTTGTGAGAAGGAGGGAGGAAGTAAAATGACAGGAAAATTAAAATAGAGAAGAACATTGAGAGTTCATGTTAAATGTTCTTCCTCTTTTCAATAAAGTTGGAGAGAAAATCAATTGCCGAGATAAAGAGGTAAGAAGATACAGGTTTGAGTGGAGTGGAAAAGGCTTGAGAAACCTGAAGAGGAAAACAGTGCAGATAGATAATCAGCAGTGAGGCACAGTATTGGCATTTCTTCAATCAGTAAAGAATTATGGAACACCTATTATGTATTCTGTCCCATACTGAGCATGACTGAGATAAAGAATACACATCCATTTCTTTATATCAGTATTTTCATTCTATTATTTTGACCAAGTTTATCCCCCAAAGCATCTAAATAATACTATTAGTCAAAAATATGAAAACACTTATTTAAAAAGCAAAACATATATCAAATATTTAAGCCTTGAAACTAAGCATTCCTCCATTACATATAGCTGCTACCAATGTCAGAATCTATTATTTTGCTATTTTGTTGTCCAGTAAAGAGAAAAATACCTCTGGCAATATCACTTTCTTTATTATCTTTGCTGAAGTTATCCAGAAAGCAGGATATTGAGTCATTGTCCCAAAACAGAAAAAAATACCTGCTGAGGTCTGCTCAGAGGTTTAAAATATATTCTAAAGTAAAGTATAATTTTATAACTAGAGTCTTTTGACTCAATTTCACAATTCTAAGAACTTTTAGGCCTATGGCCAAAATCTTAATCTATTGGTTCAGGTTTTAAATTCAATTGTAATCTTACATTCTTCTTCCATATGACATTTCCTTAGTGCTTTATCAGTTTTCCTCAAGAAAGAAGGCAATATTATATGTCAAAATTACTATGTACACTATTTACACTTTAAACCTTGTGCAAAGTTACTTATGCAATTATAAACAATGTACATAATAAGTAAAAGGGTGGAATTGGCATCTGACACACCTGAAATAAATTTTTTTCTGTCACTTATTAGCTGTGACCTCAAAGAAGCTATTTAATCTTGTTATATTTTAGATTCTGCTCCAAAAATGGGGTAAATGGAGTAATGTAAGAACCAAATGAATTAATAGATAGAAAACTAATAAAAAAGTGGCTGGTAATAGCACAAAGTTGATAAATGTTAACAACTTCTACTGAATATTTGCTTTTCTTTTAGTTTGTTTTAAGCTGTTCATTATGTGGTCTACTTTCCTATATACTGAGAATTTCCAACTTAAAACTCTTGGTGAGGGAGTCTACTGTCTTATATAGAAACGTAAATGGCAAGCATTTATGATGCTTTCTTGTCTTGCCTCTCTCGCAGTTAGGCTTGGAAACCAAGTGCCATGTGGCCTATACTTTGAATTGAGATAATGTTGCAAAGAAATATACACGGAAGTGAATCTGTCTTGCAGAAGAAAAAGACAGCCATAGCAGTGACAACCACCTTCCAGGGGCAGCAATAGCAGGAGTCCCAGCAGACATTTAGAATTGTTAGTGGTGCTTCCTGTGGCTTTGAATGTGTTTCAGCAGTGGCAACAGTGGCAAGAAAAGGGGCAAATTCATAGGGTATCATTTTGGCTGCTGGTCTAGCTGTGTGGCTGCTAAGCCTGGTTCTCTAACACCACTGGAATTATTTCAAAACATGCTTTTCTCTTGAATCAGCCAGGTTTAGTTTTTGTTGCTCTCAATGAAGAGCCTGGATTCATATAAAATTGGGACCAGAAATAATTGCAAGCAACAAGCCTAAGGGAAAATTAGGGATGGATGTTGGGGGGTTGAGAAGTCTGGGATTTGTTAACTGGCTTGGAGGCAGAAAAAAAATCTAGTACTAAGGGAAAGAACTTTGGTAGTCAATGGTATGTGGTACCTAAGCCACTAATTAAATTATCCCCTGTGGTCATCTACTATGAAATAACCATTCAAAGAAAGGCTGTGACAGACCCAGTGGCTATTACAGTATAGTATGAAGGGCAATTCAATTAGTATGGAAGACTTTTTTTCTGGATATATGGACATCCTAAAAAAAGAGAATGGTTTTCTCAAATTCCAAAATTCTTGGCTTAAGGCACGGACTGTCAGGGAATTTCTATGTGCATGCTGATAGAAGAAAAGATATCTATCATTTTTTGCTACACATGGCTAAGACACTGAAAACAAAATGTAAACTTGGGTTTATGTATTGCTGAATTGTGTTGAGTGAATTCATCGTTCATACTTTTATTAGTGCATGCAAAACACTGTCCAGATACAAAGATAAATTAAATAGGTCTTGCTTTTCAGTACAGAGAGGCACAAAGAACTTAATCATAGTTGTTTAATCACCCAGATGAACCCATCTGTTTTTGTTAGGATTATATTTGCCTGCAAGTAACAAAAGTCCAACTAGTATGGTATGTACCTAAACCAAGAAGCCCCGAGGTAAGAAGTGTTCAATGCTTTCAAAAGCTCTGTCGTGTCAGGGCCTATGGCTCTGTGTTTCACTTTGATGTTCCCTCCTGTCAAAGGATGGCCACTGCAATTCTTACCTCTTCATTTATGTTCAAGGTAGGGCCATGTTAAGAAAAAAGGGGCTAAATCTCTGTGTGTTGCCCCTTTTATCAAGAAAGTAAACATTTTCCAAGAAATACCATCAACCTTATGCACTTCTGCTAAGGTATCATAGTTAGAACTGAGTCATGTGTGTATGTCCACCCTGACAATAAGAAAGTATAGGAAAAAACAGGGGTTTGTCGTGATGCATTCCACTGAGCTACACACATTGCTCTCTGAATCAAAGTGAGAGTGTTAGCAAGAATGAGGTAAAGAATGAATATTAAGTTGTCAACTAATAAGGTATGCCACATTATCCTGTATTTATTTTGCCAGATTCTGAGAATATGATTGGAATACATATTTTTAGTAACTTGTAGCACCTCCATTTACTCATCAAAACCAGGGAATAAAGGTCACTATGACAGAAAGGACCAAATGCAATCTATGGTGCTTTTGTTTCCTAGCAAGATAGTAATTGAAACCAATACCCTATCCCTGGAGAAAATACCATTATCGAAGACTTGAAAGAAGCCCAAGATACAATAATTTGCCGTTCTTTGGAAAGGATCTACTGGCATGCCTCAGACCACTGATATATCCCCCACCTCCACCAAATTTCAGTGATGTGGTAGACCCCTGATTTTTCGTAGAATATATTTTCTCTCTTCTGCAGCTGGTTTTTCTCACCAAGGTTTCCAGCGTGGTTGTCTCTCATTGCTTATCTGGCTTCTTTAGCATAATGTCATTGATGTATAAGTAAACTCAGTTTTGTGCGGTATCCTGGGGCTTCAGGTCCCCTCAAACTATATTGTAAGTGTGGGTGTGAGTTAACAGAGATGAAAGACAAGCATTTAAGTGTATATGTCAGGAGTCACATCAGTGTGCTTACCTATGCTTTGGGTTTGAGGGCCTGATGAACGAGTCACTTGAGTGTTTGTATGTGTGTGTGTTATTATGGGTGTGTTTGCAAAGACAACTCTAATACAGTTACTGGTTTATTTCTAACCATTCTTTCATAAGTTATTTGGGTTTTGGATTACCATTCCTAAAGGGAACACATATTGTATTTTTAATTAGATTGGTTATTAGGCCAGCCCATACAGGCCAACTTAGTTTTGTTAGACTATGAAGTAGGTATAGTGTGATTGCACTGAGCATTTTAGGTCCTGTGACAAGGAAATCATGAACTGCAGTGGAATAAGAAAAAAGAGGCATCTTTCTGTCTTTAGGACTTTGAAAAAAAATAAAAGAATCAAAACTGTTTCTATTCAACTTCCTGGTTGATGTGTGGCACTCATCCAACTTTACTGTAAGATATAAAGGTATACACATTCCAAAATTATTGACTTTTAAAAATTAGTTTACACTAATATTTATAGCACTGTATTTGCTAGTAAATATGAAGATGCTTTACATTTGTGTTCATAAAGCGCTATTTTGGTAGGCTGGCTCTACCTATAGGTCTACCCCCAAGTTTGGTTCGCCAGACCTCTTCTGCTTTCTGCAGCTTCTTCTTTTCTCCAATTCTAAATACATAGATAATTCTGAAACTTTATCTTCTGGAGATTCCTTTGGTGGCACAGCTTGGCTTCTAAGAATTGGGACAGTGGATAAAGGTAGATGGTTAAAATTTTGGGATTATCTGTATATTGAGTTTTAGTGAAACTGAGGCCTGTTTAAAAAAATTATCTTCATTATTAAGCAGATATTGTCATTAGAAAGTCCTAGTAGTTTTATTCAGAGGCCCCCGACGCCCTAGGAGCTGCAAGAAAGCATATCACGGACCTCTGCAAGGCAAAGAGGGAAAAGGAGAGAGCTGTTCAGTGGGAAGGGCTCCAGCTGTCTTCTTTGCTTAAAGACTTTTGTGAAGCACTAGATGATATTTAATGCCCATTCCAACTCCAAAATTCAATAGCTTGATACTTACAAACTCACCACTTATCAAATCTTAATTTTTTTGAAATGTGTATATTTTGAGTATTAAAAAATATTTGGTGAATTTGAGAGAATTAAATAAAATGAATTTTAAAGTTTGATTATTTTTATTTATAATTAAAATCAGTAATAGATAAATACATTGAATTTTAGAACAAAATGAGTCTTTTTTTTACTTCCAAGGCTTGATAGATTAAAGCAGCATTAAATCCCTATTCCACCATTTCCTAGCAATGTGAACTGGAAAACTGTCTTGAACTTTTATTCTTTAATTTCCTCATCTGTAAAATGAAGATAATAATGGCATCTATCTAGTAAAAAAATTATAAGACATTTAAAAGCCTTAGGAGAGTGACTGAAAGATAGCAAGCACTCGATATAAACTATAATTTTTATTATTGCTTATAGTGAAATTATCAACTCGATATGGCTTGACCACTGAAAATTAGAATGACTAATTTATGCAATTGCAAAAAAAATAGGACATCTAGAATAGTTTGAAGTAGAAACGCAAAAAGGAAAACAGATGGGCAATATCCAGTAAGAAAATTTTGCTCGGTATTGCCCATCTGCTTCTCTCTGCCTGCATGCTTTGCAGTAATATAAATTTTCAAAGAGCCAAGTAATATAATTCTCAATATAGTTTAATTTGTGTTTGCACTTCATTGGCTACTGGCAAGGGAATGGTTAGATTCAGATTTGATGATAATGCCACATAGTCCTCGTGTTTATCCCATGAGAGGCAAAGCTGTACAAAAGATTAAAATTAGTAGGAGGCAATTATTCTCCTTATTAATCAATTCTAGACACATTTGGCAGCTTTTTTCTTGCAACAGAAGTACTATTCAAATAAAGGCGGTAGAGACTCTTTTCAAAAATGTTATTTTAATTGAAAGTGTCAAGCTCTCTTTAGTAGACCATAACTTTCTTTGCCTAAGAATGTGTTAAGATTAGTATTTTTTCATTTGAAAATTACATAGTTTTCTAAAAGCATGATCATTATTCATTTTATTATTACCTTAAAGCATGCTTCTTCACAGTGAAAATAAATAGAAGCTTATTTGATTCAGGAATTACAAAATAATGCACTTTCCGCCTAACAGGAAAAAGTTGGTATTATTTTGATTTCTTTTAATAAATGGCCATTCATGCAGATCCAGATTAGAAATTGGATGATGGTTTTCCTAAACGCAAGACTGAAATAAAGCTTCTATATTTAGTAAGTGGTTGCCAGTTTTTGCAGAAATAAAGACAGAGATTAAGTCTGTAGATTACTAGGCCACATGATCATTTTTCTGTTTTAAGAAGTCAATTCAAGCAGGCACTTGGGAATGAAAAATAAAAGACAGTAATTTTTGGTTTACTTGTACTCCTGAAGGGGAAAGTGTGCTGAAGGCTTTTCCTCTCCTTTCTCCTGGATAATTCTTAGTAGAGATAGGAATGTAGGGATAGGAAGGTAAGGATAGGAATGCTCTACTGCAATCAAAGACCCCAACTTCTCAAGGTCTAATAACAGCAAATGTTTAGATCTTATTTACACTACATGTCACTTAAAACGGCATGGGACCCAGGTACTGCCTTCTCCGGACCATTGCTAGTCTCCATGACAGAGTGGGGAAAAGCATGCTGAAGAACACAGAAGTGACAAATACCACGTTTCTTATTTCACTGGCCAAAACAAGTCACATGGCAAGCCAGGGTTCAAATCAGTGAATTGTAATGTCCCCACTGGTAGGGTCAATGAATTACCCCTTTCAGCCCTCATCGCAAATACAATTAAAAGAGACCTTGTCGAATCCTCTGCAGACCTGCATCGGAAAAGTAGGAGGAGAGAAAAATTCTAGTTGTGTTGGGTTGGTCATTTTTCTAGTGTGGGAAGAGAGAGAAAAGATCCAATAAGAAGTAAAAAAACTTAAAATTGACCTTTATCCTCTAAGCCATCCCCAAATTACTCTGGTTAAGAGTGTTTTGAGATTATATGTCCTGACATGAACAGGGTGCTTCAATTTTTTAAGGGCAATTTACTCACTAACTTAAAATTCAGGGTCTGTCAACTGATTTTCTTTCTCAATACCTCTTTTGATACATGTGTTCTTTCAGTTGAAAATTTTTGTAACACTATGCTAGTTACAATGAATCTATAAGTACTTCATAATTCTTTCTATATTTCTTGTCATAATTTTTGCCTCCATGTAGATAATGGATATATTTTGATCCTAATTGAATTATAATATGGTGTAAGGTAAAATAGGTTGGTGGGACATTTGGCTTCTAAAGAATATTGTTTGACACTTAAGATATAAATTTCAACCCTATTTTTCTCCTTCAGAGGAGTGCTGATTCAGGGAGCCATTCTACATTCTTGAACCTGTAAGTCAGTGTTAATGATGTATTTGATGTTCCATACAAGGGTTTTATCTACTGCAGAAGTTTTGTAAAACAGTACGAAAGAAAAGAATTTCCTATACAATGGTAGAAGCTGTTCTATGGCATGTGTTATCAATTATATTCATAACTAGGAGCTCATTAATTATTTTTTGAAATGTTTTTGCCTCTTTATGGCAGCCTTCTCCTAATTAAAAATTAAAATCCTCACCGACTCTTCTGGTACACTTCTGCCTTTCTCGGTTTCCTGACTGTCTTTTCTCCAGGAGAAGAGGAGAAAATTATCTGGTTCATAAACTGAGGAGTAGGAATTGGGCATGTAACGCTGTGGCTTTGCTATTTCTGATATTTGACTGCTTGCTCAGGTCCTCTGCTCCATAAATAAGTTTTCTTTGTGTGGAGCTCTGTGAAGTGGTGAGGGTGATGCTTGTAATTTCCTGGAATTGACTGCTAGTTGGTGGAAGTGCCTCACTCCGGGATTTGGTATTGAAAAGCTCTCCTGGTTACACAACAATACTGTGGTACTTTCCAACAATACGATGGCGTATACTGATTTTTTATTTCTTCTCTGTCTGGCTCCTTTGTCTATCTTTTAACAGATACTGAACTCAGGCAAAGAGAAAATTTTTCAAATCCTAAACATCCATTCCTCCTTTAACCAGTCCCGTCCTAGGTTCACTGCTACAGATTAGTCCATCCAATTTCCCTGCTACTCTTCACTAACTGAACTGGAATTGCTGGAGGTGGGTCTGGAAATATATATTTTCAGAAAACTCCATATATATTTTCATATGCTCACAGGTTAATGAAGATGTTGACATATTGATTATATGTGTTGCATATTTTTGTCAAGTTTATGTTTATGTTTTCATATTGTTTATGATTTTTGACATAAAGGTTTGAAATTTACTGATAAGGCTATTCATCTTTATATTTTTCCATTTCTATCTTCCTCTTTTCTGGGAGTTGAATATTTTCCTGTAGATTTTAGGGTTTGAATTTAAAATAGGTTATTTAAAATCACTACATGAATGCATGCAGATTGTTTAAAAAGCCCTAAATTGTACAGAAACATATTTATTAAAACACAAAAGTTGCCAATTAATAGCACTTCCAGCCTTACAGGCAACCATCAGGAACAATTTGGTATATGCAGATAGAGCTTTGTATTTCTAATTTTAATGTTAACATATATATTCCTTAATAACTTTAAAAAGTGTCTTTAATTTTGTCAGTACATAGTGGGTATATGTATTTATGAAGTACATGAGGTGTTTTGTTACAGGTATGCAATGAATAATAATCACATCGTGGAAAATTGGGTATCCATTTCCTCAAGTATTTATCCTGTGTGTTACAAACAATTCAATTATACCGTTTTAGTTATTTTTAAACATACAGTTAAATTATTATTGACTATAGTCTAACTATTTTTTTTGTATACATCAACCATCTCCATCTCCCCAACCCCCATCACCCCCTACTACCCTTCCAAGCCTCTGGTAATTATCCTTCTATTTTCTACCTCCATGACTTCAATTGTTTTGATTTTTAGGCCCATAAATAAGTGAGAACATGCAAAGTTTGTCTTTCTATGCCTGGCTTATTTCACTTAACTTAATGACCTCCAGTTCTACTCATATTGTTGCAAATGACAGGATCTCATTATTTTTTATGGATGGATAGTACTCCATTGTGTATCTGTACCACATTTTCTTTACCCATTCATCTGTCAATGCACACTTCGGTTGCTTCTAAATTTTACCTAGTATAAACCATCCTTGTATTCCTAGGATAAATCCCACTTGATCATGATGAATGATTATTTTAATGTATTGCTGAATTTGGTTTGCTAGTATTTTGTTGAGAATTTTTGCATCAGTATTAATTAGGGTTATTAGCCTGTAGTTTTATTTCTTGGAGGTGTCTTTGTCTGGTTTTCGTATGAGGGTAATACTGGCCACGTGAGAATGAGTTTGGAAGTATTACCTCTTCCTCTGTTTTTTGAAACATCTCATACATCAGTGTGATTGATATTAGTTCTTCTTTAAGTGTTTGGTAGAAACAGCAGTGAAGCCACATCGGGTCCCAGGCTTTTCTTTTTGGAGAACTTTTATGATGGCTTTATATTCTTGTTACTTGCTATTGGTCTGTTCAAGTTTTGGATTTTGTTATGGTTCAATCTGGATAGGTTGTATGTGTCTAGGAATTTATCCACTTCTATATTTTCCAATTTATTGGCATGTATTTGCTCATAGTAGCCACTACTTATCCTTTAAATTTCTGCAGTATCAGTTGTAATGTCTCCTTTTTCATTTCTGATTTTCTTTATTTGGGTCTTCTCTCTTTTTTCTTAATCTGGCTAAAGGTTTGTCAATATTGTTTTCAAAAAATCAAATTTTTGTTCATTGATTTTTTATGTTGTTTTCATTTCAAATTCATTTATTTCTGCTCTAATTTTATTATTTCTTTTCTTCTACTAATTTTGTATTTGGTTTGCTCTTGCTTTTCTAGTTCTTTAAAATTCATCATTAGGTTATTTCTTAGAAGTTTTTCTTTTTTTTTTTTTTATGTAGGCACTTACAGATATAAAGTTTCCTCTTAGTACAGCTTTCACTATATCCCATAGGTTTTGGTATGTTGTGTTTCCATTCAATTTTCTTCTTAATTTCTTCATTGACCCAATGGTCATTCCAGAACATATTGTTTAATTTCCATGTATTTGTATAGTTTCCAAAATTACTCCTGTTATTTATTTATAGTTTTACTTCATTTAAGTCAGAGGAGATGCTTGATATTATTTCATGTTTTTGATTCTTTTAAGACTTATTTGTGACCTAATTTATGGTCTATCCTTGAGAATAATTCCTGTGCTGAAGAGAAAAAATGTGTATTATGCATCCATCGGATAAAATGTTCCATAAATATATATCAGATCAATTGTTCTGTAGTACAGATTAAGTCCAATGTTTCTTTGTTTATTTTCTTTTTTGGAGATCTGTTCAATGCTTAAAGTAGGCTGTTAAAGTCTCCAGCTATTATTGTATTGGGATCTATATTTTCTCTCTTTAGTGCTAATAATGTTTGCTTTATATATCTGATTGCTCCAGAGTTGGGTGCACATATATTTAAAATCGTTATATCCTCTTGCTGAATTGATCCCTTTATAATTATATAATGACCCTTTTTGTCTCCTCTTATATAATGACCAGTTTTTATCTTGATATCTATTTTTATCTCATATAAGTATAGCTAGTCCTGCTCTTTCTTGGTTTCTATTCACATGGAATATCTTTTTCCCTCCCTTTATTTTAATTCTATGTGCTTCTTTATAGGTGAAGTGTGTTTCTTGTAGGCAACAGATCATTGGGTCTTTTTTTTTTTTATCCTTTCAGCACTCTGTCTTTTGGTTGGAGAATATAGTCCATTTACATTTAATATTGTTATTGATAAATAGGGTCTTACACCTGCCATTTTGTTATTTAGTTTCTGTTTGTTTTTCAGCCTTCTCTGCTTTCTTTCTTTCCTTCCTGACTTCCTTTAAGTCATTTTCTCTGGTGATATGCTTTCGTTTCCTTCTTTCATTTTGTGTGTCCTTTGGATGTTTTTCAATTTGAGGTTACCATAAGACTTGCAAATATTATCTTATAACCCATTATTTTAAAGTGATGAAAATTTAACTCTCATTGCCTAAACAAACATGCAAAATTAAAACTAATAAAAACTCTACACTTTAACTTCGTCCCTCCACTTTTTAGCTTTTTGTTGTTTCTCTTTATGTCTTTTTATACTATGTTTTGAAAAGTTGTTGTTGTTATTATTTTTGATTGTTTCATCATTTAGTTTTTCTACTTAAGTCAGGAAAAGTTTACACACCATAATTACAGTGTTATACTATTCTGTGTTTTTACTATTACCAGTGAGTTTTATACCACCTGATGATTTTTTTCTTGCTTATTAAGATTCTTTTCTTTCAGACTGAAGAATTCCTTTTAACATTTCTTATAGGACAGGTCTGGTGTTGATAAAATCCCTCAGTATTTGTTTTTTTGGGAAGTTCTTTATTTCTCCTTCATGTTTAAAGGATGTTTTCACTGGATATACTACTCTAGAGTACAAGGTTTTTTCTCTTAGCACTTTAAATATGTCATGCCACTCTCTCCTGGCCTGCAAGGTTTCCACTGAAAAGTCTTCTGCCAGATGTATTGGAGCTCCATTTTATGTTATTTGTTTCTTTTCTCTTGCTGCTTTTAGAAGCCTTTCTTTATTCTTGACATTTGGGAGTCTGATTATTAAATGCCTTGAGATAGCCTTTGGGTTAAATCTGCTTGGTGTTCTATAACCTTCTTGTACTTAAATGTTGTATTTTTCTCCAGGTTTGGAAAGTTCTCTGTTATTATCTCTTGGAATAAACTTCTACCCCTGTCTCTTTCTTTACTTCTTCTTTAAGTCCAATAACTCTTAGATTTGCCATTATGAGGCTATTTTCTAGATCTTAGAGACATGCTTCATTGTTTTTTATTCTTCTTTTTTTGGTACCCTCTGACTGTATTTTCAAATAGCCTCTCTTCAAGCTCACTAACTGATACAGTTTGGATATGTGTTCCTGCCCAAGTCTCATGATGAATTGTAGTCCCCACTATTGGAGGTGGAGCCTGGTGGGAGCTAATTGGATCAGACTTGTAGAGGCCTTAGGGGTCTTGCATAAGATCTGGAAGAATTATCTGGATTACCAGACAGAGACTCTTGGTTTTTTTCCCCTACTTTCTCCTAAACATAAGGAATTTTTCTCTCTGTGCTGAGCCACCTAGAACTGGGGGTGTGGTGATACAAGCACCACTGTGGCCACCAATACTGGGACTGTATAGGTTCTGACCTGAAGCACAACATAGGGCCTTATCCAAGCCCTTCCCTTCAGGGTGTCCAGTTCCCCCAGGTCCCAAGCATGTCTAGAGATGCTGTCAGGGAGCCAGGGATTGGAGTCAAAATCCTTAGCAATTTATCTAATGTTCCATTCTATTGTGGCTAAGCCGGCACTCAAGCCACAATACAAAGTCCTTCCCCCACTCCTCCCTTCCCTTTCCATAGGCAGAGGAGCTTCTTCCTGTGGCCACCACTTGTCCATGGGTTGGGGGGTTTCTGCTAGGCCACCACCAATGTTCACTTAAAGCCCAAAGGCTCTTTTGTCAGCTTCTGGTGAATGATGCCAGGCCTCGGACTCACCCTTTGGGGAGCTGGCTTTTTTTCTGGCCTAGTACAGGTCCAGAAATGCTGTCCAAGAGCCTAGGTGTGGCCTTGGGAACCCCAAGAGCCTGCTTGTTGCTCTACCCTACTGTGGCTGAGCTGGTATGTAGGGTATAACACAAAGTCCAGTTTAATTTTCTCTCTGCTTTTCTCAAACAGAAGGAGTCTTACATCATAGCCACCATAGCCGGGAATGTGCTGGGTCTCCCCTGCAACCAGGAGTTCTCAGAGCCCGTGGTCCATGGCGTTCCCTTCTGGCCCATCAAAGGGAACCCTATTCCTTGAAGGTTATATCTAGAAATGCAGTCTGGGAGCTAGGGCCAGCACTAGAAGTCTCACAACTCTGCCCAGTGCCCTATCATGCTATGGCTGAGCTGATATCTAAGATGCAAGACAAAGTCCTCTTTACTCTTTGATCTCTTCTCCTTAAGTAGAAGGAAGGAATCACTTCTATTGCTGCAAGCTGCACTGTCTGGGATTGGAGGAGGGATGGCACCAGCCCTCCCTTAGCTGTGCCAGGTAGTGTCTTCCTAGGTCGTGTGTCACCCTACTTTGCTGGCTCTAAGCCCAGCCCAGCACTAGGAGTTGCCTAGTTGTCTTTGTGTCCTAGGTTGCCTTTCACGTTTACCTAGAACCACAGAGCACTTTGTCCTGCAGTGGAGAGGTTTGCCAAGGTGTGCCAAGAAACTCAATTTCTGATGGCTGGAATGGACCGTTCCTCTCTGGCTAGTGCTGGTTCAAATGCTCTCTCCATGCACAGGCACTGGCTGAGCCCAGTATGGCTTTATTTTCCACTGTGAAAGGGCAGCACTGAGTTCAATATAAAGTCTCCCAGTTGCTGTGCTCTCTCGCCCCAAAGAACGCAGATTCTCTCTCTGTGTGCCACTGCCTCTGCAGGGAGAGATGGGGAGGGGTGGTGTGGGTGATTCAAGACTGTCTCTCCCGCCTTCCTCAATCCCTGTTTACATAATATGAAGTTAAAACCAGGTACTGTGATTGCTCACCTGATTTTTGGTTCTTCTGACAGTGCTTTCCCGTGTTCAGATAGTTGTTAAAATTTGCTGTTCCAGTGGGGGAGACAAACAGTACAGGCTTCTATTCTACCATCTTGCCTTAGTAACTTTTTAAAATTAGTATATCTTGGTGAAATTTCCATGCCTATGGAACTACTTCCTTTTGATAATGGCATAGTATTCTCTAGAAAGGAAAGACCATAATTTTTAAAATTCCCCCACTGATGGACTTGAGGTTTCCAGATATTTACTATTGCAGACACACCTTTTGCAAGTACAAGCTTTTTTCTTTGAGCTCCTAAAAAAAGAGCCTCATGTTCTTCAAATTAGTGCAATTAAGATGACATGGCATAAAATAGGATTGTGGTAGACCACTCAATACCTGTGTGCCATTGAAACTAGAGCACCAAACAAAACAGAATATGGTACTTGGGGAGATAATGTGGACTGCCCAGGCAAAAGAGCTCTTGTGTTTGGAGGCTGTCACAGTGGATATTAAAAATGTACAAAATCACTAAATGGAAATGCTGAAGAGTAGGTGCTGAAAGAGTGCAGTTGAAGAAGAGCTGTGAGCTGGATGGAGGCCCTTAACATGGGCAATGAAACCTTTGTGAGATGAAGGCTACATGAGGCTGAGGGCAGGTCATCATGGGAAGCTGGCTGCAGGCGCTGCTTCTTAATGGAGTCCTGATACTATTGAATCAGCCCAGCTGTAGGCTTTTTCCTTTTACACTGGAGGTTGTATTTCTATTCATGCTTCCTGTATTTCCTTTGGCTGGAAAAAAACCATGTATTAACCCTACACAGATTCTGTGTGATGTTTGCACCCATTATCTTATTTATGAATCAAGTACTCGTAATTCACATTAGAGAAACATGGGCTGAGGTAAAACAGACTGTATTTATGAATCGTATGTTTCTACAAGAGGAATAATTAGGACAAAGGAGATGTACGTTTTAAATGTTGTGGATTCTGCCAGATTGTTCCCCCAAACAATGATAATAATTTACAACAACAGGGTTTGAGAGTATTTTTTCTGTATGTTCATCAGCACTAGGTAGGATTAACTTTTAGATTTTGTTTGATCAATTTATTTCACCCACCAGAGTAAAAATTCATGATTAAAAAATATCTAAGTAGTTGAAAATTTTTTATGTCTTTTTTTCAATTGAATCTTCGTTCTTGTGAATTATTTATTACTATTCTTTGCCTACTTTTACACTGGCTTGCTTGCTTTCTTCTTTGTAGTTCACAGAAACTTAAAAAAAAAGTATATAAACCATGCACCCATTATATGTTGAAAAAAATTCCTCACAGACTTTGGCCTGTAACTTAACATTACATGTGGGTTATTTTCACATGAAAAAAATTTAACATTTTTATGTGAAAAATTATGCTAATTTTTCTCTGGTGGTTTGGAACTTTATGATTTGTTTAGAAAGTACTTTCCTACCCCTATATTATTCACATATTCTTTTATAATTTCCATGTAGACTTTTGAAATGCTATCATATTGTTTAAATTTGAATTTATTTGGTATTTATTTTTCTGTAAGATATGCAATAGTCACCTGTTTCCTTTTTCCCTCAATTGATACATAGTTAATGGTCATAGAGCCAACCTTCCTCCCGTAATTCATAAGGATTTTACCTACCTATAAATCTAAACATACACTATTAAATTGATTTATTTCCAAATTGCTGAAGTGTTAATGTCTTCCCTGGTTGTTCTTCTTTTTTTAATTGAAATTTTGTTTTGGCTATTTGTAACCCATTTCTCCCCTAAAAGAACTTTTTTAAGGTAACTAAGACCCTCTCCTTGAGCAAATTTTAATTAGGTTCTTATGAGCCCTCTTCTGGATAAGGCCTTGACCCTGGACTTCCATGTCTGTTCTTGCAGAGTCCAGGTTTAGCAAGAATCCTGCTAAGTCTGAGTGAATCCCGCACCCTGATATCAGATCACTCTGGCATAACTTTAGCAAGAATCCTGTTAAGTTGGTTTAGCAAGAATCTCCCTGCCCTTGATGTATCCTTTTAGTAAGTTTTCATCCACTGACCCCACAATCTACTCCTTGGCTATGAATCCCCACGTGTACTTCTTGCATTCAGAATTGAGGCCAATCTCTTTCTCCTATTGCAGCAGCCTTGACACATACAAACAGTCCTCAGTTAAGTGTTCTTATCTTTTTAACAAATGTCAGAATAATTTTTTCTTTAACAAGAATCAACTTGTCAGATTTCATAAATAATTCTAGGGTTTTAATTAGTATTGATCAATTTTGAGAATAATATATGTAATATTTGATTTTTTCTTAAGGGCACATAGTCTGTATCTCAATTTTAGCAGGTCTTGAGCTTCTTTAAAACAAAATCTGTTACATGAGTATAATTTTATTTTTATAGGTCTAGGTATGTGCATACAAATACACATGTGTGTAGTTTTAAGCTTTGACAATATCAGAAGTATGGACATAAACTTACAAAACATATTTAAACGTTCATTTAATTTTTTTACTTTTTTATTTTTGGGAATCTGAATAATACATTTTTAATTCTTTTTAGTCAATGTTTGCCATCTTCAATCAGAAAGACTAAAACAAAATTAAAAATTAAAAACTTATGATTCATTAAATTAAATGCATGTATAGGAAATGTAAACAAACTTTCAAATGGTTTTGGGGATAGGTTTGTATAATTTATAAAAAGGCACATTTCAAAGTAGATAGAGGGGAAAGGCTTTTCTTGGCATTTTATCCTGAAAATGAGACTAAAAATATAAAACAAATATTTATCTTATGAAAATAAGAGATCATTTTAACTGCTCTTATTTGTGGCATACTGAAAGAATGAAATGAGAGTGTTTTGTTGTAAATTTTTCTGGTAATGTTGTATGAAAACATGATATAAAATTATTTATTTCACATTTGGCATTTGTAACAAGGTCCTTAAACAGGTCAGTTTTACTTAAGTATGCAAGCTTGGTTTGTTAAGCACTTTGATCTTAAAATCATTCTCTTTTAAAGCATTCATCTTGTTACTATCCTTCTTCATTTTCTCTTCTTTAATTGCTAACTGGACTAATTTCAAATGATCTGGTCTGTACCTTATGTAGTTCCCAAGGTCACTTTCAATGACTTCATGCAACATTATAATTTTTGCATAATTTTCATTTTCATATTGTAATTGGTTTGTATTGTATTTTTACTGTACTATTAGAAATAATTTCTAATAATCAATAAGAGACTGACCAATAATTTAGCGTGACATGCAGGGATATGCTTCACTGAAGTTTGGGAACTAATTTTAAAATCGAGCTATTAAAATAGACTATTTTAATGTTATAATGACCTAATAATGATTTTATTTTTTTCTATCTAATCTCACAACTGTGGAAACTCAGAAAACTTTTACCCACACAATCATACCCTTTCATCACGTGAATATTATCCTGTGTTTTTTCAGTCAACTTCCTTTTTTGGGTAACTTTTATATTACGTATCTTTCCATGTTAGGGCCTAAAAATATACTTTATTCTTGTATGTGGTATATATACTTCATAGGTTTATCAACTCCCCTGTTGGTAGATATTTAGGAGACTTCTCATTTTTCACTAGTACAAAGAATACTGTGCACAGCTTCTTAAAATTATTATTATTATTATTATTATTTTGGAGGGAGCACCCAGATCATAGCTTTTTTTAGTTATATGAGAATATTTCCCGATAATAGACGTGAAATGAACTTGCTGGGTTGAGATGTTAGGTATTTTACATTTAAGCATATTTTGTCAATCTGTACTCCTCAATGTGTTTGAAAATTTTGCATTTCCATAGACAGTACATGAGCATCCCATATTATGCTTTGTCCAACTCTTGAATATTTCCAACTTCTTGTTTTTTGTTTCCAGCCTGATGGATGATGGCATTTCATTGTTTTAATTTGTGTTTTCTTACTAACTGGCAAGGGTGAGCATCTTTCTCTATGTGTATTACTCTTCCCATTTTCTCTTTTGTGAATATCCTCAACATATATTTTGCTAATTTTTTCTGTTGAATTATTTGCCTTCTCTTGTTCATTTCTAAGAATGTGATATATGTTTGAAGTACTAAGCTTCTATCTCATATACGTTACACATACTTTCTACCTGTCTGTTGCTTATCTGTTAATTTTATTTATTGTAATGTTAATATTGTTTATGGCTTTTCAATTTTGAGGTGTTAAGAAGGCTTCTCTATCTTCAACTGTATTTTCTTCTAATGTTTTTATAATTTTATATTTAACAGTTTTAACATTACCTTTAAAACTTAGCTTTAAGTTAAGTTTAGGTTCTTACTGTGCTGGAATTTTGATTTTGTGAAAAATGTGAAGCAAGGAAATCCTGTGGGCTCTATCTTTAAAATATGCCTAGTATCCATCTCTTCTCTCCACCTCAGCTACCCCCTGGTTCTAGACACCATCACAGTTACAGATTTCTGCAGTAGCCTGCTAAGTGATCATCTTTTGTCTGTACTTGTTGCCTTCAAGCTATTTTAACACAGCAGCTAGAGGTATCTTTTAAAAATGTAAAATACACTTTGGGAGGCTGGGTTGGGCAGATCATGAGATCAAGAGTTTGAGACCAGCCTGACCAACATGGTGAAACCCTGTCTCTACTAAAAATACAAAAAATTAGCCGGGCGCGGTGGCGGGCGCCTGTAGTCCCAGCTACTCGGGAGGCTGAGGCAGGAGAATGGCGTGAACCCGGGAAGCGGAGCTTGCAGTGAGCCGAGATTGCGCCACTGCAGTCCGCAGTCCGGCCTGGGCGACAGAGCGAGACTCCGTCTCAAAAAAAAAAAAAAAAAAAAAAAAAAAAAAAAAAATTAGCCAGGCATGGTGGTGCACGCTTGTAATCCCAGCTACTCAGGAGGCTGAGGCAGGAGAATCGCTTGAAACCGGGAGGTGGAGGTTGCAGTGAGCCAAGATCACACCACTGCACTCCAGCCTGGGCAACAGAGCGAGACTCTTTCTCAAAAAAAAAAAAAAAAGTAAAATAGCAATAGCTGCTGTTTTCACTCAGAGTAAAACCAGTGTGTTCATAATGGCTAACATGATCTGGCCCCATTCTCGCTGACCTGTCTCTTATCATTTTGCCCACCCTTTTCTTCATTCCTCAATGTCTTAAAGTCTGCATTGGCTTTAACTTACACACCACATCAGCTCTATGCACATATCCCGCTTTCTACGCAGAGTACTTAAGGACAACCTGCTCTGTTCCCATAGGCCTCAAGCTAGGTTGCTGCTATAACAGCTTCTTCTGCTTTAGACTGATTGGCCTGCTCTTGCTGCTGTTCCTGGTCCCTTTTTAACGTAAGAGCATAACCTTTCTTTTGCTTCTTTTTTAGGGTTCCTGTGTTGCCACTAAGTTTCAATACATGGGCAGCAGCTCTTCGCTCTTCATTTTACTAAGCACCCAAACTTGTGCAACTCAGAAGTGTGGAGGGTAATTCCTAAATGGTGAACTTTGATGAAAGGGTGATGGAGTCAGTGGATAAATTATTTTTCCCTTTTCCTCGTTTTGGAGGCAGAGTAGCTTCATGAAATTTCTGAAAATGTCTTGCATGGCTAAACAATTGGCTTACTATAAATCTGTGTCCAGCTCAATGATATTTTCCTTTATTGTCTTCTATCTAATTCCCTGCTTTACTTCATTTTTCCAGCATTCCTGCTTCTCTGGGATTGTACTTCATAATAAAGTGTTAGCACAAATGTGTTTCCTTCAGGGTCTGTTTTCTACAGCACCATGGCTAAGACACATTTCTCTGCAATGTCATACTTTCACTGAAGCTTATCCCAGCCACCCACTCCAGGCACTGCTCACCCCCACAAATCTCTTTGACTTTTTCATTTATTATTATCTAATGTATAATTTACTTAATTATTATAATTATTATTTGTATCTTCCCTCCTTCCCCATAATAAAAGCTTCAGGTTATAGAGAAACAGATATCTTTGTTTTGTTGATAGCTGTATCCCCAGCACCTAGAACAATGCTGGGCACATAGTAGGCCCTCAGTTAATATCAGTTGAATGAACTGAAATGAGGTCTGGTATTGATACTACTGATGAAGCATCACCACCATTGCCACTATAATAAATTTGAACTTATCGCTGCTTCTTTATACTATCAGATGTAAGTTATGAGGCCTGTTTGGGCAGGAGCTTCTGATTGGCAATGTTTAACACTCTTTCCCTTATCAGCTTCCAAGAAAGTGGTTTGTTTTCTGTATTGGATGACAACGCTCCTCTTTCTACCAAAAACCAAATAATAGTTGGTTTCCCAAAAGAAAGATGAGCTGAAAAAAAGAAAAAAAATTCCTTAAAGAATTGCATTAGATTTACAAATTAATTTGGAAGGACTCTTTATAACTTTGAATATTCTTATCTAAAAGTATTGAATAACCTTTTATTTATTTAGGTCATCTCTTATGTTACTTGGATGTTTTCAAAATATTGCTTTATATCTTTGCTTTATGCATTTTTTGTTATATTTATTACTAGATAGAATTTTTCAAAACTAATATGAATAGACTCTCATTTTCTAGTTGATTGTGTTTGGTATATACCACAAATGTTTTTTATTTCTATAATAACTGTGTATCTATCTTCCTTGCCATACTCATTATCATTGTTTTAAATAATTTGACATTTCTCACATTTAATTGCTCAACTTATTTGGAATTTTATGTATGACATTTAGTGAAGATCTAACTCAATTTTATTTTTCCAATTGCTCACCCAATTGTCTAAGCCATTATAGTTGATACTTCTGTTTTCTCCTCATTAATTTATGATGCAAATGAGCATATACTAAATTATTTTGTGTTTAGGCTAGCTATGTTTTTTAATTATGTCCTCCACATTCATTCCTCAACTTCATAGAGAAATCTATTCCCTTGATTGTGTGCTCTGTCCCTGGATGACTATGAAATGCTTGTATAAGAACTAAAAATAACCATCTGGACATCTCCAATGGCAATTACTTCAATACATCTAACTCACACCTGGCAGTCTTTCTCTATGTCCTATCTCAGTTATTAACACTGCCAGACGGCCAGTTGCTCCAGCCAGAAACTTTAGAATAATCCTTAAATCCCCATATCCGGTTGGTTGGGAAGTCTTGTGAATTCACTGTCCTGAACATCTCCAAAATATTTTCTCTCCTCTCCACTGACACTGCATTCATTGGAGTCCTGTCGGCTGTCAGATCTCAGCTTAAATGTTACCTCCTGGGAGAGGGTTTCCTGCCACCCTGTTAAAGAAGCCTTCATCTTACAGATACTGTTATATCACCTCGTTTCTTTCCTTTATAAATGTTCTAACAGTTTGTAATGACTCATTTAAAACTTTCTATTTTATTAATTTACTATTTATTTCTCCAATAGAATGTAAGTGCTGTGACAGTGGGCCTTGTCTATTTTGTTTTCTATAGTAACTACAGTGTCTAGTTTTTAGCGTATAGCAGGCACTATGTAATTATGTGAGAATGAATGAATGAAAGAATGAATGACACAATGCCCTTTTATTAGGTTTATTTGCTTCCACCTGTCTTAGTCATTTTCTTCCAAACAACCTCTGCACTGATAGAACTGGTTACCAAAATAGAGATCTAATCATGATAAATCTCATCTTAAAAACCCATCACTGTCTCCCTAAGTACAAGATAGATACTACCTTCCTTAGCCTATAAAAAATGATAGAACTGCTTTGAATCTACTTTAAATGAAGTTTTGAGTAGAATTGAATATATGATATTAGATCAAAATCTTAAAATTCATATTTCTGTATTAAATTCTGTATTTAGAAAAACTGAGTAGTTTTAGAGGGAAAAAAACTAACATGAGTTAATCCAGATTATGTGTATCCTTTCGTCAAAGATGTTTCCAACTTATTTTTTCTCACATATTAAATTCCTTTATTTCTATTCTCCATAGGGATTTTTTTGTTTCTATTAATTTTTTTTCTATATTTTAGAATCTTAACCCTTAAACACTATTTGTTTTTCTAGGTAGAGCTACAGAAATCCTACAGAAAATAATTGTGTTTTGAGATTAGACGGTGAGGTTGATTTCTCTTACGCCATTTTTCCTTCTACGGATAATAAGCCAGCAATGTGTGATAAAACTTTCAGTGACAAGGAAAATGTGCTGTGTTCACAAATACTGTCCACATGTGGCGTTTGAATATCTAAAATGACTAGGTGACTGAAGACTTGAATTATTAGTTTTATTTTACTTTAACTTATTTAAATTTAGCTAATCATGTGTAGCTAGTGGATACTGCATTGGACAGTGCTAAACACTCCAGGAAGAAGGCAAAAATTATCAGCCTGTTTGAAAAAGCAAGACTCAATTATCAGCTGACTATAGGAGACAACTTTTATACATAAAGATGGAGGATGAGAAAAATATGCAAAGCAAAGATTAATTATAAAAAATATAGAATGGATATATGACTATCGTGCAAATGGATTTTAGCAGAAAAAATATTACCAGAGATAAAGAGAGATATTTAATAGTGATAAAAGATCAGATTTTGAGGAAGATATAACAATAGTAATGTGTGGACACTGATAATAGAGCTTCGTCATGAGTAGAAATATTATGATGAAGAACTCTTAATCTTAAAATGATGAAAAATCTCATAAGATTGTGGTGGTTTTAAAATATATTCACACGTTTTCTGATACTCCCCCTTTGTAAGGCGGAGTAACCTAATTTCCTGTATCTTGAGTGTGATCTGTACTTATTAATCTACTTAGAGTAAACAGAACTTGATGGAAGAAGTGATGTGTGACTTCTGTAACTAAGTCACAAATGGCATTATGGATTTCTCCGTGCCCTCTTTGTCTCTCATATCACTTGCTCTAGGTAAGCCAACTGCCATGTCATAAGGACACCTAAGGACCCCTATGGTGAAGCACATGTGGCAAGAAGCTAAAGCCTCCTGCCAATGGCCATCTTAGACGTGGATCCTCTAGCCCCATTCTAGTCTTCAGATGACTGTAACCCTAGCTAACTTCTTTATTGCAACCTCATGAGAGACCCTGAGTCAGAACTACCTGAGTAAATTATTTCTGAGTTCTTGATCACAGTAACTCTCAGATAATAAGTGTTCACTTTTTTAAGCTGCTAAACTTGATAGCAATTTTTTATTAAGCAATAGATAACTAATAGAAGACATAAAAGGTGAAATAGAAATAGCCACAATTATAGTTGGAGATTTCACTGCTTATCTCTTAGTAATTGATAGAACAAATTAACAGCAAATGGTAAGTATAAAGAAAAATGCTATAAACAAACTTGACTTAATTAACCTTTATAGAACACTCCACCTAAGAAAGGCAGAATACTATTGTTTTCAAGTGAATATAGAATATTCACAGGTATAGATATACCATATCCTAGAATAAAAAACAAGTTTCAGTAAGTTAAAAAGTATTGAAATCATGCAGATTATGTTCTCTGACCATAAATAAATTAATGAGAAATTAATAACAATAAGATATTGTTATTTCTAGCAAAAATAATAATAATATTATTATCAACAATAAGATATTGTTATTTCTAGCAAAAGCTCAAAAAATTGAGTATTAACAACACACTTAAAAATAACATGTAGGTCAAAGAAGAAAACACAAAAGAAATATTTCAAGTTTTTCGTTGAATAAAAAATTTTTAATTTTCAAATTTGTGTGATACATCTAAGACTCTACATAGAGGAAAATTTAGTGCTTTAATACTTAGGAAAGAAGAACAGTCTACAGTCAATCTAAGCTTCCACCATAAGAAGCTATAATAAAACGATGAGTGAAGTAATCCCAACATAAGTAGAAGGAAGGAAATTTTAAATATTGAAGTAGAAATTGAAGATACAGAAAATTAAAAAACAATAAAATAAAAACTAGTAAAGCCAAAAGCTGATTCTTTGAAAGAATCAACAAAATTGACAAGCCTCTAGTTTGACTGATGTTAAAAAAATTGAGGAGACACAAATTACCAATATCAGGAAAAGGGGGTATCATTAAAGATCCTATAGACATTTAAAGGATAATAAAAAACTATTTTGAATAACTTTTTGCCAATAAATTTGACAACCTAAACAAAATAGATACATTCCTTAATAGGTACAAATCACTAAAACTGATATAAGAAGAAATAGAAAATCTGAATAGTAATTCTATATTTACTTAAAATATCATGATATGATTTGGCTCTGTGTTCCCACTCAAATTTCATTCTGGATTGTAGCTCCCATAATTCCCATGTGTTGTGGGAGGGGCCTGGTGTGAGATAATTGAATAATGGGGCAGTTTTGCCCATACTGTTCTTGAGATAGAGAATAAGTCTCACGAGATCTCATGATTTTACAAGGGGGAGTTTCCCTGCACAGGTGCTCTTTGCCTGCTGCCATCCATGTAAGACATGACTTGCTCCTTTTTGCCTTCTGCCATGATTGTGAGGCCTCCCCAGCCATGTGGAATTGTGAATTCATTAAACCTCTATCCTGCATAAATTACCCAGTCTCAGGTATGTCTTTATTAGCAGCATGAAAATGGACTAATACAGTAAATTGGCACCAGTAGAGTGCAGCACTGCTGAAAAGATACCTGAAAATGTGAAAATGACTTTGGAACTGGGTAACGGGCAGAGATTGGAACAGTTTGAAGGGCTCAAAAGAAGACAGGTAAATGGGGGGACGTTTGGAACTCCCTAGGGACTTGTTGAATGGCTTTGACCAAAATGCTGATAATGATACGGATGATGAAATCCAGGCTAAGGTGGTCTCAGATGAGGATGAGGAACTGCTTGTGAACTGGAGCAAAGGTGATTCTTTTATATTTTAGCAAAGAAACTGGTGGCATTTTGCTTCGCCCTAGAAATTTGTGGAACTTTGAACTTGAGAGAGATGATATAGGGTATCTGGTGGAAGAAATTTCTAGGCAGCAAAGCATTCAAGGGGTGACTTGGGTGCTGTTAAAGGCATTCAGTTTTAAAAGGGAAGCAGAGCATAAAAGTTTGGAAAATTTGCAGCCTGACAATGCAATAGAAAAGAAAATCTCATCTTCTGTGGAGAAATTCAAGCTGGCTGCAGAAATTAGCATAAGTAACAAGGAGTTGAATATTTATCACCAAGACTATGGGGAAAATGTCTCCAGGGCATGTCAGAGACATTTGCAGCAGGCTGTCCCATCACAGACTGGAAGGCCTAGGAGAAAAAAAATGGTTTGTGGGCAGGGCCCAGGGTCCCTCTGCTGTGTGAAGTCTAGGGACTTGGTGTCCTGTGTTCTGTCTGCTCCAGCTGTGACTAAAAGAGGCCAAGGTATGGCTCAGGCCATGGCTTTGAGGGTTCAAGCCCCAAGCCTTGGCAGCTTCCATGTGGTGTTGAGCCTGCCAGTGCACAGAAGTCAAGAACTAAGGTTTGGGAACCTCTGCCTAGATTTCAGAGGATGTATGGAAGCGCCTGGATGTCCAAGCAAAAGTTTGCTGTAGGGGCAGGGCACTCATGGAGAACCTCTGCTAGGGCAGAGCAGAAGGGAAATGTGGGGTCAGAGCCCCCCCACAGAATCCCTACTGGGGCACTGCCTAGTGGAGATGTGAGAAGAGGGCTGCTGTCCTCCAGACCCCAGAATGGTAGATCCACTGACAGTTTGCACTGTGTGCCTCGAAAAGCCACAGACACCCAACACTAGCCTGTGAAAGCAGCCAGGAGGGACGCTGTACCCTGCAAAGCCACAGGGGCAGAGCTGCCCAAGATCATGTGAACCCCTGCCTTCCATCAGTGTGACCTGGATGTGAGACAATCAAAGGAGTCAAAAGAGATCATTTTGGAGCTTTAAGATTTGACTGCCCCCGTGAATTTCTAGCATGGGGCCTGCAGCCCCTTTGTTTTGGCCAATTTCTCCCGTTTGGAATGGCTGTATTTTCCCAAAGCTGTACCCTCATTGTATCTAGGAAGTAACTAACTTGCTTTTGGTTTTACAGGCACATAGGTGGAAGGGACTTGCCTTGTCTCAGATAAGACTGTGGACTTTTGAGTTAATGCTGAAATGAGTTAAGAGTTTGGGGGACTGTTGGGAAGGCATGATTGGTTTTGAAAAGTGAGGACATGAGATTTGCTAGGGTCCAGGGGTGGAATGATATGGTTTGGCTCTGTGTCTGCATCCAAATCTCATCTTGAACTGTAGCTCCCATAATTCCCATGTGTTTTGGGAGGGACTAGTGGGAGATAATTGAATGATGGGATGGTTTCCCCCATACTGTTTTCGAGGTAGTAAATAAATCTCAGTCAGATCTGATGGTTTTATAAGGGGTTTCTACTTCTGCGTCTCTCTCGTTCTCTCTTGCCACTGCCATGTAAGAAGAGCTCTTCACTTTCTGCCATGATTGTGAAGCCCCACCAGCCATGTGGAACTGTGAGTCCAATAAACCTATTTTTCTTCCCAGTCCTGGGTATGTCTTTATTGGAAGCATGAAAACGGACTAATACATATTATATTTGAAATTTATAGTGAAAAACCTTTCAAAAAAGTAAACTATAGCCCAAAATGGTTTCACTGGTAAATTCTATCCAACATGATGTAGGGAAGGAATTATAGAAACCCTATATGAACTGTTTCAGGAGGAAGTATGCTCCAACTCATTATGTAAGGTCATCATAACCATGATACCCAAACCAGATAAAGATATTACAAGAAAAATTACGATAGACTGATGTCCCTTATAAATATAGAAACAAACATACTTTTTTAAATAGAAAAAGCTTTATTCAAGTATAATTGATATACAAAACACTGTACATATTTAATGTATACAATCTGATGAGCTTGGACATATACATACACTCGTGAACCAATGCCATAATCAAGGAAATAGACATGTCTATCACCTCTAAAAGTTTCCTCATGTCCCTTTCTTCTGTGTGTGTGGCAAGAACACTTCACACGAGATCTACATTATAAAATATTAAGTGCACAGGATAGTATTGTTGACTATTAGATACAACAATGCTTAACAAAATATTAATTAATCTACTCAGGTGCACTCAAAATGGGTGCACTAAAATCTTAGACTTCACCACTATACAATTCATTCATGCAACCAAAAGTCACATGTATTCCAAAAGCTTTTTGAAATAAAAAAATTATTTATTTAAGAAAAAATAGTAAATCTAAACTGGTGATATATAAAGGGATAATACATCATGACTCACTGGGGTTTATTGCAGGACCGTGAATTTGATTTAATGATGAAAATCAGTCACTATAATTCACCATATTAACCAAACAAAGAAAACAAATCATGTTTATTTAAACAGATGCAGAAAAAGCATTTACCAAAATTTAATATTATTTTGTCACAGAAACTCTCAACAAAAGAAGAGAATTCCCTCCACTTTGTACTGAGCATCTATTGAAAACCTGGAGCCATCATCATAACGGTGAACGAATGTTTTTTCCCTCTGATAAGAAATTAGGCAAAAATGTCCACTCTTACCATTTCTATTCAACTTTTTAACTGGAAGTCACAGCCAGAACCAAATAGCAAGAAAAAGTGTAAAAAGCATACAGATTGGAAAGATAGAAATAAAACTGCCTTTATTTTTGGATAGCATAATCCTATATATAATAATCCTAAAGAATCAACATATAAACTACTTACAAGTGATTTCAACAACTTTTTAGGATCCGATGTATATAACCTATATCACTTATATTACTATGAAACTAAATTTATGAAAAATTAAATTGAAAAATATTTACAATAGCACTCAAAAACTTGAAACACAAGTTAAATTTTAGAAATTATGTTGACATGTACATGAATGGGAAGCCAAGTTGGGAGGATTGCTTGAGCCCAGGAGTTTGAGACTGGCCTTGGCAACATAGTAAGACCTTGTCTCTCAAAAAAAAAAAAAAAAAAAATTAATTAGCTGGGTATGGTGGCATATGCCTATAGTTACAGATACTCAGAAGGCTGAAGTGGGAGGATTGATTGAACCCAGGAGGTTGACGCTGCAGTGAGCCATGACTGTGCCACTGCACTAGAGTCTGGGTCATATAGCGAGACTCATCTCAAGAAGAAGCGCGGTGGCTCACATCTGTAATCCCAGCACTTTGGGAGACCGAGGTGGGTGGATCACTTGAGGTCAGAAGTTCAAGACCAGCCTGGCCAACATGCTGAAAACCTGTCTCTACTAAAAATACAAAAATTAGGTAAGCCTGGTGGCACACATTTGTAATCCCAGCTACTTGGGAGGCTGAGACAAGAGGATAGCTTGAACCTAGGCCAGAGTGAGACTCTGTCTCAAAAAAAAAAAAAAAAAAAAAAAAGAAACCCAAAAGACATGTACATTCAAAACTATAAGGCACTGCTTAGAATATTAAACATGTAAATAAATGAAGACGGGCTATATTTGTGAATGGAAGTCTAAATATTGCTAAGATATCAATTATCCCACAATTTATCTGTAGGTCCAACCTCATTACAATCATGTTCCCTACTCTCCTTTTTTGGGTAGAAATTAATAAGCTGATATTTAAAATTATATGGACTTAAGAAAACTAAACATATTCTTACCATATGATCCAGGCAATTGTGCTTCTGGGTATTTACTCAAAGGAGTTGGAAACTTGTGTCCACACAAAAACCTTCACATGTGAAATATGAGAATAGTTATAATCTATAGTGACAAAATTAGATCAGCAGTTGCCTTTTTCTGGGAATGGAGGTTGGGGGATTTATTGCAAAAGGTCAGATGCTGATAGCAGTTGTATCAATAATTGTCAAAACTTGGAACCAACCAAGGTGTTTTTCATTAGATGAATGGATGAGTAAACTGTGGTACTTCAAGATAACGAAATATTTTTTCAGTGCTAAAAAGAAATGAGCTATCAAGCCATGAAAAGAGGAAACTTAAATGCATATTACTAAGTGAAAGAAACTTATCTGAAAGGCTATATATTGTATGATTCCAAATATATGACCTTTTGGAAAAGGTAAAACTAAGGGGACAGTAAAAAGATCAGTGGTTGCCAGTGTTTGGAGGTGGGGACAGGGAGGAGGCATGAATACGTGGAGCACAGAGGAATCTCAGGGCAGTAAAATTACTCTATATGATAGTGTAATGTTGGATACATGTCATTATAAATTTAATGTAATTATAAATTACATTAAAACCTAATGTAAACTATGAAATCGGAGTGATAATGATATGTCAATGTAGGTTTTCAGTTGTGACAAATATATCACTCTGATGGGGCATGTTGATAAAGGGGGAGGCTATGAATGTGTTGGGTCAGAGGTATATGGAAAATCTCTGTACCTTCTGCTCAACTTTGTTGTGAATCTAAAACAGCTCTAAACAATAGTCTATTAAAATTAAAAAATAAAATATTCAACTTCACCAATGAATAGATTTTTACCTAAATATTACATAATATGTGAAGAACCTAAAATAGTAAAGATAATTTTGTTTTGTAAAACAACATTATAGGATTTACCTTACCTAACTTTGAGGCTCACTGTAAAGCTACAGTAATAGAGACTGTGATAGTGGAATAAGGAGATATATATATATATATATATATATATATATATGCCATTATATATATATATATGCCATTATATATATATATGCCATTATATATATATATGCCATTATATATATATATGCCATTTTATATATATATATATATATATATATATATGCCAATGAAAAGAGAGTCCAAAAATAGACCCACACGTGGTCAATTGACTTTTGAAAAAAGATCCAAGGTAATTAGACGAGGAAATTATATCTTTCTCAACAAATGATGATGAAGTGAATGGATATCTACATGGAAAAAGAAAGCCCTTACCTAAGCCTCTACTTCACAGCAAACACCAAAATTTGCTGGAAATAAATCATAGACCCAACTGTAGAAGCTAAGACTATAAAATCTCTAGAAAAAAAATAAAGAAGATAATGTTCACAACTTTGGTGTAGGCAATGATTTCTGAAAGGGACAAAAAATATTAAGCATAATGAATGATTTAATAAATTGTATTTAATCAGAATTAAACACTTCTGCTCTTTGAAAGCACTCCAAATGCAAAGTCAAGCCACAGATTGAGAACAATACATATTATAGTAAATGTACTTGACAAAGGTCTTTTCTCTAGAATATGTATTTAAATCTTATTAATAATCTGGCAAACAAAGCAAAATGAGCAAAGATTTCAAGAAGAATTTCACAAAATAAGATATACAAATGACGATTAAGCACATGAAAATATGTTCAGCATCATCAAAGAAGTGCAAATGACACCACCAATGAGGTATCACCACACAAGCACTAGAATGGCTAAAATGTAACAATATTAGATGTTAATAAAGCCATAGAGCATCTGGAACTCCTATATATTGCTGTGGGAGGAATGTAAAATTATAAAACAACATTGGAAAAGAGGTTCACAGTTTTGTATAGCGCTAATTACATACCTGATAATATAACTCCTAAGACTTGATAGGAATAGAGAAATATAAACATGTCCATGCGAACACTGTGTTTAAATAATCATAGCAATTTTATTCTTCATAGCCCCAAACTGGAACAACCCAAATGTACTTTAATAGTTGAATGTATTAAAAAATTGTGATATATCCATACGATATAGAATGATAGATACTATTAGAATGATAGAATATTATTCAGAGATGAAAAGGAATGTATTACTGATATAAGCAACATGACTATACCTCCAAAACATGTTGCAAAGTGAAAGAAGCCAGACACAAAAGATTACTATTTTATTATTGTATTTACATGAAATATGAGAATAGTTATAATCTATAGTGACAAAATTAGATCAGCAGTTGCCTTTTTCTGGGAATGGAGGTTGGGGGATTTATTGCAAAAGGTCAGAAAGAAAACTTTTTGAGATTATAGAAATAGACTATGTATTGGGTACTTTGTCAGATGAGTATTTACATCTAAAAAATGTTTCAAATGAGCATATTTATTGTGTGTAAATTGTACCTTATTTAGGTTTATTTGGAAAAAATATAGCTCTAAATATACTGGTTCATTTTAATTTGGGTTAAATATTTAAGAATTTTTTCCATGTGCTGAATCAAACAAGTAGAGTTGACAGTGGAGATCATAGTCTTATTCTCAAGGCATTTTCATGTAAAATAGGAACTCAGGTAACTGCAGTAACTGCAGAAAAGCAGGTACAAATATTGATTATAAAATCCTGGGAAAATGTAAAGAGGAAGGGGATAGAGGGAACATGGTATATTTTCATTCCACAATTAGAGTTAGCAGCTGCATCATTCTGATTTTCCTTTTTATAAATATTTTTTATTATTTATTAGATTAACTAATTTGAGTTGAGGCCACAACATGGTTGAGTAAAAATAATCATTTTCCTTTTTATAAATATTCAATAAAACTTTTCCTTTTTATAAATATTTTTTATTATTTATTAGATTAACTAATTTGAGTTGAGGCCACAACGTGGTTGAGTAAAAATAATCATTCTGAGAATAGCAATAGGTTTAGAAGGTTAATTTAGGGTGCCTCTCTGCTATTAGATGTACCTGAAAAACACTTCTAGGCAAAATTAGACCAAATTAAAAACACTGGGGCTTCAATTATAATAAACTCTCAAATATAAGTTTTATTATTGTTTATTATAATAATAAATAATGTATAAGTGTGCAGACATGGGCAGACTACATTTTGCAAATTTCCACAGTAAGGTAAAAGGATTACAAAGCTTTCTGGTATAATATTAACAGAACTAAAAGACATGAATAATATTAAAGAATGGGCTTTGGCTAGTGATTTTCAATCAATTCTCTTCAAAGCAATACTCTCTTAATTTTACTGAAAGAAAATTCAACTTTAATATAATATTTAGATAAATCAATACATCTTAACTATAAAAAAGAAAACTATCTATATAAGACAATATGTATTTCAACATATAAATGCTTGGGTAAAACTTCCTTAGGAGGCAAAATAAAATAAAAGTTTGCACCTATTCTTAGATGACCCCAGTGTAATCGATGGGATGTTGATATTGTGCTGGTGACTCAAGTACCATGGGCAAGGTTGTTATCAGTGATGTGCTTCTCTGAAAGTACATCTTTACACCCATTGACAAATGGGTGTAAAATCCAAAAACACAAAGTAAATTATCTTCTCAATGTATATAGTAGATGCATCCTAGAAAAAAACAAACAAACAAACAAAAAACACACACAAAAATTTGATGTGGAAACAAACTTAAATTAGGTTTCAAATATAAGGCAAGGTTTTGTTGTTTTGTTTGTTTGTTTACTCACTACATAAATGACCAGTGGCCCATTCAGAAGTCTAAGGACAAAATATGTTGTAGGACTGTCCTGACCACTGAGGGACAGCTCACACCCTGACCCAACAGTACACTAATGCCTGCAGTACCCACCGTTCCCGGAGTAAACCAAAAGACATCCTGCGACTCACAAAATCCATTATGGAGTTGTTTTAAACCTTATGAGAACCACTGACCTAGGCCATAAAAAACAAATGAAAAAACAACAAAAACTAGGAATGGCAGTAGTTCTGTTGAGTTAAAGAGGAGAAAGAGGAGAAACCAGGACTGGAAGAGATGAAATTGTGAGTCTGGAAGGAAACTATTGCAAAGGCCTTTATTACCTTTAAGTAAATGTCTCCTAACTGAACTGAAAGCCTTCATTCTAACCATTAGTTTGGTCAGGAACATTTCAGGGACGCCAGGGTGGCTGTTTTATTTTGCACTTCCTTTACTGCCCTCCCAGCAGCCTACCTAGCAGTAAGTTCCCCAGCCTGCAGTGTCCCCAGAGGGCACCTTCCCTCGGCTAGTAACTTCTCAGACACTCTGGCCTTGGGGATGTCTTGGATCTTCTAGGTACACAGTGGCTGCACACAGTTTTGCCAGGCCTTTCTCAAGAGGTAAAAGTTCCTAGCTGTTTGCATTTCCCAGAAATAATGTTTTCCATGTGTAGGGATTTTACAGATTTCAAAGTGCTTTCATGTCAATTACTTTCTTTAATTTAAAAGAAGTTCAGATACCAGGTCAAGCTAGGAATGATCCGGTCTCAGAGGGAAGGAGCGCTCTAGGAAAGGAGGATCCTTTAATAGAGGGCCGTCCTGGGGCCGCGTGCCCATGGAAGGCGAGAGTGGAGGAGTGTCCTCTTTCTCCCCCACCCTCAGGCGGCGGCCCGGCCAAAGCCAGAGGGGGCTGTCTCCTCCTCTTCCCCAGCAGCTGCTGCTCGCTCAGCTCACAAGCCAAGGCCAGGGGACAGGGCGGCAGCGACTCCTCTGGCTCCCGAGAAGTGGATCCGGTCGCGGCCACTACGATGCCGGGAGCCGCCGGGGTCCTCCTCCTTCTGCTGCTCTCCGGAGGCCTCGGGGGCGTACAGGCGCAGCGGCCGCAGCAGCAGCGGCAGTCACAGGCACATCAGCAAAGAGGTACAGTCGAGGCATGGGCTTGGGTTGCATCCTTTGCCGGGACCGAGATTCCTCACTTCTTCCACTCTTCCGAGAGTTGCTGTCTGTGGACTGCCGTCTTGCTTCGCCTTCAGAGAGTGCGCTCTGGGGCAAGAGGAACTTGAAGCAAGTTCAAGTTCAATGCCATGAGAGCGTAGTGTAGGGGGAATTACCTAAGTCCTGCAAAAGGAACGGGGAGTGCTTTTCATTGTTCTTTAGTTTCGAAGAGGTCTTGCTATCACGATACATCCCGTAAATTGATTTCTGAAATCTTTCCAAGAGGAAAACTTTTTCCAATTGGAAAAAAAAGAATTTCTTCAAATCAGAGCCCATCCTGCAGAGAAAGGCTTCCCAAGCTGTGTGGTTCATCCTGGGACTTTATGGAGGGTAGCTGATGCATCAAAAAAAAATTATATATATATATATACACACACACACACACACACACACACACACACACATATATATATATATAAAGTTTTACAGAACTTTGTTTTCAACTTTTAAAACAGGATTTCTAAAGAAGTTATGTGGTTTTTTTTCTTTCATGGCAATGGCGCCTCCAGCCTCACCTTTTTCAAACCCACATCTTATCTTCATATCCTATTTTATTGTAGTGAAATCGTGAAATTTCTCCTTTTGCTTAAATACAGAGGAGACTTCTATGTCATGTGTACTTTAAGGCCACAGTGACTAGATATACACTTTGGAGGACTTTGGAAGATGGCTGTATTTAATGTAACTTAAATAACTTATTCTCCTCAGAGCCTCTTAGTGTTTATGTATATATAGCTCTCATTTCTGAAACTTTGGGGAGTCTTTGAAGAGTTATTTTATTATCATGAATTTTACAGGAAGCACATGTGCAGCATTGTAAGACATACTTTGTAACACATTATTTCAGCAAACAATTCTTTAAGTTGGAAAACCTGTATCAAAGTAAAAAAAAAAGAAATATTTATTATTCGGTTTTAAATATGAAAATGTTTAACCTAAGAGTACAAAATCTGTAGGTTAGAAGCTTTTAAAAGTTTTAATGAGGCTGAATCTGCTTAAGTTTTGAAGTATACTTATCCTTCTTCCAGTTAACTTCTAGCCAAGTCAATAGTTCTGATATTTGTTCTTATAATCTAGCATTTTTAGCAGTACTATTTTTTAAGGAGTAAAGAGATATCCCAAGCTCTTTCTATAATAATAACTCCCTGATTAAAATTCTTGGAATAAAAATGACCTTGCATTCACTATATAACTTTTTTCCTTCTATTTTTGCTTTTGCTTCTCTGAGAGGTAAAATGGGGCCAATATGACTTAATTAATATAATTTACGAGAGTGATTTTAAGAGTATCTCTGGCCACTTATTTTTAAAAATTCTACTTTTAACTATTAAACTTTGCTCAATTACAAGGTGTGTTTAAACAAGACATAATACTTTAATAATGTTAGGCAGCTGGGAGAAATGAGGGGCCAGGGGCACCAATCCTTATGTCCACTTGGAATGGGGCAGAAACTCAAAGCATGCAGAGTAAGGATCAAGTAAATTGTTGCTAAGAATTATCCTGAACACACACAGGATTTCTCTTTTTTCCTCTCCCTTCTTATTTACTCTCTTTTCAAATAAGGTAATATTAACTCTGATTTCTATGACCCAGGCACAAGATGAAGTGAATTCAGGAGGAAGGGTTTATACTACCATTCTGTCAAGATACCACTTAAATGCTACATACAATAAGGAATTTTATTCAAAATAGCTACAACATACAATCTACTATAGGCTGCTATAATCTGCATTCTAGTATATATTATTGTCTTTGTCATAGACCATTTACAATATATCTGGAGGTTGGCTCAAGGATAAATGACTTAAACCTGTTAATGTTGAAAGTATGTAAAATTCATGAAACTTTAAAATTGGATAGTGATTTATGATTTAAAAATGCCTTATGTACACGATCTTTATTCACCTTCAGATATTATTATTCTCAAAGGACAAATTTAGAACTTAGGCTTCCAGTAGTTGTAATTTAAGTTTACATAATAATAACTTTATTTCAACAACTAAAACACTTCCGGTATTGTTTGTGCTGAATTCCCTTTTTTATGGTTCCAAGGTTTCTTTCCATTAATTGTTTAGGCCATGTTTTCTTTTTAGTGTTGTTCCATTGAAGCAAGCCCTCTGTGAAAATCACGGGATATGAGTTTGACTGGAGAAGGGTTTTCCTGGCTATGATCAACTTTTCTGTTTTCGATTATACTAGCACTGACCTTTCTAGGCAAGCGCTAATTGTGTAGAAGTTCTATTTCCCCTTATAATTCGATACCACTTTATTAAGAATTTTTGACATGAATCAACCATTTTTAGATGTTGCAGTTGAGTTAGAAACATAACCAGACTTTTTGTTTTTTACTTTTTCTTTGAAATCTTATGTGGTTTCTATAGCATACTCGATTGTAGTATGAATAGCATTGATTCAGCAAGAATGATATTCCAAGGAAATTCTTTAGCTATATTTAAAATTGACGAAATAGAATGATGCAATCAAAATGATTCTGCATTTCAGCAAGGCAGTGTCTAAAATGTTTTCTGATATTCTTGTGAATAATATGTGGAAACTGAAGCATAATGGCAGGTAAATTGCAACTGATTGAAAAATAGTTCACAAAGAATATTGCATAGTGGATTAAGGTCAATCCGGAAAGAAGTCTCTAGCAGTGCAACAGAGGTTTTCTTATACTCAACTATCTTGGTAATGGCTTGATGGAAAATGTAAAATCCAAGCTTATCAGAACTGCATGTGGTCCAAAATTGATAGAGGTGGCTAAGCTGGTTACTAACAAGTTCAGAAATTTTAAAGGTCTCTATAGCCTTGACCATGAATGGCACCTACATGAAGTTGCTTTTATTATTCATATCCACATGTTAAAAAAAAAAAGTCCATTTGTGCTCTTCTGGAAATTAGTTACATTGTTTATATGTTTAGGAATGAATATGAAGACAGGAAGAGAAAGGCCACTCTGAATTGCAGCAAGTTCGATATGAACATATAGTGTAATATGGTGACAAAAAAGGTTGGCTCACTTTTACACAAAACTCATAGAAGCACATAGGTCTGTTGCTTAACACACATTTGGGTATTTCATTGACAAATGGGTGTAGATGCAGAGAAGGGAGAGCAGAATGGTTAAGAGTCTGAGAAGATTTTCAGAAGAGGAATGTCCCAAGTAAAATCTTTCCATCTGAACAAGGAAAGATTTAGGGAAGGCAATCATAAGGACTGTCCTCAAATTTTCAGAAGAGTCGTTATGTTAAAGAGGGACTATTCTAAAGGCTGAAGGTGGATCCATAGAAGAACATGACAAACAACCAGGTTTGAATTTTATAATATGGAGAAAATAGCTCCTCTCCTCACTTCCTCCCCATGCCATTTTGAGTTGTTCAGAAATAGCTGAATTGTGTTTGAGCAACTTGCTTCTGGAAATGACCATGCAGTGATCAGATGTACAGTTAGTGAGGGATGCTTTATGAGGGAATGCCTCTACTGAGAGGAAGTTAAGACTCATCAACTGTCTAGCCATTTGTCAGTTCTAAGATTCTAATATTATAGTCTATTGCTTTTAGAGTGCATACTTGCATTTAAATTTCTGAATTCTTAAAATGTCAAGAAAATGTTAAATATATAAAAATGTGTTTTTAAATCCCTTCTGGGATTTAAAATAAAAACATGTTTGAGACAATCCTCACACATTTTTGGCAAGAATACTTAGATATTTAGCATGGATTTTCCACATCATCGTCAATTGCACAGTTCTAAAACATCTTGTGTTATAACACGCAAGAATACTTTATAAATTACCTGAGAAATTTTCAGGGGATTCATAGTGGCCATAAACCTGGAATTAATTTTTTTAAATATTTTTCTTTGCTGCATATGTTAACTTTTTGGCTTGTTTGCCATATACTGACCTAATCATTTAGTAAAAATGATTCATAACAGATAAAATGCATGGCATTTCAACATATTCAAAATATTTATATGAACATATTCAACACTGAATATTATAGATGTGATAGAATTAATAAAATTTATATAAATTTTATATTATGTTATATTTCACATATCAATGTGTACAGATTTCTGGTCTATCTTAAGATTTTTCTACCCTAGGATTTCATGCAAACTAATGAACTGAATCTATATCAAGGGATGCTGGGGGCTGGGCAAGGTGGCTCACTCCTGTAATCGCAGCACTTTGGGAGGCCTAGGTGGGTGGATCACCTTAGGTCAGGAGTTCAAGACCAGCCTGACCAACATAACGGAAACCGTGTCTCTACTAAAAATACAAAAATTAGCCAGGCGTGGTGGCATGTGCCTGTAATCCCAGCTACTCAGGAGGCTGAGGCAGGAGAATCACTTGAACCCTGGAGGCAGAGGTTGCAGTGAGCCGAGATCGTGTCATTGCACTCCAGCCTGGGCAACAGAGGGAGACTCTATCTCAAACAAAACAAAACAAAACAAAACAAAAATTTAAAAAGATTTGCAACTTATCATCTATCCAGTTTGCAGTAGGGCCTTATTTAGCATCTAGAAACCATGTGAAAAAGATCAGGAAGAAATTATTGTAAATAATTATTGTAAATGGTTGCACAAGTGGTTTAACTTCTAATCTAGAAGATTCGGGTTTAGGATTTGTTTACAGTTGCAACTTGAGCCTCGATAGCTAAACAGGAATTTAGGCAGAAGCTCCGTTTCAGTAAATGAGAAAACAAGACAGAGTTTAGAGAAAGATAAAAGTAGATTTTCCAGGCTTAGTATATACCAAGCAGATAGAAATAAAACTAATTCTAGGCTTTCCCCATTGGTAAGACTGAATTTAGAGGTCAGAAGTTGTGAAGGAAATTGGTGGGGTTGGGCCTATATGCATTGGAATGTGGTAAATGAATGAATGTTTACAGTGAGTAAAGAAGATAAAAAAATTCCTGCTCTTGTGGAACTAATATTTAGTTGGGATGGAGATGAGCAGACAGGACTATGATGAATATATGATGAAGCAACAAAAGAACACCTATATTGTATAAAATGTAGTTGATGAAAAATGTCCTGGACAAACAAATACAACGGGGTAAGGACAGTCAGGAGTTCTAGGAATGGAGGGAGGTTGATGGCTATTTTGTTGGTAAAGGTTGGTAAAGGTTGACCTCTTTGAGAGGATCTCACTTTGGCAAACACTTGAAGATGACGTGGGAGTGATTTGTGCAGTTATCAGGGGGAAGAGTACTCTCTGTACAGGGAGCAGGCCTATGAGGATCTAAGCTTGGAGCATGGTGAGAAGGCTCAGAGGAGAAATGGGAAACTGGAACACATAGCATTGTTGACCTTAATTTTAAAGATTTTGCCTTTTTGTCTGAGTGAGATGAGGAGGCATCGGTGAGTTTTAACAGAGTTAAATAAATGAATAAAATCACAGGTTTTTTTGTCTCAAATACGCACTAATCCATGGGACTAGACCAACAGTCCAAGCATAGAATTATTTTAGATTTATCTCTTGTCCCAAACACTCCACTGATAGAACACATTTAAGTGATTCTACATTCAAGAGCATTCCACTTCAACCATCTTATCATGGTGAAGCTCAGATGTGTCTTTGTAACACTCTTTTCTTCCCTTTGGCAACTCAGTGCTATTCCATTATTCAAAATATATCAGTACCTCAGAAACAATTTGTGTGCAGGGAACTTCCGCAGCTTTTAAAAATTTTGCTCCAGTGTAGTTAGAAATATGACAGATTTTTAAGGGTAATTTTAAATAGTATGCACTTTAAAACAAAAATGAATTATTCACAATCCCACATGGACATATAGGTACTTTGGAGTTCCCTTTTTTATTATCTATTTCAATCTCAGACGCTAAAGTTTAGACACAATTGTTGAAAATGACATAGTGATGTATTGATCTGATGATTTCTTTTATGATATGAAATTTGAAATGCTACCTGTTTTACATTCAGAAACTTATTCTATGTTCTGTTTCCATTTTTGTTACTGTTTTAAGAATCACTTGTAAGCTTTAACAATAACGTTTTGGACTATAGTAATGCAATTTTGGCCTAATTTAATTCTGTCATTTAGAACAAAAAAGGTAAAAAAATTGGATAGCTTTTCCTTCTCTCTCCCTCTCTTCTCTTTCTCCCTTCCTTTCTTCCTTCCTCCCTTTCTTTATTTTCCTTTTCCCTTAGTATTCTTCCTGTGAATAAAATAAGGTAATTAAAATAGATAATTCTAACAAATATAACATTTAGGAAGATAGTAAGGCAAAACTTTACTTAAATCTTCCTTATTAAAAGCCACAGGTAATTACTATCTAAAGATAGTTTGAGACATATTTTCAGGGTGAGTTAAAGCTAAAGACATTTGCTTGTCAAAGATGTATAATATGGGTTTAAAAATGTTTTTCTCCTAAGTAATCTTGAGTGTGGATCTTAATATGGGAACTTTATGCTATTTGGATTTTATTTGGACACGTGACATTTACAAAAGATCATTGAGGATTGCCTATTAATGGGTTATTATTCATAATATCGGCCTCTGTGACATGCCTAATCTAGTTCAAACAACAAGTTAATCTATGCAAATTCCTGATGATGAAAACCTCAGGAGCTATTTAGTGCCTGGCACTTAGGAAATGTACCTTGTGCAATGTTAAGTATGTCTCTGTATGTGTAGTCCACTCAACTGACCCCCGAACTGTGTACCTCCCCAAGGCTCTTCATTTAGCTGCGTCTTGAGTGCCAGATGGTTTAGATTGGTATAATAATATGTAGTGCATTGTGAGCATTAACACATTTACTTACGTAGCAGAGCTGTTTAGTAGATTAATATAATTATCCTCAGTTTGTAGAAGGAAAATATGCCCAGCAACTTGTCAAGGACAAACAAAAATTCCAATGCTTATTTTAGAATTAGAAATTAAATTACGGTCCTGCTCTTGACTTTGTAGATGCTAACTATCACCTCTTTTGGACTTTTATATATTTATCTTTCATAAAATACCCTGAGGAAAAAAAAATCCATTTCTAAGTTATGTTAGTCTATCATATCCAGAGATTCATTTGGTATTATGGAAGAACAAAAAATAAAATGTGTAGTCTTGAAGGGTCTTTTTCATTTAAATACACACACACACACACACACACACACATGCTGCTTATTACTATGTAGACATATACACACATGTATTACTTAAAACTATGCATTAATTCAAATGCATTCATCAAATTTTAGTGTTTACATTCTTGGAACTTTGATTACTGGACACTAGGCTATAAGAAAATATTAATTGATTCTTTATTGGCTTTTCTGAAGTAACTTTACAGAAGTTACTTCAGCAAGCTAGAAACAACGGTATTTATTATACTGTATAATGAACCCTTTAAGAATAGTCAATGTGTAAATGTCAGTGAATGAAAAGAACAAGAACCAAACAGATATACCTAAGAATCAGAGCAAGATTAATCTCAAAATTCCTTCTGAAAAGATGAAAAACCTTGACATCTTCATAAAAACATTTAAAGACTTTCATTTGAAGTTGAACTCAGTTAAGACAAAAGTCTTCCAATCTCCCAGATTTTGAGAGGGTGTATTTGTGTATGTATGTGATTGCAGCACCAGTGCACATGTACCATTTACAGCCTAGCACTCACAGGACCTAATTTGTATATTTAGTATGTTTTCTGTTTGATTTTTGTTGTCTTAAGGTATTAGATTTTGTTTATCAAAATCTTTGAATAAGAAAATCTAAAAATTGAATTTCTAGAAAACTCTAGTTGCCTTGACAAATGATTATGGACCAAAGAATAAATTATAAATGAGACAATTATAATATTCCATCCAGTAGCTATACTGTTAAAATTCCAAGGTATAATCCCTTTCGAGTTGCTTGTAACTTAGAAGGTCCTATTCTATAGAAGAAATAGAGTTAGTAGAGTTTGCTGCATCAAATATATTTTTTCAAATGCCTACATATTATAGTTGACACAATTTCCTGGCTTTATTGCCTTCTGTGCAATTTTCAATTATTGGATGAGGCTGAAAGTTTGAAAGAGAATATGAAGCAGTGCAATTGTCATTTCAGTGAGCTACCTCATCTCATTGGTTTGTCGTGGTACATATGTAAAACACTGAATATAAAACATGAAACATCTAGTAAGGCCTCAATAAATGTTCATTTTCAAAATGCCTCAAAAAATGAATTAAACCTAACAACCTAACATGACATTCTCTGGCTGAAAGAAACACTCTTCTCCAACATCATGTGGTATACCAAATTCAGTTGAGACTGTTTGTGAAGGAAGGAATTTGCTTATATACTTAAACACACAAGTATTTGAATTCTAATTAGAATTTGTGCTGCAGTATTTCTTTATTCTCAACTTTATAGCTTAGCCTACAATAAAAACTCTTATCAATACGTACCTCTTTATACCTTTAGTTTCCACATACAGTACTCTTCTTTGGAGGTAACTGAATCGTAGAAAACGTATGGACTTAGGAGAAGGCTAGACTCGGATCCATAGCCAAGTCACCACTTTACTAAGATCAAAAGCCTGAGTCAACGGAGTTAAATTTTCTATTCGTAAGATAGGTTTAGGTTAGATAATAAATGTGAAAATACTTGCCAGCTAATCAGTAAATACTAGCTCTTTTCTTCTTTATTTTATGAGCATAAAACTAAAAAAAAAGATTTGCTTTGCATATAGCATATCCTTTTTGCTTAAGAACAGCAAAATATTCTAAAAATTTCTTTGAGGAGACCCTAAGAGACTATAGATGGCAAACTATTTATCTCATTGCCAAGAGATTGAATAATTCTGTCGAGGTTACACAGCAAGTCAGTAACAGAGATAAGAAGAAACACAAGTTCCTATAATTAGCTAACAGTTATGTTAGTAGCTCTGTGTGAGAAGTGATTTAAAACAGGCAACATGATGGAAATTTTTGCAATAATTTGTAGTTATTCATACTTCAAATGTGGTACAATAAACGTTTTTTCTAGGAATCTCATTGTTGAATATGTATTTATTTTGTTGATAAACTATTTTTTAAAAACTTCTTTAATACTTATAATATGTTTAGATAAATATATGGCATATAGTAAGCACTTCATAAAGGTTAGTTATTATTCTTAGTCTATGAAGTATATGTTTTCATTGACATCTGCTTGGGTAGAGATGACAATGTGGCGTGTTTGACACACAATGTAAGTTAATTTCAGCATGGCCTTCAGTGGAAAGTCTAATTGGATTGCAGAAAATCTCTCAATATAGATTGTCTTTATTTGGACTCTCCCTAATTACTATAGTAAAAAAAATTCTTGGAATACATTATTTAATACAACTCTGGATAGGGAGGATTCTTAGTGTGTCTACTTGTGTATTAAATTTTTAGTGTGTCTATTTTGTATTAAATCTACTATTAAAAAAACCACCAAAAAACAAAACCAAAAAACCTACTTCAGAAAATCATATAGTACTCTAACAAATCTCTAGAGAAAACTGCTTTTCTAAACTTGGGAACGCTGGATTTTGAAAATATTTCAGACAAAACACTTCTTAAAGGCCCGTTTACCATCAAAAAGTTTCAATCTTGCCTAACACATAATGTGCAAATATTCATTTTTTCATTCTGATACATTAGAAAAGTCACTGGATTTGTAATTGGAATTCCAAAATATAAATTTTCCCTCTAGCTCTTCCTAAAGAGATTACCTTAAACATGGATAAGTCACTTAACTATTCTGAAATTCAATTTTCCATCTAAAAAATGACAATGTAATGTTCGAATCTATTTCATGGGGTTGTTATAAGGGTTAAATAAGGCAGACCATACAAATACCATTATTAATACTATTTGTTATTATAATAAATGACAGAGTTGGTCTTAGGCATCATTGGTTATGAAGTTTTGCTCCACCCCCTTTCTTTGTTTTTTTTCCCCAGTGGCTCCTAACCATTTGTTATTAATTAATAATGTTATGTATTAATATACATATATGTATTAATAATGTTGTTAATAATGTTATGTATTAATATACTTAGTTCTCCTGTTTTCAAGGACCCATGACACATAGCTTTCAAACATGGCACAAATTATTTGTTTAGTAAACATATACATACTACTGCATAAGAAGAAAATATGGTATCTGAAAGTGTACATCAGCTTCCTACAAACAAGTAGCAAAGAGTAAGTATTCAGTGAAATTATAAAACTATCATAAAAATAGCCTAAGGGCTCTGAAACATTCTATGTCAAGATTCCTTTTTATCCTCTTAAAAATAATTGAAACTTTGATTTATGGTATATCTACTATTTGATTGTATTAAAATTAAAATTGGGAAATTTAAAAATGTTTACTAATTAATTTAAAATACCAGTAATAAAACAATTACATGTTGACAAAAAGAACATAACTTTATGAAAAATAATTTTATATCCAAAATAAAACTCTTCAATGTCTGGCTTAATAGAAGAGAACTGGATTCTCATTTCTGCCTCTGCGTTCAAATTATTACATGTTATTTTAGTTTAAATTATTTTGGTTTAAGCATATTAAGAAATATATAACAACAAACATAGATAAGCTATTGGAAAAAAGAGGAGTCTGTCAGTGCCTTTTAAGATAGCTGTAAATATTCTTTGATTCTATACCAAAACTCAGTAAGTGGTAGTTTTCAAAAGATTGGCTGCAGTGTGGTATCTGAAACTGCATCAACGATATTTTTGTACGCTTTTATATTAAAATCTACGGATCTATCTTACACCTGGAAAGAATTTTACCCATGTGTGATGTTATAGTATCATTCATAGATCATTTGGAAGATACTGATTTACTAGTTATGCAGATCAGCCACAACTTGACAGATTTTCTTATAAAATATTTTAATTACATTTTTTATGACTATTGATCTCACCAGAAAAGTCCCTAAATATTAGAAGCTGTTAATCTCACAATGGTAGAGACAAATTTTTCAGAATTTTTATTTTCATTTGTAAGTTTCTGTAGTTATTGACAAATTTTGTTATTTTTCTTGAAATAGTTACTTTATTCATTCTTAAGAAAATGTTTATCAAACAAATGAGTCTTAAAAACCATAGTTAGATCCTTTTTGTAGTACATAGGGTATTCCACGAAAAAAGTGGCTAGTTTAGCTTGCAGCTGAAAACAACTGTACAAATGCTTTTCCTCAAATCAACCATCATGCTTCAGTATACAGTTGATGTTAAAAAGATGTACCCAAGATTTAATAAATTTAATCATTGTTACTACTTCATCAAGTACATTCATCTGTGAAACTAGTTGTTTTTTTCTTCTGGGAGTGTGTGGTGGTGAAAACTAAACTGACCACTAGCATGGTTTAGTACCCCTGCCTTGATTTGTGCTAATGTACCATCAGTGTTTCCCACCACTATTGCTTTTGCACCATCAGTGCACATGTCAACACAATGAAAAGGCAGATAATAATTAAATCTTGTTACTAAAAGGATTTTTGAACTTGTGTACCTATGGATAATGTATTGTGGACTCCCAGGGATTCACAGATCTTTCTTTGAGCTCTACAGGGTTGGACTACAGTTAAGTTCCTCACTGCCTGCCTCTTCACCAATTCTACAAAATCTATAGCCATATGAAGGTAAATTTTGCAATCAGAAAAAGCCAAAACCACTTCAGTTTTTACCTCAGGTCTAGTCTAGGAGAGTGATACCATTTCTTTTTAAGGGGGAAGAAATCCAGAAAAGCTTCTTCTGTGGAAAAAGCAGGAAGTGTTAAAACCAGCCAGACATACATATAGAAATCAAAATCTCTGCCATATCATCTGCCCTTCTTAATTTCCTTTCACTTGCCCAAACTATAGTAGAGATAGTGTACTTACCCACAGTTGGACATATGATGTTATTCCTAATAGACTTAAAAAGTGAACTCATGGCGGGGCGCGGTGGCTCACGCCTGTAATCCCAGCACTTTGGGAGGCCGGGGCGGGTGGATCACGAGGTCAGGAGATCGAGACCATCCTGGCTAACATGGTGAAACCCTGTCTCTACTAAAAAAAAAAAAAAAAAAAAAAAGCAAAAATTAGCCGGGCGTGGTGGCGGGCGCTTGTAGTGCCAGGTACTCTGGAGGCTGAGGCAGGAGAATGGCGTGAATCCGGGAGGAGGAGCTTGCAGTGAGCCGAGATTGCGCCACTGCACTCCAGCTTGGGCAACAGAGCGAGACTCCGTGAACTCATGAGCAAGGTTTAGTACAAAGGAAACATACTAATATCTGTAATTCTGAATATTAGCAGAAGAGATTTTTATTCCTTGCTGAGCTCCTGAACTCACATCAGGAGGGGTCCTTTGTTCTTTTCATAGAAAGAATTCCTGTTGGAAGCACTGGATATCGTATTTCTCAAAATATGGAATTTCCTTCATTTATTTCTAGCCTTTGAAGTTTTGTGATTTCTAAAGCATTTAAAAGGTTTTGTAATGTTGAGAACCTAAAACGTGATTCTTTTCTCTGTGCCCATCTCATACCATTGTATGTGTGTCATATGATGGATCTGGTTTCTTTTTCTTATTTGTTGGGAGATGTCCAGAGACTCAAGGATCTATCCTTTGACCAAATTTTTCACTCTTCAAGGGCCTCATACTGCTCTGATTTCAGATGTATAGATATATTGCTTATCAAACACTGATGGGTCTGAACATGAGTGGTAGTAAGATATTTCCAGATTAAGTAGACAAATTGTGCAGAACTTTTTAGTATCACTATTTAAATGACTAAATTTTTGAGGTTTATGTGTATCCAGCCCAATATGTCCTCTCCTTATCTAGTATAATTTATCTTTAAAAATTAGACTGGCTTGGCATATGTCAGATTTTGTATTTAACAGACTTTTTATATATTTCTTTGTTAGGAGGTGTTCAATGTTAGACAAAGTGAACAGATTACTTTGGAATCCATGTCCTGGTCCTGCTGAATAACATGTCCTCACCCTCCTTCCATTTTTTTTTTTTTCTGCCATACACATTCCAGTAACACTGAAAGAGTTAATTGATGTGTCCCATCTTTATTGCTTTTGTAAATAGCTATAGATACACTTTATATGTAGATAATGGTATGTTTTAAAATTCTGCAAAAATAGCTTTTCAATTCTCTTTATTCTCTTTCTCAAGCTTTGATAAAATATTTTTCATTCAACTTTTAGGGACTGATTTTCTCCATAGAGTTCCTGATGTGGTGCTACTGGAGTGATGCTGAGAAAACATTATTCTAAATGTTTTTTAGAAACATTTTTTAGAAAACATCATTCACCCAGAATCTGAAATTTTATCTTTATTTATTTATTCCTTTGGATAAAACATTGCCCTCACAGGCTATTCTTTTCTAAAATGTTTGCTGTGCTGTTATTATTCACTTTAATGGAAATTAATTTATCTGCTGACCTCCTTTTTGACAGTTTAGGACTGTATTAAGTTTTCAGATCTGCTCGGTGAGAAATAGTGAAATAAAACTAGTTAACATCTATGGAATACCTAACTATGGGCCAGCACTGCTGTAAGCATGTCTCATGCCTTAATTTATCAAAGGTAGATGCTATTAATCTCATTTAACAGAAGAGAAAACTGAAATGCAAAATGTTAAGTAACTTTCCAAAAGTAAAACAACCAGTGAACTGGTAGAGACCAAGATTTGGACCTAGGTAGTTCTACTTTGTGGCCCATTCACCTACCCATGGCAGCGTGTGACCTCAACCCTGAAAGAGTACAAATTAGTAAGTAAAGGGCTTCCTTTAGTGACATACTTCAGAGGTGATTTTATTTCCCTTTTTTGTGAGATTTCCTATGAAAAGATTAACAATTTAAACAATATTTGCCATTTAGATTCAGCACTATGTCCTGATATATCAGAAGAGTCTATGAACTTTTTTTTTTTAAAGACTCCTTGGAGATAGCAATGAATGAATTCTTAACTGTGTCAGGCATGCCTGAATTTTTTGAGTCATATAAGAGTTTGTAGCACTCCTAGAATTGTTAACTTAATTGGTAAGAATGTGCTTTTTTTCTCTTTGTTGTTGTATGAAGTGTTAAACCAAAAATAATCAAGGCCCAGGGCTTTTCCTGGTCCATTAATGGATATATGACAAGTGATGGCAAAAGGATAGTTACAGTTATTAACTTAATCATTAATTGGCTCAGGGTATCCCCAAAACCGCAGTTGGAACTGAAGTGCTACAAAAATGACCATTTTGTTGTTATAGCTTTTCTTCACATAAGGAAATAAATAAGCAAAAAGAGGGAGTGTCTTATCTATTTGTTGATCAAAGATCTTGTAATTCTGCTTATGGTAACTCCCAGAGTAGAGAATATCATCCAGTTGGCCCCCTTTATGAACTTGGATTGCAATGGAAGTCCTATCGGCCAGTTTACTAGTTAACAGGAGCTGTAGTACTAGAGCTATGACTGCATCAGAAGTCCAGCAGTGTGGGCACAAAGCAGCGCAGCACTTTTGAAGTTAGACATCGAGAGTTTGAGTCCTAGATTCACACCTTGCTGGCTGAGTGCTGTTGCAATAGTGCTGTTGAGTGAGTTATTTAACTTCTTTAAACCTGATCATCCTCACCTTTAAGAGAATGAAAATAGTAGTGCCTTTTTAAGGATTAAATGGAATTAAGTATTTAATTTGTATTCAGAAGAGGATGGAATCATCATTCAAAGACTTTACAATCAGTGGTGTTTTCAGCATGGACAACTGGAGCTTTAACTTAAAAGATCTAGAAACTGGGCTTGTTGGCCACAGTTTTAGTGTGATTAGAGGTGGTCATAGGGTAGTCAAAGTTGCCACTATCCTGGTTATGGATGGTAATAGAACTGCCTATTTATTTGATGTCTTCACTTAGTTGTCTCCTAGGTCCTTCACAGCGAACATTTGCCAGGATTGAACATAGGTACTCTGCATTTCCTCAACTCTTTTCCCATCAGCTTTTCCCAACTCAGAAAATGGTACCATCATTCACCCCTTGAATCAAATTTGACATCTAGAAGTTACTATTAACTTCTCTCTTTCCTTCACCTCCCAGATTGAAATAATCAGCATGTCTGTCATCCACACCACCAGAGTTTATTCCATAAATATCCACATCTTTTTGTCCCTATTGCCTTCTAGACCACAGCACTCTTTTTTTGCCTATGCAACTTCAGCAGCCTCCCAGCTGCTCTCCCTTCTTTTCTCTTTTCCATTTTACAATCAATTTTCCATGCAATAGGCAAAGTGAACTCTGAAAATAGTAAATCAGATTAGATCTTTCCTCTGCTTAAAACCTTTCAATGCATTTCTATTATAAGAATAAATTCTAAATTCATTAGATTTTAAGTCTATTCATGACAGCTCTTGTATTTTTCTCTGATTTCAAATTATTCTCTTTTTCTGTTATTTACCAGCAACAGTAAAGACTTTTTTTCCGTCTCAAGGCCTTTGTCCTTGCTGTTCCTCTGTCCAGAGCATTGTTCCATTAGATCCCTGATGGCTGTCTCCTTCTCAATATTCCAATCTCATGTCAAATGTCACCTCTTACAGAGGCCTTTCCAGAGGACCACTTTAAATTAGCTTCTGTCAGGCACTCATCTCCCTGTTGTAATTTCTTTGAACAATTAAATGTTTATCTTGAATACCCTTGTTTATTTACTTTTCTTCTTTGTTGTTTGTCTCCCCAGACTGTTGGAATATAAATTTTGTTATAAAATGGCCTTCATCTCCAGAGCTGAGGAGATACATAAATATTTTTTATTTTGAATTAACACATGGCTGTGTTCAGGCTCTTCTGAATGTAATTCCATGGAGGAGGTCAAAATTGGATTCCTGTATGTAGTGAATCTGTCCCGTTTATGATTTTCAGTTATATAATTAGTTAGAAGACCAATCCAATCATATTTCAGATAAACCTCAAGAGCAATTGCTATGGCAGAGAACTAGAAGGGTATTTAATCAACTAGTTCCTTTTCCAAGATCTTTAGCTCTTTAACAGTTATAAATTAATAAAGTATGTTATATAATGCTAGGACTTTTTGTCTTTCATTGTTTCTGTTGCTTTATCTCCAGCTTCTAGTCTGACATATGGTAGGCACTCAAAAATTGGATGAAGAAGCAGCTCTTTTTGGACAGACCAAGAGTGTTGCCTTTTAAAACATTTTATGTGTACTTTTTCCCCCTGATCCTTTTATAGTATGAATGAATGTTTGTATAAGACATAAATTTCTACAAATACTGAAACACAGTATGGACAGATATGAGTTATTATTATTAATATCACCTAGATAATAGATAAAATATTTTAGAAAGTGAGGCTACCTTAAATTATCTTGCTTCTTGAGTTTTTTTTTTCCCCTCTAAGGATATTCCAGTAAGAGTTGAGCAGTATTTAAGCTTTGGATAAGGAATGCATATTTCTTGGCTTAGTCAGAACTTTTCTGGATGGAAGGTCTTTTTGGATGAGAATTATACTACATAAGATTAAAATGCCCATTTAAGATGTAAATTATAGGGATAAAATATAGATAACTCACATGGGGTGATTTGATTGGCATCTGTTTTCATTTTTCTTTGTTTCTTTTTAGATACCACCAAAGTCCTTCCTATTTCAGGCAAAAAGATATGTTTTAAAAACCACTCACAAGGCCTCTACAATATGTCAGATAATGCATGTGCGTGAATGTCCTTGGATGTGTATGGTCTCTTGCTTGAAGTTATCAGCCAGCAAAATGGTGAAATACTTAGAATTAATCAAACATCTGGAGGTCAAGAAACGCAGTACCTATATTCTTCTCCTTACTTTAAGAATGAAACTAATAAAAAATAAGGCGGAGCTGGCCCTTCAGCAAAGGAGGGATTTTTATTATATGAGTGAATTTGAGAGAAAGGGGGACAAGAAAAGACCTTTGAGATCAGGGCCCAGGTCTGTTTTGTTACTACTGTATCCTTACTGCATAGCACAGTGCCTGGCACCTAGCATGGTCACAGTAAAGATTGAATGATAGAAAAATAGAAAAGGAAGAGCTAACTTTTAGGAAGGAACACTTACTTCCCACTTACAGTTATTGAAAAAACTATGAAGATGGTTAACATCATGATACTGTCGGATGTAGGCAGTTACAATTTCTACTCAACGATAGAAAAAAGAACTAAAGAGAATTTACCAGGACATGAAAGAAAGGTGTAAGATCATGGATTCCTGAAACAGGATGTTCCAATTAAATATTTAAATTTAAGTGAGGATTGTAGGAGTTTAACAGCTATTTAAAATACGCCCTGCTGCTTTCCTTCCTAGGTTCTCCACACCTTCAAAGCTCATCACTTGGATAAGATTGCCTCTTTACTTTTTCCAAATCAATCTGGTTCATCCATTTTTTGCAAAAATGAAAACTCCCCTCTTTCACTAAGGTATTTGAGCCATCAAGAACACCCTCCTGTCTAGGCATGGTGGCTCACAGCTATAATCCCAGCTCTTTGGAAGGCCAAGGCAGGAGGATGGCTTGAGGCCAGGAGTTCAAGACCAGCTTAGGCAAAATAGTGAGATCCCTGCCTCTACAAAAATAAAATGAAAAAATTAGCTGCGTGTGGTGGCACATGCCAGTGGTCCCAGCTACTCAGGAGGCTGAGATGGGAAGATTACTTGAACCCGGGAGGTCGAGGCTGCAGTGACCCATGATCACACCACTGCACTTTAGCCTGGGCAACAGAGCAAGACCTTATCTAGGAACAATAAAAAATTCATTATTCATTATTTGATCCAAAACAAAAACATGTTATAGACTATCTATAGATTCAATTTTCAAAAATCCTATGCTTCTCATCTCTAAATATTGTTATAATACTGCAATTTTCAAATTAGCTTTCACCTTTAAGAAATGCTACTTTCCATATTGGAATGAATAATTAATATAGAACCAAAATGCATGTCTGGGATTTAGAAAATCTTGGGATTCTGTTTCCATCCTTGCTTATTTTTTATTAAGCTAAGTCATTCATTTTAAGAAATGATCCCCTTTACCCCAACTATAGAGGTATATACTACCTTATATACTACCATACTTAAAAGGTTAGTGAAGAGGCATAGAAAGAGTAGTGAAACAGTGAAACCTTCTAGATGCCAGATGCTATACAAATGTGAAGCATATGACACCAGCATGGTGAAAAAGGAAGCTAATTAAGACCATCAGATAGTATTTGATTTTATCTCTCCATAGAAATCATGATAACTATGTTACATAGTTACTGAAATTTAGACATTAAGTTTGTGGAATCTCTCTGACAGTTATATTAGCTAATCACTAAACAGAAATTTTAAAAGAAGTATTTAATATTAATTCTCAAGTCTTAGGAGAATATTTAGCTAATAATTCTACAGTTGACTGCAGAGTTTATTCATTATTTAATTCATAATGTCTTTTCAATCACTTTACTGTTTCTTGATTCATGAAGAATACATGCCAAGTGTATTAGTCTGTTCTCACACTGCTGTAAAGAACTGGCCAAGACTGGGCAATTTACAAAGAGGTTTAATTGACTCAGTTCCACCTGGCTGGGGAGGCCTCAGGAAACTTACAATCATGACAGAAGGGAAAGCAAACACATTCTTCTTCATGATGTCAGGAAGGAGAAGTGCAGAGCGAAGTGGGGGAAAAGCCCCTTATAAAACCATCAGACCTCATGAGACTACTCACTATCCTGAGAACAGCATGGGGGAATCACTCTCATGATCTAATCACCTTCCAGGAGGTCCCTCCCCCAACACATGGGGATTACAATTTGGATTACAATTCAAGATGAGATTTTGTGAGGACACTGAGCCAGACCATATCACTAAGAGAATAAAAATGGACACAGAATGCCACTTTCCTATTCCCTTTAAATATTTCCAGTTGAAAGTATTTCCATGACCTAGTGAGTTCTTAGAGAATTCAATCACTATTGATGTCCCAACTGGTATAATAAAAGAAGAAAACACATAATTTTGAGACAAATTCCACCTTTCTCACACTCTCAGCATATAAACACATAATCGAAGCAAGAAAAATGAGAAAAAATCAAATATATAATATGATGAAGAATTTTACACTATTCATTATGACATGTGGGGCCAAAGTGACAAAAGTAATTGGACAAAGGTAGACTCAGCAATGAGGACTTGGAAGAAATGAGCTTTCAGTCCCATTTTAAAGTAGAAGAGAAGGTAGGGTATCAAAAGTAGGGTGCGCTACGCAAAGTGGAGGGTGTTTTTGTTGTTGTTGTTTTTAGAGACAGGGTCTCCCTCTGTCACCCATCTTTGCCCACTGCAGCCTTGAACTACTGGGCTCAAGTGATCCTCCTGCCTCAGTCTCCCTCAGTGCTGGGATTACAAATGTGAGCTACCCAACACCCAATGTTTTCTTGATTGTAAAAGAAAATTGATGGTTTCTCATGTTCACCAGAGGGAAACATCCATTCATTTTATCAATGTGTTTAAAATAATTCTTACTCCTTCTTTCACTTTAAAGTGTTTAACTCATTTTTGCATTCTATTCATAAATATGACCAGTCACAACTTAGAATATGTATACTGTATTATTTCATATTAACACACACATTTTGTTCTTCTATAATAGATTTGTGTATGGTTTCATATATTAGAGTGTTAAATATTGAATTTATTGTAATTTACTTAGTGAAATACTGATGTTAACATCTAGTATGTTTATTTGAGGGATATAGGAGGCTTACAGTGAAATCATCCTTTCACCAAGATTTCTTTGTAAGACACTGTTACTGGAATTGTGCTTTGTGCATTACATTTCATTGACGTAATTTTAAACTTCCATTCTACTTCACTACAAATGGAATTTCATTATATCTGACTCCACAATAAGTGGGTTCCAGAATCGTTGACATTTAGTAGAATTACAGATCTTAGTGTCTTTGTACATTCTGTATTAAAATGCATTATGTGTGCTTTCAATTCTGTTTTAAAGAAATTGCCATTGATTTACATGGTTGTATGGAAGAGTTTTGTTTAAATGCCATTGCCTGATTTCCTGGTGGCTTTTATTTTCCTTCTGAAATCATTTACAAATATTTCTTAGGGTATTGGCTACTGTTGGTTTGAAATGAGATACAACTTATGGATTATAAATATGTTTGTGCAAATTTTCTCTAGCAGTAATTCTAAAACCTTTGTGGACATTAAGCTGTAATTGTAGCTTTCTCTTGCAAGCTTCTTTATCCTCTGCTTTATTATTCCCTTGTAGGAAATTAAGTATTTTATATAATAATGCTTAGAACATCTTTCTCTTTTAAAGAGGGAAATTAAGATAAAGAGCTTGGCAAATATAGGATCTTTCCTGGATTGTATGTTTCTGAGATTTGGTGACAGAGCGTCTGCTGTGGAGGATGGGGAAGGACGGATCTGGGCTGAAGAAGTAGACAGAGACAGTGGACTTTGGTTTTAAGAGGCCTGCTGCTGGGATCTTCTCACCCATCCCTAGCAGAGCTCAGAAGTAGGCATCCAGCTGCAGGTAATTGTGTTTTGGGCTCAAAGGAGCCCTTAGAGTGCCAGACCTAAAGAGGCAACTCCCGATAAGAGTTTCAATAGTTTTATCCATTCTAGAACCGCCATTTCCTTAAGAGTCTGAGGCCCAGGGACCAACGCCCAGGACATATATACACTTTGATAGGAGGAACATTTCAAATTCATCCAGGTCAAGATCACTCACTAGGTCTTGTGCACCTCCTCCGCCTCTTTTCTGTCTGGAGTTAGTAACCACCTCAAAAGACAGCTTTCTGACTCGTCATTATACCACCTACAGTCTTACTTTTAGCTTGGTTTGAGGGTGTCCTGTTCATTACTTACAGAAACAGATTTGGAGTGTGAATGCCCTTAACACCAGTTTTAATAAGCATTTTTAATTCTACAATAATGTGATTCAGAGAATTTTTTTTTCCTTTGTCTCTATCTCCCTAGATAGAAATATGTGGAGGTTGGATTTCCTGCTGAGTTTCTTTATTTTTTTCCTTTCTTTTTTTTTTTTTTTTTTTTAAGATGGAGTCTCACCCTGTTGCCCAGGCTGGAGTGCAATGGCGTGATCTTGGCTCACTGCAACCTCCGCCTCCCGGGTTCAAGTGATTCTCCTGCCTCAGCCTCCTGAGTAGCTGGGATTACAGGCGAGCGCCACCATGCCTGGCTAATTTATTCTTGTATTTTTAGTAGGGATGGGGTTTCACTATGTTGGCCAGGCTGGTCTCGAACTCATGACCTTGTGATCTGCCTGCCTTGGCCTCCCAAAGTTCTGGGATTACAGGTGTGAACCACAGTGCCCAGCCTTCCTGCTGAGTTTCTTAGCATTATTGCCAGGTCGGAACTTAGGCATAGTAACATGAAACATGTTCTGCATCTGAAGGCCAGAATATAATAAGCATTGTTAATTTAGTTAAAGGAAAAGGCTGCTGTTGAAGGTTAGACTTCTTGTGTATGTGTGGGAGATAACAGAATAACGTCTCTTTTCCAAGATGCATATGGTTTTCTTTTGCTTATGTGCCAATTTTAATCAATGGAGAAATTAATATGTTAAATGAAATAATTAACCATTTTATAATTTTAGTCGGATATTGGTTGACCAGTACTTATATGATGGTATAAAGTTCTAGAAACTGGATAACTTTAAAAATCTTTCCATATAATGCATTATATTCTGGGTCATAGTTTCCTATATTATAACTGCTAAACAACATAAACCAATTTTATTTTCAAAATCAATCTTTGGGGTAACTTCTACTTAGAGCCCTGACCTAATAAATGATGTACGTGTTTATTTCTGACACGTATTTTGATAATCATTTAGATTAGTCTTATTTATGTGGATATGTGTAATAAAATTTCTTTGGAAAATATGGTTTATTGAGTTTAAACCTCTTACCTCCATTTCACTTTCCTAAATTTTAACTATTTTTTTCTGTTCCATTGCAGGCATAGTACCAATTCTGTGTCAGGCATTTTATTCACTTTGTTTCAACTGTTCTTGAGATCCCGGAGGATTAGGACTATTGCAGTTATAAGTCTATAACTGAGGAAAGGAAGCTTATCTGGACAGGAAGATATTTAGAGTATGATATAAAGACAGTCTCTTTTTAAAAACAGCATTTTAAAGGTATAATTTCTTTTTTGTTTGTTTTTTTCGTTTTTTTATTTTTTATTTTTATTTTTTTCTTTTATTATTATACTTTAAGTTTTAGGGTACATGTGCACATTGTGCAGGTTAGTTACATATGTATACATGTGCCATGCTGGTGCGCTGCACCCACTAACTCGTCATCTAGCATTAGGTATATCTCCCAATGCTATCCCTCCCCACTCCCCCCACCCCACAACAGTCCCCAGAGTGTGATGTTCCCCTTCCTGTGTCCATGTGATCTCATTGTTCAATTCCCACCTATGATTGAGAACATGCGGTGTTTGGTTTTTTATTCTTGTGATAGTTTGCTGAGAATGATGATTTCCAATTTCATCCATGTCCCTACAAAGGACATGAACTCATCATTTTTTATGGCTGCATAGTATTCCATGGTGTATATGTGCCACATTTTCTTAATCCAGTCTATCGTTGTTGGACATTTGGGTTGGTTCCAAGTCTTTGCTATTGTGAATAGTGCCGCAATAAACATATGTGTGCATGTGTCTTTATAGCAGCATGATTTATAGTCCTTTGGGTATATACCCAGTAATGGGATGGCTGGGTCAAATGGTATTTCTAGTTCTAGATCCCTGAGGAATCGCCACACTGACTTCCACAATGGTTGAACTAGTTTACAGTCCCACCAACAGTGTAAAAGTGTTCCTATTTCTCCACATCCTCTCCAGCACCTGTTGTTTCCTGACTTTTTAATGACTGCCATTCTAACTGGTGTGAGATGGTATCTCATTGTGGTTTTGATTTGCATTTCTCTGATGGCCAGTGATGATGAGCATTTTTTCATGTGTTTTTTGGCTGCATAAATGTCTTCTTTTGAGAAGTGTCTGTTCATGTCCTTCGCCCACTTTTTGATGGGGTTGTTTGTTTTTTTCTTGTAAATTTGTTTGAGTTCATTGTAGATTCTGGATATTAGCCCTTTGTCAGATGAGTAGGTTGCGAAAATTTTCTCCCATTTTGTAGGTTGCCTGTTCACTCTGATGGTAGTTTCTTTTGCTGCACAGAAGCTCTTTAGTTTAATTAGATCCCATTTGTCCATTTTGGCTTTTGTTGCCATTGCTTTTGGTGTTTTAGACATGAAGTCCTTACCCATGCCTATGTCCTGAATGGTACTGCCTAGGTTTTCTTCTAGGGTTTTTATGGTTTTAGGTCTAACGTTTAAGTCTTTAATCCATCTTGAATTGATTTTTGTATAAGGTGTAAGGAAGGGATCCAGTTTCAGCTTTCTACATATGGCTAGCCAGTTTCCCCAGCACCATTTATTAAATAGGGAATCCTTTCCCCATTGCTTGTTTTTCTCAGGTTTGTCAAAGATCAGATAGTTGTAGATATGCAGTGTTATTTCTGAGGGCTCTGTTCTGTTCCATTGATCTATATCTCTGTTTTGGTACCAGTACCATGCTGTTTTGGTTACTGTAGACTTGTAGTATAGTTTGAAGTCAGGTAGTGTGATGCCTCCAGCTTTGTTCTTTTGGCTTAGGATTGACTTGGCGATGCGGGCTCTTTTTTGGTTCCATATGAACTTTAAAGTAGTTTTTTCCAATTCTGTGAAGAAAGGCATTGGTAGCTTGATGGGGATGGCATTGAATCTGTAAATTACCTTGGGCAGTATGGCCATTTTCACGATATTGATTCTTCCTACCCATGAGCATGGAATGTTCTTCCATTTGTTTGTATCCTCTTTTATTTCCTTGAGCAGTGGTTTGTAGTTCTCCTTGAAGAGGTCCTTCACATCCCTTGTAAGTTGGATTCCTAGGTATTTTATTCTCTTTGAAGCAATTGTGAATGGGAGTTCACTCATGATTTGGCTCTGTTTGTCTGTTGTTGGTGTATAAGAATGCTTGTGATTTTTGCACATTGATTTTGTATCCTGAGACTTTGCTGAAGTTGCTTATCAGCTTAAGGAGATTTTGGACTGAGACAATGGGGTTTTCTAGATATACAATCATGTCGTCTGCAAAGAGGGACAATTTGACTTCCTCTTTTCCTAATTGAATACCCTTTATTTCCTTCTCCTGCCTAATTGCCCTGGCCAGAACTTCCAACACTATATTGAATAGGAGTGGTGAGAGAGGGCATCCCTGTCTTGTGCCAGTTTTCAAAGGGAATGCTTCCAGTTTTTGCCAATTCAGTATGATATTCGCTGTGGGTTTGTCATAGATAGCTCTTATTATTTTGAAATATGTCCCATCAATACCTAATTTATTGAGAGTTTTTAGCATGAAGTGTGGTTGAATTTTGTCAACGGCCTTTTCTGCATCTATTGAGATAATCATGTGGTTTTTGTCTTTGGCCCTGTTTATATGCTGGATTACATTTACTGATTTGCGTATATTGAACCAGCCTTGCATCCCAGGGATGAAGCCCACTTGATCATGGTGGATAAGCTTTTTGATGTGCTGCTGGATTTGTTTTGCCAGTATTTTATTGAGGATTTTTGCATCAATGTTCATCAAGGATATTGGTCTAAAATTCTCTTTTTTGGTTGTGTCTCTGCCTGGCTTTGGTATCAGAATGATGCTGGCCTCATAAAATGAGTTAGGGAGGATTCCCTCTTTTTCTATTGATTGGAATAGTTTCAGAAGGAATGGTACCAGTTCCTCCTTGTACCTCTGGTAGAATTCGGCTGTGAATCCATCTGGTCCTGGACTCTTTTTGGTTGGTAAGCTATTGATTATTGTCACAATTTCAGATCCTGTTATTTGTCTATTCAGAGATTCAACTTCTTCCTGGTTTAGTCTTGGGAGAGTGTATGTGTCGAGGAATTTATCCATTTCTTCTAGATTTTCTAGTTTATTTGCGTAGAGGTGTTTATAGTATTCTCTGATGGTAGTTTGTATTTCTGTGGGATCGGTGGTGATATCCCCTTTATCATTTTTTATTGCGTCTATTTGATTCTTCTCTCTTTTTTTCTTTATTAGTCTTGCTAGCGGTCTATCAATTTTGTTGATCCTTTCAAAAAACCAGCTCCTGGATTCATTAATTTTTTGAAGGGTTTTTTGTGTCTCTATTTCCTTCAGTTCTGCTCTGATTTTAGTTATTTCTTGCCTTCTGCTAGCTTTTGAATGTGTTTGCTCTTGCTTTTCTAGTTCTTTTAATTGTGATGTTAGGGTGTCAATTTTGGATCTTTCCTGCTGTCTCTTGTGGGCATTTAGTGCTATAAATTTCCCTCTACACACTGCTTTGAATGTGTCCCAGAGATTCTGGTATGTTGTGTCTTTGTTCTTGTCGGTTTCAAAGAACATCTTTATTTCTGCCTTCATTTCGTTATGTACCCAGTAGTCATTCAGGAGCAGGTTGTTCAGTTTCCATGTAGTTGAGCAGTTTTGAGTGAGATTCTTAATCCTGAGTTCTAGTTTGATTGCACTGTGGTCTGAGAGATAGTTTGTTATAATTTCTGTTCTTTTACATTTGCTGAGGAGAGCTTTACTTCCAAGTATGTGGTCAATTTTGGAATAGGTGTGGTGTGGTGCTGAAAAAAATGTATATTCTGTTGATTTGGGGTGGAGAGTTCTGTAGATGTCTATCAGGTCCGCTTGGTGCAGAGCTGAGTTCAATTCCTGGGTATCCTTGTTGACTTTCTGTCTCGTTGATCTGTCTAGTGTTGACAGTGGGGTATTAAAGTCTCCCATTATTAATGTGTGGGAGTCTAAGTCTCTTTGTAGGTCACTCAGGACTTGCTTTATGAATCTGGGTGCTCCTGTGTTGGGTGCGTATATATTTAGGTTAGTTAGCTCTTCTTGTTGAATTGATCCCTTTACCATTATGTAATGGCCTTCTTTGTCTCTTTTGATCTTTGTTGGTTTAAAATCTGTTTTATCAGAGACTAGGATTGCAACCCCTGCCTTTTTTTGTTTTCCATTTGCTTGGTAGATCTTCCTCCATCCTTTTATTTTGAGCCTATGTGTGTCTCTGCACGTGAGATGGGTTTCCTGAATACAGCACACTGATGGGTCTTGACTCTTTATCCAATTTGCCAGTCTGTGTCTTTTAATTGGAGCATTTAGTCCATTTACATTTAAAGTTAATATTGTTATGTGTGAATTTGATCCTGTCATGATGATGTTAGCTGGTTATTTTGCTCGTTAGTTGATGCAGTTTCTTCCTAGTCTCGATGGTCTTTACATTTTGGCATGATTTTGCAGTGGCTTGTACTGGTTGTTCCTTTCCATGTTTAGTGCTTCCTTCAGGAGCTCTTTTAGGGCAGGCCTGGTGGTGACAAAATCTCTCAGCATTTGCTTGTCTGTAAAGTATTTTATTTCTCCTTCGCTTATGAAGCTTAGTTTGGCTGGATATGAAATTCTGGGTTGAAAATTCTTTTCTTTAAGAATGTTGAATATTGGCCCCCACTCTCTTCTGGCTTGTAGGGTTTCTGCCGAGAGATCTGCTGTTAGTCTGATGGGCTTCCCTTCCAGGGTAACCCGTGCTTTCTCTCTGGCTGCCCTTAACATTTTTTCCTTCATTTCAACTTTGGTGAATCTGACAATTATGTGTCTTGGAGTTGCTTTTCTCGAGAAGTATCTTTGTGGCCTTCTCTGTATTTCCTGAATCTGAACGTTGGCCTGCCTTGCTAGATTGGGGAAGTTCTCCTGGATAATATCCTGCAGAGTGTTTTCCAACTTGGTTTCATTCTCCCCGTCACTTTCAGGTACACCAATCAGACGTGGATTTGGTCTTTTCACATAGTCCCATATTTCTTGGAGGCTTTGCTCATTTCTTTTTATTCTTTTTTCTCTAAACTTCCCTTCTTGCTTCATTTCATTCATTTCGTCTTCCATTGCTGATACCCTTTCTTCCAGTTGATCGCATCGGCTCCTGAGGCTTCTGCATTCTTCACGTAGTTCTCGAGCCTTGGTTTTCAGCTCCATCAGCTCCTTTAAGCATTTCTCTGTATTGGTTATTCTAGTTATACATTCTTCTAAATTTTTTTCAAAGTTTTCAACTTCTTTGCCTTTGGTTTGAATGTCCTCCCGTAGCTCAGAGTAATTTGATCATCTGAAGCCTTCTTCTCTCAGCTCGTCAAAGTCGTTCTCCGTCTAGCTTCGTTCTGTTGTTGGTGAGGAACTGCGTTCCTTTGGAGGAGGAGAGGCGCTCTGCTTTTTAGAGTTTCCAGTTTTTCTGTTCTGTTTTTTCCCCATCTTTGTGGTTTTATCTACTTTTGGTCTTTGATGATGGTGATGTACAGATGGGTTCTTGGTGTGGATGTCCTTTCTGTTTATTAGTTTTCCTTCTAACAGACAGGACCCTCAACTGCAGGTCTGTTGGAGTACCCTGCCATGTGAGGTGTCAGTGTGCCCCTGCTGGGGGGTGCCTCCCAGTTAGGCTGCTCGGGGGTCAGGGGTCAGGGACCCACTTGAGGAGGCAGTCTGCCCGTTCTTAGATCTCCAGCTGCGTACTGGGAGAACCACTGCTCTCTTCAAAGCTGTCAGACAGGGACATTTAAGTCTGCAGAGGTTACTGCTGTCTTTTTGTTTGTCTGTGCCCTGCCCCCAGAGGTGGAGCCTACAAAGGCAGGCAGGCCTCCTTGAGCTGTGGTGGGCTACACCCAGTTCGAGCTTCCCGGCTGCTTTGTTTACCTAATCAAGCCTGGGCAATGGCAGACGCCCCTCCCCCAGCCTCGCTGCCGCCTTGCAGTTTGATCTCAGACTGCTGTGCTAGCAATCAGTGAGACTCCGTGGGCGTAGTACCTTCCCAGCCAGGTGCAGGATATAATCTCGTGGTTCGCCGTTTTTTAAGCCCGTCGGAAAGGCGCAGTATTCGGGTGGGAGTGACCAGATTTTCCAGGTGCCGCCCATCACCCCTTTCTTTGACTAGGAAAGGGAACTCCCTGACCCCTTGCGCTTCCCGAGTGAGGCAATGCCTCACCCTGCTTCGGCTCACGCACGGTGCGCGCACCCACTGACCTGCGCCCACTGTCTGGCATTCCTTAGTGAGATGAACCCGGTACCTCAGATGGAAAAGCAGAAATCACCTGTCTTCTGCGTCGCTCACGCTGGGAGCTGTAGACCGGAGCTGTTCCTATTCGGCCATCTTGGCTCCTCCCCTAAAGGTATAATTTCTATAAAATAAAGTTTTTTTACACATAAGAAATGTATGTGACATTTGACAAATATATATATACCCATATAACCGTCAGCCCAACAACAACAAAAAATAGAACATTTCTCCTTTCCCAGAAGGCCCTCACTGTTTTTTTGCTGTCTTCTTCCACAGCCCTGAAACTCTTATCTGATTAGTTTCATCTGTCTTAGAATTTCCTTTATATGAAACACCAACTAAGTACTTTTTTCTGTCTGCCTTCTTTCACCCAGTCTACTGTCTGTAAAAATCATTCATGTTTTTGCATCCATCAATATTTTGCTCCTTTTAATCGCTAACATTTTCCGTTGAATGAATGTACCTCCATTTTTATTTTATTGGCCTGTTGATGACATTAAGACTGTTTCCAGTTTTTAATTATCATGAATAAAGTTGCTATATACAAGTCATGTACAAGCTTTTTTATGGACATATGTTTTCATTTGTCATGTTTATCTGGGAGTAAAATTCCTGGGTTGCATGGAAAAAATGTTCGTTTAATTTTATAATAGACAAATTGTTTTCTAAATGAAGGCATGATCTTAGTCTAGTAATGTTTATTTACTTCTATCAACATATGTGTTTGGTAAGTTAATTTTTTGGATAATGAATGATACCGTAATGGATATTTTTTTCTCACTACTTCTTCCTTTCTCCCTCTTTTTACACAATTAAAAAACTAAAGATAAAAGTTGGCTCTATAGGGAAAGGTTTTATTTTTTACATTTCTGGCAAATTTGAGATTTCTATAAAATTCTTCATAGGTATATAAAACAGAGTAAGTATATTTTGTTTAACTTTTAAAGCAGGGTATTATTCATTTGTTAGTTGTTTAAAATCTACTATAATTATGGGTAAGGCAGTGATACAAAAGGAAGAAAAGAAAAATCCCAATTTATTCATTAAATAAGAATGTGTCAATGCATTTTGAATGAGAAGTCATTTTAAACTCCAAATACAAAGATGAGCAAGACGATTTTTTAACCTCAGGAATGGCATAGTAGGGAAAAAAGTAAGTGTATGTATATCATTAGATTCATACAGTCAGGCTGAATGTGGAAAGGGCTTTAAGAAAGTTATTAAAATTGTTTTTACATTCTGGGGAAGTAGAAACATTTCCATCTAACAGGAACAGGGCAGTTTCACAGAGGAGTTGGAATTTGGACTGAGTTTTGAACAGAAGAGAATTTCGATGGGCAGATCAGGAAAAGAGCAGTTCAGGAGGAGGGAATGGTGGGCTGTGGAGCATGGGCGACCAGAAAGGCAGATTAAGTTAAAACAGGGTTGACAAATTGGGAGAACACAGGATTAAGGGACTGGAATTTAAGTTTAGATTTGCTTTAATAAAGAAAAATGTTACTTTGTGATGAGAGAAAATAAGCTAAAAATTAAAAATTTAAAAACCAATCCACTCTGAGAGATTAATTAAAGTGAAGATGGGGTCTGCTAATGTGTTACTGAAGTGAACTGCAGAGTACAGTCACTGGCATTGATGAGTCTAGATGCTGTGAGAAAGATCATTAGCGCATTGACAATTCTAAGTAGCTGGAGACCTTTTAAACTTTCAACTTCCATATTTTTAGTAATTTTTCAAATGTGATTAATTTAGCCCATGAAAACACACCCCATCATTGATATAACCAATCATTATAATTATTTATTCGACTGGTGTACTTTGTCTCTAAATGACACATTTCTATGAAAAAAAGATCAGTTTCACTAACTCCTCAGGCTTCTGGCTGTGACTTTTCATAAATGTCTGTATGAACGTAAGCTATAACTTTGCTTCATTGTTGTTTAGATGACATTAATAATTGGTTTTACTTACTGACTATGGGCATTTTAATACAAGATTCCATTTTAAAAGTGTGTACTTGTAGCTTATTGCAACACAGTGACCAAAGACACCATATTCTTACTTCTGGAATCAATTTGTGGGCATTGTTAACAGTATCTTCACAACTGCACTAGTCAAGCAATCAGAGCTAAGCTTTCAAAGCAGATTAGAGGAAGCTTATTAGCAATAAAATATAGTCAAAATATACCAGGCATAATCATATTTTTATGTAGTGGAATTACCTCAGCACATGGAGAATCTAAATTAAATGAGTTTATAATTGAGGTTTGTGTGCAAGGGAAAAGAAAATTCGTCTGTTATGGAAACGCTCTATATTTTTTACATTATAGCCAAAGTCTTAGTTACCTTTTGAGGGTATCTGTAGGTGCCATTAAATTCAGCTATCCTCTTCTGCTGTGGGTATAAGCACATGGCAAACCCAGGCAAAAATTAGAAAAATAAAAAGGATTGTAGAGAAATGGAGATATAAAAAATTAATAAGAGAAGAGGCAAGCTAACTCCCTTATCCATTTTTTTCCTCAAGGTTATTAACAGAAATTATTTCCAACATAAATGTCCATAAATAATTTTGAAAATCTAGAAAGAAATTGCATTTCTACTTTAAAAATAGCTTTCTATGGCTGAAGGTTTGCTTCAGTTGTTTTACTGTCACAACTCCCAAAAACCAGCTGGTTCTGGGATGTCGTAACAATTTGATACTTCAAACCAATGGTTTGTGCTCATTGGCTCCCTGGTGCAAACAGGGAGATAAATGCTACTTAAATAGTAGGTGAATGTAATTTTGCACTTTAGAAAATGTCTGCATGTTTATTAGAGAAGTGAATGCTGAAATCAGCGAACAAAATGTAAAGTGAGCAACTAAGAAATACTTATAAGGGCTCACTTGTATTATTTAACTGTGTAATCCTCTATCTCATATATATGTAATACTTTCTTCAAGTTCATTATAGCTCCCGGGCCCAGTACATCCTAGTCCAGTTCCAACCATGTCTAATTTTAAAATAGCTATGCTCACTTCAAACGAAGATGTTGCTATAGCTTTATTTTATTTTATAGGCTTCAATTTTAAAGTTGTATCACCTATAGATAACAAAGACAGCTTTCATGGACACCTCAATTTAGAAGAGTCTTATAGGCACTTTGTGAGATAAACTGTAAGTGTATGTGCTAATCAGATAATTCTTTTACTAGAGACTTTAGGTGAAGATAGCAAATCTTCTAAAACAGACTGATAATTAAACTGGGTTGATCATTATTGGGTTCATTATTATCAAATTGAAATATGCTTTATTTTGTAATGTTTAAAATGTGTTCTTAAATTCAGTAGAATATTAATATTATATTATACTTTTCCATTTTTAAATCATATTAAAAATAGCAAAAATATTACTTCTTCAAAAATGCTTTATACTTCATGTATATTACTGATTTTAAGTAAAAGTACAATTAAGACAATTAGCCAGACCTATTTATGAGTAGCTCTAATTGGAGCAGCTTGTTGCTGGACCCTATTCAGTGGTAGAGATAAGGTTGAGATGGCTGAATAGTTCATCTAATTTGAAATACTTTGGTGTCACATGGACCTTTTCCTGAATACCATGGCTATGTACTCACTATTTGGCCAAATGCTGAAAATGAACATATATTTGCCTCCGTCAAAATGTTTTGTAAATGTTCACTCAGACATTGACATAAACAAGGCAGAAAGGTTAATGGATAAAAAATTCTTTTTCTTTAAAAAAATACATACACATACGAATTTTCTCTCTTTTAGTTGCTAACCTGCTTTTTAGATTAGTCCATGGTTATCTTGGAAGAGGTGTGGGAGAACAAGGTGAGAGCTAAGGAAGGAATTCTATGCAAAGCGTTTCTGATTCTCTTAGTATTTTGTGGAACAGCATGAGACATGTCTTCCAGTTGTGTAGGATAAGTACAGCCCACTGAACACTGCTTACCAGCAGTTTACCACAAGCCAGTTATAACATCAAAAACATCGGAACCCTTTCTTTTCTTCTATATTTGAATAATGATAAATGCCTTCATGCTGTGTGAGCACTATTGAAGTGTGTTTCTCTGCAGGTAAACTTGGCAGTGTCTTATATAACTACACTCGATGGGAGTATTACTTAAACAGTGTGAAATACATTGTCTGATAAAAATTGTATCACAATTTGGAATGACGTTTATGCAAGTGGATAGTCTGCCAGTTATTTTATAGTCTAAAAAAATGAACCTGTAAGGCTACAGTATAAAATCCAAGTCTTTATAGTTGTATATTTGTAGTGAAAACAACCGTGGGGGAATAATATAAGCTTAATCATTTGGTGATTAGTCTACCAACTATTAATGATGAGAGATAACCTATCTGTTCTTTATTTCTAAAATAAGATGTGTAATACAGCTAATTAGTCACTATTTTAAAAGGAATTTAAATATAGTTTTCATTGAAATTCAAATATTTAATTGCATGTGTACCTAATGCCTAATTATTTACATGTTGGCTGATGTTCTCTATTATCTAACTGCTGTGCTGTTCTTAATTGCTGCTAGTTCATCTCCGCCCATCTCCCTTGGTGATGATAGTCCTGCATTTCATGGCAATTTTCAATAGCAGTTTAATGGTCTTAAGTGGGTAGCATAATAGCCAGGTGAACAACAAAAAAAACAAAAACAAAAACAAAAAAACTATTTGGCAAATTGGGATATGAGAATTGAGGCCAAAACTTTTAGTCCTTGCCAATTTTTTTTAAAACTTCAATTATCTTGATTCATATTCCCATTTGTTGGGTTGGTAGGCACTCCAAAATAAATATAATAATCAGAGAGAACACCAACTGTAGGTACTAGTTTTAGCAACTGAAACAACTGGCGTTAAAATCACTGAGCTTCTGTTACATGAATACCTGAGTATTATGTGGCTACTTCTGAAATGGAGTATGCAGTGCTCTTATAATTGGGCATTTCAGTTGAACACTGCTTCAGTAAAGTAACTGGCATTTCAAGTCTTCCTTCTGTAGTGATTGCTTTGTCTTTATTCAATGATTGCTTTTTTAAGTTAGAATCTGGTTGCATAGTGCTCCATGGTTCTTTCCTATGCAGTGGTGTTTCTCAGTGTTGATGTGGAGAAGCCAGGAGACATCCTACAACTCTGAGAAGCATTTGATGTTGGCAGCAGTGGCTGTGAGGTTAGCCCATGAACTTAGGGCTAGAGGTGAGTCTTAACCTTCCAATTCAGCATCTTTTCCATCTGAACATTCAAGTCAAATGGGAAACCTGTTGGCCCTCCAGCTGGATCTTTCCACTGTTTTAACTGGAATGAATTGGATAAGTTATAAGGCAGATGGTAAGATTGGATCTGATGGGATGGAGTTTGGTGAAGTGGAAACTTTTAAGCATTAGGTTTGAGATAGCTAGGGAGTGTTGACCTCTCTTTCCCCCTGACATTATCCTCACATTTGTTTTTATTCCACCATATCTACCTTGATCCACCTGATTCTTTTCATTTTTTTCTTTCATTCTCTTTGTGCTGGCTTTCTTTCCTTTTTTAAAATCCCATGGTATCTCATCATCTCTTCTTGTCCTCCCATTCTACAAATAGAACATGAAATTGAAGCCTTTTTTAAAAAAAAAAAAAACTAATTACAGAATTAATATATGTTTACTATGTACTTACTACAATTAGAAACTATATATAAACAAAAAAGAGAGCTTGCCCATCAATCCACATGCAAAATTGGTTGAGTACCTTGAAGATTTGTAATAGTATATAGAGAAGAACATTATTTTTCTTAACTATTTAAAAGTGTATTCTGCATTCTCAATTAAAAGTCATTTTATCTTTTACTTTTTCTTTTATTCCTTTTTAAGCAACAAATGAATTAAATTTCCTTTGTTTTATATATGACCTATTAACCTCAATGGAGAAAGAGGCTCCCTTTGTTTGCTTCAGGACTTACATATTGTTACAGTTAGTCCTTAGGTAAATGAAATGAGAAGAGCTTCACATCAGCACTAGTTCTTCCCCATGGAATTTTAGTTTCTCCACAACCACTTTACTGAATGTGTATAATTATAAGAATTATTTCATTTTCTTACAACTTTTTCTCTTTATTTTATACTCTCACCCTATTATCTGTCCTTTTTCTTTTTTTTTTCTTTCTTTCTTTCTTTCTTTCTTTCTTTTTTTTTTTTTTTTTGAGACAGGCTCTTACTCCGTTGCCCAGGCTGAAGTGCAGTGGCAGGATCATGGCTTATTGTGCCCTTGACATCTCAGTTTCAAGTGATACTCCCACTTCAGCCTCTTCACTAGCTGGGACTACAGGCTCTTGCCACCCCACCTGGCTAATTTTTCTATTTTTTTTGTAAAGATGGTACTTTGCCATGTTGCTCAGACTGAACTCCTGGGCTCAAACAATCCTCCCCACCTCGGCCTCCCATAGTGCTAGGATTATAGGCATGAGCCACTGCACCTGGCTTTTATATTCTTAATATTTCTTGTTTCTTCTATTTATTTTCTTTACTTTAAACTCGTTGTTATAAAGTGGTATGGGTTAATCAAGAGTGATGGAAAGATTAGCTCTGTTTTTCTGTGTGTGAGTGAAAGATTTAGAAGTAAGAAAATATAATTATTCTTCTTCCCAAAGTAATGATGTTTACCAAAACACTGGTAACATTACTTTAAATTTCCTAAATTTATAATTCAATTTAGTAAAGTAGGACTTCTGAAATGGATTTTTAGATATATTGGGGAAAAACAATTCAGGATCTAAGGTAAACTTTTTAGGATGTATATATATTTGCATGCCATTCATGGTTGTGTTTATCTGAAAACCTAATACATTTTTATCATAAAAATCTACATAATTCTAAATCATCTCAAGTGAAATTAGAATTAATATAAAGAAATAAACAAATATTGGAAGTTAAAATTTTCAGATTTATTAGGTGTTAAACTGAATTTTTCGTCTTCTACTCCTATCCTCCCGTAAACACTATCTAGAAAATTGTCACCCAACCTATTGTAGAACTAAAAACCTAGTGGTCTTCCTCATCTTCATTGTCTTCATTATTTCCACTACACGAAACATTCCCTTGTAACAAATATAATATTCACAGCATTGTGCAAAAAATGTACATTTTAAATTTCTAGTATAAAATTTGATTTGTGACTCTGAGCCCCCAGTTTCCTTAGGGCAAACAATATGGGTGCTTTCAGTTAATTTTAGTCCAATCCAGTAATTTTTCAGTTACTTTTCCATTTAAAACAAGTAGTTCGAGGTTCAGCCTTCTGATCATTTTCCTGATATGGAATCTGGGAGCAGCAGGGAACATAAGTAATGTCACGGTGTCAGGATTGGGAGGTGTGCATTTTGGATCCTGATTAAATGTATCAACGTAGGTAATATATTGTGATTGTTTCAAATAGTGGAGATCAGGAATCCTTCCTGGTACAAATTCAGTTCCCCACAGTAACCTCAAAATTGACTTCAAACCTACTGACTTCAAATCTGACTCATGATGTTTCTCCTCTCCCATCACTTTTCACTGTGTTCTGCTGATCTCCATACTGTTTCCTCAATGATGGGCCCAAAAAATGCTGGAAGTTTTCTTCTATTTCTCTCTTTGAGAATCATGAGGCACTCATTGGGATTGTGGTTCTTGGATTGTTTCCCTCTTTGTATGTATTTATGTATGAGCCATATACAATCAACTGTTCTCTCAATATCAAGAGGTAGCAATTTTAAATGTTCTGTGTTTTAAACTTTAATGTATAACTTACGTCAGTCAATCCTGATAATACCACTATTCTCACTAGTCATCAACATCATTATCATCATTGTCATCATCATGTAACAATTATATAATGGTTAATATTGGCCACAAATCAATCCTAGTTCCTTAAAATCTATTAGTTGAGCCTTATGAAACTGCCCTTTTTGTCGGTTCAAATGGTGAGTAGAAGCAATTTCATATGGTTCAACTTATTATTACTTCAATTTCCTTACAGGCTTACAGCCAACACAGTGATTCAGGCCACCATCATCTCACAACTAGAAATCATCACTGTGGCCTTCTAATGGATATTCTTGCTTGCAATTTAGCCCTCCCCCATTTGTTTGTTGTACTTCAGCTAGGTTAAGCTTTATAAAACACAATAGTATTGAGCTATTCCTCTCTCTAAAATGCTGTCATGGCATCTGATTGACCTTAGTATAAAATCCAAGCTCTGTTAATGTGATTTATAAGTCATGTAGCCGTACATCCCAGTTAGTCTCTGACAGCCCTGGTTTACAACTGCTGCCCCAGCCTAATTAATAGTGGTGTTCCCTTTATTCTCAGAAGTGGACTGGTTTAGATGATGAATTACATGACCACCTTATTTATAATGTACCTCATGCTCTGCCCTGTGCAGTTCTCTCCAGCCTCATCTCTCACCACTTTTTAAATCATAAAAATGAGCTGTATCCATTCTGAATTCCTTTGGATTTATGGAATATATCACTGTCTCTTTCAGTTCAAAGCCTGTGCCCATAATGTTGTCACTGCCTAAAATATCTCTCTGTTAACCTGACTAATGCATACCAATTTTCATGCTCATTTTTCTTTTCTTTTTTTTTTTTTTGACGGAGTCCTGCTCTGTCACCCAGGCTGGAGTGCAGTGCTGCGATCTCAGCTCACTGCAACCTCCACCTCCCGGGTTCAAGCGATTCTCCTTCCTCAGCCTCTAGAGTAGCTGGGACTACAGGCGTGTGCCACCACGCCCAGCTAATTTTTGTATTTTTAGTAGAGACAGGATTTCACCATGTTGGCCATGTTGGTCTCGATCTCTCGACCTCGCAATTCGCCCGCCTCAGGCTCCCAAAGTGCTGGGATTACAGGCGTGAGCCACCGTGCCGGTCCCTCATGCTCCATTTTTATAGTTTCTCCAAGAAGCACTTTCTGACCTCTAGACTAGTTTGAATTTTCCTATTTCTGTACCCATATTGGCTCTATTCTTCCCCTAATCAAACCCTTTTCCCAATTAACCATGTTTATATCCTAGTTTATGTGCTTCCTTTTAGCATGTACCATTGTTTCTCTAGGGCCTTATAAGTATTTGTTATACAGACATTACATATATATATATATTATATATACATGTGTGTATATATATGCATATATATGCACACATGTATATGAGAGTATGTGTGTGCACATGTTGAACAAATTCATGAGACAAAATACAACTTTAGGTTGCTTTTGGACTTTGACATCTGCTCTTGACTTTTTATGTTGAGAAAGGGATGTTGAGAGTATGAAGCACTATAGCAAGGGAGAAGAAAAGAAAGAGAGACCAGAAAAGGGCTGATTATTGAATATCAAGAAAGGAACACATAGAAAACAAGTAAGAGGCTTTGAACTGACAATTTGGATGGACAACTACATTCCATTTCTGATCATCGATCCTGTCTTTGCACTATTGCTTGCACTTATCTTAGCAGGGGCACTTAAAAAGCCTGAAACGCGTATCTTGCCTGCAATGTACAAACTTATCAGAACATCTCATATAGTAACATAATTTTCAGTATAAGTATAGATAGGAATTACGTTTAAATTTGAGTAAGTATTGGACTAAGATTATCTCTCCTTTTTTAAAAGTTGGTAAGTTATGTTAAACAAAAACAAAACAATTTCTAAAATGATGACTAAAAGTAAGGGTTGTTTAAATCCATTTTATAAGATTTACTTCCAGAAGATGAAAGTGGGAAGCTGAAGTGGCATATCATTTCTAAGCTATTTTTGTAGGTTGAATTGCATCCTTCAAAAAGAAATGTTGAAGTCTTAACCCCAGGTAACTATGAATGTGACCTTATTTGCAAATAGGGTCTTTGCAAATATAATTAAGTTAAGGTGATGTCATACTGGTTTAGGGTGGACCCTGATCCAATATGACTGGTATCATAGAAGAGGGGAGGAGATACAGAAATACAGGGAGAAAGCTGTGTAAAGATGGAGGCAGAGATGGGAGTGGTGCATCCACAAGCCAAGCAATGCCAAGGAAAGAAGCATGGACATTTTTTCTTACTGTGTCTAGAAGGAACCAACTAGGCTGACATTTTGGTTTCAGAGTTACAGCCTCCTGAACTGTGAAATGAATGTCTGTTTTTTTTTTTTTTTTATTATTATTATACTTTAAGTTTTAGGGTACATGTGCACAATGTGCCGATTAGTTACATATGTATACATGTGTCATGCTTGTGCGCTGCACCCACTAACTCGTCATCTAGCATTAGGTATATCTCCCAATGCTATCCCTTCCCCCTCCCCCCACCCCACAACAGTCCCCAGAGTGTGATGTTCCCCTTCCTGTGTCCATGTGTTCTCATTGTTCAATTCCCACCTATGAGTGAGAATATGCGGTGTTTGGTTTTTTGTCCTTGTGATAGTTTACTGAGAATGATGATTTCCAGTTTCATCCATGGCCCTACAAAGCACATGAACTCATCATTTTTTATGGCTGCATAGTATTCCATGGTGTATATGTGCCACATTTTCTTAATCTAGTCTATCTTTGTTGGACATTTGGGTTGGTTCCAAGTCTTTGCTATTGTGAAAAATGCCACAATAAACATACCTGTGTATGTGTCTTTATAGCAGCATGATTTATAGTCCTTTGGGTATATACCCAGTAATGGGATGGCTGGGTCAAATGGTATTTCTAGTTCTAGATCCCTGAGGAATCGCCACACTGACTTCCACAATGGTTGAACTAGTTTACAGTCCCACCAACAGTGTAAAAGTGTTCCTATTTCTCCACATCCTCTCCAGCCCCTGTTGTTTCCTGACTTTTTAATGATTGCCATTCTAACTGGTGTGAGATGGTATCTCATTGTGGTTTTGATTTGCATTTCTCTGATGGCCAGTGATGGTGAGCATTTTTTCATGTGTCTTTTGGCTGCATAAATGTCTTCTTTTGAGAAGTGTCTGTTCATGTCCTTCGCCCACTTGTTGATGGGGTTGTTTGTTTTTTTCTTGTAAATTTGTTTGAGTTCATTGTAGATTCTGGATATTAGCCCTTTGTCAGATGAGCAGGTTGCGAAAATTTTCTCCCATTTTGTCGGTTGCCTGTTCACTCTGCTGGTAGTTTCTTTTGCTGTGCAGAAGCTCTTTAGTTTAATTAGATCCCATTTGTCCATTTTGGCTTTTGTTGCCATTGCTTTTGGTGTTTTAGACATGAAGTCTTTGCCCATGCCTATGTCCTGAATGGTAATGCCTAGGTTTTCTTCTAGTGTTTTTATGGTTTTAGGTCTAACGTTTAATTCTTTAATCCATCTTGAATTGATTTTTGTATAAGGTGTAAGGAAGGGATCCAGTTTCAGCTTTCTACATATGGCTAGCCAGTTTTCCCAGCACCATTTATTAAATAGGGAATCCTTTCCGCATTGCTTGTTTTTCTCAGGTTTGTCAAAGATCAGATAGTTGTAGATATGCGGCATTATTTCTGAGGGCTCTGTTCTGTTCCATTGATCTATATCTCTGTTTTGGTACCAGTACCATGCTGTTTTGGTTACTGTAGCCTTGTAGTATAGTTTGAAGTCAGGTAGTGTGATGCCTCCAGCTTTGTTCTTTTGGCTTAGGATTGACTTGGCGATGCGGGCTCTTTTTTGGTTCCATATGAACTTTAAAGTAGTTTTTTCCAACTCTGTGAAGAAAGTCATTGGTAGCTTGATGGGAATGGCATTGAATCTGTAAATTACCTTGGGCAGTATGGCCATTTTCACGATATTGATTCTTCCTACCCATGAGCATGGAATGTTCTTCCATTTGTTTGTATCCTCTTTTATTTCCTTGAGCAGTGGTTTGTAGTTCTCCTTGAAGAGGTCCTTCACATCCCTTGTAAGTTGGATTCCTAGGTATTTTAGAATGTCTGTTGTTTTAAGCCACCTAGTTTGTGGTCATTTATTATGGCAGTCCTAGAAAACTAAGATACCTAAATTAGGAAACAAATATAACTATATTAAAAGGGGATAGTATATCCAATATATTTAATACAGAAAGGATGAAGATATAGATAGTAGAATGATCAGAGGAATAATAATTTTTTTCCCACTGTTCTCAATATCACTGCTAATTCCTATAAGAACACAATTACTCAATCACTAATCTGCTGTAGTAGTCTGATTGATGCTAAGCCATGCTGCAGGAATGAATAAACCCCCAAATCTTAAAATCTTAGCATTATAGAGGTTTATTTCTCAATGATGCAATGACAAATACAGGTCCATCTGGTGACTCAGGGTCCCAGTTGTCCTCCGCTTATGATGTTTCCAACTCAGGAAATGCCTTTTATGGTTGCTATGGCAGAGGAAGAGAGGAGTGGGGAGCTGGCACCTAGGTCTTCAGTGCTTCAGCTAGGAAGTCATAGTCATGACTCTGCTCCACATTTTTACAATCTAAGAATAGTCAGATGCCCCTCTTAACTGCAAGGGGCTGAGAAGTGTAGGGAACACAAGAATATTTTTTGAGAGCTACTATCTCTGCTTACATATAATGGCAGAAGAAATATCCTCCTAAATCTATTAAAATCATACTATGCTCTCAAAGATTCTAGCTGCTCCCTTAATTTGATATTTTATCCCTGCTATAATTTTTACAAGCTTCTTTTCATATATATATACACACACACACATATGTATTTATGTGTGATGTATGTATACATAGCTATTACCCAAGTCTTTCCATTAACATGGTGTTATATTTGTCCTTACCAGAACTACTGACTGCTAACAACATAAAACTCTTTTCCATCCAAAATCATTCCTATTTAAACATTTATTAGTGTTCAATTCTAATACCATTCAACTGCTCATAAAGGAGAAAGAGGAAGAGAAGGAAGAGGAGGAGAAATTTTCCAGGTAAGTTTATAGAGTAAAGGAAACAACCTGCCATTTTGATTGTTTTGAGTATCAATTAAATTATCAGTTAATAATTCAAGAAAATATATCCCAGGAAAAAAAAAATCCCCTGTATAATAAACTAAAGCTTTTTTAACATCCTTCTTAATCCCTCATATGAAAAATTTATACTCCCCTCTTAGATATTAATAAAAGCTCAATGTACAGGTAGCTAGGGTGCCCCCCGTCTTCCCTGCTGGATTTGTAGGTCCTGCTCATGCAGAGGGGTTATTTCCCAGCATGTGGATGCTCTATTTGACTCCACTGTAGGCCAACCACCCCTTCTCATCAATCATGTTGCAATTATTTTTTACACAATTACGTCTTCTTTTAGAGAAGAGAATTATTTAACCAGAAATAACATCAACAAGCCTTTTACAGAATATACATGCTTAAGTTTCACACCATATTGTTGAGATATTTTAAGTGTTTAAAAAATAGTATGTGAATATATTTCGGTTGTAAAAAATTCAAAGGAAGCTTTATACCCATTAGGATGGCTGCCATAATTTTAAAAATGGAAGGTAGAAATTGGTGAGGATGTGAAGGAATTAGAAGCCTTATGCATTGTTGATGGGAATATAAAATGGTGTGACAATCATGGAAAACAGTATGGAGGGTCCTCAAAACATTACAAATAGAATTACAATAGGATCCAACAATTCCACTTCTGGGAATATGCCCCAAATAATTAAAAGCAGGGTCCTGAAAAGATATTTATACATCTCTGTCATAGTAGCATTATTTACAATGGCCAAAAGGTGGGAGAAACCTGGCTGTTGACAGACGAATAGATAAATAAAATGTTGTGCATGTATACGATGGAACATTATTCCGTCTGTAAAAGAGAGGAAATTCTGACACATGCTACCATATGAATGGACCTTGAGGACATTCTGCTAAGTGAAATATACCAGTCACAAAAAGACAAATGCTGTTATGATTCTACTTACCTAGAGTAGTCAGAATCATAGAGACAGAAAGTATAATGGTGATTACTAGCGGCTGCAGGGAGAGAGGAATAGGGAGTTATTATTTAATGAGTACCGAGTTTCAGTTTTGCAAGATGAAAAGCATTCTGGATGTGAATGGTGTTGATGGTTGCACAACAATGTGAAGGTACTAATACTACTGAACTGTATACTTAAAAATGGTTACAATGATGAATTTTATGTTATGTGTATTTTACAATACTTTAAAATAATTCAAAAGTAACATCCTCACTCCCAGTGCTCTATACAGAGAAAACCAATGTCTTTATTCTTTAGTTCTGCGTTTACATAGACACAAATTCTCACATAGCAATATATGGTTTATTCTTTGATTCATTTTTTTTTCACATAAATGCTATCTTAATGCATATCTTGTTCTGCATGTTCAACAATGTCTCAGTCTTGCCATGAGAAACGGAGCAGGGAAACTTCCTGGGCCTAAACTGAATAGGCCATTTTATTCTCTTCTCTGCCACATTCTTTGTGGTTCTGTCTCCACTGGACTGGGACTCTCCATTGGTCCTTTACCAATGAGCCATTCTATTCTCATGAAATATTCATGAGAATGTTTCACCAGATCTAGGATTTCTACATATTACTTCTAACATTTCCATATTTCTTTGCCTAAAATTTTCCATTCTATTTGAAAGTTGTGTGCCTTTTTTCTTTTTCTTTTTATCACCTACATGGGGAGGTAGAGTGTTGGCTTTCAAAGGTGAAATTGCATCTTTCCACAACTCTGAGTTTTCTGAGTTTTGAGTCTGTTCTTGACTTCTTTTAAAAAAAAACTCTTTGGTCATGGTGGCAATAGAGGTTAGAGTATGAATACCAACTCCTCTCGTTTAGGCCTCTGTTCTTTAGATATGGTCATTTTACCGCTTCAAGGATCAGAACATATCATATCCCAAATTTATAATCCCCAGAGGTAACTCAGATATGTATAATTCTTTAATAACAATCTGATTTGTTCTCAATATTTAAAGTGAACCCAAGATGAAGAGTTGGAAAGGAAATTTTTAAAACTCTAATGCTTTAGTAGGCTCTCAAACTGCTGACAGCTCAAGTGTTCTGTCTCTTTGGCAACATATAAAAATCCAGAATAACAGTTAAATATTCCACAGCTAACTATTATTTAATACTAATATTATGTCTTGGTTAATGGAAGACACCATAGACCACATTTTGAATATTTGTGCTCCTTTTTAATATTGGTAATCCTCCTTCTGAGATAAATTCAGGAAATCTGACCTTTCTCCTCAGCCCTTTTGAAATAAAGACCACTTTTCCAATTAGGAATATCTAATGTAGTGTTAAAGCTCAGAGTTGAAAAGATGTTTTAGTATTCATCAGATATAACGTTGTAGTATTATTGGTAACATTGTGAAACAAATTCCAGTACACTTCAGCTCTGCTAACAAAGATGAAATAGAGAATAAAGTAGGTGTATGCTGAATCTTATTAAGGTTGACATCCAGTTTGAATACATTCATCCTCTAAGGTATAGTTTTGGGTATAAACCATCGAGCAAGCACAAAACAGTGAAGCTGAGAGCTGCAGAACATAGAGATCTGGTGGATTCTAAAGGACTGAGAATGATCGATGGCTACTGAAATGAAGTGTGAAATGGTATCCATAGCTGATATTTGTCTTTAACTGATAAAATGGCTAAAGCATTTCCTGGTCAACACACCACTCTCCCTCCTCTCTTCTCATTCCTCTAGAACAGTGGCCTTCAAACTCTTTTCTTGATAACAAATGCACTTAAATTGGAGAATATCTCTCTTTCTAACACACACATAACAAAAATGTCATGAGATGTCTTAAATACTTAGACATTTTACATTCAGTGTACTCCAATATTTCTATTTTATATTCTTTTTTAAATACTGGTTTTGACCTATTAAATGGACTTCAAGAAATTTTTCAGTCTCATCTAGGCACACAGATTTAAATATTACTTCTATGTTAGTGACCTCTTCTGTGAGTAAGCTCCGTCTCTAACTTTCTATCTCCTTTGGATATCCTTATTCGCATATTCCTTCCAGAACGTACAACTTAACGTGGCTTAAACTTAACAGCTAAACATTCTCCCTCTGAAGTATCCCATTCTTTCCACAGTCCTCACCCACCTCCATCAAGTTATTTTCCTCCTGTTTCCAAATTTCTGCTGAGGGTCCCATCAGTCTTCCAGGTGTAAACCATTAGATTCCTACTAGATCCCTATCTTTCTTCCCGTTACTATATCAGTGAGCAAGGTCTTGATTCTATTTCGTTTTTTGTCACAATTAATTATTATTAATAGAAAATAAACACTTATTCCAGTTTCAAAGTTGTTATAATTGAAGTTGCTAATTTTAAAAAATGAATTTTAAATAATCACTTAATAATCCTTCTTTGACTAAGACAATGAAATGTGGCTTTAAAAAAAGTAATCAGCACCATTTGCTTATAGGTCTTTCAGAATTTGTTCTTAAAGTTTCTGGAACTTTCCTCTCTGTAAAGTACAGGAAATACTGAGCTACACTGGAAAGCCTCTCTGGGACAGGCAATGGGGAGTTAAGCAGTCATCATAAAGGAATCAATGTACATTCAGCATAGTGACTTGGACTACACAACAATTCCTTCTCCTCTACGGTAGCTCAAGAGAGACATGCTTCTAAGCACAGAGGTATGAGAAGTCTCAGACTGTTATTTGCTGTTAGAATTGGTCTCCCCATCTAATAACAGTAAATCTCTGGCACAGATGCTATTGGTCCTTAATGTCCTGTGATTTTAGGAAATAGTTTGGATTTAGTTTAATTTATTCAGAAATCAAACATGTTTAATTAGGTTCACTGCTCTGGCAGAGTAAGGGTATGCTGGTTTAGTATCTTTATAATATATATATAATGAGTAGGTAAATCATAGTCTTAAATCATACTTAGAATACTATATTATTTAAACCAATATCTATTTCAACAAAATGTTTATAAATAAAAACAGCTGATGAAACTAAATCCAAAGGTATGACAAAGACGACTCAGCTCTATGTTGCTTAAAGAACTTTAAAAAGCATGTGCCCATAAAGCCGTTCAAGGAGAGGGAAGGAGGTCCCCTTCTCCTTATTCTTACGATAGAATTCCTATTGGGGCTGTGCCAGAAATGAGCACTTCTAAGTATTTCAGAGAAGTCCAAAGTGTTAAAAAGTCTTTTATGCAAAAGAACGTCTTTCTGAATCAGTGAATAGTAATGCTCATCAGAATTTTCTAATAACACAAAAACAAAGCCAAGTCCATACATTTGATCAGTTGTCAAAGTAATGGGAGGTGGACTATTATGTCAACCTTAGTCAGAGCTCCTGCTGGCTTCTTTGTATACACTGTTCACCAATTTGAGTAAAGTGGACTTTGTGAGAGAATAGTGTTTGATGGCCAGGACCTCTTTTGGGCATTTCTTCCTAAGTGGAATACACAACAGATAAGGGAGTAGAGGAGGTAATACAGGGAAGCTACTCATTCCAGCTCAGAAGGAGCAGAAGGAGTTAGATGAAGCCCATATATGCATTCAAGAAGCCAATGGTATCCTCTAGCTGTGGATAGTGGCTAATGTGGTCATCCAGAATCCACACTGTGGACCGCAGCAGCGTTTTCCCGTACAGATCCAAAAACTCTGGATAGGGATTTACAGGATCCAATGGCCGGTAGATAAAATGAATGGGGATAGTTACAGAGGCAAGAGCTCCCACCCAGCGCCTTCTGAGCTTCTTCCTCTGATTGATGTACTGTAAGAGACCGTCAATGGCTAAGTTCCCGTCATTGATGCGGATCCCTGCCCACATGTCCCACAGCTCACTCTCACAGAGCCAAGTACACGGCCCAAAGACTGGGGTGAGACCTCGAGAGAATACAAAGAAGTTCATCAGTCATGTGAGGATGAGTGATAGCACACCTCCATCTTTGAGTAGCTTTTGGAGAAGGAGTGGACGGTGAGTCTCAGGAAAGATACCTCCATTTGACAGACAGACTCTTTATGGTATGCCGACCAGATCGATTCTGCTTGTACCTGTAGAGAAACTCCTGAGCGACAATTATCTCCATAGTCATGAGACTTGATCCTGCAGTTCTGGAGCCCCAGATGCCGCAAAAGCGCTTCCACGATGCTGACCTGCTCAAATATGGAATAGTGATGCGGTCTCGGTTTGTCACTGAAGCCAACGCCAAGAAATCAAGGGCAATCACCCGATGAAACCTCAAGGTCAGACCTTCCCAATTCTTGTACCAATCGTAGCTGGATATTGGAAAACGTGTAAAACCACAACTGTCTCCTGACTTCCAACCACACCCACAGAGTCTTGGTAGAAGATACGCAGTCCCTTGTAAGTGAAAAACTTGCCTGAAGACTTCCACGAGTGAAGATCAGGTGACAGCTGAGTGTATGGGATGTGCAGGTACGCAGCAAGCAGGAGCGCGGCCCACAGCCCCACCTGGACCCACCACTCCCTCATCCTGCGGAGGCGATCTTTGCGCACGGCGGCGTTATCCCACGCTGCCAGCCTCGGCGTTGCAGAGCACGGGGCGCCGTGGCGCCCGCAGCCCTGCAGGGCCGGCCGGCAGCGGGGTCTCAATCAGCAGCCCACAGCCCGCACAGGGCGGCGCCGCGCCCGGCAGCTACAGCCACTCTGACGTGCACGGCGGCACTGCGTTTGCTAGGCGCGACTGCCACAAGGGAAGTGCCCGGGTGTGCTGGTTGCCGTGGCCTCTATTTCTAAAGTATTTCTTATATTTTCCTATTTCTTTTCATTCCTACTGCTTACACCCTCATTGACTGAACTATTGCAACCGCCTCTTGAGGTGACTGAAATATTCATAGATATTGCAGTTATTCTCCTTTTGGGCATATAGTAGGATTACATTTGCTCACCCCTGAAATTAGGCATAGACACCGTCAATGAAATGTGAACAGAACTGACATGCTTTACTCTTAGATTGAATACGAGTTTTACAAGCCAGTGCATAATTCGCCATGCTATAGAGACAGATGATCTTCCAGATGGATGCCTGAGTGTAGAATATATAGATCAGTTCCCCCCACCCTTCACACATGGGCCCAAAATGTACACGGAGCAGGAGCAAGAAATACACGTCCTTGCTATCTTTGTTAGTTTAATCCACAGAGACTTTGGAGTCTGCAGTTATACAGCATCCTAGCCTGTCCTGACTGATATGATCCCTTAACTGATTTTTCTACTCAAAGTCTCTTCTCCCTCCGATTATTCTACATCACTATCATATTAATCTTTCTGAAATAGAACTCTAATTATATAAATTCCTTATGAAAATCTTTGAATATTTCCCTGTTATCTTCACTGGCTTTCAAGACCATCACAGTGTGCATCTCAACTTCCTTTTAAAACACCCACGGTTTCCCTACGTGTACACACACACTTTCTAACACGTTCGCTTTTCTGTTCCTATGATTCTAAGATGCTCTCTGCTAGTCCTGTCTAAGTGCTACCTATTCTTAAGTAACAGTTCAAATGCCAGTATCTCTATGAGGCTTTTTCTGGATCTCTGCAAAAAAAAAGGGACAAGAAACACCTTCCTCCCAAAGGAACAAAGAATGGCAATTACTTATAAGTAAGCCAGATTTTAGCAATTGGACCATTTTTGTCTTAAATATAACTAACCTGTCTCTATAGCTTACAAGGTATTCATAAATTCTTCAAACAAAAGAAATTTATCATAAAGGATACAGGTAAAAGTTCTGTGAAATTGTTTAAAAAATAACTAAATAAATGAATTCCCAAATGATTTTGAGTCTTTATTGTAGTTCTTATCACACTTTGCAGTGGCCATTTCTAGCACTTTTCAGGCAATAAATGGTCTTCTTTCACTTCCATATTATTGAAAATTCTTTTGCATAATGCCTAGCAAATATCTTAATGTTGAATATCTGAATGAATGAATGAATGAATGAACGAATGAAATTAAGGTTGCATTTTATTTTAAAACTACCGTTTTTTTCTTCAGAAATCACAACGAGGCAAATGTTGCCAATAAAATAGTTATTAAGTTAAAAAACATAAATATCTGAGAAATGAACTGAGAAAAGGAGAAATCCTTACAGGACATGAATGGTACAGGAGAATAGTACATATCAAAGGGTGAACTCTGGGTCACAGCTTGTGGGATCAGGCAAGAACATGTCTAGTCATAGTCTTTCAAATAATCTTATTAAAAATTATTTTTTCTAAGATCCACTTTTACTCTTTTCTCTGACTAATTTTATTTAGCTTTCAAGCATTTCTTTGTGGCTTCAGTTTTGACTTCAGTTTTTAAACAATTTAAACAAATAAAAATTACATTACAGAATTGTTACTTTTAAACTCTTACTTTCCACGGGGACTGTTATTGTAAAATCTGTTCTTATTCTTTTAATTTAACTCCATTATTTTGTTTTAAATGTAATGATTGTTCATTATATTTTTCTCCAACTGCTTTAAAAGCACCAATCCTTCTTTGCTGTATATGTATCAAAGTCCATAAATATTCTTTGACATTATCCTAGCCTTGAATAATAAAAGGAAAAAAACCTCTCACAACTTTTTATTCTACAAAATAATATTAAAATATGCCCCTATTTTTACTGTAAATGTAATCTTCACAGCAACAGTCAAGAGAACAAGACTGAGTCATTCTTCATCACACATTGCAAGGGCTATGTCTCCTCTGTTGTGAGGAGAATATTGCCCTGCAGCAATATTCTCACAAGTGGAGCTCTGGGTCATTGACTGCACTTTTGCTAATAAGAAATCTTCAGTAGGAGTGACTGGGCCTTGTGCAAATCTCTCCAGTAGTTTCTTCCACTAGTGACGCATTAGAGCCTCAGAATCAATCACTCAACAAGTGTTTACTGAAAGCTTACTGATACCCAGACCTTAAACTGTTACCAAACAGAATGCCAGATATGGGATATAATTCCAGCCTGAAGAGTTTATGCTCAAGACAAGACTTACATATATTACAGAGAAGCGTAACAGAGCAAATGATTAAGTTCTAAGTTTCACTGTACACCCTAAAAAAAAGGAGAAATTGATATGGAACATGAATAGTATAGGAAAATGGTCCTTAGGAAGGCCAGACATGAGAGGGTGAGCTCTAGGTGACCACCTGTAGGATCAGGAAAGAACATATCTAGTCCTGGAGTTAAGATTTCTATTTTTTCTAGATTTATAGAGGTATAATTGACAATTAAAAATTGTGTATATTCTAGATATGCATGACGATTTAATATACATATACATTGTGAAATGATTACCACAACCAAATTAATTAATACGTGTATCACCTCACATAGTTATCACTTTGTGTGTGCGTGTTTGTTTATGCATGGAGGACATTTAAGATCTGTGTTTGGAAAATTCCAAATAAACAGTACAATATTATTAACTATAGTTACTATTCTGTACATTAGATCCCTAGAACTTATTCATCTTATAACTGAAACTGTGTACCCTTTGACCCAAACCTCTCATTTACCCCAATTCCTGGCAACCACCATTCATTCCACCATTCTACTCTCTGCTTCTATGAGTTCAACTTTTTAGATTCCACATGTGAGTGAGATCATACTGTATTTGTTTTTCTATGTGTGGCTTATCTCACCTAGCACAATGCCCTTCAGGCTTATCCATGTCATTGCAAATAGCAGGATTTCCTTCTCTTTTATGGCTGAATAATATTCCTCTATCTCCCTCTCTCCCTCTCTTTCTGTGTGTGTGTGTGTGTGTGTGTGTGTGTGTGTGTCTGTGTGTCTGTGTATGTGTGTATACTATATTTACTTTATCCATTCATTCACTGATGGATACTTAGGCCATTTATTTATCTTGACTGTTGTGAATGATGCTGCTATGAACATGTGGATGCAGATATCTCCTTGAGATACTGATATCACCTTTTAAAATATATAGCTAGAAATGGGATTGCTGGGTCATATTGTAGTACTATTTTCATTTTTGGAAGAATCTCTATGCTTAATGCTGTTTTCCATAGTGGCTATGCCTATTTACATTCCCACCAAAAGTGTAGAAGGGTTTCTTTTTCTCTGTTTCCTCACCAACATGTGTTATCTTTTGTCTTTTATATAATAGCCATGCTAATAGGTATGAGGTGATATCTCACTGTGGTTTTGATTTGTATTTCCCTGATGATTAATGATGTTGAACACTTTTTAATATACCTGTTGGCCATTTGTATGTCTCTTTTTGGAAACATGTCTATTTTTTAGATATGTTTAGGTCCTTTGTCCATTTTGAAATTGGCTTATTTTGTGTTTTCTTGCTATTGAGTTGTATGAATTCCTTATATATTTTGAATATTAACTCCTGATCATATATATGGTTTGCCAATATATTATCCCATACCACAACTTGCCTTTTTATTTTGTTGATTGTATCCTCTGCTGTAGAAGTTTTTAGTTTGCTGCAGTTACACTTCTTTGTTTTTGCTTTCATTGCCTGTGCTTCGGGTGTCGTACCCCAAAAATCATGACCAAGACTGATGGCAAGGAGCCTTTTCTTTATATTTATTTTAGAAGCTTTATGGTTTCAGGTCATACATTTCAGTCTTGAATCCATTTTCAGTTGATTTTTGTATATGGAATAAGATAAACATCCAAAATCATTCTTTTGCATGTGGATATCTAGTTTCCCCAATACAGTTTATTGAAAAGACTATTTGTTCCCCATTGTGTAGTTTTAATGGCCTAGTCAAAGATTAGTTGGCCATATATTTGTGGGTTTATTTCTGGGCTATTCCGTTTCATTGGTCTATATGTCTGTTTTTATAGCACTATCACACTGTTTTGATTACCATGGCTTTGTATATAGTTTGAAATCAGGACCCATGGTGCTTCTGGCTTTGTCCTTCTTTCTTAAGATTGCTTTGGATATTTTGGGTCATTTGTGATTTCATATGAATTTTAATTATTAAAATTCTTATTCTTTTTTTTAGAACTGTTTTTTCTACATTTTCTTTCTTTTTTTCTTTCTTTTTTTTCTGAGGTGGAATTTCCCTCTTTTCGCTCAAGGTGGAGTGCAATGGTGCAATCTCAGCTCACTGCAACCTCCGTCTCCTGGGTTCAAGTGATTCTCCTGCCTCAGCCTCCTGAGTAGCTGAGATTACAGGTGCACACCACCATGCCCAGCCAATTTTATTTTTTGTATTTCTTAGTAGAGATGGGGTTTTGCTATGTTGGACAGGCTGGTCTCAAACTCCTGACCTCAGGTAATCTGCCCACCTCAGCCTCCCAAAGTGCTGGGATTACAGGCATAAGCCACTACACCCGGCCATTTTTTCTACATTTTCTAAAAAATTGCCATTGAAATGTTGAGTGACTGCATTGACTCTGTAGATCATTTTGGGTAATGTGGACATTTTAACAATATTAGTTCTTCCAATTCATGAACACAGAAAGTCTTTCCATTTATTTGTGTTGTCTTCCATTTCTTTCTTCAATGTCTTATAGTTTTCAGTGTACAGATCTTTCACCTCCTTGGTTAAATTTATTCGTATATATTTCATTATTTTTGACGCTATTGCTTTGGTTTCTTATTATTATTATACTTTGAGTTCTAGGGTACTTGTGCACAATGTGCAGGTTTGTTACATAGGTATACATGTGCCATGTTGGTTTGCCGCACCCGTCAACTCATCATTTACATTAGGTATTTATCCTAATGCTATCCCTCCCCCAGCCCCACACCCCCCCCAACAGACCCCAATGTGTAATGTTCCCCTCCCTGTGTCCATGTGTTCTCATTGTTCAACTCCCACTTATGAGTGAGAACACACACTGTTTGGTTTTCTGTCCTTGTGATATTTTGCTGAGAATGTTGGTTTCCAGCTTCATCCATGTCCCTGCAAAGGACATAAACTCATCTTTTTTATGACTCTGTAGTATTCCATGGTGTATATGTGCCACATTTTCTTTATCCAGTCTATTATTGATGGACATTTGGGTTGGTTCCAAGTCTTTGCTATTGTGAATAGTGCTGCAGTAAACATACATGTACATGTGTCTTTATAGTAGCATGATTTATAATCCTTTGGGTACTTAATTCTTTTTTGGATAATTTGTTGTTAATATAGATGCACGACTGATTTTCATATGTTGATTTCATATCCTGCAACTTTATTGAATTTCTTTATTAGCTTCTAATAGCACTTTAGATGGAGTTTAGGGTTTCCTTCATATAAGATCATGTCATCTGCAAACAGAGACAATTTACCTTCTTCCTTTCCAATTTAGATGAATGTTATATCTTTTTCTTGCCGAATTGCTCTGACTAGGACTCATAGTACTATGTTGATTGGGAGTGGTAAGACTGGGCACCTGATAAGGTTAGGCTTTATGTCCCCACCCAAATCTCATCTTCAGTTGTAACCCTCATCATCCCCATAATCCCCAAATGTCAAAGGAAACCAGATGAAGGTAATTGAATCATGGAGGCCAGTTTCCCCGATGCTTTTCTTGTGATAGTGAGTGAGTTCTCATGAGCTCTGATAGTTTTATAAGGGGCTCTTCCCCCTTCGCTTGGCACTTCTTCTTCCTGCTGCCTTGTGAGGAAGGTACCTTGCTTCCCCTTGGCCTTCTGCCACGGTTGTAAGCTTCCTGAGGTCTCCCCAGCCGTGCTGAACTGTGATTCAATTAAAACTTTTTCCTTTATAAATCACCCAGTTTCGGGCAGTTCTTTATAGCCTTGTGAAAACGACTAATACAGCACCCTTATCTTATTCCTAATCTCAGAAAAGCTTTCAACTTTTCACTATTCAGTATGACATCAGCTGTAGACTTGTCATATATGTCCTTTATTATGTTCAGATACATTTTTCTATACCTAATTTGTTGGGAGCTTTTATCATGACAGGATGTTGAATTTTTTCAAATGCTTTTTCTACATCTGAGATGATAATATGATTTTTATTCTTTATTCTGTGAAAGTGGTATACAGTAGTCCCCCTTTATGCATGGGGGATACATTCCAGGACCCCCAGAGTATGTCTGAAACTGCAGATTGTACTGACACCTACATATAGTATGCTTTTTATTCTATGTATATACCTATGAAAAAGTTTAATTTATGTTAGGCACAGCAAGAGATTAACAACAATAGAGCAATTATAACAATTTACTATAATAAGAGTTATGTGAATGTTGTCTCTCTCACTCCCCCTCAAAATATCTTATTGTATTATACTCATCTTTCTCCTTGTGATGATGTGAGATGATAAAAGGCCACCATGATTAGATGAAATATGGTGAACGACATAGGCATTGTAACATAAAGTTAGGTTATTATTGATTTTCTGATGATGCATCAGAAGGAAGACCATCTGCTTTGAGCGACCCTTGATTATTGAGCTATGACAATGTTGATGGTTGGATGCCAGGTGCATATGATATCAATGTCCAACAGGTCGGTTGTGATACAGTTTGGATACCCTAGAAAAAGGAATGGTTCATCTCCTGGGTGGGAGGAAACAGGACAGTGTAAGATTTAATCCTGCTACTCAAAATGCACAATTCAAAACTTATGAATTGTTTTTCTGAAATTTTCCACTTAATATTTTCAGACCATGATTGAGTACAGGTAACTGAAACCATGGAAAGTGAAACAAAGCATAAGTGAGAATACTATATCACATTTATCGACTCATGTATGTTGAATTATCCATTTATTCCAAGGATAAATCCCTCTTAATCATGGTGAATGTTCCTTTTGATATGCCGTTGAATTTGATTTGCTAGTATTTTTTTGAGGATTTTTATATCTGTGTTCTTCAGAGATATTGGCCTGTAATTTTCTTTATTTGTAGTGTCCTTATCTGGGTTAGCATTGTATAATAGTTACCTCATATAATGAGATTGGAAGTGTTCCCTCCAAGTGTCTGGTCTTGAACTTTTCTTTATTGGGAGATTTTTTTTTCTGATTTATTCTCCTTACTCATTATCAGGTACTCATTACCCAAATTTGTTCAGATTTTCTATTTCTTCATCATTCAGTCTTGGTCGATTCTATGTGTCTAGCCTTTATCAACTTCTTGTAGGTTATTGTATTTATTGGTGTATAATTGTTCATAGCAGTCTCTATGATCCTTTTTTATTTCTGTTGCAATGTCTCCTCTTTAATTTATAATTTTATTTAGTTGAATCCTCATTCCTTTTTTCTTAGTTTGGCTGAAGGTTTGTCAATTTTGTTTATCTTTAAAAAAACAATTCTTACTTATATTGATCTTTTCTATTCTCTTTCTAGTCACAATTTCATTTATTTATGCTCTAATATGTATTATTCCCTTCCCTTTTCTATCTTTGTCTTAGTTTTTTTTTTCCTATTTCCTTGAGGTATAAAGTTAAGTTGTTCATTTTAGATCTTTTTTTTTAATATAGGCATTTATCAATGTAAACTTCTCTCTTAGAACGTCTTTTGCTGCATCCCAGAAGTTTTGGTGTGTTGTATTGTTATTTTCATTTGTCTCAAGATACTTTTGATTTCTCTTTGGATTTCTTCTTTGACCCATTGGTCATTTTGGAGTGTGTTGCTTACTTTCCATATATCTGTGCTGGGATTAATATTTCTGACTTTTTAGCCAGGCTGCCTGTATTCTAATTACAACTTCACCACTTACAAGGTATTTAGCTTTAGGTAAGCCATTTAAACTCTCAGTGCCTCAGTCCCCTTATCTGTAAAAATGAGTAATACAGTGATATTAATAATAATAATGAGAGTATCTACCTCCCTGACTGATTGTGAAGATGAAATGAAATAGTCAGTAGAAAGTAGTTAGAATAGTTCACAGCATACAGTATTTATTATTTTTATGATTAACTAATGTTTTATGAGGTCCTTAGAGTGCTAGACACTGTTTGCATGAATTATTTTATATGATCTCACCACAACCTTATAAAAAAGTTTTTATTGTCCGATGTTTTAGACGGCGTAGTTATAGGAGTTAGTTTCAGCCACCAGTTGTATATAGAGAAGCTGCTAGGCAAACATAAGATTTTTTTAAATCTAGCACAAGGACCTGAACTTTACCACATCTGTCTCCCCTGTTGACTATCAATTCAATGCCTAGGTCCCATGAGGGAAGGGTCAAAGCATTTGATGTTAAAATGTACTTCTCAGAGGATGTCCTTCGGAGAAGTATTCTTTCTCTTACTTATGTTTTGTTAATTTTTGCTTGGTTTTGATTGTAGACATCAGTTTGTAATCAGAAATGAAGGGAAGGTCCTGGGAGTACCAACATTTAAGAGTGACCAAAAGAATGGAAGCCAGCAAAAGGGATAGAATTCTATCATCTTGACTCCCAAACCTACTCCATGTTGATAGTCTTAATCTTAGTTAATGATCCCTGCTGCTTGATCCAAAAACCTAACAATGACTTCACTCATTTCCCTCCTTCTGCACTGTTGTTACCTCTTCAGGGACAAAATTTCAATACTTTCCACTTAGACTTTCACTACTGACTTCTAACTCATCTTTTTGCTTTCTCTTATTTGGAACAGTTATTCAGCTTACCCTAAGTCCAGAGTGAATTTCCAAAAAATCAAAGGTTCTGCAACTTTTCATTTCTCTTCAATTCCAACTCAGGTTCACACGTTTATCACCTAGTGTAGAAGGGCTTTCCTCCACAGTTTTGCTTGGCAAACTCCTTTTCATCCTTCAAGACTCAACAAAATTGTTGCCTTTTCATGAAAAAGGATACTCTTCCATCCTTCTGATATTAATAATTTTTTGTTCTTGTGTCCATGATAGACTTTGTCATAATGTATTACAGTTTATCCTGGAGGAAAGCACCACAAGACCAAGAGTTTCCTTTTTTTTTTTCATCCCAATGCTTGATACATAGTAGCCATTTGATAAGTACATGTTGAATGAAAGCATGAATTTATAACATATATACCTTCACCTGACTTGGAGTTTCATAAGGAATGCAACAGCTTCCAATTCATTTACTTTCTTTTTGCTTAACAAAGTATCTGACACATAGTACAAAAGTTAAATATTATAAATAAAAGATTAATTGCACAGATATTTTTAAAGGAGACAGAAAAGATTTGAATATCCAGGAATTCCACCCAACGATGAAAGACCTATAGGCGGTTACAAGTAGGTAAGCAGAGTCCAAAATGTAGGGTCATTTTCAATGGCAGAGAGGAATAGGAGAGTCAATAAGAAGCAAATGCTCAAGGAGCTTGAGTAGAGACGGGAATAGGCATCTCTTTATTATCTTATTGGCTGATTTATACTTCTTGTAAAATAATTAGCTTAAGCTAATTATCTAAGAAACAAGAATCTCTCCTAGGCAGATTCAGTTGCCTTTCCTGGTTCTCCCTGAGTGCTCTGAGTAAGCCCCACCATTGCCTTCTAGAAAAACTTTCTTTCTTCTTTCTTGCCCACTCCCATCTGATCCCTTCACGGCATCCAGAATGATGATCCAAAAGTTTGGGTCCAAATGTGATGCAAAAGTTTACAGTGGTCTACCATGGTTCCTTTACAAAAAAAGACCAAAAATGTTCTGCCATTCTTGCTCATCATGATTTTGCCTCAGTTTTTCAAGTTATGTTTTGTTCATAATGGATTTTTTTTTGTTTGTTTTCTGAATGTGTTCTGTTCCTTCTACTGCCTTAAAAAGCCCTCATCACTGAGTCTTCCTACTACTTCCCTCACCTCCACTTACCCTACTGAATTTTCAAACTGCAAGTCAAATATTACTTCCTTAGGGGAATCTCATCAGACTGTCTCCCTAGACCACCACACCCCACCCAACAACTAGATCACATCCCTTTATTAGGGGTACTATGTTTTCAGTATAATTGCAATTATAATTATTGACCCATTGAATGAGTTGATTCATGTCCCTTCCTTCTTTATTATAAGCTTTAAGAGGGCAAAAACTATTTCTGTTTTTCTTACCATCTTTCCCTCTTTAGTGCTTCCACATTGTCTGGTACATTGCAGACATCTAATAAATATTTGTCGGAAGGAATAAATATTAGTGAGAGAATAAATGGGTAATGCATTCATGAGTGAATAAAGATTATATCATATTTTTGTGGTAAATATTTTGTTTACCTTCAATGACTGAAACAAAGAGTTCCATATCCTGAAATATGACCTGAAAGCCATGGAATGAAAGGTTTGATAAAGCTGGACGTGGTAGCTCACACCTGTGATCCCAGCATTTCTAGAGACCAGGGTGAGAGAATCGCTTGAGCTCAGAAGTTCAAGGCCAGCCTGGGTAGCACAATACCTTGTCTCTACAAAAAAAGAAACAAAATTAGTTGAGCATGGTAGTACACACCTGTAGTCCCACCTACTCCAAAGGCTGAAGTGGGAGGATTGCATGAGCCCAGGAGTTCCAGGCTGCAGCGTGCTGAGATCATGCCACTGTGCTCCAGGCTGGGTGACAGAGCAAGAGCCTGTCCCCCCCAAAATTTTTTTAAATAAGAAAGTTTTAATAAGCAGAATATTAGTTTAATTATGAATGAGAAGAGATGTATAGCATTTGTAGGGGTACAGAACCATGTATTCCATAAAGGAAGAAGTTAAGAGCAATGATGTGGAATAAGCATGGGGCTTTTAAGAACTTGTCTGAAAAGAGGATATTCTTTGGTCAATAGTTGAAAAAATAAAATAAGCCTTGCTGGAGTGGAGCAAGTCAATGGAAAGCCTTCACAGTTAGGTGGAGCATTTACACTAAATGACTTTATTTCGAACATTCAACAAACACTGACTGATTGTCTATTGGTTACCCGCCATATAATGTTAGGTGCTGGGGAAATAGAAGTAAGTAGAATGAGGTGGGGGAGGTTCACTGTGGCTCTTGGAAAGGAAAATACATAATCAAAGTTTGTGTTAGAAGGGTCAATCTGAAGGCTTTTGAAAAATGGATCTGGGATAGGGAGGATGTTTGTTGAATGAATGAATCAATCAATCCAATTAATTCAATAAACTAATCATGATTTTAGTGAGTATTCTATGAACCCTCACTTAGTTTGATTACCTTGACTGTGACATTTAACTTTGTATTTCACTACTTCTTTGCTTCTCTTACATTCAGTTAAAAATATTTTTAAAATACAATTTTCAAGGTTCAGAAACAAAAAAAATAAATGACATTCTGGAAAAAATAGATGTGCTCAGAACTAAAAAATAAAAATAATGGAGATGGTAAATATATAAGTGAGAAATATGATGATGATTTTCATTAACAAGATACACCATTAAATATATTCTCACGTGATCCAAAGTAATTTCGTTCTCTGTGCCCAGCGAGTTGGTATCTACTGATGGTGGTTTTTCAAATGCACCGTGCAGTTAGACGTCATCACTGAGACCTCAATAATAGACCTCCATCACTGAGAAGTTCAGAGGTAGAAGATGCAGGGGGACAATGTTGGCCTGCATTAATCTTAGCTTGAAAAGAGGATCTTTAGATAACACTATCTAAATTTAGCTGTGTTCAAAATGCTCCACCACAGAAGAGCAGCAAAAAGCAATCTCATTAAAACAAGCTCAGAAAACAATTCCAAGATATATGAGTAAAAGCAAACTAAACAACGGAAGCACAAATAGTATGACCTTCTCTTGACTTCTACTTGCACAGCTCTACTTATTCAAGCTCTGTTTCGGACATTAAGCTTTTTTCATAGCCATAACTTTCGTGTTTTTTCCATCATCCTGTCTATTATATTTCCCCTTTTATCTTTTATTGAGTTCTTTTAGGAGAAACTTGAAAAAAAAATCTCTATAAATGGAGGTTTTTTACTCAAGAGCTTTTAAAATAACAGTACATCACCAGATCATTTTTAAAAAGTGTTCTATTGTAGTTAAGTGAATATTTATTGAAATTTTTCTCGTCTTCCCATTGAAGACTACAGAAATCTCTTTCTTCCAGTTGAGCTCAAAAGGAAAAGCAAAAAAAGATGGACAGAAGCCAGAAATGCTGAATAAATTAGTGTCCTTTTTATTTACTTTTTAAAAACTATGAATTGGCTCATTTAAATAGATTCTAAAAGTATTTGTATGTGGGTCTGAACACTGTTGTCATGGAGATTAAAACATTTTTGTTGTTGTTGTGTACAGTGGAGATGGCAGTTTTCTTCTAGTTGATGCTTCTGTAGAATAAAAAAAAAAGTTTAGCTGAGAAAGGTAGGTCTTAATGGAATTGTTAATATGTAGTCTTATTTTGGATGACATTTTAAAATCACTTACGTATTTAATCTGTGGATTGTAGAGCATGCTGGGAAGTTATCAATTCCATTGGTACCTGCCTCAGTTGCAGTTCAGCCTTAAGTACTTACCAAAGGGAGCTCATTTGGGGTGGCAGGGGTAACCGAAAAGTGTGGGAGCTGAGGTATTGTTTGAGAGCCTGTGGGCAGTGTGACTGCTCCAATCGTAGTTTCAGTGAGGAAGAGCACCATCTGTGCAAGATTTTCTCAGATGTCCTCTATAAGACTTTCATTGTCATCAGTTCTATGTGCTCTCAAATCATTGCTTTTTCTTCTTTATTTTGCACATAAGCTATAAGCTATTTTTTAAGACATATAGGTTTTATTTCTGTGTGATCAAAAACTATGTCTCGGGCAACTTCTACTTTTTGGAATTAACAATTATTTTCTTTGTGGTCTTGTGTGTGTGTGTATATATATAAACACATACGCACAAGAAGACTGTCTCTCTGTTTGTATATATACATACACGCACATATAAATACACAGAGAGAGTGTGTGTGTATATATACACAGAGAGAGAGAGAGAGAGAGAGAGAGAGAGAGAGAGAGTCAGTCTTGCTCTGTTAACCAGCTGGGGTGCTGTGGTGCAATTATGGCTCACTGGAGCCTCCACCTCCCAGACTCAAGCAATTCTCATGCCTCAGCCTTCTGAGTGGCTGGGACTCCCAGCATTCACCACCACACCCAGTTAGTTATTGTACTTTTTTTTTTTTTGAAGAGACAGGGTTTTGCTGTGTTGCCCAAGCTGATCTTGAACTCCTGGACCTCCAGCAATTCTCCTGGCTTGGCTTCTCAATATGCTGAAATTATAGGCGTAAGCCACCTTGCCTGACCATCGTCCATATATTTTTGAAAATGACCTAGGAACAATGAGACTTTTTGAAGTTTTTTCCGTTTGCTAACTTATCAGAGAAAACTAGTGGAAATAATATCAAAAAGAAATCATCAAATGCTACCCATGGATAATGTACAAGAAAACTCAGCAAAATTATTTGGCACAGATGAAGAAGACAAGAAAAATGTCTGCTTTGTGAGAATACCATAGTAGGTCCTTCAGACAGGAGGTACTTTATTAAGAAGGAGCAATTCTCATTAATAAAGATTTAGAGAGATCACTTATAAGATGTATTTATGGCAGCAAGCTCATTTGGTACATGTATGTATGAGGGAATCAAGATCTGAAAAGATTTTCATCGGTTAGAGTGATACGTCTGTTATGATGCAATTAATTGTGATATACTGTCTACTGGAGATTTGTTCTCCAAAACCTGACAATCTAGTACTTTGTAGGAACTAATGTGTATAATCTTAGGGGGCTTAGTGGACAGAAAGTTCATTAGCCGTTGGTACTGTGATAGGGGAAAAAGCAAATGGGACCTTAAACAATATGAATAGACATGGTTTCTCAAAGAATAGTCTATGGTTCACCTGAGCACACATCACAAAGGATGCTGACAATGCACAGTTAAGGTACCCCACCTAGATTAAATGAATTAATTTTGGACTTGGGTTTAGATATTTACATTTTTATCAGGACTTCTTATGTTCACCCCAAAGTTTGCAAAATGCTCATCTAAAATAAGAAAGATGATAGGCCTGATCCATCTTCTGTTTACTAGGTTAAATCTGGAAAATATAAACCTCAGGTGCCAGACTTCAGAGGGATATAGAAAAACAATTACTTTTTGCATTAGTCCATTCTTGCATTGCTAAAATCCTAAAGACTGGATAATTTCTAAAGAAAAGATGATTAAGGCGGGATGCAGTGGCTCACGCCTGTAATCCCAGGATTTTGGGAGGCCGAGGTGAGCAGACCACGATGTCAGGAGTTCAAGACCAGCCTGGCCAACATGGTGAAACCTCGTCTCTGCTAAAAGTAGAAAAAAAAAAAAAAGAAGAAAGAAAGAAAAGACGATTAAGTGGTTCTAGATTCTACAGGCTGTACAGGAAGCACAACAGCATCTGCCTCTGGGGAGGCCTCAGGAAGCTTCCAATCATGGCAGAAGGTTAAGGAGGAGCAGGCATGCCACACTGCATAAACAGGAGCAAGAGAGAGTGGGAAGGTGCTACATACTTTAAAATGACCTCATGAGAACTCACTGTCATGAGGACAGTTCCAAGGGGGATGGTGCTAAACCACTTATGAGAAATCAGCCCCTATTCTCCAATCATCTCCCACCAGGCCCCTCCCCTAACATTGGAGATTACATTTCAATACGAGATTTGGGTAGGATCACACATCCTATATCACTTTTGGAGAAAGAGTGGAGGTAGCTCTGAAGGTTTGTTACATCACAGCATTTGAGGAATGGCTGGGGTGATGGCAAATATCATACAGAAGAGCAGGCGTAGACAAGATATACCAGTTGTTTTCAAATATCTGAGAAAATATCAGTAAGAAGAAGTATAGTCATGAGTGTGCCTCACTTGCCTAAACATTTTGATTAAAAATGCATTTTAGTAGATTTAATTATGCCTTTTTCCTCTGGTGACCATCTGTTAAAAATTTTTAAAACCTTGACCTATGAAAAAATTTGTCAGTAAGATGCATTTGTTGTACCAAACTTCTCAGTTCTGGACTTTTTAATCAGTGTAGTTGCCATCGGACTCACCCACCAGCTTGCCTGCTAATCCATCTGATCTGTGTCACTCAAATACAGCAGGCAGTGAAGAACAGCTGCTTTTTCTTATTTCATTCTCCTTCTATCTGTCATAAAATCCAGGTACCAATAACTAGGGATAAGTGTTTTACCAAGAGCAGTTATTTCAATAGCTTGAACTTAAATACCAGATTAATTTTCACAGAATAAAAATAATGTTTAGTATAAGTTTTAATAATGGCATGTAGATGAAATATTTGGACTTGGTGACTTTTAAGTTGTGGTTGCTTTTTAAATGACTTCTCTGTTTGAGGACTTTGTGTATACACATTTCCTATCACATTTGTGGTAGGAAGATTCTAAGATGACCCTCAAGATTCACAACCTCTGGGGTACACATCCTATATGATCCCCTCCTGTTGAGTGTGATTGGAGCCTGTGAATATGATGGGACATCATTCCCATGATTAGGTAACATTTTACAACAAAGTAGAAGATATAATTCGGATATAACTCAGGTGGCTAAATTAGTTTTCTTCAAGCTACTCAAAAGGAAGATTATTCTGAGGGCACCCAACTTAATCAAGTGAACTCCTAAAAGAGTGTCTAGTTCTCAGAGAGCTTTTCCTGCTCTTGAAGAAGCAAATAATCATGTGAGAAGGCCACACAGCAAGAGGCTTAGGAGGCCTCTAGAAGCTGAGAGCAGCACTGGATTGATAATCAGCAAGAAAGCACAGCTGAGCTAACATGGAGACTGCAGCCTCTCTAGGTCGACAGGAACTGATTATCAATGAATGTTGTTTTAAGTCACTACGTTTGTGATAATTTATTATACAGTAATAAAAACCAAATACAAAAGATTAAAAAGAAATCTAAGTTGAAGATATCTTAAACCGAATTGCATTTAATACACCTAACCTACTGAACATCATAGTTTAGCCTAGCCTACCTTTAACATACTCAGAACACTCACATTAGCCCACAGTTGGACAAAATTACCTGGCAACACAGTACACTGTGGAATATTGTTGGTTCACCCTCATGAACATGTGGTGGACTGGGATCCTCAGCTTGCTGCCCCTGCCCAGCATCACAGAGAGAAATGTGCTTCATATCACTAGCCTGGAAAAATATCAAAATTCAAAATTTGAAGTATGATTTATATTGACTATGTATTGCTTTGGCACTATCACAAAATCGAAAAATACGAAGTTCAACCGTCATAAATTGATGACTATCTGTACCACCAAATAGCCCATTACTCAAATCCTCAACTTTTTCTCTTCAATGTATGTGACCTCTATTTATATAGTCAATACTTCTTGATTTGAAAAAGGATTGGATGATAATAGAAGTGAAAAGTTTGAATGATTATACTCATTTTTCTTTTTCTTTATCTATAAACCAGCGCCCAGTTGGAACATTTCCATATTTTAGTTCTAAGGTTGTAAATTGCTGAAAGTTTAGGTTTTCTTATTGATGATTCTCTGCTAACATTTGATAAGTAGGTCCCATTGAATATCACAATTAATCTATTTAAGAAGGTTGAGAGATATACTGTTAAACCAAAGGGAAAATGGTAAATGAAATTACAATTTATATTTTTCCCCTAATTCATGGGCATTGAATATTAACTTAGTGGTCTGCACTTGTAGCTTGTTAATTGTTTGACATCTAGCTGAAAAGTAAAGTGTTATATCACAGATAGCTTTTCTAATTGCAAACACATCACCCTGTTTATTCATTGGTTCACTAAGCCTTAATTAGGTATCTATCCTGTACCAAATGGTATGCCAGGGGTGAGGATACAAAGATAGAATAGAACTTTTTAGTACAATGTGAAGAAAGAAACATAAAGAAATAAGACTGCTGAAGTATTTTAACTACCAGGTTTGCACGTTGACTTCTTTATGCTTCATTTGGATTTTCTGAGGCTTTAACGTTTTCCGTTTTTAAGACTAAGCTCAAGGGTCAACTCTTTCATGAAAATTAATTGCTATTTATGTTTCCATCTATAAGAAGAGTGAAATAAACAATGAAATCTAATGACACTGAAAAGTGCTTTCAATGTACTGTTGAGTGGGAAAAGCCACATTTTTAACTTGTATATTCAGTGTGATCCCAATTTTATAATTTTACTCTCAATCCATATATGTGAATATAATACATAGGAAAGAGGTTGGAAGTAATTCAATCATGAGGTTAACAAGTTTTATCTCAGATGAGATTGTGTGTGATTTTTAAAAATTATATTTATTCTACCTAATAAGCATTTATTACTTTTATAACCTGAGAGATAAACATTATTGAAAAAGAAGAGCATGGATTTAAAGCGAGGATGTGAGACTGTGGCTGTTACATATTTTTTTGGTTTGGACCTTGGTTAAGAAGGCAAAGAGGGATAGAGATTGTGGGACATAGAGGGAGACGCAGGCCTGAGGACAGTTACAGTGTTATAAAGGGAGAGGCTTAAGTATCATTATAATATGAGCAGAAATTGCAAAGAGTGAGAAGCTAAAATGGAAGGGAGACGATAAATAGCTCAGCAAGGTTTTTAGGGAAGCAGAAATGACTCAGATTTGAAATATAGGTGACAGAATTAGCCTTAAGGAGGAGAAAGAAAAGATCTTTTGAGACTATAAGAAAGGAGGTGAGAGTTGATGTAGCCATAAAAAATACAGAGATGAAAGGGTGGGGAGTTAAAAGAGCCTGTGTATGTAGCCTAAATTCTTGCTATGAACTAGAAAGCCAGGTCATTAGCCGAAATTGACAATGGGATAGGGGTGGTCTTGGGGAGGTTAAGGCTAGAAAAATCCAAGCAAAGCAGGTAACAAGAGGACTTGATTCCAGACTGTGAACAGATTTGAGGCAGGGTCAGAAAGCCACCCTGAAATTTCAGTGCTATAAACCTGTAGTGGGAACTCTATAGGAATACTAATTTCTCCCTTCATCAACAAAGATATTATACTGGTCCTGTGAAGAGGCTTAGTCACTTCCCAGTTTATGTATTTCAAGATTATATTCCTAAAACACAGAAGTTTTTCAGTTTGTTCCCTAACCTGACCCCAGTCTACCTGTTTCCATCCAAGACTATCACTACCACTTCTAAACCACCTCCAGCCACACAAAAAACACACACTATGCTTGAGTCATTCCAAATTACACACCTTCCTCTAAACATTAGTGTGAAATTAGGACATTTGGGAAATGTGATTGATATGATTTGCATGTTTGCCCCCTTCAAATCGCATGTTGAAATGGTATTCCCAGTATTGGACGTGGGGACTGGTGGGAGGTGATTGGATCATGGGGACAGATCCCTCATGAATGGTGTAGCACCATCCCCTTGGTGATAAGTGAGTTCTCCCTTAGTTCCCATGAGATCTGGTTGTTTAAAAGAAATTGGGATCTCCCCCTGCTCTCTCTTGCTCCCACTCCCTCCATGTGACATGTGTGCTCCAGCTTTATCTTCTGCCATGACTGGAAGCTTCCTGAGGCCCTCACCAGAATCAGATGTCTGCACCATGGTTCCTGTACAGCCTGCAGAACAGAGAACCAATTAAATATCTTTTCTTTATAAATTACCCAGCCTCAGATGTTTCTTAAAAGCAGTGCAAAAAATGGCTTAACACTGTGATATTTGGTATTTTCTAGTCCATTAGTGCACATCCCCCCGATGTAGGATAAATATGGTATGAATATTTGAATATTTTTATGAGTAATAATTAAGCTTATTGAATTATCACAACTCCAGTGAGATAAGTCTAATTTTAATATCATTAGAAAGGTGAAGAAGACAAGACCAGCGAGGGCTACTAATTTCTCAAGGACACGCTCATCCTCATGTGAGAGCTGGAACTCAAAACCAGACCTTGACTTTGTCAAAATGCACTTTTGGTTCCCAATCTGATATTAGGTGCAGATTCTTCTCTTCTTTAACCAAGGGCCAAATAATACAGCCACCCACCCCACCCTGCCCCAGCTCTCCTTTTAGAACCAAACTGTTGCTCTCTCACTTTAGTGAGGTGGAAGGAAGACTATTTCAAATTGACTGATGAATTAACCCTATCGAAGGTCAGAAAAATGTTAGATAACTTAAGGGGGAAAAAAAGAAAATAAATATCAAAATGTGGAAATGTTTGAAAAAGAAAGACAAGAAGGATAGGGGAAAATAGAGAAGAATAGAGAGAGAAAGGAAGAAAGAAAGGAGGAGAGAAGGGAAGGAAGGAGAATGTTTGATGAGCTTATGAAGGATGTCTCTTTGCAACTGAGTGTGAATTTAGATGGGATTACATAACATGAAACAAAATGAAAAGAAGAAAAAACAGATACATTCAGTGATTTAAAAATGGGGTAATTCTTTCTGTTTTTATTTCACAAGTCTTTTGTAACTTATTTTAGAGTTTTAAAACTTTGTAGACATATTTAAAATGTTCAATTTTCACTAAAACAATCACATTTTTAAACATAAGGGCATATATTTGGTGTGACAACCTAACATTTGCCACCAAGTGTTAAAGATGAACCAGTTTTAATTTTAACTAGACGATTTGAAACTTTTTTGATATACTTGAGAATTTGGGACTACCAAAAAACCCCTAAATATGATCCTTTATATTTTTTATTACTTCTAAAATATTTTGATTCTAAACAAATATATGTAAATACTATGTGGAGAATTTAGATACTAAAAATTTAAGTCAAATATTGTTTAAGTACTTACAATATGCCCGGGACTGTACATGATGCTAAAAGTAGCCAGATGCAATGGTTACTGACTTCGAGTGGCATCTTTTTGAAACAGAGGGCAGAAATGAATAAATCTGAGATAACATGATGTGAGCTTGTTCCATACTGGAGAATGGGGCACTCAGAGAAAAGAGTGTGTGCAACTGCAGGTGGGGAGAAGCTTTGGGTTTGGCACTCCAGGAAGATATGTTCAAAGCAGAAGGGTAAAGGGCACTGATTGTTCAAGAAAAGTGAGTAGTCTGGAAAGGGTCATTATTTCAGAAGCAACATACCAAGAAGGAGGCAGGAAAAGAGAAGACAAAACAGCAGCATGGAAGATGGGTGAGGAGCCAGGCCACGTGGGTAGAACTTGAGTATCATAATATTTCTCCATCTAAATTCTACTAGGACTAGAAGTCTTATGGACATTTTATTTACTCTACAAAGTGCCCACGTCAGTGACAGATAAAGAGTCAACATCTGGGAGTAGCTTAGGTGGGTTCCACATGGCCCAGGATTGAACCTCTTTCTCTCCCTTCTTAGCTGTTTGACCTCAGTCAAGTTATGTCACCTCTCATGCCTCTGTTTTCTTGTCTGTAAATTGGGAATAATAAGGTAATAATAAGTATTGTGAGGATTATATATACATGTATATAATAATACATCATATATAACATTAATATTTATTAACACACATATATAATCTGCACATATGTTTATTATGTATGCCCATATATATATTACATTATATATTCATGTATACATATACATGTAAGGTGCTTAACAGAGTCCCTGGTACCAAATAAGCACTGAATCAACATTAACTATTATTATTTGGTTTATCTGAAACATTCAAATGGTATAGCACTAAGGCCATGTAAAAATATCATGTATTTCAATTATTGAAACTTTTTCACATTTTTGGGTATCCAGGATAGAGAAGGGGAGGAAGGATCTAGTCACATAATATTTGAGAGTCAGCAAATTCTTTCAACAATAATGTGATTGTATTTGTCTGTGTGAGATTTCTATGATGGTCATTTTCATGGAGCCAGTCAAGCATTGACTTTGAAATTAGGCAGATATGAATTTGAAAAGTAGTTTTCCCTCCACTAGCCGTTTGACCTTGTACAAGTGACTTTAACTCATTTTTTATTATTAAAAAAATAGGGATTTTTTCTTTGTAAGATTTTTCAAGAGGATTCAATGTGGTAACAGGTATAAGTGCCTGTTAGAGGGCCTGTCATAGATAAATCCTCAATGAAGGGTAACTGTTACTAAAAGGAAGATATAAGGAGAGATATGACACTACTTCCAAATAAAAACCCTGGTTCAATATTGGAGCATGGGGACCCCCTTTAAGAGAAGCATCCTCCCAGCATAATGTCCAAAATGAAAATATTTCATTTGTAAGCATAAGAAAGGGGTCATTTTAAGTGAAATGACCGACTTATCAAGCCAGTCCACTGAACTGTAGCTTGGAGTCTGAGTTACAAAGTAATCTATAGTGATCTGAGGGAGTAATACAAACTCCAAGTTAATGACTGTAGAATAAATTCTACTGATATTTGCAGTCTAGTGTCATCAAGGCTAATTCTCCTTTAAAGAGGCAAAAGCTTCTTATTGTCCCCAAAACTGTTGATATAGTATGTAACTCAGCATGTCACAGAAATGTTGTTTATCCACTTTGGCTATTTTGTTTAAAAAAAACTTTTCTACCCTTTTTATTTATTTATTTTTAAATTTCTATATTTCATAAGTAAACCAAGCCTCAACACTCGGCATTTCAGGCCAGGTATGGTGGCTCACACAGGTGTGTGGTAATCACAGCACTTTGGGAGGCTTGTGCAGGAGGATCGCTTGAGGCCAGGAGTTCGAGGCTAACCTGTGCAACATGGGGAGACCCTGCCTCTAGAGAAAATGAAAAATAATTAGGCAGGCATAGTGGCACATGTCTGTAGTCCCTGATACTCGAGAGGCTGAGGTGGGAGAATTGCTTGAGTCCAGGAGTTTGAGGCTGCAGTGAGCCATGATCTTGCCACTGTGCTCCAGCCTGGGCAATGGAGCAAGACCCTGTCTTGAAAAAAGAAAACAAAAACAAACCATTTCAAATTCAAACATATTTTTCTGAATTAAAAAAGAAAAAATACTCTCTTTAAGTATATGAAAAAGCAAATATCTTTCCTAGAGTATATTACATTTTAACAGCTCTTGAAAATTCAGTTAAGTGGTCTAGTGCTTGTGGTAATCTGGATGTTAGCTAACAAGAATAAAAATTAATTCCATACGTTATCAACAGCAAAGAATTTTGGAGCAGCTACCATAAATAAGAAACTGCTTTAGATGCTGGAGATCTAAATTTGGTAAGATATAATTTCAGCCCTCAAGGATCTAGTTTGTTAAGAAACATAGGCATCATAACAAATAAATGTTCTTGAATTCAAAAAAAATTAAAGCTTGATTGTTCAGAAAGCAATTTCATCTATATTTAGGAGATGTTTACAGGTGTTATATTTTATAATGCAGATCTGAGTTCACTTTTTGTACAAGTAGAAGAGTCACACTTTTATATTAATAGTGATAATATTATTAACACTGTTGGATTTCTTCCATGTACTGTCCTAGATATTTTACTTATTCCTAGAATTTTATAGAATAGGTCATTTTGCTTATGTTAGCCTTCAGTTGCAGGTGATAGAAATCCAAATTGAGCATCTATTGACACCTCTATTGATCTGTCCAGGGAAGTACAGAGGAGACCTGCCTTAGCCATCTGTTGACCAGAGGACCAATCACATCAACAGGACTCTCCCCTCTCTCTTCTAAGCTTTCCTCTTTGTTGTCTTTATTTTCACTAGGGTTTTCTCTGTAAGGTGCCTAAAATGGCTACTAGTAGCTACAGGTTTAGGACCTGGTCCTTAGCAGTTTAAATCGGAGGAGGAAAAATACCTCCTGTTCTTAAAGTCCCTATTAATCTCTGTTGGCCTTGCATGGGTGATGGGCCCAACCATGTAGGAACACAGGGCAGCTTAGGTCACATTTCCATAAATATCAGAGAAGTGGTATTGCCTGATATGTATTTCATAGCTAGCAAATGACAACTGGAATTGAAGTCCATGCTTCTTCCGAGTGATCACTGTCCCTCTAATTGAGTACCTTTCAATTGAACCTGTTTCCTGGCGTTACTTTAATTTTGTGTGAAAAACTATCTTCTTGATTTTAAGTAAAAGCAATGAAAAAAGGCCCTCTAACATTTTCTGCTCACAAAAAAATTAGCTTTACAGATAGTAGACTTCATCAGTAGATACAGTCTTTAAGGAAGAAAAACATAGTTTGTATAAAATATTACTATACCCTTTACTATGTAATGTCTCCTGGATTCTATAATAATTGGTGGGCTGTGTGGTCTGCTTGCCATCTTCCAAGATGTGCCCCTTATTGAAAAAACAAAAACAAAACCTATGTCTGTAGTATGTATATTTGTGCATTTAAATGTTTGTGCCCATGGACTTGTGTGTGTGTGTGTGTGTGTGTGTGTGAATGTATGTCTATATATATATGTATGGTGTTTGTGTGAGAGGCAAAGAGAAGAGAAAAAAGAATGACGTTAGCTTATCAATATATTATAATAAAATTGTGTTGACTAGTTTCTTTATCGTTCTCTTCCAAACTGATAAAAGGACAATTTTTGGTGTGCGGTTTAAAAGAAATGAACTTTTCCCCCTATACTGAGGGCAATTTTAAAAGAAGGTAGTTTCTCAGGTGTTTCTAGTCAAAATGACAAACCTACAAAGTACATTTGCATTATTTTATGTATACTTTACTGATAGAGTCCTTTAAATGTTGAGTTCAAGCTAATTTTTCTTAATCTTCAAAAAGTTTAGGGATCAAATTGTATCCTGCAGATTTTTGTTATGCTAAATTTCATTTCATCTCTTCTTCTTTAGTTCTACAGAGAAGTTAGGTCAAGATTGTTTGAAAGTAGACTTGAGTCCAGAAACTTGTCTCTTCGACCAGTGGATTATCTACCAATTTGAAAAAATATAGCATGCATGTGGAAGAAAATGTTACTTTTGCATGTCAGCATGTTGTCATTATTATTAGAAGAACACATCTTTCAAAGAAAGGAAACATAAACTCCATAATGCTGTCTGATATTATTCTTGAAGACGGCTATCATTTTAGCTGTTATAAAACAGGAAGGAACATCATGGAGCATTAGATTATAATATCTATAGTCCCACTAGCACACCATTAAATAAAGTGAAGGTATGAATATTTAAATTAGAATTTGTTTTTTATACTATATTATGTCAGGAAGAAATTGCAAGCTCTGGAAATTCTTTGTGTCTTAGGAAAATGAGATTCTATTTTTTATAGCTCTTTAAAAAAAATACCTGCATCAGCAGACAATTGGTAACAGTCATCATATTTGGTGTTATTTAGCATTTCTCAAAAACATGGCAGTTGTTTTTATGTGGGTGTGGCATGTTGGCATTTTTACATTATCGATTCCTTGATTCAATTTCTACTCTGTGCTGACCTGTCATATGGGATAAATCTAACTACAGCAAAGCTCTGTTATTCTTCAGTACAGTACAACAGATAAGTAAGCCAGATATAATACATTTGGGTGAAAAAACTACAAAATCATAGAGGGGGATCTTTTTAAGAGCTTTTAAAACAATCTTTTGGTTTAAGGCAGAGAAGTATTCTACAATGAAACACTAGATTGCATAAGATAAGCCTGTGCCTGTTCCAACTTAATTTTCTTTGTTACTCTAAGAACTCCCCATATATATGTAAATTTCAGCAGTGTTAATGGGCTTTCTTTGGTATGTCAGAAGAAGAATGTAATTTGTGAACTAGATAAATCTATAAGGCACAGGTGTGAGCAAAAAAAAAAATAATAAGAATCACTCCTCACAAGGAAATACTAAATAACAATTATTATTGAGATGTTTCATGCATTTTTTTTATCCATAGTAGTAAGTACTACTATCTCTATAAAGAGGAAAAATTCAATCCAACAGTCATTAAAGTTGTTCTATTAAATGTAGTGATAAATCTTCAGTTTGTATTTTTAATATAAGATCTGAGGGATAATCAAAGCAAAGGCTTATGTGGATAGGGCATTTATTACATACCAGGAAATGTCCTGAACTCTTTACACATGATTCATTAATTTTCTGAATTACACTTGTAGATAGGAACTATTGTTATCCTCATTTTATAGACAAAGACACAGAGATAGAGGTTAAGTATCTTTACTGGGGCCACACAGCTAGGAATTGGCAGAACCAGGATTTAGGCACTAAAATCTGTTTATTTAACCACTAGCCTACATGGCCATTGGAAATGAATTATACAGAGATGAAAAGTTTTCGTTATAGATTCCCTCGTTGAAACTCAAAAACAGAAGGCAAAATATGTAAAAGAACTCAAAACTGAGAATATTTTTAAAAATAGAATAAAATGTCATAGAAAAAAATCACATTTAAGAGTTTCTTTCTTCTATTACTTTTACCATTGCAGTTATGGGCGTTTGGATACAGTTTGGGTTTAATAAAACCCCCAAGTTTGGTTTTTATTAAAATAAGTCAATCTATCATTGGTCAATACATCACATTTATCTCTCTTTTCTAGTAGTGTCAAATCTGAGGAGCAAATATATAGCTACTATACAAAAATCAAAGATTTAAAAGTTTTAGCATTGCATTGAGCTATTAATCATTGTAAAAACATTTTAAATGCCTCCATTTTTTAGATGATAGCTACACATTAAAGATGGGGTGTAGGTAGGGTGGTTGATCAGTGTATCTAAATAGACTATAGTATGCAAAAACATTCAGTAAAAAATGTTCCTTGAGCAAGAAGAAAAAATAAAGACAGCTGATCAAAACACATGAATTTATATGACTCAGTAATTCTTACATTATCATAAATTTCGCTACCACTTTTATGAAAGCAATTCACACAATTCACAATGTGAGGAGCAATTACCATCAAAGATACATAATAATATGCCATGTGGTATATGGAGCCACAGGATGAAGATGGCAGGTTTTCTTGGGCCATCAATTTTACTCAAGGGCATTTTAAAATAATATTTTAATATTAAAGGAAGCATATGATACTGTAGAATAAAATTTATTTGCATTTTTAAAATCTCCAACCTGACTCTTCTGTGAAATTTCAGAGCTGTGGCTGTTAAATTGGAACTATGCCACCAGACCCTGGGGTATGTCTATTTATTCTTCTCTGCCTTTAGGGAATTTTTTTAAAAAGTTCAAGAAGCCGTGAGATAATGCAGCCTTCATAGTTATTCTGTTTGTAGATTGGTAGTAAATTTTTGATACTTATTATGAATCCAAGAGTGGAGGTGAAACATAGCACTGGATATTTTTATATGTGTTGGTCTATGTCAATCAAATAGGAGAGATAAAATGATAGTCTTGTTAGTGAAAGAAAATAGGGACAATTAATGTATAATAAACTTAAAGTTACATGATATGACAGCATAGAATTAAAAATATGTCTGTCTAGTAATTTTTTTCTCCTTCGCAATTATTGCTTTCTTCATAGGCTTTTCCTATTGTTCTCTGTCAAGACACTGCAGTCTGTTTTAATCATTATCATCTACTGCTTCTATTTTACTTGTTATGTCATACAAATTCATGTTTGGTTCTCCACTAATACTGTTTCAAGAGGTCACGAAGAAGGTATTTTTTTTTTTAAAGGAACACCAAAATCGAATGATGGTATGATGGATTTTATGTGTGACTGAGCTTGTGTGGAGTGAAGAAAAATTCAAAATAAATTCCTCTCTGAGACACACTGCATGGAAATATCAAAGCAGTGCAATTCTTTCATAAATTAAAGGTTATACTCTCATTCTGTTTTGGGTCCATCCAGAAGATGATAATGTTTCGAGAGCAGCAGTTTCTCAGGACACTCTTCTGTGTTTCACTATGGTACCAAGAAATTTGCCAGGGAAAGAAATGATTTGCCTTTATTCTGTCAATATTATCAAATTAAGAATGTTTTTCCAAAAATTCTTTTAAATTATTGAGTGTTTATTATGAGTATTTATGATGTGCAAGGTGCTAGGCTAATTGCTGGTTGTATATAAAGGTATTTGGACTCCAGTACTATTCTATTTTTATTTTGTAGTCTGTGTGAATTTATAAACCACTAAATCTTACAGGTTTAATACTCAAAACTCCTCTTGTCTTCAATATACCTACCATAGACTGTAAGGGATTATTTCGAGTAGTCAGTTGGGGTTTGATATGGTGTTAATTCTTTATGCATTTACATCATTCTATCAATTTCAAGTGTGTTCTTTTATTCTTTTTCTTTTTTCTTTAATTTTTCCAGGCTGAAATAGTTATCTTTTAAAGTCTGTTCTACAGCAGCTGCTCCACCCCAGTCATTGCCTTTAGCTTTCTCTAGATTGCCATTAGGCCTTCTTGAAGTCGTGCTTATTACAGATATGTGAGGAGTGCTTTTTTTAGGGGGGGAAGGGGAGAAACAGATGTAGAATAATCCTTTTTTGTTGTTGTTTTTAACACCCTTTTCTATGATGGCCAGTGTTTCACTGATGATCTTGTTGGCTGTCTCCGTGGCTGGATGAGTTGTCTCGAAGAGCAGTTTACACTCAGTAGTGACCAGGTCCTTGAGAGCTCTTAGCTCATCATCCTTTAAGTATAGTTTGGAGTATTCTTCCCAGGCTGTACTACTTCATGCATTTTTTTTTTTTTTTTTTTTTTTGCCTATTGTATTTAGAGTTTTTCCTGAAATGAATTTCTCACTATGTATTTGACTATCAAGAAGAGTTGTATCATCTGCAAGTTTGAGGTTTCACTTGAAAATCCTATTAGCCCATACAGGGAATAATTCATTCCAGTAGGTTCTTAATAGCCCTTCCCTGTTCCCTGTTTCTAATCCATTTATTGCTCTTTAAAGATTACCATGTACTCCTTTTTCTTATTATAAAATATTGCATATTCATATTAAAATCTGGAAAATTCATAGAAGCAGAAATAAGTAATCTAATGAATCAAAAACAATGTCAAGTAGTGTTTCTTAATCATTACAATTATTTATGAATTTTGGTTTTAATTTTTCAACATTTGGTCTACTTGATGTGTGGCACACATTGTTCTATGAAATCCAAACAGTGTTATTGTAAAGTCTCTGGGCTTCTTAGAGCAAAAGTTTTAAAACCATCATTTATATGTTTAATATATTTTTATCTATTTCTAGATTTATTTTAAAGGCAGTAAAATAATCTAACAGGCTCCTGGGTACCCATGGTGTTTATTATATTATGAAGAAATAAAATATTACTCATACAGTCGAAACCCTACAATTAAATTCCTTTCCCTCCCTTCAGAGGGAACCTATTATAATGTGTGATTTGTGATCATGAATGATTTCAACTAGTTTTTCTGATATTTATATTTATTCTGCACCTTCACCCTCATCATCATCCTTACAATAGGCTTTATCTTTTGGAAATACATATAATATTGATGTGCTCTGGTTTTAATCATCACCTGCCTCTTGCCTCAGCAAGCTCTAGGTTGTATTTTAAAGGAGATTAAATATATTTTCACTGAATTTAATTGTATCTAAGTAATACCTTTCGAAGAGTCAAATAATACAGAAAAGCTCATAACAAAAAGTTGCAATTCTTCCATCCCTCCTTCACTCTCAGAGACATGACTGATCTATCTCAGCTGTTTCTTCTAGCATTTACCCCCGGATTTAAAAATAATATATTTAAACAACTATAACTTAATTTAAACATTTTAGACATTATCTCTTCCTTTCCTAGTATGGAAGACAAAGATTGAGCACTCTCATCTGACCCTCACACATTTCTGCCTACATCCTGCAACATATACTTAAAATAAATATATAATGCTAACATTGTTAAAACCATATAAATATTACTCACAGCTGAGCTCTGTGGTGCACTGTGTCTCTCTTTTCTTTTTTGTACATCGTTGCCTGGCATTAATAATTGCTTTGTTTTGAAAAATTAGTCTTAGTTTACTACATACATTTTACTAATTTTAAACTACACTTTCTGACAGAATTATTAAACTCCCTTCAGTATGTTTCATCACATTTGGAAATCTATTAATTGATGATTTTTGTTATTATTTGTGTTTCATTGTTAAGAAAACCATCCTGATGCTTTTCTCTCCCACATTTTTGTAGCTTCCTTAGAAAGAGTGAAGAAAAGGTAAATGTTTTTAATAAATTATGTGTCTGAAGATGCCTTAATTCCCCCCTCTTTTAGATATCAGCTGGCTCTAGAATTCTAGGTAGAAAGCATCTCTTCTCAGAATTTTGAAGATATTGCTTCATGGCTCTCAATTCTTCACTCACCTTACTCTATGAACCCCAGGGTCTTTACATCCCTTGAGGACTGAAGTGTGTTTCCACTTCAGGTGCTTTGCACTGGCTGGTCTTCTATCTGGAATGCTTCTCCCCAAGATATCTTCTGGCTAACTCTCTTTTCTTCTTAGAAAACTGCTAAGATTTACCATTCCCAATGAGCCGCCTCTTGTCCTTTTATTTATTTTTGCAAACTGCCCCTGCCCACTGCCATTCCTGGTCTCCCTAAACAAGTCTTAGTATTTCTTCCCTTTCTCTTTTCATGTTGAAATACACTATATAGTTTACTTATGTATTAGGTAAACTTTTTATTGCCTCTCTCTGTACTCCCCAAGCTACTTCTTGACCCTTGAAAAAATGTAGATTCCATGATCGTATAAAATTTTTATTACTTTAAAAACTTTTCTAAATTAATAAATTATAAAAAATTAATATATTCAAAGCAACTAGATGTATGCCTAAACACCTAGAAAAGTGCCTGGCGCATGTTAGAAATTAGAAAGTATTTCTTATGAACAGTTTTATGATTTTTCACATTGAAGTTGAAGAGTCTTGCCAATTTCCCCTATCTTATATATGTGATCAGATTTTTGCCTCTGTAAACTTTTAGGATTTTATCTTGACCCCAAATGTTCTGTAGTTTGATCACAATATGACCTGTGCTATGAATTTTTTGACCCGGGAAATTCATACACCTAACTTAAGGATTTTAATTTTTCATTATTAATTATTTAACAATGTGTTATTTATCTATGGAACTCTTCTTTGTTAGATATTGAATTTCATGGATTAATCCCCTAGCTTTTTGTCTTTGGTTTATTTTGATTACTCTTTTTTTTTTTTTCCTTTTTTTTTTTTGAGACAAAGTCTCGCTCTTGTCCCCCAGGCTGGAGTGCAATGGCATGATCTTGGCTCACTGCAGCCTCTGCCTCCCAGGTTCCAGCGATTCTCCGGCCTTGGCCCCACCCCGCCCCCGCCGACCCCCATGAGTAGCTGGGATTTCAGGTGCCTGCCACCAAACCCGGCTAATTTTTGTATTTTTAGTAGAGATGGGGTTTCACCATGTGGGCCAGGCTGGTCTGGAACGCCTGACCTCGGGTGATCCACCCGCCTGGTCCTCCCAAAGTGCTGGGATTACAGGCGTGAGCCACCACGCCCAGCCGATTTCTCTTTTCTTTTATTTCCTTTTCTTTATATTCTATTGTTTCCCCTGGGGAGACCTCCTCACCTTTATCTTACAACATTTTAAATATTACCATAATTTAATAATTCTTTTGTGCTTTGAGTAGTCTTTTAAAAATTAATATCTCATCCTGTTCTTGTTTTGTGCATGCCATATGTTTTGCTAGTTCTCCGAGAATATTGACTCATTTTTGAAGTTTTTAATATTATTTTTGCCTTTGTTTCCTCTGTTTTGTTTTCTTTCATGGGAGATACAAAATTTCTGGGAAAATTTTGCTGTCCAATAATGTTTAGCTGAGACACTAAAATTGTTAAATCTCTGTATGTCACGAAAGCATGTTAACTCAAATATGAACAAGGTATCATTTCATTGGAAGACTCCCAAATATCCTCTCGGTAGGCTATTTTTATGGACAGGTATTTTCCAATCTTTGTCTGCTAGCATTTTTGTTGAGAACGGAGTATGAGCTAAGGATGAGAATAATCACACTCTACAATATGTAGATTTTCACTTTTTCATTTTTAGTATGAATTCTTATCCTCACCCCTCATCCTTCACTGCATGGTAATTGGACACTTTCTTATTAAATTTCCCTAGAGAATTGTATTAGGGTTCTGTAGAGGGACAGAACTAATATGATATATATATATATATATATATATATATATATATATATATATATATATATTAGTTTATTAAGTATTAACTTATACGACTGCATATATATACATATATATATGTATATATCATGGGAGTTTATTAAGTGTTAACTTACTCGATCACAAGGTCCCACAATAGGCTGTCTGCAAGCTGAGGAGCAAGGAGAGCCAGTCTGGGTCCCAAAACTGAAGAACTTGGAGTCTGATGTTTGAGGACAGGAAGCATCCAGCAAGGGAGAAAGATGTAGACTGGGAGGCTATGCCAGTCTCTCCTTTTCACATTTTCTGCCTGCTTTATATTTGCTGGCGGCTGATTAGATTGTGCCCACCAGATTAAGGGTGGGTCTGCCTTTCCCAGCCCACTGACTCAAATGTTAATTTCCTTTGGCAACACCCTCACAGATACACCCACGATCAATACTTTGTATTCTTCAATCCAATCAAGTTGACACTTGTATTAACCATCACAAGAATAAATTCCCAGTGGTCTCTTGCCAGGTCAGCAATGGGATAGTAACGAGGTTTATAGGGTTGGCAGGGGGATCTGGATACCTAACTAAGATTTTGCAGCCTCAACACTTACTCTAGCCTTGTAAATTATTTGGTACTTAAAATTTCAGAGACATTCTGGGGATCAGCAGCTCAAATAACACTTCTTGCTGTGGTTTGCTCCTCCCCTTGGCAGACACATCCTATCCCCAGCTTCCTCTGCTCTGGGCTAGTACCACTCACTCCATCCACTTTCCTTCCATCCTATATTAATTTGTTGACACTTCTTTTCTGATGTCATCCTCTGGACCATATATATATATATATATATATATATATATATATATATATATATATACACACATACACACACACATACACATATTTATGACTTAACTCTTATTTTAGAAGATTTGTAGGTTATAATAGCATTTAAGTGTGTGTGTTCATGGTCAGGTTTAACCAAAGTCCTAGGCCTGAGTATTTCAATGTGAAGAACAAACAGAATATGATATTACTTTCATACCTCTATTTTTGATAGTCTGTGATTCTGAGCCCTATCTATGCTTTCAGTCAAATTACCAATGGTATGAAACTCTTTAATTTTGTGTGTCTCACGTTTAGAGGGTAGCTTAAGAGGTTCTTTAACTGCATGACTATTGTGAGGAGGATACTTATGAGTTGTTCTTCATTTCCATGGGGACAAGGACAATGAAAATACAGTATAATACATTCAGAGTGTTATTAGAAGTTAGGTAGTACCTTTTAATTGTTAAACAATAAAGTAATAACATTGCTCATTAGGCATGTGCTTATGAAGACAAAAAGGCCTGATTTACTGATTTAGTGATTTAGTCCAAGGCTTTGACATCCATATGATGTGGACCTCTGGGTACTAAAGAAGTCTATAAATCCCAATCACAACTGTGATTAATTACAAATATCTTATGCATGTATTTCTTTAGCTAAAGACAGAGGTAGAATCAAATAAAAATTACTCCAAGTTTACTGGCTCTATTTCTCTTCATTTGAAAACAGAATTTTCTCAAAAGGCAAAGGAAAAGTTTGTCATCCACATCTCTTATTAATGAAAGTGTAACAATCATATACTCACATTTCTCCTTCTGAATAAAACAAACTACTGATGAGAGATAAAGATAATTATTTTTAGTACCTCTGTTGTCTTTTAAATATTCCTTTTTTGGAAAAGCAAAACAAGACATGATTATATTGGGAGAAGAATGGTGACCCAAGAACTAGATGGCCTTCTTCTGGTACGGTTCTTTCACTATCTGGTGTATCTCTGAAGTGTGATCAAAGGTAACTGATCATAACTAGATAATCGTTAAAGCCCCTATCCTCCCTCCCTTTCTGTATTTTTACCTTTCTTCCCTTATTGATACTAAGACCTTGATACTAAGTTGTTCACAACTGGCCCACATTCTAGGTTGAAATGATGGTGCATGTTGGAGACAAATGTACAAATAAATACCATATGGTTATATTACTACTGTGAAAATGTATGTAGAAAATGCTGGGGTAATATGGACTATTTTCTTAATAATCTAATTTCTTACCTAGTAGACAGTCAACATTTCCAATCATGGAAATGAACTAGTGTCCACATAACTGAAATCCTTCACATCTGGCTATCTTTAGGCCCTAAATTATGTGAAATTCACTGAGTATTTTCCACAGAGTTGTTTACTGTTGTAAAATCTTAAATCAAAATGTTACATCAAAGGAAGAGTTGCATCAAAAGAACCTCAGCAAAACCTCAAAACAACCAAACACTCCACTTGTCTGTTTAAATTATTAGCAAAAGCAGCTCTGTTATCCCAGCTTCTAAGCTAACCAGACTCATCATTTTGGCCTTTCATGTATGCTTTTCCTATGGCCAAAACGTCCACAAATTACTAATAAATGCTGACAAGGAGAGAGGTTAAAACCAGGAAGCCATGCCTTTTAGCTGACAAAACATTCATTGAAATGCTATCTGGGTGAAGCACTGAGAAATTAATCATCTGAATAGTCTAAATTATAGTACATGAAGAATGCAACTTGCTAGGGAGACATACCTTCAGCATTATTCGAGGTTAATTTAAACCAACATGTAAATGTTTGTATGCTTCATGTGTGGTATCCCAAAAGGTTGTGTTTTCTCTTTTGATCTTTGAATATGCTGATCGCCTTTCATGAACAGTGGCATTCAATGCACTTTGAAAAAAACACAGTCTTTTTCTTTGAAGGTAAGTTGTAAGAAAGAGAAATCATTAAAGCCTGGAGTGCAGAATTGTTGTCGACTGAAATGGTATCAAGTGAGTTGAATGCCTCATATTTTAAAAATGGGCATGATCTCTATTATTACTAACAAAAAAATCTGCATTTTATGTGATATCTGACATGGGAAAGGGATGCTTGATGAGTAGCCAATGATGTTGAACTGGCTGTATTTTCCGACTGACTTGTTTTTCTTATGAAGGCAGCATTTTAGTAAAATTGTGTTTGTCTTTCTTTCTGATAGGCTCTAATTGAAGTTTGAAGGTTCATTACACAATGCCTGGGAATATGTTGTCAAATACAATTCACCTCTCCCACAGTGAATATTGGCATGATTTTATAGGACAGGGTACTCTAGAGCTCAGCTGTCATAATATTTGGCTCCAATTTCATTCATAATGGACAGAATATCTACAATGTTTTGAATCCCTACTTTCAAATGTCAGCACACTGGAACAAATATTAAAGAATGGGTTTGAATCTAAGTAGATGAGTATTTCCTTGAAGCAACATGTTATAGCCTAAATGTTGTTTCCTTCAATTATGTTTAAACAATGTAACCTTAAATGTTTCACAGATGTATCACTTGAAATCCAAAACACATACTACTCATCAAAGTCATCTTTATTTAAGCTTAGGAAGAAAAATAGAAATCTGAAATGTTTGCTCTTAGTCCACACACACTTCTCATCTGGCAGGACATTTCTGAATTTATTTGGGAAATTGAATATATGTCAGGTAGGTTTGGGTTGCTGGGTAAATGAGTGTACTTCAGTGTCAGGACTGTTTTTATTAACAGATTTTATAAACTGGCTTGGTAGTTTCCAGTTCTGTGGCAAGAACAATCTATCATAATAAACCTGTAACATAAAAGTACAGAATACATTCCTGTTTCAAGAGTCTGTAAGAGGAGTCCCCTCATGAACAGTTTATATGAGAGGATTATAAAATGAAGTTCAGCAGTAGCACAAGCAACTGCAGTGAATGGTGTGTTGTTAAGGTTCTTTAAATCATGAAAAAAATATACTTTCAAGGATTTATTAATCTTACTCCAAATATATATATTTTGGTAAATAGCAATTGGAAAGAAGGGTTTGTATTTCTTAGAAGCACTGAGCTGACCAATATATTGGAAAACTAAGTAAAGCAGGCCAGTGATCTCTATTCTGAGTGAAATATTTTGCTCTGTTTGACATCTGGGTGCAATGATGGCTATGTCAGTGTCACTTTATTTTTCTCTTGTGCAAGTTTGATAAAACTCTTTAAATACTAATGTGTATTTTAGAAAACACAAATTCTGTTATATTCCAGGAGGAAGGAAATTGCCTTAGGATATGAATCAGATTTGATAACATGAACTATCTTATTTAATTATTCTAAATTGAAAACATCATGAAAGATAATTGGGATTTTTCCATTTTTATTTTCCTCTTGTTTCTTGCTTATTTGAATCATTCGTTTTATTCTTCTTTCTACTTAGGCTAAGCTCTCAAAAGGAAAGGAGATGTAATTCAATGTATGTAAGTTTCTAAGTGTAGGTATTTTTCAACAAACACATAAACAATCATCGATGACATTATTACTTATGTCACATAAAAACTGTGTTTAAACAGATTAAAAATATTTTCTGGAGAGTTTTATTTATTTTACAATGTTTACAAGTGAATTGTCAAGATGTCTCCCAATATTATTTCCTTTCCAGACAGCAATCTTTAAATCCTGCTTGAGTCATCTTTTATTCCAGTTTTCCTTTTTTTGAGTGTAAAGGCAATAAATTATAACAATAAAAGACTTATACTCTTTGTCCCATAGTTTCTCTTTTCTGTTGAAATATAGCTTGCTCTTTGGAATATTAACATGTAAACCAGAGGTTTTTTTTTTTTTTTTTTTTTGAACAATCTGACTATTCTAAAACACTTTTTAGGATATCACTAATTGTCAATAAGGAATTGAGATCCACAGATAAACTTATCAGGAACAGAAAATTGTTTTGAATACATTTTTAATATTTAAATAGTCACAGATCAAAACTAAATTTTTTTTTAAAGATTCTGTTGAATAGGTAGGACTTCACATTGGATTCAACCTGGTATTTAAAATGCAAATACTTTTTGATTTCTCTTTTTGCTAAGTAATATTCTAAGAGATTAGCCATACATTTTAAAATGTTGTGACTGTTTTTGTGTTTCATGTTTGTATAAATGTAGAGATTAGACACTTGTTTAAGATCCTTAAAGATCTGAGGTAAATTATTTTTGGGAAATACAAATTTCTTTCTGTAATTTCTACCTTCTGTGAACAACTTCTTGAAGACTGTTCTGTTGCTCTTGGTTTATACGCAGGTCCCTTAAAATAACAAAATAAAAAATAAGAAACAATACATAAGGACAAAGACTGGAAATAAAAGAAAAATAATTTAAACTCAAGGGATTTTCTTGGGTAAGGCCTCAGAGAATGTTCCAGCTGTTCTTAAGAAAGACATTGTATATAAAGGCCACATTTAGCTGAATAGACTGAAAAATTCTTATTATTTGAGAAATGATTCAATTGTTGTCTCAATGCTAAATATTCATAAAAACTATCCATTCATTAATCCTTTTTAAACTGAAGTAATTAGAAAAAGCAGGTCAATGTGCAAAGAAATGGGCTTTTCTTCATCAAATGGTTAATTCTTTATTAAATGGTTATTCTTTAAAATGAGCAAAGATGAGCTCAGCAAATAAGGTACTTGTAATAATGAAAGTACTATATGCAGGAATACTGGCTTTTTGTTTTTAATCTGCAATTAGTTAATTAAATTTCATTGTAGATGTATTGCATAAAATACATTTGAAAGGCACCATTCTTCCTCATAATACAGCTAGTGAAGGTCCAAATTTCAGTGACTCAAGTGTAGGTGGGAAAAAGTCCTCACAAACTTTACGCAAATTGTTAGAAAAGCTTATGTAAACATGACTACTATGAATACAGACCAGGGATGTGCCCCAGAGTCAATGAGTTCAATTCACTTGCTGCCACAATGCTTTCAGGCCTAGGCTCTTTGCAGACAGAGAGCAGCATCAGGGAATGATTATTACCTGTGCCCAGCAGGGTTTGTTCAACTGCTAATGGTCAAGGTAGATTCAAGCCCTCTATCATTCCCAGAGACATACAAAATCAAATACTGACTTAAAGAGAAATATAAATGAAATAAGTTCTAAAAGGAAAAGAAAACAAAGAAATGTCTTTTACAAGGCACTAAAGAAAGACACAAGGGAACATTCATATAGATTATTTTATTAAATATTTATTGAGCAAAATATTTGTGCCAGGCACTGTTAGATTGGCCTCATGAGCTTTGCATGGGCACCCACTTGCTATACATCAGGCTTGGAAACATACTCCTGACCAGCATTTATGCTAGACATGATTTATGTCTCATACTGTGCTAAGGGGGTGACTAAAATCTATATTGACCAATACTTGATGAGTATATTTGACAGATGTTTAAAAGTTAACCCTGCTCAAAAATGTAACGGGATCTTTACTAATCAGGATCATAGGTTTGCATGGGTTCCTAGGAGGAAAAGAATGAGTGGGACCAGTTTATACACCAAGCATCAAAGGACTCCATTCTCACCCTAGGGAAACACGGATTTTACTGCTCAGGGGATGATGAAAATTGGATTCCGACTTTTACACCTCAGATTATTTCTATTAATTACACCTCAGATTATTTCTATTACACCTCAGATTATTATCTCAGATTATTATCTATTACACCTCAGATTATTTCTATTATTCAGTCTTAGCCGAAGATTCCCAGCCCCAGGTCCATCGTTGCTCAAGGGTAAGATCACAGACCTAGTGCCTGCATTATTTCCCTTCTGTGCAAATCGTGAGGGCCAATTTTGCTCTCTAAAAATTTGCATTAAACAGACCAATCACTAGATTCCTTCTACAGATCAAAATGCATTTATTCAATCAAACAAAAGGGAATCCATGTGAGGCAACTAAGGAAGGGCTTTCCCTCCAGTCTGGTGAGCAGTGGCTGTGGCTCTGCTGGCTCTATTTTGTGAGGTCTTTATAAATGACCACAATTAAGCTGTAGATGTACTCATGCCCTAGATGTAACCATCCGTTCTGGGGAATATGGCTTGATAAACCCATTGGTGTCTAACACTTATTCATGTCACTCATTCATTCATTCATTTATTCAAACAAATATTTTTGAGCTCTTATGAGGTGCCAGGCACTGTTCTAAGCAATGGGAAAACAGGAGTAAACAAGTCCCCATTCTTATGATGTTTTTATTTTAGAGGGGATAGGAAGAAGGAGAAAAAGCCAATGAATAAGGAAAGAAATAAATCAACAAGATAATTTCATATAATGCTAAGGATGGGAAGAAATGAAAACAGGTGTTGGAATAGATCATGGGGTGGGAGTTAATTGAAGGGGTAGTCAAGAAAGGCCCTGCTAAAGAAGTGTTGGGTTGGTTAGAGCCCAGCAAGGGACTTTTCAGCTCTGGAGATGCTTGTAGAGAAATGCAGAGGTCCTAATATGGGAATGAACATCTCATGTAGGGTATAGCTTCTCATGTTTGAGGAACAGAAACAAGGCCCTAAAGGCTCTAATATTGTGAGCCAGGATAAGGGCAGCCAGGGTAAGGGCAGATGACATCTGGAGACAGGTAGGGGCCAGGTAGGACCTTGTACTGTGTACGTAGGACCTTGTACATGTAGGAGTCAGATCACGTGGGACCTTGTGCTTCGTTTGAATTTTATTCTAAATGTTGGGAATTGATTAGATGATTTTAAAAATAATACTTTCTTAATACTGTGTCACTCTGCCTACTCTCTGAGAAACAGATCATAAGGAGACAAGGGTTGGAGGCAAGCAATGCTTCTACAGAAGACTTTGGTAGGTTCGGTTTCTATAATTTCCAAGCTCTGCAGGAGACCACTACAGCTTCCTCCTCAGTTACTCTTATTTACTTATGGGCCCAAACCCCTGAGCAGTTAAAATCTGGCATCAATAACACTATCAATTCTGGCTAACACCTTGGCCAGTGAGAAGGGTTAATATAACAGGAGGGAAGATGACAGACGGAAAACCATTTCTTTTACCTCTTTTTTGGTCTCCACAGGTTGACAATAACATGTTGTAATAATCACATGTATGCAATTTACCAGAAGTTTTGAAATCTTAGATTACCACTAACATTCCAATTTCTAAAGACAGTGGACATGAATTCCTGCAGCTCTCTGAGAATAGATTTTAGCTGTTAATATTATATTACAACTTCCTACATAGTTGTAAAAATTTAGGTTAATGATTCCTGTGAATTTATTTTTATTTTTTTGAAATGGGGTCTCACTCTGTTGCCCAGGCTGGAGTGTAGTGGTGTGATCTCAGCTCATTGCAACTTTGCCTCCCAGGCTCAAGCGATCCTCCTGCCTCAGCCACGAGAGTAGCTGGGATTACAGATTCACGCCACTACACCCAGCAAACTTTTGTATTTTTAGTAGATATGAGGTTTCACCATGTTGTCCAGGCTGTTCTCAAACTCCTGAGCTCAAGTGATCCACCCACCTAGACCTCCCAAAGTGCTGGGACTACAGGCATGAGCCACCTGTGAATTTAAAGTAAATTAATATTATGTACACAGAAGTTACAATAAAAATGCTTCTATTTGGATAAAACAAAAAAATTAAAACTACTGTAAAAGTGAAAGATACTACATACTTTAGGAACAACTGGTATTTGTATGCAAGTGGGCCTAAATCTAATGTTGTGTGAAGATCAAAGCCAAGTACAATTGTAGCTCATGTTGCAGTTATTTCGAGGTCTCAAAAGGGATAACAACAAAAATCTATAATAGAAAACAGAATCTGGGTTAAAATCAGTGGAAATAATTTTTATTTCAGAATTAAATAAATTGAGTGAAATGAAGTATCTGGCTCTTGGAGGAAAATATGGTATCTTATTCTTTAAATGTCTTTAAATTTATAAGTCATAAGCTGCAAGTCAGTAGCATCATTATGTTGATGAATTACCCAGTTTAATTCTTATAAAAATTGAAATTATCTTCTGAACTCTAAGTCATATTTTAGCCACAGGTATTTTTTTGTTTTGTTTAATCAATAATTCCTGAAAGAATGAAACTTATTCGACTTTTATTACGTGACAAGGTTTAAAAAAATTTGCTTGAATAAAACATTATGGAGTCTGAATTCAAAGCATAAAGGCAGAAAGTAAAGTATGAAGATCTTTCAAACGTCTGTCACTTTTAATAATTTTGTTCTATGTTATATGACCTACGAATGTTAAGAGTCTGTAAGAGTTTCTTCAGCTGCATTTGATTTTACCAACACCTTGTGGGTACAGTTAAGAAGATGACTTATTTGAGGCTTTATAACTGAAATTGGATATGGTTCAAACGTTCAACAGATATAAACATATTTTAATTAAGAATAAATATTTTTATAAGATTGCTGAAATGACTTCTCTCAAAAATTTATGCCGGAACATCAACAAATAAATTTGCATTACAAAATAGAAAATTCAATTGTGGAAAATCATATTCTAACTTATTCTGATGAAGTAGTTCCCTTGTCAGGAAGCTTTTTCTTAAAGTGTGTTTTATGATTTGTGATAGAATTACCATCACTAAGTCGATCATTGCCCATTGGTTAGTCTACATGTACTGCCTTTTAGTGACATGAGTTCAATTCTAATTAAGAATGAGAATAGCCTATAACTATGAACACAGATAGCTACATGTGTCTCTAGTGAGAGGTACTAGTCCTCTTTGACATTTCTCTTAAAGCGGAATTTATTTGGGGTAGTGATGGTTTTACTGGTAGCCATAGGGGAAGATAAGAAAAGGGGGCCAAGATATTCATTTCTACTGCTGGCATGTGGAATGCTCTTTTCCTGCTCCATGCCAGTCTCTCACTTGATTTAGAAAGATTTGTGCGTCCTTAGCTTTGACCATCAAGAAGAGTCCATCTCCTTTGCCTTCCTGTGCCTGGTACCTGAAAGACCTAGTGAAGACTGAAAGAAAAGTTTTTATTTTCTTACATAGTGAAAGCACTTTGAAGCATTTTGTTACACATATCTATAATTTAACATGATAATTATATTGATCATTTACAATTCTACACATTATTTTAGCAAGTAATGAACGTTCTTAAGTGCCTAGTGTTGTCATAGGTATAAATCAAGTAGGATACCTGCCCTCAAGAAAGTGTATAATTTTATGCGTAGAGATAAGAGATGAGTACTTTCGCAGAAACAAATGAATAATTATATACCAACATGGAGAACTTAAGCTCATAGGTGAATGTGGGAATATGGAGGAGAATGAAAATCATTGCCAGGTGAGTGATCAAAGAGTGCATTCTAGAAAAGGTGGTACCTGTACAGGGGTTTGGAGGATGCATTGGTATTAAATAAGAGAGAAATTAGAGGGAAGACACATCTTCCAGGCAGAGTGTCTAGAAGCAGAGCCAGCAGCAGATTTTAGTGTAAGCAATTTATTGAAAAAGTCCTCTCAGAAGATATCTATGAGATGGTAAGAAAAGCTGAAAAAGGTAGGGGAGAAAGTGGACAAAGATGTGATCTCTAAAGTTGAGCCTCAGACTGATACATGGCATGGTCTGGAGGGAAAATTGCACCACAGAAAGAGGTACCCCTTAAGGAACAGGATGCCAGGATTTTACCCCTCATATCTGTCAGTTATCGGCTACAAGTCCAAGGGGCAGGGGGAAGTGCAAGTGATGTATCTTGCTGGAAGTCTCAGGGTCAGGAGGCTCTCATTCAAAGAGGCAGGTCTCTGGAATGATGCAGCTGCAAGCCATTAGCAGCCAACCCTTGCCTCAGCTGAGAGATGGGTACCAGGATGAAAGGCCTGGTAAAGGGTTATGGCTGTGCCACCAGTGGAATTTCCTACACTGGGAATATACATGCTAGGTGCATAGAATGTTAGGTGTGAGAGGGGAGACCAGCCTGTTGGAAAGTATTCATTAATGCATATTTGTCAAGAATTCTAGCTGGTAACACTTTATTAAACATTAGATATTGCTATTTTATGTGCTTTGAAGCAATTACACTGTTTGAAAAACCTTATTTTGTAAAAAAAAATCTGTTCTATTCACTGTCTCACAGATTTAGGACAGTTTATTAATTAAGAACACTAGATTTCAAGTCAAACAGACCTGACCTTAAACCTTGACCTTGTTCTTTGCTGTATAAATGGTTTTGTATGAGTTACTTAACCACACTGAGCCTCAAATTCCCATCAGTTATATGTGGATTATAATGTCTGCCTCATGCTTGTTGTGAACATTCAATGTAATCATTCATATGAAGAAGCAATGAACACAGGGTCTGGTGCACATAAATGTTCAACAAATGATAGACATTACTTCCTTCTGGATGAGCAAAACCTTGATGCTTTCAGTAGAAGGTATTTGGAACTATGGTTGAATCTTTTCTGGGGGTATTGATGGGACTAGAGTCAGGATGAGGTGGATGAAATGCCAGGTACTTTCATCTGTATGACTTGAGAGTGTATGCATCAAATTTTGCACCCTCGAGCACCTCTCTCACCTCCACATTGAAAAAAATACATGCCAGATTAAAAAAAATGAAATTGGAAAGGATGGTTTGTAGAACTGTTAGAGCATCCATAAAACTCATTACAAAGTAAAATATATTAGTAATAAAATGATTTTAGTAATACCTCGGGAACCACTCTAATTCCAAATCATCTCTCTGTCTCTTGTAATGGCTTTCCAATATTCTTTGAAAAATATTGAGGTTATTTTAGTTATGATATTGGTACTTTGATTTGGTTTAAATATCCTTTTATTCTTGAGATATACAATTTCAACTGAATGGCAACTATGACAGAGTTGAAAATGTACAGAAAAATAAATTATAGATTAGACAACGTATTAATTTAAAAGCAGTTGCAAGCAAGTTACTATATTGCAATGAAAAAAAAGTTCCTAAAATTGGTAATTCAACTATTGCTGTCCTAATAGCTGAAGTCATTTTTATGTATGGCAATCCTAAATCAAAGCCATCATAAGATGCTGCAGACCTCTTAATAGCTTGGCTCCAGTGATAATGAGCCCAGGACATTAGAGCTCATTTGAGAGCAGGATTCATAATTTTTTTTACTGTGCAATTTTCCTACCTCTGGCTTTGTCTCAAAGACATAGCCACACATGGAGAAGGACACTGATAATAAGAGAGTTTGACATTCTTTATAATTTTTCTTTTGCCAGGATCCTTATAATCCTTGAATCAAAATGATTGAAGCAGTTATTTTTAAAAATAGAAGCTAGATTTAAAATGTATTATTTTGTGCCTCTTTTGACATTATTTTGTTTAGAGCACCTTTAAAAACTCTACTGGTGATTAAAATATTGAAACTATAACAGTATTTTTGGCATGATTTTTAAATACTTCTTTCAGCTATATACTTCTCTAACTTATTGGCTTATTATTTGATTTAATTGTCCTTAGGCAGTGTTAATTATGAGAGTTTGCCGAGTTTCTTCTTGGGAATTTGAGAATAAAGGATGCGGGAAAGAGGAGGTGGGTGGAGGATGGATATAAACTGTTTTTTCAATGTACTGAAGGCATTTCAGATTACCAGAAGAATCACAGAGACAAGGGACCATTTAGCCATAGGGTTAAACCTGTCACTTTACCTACCCCACAAATAAGTAACTATGGCAACTCACTGAAAGTGCTTAGCTACCATGGGAGTGGATGGAGTTCGTGCTTTGTGGGGACAATGCTGTGGGACCTCTATGCCCCCATCCATAAGGGACCCTGGGAATTGCCTTCTAGCAGAGAGGCCAACTCACATTTCAAATAAGTATTTTTCCCTCCTCAACTGCTTTTCTAAGCTTTGCACATTAACACTGACCTAGTGCACCATTTAAAAGTCCTAAATATATCACACAGTCGCCAGCCCAATCAAGGTGAGTGGTCAGACACCAGCATGCTGTGCACAGTATGCTAGTTGGCCTTAGAGTAATACAGGGTACACCATTTATGTCCAGTTAACCAGGTGACCCTCTAGTTGCTTTATTAAGCACAGGCTTGACTGTCAAACAGGTCACAAGGAGGACAAAAAGTGTCCTTGCATCGTATGAAAAGAGTTGCTTGAAATCACAGAATACCCTCTATTAATTGCTAAAATCCAATTTCCACCTGAAGACATGCCTCCATGACTCGTGAGAAAAATCAATTATTTAGGTAAATAGGATCTGCAACTCAAACACTCAGACCTATTAGAGTATCTAGCAGCATGCCAGGAGATAGACTGAGCTGCAAGATAAATATGGAACCATCTTGTGGAATATAAATTTCAGTTAAAGGTTTTAAGGAGTATATAATAAGGAAAGCATTGTTTTATATTAAAATGTATTCAATTATATTATGGGATGGAACTGAAAGTTCACATGCAGTTTTCAGATGTGTCCCCCAAAGTTAATATATTTCCTGGGTACTCATTCACACTCTTCTGCCAATAGTATTAATGCTTTGGGAAATGTTTGAGAAGTGTTGTTCCAGTGGAAATGAGCCTGTGGGTTCACTGATTCATTTATCCATTCATTCATTTATTCCTTCATACAGTATATAGCTTTCAAGCCACTTTTATGGACTATTTTATTAACTTTGAATATCAAAACCAATAAAATAGACTTTGTGTCTGCTTTGTGACACAATTTAATGAGTAACAATTTTTTTTTTTTTTTTGAGAAGGAGTCTCACTCTGTTGCCCAGGCTGGAGTGCAGTGGCACGATCTTGGTTCACTGCAAGCTCCGCCTCACGGGTTCACGCCATTCTCCTGCCTCGGCCTCCGGAGTAGCTGGGACTACAGGCGCCCACCACCATGCCCAGCTAATTTTTTTGTATTTTTAGTAGAGACGAGGTTTCACTGTGTTAGCCAGGATGGTCTTGATCTCCTGACCTCGTGATCCGCCTGCCTCTGCCTCCCAAAGTGCTGGGATTACAGGCCTGAGCCATCGCGCCTGGCCATGAGTAACAATTTTTAAAATAAAAATAAATAGCAAATGATGAGTAAAGTACAACAATAAATCAAACAAAATGCTATTAGGACCATATGGCAGAAAAACAACAGAATCTTAGAAGAGTTAGGGAAGACTTCCCAAAGGAAGTGGCAATTAACCTGAGATTTTTAAAGATGAGCAGGAGAATTTCAGGCAAATAAAACTTGCAGTGGGGTTGGGAGTAGGTGGATGGACCATGATATTCCAGGTGAATAATTGAGCACTTTAGCTTGGGAGGAGGGCCCTAAATGAGAAAGTATATGACCTATTTCAGGAACTGAAAGAAATTTGGAATGCTTGGAATATAAAGTGTGGGGCAAATGATGGAGGACAAAGAGGCAGCAGGGATAATATAGTTTGGCTGTGTCTCCACCCAGATCTCATCTTGAATTGCAGTTCCCACAATTCCCAAGGGTCATGGGAGGGACCTGGAGGGAGGCAATTCAATCATAGGGGCAGGTCTTTCCCATGCTTTTCTCATGATAGTGAATAAGTCTCACGAGATCTGATGATTTTATAAAGGAGAGTTCCCCTGCACATGCCCTCTTGCCTGCCACCATGTAAGACGTGACTTTGCTCTTCAAGTACTTTCTGCCATGATTGTGAGGCCTCCCCAGCCATGTGGAATTGTGAGTCAATTAAACCTCTTTCCTTTATAAATTACCCTGTCTTGGGTATTTCTTTATTAGCAGCATGAGAATGGATTAATACAAGGCATTAGAGGGAAAGAGTGGGGAGAGGTAAAGTTGAAAGACAAGCAAGAAGCAGATCATGAAACGCTTTGTGAGCCTTGTTAGTGAGTTTCAGGGAAATCCCTCTAACTGCAATGTGGAAAATGAATTGGAAAAGTCAGAAGAGGAAAATTCATTAAAAGGATGTGAAGTAATTAAAGGGATTTAGGATAATGGCCTGAACTAAGATGGTGGCAGTGGGAATGAATAATATGAATGGACTGACAGGATTTTTTTTGTATTTTGACTCAGCAGGTGTTGGTAGCATTAGATATAGAGAGTGGGGAGGAAGAAGGCTCTAGGCATGATGCTCAGATTGCTGATTTGGTTAAAGGAAGCAGAGAAAGATACATCTGGAGAGGAAACAAGAATCCCCACTTTTTGTTTTGTTTTTTCCAGTTCCTGATAGATAGCCATGCTCAAGTGTCCCAGTGGCAGTTGAGTATTTAGAGTCAAAGCTCAGGGGAGAACTCTAGCTGGTGATAATGATTTGGGAATTTTGGCATAAAAATACTCATTTGAACCCAGGGAAATGGGAGGTAACATCCAGGATAAGCTTGTAGAAGGAAGAGACTGTGTAGTAGGAACACAGGGAAAGATATCAACACCAGAGAGGAAGAGATGCTTTGCTTGAGGGTGTACTCTACATTTAAATTTTTCTCTTTGAGAGAAGAATCATGACAATAAGAAATTTGATTTATTCCATATTTCAGATTGTTTTGAAAGTGGTATGTCACTAATGAAAGGAGTGTGAAGTGAATACTGTTGACATTCCTGAGAAATGTATCTGGGGGGCCTTAAAATCTGTAAATATCATAAATATCATACGAATCCTAAGAAATTCTGGGATTTAAGGATGAGTGGGAGACTTAGGTTCTTGGTTCTGTGTTGTAAGTCATTCTCCAAGTGTAGCAGGACCATAGCACTGATGAAAATGATTTATACAGTAGTCTTATGATCCAATGCCCATGTATGAACAAAGGTTACTGTTCCTGTCTTCTAAATTGGGGTTCCCAGTGTAATACAGGAAGACTACTGTGTGCTAGTAAACAGAAAGCACAATCCACATTTGACCATATTTTCCTCGTTGGATGTGTTTATGGATATATTTTATTCTGCTTTTATCTTTCTGAGATTAATGCCTTATCTGGCCTTTTTTCCTATGAGTACCTTTGGTTATAAAGAACTTCGCATTGCTACATTATCAATTTTCAGCCTCTCTTTTTTATTTTTAATTTCTTTGCCACCTCTTCTTAATACATAATGCTCTTTCTTCCTTCGTTCCTCCCCCTCTCTGTTTCTTCCTTCCTCCTTTCTTTCTTGCTTTCTTCTTTCTTTTCTTTATTCTTTCTTTTTTTTTTTTTTTCAAGGTCTTGACGTGTTGCCCAGGCTGGAGTGCAGTAGTGAAATCATGGCTCACTGCAGCCTCAACCTCCTGGGCTCAAGCAATCCTTCCACCTCCGCACCCCCAAGCAGCTGGGACTACAGGCAAGGGCCACCATGCCCAACTAATTTATTTTTGTTTTTCATAGAGATGAGGTCTCACTATGTTGCCCAGGCTGCTCTCAAACTCCTGGGCCAAGTGATCCTTCTGCCTCAGCCTTTCAAAGTGCTGGGATTACAGACATGAGCCACCTCACCCAAACTTTTCTTTTTTTTTGAGAGATTCTTAAACTAGATTGTACTTACGATAAATGTTGACTGATTCATTACCTTCAACAGTGCTTTCAGCCTCTGATGGTTCAGAGAAATGATTGTGTATACTTTATATTTCACCTGAATCAGGTTTCGGTTGAGACAATAATTTTCTGAGTATGTCTCCACTTCACAAAATTAATTTATTTTCAACTTTTCTCTAGTTTTACCACTGTTTTGATAAATAATCTTACAGTGGAGGAAGACTTATTGAAACAATTTCATCACTTTTTTTTCTCTTGTTTGCCTCAGAGTATGGTTGATTCATTCTCTCCCTAGGTTGGAGCCATTGCAGAATCAATATTTTACTTTTAACTGACTCCAAAATATATACATTCTAGCTAAGTACTTTCAGCACTATGAGTTGTCCTTCTTTTAAAGAGAAATTTTTTTAAAATGATATCATTAAAAACAAGCCATTCCATGATTTATTGTATAAGAGAAGATAAGTACGGAGTTGTAAACCTGCAATAGAATAATACCCTGGATATCCACCTTCACTGATGAGTTTAACTGACTCATTCTTACCTGTTAACCAAATGCTTTTGAGAGTCAAAGGCAGGGTCTGAGAGGAATTATCAATGAATATTTGTAATGAATCATTGAGGTCGCTTGTGAATAGTTGAAACTTCCAATATTAAGGCTGTGTAGGCCAAGAATCTAGTTATCCTTTCAGAAATTTTTTTTTCTGACCACCTACTCTGTGCCTTAAGCAAAAGTACCTGCCCTTCTTTCTTTCTTTTTTTTTTTTTTTTTTGAGAGCATGGTGTGGTCTCGGCTCACTGCAACATTCGCCTCCCGGGTTCAAGCGATTCACTTGCCTCAGCCTCCTGAGTAGCTGGGATTACAGGCGCCTGCCACCAAGCTGGGCTAATTTTTGTATTTTTAGTAGAGACAAGGTTTCACCATGTTGGCCAGACTGGTCTTGAACTCTTGACCTCATGATCTGCATGCCTGAGCCTCCCAAAGTGCTGGGATTACAAGCGTGAGCCACCATGCCCGGTCAGTACCTGCCCTTCTCTAAAGGCACTTGCTTGCAGTCTTTGGAGGAGATAAGCTTTGATCAACTCATCAACCTAATGGCAAGTATCATTTGACTTGAGAAAAGATAAGAAACAGGGTTCTCAATAGTGTGATCTACAAGATAGACAGCAGTCAGTAGACGCTTGCTTCTCTGAGGAAGTGACTCTTGGAAGAATTAGTAAGAGCTAGGTGGGCAAATTCGGGTAAGACAGAAGGTTGAGAAAGATGTTTTCAGAGAAGGCTCCACAGGAACATAGTTCCTCTCCTGCTGTATTATGGAGAGAACATGGAGCCTTCAGAGATATAAAAATGTCATTGTGGCTGGAATGCAAAGATGAAGGGAAAGAGTTTGAATTGAGGAAGGGATCAGAGCATGCAAGGATTTAAAGATTACTTTAAGAATTTGGTGCATTATACTCATTAAATGATGTTTGCCACTTGGGTCAACAAACATTCTGTAAAGGCTTAGATAGTAAGTATTATAAATATTGCAGGTGATATGGTCTCTGTTGCAATTACTCAACTCTGCTGTTGTAAGGGAGAAGCAGATATAAACAATATGTATGTGTGAGTAGATGTTTCCATAAAGCTTTATTTACAGAAACAAGCCATGACAGTATCTGGCATATCTCCTGATCAGATAAATCCTCATGTTGCTGCCTTATTTCCCAATGTCTCCGTTTGAACTAGTGCAGGGATATTTTGGAGACTTTAGCAATGCCTAGTCAGCAAGCATCAGTGTACTTTAGACATTGAAAATCGGGTTAGGAAAAAAAAAATATGGACTGCTTTGATTTTCCTTTGAAGTAATGTCACAAGAAGAAAACAGCAAGCTGGTTCATTTGCCAAGGAAGGAAGAGCATGAAAGACAAAATGAAATGCCAGTAACTAGGTACTAGAGGAAAGGAGTGCTAAGAAAATGTTCAAAAGGGATCTTGAAAAGCAAAGATCACTTGGTAGATGAACTTGTTCAAAGTGTTCGCTAACTCACCTCTTGCAAGAACAAACTATCTTGCAAGGCTCTACTGCAACATGTCTGATACACAGCACCTGCAGTCAACAGACTCTGTAGTTGCAAAGTATTGAGTTTTGTGCTCAAGCTATAGAAGTTAATGGACTGTCATAACATTGTTCAGATGAAACCCAGCAAAGCTTAACAGACTAAGGTGGATTTTGCCTCCCCTTTTAATCCAGTGCTAATTTCTTTGAGTAATCTCAGAAAACTTTTTTATGCTAAAGTGATTCATTTATAAAGTTCTTGTCAAAACAACCAGTGTATTTAAAATATTTTGGAATTATAATACAGGACACAAATGAAAGAAGATATTTATACTAGGCAGATGGGCTAGGTTATGCTGCAATAATGAACAACCCCAAAATCTTAGTGGTTGCAAACAACAAACTTTTTTCTCCCACTCACAATACAGGTTCATCATAGTCAGCAGGGGGCTCCAGGAATCATAATTGCTGATATAGCCACCTGACAGATCAGTAACCTCAGTGTAGCTGGTGGCCATGAGAAAAGGCGATAATCATCTTTCATATCAAATATTAGAACAATGCAAGAGAAATATGGTGATTTTACTCTCTATATCAATATCACACACACTAACACTTGGTGTGCATTTTAGAATATCTTGCTGGTTCCCAGTAAATATGTCAACTTTTTGCACTATATACCGCTTGAAATGTCAATACTGCACAAATACGCGTAGTCTGCTGACAGTAACCTGCCAGGTTCTAGACTTCCATATTGATTACTGTTAGCAAAATGTGTAGGTGAAATTTTTGTAGGGTACGCACGTGACCATTCACAGAAGGCAAGAGGTTCTCTTTGGAATTTAATTTTCTGTGTGAAAAATAAATCACTTTTTTGTGTGTGTGGAACATTTCTCATGGAATAATGGGTCATATTAGGTTAAGTTTAGGAAACTGATGTTTATTGAGCTGTGCACATATCTGCTAAAGGAATTTCACATCTATAAATAAATAAGCTTATTTTTCCATGGTGTCAGAGAGATAATGAGACTTTCATATAAAACTATTTTTGCCAGCTGAAATATCATGATTGTTATTCTAATATTTCCTCCACAAAGACTTAGTGAACTGCATGTCCATTTTAGAAAGTAGGAGTAGATATTTTAATTTTTTCTTGCTTCTTGAGAACTACTATCAACAATAAAAAAAGCTTTGATTTTAACGTGTATATCTTAAGATTTCTTTTGATCAATACTAATGAAAATAAACCTGAAACGCGAATCATTGGACAAATGTGAGATTTTTCCTTTAATTTATACATTAATTGATGTAAGATAGTATTTAGAAAGTTTCAATCCTTTCCAGTTACAATTGTAATTGTCACTTACCTCAAACTAAACAAACGGACTCTTTCCCATATTTTTCTACTTGGTGAAGGACATTCTAATCATCTAGATGCCTAAGTCAGAAACCTAGGCATCATCCCTTCATTCTTTCTGTTCCTCACAGTCACACTTAATTAATTGAACGATTTTCGGTCCCTACATACTTCCTGATTTCCTCCCCTGTGCCCTACTGCTTCTCTCCCTAACTCAGATAATGATTTCTCGACTATCCTATTTTAAGATCAGGCTATTTTGTCTCCTTGCAATGATCTCTCTATAACCTAGTAATATCAAGCCCTAATGAAAAGTCTTTGGTCGGCTTCTGTCACCCAGGATAAACGTGAAACTCCTGAGAGTTGGATCTACTTCCTTTCAGCATCTCACCCTTGCCTGCACTTCTAGCCTCCACTCTCAAAACTCTTTCACACATCATTTGAACCTGAGACATTAAAAATGCCTTCCAGGGCTTGGTGCAGTGGCACACACCTGTAATCCCAGCACTTTGGGAGGCCAAGGCCAGCAGATCACTTGAGCTCAGGAGTTCGAGACCAGCCTGGGCAATATGCGAAACCCCATCTCTACCAAAAAAAAAAAAAAAAAAAAAAATTGCTGGGCTTGGTGGTTGAGCCTGTCGTCCCAGCTACTCAGGAGGCTGAGGTGGGAGGATCCCTTGAGTTCAGAAGTTCAAGGCTGCAGTGAGCAGAGATTGAGCCACTGCACTCCAGCATAGGTGACAGAGCCAGAGCCTGTCTCAAAAAGAAAATAATAATAATAATACTGCCTTCCAGTTCCTCCAAAATAACATGTCTTTCCTTGGTAAATACTCTTCTTACTGCTTTCAGCAGACATTCAACCCACAGGTCCCAGGTCGTTGACTCATTCTCATCTCTTAATTGCTAGCCAGGCCTTTGGGAAGCCGTTCTCTAGTTCCTACTCAGTTAGGCACCCAACCTCTCTGCTCTCATAGCACATAGGCTGTCCCTCTAACATAGCATGAGTCACACGCTTTCCAAACTGGTGTTTACCTGCTTGTCTTCTTTACTGCATTGCTCCTTGAGGTAGCAAGGATGTCTTCTTTATTAGCTTTTTTATACTGAGAAAATTTTAAAATACAGGAAAAGAAACATGATAAAATATATACCCACATTCCTAACTCATAGAAATAACTGTTGACATTTTGTCATGTTTTCTTTTCTTACTAGAGAAAGAAAATGAGATAAAACTAACCTGCATTTCTATCCTACTTTTCTGCCTGTCTTAGAGGCAAACACCAACACAGGTTTGTTGTCAATTTCCTTCCCATTAAAAATACTTTTACATACCTACTGTGTATCTATAGCCAACAGATCTTATATTTATGTGGTGTTTGCGTTTTTCCAATTTTAGAAATGGTTTCCTACCTTTCTTAACCTACGACTTCTGACAATTTTATTTCAAAATTATGCCAATATGTATAGATCTCAAAAACATAACATTGAGTGAATATGCCAATAGGTAGAATGTCATGTAAAGTTTAATTTTTGTCAATTTTATGAGTGAAAATTGTATATCACTGTTGTTTTTATTTACCTTTTTTTACCAGTTTTTTTCCAGTTTTGTTTTATTATTATTTTATTTTATTTTATTATACTTTAAGTTTTAGGGTACATGTGCACAATGTGCAGGTTAGTTACATATGTATACATGTGCCTGCTGGTGTGCTGCACCCATTAACTCGTCATTTAGCATTAGGTATATCTCCTAATGCTATCCCTCCCCCCTCCCCCCACCCCACCCCACAACAGTCCCCAGAGTGTGATGTTCCCCTTCTTGTGTCCATGTGTTCTCATTGTTCAATTCCCACCTATGAGTGAGAACATGCGGTGTTTGGTTTTTTGTCCTTGTGATAGTTTACTGAGAATGATGATTTCCAGTATCGTCCATGTCCCTACAAAGGACAGGAACTCATCATTTTTTTATGGCTGCATAGTATTCCATGGTGTATATGTGCCACATTTTCTTAATCCAGTCTATCATTGTTGTACATTTGGGTTGGTTCCAAGTCTTTGCTATTGTGAATAGTGCCGCAATAAACATACGTGTGCATGTGTCTTTATAGCAGCATGATTTATAGTCCTTTGGGTACATACCCAGTAATGGGATGGCTGGGTCAAAGGGTATTTCTAGTTCTAGATCCCTGAGGAATCGCCACACTGACTTCCACAATGGTTGAACTAGTTTACAGTCCCACCAACAGTGTAAAAGTGTTCCTATTTCTCCATATCCTCTCCAGCCCCTGTTGTTTCCTGACTTTTTAATGATTGCCATTCTAACTGGTGTGAGATGGTATCTCATTGTGGTTTTGGTTTGCATTTCTCTGATGGCCAGTGATGGTGAGCATTTTTTCATGTGTTTTTTGGCTGCATAAATGTCTTCTTTGATGAATAATGAGATTTAACTTTTTCCCATTGACCATTCACATGTTCCCAACTCTGAATTTCTAGTAAATTCATGTTTTTCCAGAGAATGAAAGAGTGAATGGCCACTGTCTTGAGGAAATGGGAGTATTCTAGATGCATAGTCAGGCAGTGTGATTAGTATAGTGCAAGAATGGTAGGAAAGGATGGAGAGGACAATGGGAAAACACCTTGCTAAAAAGTTTGGATTTTGTCTTCTAGTGATAGAAATGTACTGATGGTCCCTGACATGGGTAACAGCTGCTTTAGAGCTGAATTTCAAGAATCAGCTTGTGAACAATGCTTTGGAGATTAAGACAGTAGGAAGGAGAAGATTTGAAGCAGTAAAGTGATTTAGAAAACTATTTCAATGGACCAGACAAGAAATGGTAATGGCCTGAAATGAGTGGAGGGAGTGGAAATGAAGTCACATGGCTGCAGTTGCCATTTATTGGAGAAACTGAATTTCAGGGATTTGGATCAGGTCAAGGTATGTTATGCACATAAACCAAATATTAATGATATTTATTTAGTGTGCACCAGTGATATTTGTTTTTTCCTTCGCTAAACTGAAGATTAAGGCAATCAGAACCTAGTAAACATTGCTGAATTCACCATTGTATCCCCCAGTGCTAATACACAAAAAGTATACAATGAATTCTACTACCTACCTTTCGCAGTGTGGCTATCCTTGCAAATTTCACCCTTTCCCTTCCTTTCAGTCATTCTTGTTTCCCCATGCTCCATAGATCATTTAGCCACCACATCTTTTTGTGTTATTTTGTTTTCTGCAATGATGCTGGTATAATTCAGAACTACTAGCAAAATCTCATCTCTAGCTTCATGTGATATTTTCCTGCTTATAAACTACCCATATTCTTGCTGTGCTATAGTCAATATGTGTAACTCTTCTGAGGCCTCCTCATTCATTGCAGATGTTTGCAAACTTACCTCTCTTCTTAAGGGCCCATTCGTATGTACTTAAATAGGAAGATCATCAGAGACAAGTATCCACATGTGAACTCCCTTAGCTACTGTTCTTTTCTCTAAATTTCTCTTTTTCTCTGTTCAAAAAATTTCCAACTTTCAACTTTGTGGACACTTCTGGAAAAAAAGAAAGTCGTGTCTTACCAATTTTGCAGAATTGAATTACAAGTTTCTCATACTAAGACATTTTTCTATGGAAGAAACAAGGTTCTTTTGTAGAGATGAGAATTTAAATGATTTTTTTTTTTTTTTGCAATGGGAAGAGAGATTTCTCACTAGTCTTACTGGTTTTCATCTGACTTTATAGTTTAAAATTGATAGCCATTTTGATGGCAACACACATGGTTTAGTTAAATTTTACTCCGTCCTCAGTTTTCCTGAGGGAGTGTCAGCTACTGTGTTTTCTTTACAAAACAACATAAATTCCATGTATCCACCCTGGGAATCACTTCACTGCGTTGAATCTGGATAGGAAATAAAGATTCATGAATATTTCACAATTTACTAGGAACCATCACTTTCTTGCTCTTCCGTGTGGATTTTCTACTAATTAGTTACTTGGTATGTCTAAGATACGTTATTTTTATTATACAAAGACTGTATCACTTTTTATTCCTTTGATATAAATCATAATACAGTGTCTGATAAGTACAGCTTTTTAAAAACTCTTTTCATAGACTGTCTTATTCTTTTTAGATTTATGCCCATGATGTGCATGGTCCTGAATGTGGAATGGGTCTCTCTGAAGAAAAGTGGGTCAGATGGTTGCTTGTGCATATTGGAAAGAAACTGATAGCTTCCTGGTCTCTTTTGAAGGGTGCTGTTGTAAAATACAGATTAGTCAAGGTTTACAGTGCTGTTACTAGCCTGAACACTTCAAACCACCATGCAGTTTAAAACTATTCAGTGCTTATGGCAAAATTCAGGTCTTTTGATGTTGGGGCAGGAGTAGACATTTTATTGGAATGTAAGGCAAAAATAGAGATGAAAACATTGAATCATTTTTGGTGGGGGGATTGACTTACCTTAATAATAATTTTTTATACCTTTAAATCCAGAAATGTCAAGAAAATGACACACAAGAACAAAACAAAAGAAAAATTCAGTTTAGAGCCTGCTTAAAAATCTGACATTGATCTTCCAATGCCTTAAAAATGTTTTTATTATGAAAAAATTTGAACATATAAAAAATGGAAGATATGGTATAAGGAACCCTCAAGTACACATTACTTGCTTCAATAATTATCACCCATCAACTAATTTTTTTTTTCATCTGTAACCCTACCAACTGTTCTCCTTTCCCACTGGAATATTTTGAAGCAAATCATCATATCATATAATCTGTAATCTGCAAATATTTAAGTATGCATATCTAAAAGTTAGAATTCTTTTTAAAATCATAATCTCAGTATAATGACACACTAAAAAATGAACAATAATTATTTCATCCCATCAAATATTGACAAGCTATTATTCTTTTACTATATATTGGCTAGAATTTTATGTAAAGAAAAGCTTTTCACCATTGACTCTTATTTACCTACAGGTAGAATTCAAACAGGAAAGCAGATCAAATACTTGATTCTTTCTTTTTATTTCCCAGTTTTTAGAAAAAATGAGTTGGTTTACTAGTATCCTTTAATGATAACCAGTTTGCTTTTTGTATCTCTATGAACTCATAGATTTTAAATATATTTGATATGTTTCGATTCATTGCAGTTATGATTCTTTTCAATAATCAAATTGTCTCATCTTTGGTTGGTAAGAGTGTCTTCAACTTGGCTTTCTAGTCCTTTAAACTCAGTTTTCCTTAATGATTCTCATGCTTTTCAGTGTTAAGATGTGGTAGGATTGTTTTGCATATTTCCTGTCCTGGTTTTAGAAACAGTCATTTCTTGGAGGAGCCCTGGTTCCTTATAGTGAAAAAGGGTATTTCAAGACCACAGGTCGGTAGGGCTGTTCACTGTTAATATGTAGGTTGTTTCTAGGTCTTTTCAGTGGATCAGGTGGGAAATATATATTTCAAATAGAGAAAATACATTATAGTTTATTCTGACATGCCCATTTAGGAATATGAGGCTTATAGTTAAATTCATTAATTTCATATTTGTATCTTTTTTCTCATCCACTGAAAGTTTTGATTCCTAATAACTTATTTGCTCTATCATAGCTCTCTATATATCATTTCATAATAATAATAGAAATATTATCATATACAACATAGTGGCTGAAATGACTTTGAAAGATTTCTTAGCCACGATTTTATATTTATAAAGCATCCCACTAGGCATCTACAATCAAATTACCTTTTTTTAAAAAAAAATCACTTGAAAAAATTATTTTATGGTTAAGCCACCAAACAACTTCATTTGCTTCATTTGACTTTTTGCCTGAAAGTATTTTAAATATTTGTTTTATAATGATGTAAAAACTTTTACATAGTTTCAAGGTCAAATTTGCAAAATAAGTTATATTCAGAGACTAGACTCTCTAGATCCATTCATCCTGTTTTCTTCCTCACTAATGTGTAACCATTTTATTTAGGGTTATCTTTCCATTTGTTAGAAATATTATATATATAAATAGTTTGTTTAAACAGTCCGCTTAAGAATATTTTTCTAGTCTTTTGCTGCTACAAATAATCTTGCAATCAGTTGTTTTGTGCACGTGTCTTTTGCTTTTTGTCATTGCATCTTTAGGATAGTTTGTTTTTTTTTTTTTGTTTTTTTTTTTTTTTTGAGGCAGAGTCTCTCTCTGTCACCCAGGCTGGAGTGCAGTGGCAGGATCTCAGCTCACTGTAAACTCTTGCTTCCCAGGTTCAAGTGAGTCTTCTGCTTCAGCCTCCCTAGTAGCTAAGACTACAGGCGTGTGCCCCACACCTGGCTTTTCTTTTTTTCGCATTTTTGGTAGAGACGGGTTTCACCATTTTGGCGAGGCTGGTCTCAAAGTCCTGACCTTGGGATCCAACCGCCTCGGCCTCCCAAACTGCTGGGATTACAGTTGTGAGCTACCGTGCCCTGCCAGGATAGATTTCTAAAAGTGTGATTACTCAGTCAAAAGGTAAAAGTAGATAAATTTATTAGATGTTGTCAAATTCTTCTTTGGGAGTAATGCCATTTTCCAATCCTAAGATCAGCATGTGAGAATGTGTTCTGTTTCCATAGGTTCTCCAACAAATTATATTGCCAAACTTTATGTTCCAAAGCTTTGTGGGGATATGTCTGGTAGTTGATTGGGGCAGAGAAAATGAGAAAAACTTAGTATGAAGAAAAGAGTCTTAGGCTTGAAATTAAGACACAGGTTTAATTCTTGACCATTGCTGATCACTTGTTTCACCTTAGACAAGTCAGCCAACTTTTTTCATCTGCTCCACAGATCTGTGGTAAGGATTAAATGAGATGACATCCATGAAACATATGACAGAATACCTTGCCATAGTGGCTACTCAGCATGTAAGTTTTTTGTTTGTTTCTTTGAGACAGAGTCTCCCTCTGTCACCAGGCTGGAGTGCAGTGGCGAGATCTCTGCTCACTGCAACCTCTGCCTGCTGGATTCAAGTGATTCTCCTCCCAAATAGCTGGGATTACAGGCATCCGGCACCAGGCCCAGCTAATTTTTTGTATTTTTAGTAGAGACGGGGTTTCACCATGTTGGCCAGGCTGGTCTCGAACTCCTGACCTCGGGTAATCTGCTCGTCTTGGCCTCCCAAAGTGCTGGGATTATAGGCATGAACCACTGTGCCCGGCCTAGCATGTAGTTTTTAAAAGGCAAAGCAATTGAAATTTGTAAAGCATTTGGATATCTACAAAAGTTATTTGACGAGAACATACAAGGGGACATCTCTTATGGACTGGTAATTTTAGGATTGTCTACTTGATGTTAACTAAATATCCTTCCTAATGCCAAACCAACACATGGGGTAAGAATAAGTGATGCTGGACTAAAAAAAAAATTTGATTTCTCTATCAAATGTACTTTTAGGTAAAAAAAAATATGCAAAGTATAAAATATTTGTATGGGCAAATGTTTTACTAAGGGTGTTTGGGTTATTTTCTATTGAACAAAACCTGCTAAACCAGCATAAGATGCACTGAACTAAAGTGCAGCAGAGATGCTACTGTCAGCAAGAGAAGGATTCAAAGAGAGGAAGCCCAATCCGAGCATTACCTGGACAATTAAACAGTCAGTTATTGGGATTTTCACAATTCTTAGCTTTTTTAACTTTCACAATTCTTAGCTTTTTTAACTTTGAGTTTTAAAAATCATGATGGAGAGAAATTTAGTTCTTAACTTTTATTTTCTGGGCTTGATGAAGATTGAATTTCATCAGAGATGAGCTAAACAAATTAAAACTGAAGCATTTAATTTAGAAAACTCAAATTTCTTCAGCCTAAAATTGTTCATTTAAACAAGTTTGTTAGATTCTCAAATTAATAGGATACTGAATAAATATGAAATTATTCTTTCCTGGAAAGTTAAATGGAAAAACAGGACAGAATCGCTATTTTATAACTAATACATATTAAGTCAAGAAATAGTAAAGGATTATTTGTCTTCAAGAAAACATCCTGTAAAGAATGGCAATGTTGGTGGTATATAGATGTAAAATGCTTAAAAAGAATGATTATCTAGAAGATGTTATACATGTTATAATTATCTTTAAGTCTGCCTTCTCTAATTCTGTAAGTTAAACACAAATATTGATACTTTAATTTTTAAAATATTTTTAAAAGTAGCTGAAAATGGGGCTCCATCCTTCAAAGTTCTAACAATACAATTTATAGTAAAGAATATGTATGAGAAACATTTGTTCTTAGAAGTTCAGAAAAATCAAATATATAATATGAAGATAGAATAATGTAGAGAAGTTAAAGAGGAGAAAGGGGTGACTGATTCTGAATCAAGTGAGTTTTAGCTTCTTTTAAGTGAAATCATGCATGCTCCTCACATATGCTAATGTATAAAACATCAATTTATAGAATAGTATTTGAATTACCTGCCTAGGCTTTGCAAGCCTAGACCTTTGAATTTGCATTCAAATTCTTGATGTACATTTTCTAGCTGGGGGACTAGAAAGCAAGACACTTTCCTTTCAGTACCTTGGGCTCCCCATCTATTAAGTGGAGATCATTAAAATCTGCCTTGCACCGCTGTCCTAAGGATTTGAGATAAAGCATACAAAGGGCTTGGCACATAGTAGGTGCTCCTAAATGGTAACTTTATTCTTCACATCAGGCTTTGCTTATACTTATAAAAGCCAGTTTTGTAGATAATTTGCTGAATAGAACTAAGAATAGTTATAAATATTGGGTTAGTTTATTTGAGCTGCTATGATAACATACCATAAACTGGATGGATTATAAGCAAAGATAATTTATTTCTCACAGTCTGGAGGCTGGGAAGTCCAAGACCACAGCAGTGGCAAATTCAGTGTCCAGTGAGTACCTGCTTTCCTGTTTATAGACAGCACGTTTTTTTTCTGTAGCCTCGCATGATGAAAGGGAGCAAGAGGGACCTCTTTCAGACGCTGGTCACCTCCCTAAAGCCCCACCTCCTGATATCCTCACATTGGAGATTAGGTTTCAACATATGAATTTTAGGGGGACACAAACATTCATAACATAGAAAATACATATTATTTTAAAATGCTTTCTTATTCTTTATTATGACCACTATTAAAACCAAACAGAAAACTGTAGAACTAGCCAAGGTATCTTACAGAGATATGTTTCAGAGGAGTGTTTATTAGATTCTGTTGTATACACTATTTGTTTAGCTTTTTCTGTTTTTTAGGTCCTCGGCCTATGCTATTACAGAAAGAATATTACTCTCTTTTGTATTTACTATTGGTTTCCTGAGGGAAGCAATTATTTTAATTATTGATTATTTATGGTTTAATGGGGAACCATTGTATTCTAACTCACAGGAATAAAACAATAACAAATAGGATGCATGCAAAATATCTCATAAATGTGTACCTAACAAATAAAACATACATCTTCAAATACGAATATGCATTTAGAGCCTGGCTTGCTGTCTGAGGTCTTAACTTGTTCTGTGCTTCAACTCCCTATTATAATGGATGCTACACATGGAAGCTCTTGGGTCACCATTGGAGGTAATAGCGCCCTATAGAGTTTTGTGTCTGGGAAGAAGTGGACTTTGTAGTTAGGCGATTAAATATTTACCAGCTTGCCTTAAGCCAAGTACATGTTAAAGGACTATTTTGTATTATTATTTTGTTTTTAAATAGGCCCCTTTCTCTCATATTTATCTTGCCTTAATTAGGGAGTTTATTGTTTATTAAAAAGCTTTAATCTGAACTACTTTCATTGTGTGGGTGTGTGTGTGTGCTGTTTGAAACAAATGAACTAAAAATGTTTTTAATTGAGCTGCAAGTGAAGACTTGTCAATACATAAATTATACAGTATTATATATCTCTATATATGCATAAAGAGGATATTTTAATCAGCACATGTCCCTGTATTTAAAAGTTAAAAGAACCGCTCTACAGAGCTAAGAATACAGGTATTTTAATTTTTTAAATGATTATAACGGGGGAAATTCCACTGTTGTTTCTTTAGTGTTTGATGAGGGATTGTAATCTAATCAGTTTAAACGACTATAAACACAGCGATGATCATTTAAGTTGGATTTTGATTCGAAAAGTAAGTTCTTGGAATTTAGGGTATTGCACAATCTGTCCCATACAGGGGAAAAAAAAATCACCTACTTGTGATTTTTACTAATTTTTTTCCGTGAGAATAGAATCCTGCTGGGAAGCTTATTTTATTCTCTTAGATTTGCTTCCTCCTTTTTTTCCCCCTCCGGAGAACGATGACTGGTTTACAAATAGCAATTTATATCAACTGACACAGTCCTTTTTCCTTATACTGTTGATCTCAGAACTGTTCTGCAGTCCTGAAGTATGAAACACTATTGCCATTTTTTGGTACAGCCAGTGCTCTAAAAAATGTAAATGGATGAAAGCGATTCAATCTATTATGGAAGCAGAAACATCTTCCTATTTGCTTTACAAATTTTTCCGAGTAAAATGCAGTCAGGTTTGTAACATTGCATAAAAACTTGTTTTAGAATTCTTTACACTAAATTAAAGATGATAAAGCAATCTGCTTTTCATACTAAACAGTGAAGTGAAAAGCATTATTTTAAAGAAATATTTCTGTTTTGTTAGTGTACGAAATTCTGTAATAGTGGCTAACTTCTTTAGGAACCTTTTTAGGTGAAACTTATGATTGACTATGAAATCTATTCTAGGACAAAATAAAATGAGAATAGAATTATATGTCTAATTAAATGATATATCTAGGCAAACTAACCATTCAAGTTTTAATTTTTATGAAAACTTTCTATGTGCCCCTGACATCTGTACATGTGTTTAATTTCCAGTGAGCTCAAAATACTTCAAGTGATCTCATTTGAGTATTAACTAGGGAAATACATTCACAGTCCAGCAATTTTCTTTTATGTCTACATTATTTTAAATCATAGCATAGATTTTCCACTGTGCTTTATGACCAGAACACATTTATTTGCAAAGTATTTTCACTTACCTTATATTGTAGTATGTAGTATAGGACAATTGATACGGTCAACTGTTTAAAACGTCAGATGCAATGATAGAGCCTTAGCATTTATAGATGTAGCATTCACAGTTGCAACTCTTTCAGTTTCAGACATTTGTGAGGAATCTCATAGGTGTGTAATATGGTTTGAAATTTGTGAGGACAGCAATTCGTGCTCTGACTCTAGTCATTGGCGGCCAGTGAGCAAGCGCAACTGATCACCCAGTATCAACTTCACAATGTGGTTTCCACTAATCGGCACCTTATATTAATTTTTATGAAATAATAAAAACCTTATTTCATAGCAGGAGCGGGTACCCAAAAAGTAGTTAAATGGCTAATCCTTTACAGTTTTTATGTTTTTGGAAATTTGTGATCTCAAGACTATCCCTCAAGAATGTCAAGGTTTTGCTGAAGTTAAAGACATTTGTTATTCTGTGGTCAGATTATTTCAGTAGTTGAGATGTAGTCTCACATTAAGGGAGAAATCTGCAAACTAGAAATGGTTTGCAAATGGCAAGGCAAAGCATTCAAATAACTGTTACATGTGATAAAAATCTCTTTTGGGTTTCAGGATGACAAGGTACAGGGCCCAGGGACTGGCATTTAAAGAGAACTCCTATACACACACTTAAATTCAACAAAAAAGTCTGTATTCTATAATATCCAATTACCTTAATTGTGTAGTGGGGAAAATGAAGAGTTGAATTTCTGGTTAGCTAGACTAGGGTAGGAAGACACCAGCTCTTTGTTTGTTTTGTGCTTTGACATTTCAATTTTCCCGCTTGGCTTTGTCCTTCTGTCTTCCCTTGACATTGATGATTTTGTTGTAGGTACGTCACCTCCTTGAATCTACTGATATGAAGAGAAAGCTATAACTAAAGTTAAGACAATGTTAAAGTAAGGTCCAATTCTCAGTTATCTACAGGGCTATCCAAAAGAAAAATGGAAATTTCATTTAAAATAGCTGCATCTTTTAAGTAGGAATATTTTGGGCTATTATATGCCAGACTCATCACTGGTGCTATTTAATTTCTCCTCCCATCAATGAGAGCTCTCCCTGAGACACATTGTGAGATCTTTCTGAGGATGAAATCACTTAACCCCAGCAACGCCACTGATTATTTTCAGCTACAACAACCACACTTCTATGCACACACATCAATCACGCCAAAAAACATTCTGACTAAAAAGCTCAAAAGAAAATAATTAAGCATTCTCTTTTCCATATGAAGATATTACTGACCAGCAGAAAGTGGAAAAATGTATACATAATGTTTATAGATACTGACTTAACAATGAGTGAACAGTTGCGTCTCACAAATTTCAGCAGCGTTGTCTTGACAGTGGATCATGGTGCTTCTGTGTTGCTAGGCAACCCGAGGGGATGGAAAATTTAAACTCAAATTTACTTATGTATGTTAGATTTTAGACATATTATATTGAGAGTGTATTACACATGTCATTACAGGCTAGTTGTACATTTCTATTCTGTCTTTTATGTGAGTTTCTCAGTATATACATGAAAGACACTCTGCCTGTATCCTTGCTCCTCTATTTTTGAAAATTAACATAGTCCTAATATGCATTTTTATGGTTGACAGTCGTGGTATATGAGAGAAAATATGTAGCCTTTGATGTAAAAAGATTGTTTTTAAAAAAACATAAACTTTACAATATATGCTTGTGTGTGTCAGTCAGAGGGGGAGGTGGAGAGAGGCAGTGTTTCTGAAACAAGAGATCTATGAAAGAAGGGAACAGTCTGTTAGTTCCACCTGGTTCTTCTCATTTAATTACTATAATTAATATATGCAGAAGAAAAATTAATAGGGTTCTTAAATCCAGGGAGATATTAAATGTCAAAAATGTGGATATTTGAATTAAAGACTAATCAACTTGAACAATACATTATAATGTTAAAGAACTGGTAGCATATTAATTTCAAGTGAGAGTTTTAAACTTGATAACTGCAGTGGTTTTGTGAATCCAATTTTAAGAGTTAAATGTTGTGTCAATGCCATGAATCAGAGAATAGATATTTATAACAAAAGATCTGTATGAAATGATGCATAATAGATGGTGATGGCTGAAGCTGCTGAAAATTGATGGTCTAAATCAAAAGGATGGATTAGGAATCTTTGCGGAATTATTACAGACCTGTAGTTTTGTGAGAAAAGCAGAGAATGTCAAGGTCTTTTACTTCAAGGAGGATTTGAAGTATTTGGGGGTATACATTATTGCATTAGCTTAGTCAGTTTACAGCTAGCTAGACAGTGCAAACTTGTGAAGGAGGATGTTTTCAGTATATCACACTAGGATCATGGCACCAGTCCTGAAGAAATAGGGGGAACTTTTGATCTCCATCATACCATATACACACCTATGTGTGGGAATGCTAATGGGATAGAATCTGATACAGTTAGGGTCTGAAACACTACGAGTTCTTATGGTACTTTGATTCAATATTTAGTTGAGTAATTCTTGTTCACTTATTTGTATTATCCTCATTAGATTGAACCTGTATAGGTTTATCTTTGAAACTAAAGATTAAATTGAATTTAAGTTCTACTGTATTTTTTATCAAGATTATTTTTAAAATAGCTTGTATCACAGGAATCCTGAGTACATACCTAATACTATCCTCTACTGTATAGAAATTTAGTAATAATGAAAAAGTATACTCCTGGATTTGGTTTTCTGGGCAGAGAAAATTAAAAACTTTAAGCAGGTATCATGTAGAATAACATACTCAACAGATATTATTTTGTGGGTGACAATTTTTATAGACATTATATGTCAGATGAAATAGCTAATTAACATTAATTCTATTATATTTAACATAACACCCTATATACCTCGGTGAATAAAGAAGATTTCTAAAGGATGAGTTTAAGAGGTATTGATAAGGACCAGATATTTAGTAAAGAAATCCCATGATTCCCTAGATTTGTGACTCTTCAGTGACACATTTAATTAGTTAATGCTTTGTGAATCCCAGAATTCTTTGTATATACTGTGATATACCATATTTTTGTCATAGTAACAACAATTTAATTCTGATTCTCCTATAGATGAATCTCTGCGTTCTATCTTTCATGCTACTTTGAATTCGGTTTTTAAAACTGAATTTAAATATCACAGTACTTATCATATGATATTCAACAACCTGACTGTTTTCCATTTTATTTTATTTTATCAACTTTTATTTTAGAATCAGGGAGTACATGTGCAGGTATATATCACACAAGATATATTGTGTGATGCTGAGGTTTGGAGTACAAATGAATCTGTCATTCAGGTAGTGGGTATAGTACCTGATAGGCAGTTTTGTTTTGAGACAAAGTCTCACTCTGTAACCCAGGCTGGAGTGCAGTGGCACGATCTCGGCTCACTGCAACCTCCACCTCCTGGGTTCAAGCACTTCTCCTGCTTCAGCCTCCATAGTAGCTGGGATTACAGGTGCCTGCCACCACGCCTGGATAACTTTTTTGTATTTTTAGTAGAGACAGGGTTTCGCCGTGTTGGCCGGGCTGGTCTTGAACTCCTGACCTCAGGTGATCCGCCTGCCTTGGCCTTCCAAAGTGCTGGGATTACAGGCATGAACCACCGCACCTGGCCCCAGTAGGTGGTTTAAACCCTTTCTCCTTCTCTCTCTCCCCTCTGTTGTATTGCCCAGTGTCTGTTGTTCCCACTTTTATGACCTTATATTTTTCTTCTTTAAATCAGTAATTTTTTATGTTGTTAAAATCAATTTTTGCAGAGATTAGAATGTATTTGGCCTAATTTCTCATTCTTAAGTAAAACAAAATAAGGACATAATTTATAGACTTGACATATACTGATTTTTTGGTATAGATCACTAAATAAGTACTGAACTTTTTTCTTTAGGACGTTTAGAGTTTTTGACAGGTATATAGTCAAGCCCTGCTCTCTTTTACTTCCTTTTTATTCTCTCTGATGATTTGTATATGAATTCATTCTTTATTGATAGTATCAACATGACAAAACATACAAGGCCTTTGTCCTAATGGATCTTATAAATCTAATGCAGGAGGCAGACAGTAACTAAACAATATAATTGTATATGCGGTAAGTGCTATGAAGGAATTAAACAAGGTGACACAACAGAAAGTAGTTGTGTCGGGCAATTTTAGATAAAATGGCGAGTGAATGCTGTGCATGGAGGTGACATCTTGCCAGAGACAGGAGAATGAGAAAGAGTTTGGCATGTGAAGATCGGGGAAATGAGCACATGGGGCAGAGGGAGGGAAATGTGAAAAGGCATGATGGTGGGGAGTGTTTGAGGGGTGAGAGAAACTATCATCAGAGTAACAGGCAACCTACAGAATGGGAGAAAATTTTTGCAATCTATCCATCTGACAAAGGGCTAATACCCAGAATCTACAAGGAACATAAACAAATTCACAAGAAAAAGCAACCCCATCGAAAAGTGGGCAAAGGATATGAACAGACACTTCTCAAAAGAAGACATTTATGTGGCCAACAAACATATGAAAAAAAGCTCACCATCACTGGTAATTAGAGAAATGCAAATCAAAACGACAATGAGATACCAACTCATGCCAGTTAGAATGGCGATCATTAAAATGTCAGGAAACAACAGATGCTGGAGAGGATGTGGAGAAATAGGAATGCTTTTACACTGTTAGTGTGAATGTAAATTAGTTCAGACATTCTGGAAGACAGTGTGGTGATTCCTCAAGGATCTAGAACCGGAAATACCATTTGACCCAGCCATCCCATTACTGGGTATTTATCCAAAGGATTATAAATCATTCTACTATAAAGACACATGCACACGTATGTTTACTGCAGCACTATTCACAATAGCAAAGACTTGGAACCAACCCAAATGCCTATCAATGATAGACTGGATAAAGAAAATGTGGCACATATACACCATGGAACACTAGGCAGCCGTGAAAAAGGATGAGTTCATGTCCTTTGCAGGGACATGGATGAAGCTGGAAACCATCATTCTCAGCAAACTAACAGAGGAACAGAAAACCAAACACTGCATGTTCTCACTCATAAGTGGGTGTTGAACAGTGAGAACATATGGACGGACACAGGGAGGAGAACATCACACACTGGGGCCTGTTGGGGGAGGGGTGGGAGGCAAGGGGAGGGATAGCATTAGGAGAAATACCTAATGTAGATGATGGGTTGATGGCTGCAGCAAACCACCATGGCACATGTATTCCTATGTAACAAACCTGCACATTTTGCACATGTATCCCAGAACTTAAAGTAGAAAGAAAGAAAGAGAAAAGAAGAAAGAAAGAAACAAAGAGAGAGAGAGAAAGAAAGAGAAAGAAAGAAAGAAAGAACGAAAGAAAGAAAGAGAGAGAGAGAAAGGAAGAGAGGGAGGGAGGGAGGGGATGGCCAATGTGACTAGAGTGAAGTAAGAGAGGGGAAGAATAGTATTAGTCAAAGTTGAAATTGAAGACACAAACTGGCTATTCAAGACTTTATGCCTGTGATGTGGCCAGGCATGGTGGCTCACACCTGTAATTCCAGCACTTTCGGAGGCTGAGGCAGGTGGATCACTTGAGGTCAGGGGTTCCAGACCAGCCTGGCAAACATGGTGAAACCCTGTCTCTACCAAAAATGCAAAAATTGGCCAGGCATGGTGGCACATGCCTATACTCCCAGCTACTCGGGAGGCTGAGGTAGGAGAATCACTTGAACCTGGAAGGCAGAGGCTGCAGTGAGCCAAGATTGCACCATTGCACTCCAGCCTGGCCAACAGAGCGAGACTCTGTCTCAAAAGAAAAAAAAAGTTTATACCTGTAATGAGATGAGAAGTTCAGATTTTCCAGTGTGTGTTGTATAAATGAAGGACCCAATTTTCTCAGACAGAAGATAAAAGGAGTTGAGGTTCGTAACGAGGTGATTTTAAGGATGGATCATAGAATCATCAAGCCAGGAAGGAGAGAGTGAAATCAAGGAGAAGGTGATGGATAGGAGAAAGGACCCTGAGTTATTATAACAGAGTCCAAGAGTCAGAGAGCTGCACAGATGGGGTGGGATATGCCAGGTCAAGGAAAGGGCCATGGGAGTGGGTGCCTGATGCGGAGAGGAGGAAAAGAGGTCAGCGAGGAGGTAAAGAGCCTGGGCACAGTCATGTTGGTAGATTTTACAGTTACATAAGGAGAGGTAGGAAGGAAGATGGCGAACCAGAAAGTAAGTCATTAATAATGGCTGGAAGGTGGTTTTATGAGGGATGTGGATTTTCAGAGAGAAAGAGAAAACTGATTAAGAAGTAGCATCAAAGAGGAGCAAAGTTGATGCACAACCTATCTCTAGATCTTGAAGGTCTTATAGAATATTGTTTCTAAGTCAGAAGTATGATGACAGGGGGAGGAGCCAAGATGGCCGAATAGGAACAGCTCCGCTCTACAGCTCCCAGTGTGAGCGACGCAGAAGACGGTGATTTCTGCATTTCCATCTGAGGTACCGGGTTCATCTCACTAGGGAGTGCCAGACAGTGGGCGCAGGCCAGTGTGTGTGCGCACCGTGCGCGAGCCGAAGCAGGGCGAGGCATTGCCTCACCTGGGAAGCGCAAGGGGTCAGGGAGTTCCCTTTCCGAGTCAAAGAAAGGGGTGACGGACGCACCTGGAAAATCGGGTCACTCCCACCCGAATATTGCGCTTTTCAGACCGGCTTAAGAAACGGCGCACCACGAGACTATATCCCACACCTGGCTCGGAGGGTCCTACGCCCACGGAATCTCGCTGATTGCTAGCACAGCAGTCTGAGATCAAACTGCAAGGCGGCAACGAGGCTGGGGGAGGGGCGCCCGCCATTGCCCAGGCTTGCTTAGGTAAACAAAGCAGCCGGGAAGCTCGAACTGGGTGGAGCCCACCACAGCTCAAGGAGGCCTGCCTGCCTCTGTAGGCTCCACCTCTGGGGGCAGGGCACAGACAAACAAAAAGACAGCAGTAACCTCTGCAGACTTAAGTGTCCCTGTCTGACAGCTTTGAAGAGAGCAGTGGTTCTCCCAGTACGCAGCTGGAGATCTGAGAATGGGCAGACTGCCTCCTCAAGTGGGTCCCTGACTCCTGACCCCCGAGCAGCCTAACTGGGAGGCACCCCCCAGCAGGGGCACACTGACACCTCACACGGCAGGGTATTCCAACAGACCTGCAGCTGAGGGTCCTGTCTGTTAGAAGGAAAACTAACAACCAGAAAGGACATCTACACCGAAAACCCATCTGTACATCACCATCATCAAAGACCAAAAGTAGATAAAACCACAAAGATGGGGAAAAAACAGAACAGAAAAACTGGAAACTCTAAAACGCAGAGCGCCTCTCCTCCTCCAAAGGAACGCAGTTCCTCACCAGCAACAGAACAAAGCTGGATGGAGAATGATTTTGACGAGCTGAGAGAAGAAGGCTTCAGACGATCAAATTACTCTGAGCTACGGGAGGACATTCAAACCAAAGGCAAAGAAGTTGAAAACTTTGAAAAAAATTTAGAAGAATGTATAACTAGAATAACCAATACAGAGAAGTGCTTAAAGGAGCTGATGGAGCTGAAAACCAAGGCTCGAGAACTACGTGAAGAATGCAGAAGCCTCAGGAGCCGATGCGATCAACTGGAAGAAAGGGTATCAGCAATGGAAGATGAAATGAATGAAATGAAGCGAGAAGGGAAGTTTAGAGAAAAAAGAATAAAAAGAAATGAGCAAAGCCTCCAAGAAATATGGGACTATGTGAAAAGACCAAATCTACGTCTGATTGGTGTACCTGAAAGTGATGTGGAGAATGAAACCAAGTTGGAAAACACTCTGCAGGATATTATCCAGGAGAACTTCCCCAATCTAGCAAGGCAGGCCAACGTTCAGATTCAGGAAATACAGAGAACGCCACAAAGATACTCCTCGAGAAGAGCAACTCCAAGACACATAATTGTCAGATTCACCAAAGTTGAAATGAAGGAAAAAATGTTAAGGGCAGCCAGAGAGAAAGGTCGGGTTACCCTCAAAGGAAAGCCCATCAGACTAACAGCGGATCTCTCGGCAGAAACCCTACAAGCCAGAAGAGAGTGGGGGCCAATATTCAACATTCTTAAAGAAAAGAATTTTCAACCCAGAATTTCATATCCAGCCAAACTAAGCTTCATAAGTGAAGGAGAAATAAAATACTTTATAGACAAGCAAATGTTGAGAGATTTTGTCACCACCAGGCCTGCCCTAAAAGAGCTCCTGAAGGAAGCGCTAAACATGGAAAGGAACAACCGGTACCAGCCGCTGCAAAATCATGCCAAAATGTAAAGACCATCGAGACTAGGAAGAAACTGCATCAACTAATGAGCAAAATCACCAGCTAACATCATCATGACAGGATCAAATTCACACATAACAATATTAACTTTAAATATAAATGGACTAAATTCTGCAATTAAAAGACACAAACTGGCAAGTTGGATAAAGAGTCAAGACCCATCAGTGTGCTGTATTCAGGAAACCCATCTCACGTGCAGAGACACACATAGGCTCAAAATAAAAGGATGGAGGAAGATCTACCAAGCCAATGGAAAACAAAAAAAGGCAGGGGTTGCAATCCTAGTCTCTGACAAAACAGACTTTAAACCAACAAAGATCAAAAGAGACAAAGAAGGCCATTACATAATGGTAAAGGGATCAATTCAACAAGAGGAGCTAACTATCCTAAATATTTATGCACCCAATACAGGAGCACCCAGATTCATAAAGCAAGTCCTCAGTGACCTACAAAGAGACTTAGACTCCCACACATTAATAATGGGAGACTTTAACACCCCACTGTCAACATTAGACAGATCAACGAGACAGAAAGTCAACAAGGATACCCAGGAATTGAACTCAGCTCTGCACCAAGCAGACCTAATAGACATCTACAGAACTCTCCACCCCAAATCAACAGAATATACATTTTTTTCAGCACCACACCACACCTATTCCAAAATTGACCACATAGTTGGAAGTAAAGCTCTCCTCAGCAAATGTAAAAGAACAGAAATTATAACAAACTATCTCTCAGACCACAGTGCAATCAAACTAGAACTCAGGATTAAGAATCTCACTCAAAGCCGCTCAACTACATGGAAACTGAACAACCTGCTCCTGAATGACTACTGGGTACATAACGAAATGAAGGCAGAAATAAAGATGTTCTTTGAAACCAACGAGAACAAAGACACCACATACCAGAATCTCTGGGACGCATTCAAAGCAGTGTGTAGAGGGAAATTTATAGCACTAAATGCCTACAAGAGAAAGCAGGAAAGATCCAAAATTGACACCCTAACATCACAATTAAAAGAACTAGAAAAGCAAGAGCAAACACATTCAAAAGCTAGCAGAAGGCAAGAAATAACTAAAATCAGAGCAGAACTGAAGGAAATAGAGACACAAAAAACCCTTCAAAAAATCAATGAATCCAGGAGCTGGTTTTTTGAAAGGATCAACAAAATTGATAGACCGCTAGCAAGACTAATAAAGAAAAAAAGAGAGAAGAATCAAATAGACACAATAAAAAATGATAAAGGGGATATCACCACCGATCCCACAGAAATACAAACTACCATCAGAGAATACTACAAACACCTCTACGCAAATAAACTAGAAAATCTAGAAGAAATGGATACATTCCTCGACACATACACTCTCCCAAGACTAAACCAGGAAGAAGTTGAATCTCTGAATCGACCAATAACAGGCTCTGAAATTGTGGCAATAATCAATAGTTTACCAACCAAAAAGAGTCCAGGACCAGATGGATTCACAGCCGAATTCTACCAGAGGTACAAGGAGGAACTGGTACCATTCCTTCTGAAACTATTCCAATCAATAGAAAAAGAGGGAATCCTCCCTAACTCATTTTATGAGGCCAGCATCATTCTGATACCAAAGCCGGGCAGAGACACAACCAAAAAAGAGAATTTTAGACCAATATCCTTGATGAACATTGATGCAAAAATCCTCAATAAAATACTGGCAAACCGAATCCAGCAGCACATCAAAAAGCTTATCCACCATGATCAAGTGGGCTTCATCCCTGGGATGCAAGGCTGGTTCAATATACGCAAATCAATAAATGTAATCCAGCATATAAACAGAGCCAAAGACAAAAACCACATGATTATCTCAATAGATGCAGAAAAAGCCTTTGACAAAATTCAACAACCCTTCATGCTAAAAACTCTCAATAAATTAGGTATTGATGGGATGTATTTCAAAATAATAAGAGCTATCTATGACAAACCCACAGCCAATATCATACTGAATGGGCAAAAACTGGAAGCATTCCCTTTGAAAACTGGCACAAGACAGGGATGCCCTCTCTCACCGCTCCTATTCAACATAGTGTTGGAAGTTCTGGCCAGGGCAATCAGGCAGGAGAAGGAAATAAAGGGTATTCAATTAGGAAAAGAGGAAGTCAAATTGTCCCTGTTTGCAGACGACATGATTGTTTATCTAGAAAACCCCATCGTCTCAGCCCAAAATCTCCTTAAGCTGATAAGCAACTTCAGCAAAGTCTCAGGATACAAAATCAATGTACAAAAATCACAAACATTCTTATACACCAACAACAGACAAACAGAGAGCCAAATCATGGGTGAACTCCCATTCACAATTGCTTCAAAGAGAATAAAATACCTAGGAATCCAACTTACAAGGGATGTGAAGGACCTCTTCAAGGAGAACTACAAACCACTGCTCAAGGAAATAAAAGAGGAGACAAATAAATGGAAGAACATTCCATGCTCATGGGTAGGAAGAATCAATATCGTGAAAATGGCCATACTGCCCAAGGTAATTTACAGATTCAATGCCATCCCCATCAAGCTACCAATGACTTTCTTCACAGAATTGGAAAAAACTACTTTAAAGTTCATATGGAACCAAAAAAGAGCCTGCATTGCCAAGTCAATCCTAAGCCAAAAGAACAAAGCTGGAGGCATCACACTACCTGACTTCAAACTATACTACAAGGCTACAGTAACCAAAACAGCATGGTACTGGTACAAAAACAGAGATATAGATCAATGGAACAGAACAGAGCCCTCAGAAATAATGCCGCATATCTACAACTATCTGATCTTTGACAAACCTGAGAAAAACAAGCAATGGGGAAAGGATTCCCTATTTAATAAATGGTGCTGGGAAAACTGGCTAGCCATATGTAGAAAGCTGAAACTGGATCCCTTCCTTACACCTTATACAAAAATCAATTCAAGATGGATTAAAGATTTAAACGTTAAACCTAAAACCATAAAAACCCTAGAAGAAAACCTAGGCATTACCATTCAGGACATAGGCGTGGGCAAGGACTTCATGTCCAAAACACCAAAAGCAATGGCAACAAAAGACAAAATTGACAAATGGGATCTAATTAAACTAAAGAGCTTCTGCACAGCAAAAGAAACTACCATCAGAGTGAACAGGCAACCTACAACATGGGAGAAAATTTTTGCAACCTACTCATCTGACAAAGGGCTAATATCCAGAATCTACAATGAACTCAAACAAATTTACAAGAAAAAAACAAACAACCCCATCAAAAAGTGGGCGAAGGACATGAACAGACACTTCTCAAAAGAAGACATTTATGCAGCCAAAAAACACATGAAGAAATGCTCATCATCACTGGCCATCAGAGAAATGCAAATCAAAACCACTATGAGATATCATCTCACACCAGTTAGAATGGCAATCATTAAAAAGTCAGGAAACAACAGGTGCTGGAGAGGATGTGGAGAAATAGGAACACTTTTACACTGTTGGTGGGACTGTAAACTAGTTCAACCATTGTGGAAGTCAGTGTGGCGATTCCTCAGGGATCTAGAACTAGAAATACCATTTGACCCAGCCATCCCATTACTGGGTATATACCCAAATGAGTATAAATCATGCTGCTATAAAGACACATGCACACGTATGTTTATTGCGGCACTATTCACAATAGCAAAGACTTGGAACCAACCCAAATGTCCAACAATGATAGACTGGATTAAGAAAATGTGGCACATATACACCATGGAATACTATGCAGCCATAAAAAATGATGAGTTCATATCCTTTGTAGGGACATGGATGAAATTGGAAACCATCATTCTCAGTAAACTATCGCAAGAACAAAAAACCAAACACCGCATATTCTCACTCATAGGTGGGAATTGAACAATGAGATCACATGGACACAGGAAGGGGAATATCACACTCTGGGGACTGTGGTGGGGTCGGGGGAGGGGGGAGGGATAGCATTGGGAGATATACCTAATGCTAGATGACACATTAGTGGGTGCAGCGCACCAGCATGGCACATGTATACATATGTAACTAACCTGCACAATGTGCACATGTACCCTAAAACTTAGAGTATAATAATAAAAAAAAAAAAAAAAAAAAAAAAGAAGTATGATGACAAATGGTCATTTTCCTTAAAATAAAATCATATATCACTACTTACTGACTTGCACCTATATGTACTTCTGGGAAATTTAGCCAGCATGTATTTCCACAATACAGGGATAGTTTTTGTTCTGTGGACTGCTAAATGATCACAGCCTAATGTATTGCCTTCTCAGTAAACACACGTTGACTTAAATCAGTTGGGTAAATTGTAAACTCAATTCCTTACTTTGACTTTAGTTTGCAAATTAAGAATAGTGTACTTTTCTTATTTTCAGGCCTTATTTATAATTCCTAATGCTATACACTATTATGTTACAGCTTGCACTTGTATTTTGACACTTTCTAATTATTGTCAAATTATAAATACTACTAATTAATATATCCTTGATTCTTCATAATATTCTATTAACCAGCACTTAACACCTTTTTCATAAAACACTTTTCAGGATATATATATAGTTAGGGCTTGTTGACACTATTTCATCTTGATTTCAATTTATGCAATCCGAATTTTCAAGTAAAACCTCATGGAATTATCAGATTCATCACTAACTTTCAAAACTTTTATAACACATCTGCTGAGTTTTCAGACATTCATTCTGGAAAGAAAAAACATGCTGGAAAGAAAAATTTTACTTACTCTAATGTGTTTTATTTTAAATAAAAAGTCCTATAGGTTATGATTTTACTGTCCTCTTTTTTTTTCTGAAAAACATTAAGGTTTCTTTCCCAAAGCTTATTAGTTAATTGTCAGTTTTTATGTAAGCCCATGAGGTTAGACCTATATAAGGCAGTAATTTTTAATTCTCCCTCTCTTCCCACCCTTCCTTTTCTTCCCTATCTCCTTTATTTTCTTCCTTCTTCTTTATTAGTTTTTAAATATGCATATCTCTTTTTATAGGAGAAAGGATGGATAATGATTGCAGCATTCTCTGACCACTCTAATATCTCACCCTAGAAATTTTAATAAATGATTTACTAACATTCTCATCAGGCTTTTTATTATAAAATAATATCAAAGAAAACCTGCTTTTTAAAAAAATATCTTGATACTTGTATTTTACCAAATTCATGGGTATAGATAACTTTTTGATTTCTCATTACTTTCAAGTATCTTCTTCATGTAAAATTTTAATCAAATTTCAGATCCCATGCTTAACACATAAAAATTAATAAATTGATGTTGAGGGACTATCACATTATTTTATACTGAAAAGTTGTTCAATTATTCTAAAGTTCTATATATTAATCCAAAGCCGTCTCTACTTGGGGGAAAAATGTGTGTGTGTGTGTGTATGTGTGTGTATAATTTTTTGGATCTATCTATCTATGAGGATGACTGCCTTATTACAAGTTTCAGTACAATTTATATATATGGATTATATCTACATATATATTTTTTGGTTATATATATTTTTATATATATAAACGCTTGGCCATTTTGTCTATTTACCTATCTACCTATAAACTTCAGCATTTTTTGTTTGGGTAATTAATATTTTGAAGTTTTCTCTCTTGTTTTCCTTCTTGTTTGGAATGATCTGTTTGAGACTGTGTTTTTAACAAAAGTATATGTAAGTTTGATATACTTAACCTTATTTTTCGCTAAACAACAACAAGAAAGACCCCCTAATTTTGAAAAGTGTCCATCAATATCACTGTTTGGCAGTTTATCATAAAGATTCAATCAGTATACAGTAAATCTATAATTGAATAAATAATGTTAGAAGCAAATATCACAGGCTAGGATCAGCTTAAGAAATCTCCAAAATGTGAGCCTACATAATTGAGACCAAGTGACATTTCATTTGGTGTTAACATATACTATGTAAAAATGGTATTATATTTTCAGTGTTTTAATGGAAATTTTAACATGCTTTCTGATAGTTTAATATCTTTTAACTTGTGCCAATAGATTGTTTTAGCAAGAAATGAGTGATAATCTTAATTTTATTTTCTTTTACCCGATTCAAACATTCTTGCCTTGATCTTAGAGGCTGGAGAATAGGCAGCATGACCTCTCATCTCTTCCGTTCTTTCCTCAGCCTTAGTGAAGGGTGTCCCATTCACCCATTTATCCACACCATGAGCCATACTGTGGATCATCCACTCAGCCACCAACTCCTGCAGGTGCTGCCTCTTTCCAATTTTACAGCCACTGCCTTCATTCAGAATCTAAATATTTCTGCCCTTGATTTCTGAACTGCCTCTGCAGTTAGTCTTCTGCTGCCCTCTCCTCATTCCTTTCATCTGTCATTCCTGCTTAATACTCTCCTAGGGCTCTCCATCGTGTCCAGTATAAAATCGTACTGAAACTTGTAATCAGGAAGACATCCCCTTTGTAATCAGATCTCCATCACCAGTCCAACTTGGTCTTTGACCTCTTCTCACTGACATTTTATGCTCCTGTCATGCTGGACTCTGCAGTTGCTGGGCAGTGTACCCGCATGCTTTCCTGCAGGCTATCCCATCTGACTCTCTTCTCCTAAACCTCACCATATTTGCATGGGTAACATGTCCTCACCTTTTAAGAATTTCCTGAAGCTCTCCCTGACATCCTGATTCCTGAACAACCACCCCTTTGTGCTCACAAAGGTCTTTGTAGTTACATTATTTATCATACAGTGTTTCCACTGAAAGTTTAAGTGCCTGTTCCCCATCGTGGCTCCTGAGTAGCTATGCAGAGGGCGTAGGGGAAGCAATCTGGTGAAACTGGGCCAAGGAGACTTGTCTCTAAGCTACATTGGCAGAGCAATGTTTTACTTAGATTATATCTATTTAAGATGGATTTAGGGAGGCTCAGGGAGATTATTGGAGAGAGGGGAAATATGAGAGACCCTAAGCACCTCTTGGCAGCACTGCTGTGTTTCCTCTACTGTGGAGTGAGCTCCTGGAAAACAGGGACTCTGTCTGTCATCTGTGTGTTTCCTGAGCACCACATAGTGTGTGCCAGATAGATTGTATGCCTGCTACATAGTAGGCTCTTAATAAATAAGAAGTGAATTGAGGATTCTAGATGCTATTCATCTTCCCATATTAAATTGCTTTCAAAATGTAAATCCTCTGTGGCACTGAAGTCTATTTAAAATATGCTCTTCTGCCAAATAAAATGTCTCCTCCAGGTGATTTGAGGAAGACATGTGGGCTCAAATAAGATTAAACCAAACCATTGTCATGTACATGTAAATATTGCATGAGTAACTAGTCTTACATTTTCTTCACTAATGGGGATTTATTCTAAGGAACTTTTTTGTTCAGTATTTTCTGATGAAGGAATAGTCAGAAATATCAAAATCCTTCTTACTCCATTTTAGGCTGCCATTTTTTTCCTAAGAGCTGTTATACATTGAGCATACCTAAATTGCCTTTCTGAAATACAGGAACACACTGTATTGTCAGTAAAATGGTCTGTGTTGATTAGTTTGTCTTTGGGGTGTACTTGATTCATCAGATGATGGAGATCCTGCTGGCGTTTCATGCAACCTGCTATGGTATGTGGGCTTTATTGGCTTCCCAGCAGCGACACTGACACAAATTGTCAGATTTTATGGGCAGTTTTAAACCTAATGAAATACATCCTTGAGAAGCTTCCTTCACCATTTTAGTAGCTGTACAATTTGAAAGAAAAAAGTCAATGTACACCACACAGGGTAGTTCACTATTGAAATCATGGAGGACAATGACAACACGCTTATTTTGCTCTTGAACATGCTGTCATTAACTGCACAATGGGATACTGATGCTGCCTCAGAGGCTGGTATTAATCTTTGTGCCAAACCTTGCAGAAACTCTGTGTGCATTTACTGACGTAAGCATTGCTCTCCATCTCTTTGATCTTAAGATTACTCCTTTGGGGATAGAAGGTAATATAAGGCTGCTGAACTTAAAAAAAAAATGCTCAAAGTGAGTGAAGGTAAGAGATGTTCATTTTCTTCCAGTACTGAAAATTAAGAGTACAGACCCACATGCTATTATACAAGAGAAAGTAGTCCTATGACTGCTGGATAATTTACATACATTATCTAATTTATCATAACCCTGGGAGAGTGGAAATATTGCTATTCTTATTTTACTAGTGAGAGACTAAGTGATTTGCTGGTTTTTGATCCCGGGTCTACATGAATACAAAGCTACATCTTTAATTAGTTCTCTATAGGGTCTCAAAGCAGTCATTTTACTAAATTTTTGATCTTTATTAAACATAGATGCAAAAGTAATAATAATATTTCCACAAATAAAGGGATGTTAACCAAAATTAATGTTCAAGAATCCTTTCAGTGTTTCTCTACCTCTTTAAATATTCCAGAAATGGTGATACAGTCAGGAGCAATATATTGCCAGGAACTTTGGCAGGACGAGAGATTACTTTTTGGATAGAATCAGTTGCAGGAATTTTCCAAACGATTCACACAGCATCAACTTAATCTTCTGGAAAACATTTTAGGGACCACAAATACATATTGTACCCAGGATGTAGTGTACTTACTGCAGTGTGGTCTATGATTTTTCTTGGCATGCATAATTCAAAGACCCAGATAGAAATGACTGATTTTAGCACTTCTAACAATAAAACAAAAGCTCTTCTACAAGAGAATATCTTCATTCATGTTAAACATATCAATATCTCAAGTAAGTATGATGAATTTTGAGATAGGGATCATGCCATTGGGGTCTCATCTGGTGGTCATGGGGAAATGGTCCTCTTTCTTGGATATCTTTGGAGAGTATACTATTTGACTCTTTAGTCAAACTGAGGATCAGTATTTTAAAAGTCTATAAAATACTTAAGCCATCTTGTAGAAATAAATAGTCTTCCCACCCAGACCATAATCTCTGAAATAATTATTAGGAATTTTCTTTTTCTTTCAAACACTTTGGAATTATAATTTAGATTCTTTAAAAACTGAGTTTTATGACTGTTTTTTCAAAAAAGCTTCAAAATTTTGGCAAATGTTGCATTTTTTTTTCCAATTAGGATAAGTAATTCAAAAAGTCACAACATGCTTCAGCCAAAAATCCATTGTGAAAATAGAAATTAGAAATGATCTTTCAAAAAATTAAGAAATCATTTTTTGAAAAAGTGTGGAGTCATTAATTAAGTGTTTGACCTTTTGTGCCTTCTCAAATGTCCATTTTCAAAAAGACAGATGCAGTTAGAAGGAAAAGACTATGAATGTAGGTTCAGGGCCAGAGGACAAAAACTGTTGAAATTGCCTTGATATAGATTCATAGATTGCAAATGAGCACTTTTTAAAATTTAAACCCTTGAATATGGTATCTCAGGCACAGAGTGAGTTCTTTATATATACAAAATGTGATTCTTACCGCCTACCAGCTGTCTTCCGATTTCACCAGATGACCTTCCCTATAAGTTTGACACGTAACTCATAAAATGCATGGCTCTGGAGAACAATTATCATGACGGGAGTATGCTTTCTTGATTATATGGCAGGATCCTCTTTCCCACCTCTGCTTTTGAAGGATATTAAAGGTGAGATTAAAAATGCTCCAGTTGTTCTGCTTGTCTGATTGTAACAGTGAAGGAGACAAAATTGATTCTAGCTTATGGCTCAGTGTTTCAATGTTATTCTGCAGCACTTGTTTGCCAGCAGCTGTTAGGGATTATTGCAGGTTTCTTTGTCAGGAACAGTGTGGCAACAATAATAAATCAGATTTAGACTGGCTACTGAAGGGGTTTGTTTAAAAGATTTAAAAATCTCTTCAGAGTCAAAGATGTTAATTCTACCTGGTGAACCAGAATGATCCTGCATATATCTTGGGACAGACTTATATTTTCTAAATCTGGGTAATGATCATACATGCACTGAAAAGAAGACCATCTTCTCCCAGAAATATACAACACTGAAAGATTCTCTACCAAACATGCATGAAAAGATAGCAAAGGTACAATATTTCTTTAATTTGTTTCTTTCCTCTTTCGTTTAGGTGAAATAGAGGATACAGCTCTGATCATTAGAATTTCATATGGCAAACGCTCACACACATAGTGGATTTGAGGAAATCAATTTTCACTAATCTAGAAAATTCTCTCCTCAAGAGAAAAGGGATTTAAAAACTTTCATGATGTATTTAAATTCAACATATCTTTTGCCTACTTTAAATAGGGAAAAGGTGACTCTAAGGTCATAACGTGAAATTGACTTTACCCTTCCTGGTATAGAATGGCATTTCACATTGAGAAAAACTAGGGAGAAGCACTGAAGAATTAATGGGCAGTGGGGAGAGAAATGTAGTTCATTACTTTATTATTTGTCGTGGTAACACATACTTTATACAATCTATCACTCCTACTTGTCCAAATATGTGTTTCTCCTGAGGTAAAATTTCAAAAATTCTAGATGATGTTTTGGAGGTTCTGTAGAGAAGGTGAATGGTATAGAGCTAAAGCAAATCTTGTATGATTTTTTTATTTAATATGTTTACTTCCTATACCTATGTCTTTACTGTGTATACATATACACCCATATCCCTATATATTCGCGTGTTCACTTTTGATTTCAAATTTTATTTGTGAAAAAAGCAGATTTATTCTTTTTTTTCTTTGAGATGGAGTCTCGCTCTGTCACCCCCTGGCTGGAGTGCAGTGGCTTGATCTTGGCTCACTGCAACCTCAGCCTCCCAGGTTCAAGTAATTCTCCTGCCTCAGCCTCCCGAGTAGCTGGGACTAGATTTATTCTTAATCCCATTTATCCATGTGGAGAATATGTCACCCTGCTCATTTCACTTTGCAAACCGACTTACTATTCTTTGTACCTCTCTCCTTCTCTTTTTGCTCTGTCACTAATAGAGCTTTCAGCTACTAAGACACACAGGAGTCCTTTCTAGAGAGTAACTGAAATTAACCACATACATCATTTTGGTGGCAAACCTCACAGCCACCAGTCATTTATAGTACCAAGTCCCTGCTCTTTGGGTAACAGTGGATAAGAAATGCTACACAAGCTCCTTATGTGGAGAAAAGACTGTTCTCCTATTTGGAAGCCTTGTGCCCATATCCATGCCCTTTGCACATTTATCAAATAACCGTGACTTGTCCTTTATGTTTTTTCAAGCATTTGTATCATTAGGCAAGGCTCTGCCTAATGGAAGAGATTTACTCTTACTCTGTGCCCAGGTGGCTCGTCCATCTCTGGGTATTTTCAAGCATTGGAGGTGGCAATAGTGTGCTTAGCCTCAAGACTGAGCAAAGAAATGAACTTTCCAGAGATTACTCTTAAAATATCCCATTCTGAGAGCACATGTTTCTCTTAGTACTGTTTACTCCGGACTTTCAGGGTCAGTAGGCAAGCTTTTCAACAAATTTGGTTTCTTTTAAAAACTATTTTTGGTAGTTTTGTTAAATGTGTCTGGTAATTCATTTTAAGTGGAAAAGGGATGGAGATAAAGGGTAGGTAGAATTGTAAATGTCCTAAGCCTCTTTTATCATCCTATGTTTTTGATAAGTTTTATCTGGTAACAGACAAACATTGTAGAAGCAAGAAGGGGTTTAATGTTGTTAAATAAAGAAAATGTATTAAAAGAGAAAAACGAGGCACTGGGCTCTTCTACTCTTGTTTATATTCTTCACCCTTGTGTTCCTTCTACTCAGGACTCCATTGTAAATGCTCAGGATTAATTTTTTTGTCATTTGATGCAGTTCTATACTGTACCTTGTCTTTCTGCAAAGCAAAGATAATATTGTAGTTTAAAACTTGGCTATCCACCACCATGAGGGAATATGCTTCTCTTATTTTTCTGCAGAAACATTTAAAATTTCTTCAGCTATATTTTGTACTTACCTGAATTTTAAAAATAGAATATAGATAATACATTTCCCTATTTTTGTGACTCACTCACTGTTATTAATAGTTATTTTTCTAATTTGAATATTATGCTTTGTTAAGTTATTTAGAACCACTTACCCCATCTGTAAATAACCCCGAACTCCTATACTGTCATCACCTTTGTTTCTTCTAACATGTTGTAATGTAAAATCAAAATTATTAAGTTATAATTATTTATGATATAAGAAGTATTCTGTGGATAAAGTATACATTTATTTTGGATATTTAGAATAATTTTTGTTTGTTTTTGGCATAATTCCTTTTTCTTGACTATTTACAGGAAATAGCTAGTTATAGGTTTTACCTAAGTCTCATTCAAGCTAATGGATTATGCAAATAAAGTTTGCTCACTGAAGGACAAGAATATTCTGTATCTTTTTTCTGGTTCTTCAAGGTGATAGTTCATAAAGAATATGTTCCATTGACAAAGTTAGTTATGTTTTTTAGCTTATTAAACTAATTTAAGGACAAAGAAGAGAAAATAATTTTCAAACCCACTGTGCTTGGCCCTCACTAATTATGTTTTTGCCTGTGAGATACGGATTTTGGAGGCTGTATTTGCAATAAGTGACACATACACAATTTATAAATGATAAAATATAAAATATTTGTCTTAAATAGGGAGATGCTGTAATGTCTCTTTCCCCTCTTCAACGTATCATATTACAGTGATTCCTCAATGAGCAGCTGAATTTCCACCTGTTCTTGACGTATTACCTATCACCATCAGGCTATGTTATGAAACTCACTTTTAGAGATAAAGCAAATTGTCCAAATGTCACCAATTATTGAATCTAAATGTGGGCATACAGGTTTTATTTGAAGCAGTCTTTCAGCTTTTCTATATGATTACATTTTTATTTAAAAATTTTGAATAGGCTGGGTGTGGTGGCTCACGCCTGTAATCCCAGCACTTTGGGAGGCTGAGGCGGGCGGATCACGAGGTCAGGAGATCGAGACCATCCTGGCTACCACGGTGAAACCCCGTCTCTACTAAAAATCCAAAAAAAATTAGCCCGGCGTGGTGGCGGGCGCCTGTAGTCCCAGCTACTCGGGAGGCTGAGGCAGGAGAATGGCGGGAACCCGGGAGGCGGAGCCTGCAGGGAGCCGAGATCGCGCCACTGCAGTCCGGCCTGGGCGAAAGAGAGAGACTCCATCTCAAAAAAAAAAAAATTTTTTTTGAATAAATAGAATAATGTGATAGCAAATGGCTAGACAGCTATTAAGGTGGTCAAGGAAAACCCACTAAAAGAAACCAGCATAGTATTTTGTATGAGCATAGAAGGTGTGGGTTAGAGAAATCCAATGTCTCTATTTTAGAAAGAAATGTCATCAAGGTGGACAGGGACCAGAACATGTAGCACTTTGTAAGCCACGAAAGGCATTTTCATTTTATTCTTGTAGATTTTAAGTAGAGATGCAGCTTTCTTCTCACATATTTTAGAAATATTTATTTGGTTACCATATAGAGCCAGTTCTCATATAGAGAATTTATTCTCTATATGAGAATAGAGAATAAATTTGGTGCAAGAAATAAATATCGGGTGCAAGATCTAAAATAGGAAGACAGGTTATGAGGCTGTTGGATCCCCATTATAATGGCAGCTTGGATGAGATAGGTTTCATGAAAATGGGAAAAAGCAGACATGTGTGGGATGTTTTAGGCAGCTGGAATCAATAGTACTTATTAATGGCCCAGAGGTCTGGGTAGTAAAGGAAAGAGGAGAAACTTTAGATAAGGCAGTTAGAGAAGGAAAATCAAGGATAGATTCTAGATTTTTGTCTTGAGCAACTGCATGGATGGTGATGTCATTGAATGTGATGGAATAGATCGGGAGGGGTGCAAGATTTTTCATGGAGGGAAGGCCAGAGAAGAAACAGTTCTGCTATAGCCATACTGAATTTTAGGCACCTTTTAGACATCTAAATAGAACTATTGATTTAATATTTGGATATGTAAGTCTCATCTGTATGCCATCTGTTCTGGCTATCTTACATTCGGATCCTGTGTATTTTTTACACTGGCCTGGAAAAGCTGGCAAAACCTAGAACTGCATTTGTCCCCTCTGCGTTTATACCATTTCAGTTGACAGGTCTAATTTTAAGTTCCACCTTTTCATAATTGATTATTCATTTGTACACAAGTATTTGTTGAGTACCAGAAATAGCATTTAGTCATTTCAAGCTTTAGTTTTTCATCATCCTATTCTCCAGATTTCAGCAGCATCAGAAGCCATATAAACACTGCCTTCGGATGGCCCTTAGATGGCCACCAAGATCCCCTAGTTACATTTTCTGTGTACAAAGCAGAAGAAAGATGTCCTTCATTCTGTACACAGTGTGCTACACTGTGGTTTAGTTTATTATTAAAGAGCATAATTAAAAGAAAAAATATGCTATTTAGGTTTGGATTACTAATTTTAAGTTTAAATGCCTTTATATCATATTTCTTTGAAGCTAGACATGTATTCAAACCTCAGCTCCCCCAATAATTAGATATTTGAACATGGTGGAAATAGTGAACCTATCATCTTTAAAACAAAGGATATAAAATCTAATAGAGTGGATAACATGATTATAATAAAGATATAAAGATTATAAAATATTAAAAGTTCAATATTGTCATTAGACTCTAATCAATAATGAGTATATCACGTATTATATTTTGACATGAAGAACTATTTAGCCTTAGAGCTTTGAAATATAACTAAGAAATCTATTAAAATAAATTAAATAGAATATATTCCAAAGTAACTAATGTTTTCCCATATTAACTCAGAATAACTTTGTCTGAAATTAAACTGAATATATATCATTTATAGATACAAGCATAGAGTTTAAATTCAGGTAATCTTATTTGGATGTACAAACCGTGAATAGAGACATTAAGGAAAAGTAGTCATAATTAATTATATCGAATCTTCAGAGTTCACACCATTCCTCTTCCTAAAAACACATACAGGTTTAGGCTGATCAAGATATCAATGTCTGCTCTGAGATCATCAAAGTAATGCGTCCATTCTAAGAAGCACTAGTGGCATATATGATCACGGTAGAAGAGCAAGAAAAGGAGCCCTCACTTAGAACCCCATAAGACAGGAAAGATACAGCATCAACCTCTCCTCTCCAGTTTATCTGTGTTATGGATTGTAAGAGTGTTTTGAAATAATATTTTACTTAGTAAAGTAATATCCACAAGCATTTCACCATGAAAAACATTAAACATTTTAAGTATATAATATGAAATATACCATCTCTGATGATTATTTTTATTGACCATATTCTTGCCAACTCTAAGGTACTCTAACACTAGAATTTTAAACTTGTTATATTTGTTACTTTGGTACGAATGTCAAAGAAAGGTATTACCTGTAAGTATTAGAGCATTCCTCATTGTTCCTAAACAAAGAATTTCTTTTTATGTAGTCTGCACTAGGAATTGGAAATGATGCACATAAAATACAGCTTTTTAATCTGTGAGATTGTTTATGCATCTTAGGTTTGCTTAGTTTTGCAAATGCGTGCATTTAAAATCACCATTTGTATTTTGAACTCTTCTGGCTTTTAACTGTAGTGGAAATTTGGATTGAAGACAATGGAAACCGTGAGGTACAATATATAAACTTGCATCCAACCGAGAAAAACCACTACTCTTATCTGCACTTCAATCAGCAGGAGGTTCTTTTTCAGTTTGTTTAGAAAAAGTAGGGCCTGTCATCTGCATGGCATACAATCTTTACAAAGAAATTTTCTTTTGCCCTTTGTGTTTTAACTACTGAGTGCTGCAGAAACTTCTGTCTAACTGCAAAACAGTTTAAGGTATCATCTATGACAATGTTAAAAGTAAAACCCAATCAAAGTTTATATTATCATGCATAATAGACCAAGCACCATTATCTGAATACCAAACGGGGCCAAATAATTCTCTATGATTCAGATGAGACATAAAAGTGCTTTAAAAACAAGTATGTGGTAAAAATCACTTTGGAAAACCTTTGGCATTATCTAATGAAATTAATATGTGCCTACTCTATGATGTTGCAATTCAACTTGTAAGCATATACTCAAGAGAAATAGGTGCACATGTGTACAAAGACATATTCAAGAATGCTCATAACAGCACTATTAATAATATCTAAAGCTGGAAATAACCAAATGACATCGCTATTGGCATGAATAAATATTTCATAGTATCATAATATTAGGAATACTATAAAGCAGTAAAAATGAACAAACAACTGTTATACCCAACAGCACGGGTGAACCCTTAAACATAATCTTAAGGAAAAGAAATTAGACATAAAAGAGTATACAGTGCCTGATTCCATTCATATAACATTCAAAAATAGATGCAATTCAACTTTCATGCTAGATAGAAGTCAGGATACTAGTTATCTTTGGAAAGGGTAGAGATAGGGAGGATTCTTAGTATGGGCAATATTCTCTTTTGATCTATATGATGGTTACATAGGTTTTTATATGTAGGTTATTAAAATAATATACTGATAATATGATCATACATTGAGGTTTTTATTTATTACAATAAGTTGAGATTATTCAAAGGTACATTTGTTCATTTTTCTATACATATATACATTATATATTACATATACATATATATACCAATTTTTAAAATGTTCTAAGAGAAAGAAAAGCTCAATAAATAAAAACACCCCATTTCCTTGTCACTAGAGATGAATTACTATTATGTTCAAATCGTATATACAGCATATTTTTTATATATGTATCTAAAATATGCTGAATAAGCAAATCAACAACTACATCTAGACTTCTGCATCGCAAACCAGAACTACATTTAAATGCATTTTATCTCACACTTAAAGAATTAAAATAAAACTCTTTTCTGAACAATCTTCCAATATATTGACCATAAGTAAATGTAATATGAGTCAATTATTTTAACCGTTTTGTAACTCAATGTCTGTTGGATTTATCTTGATTTTTATAAAGTTCAGCAATTCAATTTCCACATTTTCTTTTGTTTCTATTTTTGTGAGGCACTATAGTTTTTATGTAATAAATGTTACTGATATGGCCTCCTACTTAGAAAATGTTATTCATGAGAGTATATTGATTTTAGCAAAATTTACATATTTACATATGTACATCCACAGGTTTGCATATGTAAAAATATAGATTATTTACTTACTATTGAAAAAGTGTATTATGGAAGATAAAAGGTTTTCATCTCTGTCAGATACGACAGGTGAACTTTGGTAACATAAGGCCTAGCAAAGTTTTATTGATCTTACATATATATATATATAAAATGGTTTTTCATAATTTCATGGGATGCATCATCCAAGAGAATGATCACAGTGATACTAATTACTGCCATTGACTAGCCACCTGCCACATGCCAGACACATGGTGACATGGCTGATGATAACATGTGATAGGTGTTTCCCAAGAGAGTCCCTTTAAACAAGGTTTTTTTCCTGTCTTCATATTGATGAAGTGTTTTTTCTAACGCCATTATTTCATTTATTCTATGAAAGACAAAATTGGCATTTTAAAAGTAGAACACGGTCTTTTGATACCTGTCATCTGAGATACCCAAAGGATTTTTTTTTTAAGTTAGCATCAAGGGTAAATAATAACAAATGAAGTTATTTTATGTTAGATCTTGTAGGTCTAAATATATGCACAGCAATATTTAACATCCTGAAATCAGAAATTTTGTTTCTGATGGCATCTCTTTCCATTATGTGATTTGAAACATTTTAGGGATATTTTCCTGTCTACTTTGCATGGAAAAAACTACAGACTTTGTCAAATCTAGTTGCCTTGGAAGAAGAATGAATAAGAGGAGATGTGTTAAACAATACAAAATATTTTTGCTATTTCAAGTTTGAATTGATTTTGAAATAATAGTTTCAGGCTAAATAATAAACTGTCTTTTTAGGAAACAAAAGAAGTATTTTAGAAAAAGACATTAAAAAGACTTTATTAAAATAGAGGACATGATGATCTTGTTTGTTGCTTTAAGCAGTTTATGTAGTAACTTTAAGGTGGTAGAAAGTGTCAGGAAATCAATTTGAAGGCAAATCTTCACATATGAAAAGAATCAGAAATGTTAACTCAGGTCTTAAATAAAAAGGAAGAATTAATATGATATATTAAAAGTGATACGAAAGTCAAAGGAAAGATTGATGAGACTTATTAATATGAAATGAGGTTTCTTCAATAAATATGTAAGTACAAAAAAGTTAAATTGTATTAAGAAACTTGAGATTTAAAAAAAAAAAAAAGCGAAGTATTTAAACTACCCCTCTTGAGCTCCCAGCCACATTCCTCTTAGTTGTCTAATAATAACACTTCTTGGCTATTTCACTGGATATTTCTAAATGATAGGGTCCTATTCATATATCTCAACTTGTCAATTTTTAATATCATCAATTGACATTCCTTTTTTAGAAATCATGACTTAGCTACTTATACTCCATCTTCAGTGCTTATCCTTCTAATGTAATACTATCATAATTTTATTTAAATACTATATGTCTTTTATGACGTAAATATTGTCTAATACTAAAACATCTACTATTCCATGTTTCTGTGTTTTATCTTAAGAGGTTAATTTTATTTGTTTATTTTTCCTGGGTCTTTAGCTTTTCTTGTATTCTTGTCCTATTTGCCATTATTATATTATTTTCCCACTAACATTTCAAAATATTAGTTATTCTAAATAGTCTGACTTTTCTTTAGAGTTCTTCACTCAAAGTCCTCTATGTTCTGCCTGAATTAGGATTGATTATTCCCTATGCCCACTGTACTGTTTTTCTACATTGGATCTACCTTGTCAGGGATCCACACCTTCCTCTTTCTTGGTTTACTTTCTCATTTTGCTGGAGCACATCCTCAAATGGCTTCTTAAGAAATATTACATGGGCAGTGAATTTTCTGAGTCCTTCCAGTTTAACTCATTGCAATATACAAAATGGCAGGCCCATTCAATTTATATACTTATTCCTTCAAGTTTTGGTAATTTATCTGCATTATTATTAAATAATATATTAATATATTACTTAAAATATAAATTAAAACATAAATTCCTTCTAATTTCTCCAGTCTACTTTTTTGAAACTCCCATGAGTCAAATTTTTACCTTGTTGTATTGGTGATTGATATTATCATTTCTCTCATATTTTCAGTATTTTTTTGTTTCTCTTTTGTGGGTGATGCCTTCAACTTTTTTGTCCAAGAGTCATATTAAAACTTTATTTTAAAAGATTTGTATTTTTCCCTTTTTAATATTATTCTATTTTTCTTCTTGAATCTCTTCAAAAATATTAATTAGCAGTTTGCTTTTAAAAATATTATCAGTTTTTTAAATAAGCATTTGTCCTCCAGATTTTTTCCCCTGTTTAATGTTGATTCTTCTTTTCCATGAGGGACTATTTACGCAACAATCTACATAATCTTTATTCCCTACTAACATTTAACTGTGATATCCTAAAATGGCCTGATTGAGGAACTGATTGAGATGATTAAGAGCTCTGTAGCAGGGCGCAGTGGCTCACGCCTGTAATCCTAGCACTTCTGTGAGGCTGAGGCAGGCAGATCACCTGAGGTCAGGAGTTCGAGACCAGCCTGGCCAACATGGCGAAACCCTGGTCTCTACTAAAAGTACCAAAATCAGCCAGGTGTGGTGGCAGGCACCTGTAATCCCAGCTACTCAGGAGGCTGAGGCAGGAGAATTGCTAAAAACTTGGGAGGCAAGAGTTGCAGTGAGCTGAGATCGCACCACTGCACTCCAGCCTGGGCGACAAGAGCAAGACTCCATCTCAAAAAGAAAAAAAAAGAAAAAAAAAAAAAAAAAGAAGTCTGTGTATAGGGCAGGACGAAAGGTGATTTGGTAGAAAGCTAGCTGTTTTGCCAGGCAGCATTAAATGTAAGAATGTGCAGATTTTTTCCTCTGGGATCCTGTCATTTCTCCAGAATGGTAATCTCCATACTTATTCCTGGAGGAGAGGTGGTTACAAGTATTCTGGGGCCACAACTATTCTTGGCCTTTTGTCTACCCCTGAAGTTTCCATCACTGGAATAAACTGGACAGTTAGACAGATTAACATGAGAAAAGGCATACACATTCATTACACGCACATGTACCTGGAAGGCAACAAAGTATGAGACTTAAAGAGGGGCCAGATGGTTGAAATTTAGATAGCATCTGGAGATACGGAAGGAAGGAAATAAGGACTTAAAGTCTCTTAGTAGGTGGTGGCAACAAGCTGTGGGAGTGTGAGGAGAGGAACTGCATGGCAAGCAAAGGTTGTCATATCATGAAGATAAAGTCTCTAAGGTAGCAATCCTCAGAAGAACACGTGAAAAGGTGTCCCAGGCGTGGTGTCCCGGGAGTTTCCTCTCCTGAGATAGGATTTAATCTTCTCTAGTTCATGTAGATTCCAGGGAAGGGGTTCATGACAATTACATTCCTTCTGGAGGAACTTCCCTTAGATAAGGGGGAACTTCAGAGAAAGCCTCTCCCTGTGCTTGAGGAGAGGCAGAGGGGCGAGAGATGGGAGTGGAAGGCAAGTCAGAGAGAACTTGGTTCTAAGGTGGCTTCTTTAGTCCAAAGTGCTCAGCTCCTCAAAGCGCCATACTTTGGAGTACTATTTTCTGAGCCCTAACAGCCACAAATGGAAGAAGTATTCCCCTGTACAGAAAAGTTTGCATTACTTTTGTCAGATTATGTCTCTTAATATAATCACATTTTATGAATAAGTTTTATTTCACTTAACAGATTTATTTATTTTTTAAAACCACAACTTTAATTCCCAAGTAACTCTTAGAAGTTTCTCCTTTTTGGATTTTCATTTTGATGTTTAGTAGGCTTAAATTCCAGTGTTTAACACAACCCCCAGCTTTTGAGTCACAGTTTATTTCATTATAGTAGACCCCTGATTGCCAAATTACAATATCTTATGAACCGGGCAAAATGTTGACTTATTTAGGACATTATGTTACCTATTTATTCCAAAATATTTCATTTGAAAATCAGCTACATTCCCATGTAGACTTTTCTTTATACAAAAGTTAAAATAATTACAGAAAGGTAAATTATTCTGATGCTAAAATTAGCCTTTCATTGATTTCAAGTAGATTGTAATTGGCTAGGATCAAATACATGCTTTATGTAATACAGTTTATTTCTTAAACTGATACAGAAAGTGCACATAATTCTGGAAGTAAAAATGTTCAAAAGCTAAGAAGCTCTCATGTTATTTTTCTTCAATTTGCTACAAACATATATAGAGTGTAGTTATTTTCTAGCCATAAGAATTAGCAGAAGCTTTGGAGAGAAAAGGTAGGAGACTGAATGCCCTGAGCATCCCTTTGAATAGCTCAGGCAAGAAGAGGTGCTATTATCCCAGGAGGAGACTGTAAGTGACGTTTGTGTAATTCAAGTATGTCCTGCCTGGATAAGGACTTGTGGGTAAGGAAACAGAGTAGTAAATAGCCAAAGGGAAGAAAGTCAGAAAAGCTTGCTGTGTTCCTCCACTTAAATATATGTTATTTCTTTAGGGACTGCAGGTTTTACAAAGAGATGAAGACTAATTCGGAATGCTACTTACCTCTGTTTCCAAAAGAAAAAGACTCCTCCAGAATGTGGTTTTAAGTAGGCCATGGACCAAAAGTAGGCCACAAGGCATGGCAGGCAGCTTTATGAACTTCAAGGTTCTAGGAAATTTCATCCATTGGAGAGTTCTCCAGTGCTTTAAACAATATTAGAAAGAAAACAGCGGTACAAATCAACCATGCTAGTAAAAATCTCTCCTGCAAGACATTACTGAGTGGTGAAGACTAAGTGGTTTTGCCATTGTTGTTGTATTGTTGGTTGGATGGTTTGCCTTGGATATTTGCTTGCTTCTTTTTTGTTGATTTTTAGCATATAAATAAAATTTATAAGCCCAACAAAAGAAAAGAAAGCAATCTTTCAAGAGGCTTTAAGATAACATCATACATTTTCGAGGTTTTTAAGGCTGAGATTCTATTTTGTTTTACTTAAAAGGAATGTTACAATGCTGTTAACGTTTTTGCTTATTCTACATTTTTGCTTATTCATGAAACTCGGGAGAAATTCTGTCTATTGGCAGGCTCTCATTGTGTATTCATCACCACACTAACCACTCATTTACTCCGAAATTAAGTGCTCAGTGATATGCATGTTATAAATTCATTCTCAGTTGCAAAATTTTCTTGGTGCTTAAGAAATTGTACTTTAATCGCTTTTAGCCAAAAAGTTTAGCAAAAATAGTACTTTGACATAGTACTGACAGCCTGTGCTTAGATTTTGATAAATGTGGACAAAATCAATAGATAGATGCATAAGGAGTGCCCAGATAAAATCATCATACTTCAAAAGCTTTTTCTAACATAACTCACAGCTGTAGACTTTTCCTTTCAATAATAAGCAAAAACAATTTTCATAGCTACAAACCGCCGACACAACTTTCTATTTAAAGAGGACTTCTTTGCAGGAGGCAGAATAATAACTCAACAAAATAAATAGAATCTCTAATTTCAAAATACTATTATCCCCAAAAGTAATGGGAATTTTAAAAATTATTTAGTGTTTCCAGTTTAGATATTTAAGAACACCACTCACATCTACATGCCAAATAAATTGACTCCACCCTCCACCCGTTATATCAGGGCCCCACTCCATCCATTGTCTTTTTTCTTAGTTATATCTTGATATGTCACCCTATTAGTTTTTTCCTTGCAGCATTTCACTTGCTTCTTGCTTTTTTTAAACAAAAATTTATGCACTACCCTCCCTGCATCCATGTTCCTGCTGCCTCATATTCATTCATTCTTCAGCTGGTGGCAATCAGCATTCAGTTTCTCTCCATAAAACTGTTATTAAATCCAATAAGCCTTTCATTTCTGAATCAAGTGAAGATTTTTCTCTATCTTTGCTGAATTCTTTATGGCATTTAACATGTCTTTTCACTCCATCTTTCTTTGGGGACTCTCTTCCATGACTTCTAAGACAACACTTTTTAATTCTCTTCCACCATTTTAGGTTTGTCTTTGTAGGTAACCTTTATAGATTCTTCTGTGTAATCCTTACATACCAATGTTCTGAATTCCATTCTGCTCCTCTTTTTCCATTCCATAGAGTCTGATTGTGTACTTGCAAACACTTCCATGGTATCTATTTCAAGTGTATTTTGAAAAGTCTAACATCTAGGCTTTCAACTTGATCTGTTGTACTTTCTGTATTCTATACCTGAGTGTCAGCAAAGACGCCTGGGAGCTGTCTTTGAGTCTTCCTTCTCTCTTACCTCCATATTTAATGGATTACCATTCTCATTGATTTTACCTTCTTAATTTCTCTTAAATTGATTTTCTTTCTCTATACCTAATGTTAGTACCTTTCCGCCATGTTTCTATCTGGTTTACATTGCTGGAACAGCACCTGATTTGCTATCTTGTTCTTAGTCTTGCCATCCCAACTTAGTCCATTCCTCTGATGTCTTTTCCTTTATACAGTTATCATACCATTTATCAATTTGCATTATATATCTGATTTTATTTACTTATAAGTCATGTTCTTTGTTAGCTCATTAGGTACCAATTTTATATCAATATTATTTTTCTGTTTGTCATTCAGTCCATTTTTGTTGTTGTTGTTTTGGTTTGGTTTTAGAGACGAGGCAGGTGAATAGGTATAGACTGAATGCTCCTAAGCTAGATGATAATGACCAAATGATTACTGAGACAGGGATGAGCGATGGTCAGTGAAATTGAAAGGATATTTTAGCAGCTGCTTTAACAAGTATCTGGGAAAAGTCCGGTCTCTTCCTTGCATTTCTGAACGTTAATTTGTATTAAAAGCAGCATGACTCAGAAATTTTATATAAAACTCAAATAAACCTTAGAATTGGATCTTATCGAGTATTGTGTTATACAGAGAATATGGAGAATATGTGGGATAAATGAGTCAAATGGTATGTTAAAAAAAAAAGTAGGAAGCATGATAGACTCAATTCTTAATTCCTAGAGGAAACAGAGTTATGTCCAAGGAACATATTCAACCCAATCACTGTACAGCTGTAGCTTTTTCTTTTCTTTCTTTTTTTTTTTTTTTTTTTTTGAGACAGTCTCAGTCCATTGCCCAGGCTGGTGTGCAATGGCATGATCTCAGCTCACTGCAACCTCTGCCTCCCAGGTTAAAACAATTCTCCTGCCTCAGCCTCCCAAGTAGCTGGGATTACAGGCACCTGCCACCATGCCAGCTAATTTTTATTTTATTTTTTTGTATTTTTAGTAGAGACGGGACTTCACCATGTTGGCCAGCCTGGTCTCAAACCCCTGACCTCAGGTGATCCTCCCACCTTGGCCTCCCAAAGTGCTGGGATTACAGGCATGAGCCACCGTGCCTGGCCAATTTTTCTAAATAAATTAATATGATGATGATAATGGTATATCCAAATAGCTACCCAGTTTTTGATTAGGCAGAAGTATGCTTATGGTCAGTCAGAGTAAAAAGTGAGACCAGCATGGTGGCATGCACATGTAATCCCAGCTACTTGGGAGGCGGAGACAGGAGGACCCTTTGAGCTTAGGAGTCTGAGGTTATAGCACACTATGATTATGCCTATGAATAGCCACTGCACTCCAGCCTGGGCAGTGTAGCAAGACCCTATCTCTGAAAAAAGAATCAAAGGCCTTAAGAAATATTTTATTTTTACCTCAGAAAATTTAAAAATTAACTTAGAGCTAAATAGTTTGGGTTTCATTATGTGTAGAAATGAATCTTGCAACAGTAACAGTTTCCCATTACACATTATAAGTGTCTGTTTTGAGTAAATTTGTTGAGGAGTCTAATTTAGTTTGAATCACTGGGAAAAGACACAATTGAGGTTTTATAAAATGTAAAAAATCAAATGAACTCTGTACTTCCACTTTTTTACATAAAGTACATCTTCCACTTCTAGTTACAAAAAATTTTTTTTTTCTCACTTGAGTCGTTTATCTGTAGTAAGTAAATTTGGGAAAAGTGCAAGTATTCATATACATTGTTTTGCATTTAAAAGAAAAGTGATAATGTTCAAACCCATGCTATTTACAAAAATCAAAAGCTCAAATCATGAATTCTGTTTGTGTTAAGGATTTAAAAAAATAGTGGCGTGAGAATGGTTATTGCTCTTCAATAAAGATAGAGATACCACGTTTTGCTTTAACATATCTAGAGGCAACTTTTTCATCGATAGCTTTATTAGTAGGTCAAGGAGAAATCATACCTAAGTAGAAAGGTCCGTGGAGAAAAGAGACAAACCATATCAGAGTTAAAATTAAATTGAAAAAATTTAAATCAAGGAAACCATTTTCACTTCTTTCGATATGATGTGCAAAATCATGCATTTTAAATGGGAAATGGGAAATTTCATAGCTTCTTAGCAATGATGTGAGCTCTGTGGTCTGGGTGGATGCAGGGCATGTGGGTGCTTTTGCTCATTTAAGGAAATTGCATTTGAAACATTCTCAATACATTATGTAGCCACAAGAAAATTTATAGTGATTTCTTTTTGGTGGAACAAAGTATATGCTCTTTTCCAGCTCAGGATCCTTTTCCAGTCTTCCTACACTTAACAGCCAGTACAAACTTAGTCCATAGAACGTATTTGTTGTGCACAGACCTGCACAAACACACACACATGCAAGGTTTCACGAATCAGGTATGTATTTTGTGTATGTGTCAAACTTAGCCATCAACTGGAATTTGTGTTTTAGTTTGGATGCTGATTTACCTCATCAGTAAAATGCCCTTCACTTACTCTCCCTAGACATAGACTATTTTCCGTAAAATATGTTAGTGATTTCATATTTAATGTGATATGGAATAGAATGAGAGGTTGTGTGAAATTAAAATCATGATATCAATTATCTTTCTGTCATGCAGAATAAAATAAGTGTTTTGACAAGATATAAAAAATATTTATGGTAATTAAGTACATTCATACTGTATCAGCTAAATTTGTAGAATATTGATTTCTGTATTAAATTATGTAACATTTTAATTAAAATAAATATATTGTCGAGTTGTGAGCAGCACAGTGGTAAGAATATTTTGCATGAAGATGGTTACATAAATATGCACTAAAATTGAGTCTAACTGCAAAAAAATGAATGCAGTAGCTACACATTTAGAAAGAAGTTCTAAGAATAAAGCAGTTTACAAACAAATAGTATATATACATGTATATGCTTTGTTAGAAGAAAGAGAATTTATTGTGAGTGGGATACTTTAACTCTTTCAGATGTTAAGGATTCTATTTCCCAAATAACTTCATTCATGTAAGAAGTATATTTCATGTGAGTCAGGTTTTATTCTCTAGGTGTTTTCTAATGTGGGAAAGTGAAATACAAGGGTTTGAAATGGTTCTGGGGATGCAGTCTTTCCTGTCAGATTCCAGCAGATGCTGATATAATTTAATATTCGTGGAAGACAGGGCAAATATAGAATAGCATCAAATTGATTTTGCAGAGTTTTCAAGCCAGATGTCCCTTGGCATTTACATGGAAGAAGTCTACTGTGTACCAAGTTGCATATTTTTGTGTGTAAGTTCTCAGCCATGGTATGTAGTCATTGGTGTTTTGACAGCCATCTGCTCAGACCTTTATTTCTCTGTTCAGCCATAACTAAAATTGAACATTTTTCAAATGTTCCAGGTAGTTTCAATTTTAAGATAACAGAAAACTAGTATTCAATGGTTAAAAAGAAAAAAAGCAATACCTATCTTTGGCTTAGTAATAACCCCTAAATTGAAAGTTAATTTCTTATAAATAGCAGTGCAAAATGAACAAACTTTGAGAACAGAGGCCTCACCTTATTATCAAATGAGTTTGTTTTAATCATGTGGAAGGCTCTCAGCTAGACACTGAGGAAGTTATAGAAATGGGTAATTCCAAGGTGAATGTTCCAAGGATAGCTATGTCTTATACATAACAAGCACTTCATCATTATTTGCTGAATGAATGCGTATGTTAGAATCCATATGTAATAGCTTGTCCATTTGCACATATTTTCACCCCACTGATAGTTTTTAATATGTGGAGGTACACATACATATCTCTGTGTTTTTTGTGGGTGAGATATGTAGGCTAACATGTCGTAAGTGAATGAAACTGTGTTTGATAAGAACTGTCAAGTGTTGACTATGCACCTATTGGTGTGCTAGACATTCTGAAGATTCAGAAGAAGTATACAACATTATTTCTAATGTTATGATTACATCTACAGACAAAGAATCAAACAATGATTCTTTTTAATGGTAACTTGTGTTTTTTAATGTTAAAGATATGGGCCAAATGATAAAGAACAGGAAAAGATGAGTTTTTTTCTCTATCAGAAGGATAGATTTTGAGCTAATCTTGAAAGAAATACTAAATTTAGACTTATGGAGAATAATTTAGGAAAGCAATTGAACACTACCCAGGGGAGGTGGGAAGTGAGATGCTGTGTTCAGAGTGAGATAAGGAAATAATTTGACCAGAGCATGGGATTTTAATTGAGAATATTAAGAGATAAAATTATAATAAATGTAGGGAAGGTGTATCAGAGTGAGATTATGATATACTATACTTGAAATATCTAAATGAAGTATTTATGTTTACTCTAAAAGTCAAGTGAGAGAGATTCTGGAGTGAGACAAGAATGTGAGGAATGGGGACTTCTGTGGAGTTTAATCTATAGTAATGCACATGAATCTGATAAATTATTATAATCTTTGCTTTTAGTAGAAATGGGGATTTAGAGTACATCAGTACAGGTGGCGAAAAATGTGAATTTAAAACATATTTTGAAAAACAAGGATAAGAATTAGTGTTTAAAAGCTAAAAGAGAAGAATTTGTGTCAGCTGCAAAATAAAGTAAATACACATACACATACACTACATACATGCTCATAATTTAAATTATGAACTATTTTATCACACTCTGCTGTGTAAGTTTTTCTAACTCATATTGTATATCAGCCATGTTGTATTCTTGCATTAATTAATGTATTCATTAAATATGTCTTCAGTACTTTTTTGGGTCCAGCATTACATTAGGCAGATATATTATTCAGCAAGTTTTCAATTTAGTTCAGGGAAAGAGGGATGATAAATATTATTATGAGTGTTTAGAAATATTAAGAACCCGAATCCATTTATCAGTTTCATAACAATGATTTTCAAGCTTGTTTCATTTCTCACAGGGTAGACAAAGACAAAATATATATCTCATAAAAGTAATAATCTACCAGGCATGTTTGTTGTAGCCAAGCAAATATATAGAATTCTAAAAATATTGTTTATAGCTCTTGTTTCAACATGCTTGGGACAAGTTAATGTTTACAGTTTTGTGAGTGAATGAATCTATATACTGAAAACATTTCATTCAATAAGTTGACCTTCTTGAGGTTTGAATAAATTTTGGAGCCTGAGGGAATCAATATGGTTTTTAAGTTGATCTCCTAGGTATGTCTAAGTTTAAGTTCTTAATATAATTATCAACCCTTTATTATTTTAATATTTCATTACATTAATTATCTTTTGGAATATTTTCACTGATCAGTAACTTCTAGTCATAAGCCGTTCTGGTACCAATCATCAAATTTCATATTTGTAAGAAAAAATGACTAGCCTTTGGCTGTCTTGACATGCCCAAATCCACCAAGTATATATCTCACTTCCAAAATAGTCTCAGGATATGTTTTCTAGATATGATCTTAGATGATGGAGTGTATTGTTAAATTAACAAGTAGTATAAAAATAGACAAAATATTATTAAAAATACAAGGAGAAAGGAATATGTTAGAAACAAGTAAGAAGTTCCATATGGAAAACTGATAAGCAATTTTTTAGAAGCAAAAATCTCATGACGCTAAAACAAGATGATGAAGAAATTACTCTGTGTGCAAGTGTGGAGAAAAATAGCTTGTGATACCATAGTGATCTTAGAGCTCATTATACATCAGCAATGAAGAGCTTTAACTACCATGCAATTAAAATACTAGAGAGTATAAATAAGATTGTACCATGTGTATGTGGCAGCATATAAAAACTCAGAAGTGGAAGGAATTTTAGTCAAGTGTTACTCTTGAAAAAGCAAACGGATTAGGAATATTTAATTGGAGAACAACATAGACACCTTCTGTAATATTATTCAAGTAAGAATGTCTCATTTTGGACATCTTACTTATAGTCAGATTGATTCTCAAAACACTTTTTAAATGTCTAGAAATATTTACAATGGTATTTATCCTGAGAAATGCTAAAAAAAATTAGAAAATGTAAAGGTGACTGAAGTTAGGAAATAACATAAAATTGGTAATGATGAGCAATTTTCTTAATGGCTGTTCATAACTGGAAAAAAACAGATATGCTCCGAAATATATGAATTGTGAGATAAACTGCAGTAAAAGACCCCAAGAAATTGAGGGAAACTATGGAAATGATTGTAGCAAGTGGTAGCAAGCTATTTTTGTTTGCATTTTGAAAGCAGTTTTTAGAAATTTCTAATTTTGAAAATCTTAAATTGATTTTTAGGAATTCTGGGGCTACTTTTTTCTCAGACCTCTAGGGCAACCAATTGTAGAGACTTCCCCCTTCTGTTAATTGACTCAGATCTGCTTACATATTAAAGGCCACCTCTGGTTCTCAGCTGGAAAAAAGAGTTCCTCCCTTTTGAAACAGTTGACTCAGAATCAGTTCCTTCCTTTCAGATCCTTATCTTTAATTACTTTGTCTTCTAACCTGGGGTCCTAATCTTTGCCTAGGAATTTAAAGTAAAGATTGGCCGAATCTTATTTCTCTTGACTTGTATCTACCTTTACTTTAGCTCACCCTCTGGGCGTGGCCTCTAGCCAGTCTCACTTTGAGTATCTTTGAAACTCTCTCCTTATTGTCAACCCCTTACTTTGATTATTTTTTTTAATTTAATGTTTCCAATGTAGAAATACATCTCAAAAATTATGCAGAAGTTCTATCATATAATGTTCTTGCATGGGTCTGAAGCTCTTTGAAGGCAAGGGTCCTTGACTATGTTGTTCATTGTTGTGTAATTACTGCCTAGATGAGTACTTGGAAAGGTGGAGTGATTCAATGAATATGTGTTGCATATAGTTTAAGAAGAACTGGGACTGGAATTAGAAACACATGTTCCGTCTTTAGCAAATCACCCATCATTACTAATCTTCCATTATTTTATCTATGATATTGAGCAAGTAATGCCTATCCCATCTATATTATAGCTTTGTTGGAAGACTCAAGGGATAAAGTGAAAATGCTTTGTAGAGTTCAGTGCTACACATTTATTATGGTCAATGAACTGCATTACCCAAACCAACATTAATTGTACATAACATGTGACAAAGAAAGGCTTATGGTTTTGGAGTTTGTTTATTTTAGAAGACCAGATAAACTAGAACAAATATTTTCCATGAAGAAGTTTTTTTTCGTGTTAGAACTCATGTGATTAAATTGATTCACAAAATTTGAGGTCATTTATTAATTTTATGAATATTTTACTGAGCACCTATATGATGTCAGTGACTCTAATTGTCTCTGAAAATAAAAAGATTAATAAATCATGGCTTCTGCCTTCAAGGAACTTAGAGTTTAGTGGTTATAGAATGTTGGTTTAAAAAAAATGGCAAAAATAAAATTCTGACAAAAACTCATAATATCTGAGAGTTTATATGTGCTTGCTAAATGAAAAGAATTATTAGCAATACTATGCTGAATGACTGTAAAATGCTGACTTTTTACTTGAAATATTTACAAGAGGAAACAGAATATTTGTGGGTTTCCCTGCATATTTATGTGTGTGTTCAAACAGCTGCTAGAGAACAAAGTGTTTTGCTATAAACACTGTCAAATCTCACTGTGAAAAAAATTTGTCTATAAAACAAGTATTTTCATAGATATACTAAAGCTGCATAGAATTTGCTTTTATAGCATAAAACAGAATTAGATGCTTGAGTCAGCTATGAAATACTTTTTCATGCAACACTCATTCTAATTCTTTACACTATGCATTAGGCTGAGGCCTGGTGTAATTTGAAAGTGATAATGCAATAGAGAAATTCCAGAAGCTGGGGGTGGGGGGAATAGACTGGATATTGCAAAATGCATCAGTTAGTCAATCAAACTCCTAATTTATCAACCAAACCAACCTAATCCCATAGAGAATTCAAAGTGACTCACGAAAAGACACACAAAAGAAGAAATGTTTTGTTTATTTTCCAAGATGGAAAATGTAAACTATCCAGAGGACAGTGGTATGGGTTTAGAAAGACAATTCACACAATAAATTTTAAGGAAATAATGGTTTTAGTCTTTGATGCTAACATTATTTCTGGGCTTCCAAGTCACTAAAACAATACATACATCTTTTTAAAATGTTATTTTTGTTGTGTTGTTTGGTTTTGTGTTTTAGTCTTTTTATTTTCTGACAAAAGAAAGTTTGCCATGTCTCCAGAACAGGCACACAATTTATGTACTAAATCCTGATATGAATTTCTTTTCTTTTCTTTTCTTTTTTTTTGAAATGGAGTCTTACTCTGTTGCCCAGGCTGGAGTACAGTGGCACGATCTCTGCAACCTCTACCTCCTGGGTTCAAAATGATTCTCCTGCCTTATCCTCCCGAGTAGCTGGGATTACAGGCATACACTACCATGCCTGGCCAATTTTTGTATTTTTAGTAGAGACAGGGTTTGGCCATGTTGGCCAGGCTGGTCTTGAACTCCTACTCAGGTGATCCTCCTGCCTCGGCCTCCCAAAGTGCTGGGATTACAGGCGTGAGCCACCAGGCCCATCCTCTGATATGAATTTCTTATTGGAGAATCCCTTTATGTGTCCAGCCCTGTGGTAGGCTCTGAGAATATAGTAATGAACAAGGTAAACAAAACATACATAGTCTCTCCCATCATGAAGCTTACGTTCCAGCAAGGAAGCTAGACCTTCAATAGATAATTATCATTTAAAATTATACCTTGTAATCAGTGCTATGCAAGAAAAATAAGGCAGAATTAGGGGCTGTAATGAAGGACCTGTTTACAAAGCATTAGGAAAGCCCTCATGGAGGAAATAAGACAAGGAAGAAACACTTGTGAACAATAGGAAGGTATGTGAAGTGAAGGAGCGTTAAGGAACAGAGATTTCTAGACAAGCCCTAAGCAAGGAAAAAGCAGAGCTTTATTCTAGAATCGGACTAAAGGCAGTATTCGTTGAATGTGATCAGAGGACATTGTAAGCCAGGATAATCATTTTGAATTTTAACCTAGGTACAATTATGATCTATTTTTAAGAAGACTGACTTGATCAGATTTGAATCTTAAGAAAACTCATTATGTAAAAAAAGGGCTAAAGAAAGGATAAGGGTAGTCAGCAGGCCATTCAGGAGGCTATTGCAGATGTCCAGATGTTACAAATGCTTGTGACTTGGCCCCAAGTATTGGCAATGACCCTGGAGAGAAGCAGATGGATCTGATATTTATTTCGGAGTTAGCATAATATGAAATGATGCAATGGCATCAATAACGACTCCCGGTTTTCTCTATGAGACACTGGGTGGGTAAACTAAGATGTGTTGAGCTTGAGAGAATTCAGGAGTAGCTAAATCTGGGTGTCCCTTCGGGTGGGGATTAGAACGCTGAAAACCACGAACTCTACTTTGGAGAGTAATATTAAATTTGTGATGTTCCTGAGACGTCTAAAAAAATGGAGATTTAACCAGGCATTTGGATATATAGCTCTATACTTTCAGAAAGATACCTGGTCTGGAGATATAACTTGGGAGTTATTGACTCTACAGATGGTGTGTAAATGGGTTGGAAGTGGGTAAGATTTGGGGAAGAGAAGAATGAAATAAGAAAATGATCCAGGATTAAGCCCTGAGGAACGATAATAGTTACTGATAAAAAAAAAAAAAGAAAAGAATGAAGTAAATGAATGTGACTTTTCTGTTTCATTTTTTCTAAGTCTTTTAAGCCAGAGAAAACATAATGTGGAACAGTGTTTTTATGTGTGTTTTATCACTAGAGATAAGAAATTGTCAAGCTGTCCTTAAGGACCAGGGAGGGCCCATGGGGAACAGCATCTTTCCTGATGCTGTTGTATTCATCAAAGCATAGATGAGTCTCTTCTGATATTTTTGTTTGAGGAACATGAATATAAGCTCATGCTCCTAGCATAGCAATTAGTTTAGAGATTTATCATTGTTTTATTTTTATTTTTTGAATTATTAACTGCAGACAAAGCCCTAAATTTTTTTTGTTTTCTATATCACAAGTACCTTTTTTTGGTTTAAGGTTCTAAATTTCATTTTCCGTGACTTGAAACTGTTTTGCACTTCCTCTCCTTGCTTTATATTTTGAGTTTACACACTAACCTGCCAAAGAGACATCTAGTTTATAGGCTTGATTTTGGAAGAAAGACAGAAGAGAGCAGATACTGAACATATGTTCCGCTGATATTGATGAAGTGAGGTTGGAAGAAGCTTGGAAGCAGTCTATTTCTCTCCAACTGCCACCCCCTCTATGAATATTTTGGGTACCCTTATGCTGGAACATTCCAAATAAGTGCCCCAGCTATGGGTTTTTTTTTTTTCTCATAATGATTCTGAAAGCCTTTGGGATGATTTAGGATTGTTCTACAAGTGGAACATAAACCAAAACAAAGCAGTTCGTGGACTCTAATTTTAAATGGGTGATGGATGAGATTTCAATGCAAATTGTAAAGACTGAAAATGATGTGACCAGAGAAGGGACCCCTAGATAGTAAGTACTCAATAAATGACAGAAGCAGGGTATAGTATGAACCTGTTTCTTGGGAAAATAGACTTGAAGTTAGACAAGAATCTATTTAATCAAACTCTAGATATGATGTTTTGCTAACTTTTGTTTTTTGTTGCTTTGGTTTTTTGGAGTTTTTTTGCACTTCAAGAAGTCTTTTTGATCTGAGGTAGTGTAGTCAACTCTAATTTATTAAGCATGAAGTGATTGGTTACAGGTATTTTAACAAGTATTTGGAGGAGTTTGGGGAAGTTGAAGTACGAACACATTATTTGAAGTCACTGTTACAGAGGTGCACTATTTTGTCCTTCCTGATGTAGCCATTAGTGTTCCTACAAGAAATCTGGATTATCATGACAGTTTTTTTTTCTTTTTTCCTTTTTCTTTTTTTAATTTTAGATTTAGGGGATACATGTGTGGGTTTGTGACATGGGTATATTGTGTAATGGTGAGGTTTGGGCTTCTACTGAACCCATCACCCAAATGGTGAACATTGTATTCAGTCAGTAATTTTTCAGTCCTCATTCCTCTCCCAGCCTCTTCCCTTTTGTATTCCTGGGTGTCTATTATTTCCATCTTTGTTTCCATGTGTATCCATTGTTTAGCTCCCACTTAGAAGTGAAAATGTCATATTCAATTTTCTGCTTCTGAGTTATTTCACTTAGGATAATGGCCTCCAGCTCCATCCATGTTGCTGCAAAGGACATGATTTCATTATTTTTTATGGCTGCACAGTATTCCATGGTGTTCATATACCACACCACATTTTCTTTGTCCAACCAACACATAGATTGTTGAGCACATAGATTGAGTCCATGACTTTGCTATTGTGAATAGTGCTGCAACAAACACACAAATGTAGGTGTCTTTTTGATATAGTTAGTTCTTTTCCTTTGGGTAGATACCCAGTAATGGGATTGCTATATCAAATAGTAGTTCTCTTTTTTGTTCTTTAAGAACTCTCCATATTGATTTCCATAGGGGTTGAACTAATTTACATTCCCACCAGCAGCGTATAAGCATTCCCTTTTCTCTGCAACCTCACCGATATCTAATATTTTTTGACTTTTTAATACTAGCTATTCTAATTTGTATGACTTGGTATCTCATTGTGGTTTTAATTTGCATCTCCCTGATGATTAGTGATACTGAGCATTTTTTCATTTGCTTTTTGGCCACTTGTATGTCTTTTTCTTTTCTTTTCTTTTCTTTTTTTTTTTTTTAGAAGTGTCTGTTAATTTCCTTTGCCCACTTTTAATGGAGCTATTTGTTTTTTTCTTGTTGATTTAAGTTTCTTATAGTTTCTGGATATTAGTCATTTGTCAGATGCACAGTTAGCAAATATTTTCTGTCATTCTGCAGTTGTCTGTTTATTTTGTTAATTGTTTATTTTGCTGTGCAAACGCCGTTTAGTTTAATTAAGTCCCATTTGTTCATTTTTTTTTTTTTTTGCATTTGCTTTTGCAATTAGTCTTAGTCATTAATTCTTTACCTAGGCCAATGTCGAGAATAATTTTTCCTAGGTTTTCTTTTTATGGTTTCAGGTCTTGCATTTAAGTCTTTAATTGATCTTGAGTTAATTTTTGTATATGGTGACACATAGGGTCCAGTTTCATTCTTCCGCTAGCCAGTTATTAAATAGGGTGTCCTTTCCCCATTGCTTATTTTTATTGACTTTGTCGAAGATTAGTTGTAGGAATATGGATTTATTTTTGCATTCTCTATTTTGTCTCATTGCCTTATGTGCCATTTTTATACCATTACCATGCTGTTTTAGTTACTATAGCCTCATAGTCTCAGAGCATAGTGTGAAGTCAGGTGATGTGATGCCCCCAGCGTTGATCTTTTTGCTTAGAATTGCTTTGGTTATTTGGGCTCCTTTTTGTTTCCATATTAATTTTAGAATTGTTTTTTCTAATTCTGTGAAAAATGACATTGGTAATTTGATAGGGATTGCACTGAATCTGTAGATTGTTTTGGGTAGCATAGTCATTTTAATGATATTGATTCTTTCTATCCATGAGCATGGAATGTTTTTCCATTTGTCCATGTCATTTATGATTTCTTTCCTCAGTGTTTTGAAGAAATCATAATCAATTCCTGGTAGAGATCTTTTACCTCCTTGGTTAAATGTATTCCTAGGTATTTCACTTTTAATAGTTATTTTCTTATGTATGTCTAAATTTTAATCACAGCAAATTTATGGTGTAATCCTATCTTAATTAGATGGATGATGTCCTTTGTTGGGAATTTAATAAAATCTAATACTGCTTAGCTGGACCAAGTGGATAAGATGACATTTGAATCCATAGTGGACCTTGTAGCCCTTCTTTTATTTGGGTATCTACTATATAGAGAAAACATTGGTATTCTATAAACATGCCTAAGATCCATTGGAGTATGTATGGTTAGCTCTGTTTATTTTCTTTTTGGTTACAATAAAAATACTTAACATTTTCACTGTAACCTGTTTGGAAGGAAGAGAGTAAGCAATTTTAAAAATTAATTCAACAGAGAAACATGTACTACTTTTTCTGATTAAAAAAAAAAAGAAGAAGAAGAAAAGAGCCCACAGCAGCTCAGAAGCCTCCAAAAATACTCTTTTATTTTAGAAGCTGAAAAGGGCAGATCTAACTAATGGTACAAGACAAATTGAAAGTCCTATAAACAGGAATAGAATACTTACTCTCTTTGGTTTTGTTTGCTTCTGAACAACTGGATTCAACCTTCTTTCTTTCCCCCCAGCTCTTAGGCATTGTTGTGTCAGGACAGCTATGGTTCAAATTGGGCTGATTTTCCAGTTCTATTAAACCCTTCATCTGCATCGTGGATCAAATACATTAACTAGCTGTCTGCAGTGCACAGCTGGAAATCATTCTCTTCCACATTTTGCTTTGTGCCATTTTTGTTTTATACCAATATGCTCTGACACACCCACATAGCTCAGGATTTCAGCAGTCAATTATCTCCTTTTCTTCCTTGATAGGTCTTAGAACATTTTAAATTGGTGTATTCTCTTTTGTCTTTTAAATATTGAATCACTTGCAAACATCTCTGCTTGCATGAATATTTTTCAAAATGCTCCATAGACCTAGAAGCTGAAATGGAAAGTTAGAATCATTCAAACACAAATTTTGATTTTATTCCTTTGAGAGATGGTAGGTGATTGGCATGAAATAGCAGGATAAATATTGTCTACCAAAAGTAAGATGAGAGAGAGAGGAAGACAGAGAGACAGAGACAGAAAGGATAAGGATCAGCCATGTATTATTGTAAACAGTATATGATATCTTAGAGATTATTTTAAAATGAATATATTGAAGTGAATTGTTGCATTGACTGAATGGCTTTTCCATAGAAAGACTCCAGCTATCATCAGTTATCAATTACATTATTGGTGGTCTTTACAAACTTGACTATAAATGTTGAGACATTTTTCGAGAAATACATACACATGTGTGTGTATGTGTGTGTATAAGTATCTATTGGTATCTCCGCATGTTAGTTAAAAATATAATAATATGCCAAGTACGGACAATGAAGACAGCTACTCCACAATATTCATTTAATTTAATTTTTTTTTTTTTTTTTGAGACGGAGTCTCGCTCTGTCGCCCAGGCTGGATGGAGTGCAGTGGCGCGATCTCTGCTCACTGCAAGCTCCGCCTCCCAGGTTCACGCCATTCTCCCGCCTCAGCCTCCCGAGTAGCTGCAACTACAGGTGCTTGCCACCACACCTGGCTAATTTTTTGTATTTTTAGTAGAGACAGGGTTTCACCGTGTTAGCCAGGATGGTCTTGATCTCCTGACCTCGTGATCTGCCCACCTTGGCCTCCCAAAGTGTAGTTTAATATTTAAGCTGATAAAACAAGAAAATATATTTAAAAAATTTTTGCTAGACTACATTAGAAAGATTTTCTTTAAAGATGTGAGCTAGATAGAGGTCATTTTAAAATGATGATTTATCAAATTTTACACAGTTAAAGATAGTGAAAATAAAGAGCACATTAAAAAATAACTAGATGGAAATTTTCACTGTGAAACAGAATTTCTGAAGTGACACGGTGTTCACTTCTGATCATGGTCATTGTACAACCATTGAGTCTTTGTATAATTGCTGTGAGTAGTGTCACTACCATTTTCCCTTCACTTTTTTTCTATAGATATTTAAATGAAGCAACTGTATACATATTTATTCATTTTGTCAGTTATAATCAAGTTATTCTATCCTAATCTTTCTATCTTCACTCTGTGTGTGAGTCTGTGTGTACATAACATGTGATATTTATATCCATCTTCCTTCTTGATCATGAGCAACAGGAACCACCAATACTATTTTACTTAAGCTGAAATACATTTGAAATATACCATATAACTTGCAGAGTTGATGGGAAAATTTGAAAACCAGGGTGAGAAGATGGCAGACATCAAGGTCATCCCTAGGTTTTGATACCTGTACAGAATAGTCATTGCTTACTGCTGCCGCCATCACTACTTTCTCTTTCATTCCTCTGATATGACTATCTCTACTCCTATCATTATCTGATTTTCCTTATCTCTCTAGTCTGTGCTTCACATGCTTAATATTCAAATTCCTAGGCCAAAGTCACATGTACATGCCCTAACTGCTATAGGGTAGGGAGAAGAAAGGTCTCCTCTATTTACATTTCCTTGGCAGGAGGTAGGACACTGCATACCCTCAATAGTAGACACAATGCCAATTACTCAAGAAAAGAAATGGAGGATGAATGTTGGACAGCCAAGAAATGATGAAGGTCTGCCACATTTTTCATATAGGTTGGCTTTTTCTTTGAATGTTTTCACTTAGCTAGTGTACCAAAACAGTTCTACATTTCCACCAAATTAAAGGTCTGATTAGTTTAATGCCCTTCATTTGCCATATTTTTCTCAAGAAAGATTATACAGTGCATGAACTCATTCTTATTCAGTAAATTTAAATTTGAGTGGCATTATATTCCAACTAGTGCTATCCATGCCCTCAGTAATTTTATAGACTTGAGAGCCACCGTAAAAAATACTAAAGTTACAGTATGATGAGGGTTCTACTAAATATCAACTAAGTAATATACGGACACCAAGAAAGAAACAGAAAATTCTGTGTGGCAAAGTCAGAAAACACTTTCACAGAGCAGGGAATATTTGAGCTATGAAAGATGAACATGCAACAAAAAGGGAGAACATTCTTTGTTGAAGGGACAAGATAATGTCATCACAAAGCATTTTCAAAATGCCTGCTATATTTGTAAATAGGAAGAGATCAGTTCACTAGATGTATAAGAAGGCATGAAGGAGGATAGCAACAGATGAGTTCAGACAGGTAGAAAGCAGGCCTGATTATAAATGTTTAGATCACCAAGGAGTTTGTCTACGACACTACAGGTGACAGGCAACTCACAAAAGTCTTTAAAAAAGAAAGTGAGTTTTAGGGAAGATAATTTCAACAACAATGGGGAAGATTAATGGGAGTAGAGTCACGCAGGAAGACTAGGAAGGGCAGTGGTGCTCAACCTGTTTGGCACCAGGGACCAGTTTTGTGGAAGACAATTTTTCCATTGACAGGGATAGGGGTGGATGGTTTCAGGATGAAACTGTTCCACCTCAGATCATCAGCCATTAGATTCTTATAAGTAGCTCACAACCTAGATCCCTCGCATGCACAGTTCACAATATGGTTCACGTTCCTGTGAGAGTCTAATGCTGTTGCTTATCTGACAGGAGGCAGAGCTCAGGTGGTAATGCTTGTTTGCCAGCCACTCACTTCCTGCTGTGCAGCCCTGTTCCTAACAGGCCACAGGCTGGTACTGGTCTGCAGCCCTGGGGTTGGGGACCCCGGGTTAGGATGCTACTGTAATAAATGTAAAGTAAGGTTAGGATATCTGAATATAAATGTTGATGTGTTTGTGTGGCGGGGAGCGGTGTGTGTAGCTGAATTTGAGGTAGAGACAAAAAGTAATTAAACTGGAAGCAGAAATCTTAGAATGGGGAAAAGTAAGGCATATTTGTTCACAAAGTATCTTTTAACATTTTCTGGTTTCTGTGGAGTCACATTTTATTAATGCTGGTTGACATTTATCTACCTAGAAAAAAATGACAGAAATTTCAGGAACAAAGGTGACTATGAATTAGGTACCAATATTTTTGTGGATGATCTTCATGAAGTCAGCCAATAATGGAGATGAGTATGTGGAAAGGATGGATTATTTGGACTTTTTGAAAAGAAGTTATTGGGTGAACATGATGGCTCATGCCTGTAATCTCAACAGTTTGGGAGGTTGAGGTGGGAGGATCACTTGAGGCCAGGAGTTTGAGATAAACTTGGGCAACAGAGCAAGATCCATCTTTACAATAATTAAAAAAAAAATAGAAATTAGCTGTATGTGATGGCTTGCACCTGTAGTTCTAGCTACTCAGGATGCTCAGGCAAGAGGATCACTTGAGCCTAGGAGGCAGAGGCTTCAGTGTGCCATGATCATGCCACTGCACTCCAGCCTGGGCAACAAGAGTGAGACCCTGTCTTAAAAAAATTAAACAAATTAAAAAGAAATGAAGTTATTGAGTGACAGTTAAAGAAACTGATTTGCAAGTGGCCTTCAGGAGGCAGAAGAAGGCTACTTGTCTTTCCCCAGTGATTTTATGAATCCATTGAGGAGATCTGCAGAAGTGTTGTCACTGCTGGAGAAAACCAAGGCTTCACTTGCAAAAAGGAGTACTTTCTTAAAACTGAGAAATTTGGAAATATATCATAGGACTTGTAAAGCTATGATGGAAGTTAGCCCATGAGTGTGTTTACAGAAGGCAGAGCTAGATGGCATAAGACTCAGGGATGATGCAGGAGGTGATAAATATTTTTGTTTAGAGTAGTGAGAAGAGTGAAACACAGTAGATCTTTAATAATAAAATTTTCACTCATTTGGAATTATGAAAATTGTGTTTGAAAACCAGCTGTGCCATTTAAATTCTGGGTATATGTTTCTTCATTTGTAAAATTCAAGTTTGAACTAGGCTTCTTTGAACTAAATTCTTCTTGCCACCAGACAACAACCTTCTTCTTCATCACCTAGAGGAACATTGCCTGAAGCCTAAGGAAGCAGCCTTCCCTGTGCCACACAGAAGACCCCTTAATTGTTCAATGAATTTCTCATTGACTTGTGTAGTGCTTCAAAAGAAAACACTTACACATCAAACATGATTCTAAGTCAAAGTTCTTCATTTATATGAGATTAAAGAACTGGAAAACTGTACAAGAGAAATAGTCACCTGCTGATTGCAGGCCTGTGGGTTTCTTGGAAAAACTCAGCAATTTTGCTTATCCAGGACTATCTTTTTGCCCAGTTCCTCTGATTCTGAAGGAAGTTGAAAAGATAGTTTTCCTTTGCTGTATCCAACATCCTTTTCTACATTTGATTTAAGAAATGTCAATTTAACTTTTTATTGATACTGATATTGAAAATACATAAAATCCAAAGAATGAGATAAATCTTACATATGTGTCATATTTCTATAGATTTTTTTGACCAACATTTTATTTTGAAAATTTTCATGCACTTGGTAAGGTTGAAAGAATCATACAGTGAACACTATGTACTCGAAATCTAGATTCTAAAATTAGGCCAAGCATAGTGGCTGATGCCTGTAATCCCAGGGATTTGGGAGGCTGAGGTGGGAGCATTGCCTGAGGGCAGGATTTTAAGACCAGCATGGGCAACATAGTGAGACCATGTCTCTACCAAAAAAAAGTAAGGCCAGCACGGTGCTGCATGCCTGTAGTTACAGCTACTCAGGAAGCTGAGGCAGGAGGATTGCTTGAGCCCAGGAGTTCAAGGTTACAGTGAAGTATTATAATCATGCTATTGCACTCCAACCTGGGCAACAGAATGAGACCCTGTCTCAAAAAAAAAAAAAATAGTTAATGCCAGGCGTGGTGACTCATGCCTGTAATCCTAACACTTTCAGAGGCTGAGGCAGGTGGATCAGTTGAGGTCAGGAGTTCAAAACCAGCCTGGCTGATATGGCAAAACCCCGTCTCTACTAAAAATACAAAAATTAGCTGGGCGTGGTGGCAGGCTCCTGTAATCCCAGCTACTCGGGAGGCTGAGGCAGGAGAATCACTTGAACCTGAGAGGCGGAGGTTGCAGTGAGTTGGGATCATACTACTGCACTCCATCCTGGGCAACAGAGCGAGACTCCATGTCAATAATAGTAATAATAATAATGATAAATTAATTTAACATGTTTGAGTAGGGAGGAGATATGTGCTTTATCACATATCTATCCATCTGAACATATCTACCCATAAATCCATTTTATCTTTTAATATACTGCAAACCTCATTCCTATACACATGATCATGAATATCATTAACTGGAGTTAAATACTGCTAATTTTTTTCAAGCTCAAATTTATCTACATTGAAATGCATAAATTATCACCCCGTGTAACATTCACTCACTGAATGTAATATTTAATTAACAAATACATACACCATTATAATACAAACTGCTATCAAGAATATTATCATCATCCCAGAAATTTTCTTTATGCCTCTTCCCAGTCAGTCTCTGCCCCCAAGCTCCCAAAGGCAACCATTTTTCCTGTTTTATTTTCCTAAAAGATTAGGTATGTTTAAAAAGATCATATAAATGAATAATAGAGTATCCACTCTTTGGTGTAAACTTATATTATGTGGCATAATCCTTTTTGGAGTCATCAGCATTGTTGTGTGTATCAGTAATTTGTTCCATTTTTATGTTGAATAGTATTTCATTGTTTAAATACACCACAGTTTTTGTATCATTTCCCCCATTCATGGAAACCTAAGGTGTTTCCAGGTTTGGCTATTATGATAAAAACTTCTATGAACATTTTTGTTTAGGTCTTTTTAAGGACATGTAATGTCATTTATCTTGGATATGTACCTAACAGGGGAAAATTTGAAGGACTTTTATATTTATTAAAAACTACCTGTTTTCTAAAAGGGTTGTGCTAATTTACATTCCCAACAGCAATGCAGCAGACTTTTGATTGTTCTACAAACTTTTTAATATTTGATGTTGTCAATCTTTTTAATATAATGCCATTTAATCTAAAACATGAGAACTTTGTCAATATATAGGTCCAGTTACTGTGATCTCTCACCCACCATTTCTTTATTATAGTTGTCATATATATTCTATTTACAAACATATGCAATGATGTGATTTTTTGCCTTAAATATTAATATGCATTTAAAAGAATTTAACAGGGAAAAAGTCTATTGACATCAAATGTACTTATACTGTCTTTTATCATCTCCAATTTTCTATTAATCACATGTAGTGGATTTTTTTTTCATTCTAGATACTGTGTTACATTTTTCAGTCACAGAATTTATATTCAATATTTTTTGTTGTTACCATTTCTTTTTTGCTACAAGAATTTTCGTATGTGTGTATGTCCTTGAGTATAGTTTAAAAGCTGCTTGAAGATGCTTGTTTGCTTATTCCAACATCTGGTTGATCTCAGTACAATCTCCGTTGATTGCTTTTTCTCATAAGTATGAGTTACTTTTTATTGCTTCCTTGTATGTCTAGTATTTTTTTTTAATTGCAACCTGGATGTCATGAATAATAGCACATTGTAGAAACTCTGGGTTTTGTTATGTTCCTCTGAAGAGCACTCACCCATTCTTTTTTGTTGTCGCATCAGTTGGTTAACTTGACTGGGCTCAAAGTCCCAACTTTTTTCTTTCCTGTAGAGTGCAGAACCTAAAATCTCTGTTCAGTTTTTCAGCCCTAGCTGGGCTACTTGGAATCTGACTAGGGCAGGTGTAGGTCTGGCATCAGTGAGCAATTTGGACAGAGTTTATGCACAGATTGAGGCTCCCTTTCTGTGGACCTCTCTTTACACCTGCTGTGGCTATTTTTAGTTTTGTTCACTAGTTCTTCAAGCCAGTAAAACTGTGGGTTTCTATTTGAGTTTTAGCCATTCTGGAGCTCATCCAGTGCCTTTTCCTTCTAAGTATTCATAGTCTTCCTGGCTTACCTGTTCTTAGGTGCACTCCAGATATCTGGTGTTTGCTGTGTGTATATATATATATATACACACACATATACATACACACACCAAATATATACACAGAATTTATAGCTGTTATCTCTGGGAGCTTTGCTCCAATAAAAGCTACTTCACAATTATTAAAAATAGAACCTCCATAAGTAGATTTTAAAATGTTTCTGCCATTTGAAACCAAAAAGTGGGATTTTGAGAATGTAGATCATCAAAATCATGCCAACATGTGTGAACATACTACATTATTTGAGAAAGCAAATATGGTATAAACACATCCAAATAAAAACAGTGGAAGTTAGGTGATTTTTTTCAAATGTTTGCCATATTGTAGCAGAATTTCAGTTTTTCAAATTTTCACATGATATACACTTAGCCTTTTTCTAGATATCCTATTACCATATATATATATATACACTATAGAACAGAATATATTATTCTATATATAATATGAATATTCTAATCTCTAATAAAATACATAGTATAAACAGAATATTGTTTGATTTTTGTTCAGACATTGTTCCTTATAACCAGAACTCCAACTAAACTTATTTAGTCTAGTGCTATTCAGAAAAAAAATGTCAATCATAGTTGTATGGATAATGATCACTGGCTTTTATGTCATTAACATTACAGGACCTTAAGTTGAGTTAAGAAGATGTAAGTCAATACTCTCTAAAGGTTCATCAGCTATTTATAGTTAATTTACACTCCTAATGTTTACATAATCTTAACCAAGTAACACATATTGAATATGGAAATAAATATTGCCCTGGTGCTTTTGAATGGGAATAAGTAGGCACAGCATAATAGATTTAACATATAATGAAAATGGGTTGCAATCTATAATAAGACATGCTGAAGATTCAATAAAAGCTCAGATATTGATTCATTCTTCAAATTGGTCATTCATTAGCAACTAATTGGAGACCTTTGCTGACCAATATGCTTAACCGATTTTTAAAAATAAACAGCAAAATAGCAATGAAATTTCATAAAGCAACTATTCCCTGACCATAAAACAAGGCAATTAAATTGTGCAAAGGTTAATTTTGAGCACATAATCAGTAACTGTAATAGAAACAAATCAAAGAAAAGAATTGAAAGATCCTAAATGTAAATTTTATTAGTGTCTTTAGTTTTATGGTTAGAAAACTCTATGAAGCAACAATGGCATGGTGAGGGATAAGTTATTTGTTTTATTAAAGATTTAAATAAGCTTTACCAAGGACCAGATTTTGGTTCTACTTTAGGCCCTGACAAGAAGTCTTGTAAGCTTTTTAAAGAGCTCACTTCAAATCATAGTTATCAATCTTACTAATTCATAACTTTGTACATATCATTTATCTTCTCTGAGCTGCACTTCCTTCATTTTTATAAAGTGGAAAGAATTAATAAAATTTATACAATGGGTTATATGGGAATTAAATAATATGAAGAATATAGAATAGCTTCAGAATCAATGTTTCTTGTACTCTGTAATCCCTTTGTAGCTGTATGCTTTTGCTCTCTTTATTTATTTAATTATGTGGGATAATTGGTACATAATCCAATTCTATATTTTCTGAACATACAACATAAAGAAAATACTTTATCCCTGGTCTCTTTTCTTGGCTTCCTCCCATGATTGCTGAGGCCTGGGAAAGTACAGGCCTGGCCTGCTCCAATCAGGTCTTTCAGGGCAGACCAAAGCAGGGCACAGGGAGTCTTACCCATACCTGCAAAACAGGAATGAGGCCATGGTCAGGGTCAGAACTAGTCAGTGCTGAGGGAGGAGGCAAAAATCCGAGAGAAAAAGTGACAATGCCCTGGTGAAGTTTTAGAAATGTTAGCACCTGCCTGAGATGGCTTTTGTGTAAGTAAGCTGGCTGTCTTTGAAGGGGGCAGATGGAGCTAGACTGCTTAAACTCATCATATAAGCGAGCAAGAGAAGTATAATTTTGCTCTCCTTTAAACAGAATTCCCAGCATGTCTCTTTGTTCTTACTACTTATTTTTCTATACTGTAAATTAAATTTTTAAAGAACTGGAGAAAAGTCCACTAAAACAAATTACTAACAGTGACAAATAAGCAGTGCTTTATGTTAATATGTAAGTGCACCATTGTATTAGTCCATTCTCATGCTACTAATAAAGACATACCCAAGACTGGATAATTTATAGAGAAAAATAGGTTTAATAGACTCACAGTTCCACATGGCTGGGGAGGTCTCACAATCATGGTGGAAGGCAAAGAAGTAACAAAGGCAGGTCTTACATGGTGGCAGGCAAGAGAGCATGTGCAGGGGAACTGCACTTTATAAAATCGCCAGATATTATGAGACTTATTTACTATCACGAGAACAGCATGAGAAAAACCTGCCCTCATGATTCAAATACCTCCCAACGTGTCCCTCCCACAACACATGGGGATTACAGGCGCTACAATTCAAGATGAGATTTGGGTAGGGACACAGCCAAACCATATCCACCATTATGTTTATTCAATGTGTAACCTATATGTATCTGTATCTATAGCCACATCTATATCCAGACAATTACATAATCTTATATGTTGAAACAATTACAGATTCAAGTACTCTGACTCACTCATCATTTACATAAGCTTTCAGCAGAGAGACCATACTTATATGCCATTCCCTCTGCCTGATATGTTTGTTTTTTCTTTCTTCATTTTCCCTAACAGATAAACTTCTATTTCTCCTTGAAAATTCAGCTCAAGATTACTTCCCATGATAAGCCCATCTTAGTAATATTTTTATTCTCAGATCCTTTACTGTCTGGCATAATATGTGCTCAAAACATATTTGATGAAGGAATAGTTGTACCGTTAAATGCAAAATGGTGATGAATGACAAAATAGAAAGATATACAGACAAACTTTATTTAATCGCATATCATTTATTAACCTAGAAAATAAAATGTCTAAGATAGATAATGGCGTGGAGACCATCTAATTATTTTTAAATTTGTAACCTGACAAACGTCACAAAATTGTTAGGAAGTTTTCACTAAGGCTTATATCATGGAAAAGATAAAAAAAAATAAGGTAAAAACTTTTAAATGGTACTCTACTTTTTATAAAACATTACATTTTCTAATGAAATAAATAATACTTTATGAATGTTTAATATTTCTCTAACCAACAATTACATTAGCTTTCCTTATGTCACACTGACAGAATGTCTCATTGTGTTGGGGCCAGAGAGCACAGAGATGAGGGGGGAATAAATGTATCAGGAACAATAAATGAGATAGTGATTAAGTGAAAAAGTAAGTACCATTGGCAAATCAGGAAAAATTGGGAACCTCAACTTTCAGCTGAAGAAAAACACAAGGCAGGAGGCCAGATGAGAGTTGGGGGTCACTATTTTGGAGGAACAGGATTAAGGGATTTTTAAAGACATATGTATAAGGAGGGAGAAAAGAAAGAAAAGATTCTTTGGGGGCAGCTCTTTGGGAGATCTTAAGAATGACTGAGACAAGAACTGAGTTGTCACTTGATCTTTTGAATTCATTTACCTGTGGAATTTTTTGGAGTGATTACAATAAAGATTTAAACTATTTATAATTGCAATTTTTACTGTACTATTATCTTTTTTTAACAGAAAAGAAAACTTAATAGTCAATACATACTCTAATAATCAAATATTATAAAAATCTTCCTAATTTACTTTCTTTTTTAATTTTTTGTTTCTTTCAATGCAATTCTAAGGCCAACCAGGTCCGCAAGGTAGCACTAGATCTATGCTGGTTTCATAAAACATTGTAGATGCCATTCAGTAGAGTGATTAAGAGGATAGACTCTGGAGCCAGATTGCTTTGGTTCAAATCATAGCTCTGCTACTTGCTAGCTGTAATCAGGAGCGAGTTACTTAACACCTCTCTGCCTTCTTAATAAAATAGAGATAATAGTGGTATGAAGCTCATGTGGATGTTTTGTGTAGCAAATCATTGTAGGAACAGTGTCTGACAATAGTGCTTGGCACATTGCAAACATTCAACGATGCTGGCTATTATGATTATAATTATTATTATTATATGCAGATGATACAGACAAACATTTATGAGTCCAATATTTATAATCTAATTATTCGTTTATTTTACAAATACATTGAGTGCCTACTCTGTCCCTACTATGTGCCAAGCTTTGAGGATAAGGCAGAAAATACAAATTCAAGATCTAGAGATCTTGGTAAAAAAGGCAGAAAACACAAACTCAAGATCTAGGGATCTCAGTAAAATATCAAGCCATGAGATTTAGTCAGGAAGGTTTCTTTTTTCTTTTCTTTCTTTCTTTCTTTCTTTCTTTCTTTCTTTCTTTCTTTCTTTCTTTCTTTCCTTCCTTCCTTCCTTCCTTCCTTCCTTCCTTCCTTCCTTCCTTCCTTTCTTTCTTTCTCTCTCTCTCTCTCTTTCTTTCTCCTTCCTTCTTTGCTTCCTTCCTTCCTTTCTCTCTCTCTCTCTCTCTCTCTCTTTCTTGACAGAGTCTTCCTCTGTCTCCCAGGCTGGAGTGCAGTGATGTGATCTCAGCTCACTGCAACCTCCACCTCCCGGGCTCAAGCAATTCTCCTGCCTCAGGTTTCCAAGTAGCTGGGATTACAGATGCCCACCACCACGCCCTGCTAATTTTTGTATTTTTAGTAGAGACAGGGTTTCACCATGTTGGCCAGACTGGTCTTGAACTCCTGACCTCAAGTGATCCGCCCACCTCAGCCTCCCAAAGTGCTGGGATTACAGGCGTGAGTCACCACACCCGGCGAGGAATGACTTTCTATCAGAAGTTGAATTGATATAGACCTACTTGGCACATATATAGAGCTGAAACAACCTAGATGGTCGGCATATTTTCTCCATAAATAGAGTCAAATTATCTGTAATTTCAAATGTACTTTCTCCAAGAACAGATTTTTCAGTTAAAGAGTGGCTTTTGATGAGTGACTTTGCTATACTGTTATTGAAAAAGGGTCTATAATATGCAAATGCTAGACATGTATGAAGCACAATTGACATTAACTTACAGGAAGAAAAGAGACTGAATTTGGTTCTCAGAGGGAATAAAAAAATCTCCCCAGCCCTACACTTAGATGGACCTCTGAGATCGTATCTATGAAAGTTAAAAACTTCTATTATATCTAAGACATAATTACTGGTGTATGATCATGGACCACTATAATGGCTTGTTTCTGGCAATATATTGCTTTATTATATTGCTGGATGGCATGGAAAGCAGTAAAAATTGGTATTCCAAAGTAAACATTATCTATCTTCTCTAGTCTGGGATAAAGAAGTTTTAATAATTATTTACACTGAAGGATAATTAGAGCATGAAATGACCATGAAAAAATATATTTGCATAGTTGTGCAGAAACATTAACATGCAATTATGTCTTGATACTAGATATAAAATATCTGAAATGGAAGATGGAAGATTTAGTGGGATCTTTTACCAATAACTTCAACAGAAGATTTGTGTTTTAGAATGTGTCCTAGAGACAGGACCTTCTTCCTAGCTAAATATTAGAGATAAAAAATTAAAAAGAGGCTTAAAGTCCATACTTAAGACCCAGAAAGAAAAATAGTATTCTTTTGATAACACATAGTATTTATGTAGTATACTGAATTGTCAGGTATTTATCATTAATTATCTCATGTTGGGTTACTTTAATGCTCCGAAAAATATTTTATCTCAATTGCTTTTAAAATGTATCAAAATCCTAACTTTGTTTCTGGTCTACACACCTTCATTTGTCCATCTTTTTCAGGTTTATTCCCTGCTGTCCTGAATCTTGCTTCTAATGCTCTTATCACGACCAATGCAACATGTGGAGAAAAAGGACCTGAAATGTACTGCAAATTGGTAGAACATGTCCCTGGGCAGCCTGTGAGGAACCCGCAGTGTCGAATCTGCAATCAAAACAGCAGCAATCCAAACCGTATGTATTTTAGTGTGTAGGTGTGTGGCGCTGGGTAGGATCTATAATTGTGAGATGTTGAGGCCAAGTTGCATTAAATTCAAGGGTTTGTAATACTAAGAATTCCTAGAATTCTTTTTACCATTAAGAGCTTCTTCCTGGCCCCTCTCTGTCATTCAGCAAACATTATTGGAGTTCCTGCTATGTGCTAAGTACAGTGATTGGAGATGATTCGCCAGCTGAAGGCCTGTGGCAGTCATTGGGTTTACTAACTCCAGATACCAAAGTGGTTTCTGAGGGTGTGGTTATTAACTCAGGCTGTCATCATTCATTGGTAATTTATGTGCCAGATATTGTGCCTGAGATCCAGGAGGAATAAGGTAGGATATCGTCTTTGAGCTACTGATATATAGTGTGGTAAGTACAAAGGAAAGAATGAGCACAGCGTTCTGCAGAAGAGAGAGGATGGCCACAAAGGCTTGGTGTAAGTAAAGGCTTGCCAGAAGGAGCGATATCCAAGCTGATGACCAAGGACATGAGCTAAACAAGGGTATGAGATAAACAGGTAAAGAGGTGAGGGAGGGGAAGAGGAGAAGTCATGCCAGGAAGAGAAATCAGAATTAGACAGAAAATCCTAGTTACTCGGGGAGCTACAAGTAGGAATGACTAGAACTGAAAGTGCCAAAGGGCAGAGAGTAGAGATGAGACTAGAGCAAAAGGCTGGAGCCAGATTATGAAGGCATTTAACAACCACAGGAGAAGTGATTTAGGGAGAGGCACCATGTAAAGCCCTCTTTCCAGCCTCTATGAACCACAGTGATACCTCAGACTCATTGATGTATTTATTCAACAGGCCTTTGAACACCTCCTACTAGCAAAGCATTGTATTGGAGCATAATGTTAAATTACACATAACCCCTGATTCAGAGGACCTAGAGGGGAAATAGAGGCAAAAGAAAAGTAAATTCAGTGCTAAAATAACATGAATGCTCCATGTAGATGCTAAAGTCATCTAAAGATTTCTGGCTAAGAAATCTTTATATCTATATATCTCTATCTGTATCTATCTTTCTGACATGCCTTCTTCTCTTCTCCTCGCTTACCTCTCTCTCTCTGTATATATATAATATATATATAAAATATATATAGCAGGTAGATATATACTTATATGTAATCTACATAAAGGTAAAAATATATATTATTTATATTTATTTATATTATTTTTAATGAACAGATATATTATTTTATTTTTATTTTGTTTTTGAGGCAGAATCTCACTCTGTCACCCAGGCTGGAGTGCAGTGGTGCGATCTCAGCTCACTGCAACCGCCATCTCCCGGGTTCAAGCAATTCTCCTGCCTCAGCCTCCCGAGTAGCTGGATTACAGGCACGTGACACCATGCCTGGCTATTTTTTGTATTTCAAGTAGAAATGGGGTTTTACCATGTTGGCCAGGCTGGTCTCAAACTCCTGACCTCAAGTGATCACCCGCTTCAGCCTCCCAATAGATATATTTTTTGTTAATATTATTTCATATATAATATATTAAAAGGTAGATATATATTATATGTAGAGAGATATATTTTACATATCTATAGATCGATCTATAGATATCTATATCTATAGATCGATCTATAGATATCTATATCTATAGATAGATATATAGAGGCCAGAAAGTAAATGAATTGATGGATTATTAGTTTCAGGTTCATTAGGCAAGATGATAAAGCCTGATGGAGGGAAACCACCATTGGTTCAGAGACTGGTGGCCTTGAAAATTTCATGAAGAATATGAGAAAGCCCAGGGGCATGAACGGAGTTGTGGGGAGGAGGTGCGAGTGTGTAGATGTGTGTTTAGGATGGGCTGTGCAGACGGGGAGAATTAGAGAGATAAAATATGTAAAACCATAAGTGTGTGTATATGTATGCAGGTATATATATATATATGTAGAGAGAGAGAGAGAAAGGAGGTAATAACGTGAATACTTAATGCCAAGTGAGGTGAACTATGATGGGGGTAAAGCTTCACAATTATATTATTTTAAAATTTGCTTAGTATTTCTTCTCCTTTTTTTTTTTTTTTTTTTAGGCAGAGTTTCGCTCTGTCGCCCAGGCTGCAGTGCAGTGGCGCGATCTCGGCTCACTGCAAGCTCCGCCTCCCGGGTTCACGCCATTCTCTTGCCTCAGCCTCCCCAGCAGCTGGGACTGCAGGCGCACGTTGCCACGCCCGGCTAATTCTTTTTTTTTTTTTTTTGTATTTTTAGTTGAGACGGGGTTTCACCGTGTTAGCTAGCACGGTCTCAATCTCCTGATCTCGTGATATGCCCGCCTCGGCCTCCCAAAGTGCTGGGATTACAGGCGTGAGCCACCGCGCCCGGCCTTTTCTCTGTCTTTTTAAATAGACCTTATTTTTAGAGCAGTTTGAGGTTCACAGCAAAATTAAGAGGAAAGTACAGAAATTCCCCATATTTCCCCCGCCCCAACACATGCGTGGACTTCTCCATTACCAAAATCCCCCTCCAGAGTGCTACATTTGTTACAGTCCATGAACCTACATTGACAACAGCATCACCCAAACTTCATAGACTGCATTAGGGTTTACTTTTGGTGGTGTACCTTTTATGGGTTTGGACAAACTTATAATGATATATATCTACCATTAGAGTATCACGCAAAGTAGTTTCATTGCTCTTTTTTTTTTAAATTATAAAATGTATAAAATGAGAGCTTTTTCTCACAATTTACATTTTTTATCCCAAAAAGAAAATTGAAAGGCATTGTGCCTTTTTTCTTGGAGCTGGTTAAAGAGAGGCATGCATAGTCCCCTCATTATATAATTTAGGAATGCAGAAAACATTACTATATTTCAGCAATTGACACTTGTTTGATTAAAATTAGTGGTCGTGTGTATCACAGAATATCAGAAAACATGTTAAGACACCAAAGAAGGCAACCACCAGAAACCTTTCCTATTAATGACTCTGGTTAATTTCTTTCTTTTTTGTTTTGTTTTGTTTTGTTTTATTTTGAGACGGAGTTTTGCTCTTGTTGCCCAGGCTGGAGTGCAATGGCACGACCTCGGCTCACCGCAACCTCCGCCTCCCGGGTTCAAGAGATTCTTCTGCCTCAGCCTCCTGAGAGGCATGCGCCACCATGCCCGGCTAATTTTGTATTTTTAGTAGAGACGAGGTTTCTCCATGTTGGTTAGGCTGGTCCCGAACTCCAGACCTCAGTTGATCCAACTGCCTCGGCCTCCCAAAGTGCTGGGATTACAGACATGAGCCACTGCGCCCGGCCGACTCTGGTGAATTTCTCGGATGTAAGTTGTTATGGTATGTGTGTAGGAGTGGGGAGTATAGTTGCATACCCATGTGTTTGCTAGCTCTTGTATAGAATGTAAGAGGAAAGGACATATGTCAGAGCCCTTTGCTTTTATGTAAAAGCCAAGGGAGTTCAGGTAAATGGAGTCAAGGCAATAAAGGGAAACAGATTTCAAGGGAAAAAAATCAGGAAAATGAGGCATTAGGTATGTGATGAAGGAAAGAATTTTTAGGAAGAAAAAGTAACAGTTTTAAATGCTTCGAAGATAATTGAGTAAGAAAAGCATAAAATAGGTTTCCCTTGCTTTTGACAACATGGCCATCCATTGAACACCTTTCTAAAGTACTCAGCAGATTCATAGTGGCAAGAGGCACACTGAAGAGGTAATAAATGAATGATGAAGAAGAAGAGGGGACTATAGAAATATTCTGTCAAGTATCCTTGATGTGAAAGAGAATGAAGGACAGAGGAGGTTGTGGAGTTGCAAAGGTTTTCAAAGATAAGAGACATTTGAGTTGGTTTAGATGCTTGGGGGGAAAGGCAGGGAAGTTGAAGACCAAGTGGTGGTGGGCATGGTGTCTCTCTAGAAGTAAAAACATATGGGTCATTAAGCATAGGCAAAAACCTTATATTAGAAGATACATACTTTTAACTCACCAAATCAGAAAGAAGAAAGAATGAATAGCAGCAGTCAGCAGAAAGTGTTGGGAGAAATTTCTTATTTGATGATCTTGATTTCTTCATTAAGATGTAAATCTGGGTTACCTGCTGAGGAAAGAAGCAAACATTTAGATTATGAGCCTCTCAGGGGAATAGGAGGGGATCACTGAGCCGTAATCAGAATAAAGTGGCAATTCCATATGGAGTAAAATAAAGAATCAAACGTGTGGACTGATACTCTTGGAGCATTACAGGGAAAGTAGAATGGAAAGAGAAGATGGCAAGAAAATTGAAGAAAAGGTCAGAAAGTAAATGAATTGATGGATTATTAGTTTCAGGTTCATTAGGCAAGATGACAAAGCCTGATGGAGGGAAACTACCATTGGTTCAGGGACTGGTGGCCTTGAAAATTTCATAGAGAATGTGAGAAAGCCCAGGGGCATGAACGGAGTTGTGGGGAGGAGGTGCGAGTGTGTAGACGTGTATTTAGGATGGACTGTGCAGACAGGGAGAATTAGAGAGATAAAATATGTAAAACCATAAGTGTGTGTATATGTATGCAGGTATATACATATACTTATGTATTTATTAAATATTTAAATTAAACATGAAATATATGATATGTAATATAATATACTTATATAATATTAAATAAATTTATATAAATAATATACACATATAAGTATAAATATTATGTATATATAATAATATGTACCTATGTGTATATAATATTTACACTAGAAAGGCAAGAAATAAGAAAATGTATCCAATCATAAAAATGGGATGGAGGAATGATGCAAAGATTGGGGTAGAAAATAATTTAGTTCTCCACTCAATTATTTTTATTCTTGGCTGGAAAAATGGATGAGATGCATTGTCAGATTGAGTCCAAAAGCTATTCTGTCTTTCACCCTCTTGAAAGTTCTACATTCAGAGTATCTTTTGTCTCGTGGAAGATAAATATATTCAGCCAATACTATCCATGTTTTCACATTGAAACCAAAAATGAATCAATTATTTCAGTAAAGCAAGGTGTATATAAGTTATGATTTGTATTTCCCCATTTTTATTTACCTGTAGTGTTTTCTAAACCAGTCACAGTCTGGATTTACTTTACATTATTATTATTTATTATTATTATTATTATTATTATTATTATTTGAGATGGAGTCTCACTCTGTCACCCGGGCTGGAGTGCAGTGGCACAATCTTGGCTCACTGCAACCTTCGCCTCCCAGGTTCAAGCGATTCTCAAGCCTCAGCCTCCTGAGTAGCTGGGACTACACGCGTGTGCCACTGCGTCTGGCTAATTTTTTTGTATTTTTAGTAGAGATGGAGTTTCACCGTGTTGGCCAGGCTGGTCTTGAACTCTCGACTTCACATGATCTACCTGCCTTGGCCTCCCAAAGTGCTGGGATTACAGGTGTGAGCCACCGCGCCTGGCCTGCATGATTATTTTTAAATGACCAGATTCATTCCACATTTCCAGATTATGCTTTGATACTAGAAATTTAGAAAGAATAAAACCCCACAAGAATAAAAATCTAGCAATCAACTGCATGAATATATTTTAGTAAAAGTTGGAGCAACAGATGATAAAATTCCACAAATTCAGTGAACTCTGAGAATAAATATGGAAGGTCCGCAGTTAATTATCCTGCAAAGAAAACGAACCTTGAACTTTCTGTTAATAGACTTTGCTTCCCAATTAAAAGCTAGCAGTTTGAAAGGTTTACCTCATCAGCGATTCCCTATCCAGTTTTCAGATGCAGTTAGCCCTTGGATTGACTTGCATATTTATCCCTGTTGAGGATGTTATACGTTTCTATCTCCTTTTAAATAAGGGAACTTTGCCAACAATTCGTCAGTATTTGCAAATTAATTATGATTAAACTTTCATAATAGGGATTATGGTTAATTGTTGATTCATCTCCCAGTCCTCCTTTTTGTGACTAATTCTCTTATCAGTTTGACCTGAGGTGGCAGATACCACAATTTCCTATTAGACAACTTCTCTCACAATTACCTAAGAGCCATGAATTTGATTTAGAAATGGGGTTGTATGTGTGTGTTTTTCTATCACATATTAAACGCACAATCTGTAAAAAAGATTCAGGAGGATGTTTGGGAAATGTTTTCTGTGATATTTATTTTTCTTCAGAAGAAGTGCCAACAATATTTCATTTATGGTTTTGATTCCCCATATGCCAATTTCAGCACCCTCTTATTTCACCAGGGTCATTTATTTGGTATTTAGTTATGCTTCTGATATTTGCTGTCATCATAAAGACCTGACATCTTCCCTAGCTTCAAAAGAACAATTTGACTAATGCTAACATTTAAATATATTCAGAAATTTTACTTTTCATTAATGAGACAGGAAGCCTCATCTCTATGGACTGCTAACATGATGATTTGGTGGAAAATAAAGTCCAGCCAGCTGTTAAGTTGAATTAAAAAATTTACCAATAATAATGGAATATTTTTGCCCTGTCTTGTACAGTCATATTAAGATTTGCAATATGAATATCCATATCTGGAATAGGACTATAATACCATAAATAGCTTAAAACATAGTCTTCATGTTTTCAGTAAATGTTATGACAGTGTATTATATATTAATTATAAATTAATATGTAATACAAATCTTCACAAATCTGAAAATGCCAAATTTAGTGAATATTCAGCTTTTTAAATTTTGAAATGGAGTCTCACTCTGTCACCTAGGCTGGAGTGCAATGGCGTGATCTTGGCTCACTGCAACCTCTACCTCCTGGGTTCAAGTGATTCTCCTGCCTCAGCCTCCCAAGTAGCTGGGAATACAGGCACCCGCCACCATGCCTGTGCTATTTTTTTTTTTTTTTCATAGAGATGGGGTTTCACTGTGTTGGCCAGGCTGGTCTTGAACTCCTGACCTCAGGTGATCTGCCCACCTCAGCCTCCCAAAGTGCTGGGATTACAGGTGTGAGCCACTGCACCTGGCCAATATTCAGCTTTTAATAAAATTTTTCTTTTAAAGATGATTTTACTTTCTATCAGATTCCTATTGCATTGAGGACTTAGTTTTGCTTTATTTTTATTGTTTTTTCAAATGTTTTACCAAGTACAACTTGTCTCTAAGATTCAAAACAGTGTACATTTTGAATAGATGTATCATTTATTTTATGTATATGCATAATAATGGTTAGAATGCTCACAGTTATACTGTTCATCAGTAACCCTGTGAATACAGGGTTCACATCCAAGATGTTCTCACTGGTCCGTGGCAAAGTAAGAAAATGAGAACAACTTTCCACATTTTTCATAAAAATAGAAAGGATACAATTTAAATAATTGTCCTCCATTTTGATATTATGGGTTTTAAAAACTAATGATGGTTTTTAAATGCCCTTTGTTTCATGAAATAATAATGATGCTTTATTAAATGATAGAAATATATTGGAGGTTATTATTACTTGGAAAAACTAAGAGCTAGAACTCCTATATCAATTTCACAAATCGATCACACATTTATTTTTAATTTCATATTTTTTCTCTGAAAATTATGAATCTGGAAACCACTGCTGTGAGCGGAATTTTGTTATTCCTAGATCAGAGATGACACATAATGTTGAATGATTTGTCTGTGGTCAGTTACGTACTAAGTGGTGGAGCCAGGAGGAATATCAGCTACCCGTGTGCCAGCACCTCATGGTCCCCCTCTCATCACCATTATTATTAGAATACATGGCTAGATTGCAATATTAGGTAGGCAAATTGAGAGTCCATGTTTGTTCCTCATAGCAATGTGATTTGTTCCTTATGTGAGGTATTCCTTCAAATTTAAAAAGGATTGTGTTCTAATCTAAAAGGTCATTCATAAGCCACTCATTCGAAACATCTTCCCAGATACTTAGTTTTATGAAATTCTCAAGACTGACACCCCAAAGCATCCTTAATCTATAATAAACACAGGAGTACAGGGAAGCTCACCTCCACTTTGTTTACATTTCTATGGGCAAATGTGCCGACTTTCTAGTGAGATGTGAGGAATTTAAGTGCCCTTACTGCAGCCTTGGGAATAGAAACAGGATCATCAACAGCCTCCACTCCTGCCATCCTCACCCATGCATGAGCAAGGCCTGTTTAGAGAGGGAGAAAGAAAAAGACCTTATATTACTTGGAAAATGAGAAGCAAAGATTTTAGACAAGAACCAATGACTGGGAACCAAAATGCAATGAGGGCTTGGCAGCCCAGGAGTAGTGGCTGCTGTTGTGAGACACATGGAGCTAAAATGGGAGAGATGAGAAACTGTGAGCTTTGAGGATTGTAAGAAGGAAGGGAGCTGCAACAAAGGTCACAGGTCTGTGGGGTTGCCACGCCTCCTATTTTCTATCTCTAATCTCCCTTTTGATTTTCACAATTGGTCCTGTTCTTATATGTCTGGGTGAAAGTAAGGGAAGATCTGTGGTTTTTGGTAGGATAGAGTTTCATGTGCCATCATCTCCTTCCTTGCCATTATTGTAAAGATTCCTCCACTAGAGTTAGTGATGATGGCAACAGACAAATGCCGGATGAGAGGTTTGGGTTATCTCTCATATTATTAAATAGTGATAGAAAATTGGCAAGTTAAAGACTGGCCGCAAAAAGCTTCTGTAAGGGCCAAGGGAAAACTTCTCTTTTGCCCTCTGAAGGTTTGCTGAAAAATCAACTGAAAAAAGTTAGCTTGGTAGGTGAAAGGCATACAAAATGTATTTTAACATGCATAGCATGGAAGAATCACAGGAGGATGATTACCCAATAACCCAATAGGAGCATAGATGTAGATATACCCTTCTTCACGGGGGAGGGAAGATGGGGAAAATATGGCAATTTGGAAAATAGTAAATGATTTTTTAGGGGAATTCAAGAACCTACAATGGCCTGGGACAAAGTCTGTTGGGCCCACAGAGCAGATAGTGGTTTGTAACAAAAGTCTGTTCAGGTGTGCCGACAGACTTCAGTCTCTCTTCATGTGAAATGAGTTAAATTAATGAAAACTTAAGCAAGAGGGCCAGAGGAAACTTTTCCTCCTGGTGGGATCAGACTGTAAGTAGATACGGGAGTATCAGAGTAAAACTTATTTCAGCATTTGCTGGTCTCCAAGAGCCTTTAATTTAAAATAATCAGCATACCAGCATGCTATATTTTCGGGTATTGGTTTCTGAGCCTCAATATCTCATAGAATGAATTTAACAGCATTTTATGTTAAAACCAGATATATATTGGACTCCCTACGTCTTAATAATAATGAATGTGTCAGAAGGGCAAGTGTTCAAGTGTATTTCAACCACAAGTCAGGATTTTATGTTTCTGTTAACAAGGTTGATGGCATACTAGAGCTGTCTCAATAGTTAGTTGTTGCTTTTTTGAATGATTGACAAGTCAATTAGATTTTAACATTATATCTTTACACTTAATTTCTGTAGTTACCTTTAAAATTGCCCATTTTGGTTAATGGCCAGAGTGCTGACCAGCTCATTCCCCTGCAGCCTAAGCATTTAAACATTTCCTGCTACCTTGTATGGTGCTATGAGACAGCTGTCATTGAAGAAATTCTGTTGAGAATCTGAATTACTCTCCTTCTGTATTATTTTAATGTTTGATATTCACATGATGGTTGTTTTAACCATTTTTTTTTACTTTAAAGAAAAAGCTATAAACTAGTTATATGATCTTTTCTTCTTCCTTTCATATGATGCTGCTAACTCAATAGAGAGACACCCGATTACAAATGCTATTGATGGAAAGAACACTTGGTGGCAGAGTCCCAGTATTAAGAATGGAATCGAATACCATTATGTGACAATTACCCTGGATTTACAGCAGGTATAGTTCCTCTTTTTTTGTCATTTCCACTTTTGAAATTGCATTTTACATTTGCTATTTGTTTAGTTAGTGGTTTGTGGGTGAAAGGATACTCTTTCTTATCACTCTCCATTGTTTTCTTGATAAGATGAACAAAGGGTCCTATTCATATAGCGTATTGTTATTTACGAGTATTCAGCATTTAATTATAAAGCACAATTCAAATGGAAGCACGTGAAGAGCTTAGAAATGAATTAGGTGCTAACTCTGTTTTAGCTAGCTGGACTTAATGATGAAAATATGGATCAATAAAATTTTACATAACAAAAATATAATAGTATCATTTTTAACTTTTAAAATAATACATTGCTCCCACTGTGCTGATGGTGTGTGCACTTAAAGGTTCTTGGATAACAAGGCTCTTGAGCAAATTGCCTCTCATTACTGAGAGCTGAGAAAGTTTTGACAGTTGCTTTCAAGTTAAACTTGGGTGACTAAATGAAGTAACAAGCTTTGTAGTTATACAAAATTGATGCCGGAAGTTGTTCAAGTTTGTCTTGCATAGGCCTGGGTGCCTTCTATGCTTAATCTCTTTCTTCCTTCTCTTCACAATATTCAGGTCAGGCTGAAGTTATTAATCAGGAATCGCCAGCACCTCAAATTATTTAGGCTTGCAATTAGGATGGAAAGTGGACAAATGCCACATTCCATCCTATTTGTATGCCTAAATAATGTGCAGGGGTGATGGTCAGGATAGTTAATGACAGACACCATACACTGTAAAGGTCATGGTTTTTATAAGTTATCACTGTGTGGGGAAGCCCCCAGCCAGTGGGCCAGATCAGCACAAGACATTTTCCTAATGGATGCCATTTGCCACCAGCATGAGTACAATCTCCCTCCTCCAGTGTCTAGGTTCATTTTGGTGAGGGCTGCATATATTCAAGAGCCACAGAAAGCTGGCTGGAGCAAACAAGCTGGTGGATTGCACGGTAGACCTGCCTTCCACCCATATGGGCCTCCTCGGGATATGAGGAACTGGTGGCGGCAGGGGCTCAGTGCTGCAGCTTATATCACCAAATGGCATGGACTTATTTCTACCCTCACTAATATACAGCAGCTGAATGTCAGTCCTGAGTTAATAATATTTCTCAGGAAGTCTCAGAGCACTATCAGAGAATGGCAGGGCAAGCTACCACACTGATCAATCATGCTTTAGGAAAATTAATCCTGTGCATGAATCCCCTGGGGATCTTAGCCTCAAAATGGACTGCATACCACTCCTGATAAAGACAACTTTGTCCTTTATTGGTCACAAGAGTTCTCCCCCTTCATGTGATCATTGAAAGTCTAGTCTCCCAATCAAGAGTGAGTCTGCTGTGCATTGACTCAGGTCATCTCCAGGGACAGGCAATCAATAAATAATGATGCTTTATTGTTCTGGTTTATTCTCCATTTATTCTTTTAGATTGCACATAGAACAATGGGGTCAATTATTAATATAATTTGCACAAATCACTTATAGTACTCTTTGAGCTGAACAGCAATATTATTTACCTGTTATCAAACATGGCAGCATTTTTCCCCTCCTAATTTACAACTGGATGGCGCAACCACAAGTTTTTACTAAATCATTTCTAACTTGCCTGTTTTTATCAATTCAGCAAGTCAAAGAGTTTACCTGAAAGCCTATTTTTCAGTGATGTCATTGATATTTTCCTAAATTTACTTTGCATACTCACTCATCCATTCCCACACAGTATCTTAAGAATTATGTGGATTTGTCGTTCTGTTTTCTCTTCCTCCCATTTAGTTTAATGGAGGTAAGATGAGTGAATATGCCAAGACATATTTTATGCTTCATTCATCATAACAAAGTGCCAGAATTCTGTATATAACCCAGGTCTACCTGACTCCAAAGTCTGAAATTCACCAAGTGGAATTGGTACAGAGCATATGTGTTCAAATTGTCCCATATTCCAGGATGGTGTCCATCCATATCCTTATTTATTCCAGCTTTCTATTTCCTGAAAATCAACCTACTGTGTGTGTAGAAGAAGGGGAATTCAAGTAATCTCTAAAAATGTAATAAATCCTTATTTCTACTTGACTCAAGATTTTAATTTAGTCAGTTATTTAGTGATGTGAAAAGTTAAACAGGTTTTGTAATCAAGTTTCGTGATGGAACTTCTCAGACAAGAAAGAGCTTCAGACTTCCAATTTGGCCTCAGGCTTTGGAATAACAAACTGTGAGACATGTTTATAATACTTATTCAGCTATGGATGGTATATTGTACTGCACTGGCAACAGAGAAAATGTGGACATTCTTATTATGTAACTCCTCACAATAATCCTGAATAAACCAGCTAATATTAATATTCCTATTGCATAGTTGAAGAACACTGTGCTTTAGAAAAGTTCAGTGACTTGGCCTTCTTTCTAAAGCTTATTATGGGCAGGGCTGGGGCAACATGAATAGTCTGAATCCAGACCCAAATACACTATCTTTTCTAATGGGTATCTGAAGACATAATCCTAGGGAGCTCAGGATAATTTTTATTATATATTTTCAAGGGCTCCAAATGTAGTTCAGGTTCAAGAAATATTGCACTATCTTCTCCTGGCTTCTATGGGATAATATAGCCAACAACCTGTTTCGTTATAAAGCAGGGGACTAGAACCCTCATTTTCTAGTATACTCTAGTGTGCCTCTAAAATGGCAAAGCTTCTGTCTTTTCTACCTACCGCATGAAGGATTAATAGGTTATTCAAAATAAGATGAGCTATTATCCAACTGGGATTAAAAGGCAGTAAAATTATAATGAATAGGTAAATATCACTAAATGTTTGTTTGTCATTTATTCAGCAAGAGACTTGACCATTTATTAGTTCTTCTTTTGTATAAATTTCAACAAGTGCCAGTATTGTTGTTGATAAATGCTTGGCTCCTCTGTGACACATTTTCATAAATTAGTATCTTAAACATAACAGAAACGATTGCATTTATTTGATTAAATCACTATAGATTACAGTGGGTTTTTTTTTTTTTTTTTTTACATTTTAACATTCAAGATAAGCACTAGAAAAAATAGCAATTTGTTTGGAAGAAAGTAGCTACTTATTTTATAAGTAGATTGTTCTTAGATACGTATTACTAAGGGATTATTAACTTTTCTCATTCTATTTACTCATAGCATATTTTGAGCAAGTGATTTAATCATGCTGTGCCTCAACTTCTAGATTAGCAGACTAAATATTACAATATCTTGGCAAGAAAATTAAAGTAATGATAATGGCAATATAGCAACTAAATTCCATCTCACAATTACAGCTATTAAAAGGATCTAGAGTCAGCATGAACTTAAAGAAAAGCTTAACTGTTCCAGTGACGTGTATATAAAAACTCAATATAATTGCGAACAAAAATATACAACAATTTAAAGGAGACAGTAATAGGGACTCAAACGTTAATAAGATGTCTAAAACATTCTATTTTAGTCTTTTTCCTACCAGATTTCACCAGAATATGTCATTATGTCTGATTTTATTTATTTCTTTTAAAATCTAGCCATTATCTCCGTCATGCCCTTTGATTTGTTTCAGAAGAAAGCTGATTGGCAGGCGGGGTAAAACAGAGGGAGGCAGCTTTTCAGTAGACTTTTCAAACACATATTGAGGTGATACTCACTCCTGGCTAATCCAGGAATGCCATTAATTAGTTAAGCTCATGTCTTAACTAGGAGTCTTCTCCTCAATAAGCAATTCACTTCTCTTCCTGGTCTATCCCTCAAAACTAAGAATGCGTTTACCAAACAAGATTATCTTACAGCTACAGAGATCACACTCCACATATTCTTAACCTAAATATTTTATTCACTGATCTTGCAGAGAAAAATTTGTTTGGACAAGTTAACAGTTTTAACTGGAATTTATGTTTTAGGAGGAGGATAAACTACTATTTCTATGCAAATATTACTATACTTTTAGAATCCATGTGAATAGTATAAAATGATTTTTCTCTAAAGCCTAGAATCATTAATGTAATGGTTAAACATTTCTGCAATAATAAAACATAAAATACGTGGAAATACTTTATATATTCAAGTTTTAACAATCATTTAAACATATTAAAGGTGATCCAATTTTCAGTCTTGAAGGAAGGTCATTATTCTTTCATGTCAATTCTTTCCTCATGCTCTTCTTACTGATTCCTGATTACTGATTAAAGGATGTGTTGTACAAGGAGGGAATTTTGGAAAATTCACAAATACATGGAAATTAAACAACATACTCCCAAACAACCAATGGATAAAGAAAAAATTAAAAGAGAAATTTAAAAATAACTTGAGACAAATGAGAATGGACACACTAACACTGATAAGAAGAAGCAAAAGCAGTTCTAAGAAGAAAGGCTATAGTAATAAATACCTACGTCAAAAAGAAGAAAGATCTAAAATTAACAACCTAAGGTTACATTTCAAGAAAGCAAAAAAAAAAAAAAATGAAGAAAAGATAAAAGAAAGAACAAACTAGGCCTAGAAGTAGCAGAAAGAAGGAAATAATAAAGGTCTGGGTAGAAATAAATGAAATAGAGACTAGGGAAACAATGGAAGAGATTAGCAAAACTGTCACTTGGGTTTTGGAAAATATAAGCTAAATTGACAAAAGTTTAGCTAAACTTTCTAAGAAAAAAGATCAGAATTGAAAGAGGAGACATTACTACTGATACTTCAGAAATACAAAGGATCATAAGTGACTACTCTCAACAATTATATGCCAACAAACTGGATAACCTAGAAAAAATGGAAAAATTCCTAGACCTACTAACACTGAATCATGAAGAAATAGATAACATGAGCAGATCAATGAAGAGTAAGGAGATTGAATCAGGAATAAGAAATACCCTATCAAAGAAAAGCCCAGAACCTGATGGTTTTACTGCTGAATTCTACCAAACATTTAAGGAACTAATACCAATCCTTCTCAAAATCCTCCAAATAACTGAAGATGAGGGAGTACTTCCAAACTTATTTTATGAGGCCAGCCATTAGCCTGATACCAAAGCCAAAGACACTGCAAGAAAAGTACATTACAGATCAATATTTTTGATGAACATAGATGCAAAACTCCTCAAGAAAATACTAACAAACCAAATTCAGCAGCACATTAAAAGGATCATTCACTGTGATCAAGTGGGATCACTACCAGGGATGCCATGGTTTAACCTTTGCAAATCTATAAATGTGATACCTTACATTAGTAGAATGAAGGACAAAAATCATATGATCATCTCAATAGATGCAGAAAAAGCATTTGACAAAATTCAACATTGTTTAATGATAAAAGCTGTCAACAAATTAGCTATAGAAGGAATGTACGTCAACATAATAAAGACTGTATATGACACATCCTCAGCTAACATCATACTCAATAGTGAAAAGCTGAAAGGTTTTTCTCTAAGATCAGGAATAAGACAAGGATACCCACTTGCACCACTTCTATTTGGCATAATACTGGAAGACCTAGCCAGAGAAATCAGGCAAAAAAAGAAATAAAATTGTCATCAAAATTGAAAAAGAAAAAGGTAAAGTGTCTCTTTTTGCAGATGACATAATCTTACATATAGAAAACCCTGACTCCACCAAAATAACTGTTAGAACTAATAAACAAATTCTGTAAATTAGCAGGATACAAAATCAATATACTAAAATTAGCAACATTTCCATAAACTAACGAGGAACTATCTTTAAAAAAATCAATAAAATAATCCCATTCACCATAGCTAAAAGAAAAATAAAAAATTTGGTAATAAATTTAACCAAGAGGATTGCTATGATTTGGCTCTGTGTCCCCACCCAAATTTCATCTTGAATTGTACTCCAATAATTCCCATGTGTTGTGGGAGGGACCTGGTGGGAGATGGCTGAATCATGGGAGTGTTTTCCCCCATGCTGTTGTCGTGGTAGTGAAAAGTCTCATGAGATCTGGTAGTTTTATCAGGGGTTTCCGCTTTTGCATTTTCCTCATTCTCTCCTTGCCTGCTGCCATCCATGTAAGACAGGACTCCTCCTTACCTTCCACCATGATTGTGAGGCTTCCCCAGCCACATGGAACTATAAGTCCAATTAAACCTCTTTCTTTTGTAAATTGCCCAGTCTCAGGTTTTTTTTTTTTTTTTTTTTTTTTTGAGACGCAGTCTCGCTCTGTCGCCCAGGCTGGAGTGCAGTGGCGGGATCTCGGCTCACTGCAAGCTCCGCCTCCCGGGTTCATGCCATTCTCCTGCCTCAGCCTCCCAAGTAGCTGGGACTACAGGCGCCCGCCACTACGCCCGGCTAATTTTTTGTATTTTTAGTAGAGACGGGGTTTCACCGTTTTAGCCGGGATGGTCTCGATCTCCTGACCTCGTGATCCGCCCGCCTCGGCCTCCCAAAGTGCTGGGATTACAGGCGTGAGCCACCGCGCCCGGCCTCAGGTATGTCTTTATCAGCAGTGTAAAAACAGACTAATACAGAGATGAAAGACTGGTACACTGAAAACTGTAAAACAGTGATGAAATAAATTGAAGACACAAATAAATGGGAAAACATCCTGTGTTTTGTGGAATAACTAATATTATTAAAATGTCCATACTACTCAATGTGATCCACAGATTCAGTGCAATTCTTGTCAAAATTCCAATGACGTTTTTCACAGAAATAAAAATAAATCCTAAATATTTTATGGAACCACAAAAGGTGCTAAAGCAATCTTGAGCAAAAAGAACAAAGCTGGAAGCATCACACTATCTGACTTTAAAATATACTACAAAGCTGTAGTAATCAAAACAGTATGCTGCTAACTTAAAAACAGATACATAGACCAACAGAATAGAATAGGAGCCCAGAAATAAATCTAAGCATTTATGGTCAATTGATTTTTGACAAAGATGCCAAGAACACACAATGGGATTGAACTGTCTGTCCAGTGAAGGGTGTTTGGAGCAGTAGATGTCCACATGCAGAAGAATGAGTATAGACCCTTATCTCATGCCATATAAAAAATCCATTCAAATTCTAAATGAATTAAAGACTGAAACTGTAAAACTACTGAAAGAAAACACAGGGGAAAAGTTCCATGACATTGGTCTGGGCAATGATTTTTTAAAGATATAAACCCCAAAGCACAGGAAACACAATAAAACATAGACAAATGAGATTACATTAAACTGAAACACATCTGGATAACCAGGGAAACAATCAACATGGCTGCTCTTCAAATCACTGAATTTATTTTGTTGGTACTATTTGGGTCACTGCTAAATTGGTGAATACCAAACTAACACAGAAGAGATTATAATATACATGTTCCAAATGTAGATTATACCTTACCTGAGTATACCTTAAGTACAACAGAATATAGTTAAAATCACAGTTCTTTACCTGTTTTAATTGTATATAGATTTTTAAGATCATTTGTTCAGTATCACAAGTAGAATCTGTGGTTAATTAGAAAATATATTTTCCCTTTAAATGAATTTGTGCTGACTTTTAAAATTATTAATAAAGGTGACAGCTAGCTTTGGTGTCTATATTGAAGAAAATGTTCATCCTAATTGGTTTCCGTTTGTCTACCCTTTGGTCTGCTTTCAACACAGCAGTCACAGCAATCTCATTAGTACAGATCACATAACACTTTCCACTAAAAGTGGAAATCTTATTAGTACAGATCACACAACACTTTCCACTAAAAGTCTCTACTGGTTTTCCATCACATTCAGTGGGAAAAGCACAATGACCCACAAGGCCTTAAGGACCTTTTCCTCACCTCTTTTCATCTCTGGCCTCATCTGATCTCTCTTCCTCAGTTGCCCAGCTGGTCATCCCGCTATGTCTTGAACACTCACACCTGCCTCAGGGCCTTTGCACTTGATATTTCTTATGTCTAGAATTATTTTCTTCAATTTCAATGTAGCTTGTTTCCTCACCTCCTTTTGGTTTTTATTCAAGTGTTACCTTCTCAACAAGGGCCTCCTTGACAACTCTATTTAAAATTGCAGCTCCCAGCCTGTCCACTTCCTAAACCACTTTCCTGCTTTATTTTTCTCCATAAAATATATCACCATCTAACTTACTATGTACATGTTACTGTTCAGTTGAATATTTATCTTTCTAAATGCAATTTTTTTGTGCGTGGAGCTATTTGTTGTTGTAATCATTGCTTTCTAAGCACTTAGAATAGTGCACAACATATAGGAAGCATTCAATGTGTTTGTATTAAGTTAATAAATGACTGAATGAATAACTAGTACAAACCACCAATCCATAATTTAAGAATCTTATTGAATCTGAGAATTAAAGGATTAAGTGATTTCACTGTGCTTCTTATGATAAAACACACTGCACTTTTTCTAATTATGAAATTTCCTTTAAGGTTGAATGGCATTGTTTTAGTCTATTTGGGCTATTATAACAAAGTACCAGATGAGGTGGCTTATAAACTGCAGCAATTTATTTCTCATAGTTCTGGAGGCTTGACGTCCAAGATCAAAGCACTGGCAGATTCAATGTCTGGTGAGGGTCTGCTTCCTGGTTCATAGATGGCCTTCTTCTTGCTGTAGCCTCACATGGCAGAAGGGGCAAATAAGCTTTCTGGGGTTTCATTTATAAGGGTACTAATTCCATTCTTGGGGGCTCTGTCCTCATGACCTAATTACCTCCCCAATCCCCATCACCTAATACCATCACATTAGGGGTTAGGATTTCAACATATGAATTTTAGGGGAACAGAAACATTCAGTCTATAGAAAGCGTGAAGTAAATTTTCTTCCAGTTCCTATGCATGTTCTTACTCTGCTTTTAAGCGTATTCTAAATTTCAGTTGTATCTGTCACTATGTGACTTTACCACACTTACAGCTTTATTTAGGAAAAGAGATGTTAATTATTTTAACTCTTCTTTTGTAACAGAGAAGTCTGGGACTGTCATTTTTTGTTTTTTGCTTGACATTGTATTTTTTCCTCATAGAACAAAAGTTAGTATAAAAGAAAGGGAAAAAAGGCCATACAATGATGCTGTTTAAACAAGAGTGTAAATGTAGGATATGTATTTTGATCTAAAATGTTGATAAACCAAATTCTAGCAATACCATGAAAATGTAAACATTTTGGAGACCCAGATCCTATTTCAAATAGAGTCAAGATGACTGCCCTAGAAAATGCTTCTTGAAGTCATGGAATAAATTAGATGATTGTTTATTTAAAAAAAAAGAACAATAATACATAGGAGATCTGTTAAAAAATCTGTGAGGAAAGAGCTGTTAAAATGTTGAAACCACATGAATTCTGTTATGGAAAGTCTGAACAAGACTTTCTAAAATAGATTGAATGTGGGCAGTTTTCACAGCTGCCTGATGACTTCCACACACAAAACATCCACATTTCATCCTTTTGGTGGAATACTGTGTATTTTCCAATTTTATTCTTAGAGTTTAATTTTTTACTTACATATTATGCTTATGTATATCATATTTGTTATATATATTATATATAACTAATATACAATTATATTATTTATTTAAAAATAAGGAATTAAAAACAATTATATTATTTGTTTTTAAATAAGGAATTACAAAATAATGAAGAGACCGTATTTATTATAGATCTTGAAACTGTGACTAAAAACCCCATGCACAGAGAAAATTCTTGAGTCAAATGGCTTCATTGATGAATAGAAGTTAGAATACTGGTTATTGTTACAAGGAGAGGGAAGATAATGACTGGGAGAGGGTATGAGGAAAGTTTCATTTCTTATTTTTGATTATATAATTGTACAATAATAATGTGTTAGTACATAGAACTAATATAATTGTAAATAAGTGTGTTTATATATAATAAAATATACAAAATATAGATAATATATTGTATAATGTATAATTATATACAATATAATAAAAATGTGATAAATAATATTGTATAATATATAATTATATACAATTATATTAATTATATGTACTAATGTATTAGCTATATGTATTTATATGTACCTATATATAAGACTTTTTCTAGAAATTGACTACATATTTGAATTGTGAGACAGCATGTATGTTTTGATTCATAGATAAGATATGTTTCCAATATTACCCATATCTCTAAAATACAAACATGGCAAAAAAAGGCTGGAGTGAGACTAAGGAGAAAGGAGGAGCTATAAGTGTGCCCAGATTCCATTTCTTTACCTATGACTTATGCGTTGGTACATTTACCTTAGGTAACTTGTCCCACTTTTATGCTCTTCAATTTGGTCTAGTGTAAAATGGAGCAAATAGGCCCACTTCCTTATTACGAGGCATATTATAAGGATAAAGTGATGTGTTATAGGCAAAGAGCATAGCACACTGCTGCACTTTAGGTGATACTCAGAAAATATTACTTTTGGTCTTCCACATTGAAAATAATGGTGAATGGAGAATAAATGGGCTAAGTTGTAATGTGAAAAATGGAAAATAACAAAACAAAAGCTCAAAAATGCTTTAATTACTGGATATTGAAATGATACCTATGAGGTTCACTTTGTATATCACCTAAGAATATTATTTTACTCAATATATTTTTAGCACTTTATGGACATTAATATTTCTATGGAGAAAGCTTAAAAAGTGTCACTTGTGCATTGAAACTCTTTTGTAACAGCTTCTTTACTCTTCTGTTGTTGTCATGATATCCTCCAGATTACTTAAATTTTTAACCAAGAAGTAACCTTACTTATTACTAGTATGCTCTTTCCTTAAAAGCTTTTCTGATTTATGTTATTTTAATTATATCAATCTTGTTATTATGTACAGTTTTTAATTATTTTAATAATTTCAACCTTTCTGCAACTTTCCATTTTAGATATGTCTCATTAATGGCATATAGTGAAGTTTTGACGTTTTGTCTAGTTTGGCAGTGTTGGTCTTTTAATGAAACATGCATTTTCAGTGGATCTGTGTGTATCTAAGTGAAGCATGTACACAGAAAAGGTGACAAATAAAAGTCTGAGAGAATTTTTGCTAAATGAACCTTCCCAAGTAACTACTACTGAGACAAAAATAACCAGCAACCCAGAAACTTCCCTCATGCCTTTTCCAATCACTATCTTGCCTTCTCCCCTAATAGTAACCAGTATTCTAACTTGTATTCACCAGTGAAGCCATTTGATCTAGGAGTTTTCTCTGTGCATGGGTTTTAGTCACAGATTCCATATCTATAATAAATGTGGGACTCACTGGAGTTTTCATTTCTTATATTTTCAGTTTAGTTGAGTTGGGCTTTTCAAGAAATTGATCCACTTACCTAATTTTTCAAATATATCGACATGAGTTGTTAGTGATATTATCATCTTTTAATTTACAATGATCTGTAGTGATGCCCTTTTTTTATTCCAGATATTGTTGTGTAACCTTTGTTTTTCCTTTACAGCTTTAATAGGTCTTCATAATTTCATTAGTCTTTTTCAAATAGCCAGTTTTGGGCTTGATTGATTTTCTCTATCGTGAAATTGTTATATTGTATTGAATCCTGCTCTTATATGTCTTGTTTTTTACTTCTCGTTATTTTTTATTTTAGTTTACTACATTTTCTTAGCTTCTTGAAATGGATACCTATGTTATTAATATTTCAGTTCTTTTTTCCTAATATATTTATTAACGCCTACAATTTGCCTCTACATAGGGCTTTAGTTGCCTCCTACAAGTTTGATATATTGTATTTTTCATTATCATTTATTTTAAAATATATTCTAATTTTCATAGTAAATTTTTCTGTGGCCTCTGAGTTATATAGAAGTGAAGTGCTTAATTTCTGAACAATTGAGTATTTTTCTAATCGTTTTGTTTTTGTTGTTATTCCTTTCCTCACTAATTCCACTATGGTCAGTGTATTTTCAATTCTTTGAGACTAAACTTTTTGAGACTTGTTTTTATCCAACATATGGCAGTGACTTGAAAACAATGTGGACCAGTTGCCCTGGCTCACTCCTGTAATCCCAGCACTTTGGGAGGCCAAGGCAGGCGGATGGCTTGAGCCCAGAAGTTCAAGACCAGTGTGGGCAACGTGGTGAAACCTCATCTCTACCAAACAAAACAAAACAAAACAAAACAAAACCCCAAAACAAATTAGCTGGGTGTGTGCCTGTAGTCCCAGCTATTCTGGAGTCTGAGGTGGGAGAATCACTTCAACCCAGGAGGTAGAGGTTGTGGTGAGCCGAGATTACGCCACTGCACTCCAGCCTGGGTGACAGAGCTGGACATCAGACCCTGTCTAAAAAAAAGCAAAGAAAAGAATGCAGATTCTATAGTTGTTGGTTGCAGTACTACAAATATATCAGTGAGTTATATTTATATATATTGATACTTTTAAATTAGAGACATACAAATTTAGGATTATTAAATTTAATAATTTAAATTTTGTATTAACTCTTTTGTATTAACCACCTTTTTAATACTACTGCCAGCAGTACTTCTATCTTTAGAGTGTACTTTTGTATGTAGATTCACTAGCTTCCTTTTTTCTCTGTGTTTGCGTGATATAGGTTTTCTCATATGTTGAGTGTACTTATATTTAAGGTGTATCTTCTGTGAGCAGCATAAATTTGAATTGTTTATTTAACTAATCTGATAATCTTTTCCTTTAAATTGGATACTTAATTCATTTACATTTAGTGTTACTATACTGATATATGGGTTCAAATTACCATATTCTCATCTGTTTTCTGTTTGTCTTATCTTTTGCTAATTTTTCTTCCTCATAACTTTCTTACTTTTGGAATACTGAAGGTTTTTCCCTATTTAATTATTCCATTTCTTCTTTCATTAGCTTGTCTTCTGTGAAGTCTTTTATTACTCATACTAATTACCATAAATATGGTAACTTGCGTCCTTCATTTATCAGAACTTTGTAATATTTTACCTCAGTCCCACCTCCCCATCAGATTTAATTCTATAGTTCTCATATGTTTAATTCTATGTATATATTAAACTCCATAGGAAGTAATTGTTACCATCATAAACATGCAGTTTTCATCTAATTTTAAACACCTTTAACTTTTTTGTTTATTTTTTGTTAGTATACTTTGTTTATTTATTTATTTCTGTTAGTAAACTTCCATCAAGAAAGTATCCCATTTCTTTTCTGCCTTTTTTAAATGAAAGCCTGCTAGTGATAAATCTCTCATCTTTTGTTTGTTTTTTCACTTTTCTTTACTTTTGAGACTTATTTTCCACCAAGTATAAAGTAGAATTTCTTGCCTGGTTGGAATTTTGTTTTGTTTTGTTTTTTTCCAGCACTCTAAATATATCCTATCATTATTACTTGTTTTTCATTATTTCTATCATGAAGTAAGCGGAAAGTCTTATTGCTGGTTCTTGGAAACAAGATCATTTTTCCTTTCACTCCATTGAAGGCTATTTTTTTTAATTTTGCTTTTGGTGTTCAGGGGTTTACCACAATGTACTTAGGAATGATTTTATTGGTATTAATACTATTTGGGATTCAAAAGCTTCTAGATTCTGTGGATCAATGTCTTTCACCAATTTGGTAAAATTCTTAGCCGATATTTTCTCGAATGTTGTTACTGTCCATTCTTTCTCTCCACTCTCCCTGAGACTTCAGTCACATCCCTGCTAGACCGTTTGCCGTGCTCATTATGTATTCTATGGCTTCTTTTCATTTGTCTTCTCTTCTTTTGAGGTTTCTCAGTCTGTACATTTTCTGGGTGACCTGTTGTTTGGTATAAATAATCCCTTTTTTCTGCTGGATTCAATCTTCTATTACATACATTTACTGGATTTTTAATTTTTGTATTTTTATTTTTTAGTTTTAGAATATCCATTTGATACTTTAAAAAAATTAGACTCCAAATATCTCTCCACTTAGTCATCTGGAACATATTAATAACAGTTATTTTAAATTATATGTCTGATAACTCTGACGTTGGAAACAACTGGGAGTCTGTTTCTATTGTCTTTTCATGCATTCCTGTTTTATGACAAGCTTGGTCGTTTTTGATTAAATAATGTATGTGTCTGAAAATGTATAAAAATTCTGGAAGATGTTATTTTTCTCTTAAAATGATTTATTTTCATTCTGTCAAGAGTTAGTGTAGAGGCAAGTTGCTTTGCTTCAGTCAGCAACTCAAATGTTTTGTAGCTTAGTTAGAGATTCTGATGGTTGTTTCTAGTTTACTCTTAGTTCTAGGGATAGACTTTCAGGACTCCAGTGGAAACCCCGACTTGTTTACCACACTCTTTCCTTCTTGGCTGACTCTTAACTCCAAAGTTTGTCTTCCCAACTCTGGGAGACTTCCCAAGGATCTTCTTAGTTTTTCACTTCTCATGAGTTCATTTTTGCATGATGTTTATCTTCTGGCTCCTTCACCACTTAGAAATTGGCAAATCTCTTGAAGGCAAAAGCTGTGAAGAATGTAGGTCTCATTTCTCTATGAATTATGGTCCCTCACATCCTAGCTGACTTCATAGCCCTGAATTCTAATGTTTATCTTCTTATCCTGTGAGATTGCTGAACACACTAAGATGTAGCTTTCTCTATAACCTCCTATTCAACTGTCAGCAAATCAATAAAAGTACCCTGAGAGGAAAATGGCTAGCTTACCTTAATTTGCTTCCCTTTACTTAAGTCTGGCTGCCTTGGTTGCTTGCTGATGCCTTCAAACTGCTGTTTTTAGTATTTTATCCAGCTTTTATGGTTGTTGTCTTTGAGAGAAAATGGAAAGGGAAAAAATATTTATTTTATTTACAGTTTTAAAAACAAAAATCAGCATATTATCTGATAAAATTATTATTGCTTTTTGTGAATTTAAGGAATGTTCTGAATTATTGCTTCAATATTAAAACAATAATTATTGGAACATTTTGATGGATTATGAAGAAAGAATATGTAAAATTGGGATCGTGTGGAAAATCTGGTATGCATGAAATTGGCATATAAAGTAGGCCTAAACAAAGCAGGTGCTATTCTTAGTAAGAAGCTTCATGCCCCTTATGGCATATCTGCCCTGAATAATACATAAAGAAAATAATTTAACAATATGCGTTTGAAAAATATTTGTTGAGCAACTACTGTTTTTTAAGCAGTGTTCTAAGCCTGTAGGTCTGTCCATGAAGGAGACAGGAGTCCTTGCATTCCAGGGTTTTCAAGTAAACAATTTAGAATAGTGCAAGTTCATGAAAAAAAAAGCATAAGATTATAATAAGATTATAGACGGTGATGAAAGAGCTAATTTACATGTATGTTCTATGTATGCATTTTTCAGGAAGTGATATTTGAGCTGAGAATTAAAAACCAGAAAATACCAGTCATAGAAAAATCTGGGTAGAGTTTATTACCAGCAGGAATAAATGTGGGGTGCTGAGGAAAGGAAAGAAGGCCAATGTGGCTGGAACCTAGTGATCAAGAGCAAAGGTGGCATGAGATGCTGTCACGGAGGTCTCCAGGTCTTCTTAGCTCCTGAAGGGAGTAGTCAGTCATGATAAACAGTTTATATTGAATTCTGGGTATAATGAGAAACCCGCAGTGGTATTTAAGCAGGTGTAACATGATTTCCTTTATCTCATTAGAAGTAACATTCTGCTAAATGGAGAATGATTATAGTGAGATAAGTGTGAAAACTAGGTGGCAGTCAGGAAACCATAGTACTTTTTTAGCAAAGAGATGATGGTAACTTGGAATAGAGTGGTAGTAGCAGAGAGAAGTGGCAGGCTGAGATTTATCTGGAGTTCGGCATCACCCGAATTGATGGTGGAACAAATGTGGAGAGTGGGGCCAAAATGTTGACTCCTAGGAGTTTGGCCTGAAGAAATTTTCCTGAAATAGTATGGATTAAAGGAGGAGCAGAATGGAGATACTGGGTGGCAATTAAGGGTCTGTTTTAACGTGTTATCTTTGAAGCATTCGAGTGGTGCCAGGCATGGTGGCTCACTCCTGTAAGCCCAGCACTTTGGGAGGTTGAGGTGGGAGGATTGCTTAAGCCCAGGTATTCGAGACCAGCAACCAGCCCGGGCAACAAAGTGAGACCCCTATCTCTACAAAAAAAAGCAAAAAATTAGCCAGGCATAGTAGTCCCAGCTACTCAGGAGGTTGAGGCAGGAGAATCACTTGGGTCCAGGAGGTCAAGGCTGCAGTGAGCCATATTCATGTCTCTGCACTCCAGCCTGGGAGACAGAGCAAGACGCTGTCTCAAAACAAAACAAAAAAATTATTCAAGTGGAAATATTAAAGGGACAATTGGATTTATGAGTCTGGAGTTGAGTGATGTGCACTGGGAAAGAGACTGTACTTAACAGTAAAGGCCTGTTTAAGATCATTTAGAAAGCAGGTATAGAGATAAAAAGAGGGCCTATAATTGAATCCTAGGCACTTCAAATTTAAAGGTGGTAAGATCAAATACATCAAGAAAGAGGGAATCTTCAGCTATGGCAATGCAGATGCTGTGAGGTACAAATTAAACCACTCAGGTCTTGGAAATACCTAAACATAGGGGGAAAAAACACCTAAATTGTAATGAGTATATGTGTGTATATATATATAAATATATATAATATATTATATATAATATATAATACATATATAATATATCTTATATATTATATATAAATATATATATATAATATATATAAAATTAGAGAATCTTTAATAAGAGGTGAATGGCTCCAAACACAGATTTAATTTGGAAGCTCCCACCCTAGCAATACCTACTGGTGTTCATTTTATTTATGTAAACACACAAATGTTGACTATGTAATTTTTCAATTAAGGAAATAGCCAATAAAATTGTGTGGAAAAAAGATAGCGGTAGCAGATAATAACATCTTTTACTTACTAAAGAGATTGTGTCTAAATATTAAAAGTAATACATTCCCTTGTCAAAACACTTCATTTTTGTTTGTTTTCACAAATATTTTAATGTGGATTTTGAGTCAAATTTTCTGTAGGAAGGTCATGGTAGATTAATGTCAAATTAGCTGAAACAATAAACACAATGAAAAGAAAAATCAGCCTTGTAAGACAGTACAACTAAGGAGATCAGTTTAAAACACTAATGAGGAGTTGCCTCTCAGCACTGGGTCATTATGATTATACTAATATAATAAGTTAGGTTCAGGTTAGAAAGCAAAGATGAATAATCTTCAAAAGGCACAGTAAATAGTCAATTTAGTTGTCTACCTTCATAATATTTACTATTTCCATACTAAAAGCTTACAGTTGTGGGCTAGAATATATGATATTCACGTAATAATATTTAAATTGAATTTCATTTTTTTGCTTCTTCATTATCCTTACCTCTACCCTCCTCAATAAATTCATCTCAAATGATAAGATTTTCCATCCATCATTGTGAAGAATAATTTATTTACTTAATGATTCTGGAAATATGGGAATGTTTATAAAACGAAATACAAAAATTAAGAAATGGAGTGGGCAAGTAAAAAGACATTTTCCCACTGATTTTAGAATATACTCAAGAAAATTAAACTAGTGACAAAATAGATTTATTTAACTTATAAGCTAATTCATAAATTAATGGCAAAATTTATCACAGTATACATAACTGAGACTTTGCAGATTTTTTTGTAAATAGATAACATTCTGATACAATTAACAGATCTCCATCAGCTGCATTAGATTTCAAGTTGCCCTGCTACCACTGTATATATGCACATAGATAAATATGTATATGTAGTGCAACACAGATGAGAAGATATAAAGTTGTTTTATTTTGTTCGAATATGTATTACAGAGAACCCTATGTGCTGTATAGCACCTTATATATCTTTCTTTTAAGAGAACCTCATAGGACTTCCAAATTCTTCACTGAAATAGCTCCTACTTCTTATATTACCTTTCGATATGTCAGAAAGATTCTTTTTCTGGAAGCTGTTGTTCTCATCCACATCATTGCACAGGCTGACAATCAAGACACTATTTCTCACTTTCTTTAAAACTAAATCAGGATTTGAGGGAGTGGAGGGATGACTAGGCAGAGCAAAAGGATTTTTAAGGCAGTGAAAATACTCTGTAGGATAGTATAATGATGGGTACATGTCCAAACCCGCAGGACGTGCAAGGCCAAGAGTGAAGCCGAATGTAAACTATAGGCTTTGGGTAATTTTGACGTGTCAATGTCATTTCATCAGTCATTACAAATGTACTACTCTACTGGGGGATAGTGATAATAGGGGAGGTTATATGTTTATGGGGGCAGTGAGCGTATGGGAAATCTCTGTATTTTTTTTTTTTTCTTTTTTGAGACAAAGTCTTGCTGTGTCGCTCAGACTGGAGTGCAGTGGCACAATGTCGGCTCACTGCAGCCTCCGCCTCTAGCATTCAAGCGATTCTCCTGCCTCGGCTTCCTGAGTACCTGGAACTACAGGTGCGCGCCACTATACCCCGCTAATTTTTGTGTTTTTAGTAGAGACAAGGTTTCACCATGTTGCCCAGGCTGGTCTTGAACTCCTGACCTTAAGTGGTCTGCCCATGTCAGCCTCCCAAAGTGCTAGGATTACAGGTATGAGCCACTGCACCTGGCCAAAATCTCTGTATCTTCCTTTCAATTTTGCTTTGAACCTAAAATTCTCCCTAAAAAATAAAATATTAAAAAATAAAAGAAACTCTATGTACCCTACTGACTCTTTGTCAAAGATTATCTATTTTTTTTCTCAACTCATGCAATGTTTAACACTTTGGACCATATTATCACTTATGGTTAGCCTCTTATAATATGGTATGGCTATTTTTTTAAAAAGTCATGGTAAAATGACATAACAAACAATTTTTTATCTTAGCCACTTTTAAGTGTACATTGTTGTGCAACCATCATCACCATTCAGCTCTACAATGCTTTTCATCTTGTAAAATTTGAAATACTGCACCCATTAAATAATAACTCCCCATTCTCTCTCCCCCAGTCCCTGGCAAACACTATTCTACCTTCTGTCTCTATAAATTTGATCATTCTGGGCACGTCATATAAGTGGAACCACACAGTATTTGTCCTTTTGTAACTGGCTTATTTCATTCAACATAGTGTCTTCGAGATTCTTCCACGTTGTAGCATATATCAGAGTTTCCTTCATTTTTAAGGCTGAATAATATTCCAATGTCTATGTATAAGTAGACTCACACACACGTACATATATGGCACATTTTTTGTCCATTAATCCATTGATGAACACAGGTTAATTCCACCTTCTGGCTATTGTTCTTAATGCTATGAACATGGGCATATGGGCTTCAATCTTTAAGGTTTCAGTTACTCATGGTAAACTGAAGTCTGAAAATATTACATACAAAAACATTTTAAGAGAGAGAGAGGGAGAAGCTACATTCACATAACTTTTATTATATTATATTGTTGTATTTTTTATTAGTTATTGTTGTTAAATCTCTTACTGTGCCTATTTTATAAATTAAACTTCATCAAAGATGTGTGTGTATAGAAAAATACATTGTATATATGGGCTTCACGCATTGAATGAGGGTCTTAGGATGTATCCCCTGAGGATAAGGAGGGACTACTATAATTCTACTGTTAATTCTTTGAGGAACCACTATATTGTTTTCCATAGTGGCTGCACCATTTTACATTCCCATCGGCCATACACAAGGATTCTAATTTCTCCACACCCTTGCCAACACTTCTTTTTCTGTTTTTTTTTTTTTCTTTTTAAATAGTTAGCATCAAATGCGTATGAAGTGGTGGTGGTTCATATTTTCAGTCATCGTTTCCCAGTATTTCTTGAGACAATTTTGAAATATTGTAAGAGATATAAAATAACTTTGATGTTGGAAAGAATAGCAGTGAAGAATGCCCATGTAAAATTTGAGAATCTTGAAACATGACAGATACAACATTGCATTAAAGGAAATTAAATCCTGGACAATTTTGCTTAGCTTGTAAGTACATATACAACACATATACAAATACATGTACCTATAAGTACATATAAAATATATCCTTTCTAAATTTGGCTATATTGTCAGATACCTGAGAAAATTATTATCTTTATAGCCTCTGTGATATGTCGCCAATGCAAGGCCCATGAAAACTCAAAAAGAGTCAGTTAGTAAATGAACTCTTTTATTATTTGTATAAATTATAGTTTTTATAATTTAAATGTAACATATGAATACTTGTGTCTGGAATTACAATAGACACATTTTTATCTCCAGAGAGTTACTACTGGCACTTTTTGAAATCCTGTTTTGTCCTAGACACTGGACAAAATATTTTACATAAATTATCTTATAGAACTTTTCAACTCCGTAAGAAAGATACTATTATAATTAGTACATTTTGTATCACAGAAATTAAACAACTTCCTCAAAATGACACAGTTAGAAAACAATAGAGCACAAGATGAATCCAGTTCTTTCTGATGTCAAAGCCTGCCGTGTATACTCCAGATGACCTGAACCTTAGAGTAACTAAAAGCATCAGGGCTTCTCTGATATATAATTGTGAGAATCTCACTAAAAACAAGATTAAATTACTACAGAGGAGTCTTAGAATTTAAAACTCTAAAAAGTGAAACTTAGGATTTACCAAAAATGTTTCTAACTTCTCATATACATGTATGGATGTAACCTGAAATGCTGGGTTGATTATTGAAATGTCCATATGAACTTACAAATTTACCAGAAAAAAATCAAACTACCCCATCAAAAAGTGGGCAAAGGATATGAAGAGACACTTCTCAAAAGAAGACATTTATGCAGCCAACAGACACATGAAAAAATGCTCGTCATCACTGGCCTTCAGAGAAATGCAAATCAAAACCACAAAGAGATACCATCCCACACCAGTTAGAATGGCGATCATTAAAAAGTCAGGAAACAACAGGTGCTGGAGAGGATGTGGAGAAATAGGAATGCTTTTACACCGTTGGCGGGACTGTAAACTAGTTAAACCATTGTGGAAGACAGTGTGGCGATTCCTCAAGGATCTAGAACTAGAAATACCATTTGACCCAGCCATCCCATTACTGGGTATATACCCAAAGGATTATAAATCATGCTGCTATAAAGACACATGCACACATATGTTTATTGTGGCACTATTCACAATAGCAAAGACTTGGAACCAACCCAAATGTCCATCAATGATAGACTGGTTTAAGAAAATGTGGCACATATATACCATGGAATACTATGTAGCCATAAAAAATGAAGAGTTCATGTCCTTTGTAGGGATATGGATGAAGCTGGAAACCATCATTCTCAGCAAACTATAGCAAGGACAGGAAACCAAACACCGCATGTTCTCACTCATAGGTGGGAAACGAACAATGAGAACACTTGGACACAGGGTGGGTAACATCACACACCGGGGCCTGTTGTGGGGTGGGGTGAGGGGGGAGGGATAGCATTAGGAGATACACCTAATGTAAATGACGAGTTAATGGATGCAGCACACCAACATGGCACATGTATACATATGTAACAAACCTGCACATTGTGCACATGTATCCTATAACTTAAAGCATAATAATAAAAAAAGAAACTTAAAAAAAATGAAATGTCCGTATATTTTCTTGATTTTTTCCAAATGTTTTGAAGAAAGTTTTTGTATTATTAAATGCTATTCATTGGTCAATTTAAGTAATCTTCTTTTAAGAAATCATTCAGAAATTGTAGGTCCTTGATCGTAATTCTTTTTGGGTAATTTCAATTGCAATAGGTTAAACACTGTGCTGGAAGATTTGAGAAAGATTATCATTGGTCCATTTTGTCAAAATCATTTCCAGAAGTTTAAGTCCTTTTTTCTTCATTTTTAGTGTGATTCATTGATTTTCCTAAGGAAGAACATTTAACTTCTCTCAGTATTCACAAGGAATACCTGCTTGAATGTTTAAGTACCAACAGAGGATTTAAAGTTCTTATTACTTATGAGCATTAAATGAATTCAATACTCCAAATTTTATAGAAGAAGCATTTCTGAAGATAGAAAATAAGGATAATTTTTAAACACAAGAAATCACATGCTTTTCATATCATTATCAATGTGGAAAATGCTAAAACAACTTGCTATTAAAAACCATTTATCAGAAACTTGTTTAATTAATATGTCAAATATCTGGGTTTTTAAATCATGTATAACAATCAAAATATTCCTAAAAACATATTGAGAACTTTAACAAAACATTTTACAGTTGGAATGAAATTAGTACTGGATGATTGGATTAAAAGCCAGTAGAAATTATATATTATCCTATTTAAATGTAGGACTATATAAGTTATTGGTAATCCTTTTTCGTAATTTTATTACTTTTTCCAGTACCTAAGTGGATACTGGTGACTGGTATATAATAAGTAACCAATGAATAGATATTGAATAATGCATTGCTTTGCTCAATTTTCTCATCTCTGAGCTTTCCTGTCTGTGCTACTGCAACATTACTTTCTTAATTATATTCTCTCACTCCACTGCAATAATATTACAGATGTTATTCCCTGATTAAGAATAGTATAAATTGACAATCCAACCCCTCAAATGAAATTTTTTGGTGATCCAAACGTTTTAAACATCCAATAAAGATATAACATGCTAGTTCTCTAGTAGGCACCCATTTCCAGGTTTCCAAACGTTTCAACAAAAACATTTATATATTTCTCTATTGATTGCATAATGTGGAGATTCTGTTTTGAGAATGCACATAAAGTATATTATATTCTGAACTGTAACAAAATGAGACTCTAATTTATTCACAGTCCTTTTTAAATTTGTCTGTATTTTTGTTTTCCTGAGAAAAATCTTATCTTTATAGCCTCTCTGGATATTGAATATCTTGAGACTAGCTTTAATTCTCTTGATTTTTATTAAAACTTCTAATTCCAACTTTATTCGTGAACTACATGCTTATATAAAAGTACGTTTCATCAAACAGCTTTCTCTTTATCTCTTTAAAATCATTACCTTTTATTATTTTCAGTATGCTTTAATGCTTTAAAATTTTATTCTTGAAACATTTGGTTTTTCCATTGCTACTTTCCTATTGATTGTTTTCCTCATATGTATCTTGAGATTTTAGTCTAGGTTTTATAACAAGCATAGCTATATTTACAGATATTTTTTCTATAAAGTTTTCAATATAGATTCTGATTTTTTTATCTTATAAAAAATAGTTAACACCATTAACGTTTGGATTTATTTCTGTCTAGTTCTCCTCTGCTCACACACACACACACACACACACACGTGTACACACAAATACATATATATAAAATGGGCAGCACACTAATAAAGATAAAAATAAACTTTATAAAGTTTTACATTTTGTAACTGGATATTATATTGTGAACATCCCCATGTAACTGTGTAGTATTTGAAACTTAGTTATTTAAAAATTAAATTGCAAATGTATGATCTTATAGACTATTTTCCTGCTTCCAAGACTTCTTTGGAACTGTGGACTCCCTGAAATGCCAGGGTAACATAAGCGAGACAGAACAGCTAGCAGAACCTCAGGGAATACCACTGACTTTATGGTGTCAGCCAGTATCATGAGAGCCCACAATGTTGCCTTTCAAACCAAGTGATACATTTCTATCAATAATTAAATAAATTTGAAAGTACACTGCCATTGCATTTGCAATCTTCTTTCTTTGTTCTTTATTCATTGCAATAATAAAAACAAACAAACAAAAAACAACACCAAATCAAATGACTGTTGATGGGGGAATTATAAGAATAGATGGGAGTGAAGACCCAAGCTGACTTTACCTCCAACTCAAAGATTTTTGTCCACTAATCTAATTTCTCTTTCTCTCTGTGTTTGTTAAAAGTTTCAAAGTAGATGTAGGTTCTCTTGCCAAGTTGATACTCGTGTTCTTTCCTTTTCAAGATTACATAAAAAGTATAGCTTAGATCCAACGTATCAACCTGGAATAGGTGAAAATATCACTATTGATTATAACTAGTATTTAACGAGGCTTAATATGGACCAAACACTGATCTAGGTATTTCACATGTATTATGTTTTGTAATCCTCACAACTTTATGAAGGAAGTATATGTGTGAGAAAAGATACACACGATTAGATTTTGAGAGCCAGTGCAAACTGCACCGCAGGTGTATTGCCTGTTCAAATTTTTCTTTACCACTCTATATTAACACCTAAGTTAAAGGCCGGCACAATAAGCAATGTGTTGCTTGATAATATTTGTAAAACAAATGGATTAGTGAACAAGTTAATATGTCACTCTGTGGTCTTTAAAATATATATGGAAATGCAGAATATTAAAATCTGCAATACATATTTTGAAAAACAAAGGTGAGAGTAATGCTAGCCAAAGCAGGTTTGACTGCAGGCACAACTGTCCTTCCCACTCTTCTTAATTGAAGAGTCACCTCAATCCCCATTTGAATGTTCTCTTTTCAACCTCCTAAAAAGATTACTGAGAATGTAGATATTTAAATGTATTCTGTTCATCTTTAAATAATTTCATTTATGTTTAAGCTGCAAAAATTGATCTGAAGTTAGTCTGGTATATTGTGTACTTTAAGCATGTGATACATTTCTAAAATGTTGTTCATGTCAAGAATATCTACAATTCAAATCATGACCTTCTTTTGGCTTGTATTCTAATTTTGAAGTTTCTGACCTAGACACAAAAATGATTAACTGAAGAATTTTAATAGTTGTACTGTTGTTCTTCACTTCTATCAGTGATGATATTTGATAGTGTAATATGCTGAGCAGGCAAACAATGAAAAAGTCCCCTCCATGCAAAATGTATGTAAAATCAGCTTTCAATAAGTGAACAGTATTTACTACCTGCTGTTCCTTTTCACCATTTGCAGTACCATTCTTAGACTCACTGCAGGCATAAACCCTGGGATAAGGAAAAGTTAAGCCTCCATTCTTCATACCTCTAATAAGGCTTTGCCAATGGCTGCAATCATTTTACAACCATCCACTTATGTTTAGGTTTAACAGAGTCTTGGCTTCATAATGAAATACTTCATTAAAGTATTTTTATGATATCTGTTTACACATATGTTCATAGTAGAATTACATGGTGTTCTGTTATCCAGTCTTTGCCATTCACATGGACTCAGTTTATAGTGTCTGGTTATGCTACTGAAGATCTTCCTGCTTTACCATTTGCTGTTAAGTAATTGTAGTCAGACAGACTGCCCAGGAAGCCCCATGGACTCAGTTTTATCCCTTGGGTATCACAAATGAGGAAGAGTTTGATTCCATATTGGTGAAATACTACTTCTGTTTCCTAAAGATATGTTGTTTTCTAAGATTTGCTTCTAGATTTTGTGATTAAATGTTTTATTGGACAGGGATTTAAGAATCAGAATTTCATGACATTTTGTCCTACTTTAAATGGAAATGTCTATAGACTTTTCTAGTGAAGGCTTTTACAAATGTTAAGGGATGATTGAATGCTCACAGCAGGACACATGGCATTACAGAAAGTCTCCAAAATTATTCATCCTTTTGGGGACAACTATAACCATGATTTTTTGTGACACTCATAACCTGTTGAATTGGAAAAATATTAATGTTAGAAATCTGTTCTCATGTCACTTTTAAAATTCTTCTCCTTTTTTGCCTCCTGTAGCATGAGTCCTAGTTTGATTAAACTAGACACTTGATTTTCTCCAATGGTAACATGTTTTTAAAAAAGGACTTTTACTCTGTTGGAACCAATTAGGCCAATGTGAGGAACTTTGGAAGGAACATGAGCAGCCAAACTTGCTAACAGCAAAACGTATTTTTCTGAAGGCAGCATGAAAAGGACGGAGGAGTTCTCTAAGGACTGTGAGTTCCACGGGTCCTTTTGAGCTTCAGAAATCCAGCTCTCAGCACTTCATAAATCATTTCTGACCTGATGTCACTGAAGTTGTATTATTATGTGGTTAGTATAAAATTCAGAAAAATTGGGAGAAAATACAAGGAGAAGAATTTGCAGGGTGATTGTTGTAAGATTTTTATCATGTCCTCTTAAAAATGGTAGCTTTTCAGAAACTTTTGTTAACTGCTTTGCATTCCATCTTGAGAAAATGTCTGTATAGTTAGATGAGCATCATCTCCTCTCCTTGTTTTTAAATCACATCCAAAATGACATCAGGCTTGCAGCCGTCTCATTTTTTCCTTTTATTTACACTCTTCACACTTCATTGGCAATTGAGGTCACCACTTTAAAATTTAGGGTGAAGGCTAAAGACCAGCTTGACAAACTGTTGGCGGAATGCTCTCTTTTGCAAGTCTTCGTTTTGAAGAAAGAATGTGTGATTTAGAAATATTTAAGATTGTCATTTTGGTAGAACTTCTCATCTATCAATGCAGGGTGCAGCATCCCTATTTATTAATGTTGTGTTGGTTAGATATGTTCACCCATTAGGTACGTGCAGAGGTACCTGAAACCATCTGAGAGGTGGTATCCCATTTTTCATAATCTATTCAATTGAACTTTAAAAATAACTGAGCATCTTTTATATACAAGACATTAACAGACATTTATATTCTATGGTATCTACTGCTAGCAACTTATAACAGTTTTGGTGGTAAAATAAAGGCAAACTTGCTTCATAACAAAACAAAATTAAATTATCAAAAAGAAATGCTCAGTTGTTAATTTAAAATATAAAATGAGACATGAGAATAACCTTAGGTTAGAAATTCAGATGTAGAAAATATCTGTATAAAGAAGTTAGTTGAAATACTCATAGGCATGAAAGGTATTTTGCAAAAAGCAAAAGTAGGCAAAACTGGATCTATGAAGTTGCTCCATAATGTACTAGTCAGGTGAAGTAGCACAAATTACCTAGTGTATCAGTTTTCTTTTGTTAACACAACATATTACCACAAACTTAATGGCTTAAAACCTCACAAATTTATCTCACAGTTTAATAGGTTAGTAGTCTGACACAAGTCTCACTGAGCTAAAGTCCAGGTGTGGGTAGTATTGCATTTCTTTCTGGAGGCTCTAAGGTAGAATTCATTTTCTAAAATTCATTCATTTAGGATAGAAGCTGAAAGAATCAGTTTCTACAGGCTACCTGCATCCTTTGGCTCATGACCCCTTCCTCCATCTTCAAAGCCAGGAACAGGTTGAATCCTTCGTTGTACCACCCTAACCTCTTCTTTTGCCTCCCTCTTATACTTTTCAGGACCCTTATGATTACATTGAGCCCAGTGGATTATCCAGGGTGATCCTTTCATCTCAAGGTCTTTAACTGAATCATATCTACAAAGTTCCCTTTGCCATAAAAAGGGTCATATTCACAGGTTCCAAGAATTAAATATAGACGTCTTTGAGGGACCACTGTTTACTCTACCATAACTAGCCTATCTCATTTCAATTTTCTAATCAGTTACTACCTGTCTCTTAGAGTTCTTGTTAGCAGAAACAAATTTCTGTGTAATAAAGTGCCTGGCAAAAAGTAGGTCCTAAATAAAATGTTATTTTCCCCAAGGGAAAGATTATTAGGAATTATAACATTGGGACACACCTTTGTTTAAAAAGCTCTAATTAACAAGAACCACAGCAGGGGCGCACATACAGGGGTTGGAGAGAAATTCAGTTAGTGCTGTCTTCTGGACACTCCTTCTATCTTCATTCTCTCCTCTGCCATTGTTAACCTTCCATTTTAGGCAAGGAGCTGTATTAGGAAAATGTGGTTTCCTTTTATTAAAAGAAAATCTCTAAATTATTAATAGATATTACTTTTCCAAAGAAAATTTCAGAAAGGAGAAGAACAACATAATCAAAATCTGTGGACACTTTAAAGATAAGGATGATGGAGAAAGACTGAATTTTGCAAGCAGGTTATAATAACTCCTGAGAGTGATTGTAATAGGGTGATTAGGTCATGCATGGACTACAAGGGATCAAGTAGAAAAGGAGTGGTAAAGTAGTAAACAGCAGAGGGTACAGGCTACTCTTAAGAAAGTCCCTAGAGAAGGATAAGAAAATGGGGCAATACATAAGCTTGGAAATAGATGATGATATTTCTTTTTTTTTTAATTTAATTTTATTTATTTATTTTTTTTATTAATCATTCTTGGGTGTTTCTCACAGAGGGGGATTTGGCAGGGTCACGGGACAATAGTGGAGGGAAGGTCAGCAGATAAACAAGTGAACAAAGGTCTCTGGTTTTCCTAGGCAGAGGACCCTGCGGCCTTCCGCCGTGTTTGTGTCCCTGGGTACTTGAGATCAGGGAGTCCTGATGACTCTTAACGCGCATGCTGCCTTAAAGCATCTGTTTAACAAAGCACATCTTGTACCGCCCTTAATCCATTCAACCCTGAGTGGACACAGCACATGTTTCAGAGAGCACGGGGTTGGGAGTAAGGTCATAGATCAACAGCATCCCAAGGCAGAAGAATCTTTCTTAGTACAGAACAAAATGGAGTCTCCTATGTCTACTTCTTTCTACACAGACACAGCAACAATCTGATTTCTCTATCTTTTCCCCACATTTCCCCCTTTTCTATTCCACAAAACCACCATCATCATCATGGCCCGTTCTCAATGAGCTGCTGGGTACACCTCCCAGATGGGGTGGCGGCTGGGCAGAGGGGCTCCTCACTTCCCAGAAGGGGTGGCCGGTAGAGGCGCCCCCCACCTCCCTCCCAGACGGGGTGGCTGGCCAGGCGGGGGCTGCCCCCTACCTCCCTCCTGGACGGGGCGGCTGGCAGGGTGGGGGCTGCCCCCACCTCCCTCCCGGACGGGGTGGCTGCCGGGCGGAGACGCTCCTCACTTCCCAGATGGGGTAGCTGCCGGGCGGAGGGGCTCCTCACTTCTCAGACGGGGCGGCTGCCGGGCGGAGGGGTTCCTCACTTCTCAGATGGGGCGGCTGCCGGGCAGAGGGGCTCCTCACTTCTCAGACGCAGCGGCCGGGCAGAGACGCTCCTCACTTCCTAGACGGGATGGCGGTCCGGAAGAGGCACTCCTCACTTCCCAGACTGGGTAGCCAGGCAGAGGGGCTCCTTACATCCCAGACGATGGGCGGCCAGGCAGAGACGCTCCTCACTTCCCAGACGGGGTGGCGGCCGGGCAGAGGCTGCAAACTCGGCACTTTGGGAGGCCAAGGCAGGCGGCTGGGAGGTGGAGGTTGTAGCTAGCCGAGATCACACCACTGCACTCCAGCCTGGGCAACATTGAGCACTGAGTGAACGAGACTCCGTCTGCAATCTCGGCACCTCGGGAGGCCGAGGCTGGCAGATCACTCGCGGTTAGGAGCTGGAGACCAGCCCGGTAGATGATGATATTTCATTTGCAATAGCTAAAATTGACTAAGTGTTAAGTGACTCTGATCTGTTGAAAGAATTCATGAACCAAGATCAGAAACTTTCTTCTGTCTTTGATTTGTTATTCTACTCTGTTAACATTATACTTCTAACACTTCCCATCACTACAAATCTTTGCTATTAGTCCCCAAATGCTTTGAACTAGAGTGATTCATTTATGTGTGTAATGTCATAAATTGGAGAATGTGTAGGTTCATCTTACCTTGGTAAATACAGAAGCACAAAAAACAAAGGCAATGCCAGGTATTTCTCCAGGGTGAATAAATTTTAGAAGGCAAATTTAAACTGTCATATTTCTGATTGCCTGTGATTCACACCATTGTTGTACTCTGTGACAGTTTCATTGAAAGGACTGTCATGTTCCATGAGGAACTCAGCCTACCTGCTCTTTTACCAGTAGCTGGTGGGAAAGCCATGCTGTGCCAATGACTTATTCACAGGAGGCAGGTCAATCTTTTGAAACCACAGATTGTTTCAAATGAGAGAAAAATATGTGAGAAGAGAATAGATGTCAAGGGTAGTGCTAAAGACAAGGAAAATGCTTGCCTGGGTTTTCCCTGCAGCTGACGTTGTTAAAAATGATAGCAACTTAATGAAGCATGGCGTACTAAATGCATTAATAAGCTGAGGGAGGACCTTATTCATTCCAATTTGGACTCTGCTCACTCGTGTTACTCGTTTTCTTAAGACTGGACTAAAATTGTGAGACCTTATGGGCCAACGATACCCTTTAGAGCTGATAATTAATTTGAAAGAATTATTAAAGCATATTTCTTGAGCTAAGAATGCAGTGTATTCACAGTAAGAGGCAGAGTTAACCATTTATCAAGATAATTAAGAAAATGCATTAAATGTTTGCTCCGTAAGAGCAAGCACTAAATTACCAGTAGTAGTAATATTATTATGTGAAAGGGAATCAATAGTTTGTTTACTAAAATGAGATGCATTAGCAAGCTTTTTTATTCTGATATAAAAATTTTCAAATATACACAAAAGTATAGAGAATACCGTGGACTCAAATGTACCCAACACCCATCCATAAGTATTAACTCAGGACCCCTCTTGTATCAGTTTTCAACCCATCCACATCCTACTCCACCCCTCCAGATTATTGGGAAGCAAATTCCATATGTATTACTCGCTTTGTAACTACTTCATTATGTATCTCTGAAGGATAAGACTCTTTTATAAAGGAAACCATTGTCACATCTAAAAATTAATACTATTATACTGATTCTTTAATATTAACAAATATTTACTCAGTATTCAAATTCATCACACCTGCTTCCAAGTTTTTTAAAAACAGTTGAATCAGGATTCACAAGAAGTCACATACTGCATTTGTTCGATATATCTAGGTCTCTCAATCAATAACATTTTAACTTCCTTGCAACTTATTTTTTTGAAGAAACCACGTTGTGTGTCCAGTAGTGTTTCTTACATCCTGCATTTTGCTACTTAGGGTTCCTGTAGTACTGTTTGCATATTTCTCTACTACTATATTTCCTGAAAACTGATAGATAAATTTAGAGAGTTACTCTGATTCAGGGTTCATATTTTTGGCACAACCACTTTATAGATTGTGCTATGTGCTTCCATCACACTGCAGAAAATATCTGGGTGTCTCTTTTTTGGGGATGTTTCTGGTCATTGATCAGCATTAATGGCCACAGGTCCATCATTTTATGGGGGCTCCCTTCATAGTAAACTGCACAGTAAACTATACACAGTGAACCTTGTGGTAAACTGTAGCATCCTGTGTACTATAGCAATTTACTCCATGTTGCTTTTTTCATTTAACAATAAATCCCGCCATTCATTGCTCTTCCATCTCAGGGTTTTCTTGCTTATTATTGCTTGTTAAAATTCTTCCAAATCACATTTATAATCAAGTCGTTCAGCACTAAGGAAAAAAAATAACATTTTCATGAAAAAATGAAATTGCATTACATTTATATATTCTCTTAGGGACATTGAAAATAAGTCTTGCTATTTTTCAGAGCTAGACTTTGAGATTTGCTTTTTTGCAGAGTGAGATAGAGAAGTCCTTCAAATACTGTCCCTTGAAGAGTTAGGCATTGATTTAAACCCTTTTGAAAAACAATTTCAACAAATAATTGAAAATGTTCTCTTCAAAGTATTATCATTAGTCATCCAGTTAGATTATTATTATTAGGAATTCTGAGGTGGTGGAATAATTCATTTTCCAATGTGTTAACTTCTCATGAGTTTAATGTGAGTATAAAAAGTCTGTTTTAACTGAGGGCAGAGTATTCCTTTTTCTCTTATAATACAGGAGCCAGTTACAACACAGGAGGTGAAATGGCCTGTTTGCTTACCTGCAACTTCAGGAATTTCATGCTTAGCAATTAATTGCAGTACACACTTGTGGGGGTAGGGGTAGGAGGTTGGATAAGTGGGTTGCACTTAATAATTCAGTGACAATTACAAATCGTTTCACTATATGTGAAAGTATTTGAAGTAAATTTACCTGAAGATAGAAAATATGGGTGGGCAAGCTCCTCCTGAACTCCCCACCACATTATTCTAGGTTTATTGAAGTAAATGTAAACTTATAAGGGGACATAAAACTCACACAGAAAATAATAATTAGACATATTTCCACATTAATGTTTTTAAGTTTAAAACATCATTTAAAAATTTTATCACTGATGCTTGACTTAAACAAGTCCACTTATAGCATTGTCAGAATCTGTATAAGTATCTCTTCAGGGAATTTTTAAGATGAGAGTGAACAATTTTCTGAGATTGCCTACACATTTTTGTTACACAGTAAGAGCCAGGTTCTATGTGGCTTAGGTGGGGATGGGGCTTTGAGTGAATCCTCTGTTGTACACAGACTTAATACATTCTCCATTTCAGCCCACTTTTCACCTCTGTTTTCATCAGACCTACCTCGGTGAGGTTCTAGACTTCTGCCCTGCTGCAGCTACTCAGTACTTTAGGCCATGACCTCCGCTCTCCTTCCTCAGCAACTCACCACAGACCTTCCAGAAAAATGTTAAACCCTTCTCATCCTTTTCTTGTTATTGGTTTCTATTTTCTTTCTTTCTTTTTTCTTTAGCGTCACAGGGGAAGAGCTGATAATTGTATTGGCTATATGTATCAACTCAAACAGAGAGACATTACCTGCAGTTCTATAAAGATTCCCAGATTATTCCAATGGGTATTAAGCTTGAAAACATGATGTCTATGATCCTTTCTGGTTCTGATATTGTATAACTCTCATCACTTAATGAAAGCCACCGTTCCTATTTGGATAAATAAGAGAATTGAAAAACGCACTATTAGAACTGAGAGTACAGATGAGCTTTCCAAATATATTAGAGATGGCATCACAGTACATGGAAATGTTAAAATCCATAACATGGGCAAGAGCACATACTAGAAAAGTGCAGAACCTCTTTAGAAGTGAAGCATTTTCGTTCCATGCACATCAATTTGCTATAGGAGTTCAGGGACAAATAGCAATATGGGAAGGAGGCGGAGCTCAACATTGAGCAGAAATTAGACACATGCTGTTCTCTTGAGAGATTAAGAAAGAATAAATAGAAGAGAGTAAGTCAGGTCCTATGAGAAGGATAAAGCATTGTCTTCCATAGAGAGTGACCTTCATTAATATTTTTTACGGCTTTTGTGGAGATCAGCCTAAGGAAACAGAAGTCCTATGGCCTTATTACATCATTACAGAATCACACTTTGGCTGGGTCTCTTAACTGTGTAACAGTGGTGCTCAAAAGTCTCTGTAAATCTCCAAAACACAATACTCTTTAGTAGCATTTCTTAGATTTGTGATTCTTCTGGGGACAAAGGATCTGGGATACAATGGGTTCCCGAGTGCAGTGGTGTGATCTCGGCTCACTGCAACCTCCGCCTTCCGATTTTCAAGCGATTCTCCTGCCTCAGCTTCCGGAGTAGCTGGGATTACAGGCGCCCACCACCACCCCCGACTAATTTTTTTTTTTTGTATTTTTTAGTAGAGACGGAGTTTCACCATATTGGCCAGGCTGGTCTCGAACTCCTGACATCGTGATCCGCCTGCCCCAGCCTCCCAAAGTGCTGGGATTACAGGCGTGAGCCACCGTGCCCGGCCGAGGATTTTTTTTTTTTTTTAAATCAAGACTTAGCAATGCATGTTCTAGAAACTGATTCTGGTTTTCAGACTTAACTAACATGGGTATAGGTGAGCTAAGATATTAAGCTGCAGGGAAGGGTCTAGAGTAGCTAGAGTTCCTGGGCTGCTCACTTCAAGCTATGAGGTCTCCTGAACACTGGTAAAAACCCCAGTGCTGTACAAATATCATTTTATCTTAGCCATGATGTTCAAGATTGGAAAGCATAACTCTATGTGATGATCATTGTCCGTTGCTTATTATTTTGAGACTAAAGGATTCTTAAGAAAGACCCTATTCTCCATTTCCACACTAAATGAGATCAAGTTCTTAATACTCTTCTTATTATAGGAGGAACATCTAATTCAATGCTACATCAGTAATTAAATGATATTTTGTTAGGTGACATGCAAATGAGTAACAAATGGAATATGAAATAGAAAGTTCCCTTTGTTATGTAAATTGTCAAACACTTGATATTGTTTTTAAAGTTATTTGGGATTTTTTTAAGACACCAAGTTTGTAACAAGTGCCCTTCAACAGAAAAGACACTTGGATATCATGAGATGTTCTCTTAGGTTCCTCAAAGCCTAGCAGTCATAGCATTTTAATACTTACTAGTGGGGAGTCTGCCTTCCCTGCTGCACACCAGAACAGACTGGGGTGGGGGTTAATCATCTGGAAATGAGGTATTATAACTACTGATTTTGAAGAGTCTTTATAATGAAAACAAGACACAGTTAATAAAAGTAGCATAGAAAACATTAGAGAGTTATTTTATTAGGGCCATTAAATATTTGGAGTACAGTACTTAGAAAATCACTGTTAAAATTGTTACAGTTACTCTCTGAAGCCTGCTAAGAATACTGCTATTTATTACATTTTTAATAATGCTATTCACTACATTTTAAAAGTTTACTCAAAAACTACATGACTTTCAAGTCATTTAAGAAGTCCAAAAGAAATTCCATGCCAACAAATTTAATTAATTTTGCATGGAATGTGAAAGAACCCATAGAAAATAAATGAAAGAGGGATATTGTTTTGAAATGGGACTCATTCAGTCTTCTGTAAGGCGGTGACTGCTTTTCCGTGTCACTGCTGGCAGTTATGTTGAATTATAGAAAGAGTCTGTGGGGTCTCTAGTAGAACTTCTCTTCGTGGATTATTTTTATCTATTATTCCAGAGCCAACACAGGAGCTATGAAGTCATAAATCCACATTGTAGCTGCATGAGAACTTGGCCTTATCACATATTTGCATACTCAGTGCTTTCTAAGCAAAGTTCTTTATCCATAACCTTAGTGTAGTCTTATTTTTCTTAGTGGGTACCTGTGATCTCTAATATGCTTTGCTATCTCTCTTTTTGTTTTATATCTTTAAAAAAATCTCTATGTTTTTATTTTTTCTGGAAGGAAACAGGCTCACTTGGAATATTTACCTAGATTCTCTCTTTCACAAGAACACGCAGTATTTTGTATTCATTATCTCATTATCTCTTCCCTGGTTGTGTCTTTAGAAAAGAAACAATGGATAACAGAGGGTAAAAGAGTTTCAGTAATTTTCTCAGCTCACAGAGACCTAATAGGACAAATACTCCAGGAACGTATGCCTTAGTTCCTGCAGATGACAATATATGCTAACTGGGATTCAAGCTCTAACAAACAGGCAAGACCAATGTCAAACTAATAACCATAACGTGGAAGCACATTACAGTGATTTTGGCTATCCAACTAAATGTAATAAATATCAAATGCCCACCATTTCAGAAGAATTATAATAAGGAATATAGCATCTTTAACCCATTTCTCATTTGCCTGAAGAATACTTGCAGACAGCATTTGTGGCTTAATGTTTACCCTGAGATAACTTGTGGCTTACTGTCCTAACCTTATCCCCAAAGTTTGCCATGAAATATCTCACTTTTATTATTATTTTTGCATAGGTCTAGCATATTGACTTTGGAAACAAAAGACATCATTCTATTTGTAGCATTCTGTGTTTGATAGTAGTATTTCCATATACAAAATATAGTAATTATTGATTGCTGAAATCAAATCCTAGAAAATACAGCATTCCTATATAAAAAATTATTAAATTCTGATCATCATATACATTTCTGTTACATTAGGATTAGAGATAAGTTTTATTTAGAAATAACTCTAAGAAACGTTTTTATATTTTATTTTCACATTGAAAATAAGTCAGATTTGCTTCAGCCTCAAAAAATGTGTTTATGTAAAATTAAATGAGAGCTGGCAGTGAGCTGTACATTTTTTTTCCTAATGGGACATGGGTTATGGGTTAAAGATGTACAAGCTGGCCGGGCACGGTGGCTCATGCCTGTAATCCCAACACTTTGTGAGGCTGAGGCAAGTGGATCACCTGAGGTTAGGAGTTTGAGACCAGCCTTACCAATATGGTGAAACTCCATCTCTACTAAATACAAAAAAAAAAAAAAAAAAAATTAGCCAGGCGCAGTGGCACCTGCCTGTAATCCAGCTACTTGGGAGGCTGAGGCAGGAGAATTGCTTGAACCTGGGAGGCAGAGGTTGCAGTGAGCCAAGCTTGCGCCATTGCACTCCATCCTGGACAACAGAGCAGGACGCAGTCTGGAAAAAAAAAAAAAGTGTAAAAGCTAGAGGCCCTGGCCTCCACAAGCCCACAATTTAGTTATTCTTCTTCTTTATGATTTTAAGACCTTGTCAGGAATACTTTGGGATTATCAGTAGTTAGGACCAAGATATTTCATATTTTATAGCAGAGACAACTCTATCTGTGCATTTTATAAGATTAATCCATTGGTATGTTTCTTGTTGAATTTCTATATAAAGACATTCTACGTGATGAGTTGTTCAATATGAACTGTCTAAAAAACAATTCCTTATGAATAATACCTAAAAATGCATAAGTAGCAAATATCTTTTATAGTGGTTGATGTAACATATTCTATGTTGTTCCTACTTTTGCCCTTTCTCTGTTACTTATTTTACTTTGTCTTTATTTTAAAGATAATTTTATTTAAAAGTAAAACATTTATGTTCATACAAAAAATATAGCAGAATACGGGATGGAAAATAAAAGTCCTCCTCTTTTCTTGACTCCTAAAGGTGGCAGCTTTAATATGTTCACATAATTCCTCTCCCAAAATGTCTTGGCATATTCAAGCAGTTACAGGCACATACATAGATATGTGTGTCTATCTGCAGTTATACCTATCTATATGCCTTTGTAAATATAAATTCATCAGTATTTCTCACCTGCAGTGATACTCAATAAAACAGAATGCTCAAAGCCCAGACCCCTCAGGACAAATATCTTGGCTGTCCTTGCTATGCTGGGGTCAATCAGATGGTCTCAGGGGAGAGGAGGCATTTGGGAGGTTGGGCAGCAGTGATTTGTCAACAAGTACAGAAGCATTTCAGTATTTTATCCACTAGTTGTTCCACAACTGTGCCTAAAAGGCTAATACTAACCCTACTTTGACTCATTCGATGGGTGATTTCCCCTCCATGGCTCTCAAGCATGCATGCATTCAAGTAAACATCTTGAAGGAATAGCATCAGAGCCACCTGTATTACCGCATTCCATACCAAATTTTTATATTTTTAAATCTAGTCCCTTAGGGTATACCATAGATCCTATACACGTATGCATGAGTTACCATGTCAAAACTATGAAGCAGATAAAATTTGTTTCTAGAGCATCCCTTTCAGGATTCCCTCTGTAGCTCAGCAGTCCTGTTAATCACATTGTAGTGAGCCTGTCCTCCCAATTGTGCCCCACCAGTGACCTCATCCACTTAGAGCTTAGAGCTGCCAAGCTCTCATACCTCATAGCATTTACTAGTCAAGAACATATCATACTGTTTTATTATTATAGCACTTTTCATTTGTCTCATTATTACAATATATTAACAACACATTGATGGTGGAATAGTAATTTAAACTAATTCATATCTGTCTTTCTACCTAGAACATTGTACATAAATGTCATTCCATAATGTTTCTTCACTATTCTTTTGGACTACATTGGTAAAGACACAGATATGCACTACCACAAAACATCTAGAATATTTCTTTTTTTACGTCTTCAAATTCTATATAAATTTGTAAATAGAGCATTGCCACATTCCTCTCCATTGTCACTCTGTTAACAGTAACAATACCTCTTTATTTCACCCCTTTTCTTGCATGTTTACCTTTTGTAAAGAGAAGGTACAGAAACCCTTCATTTAATGTGTTTCAGGTTCAATCCGTTGTCTTCATAACACTGGAATTTCTCCTCCATTATTTTCTATTTGGGGATGTAAAGGAATGGACATTTATTGAGGATTTACTGCCACAATGCTAGAACCACAATCTGAACATAGGAATGTGTTTATGTTGTTTTTGCTGTACCATACTAACTGCCTCTAAATGGCACTTTTTTGAGGATTATGTGATATAAGTAAACAAGTTTTCTAAACTATCAAGCACTATTCACACTGGGAATTTCTAGCTTGTATTTTACAGTCTTTAACACAGTAAGGTGAGTAAATTGGTATGTACTATTAATAAATGTTTTAGGTGGTAATAATTATAATGGAACTTTAAACATCAGGTGAAATGTTGCCAATGAGTTGTTACTAAAATCCAGTCTTAATCCATTTCTTTTAAAGCCATGGTTGTCAAAACAAAACATCACTTCTTAGCAAAAAATTATTAGATATGAACCTGTAATAGTAAAATCATTTCAGAGAACATTATAAGATTATAGAATAAAATCTGAAATAAAATCTACTGTAGCATTTAGACTTATATTTGACATAAAATGATGAGAATATTTGGGAATTCAATGTTATTGTTGTTGTTATACTTCCCTAGGTGTTCCAGATCGCGTATGTGATTGTGAAGGCAGCTAACTCCCCCCGGCCTGGAAACTGGATTTTGGAACGCTCTCTTGATGATGTTGAATACAAGCCCTGGCAGTATCATGCTGTGACAGACACGGAGTGCCTAACGCTTTACAATATTTATCCCCGCACTGGGCCACCGTCATATGCCAAAGATGATGAGGTCATCTGCACTTCATTTTACTCCAAGATACACCCCTTAGAAAATGGAGAGGTAAGATGAGAAAACTCACCATTTAAGCACATTTGATACGGTGAAATAGGCCTGTCAGAAAGACCTGAATATATCAGTAATTAATGTCAGGGAGATTTTAAAATAGGATTTAGCAAAAGTACATTTAAATGAGTTATTAAATAAAAAAGAAAAACCTGAGGTGATTAGAATTTTAACTACCTTCATGTGTCTCCCATCTCCAGTAAAGATCAGAGAAGAGGAAATAGGTTTAATCTGGAAAGTCAATGATTAATTTTACATATAAAGAGACTTTCTCAACAATGAGGATTGCTAATGATTAGAGAAGGATTGGAGACCTTAAAGGTGGCCTTACATTTGAGTGTACTTTGGTCTGAAGATGGAGACAAAAGAAATGAATTTGTGAAGAAATGTAATCCACATGAAAGACCCAAATGAAAAGTAATTCTTTCAATCTTTTGATGTTTTTCTGCTGTCACCACATAGGGCTACAGTGGGGTTTCTTCCCTGGGTCAGGCTTTGTGGAACAGTAATGTGCAGGAAGTCTTAGGTTCTCAGTGATGTGCAAGCTAGGTTACGTGCTTAGTTCAAATATGTTCTTCTCCAGTGTCTGTCATCCTGTGGTTAAGATTTTAGATTCATTCATTGATTTTAAGCCACATATTCTAACCATGGCTTCAGTTGTTATTAGTTTATTAGTTGTATGTGGGGGCGGGGAGGTTTTTTTTTTGTTTTTTTTTTTTTTGTTTTCTGGCTTAGTTGTGTGTTCTTGATCCAGTTACTTAAATTCTCTGCACCTCAGTTTCATCGCCCATAAATCAGGAATAATAATAGTTCTTACCTCATATAATTGTCAAGAGGATTAAATGCATTATTGTATTTAAAGCATTAGAACAATGCTGAAATGCACACTAAGTACTCTGTGCTATTTTTATTGTTTTGTTGCCATTAAGGAAATAATAACCATTACTACTATTATTTTTATTATTATCCTTAGTCTTCTCTCAAATACCCAAACTTTGACTTAGTGACTCTCTTGAATTATTCAATATTTCTTTAGTATGTTTCCCTGACTTGTCTCCCTTTAGTATATGTGACCCACCTCCTTTCATGCTACCTAATTATGTATATCTCCATTGATACTCATGTCTGATATTCTCTCCCACATAGTCCAAACATCTGAAGCTAGTATCATCATTTATATTTACATTTTCAGAAAACCCATATTCACATTCTATCATGCCCACCCCAGCCAATCTAGGGTTATCTCTCAACACTTCTAGGGAAAATTAGGGTTTTGGCATAAATCTGTCAGACCCTCATTAGGCACTATTTTTATATTAATGTATACCAGTGCTTCACTATATTTTAAATTCCATGTTCAAAAATACCAGTTTTGGGGAAAAACATTCCAAATGGTACTCTCAGCAGAAATCTCAATCTGCCAAATGACAAGGACTCAAATGCAGTGAGTCAAACAGCTGTTCAACCTGCTTTGTGCCTAGAGGCATCCAATTCCTGGCCAGTTTGGCCTGAGGATATGGGAGTAGGGAGTGCAGAAAGAGTTTTGAGTTGAATTTTTATTATTTTTTATCCTAGATTCAGTTTACATAAGACTAATAATTCTCAAACAATTTAAGACTATTCTATACCTTTAAAAATGATTCAATTCAGAAATTTATTAAGCAATATAAAATACACTTCGGCAGGTATGTAACATGCGTGTCACAAGCATATACCCTACCCATTCTCTCCCTTCATTAATAATGGTTCTCCATTCCTTAAACCAAGTCAGCCTGCCAATATGAAACAAAAGACATGTTTATTAGTTAATTAGTTAGTTTCTTTAATTGGCTATATTGTTTTCACTCCTAAACAACACTTACTAAAAACTGCTTATTGATGGTAACTATTAGGAGCAACTGACTGAACTGTCTCTGTGACATGTTTCCTTACGTCTATTTGTCACTCATGGGGAAGTGAATGAAATAAGGAACAGAAAGTAATTCAAAATATTTGCCATAGAATGATAAGACTGAAGAATAAGAATTAAATTCAGACCTCTCCTAGGCTATCTATTCATTTTATATAGCTTACTTTGTGGAATATGTTACTTTTTTGAATAGACAGGTGATATCCTCCAAGACTCTCAGCTCAATGATAATATAACTGAAATAATAATTGAGGTCTCTGATTCTCAGGTAAATATTTCATCCATAATCTGGTAAGGATTAAAAGTTGACTTTTAAAAGTTGACAATCGCTAAACTTAAAAATGGTTCAGAGGAGATACAATATTGCTGGATCTAATGTAAGTAGAAAGAATCCTAATTCTGATATATCATGGCATAGAAAAAGACACAAGGAATTAGAAGACCTGGATTCTGGTACTGGTTCCAGTTATTTGTGGGACCTTGGTCAAATGATTTAATCTCTCTGGGATTAAATTTCTTTAATAGATGAATTAGTTCAATGCCCAGATTGTTCTAAGGCAGCATGGTATTTTCTAAAATAATATAGCTTTGGCTATCATACAACATTTGAGGATATTCTAAAAGTTTTGGATACTTTTCTCTAACATTATCCAGACAAAGTAGCTGTGGAATAAATCTCACTCGTCAGCTTTAGTTTTAAAATTATGTACTTTCACATAATCCCTGGAATACAATTATTAATTGTTTATGTTCAAAACTTTACAGAGAAGTGACAGTCAAATAAGAGAAACAAACATATAAACCAGTAAATAAAACATGATTGCATAAGTACTGTAACAGTAGTGTATACAGAGAGCAATAAATCTCCCCCTGCTTGAGTGGAAGGAGGCACATTGAGAAGATAACTTCTCAGAATATGGGAAAACCAGCAACAACTCTTATCTCAAAAGTCTCAAAGCCAATATGCAAATTCATCTCCAATAATGCCTATGTGTTAAACTCGGTACATACAGAATTTACCTCCATTGTTGAGGGATATTGTTATCAGATGTAGAATTCTAGGTTTGCAGTTATTTTCTTTTGGCACATTTTATTGTTTTCTGATTTCCATTGCTTATGTAGAGAATGCAGCTATCCGATTACTATCTTTTGGAGTGACTTTTCTCTGATTTATTTAAATATTTTTTTCTTTGTTCTTCAGTAGTTTTACTATGATGCTTCAGATCTTCACTGCCCACTACAATAGCCACTAGCCATATGTGGTAATTCAAATTTAAATTTCAGTTAATCAAAATTAAATTAAAATTCCATTTCCCCATTACACTAGCCACATTTCAAGTACTCAGTAGCCACATGGGACTAGCAGCCACCACACTGGATTGGGCAGAAAGCAACACTGCCATTATTGCACAAAGTTCTGTTGGGCAATGCTACTTTAGATTGTACCTTTTTATTTTCTACATATCTGCAAAGTGATGTCTTTCATCAGTTCAGAAAACTGTTCAGTCATTACCTCTCTAAATATTGCTTCTTCCGCATTCCCTCTGCTCTATGATTCTAATTAAAAATGACTTGGAACTTTTTACTGTATACACTATGTATTTTAAACTCTCTTCTTTAGTTTTCATCCTTTTGTCTTTCTGTATCTTCATTCTAGGTATTTTCTTCTGGATTACTTCTAGTTCATTAATTCTCTTCTCAGCTATGTAAATATTGCTATTAAAGTTATTCATAGGATTCTTAATTTCATATATTTTTCAGTTTCTAAATTTCTCTGGTTCATTTTCTTTTTTTCTTTCTTTCTTTTTTTTTTTTTTTTGAGACCGAGTCTCGCTCTGTCACCCAGGCTGGAGTGCAGTGGCGCCATCTCAGCTCACTGTAACCTCCGCCTCCCGGGTTCCCGGGTTCAAGTGGTTCTCCTGCCTCAGCCTCCTGAGTAGCTGGGATTACAGGCGCGTGCCACCATGTCCACTTGATTTTTGTGTTTTCAGTACAGACAGGGTTTCACCATGTTGGTCAGGATGGTCTCGATCTCTTGACCTCATGATCTGCCCACCTTGGCCTCCCAAAGTGCTAGGATTACAGGCATGAGCCACTGTGCCCAGCCTGGTTCATTTTCAAATAGAAGTTGTTTCTCATTTTACATTGAAATTTTATATTTATAGTAAAATTTTAATTTAATAATATGATTTATTCTAAAATTTTCAATATTCTATTTTTAATCTCCTTGAGCATAAAGTAAAAATTATCTTTAAAAGTTTTTGTCTGATAATTCTAATATATGGCCTTTTTGGATATATTTTATTTTCTGTTTCATCTGCTGATTCTTTTTATGCTGTCTTACATTCTTGTGTGCCTGATTATCTTTGTATAACAGAAGTTGTATTTGAAAGAGAATGTGTAGAAATAATTTGAGAGCTAGTATATTGTCTTCATCCTGTGTGAACTTTCTGATGCTACTGCCAGGCAATGGAAATCTGGATCATCTTAATTCAATTTTAGGGATTCAAATTTCTGGGACATTCAGATGATTCAAAGCATTGCTATAACCCAGTGACAGCTGCTTTAATTCCAGTATACGCTCATTCCCATGCTGCTTATCTTTGGAGTCCAAGCCAGCGTGTGTGGGAATTACGAAAGTCCCACCCATGCAGTCCTGGAATCCAACTTTTGTCCTCCTAATACAGCAGGGCTGTCAAAAGAGCTGCTCAGTCTCTCAGCCATGTGTCTGGACAGGAAAATGCTCACAGGACAAAAGCTGTCACAACGTACCAATCACCTGTCTAGACATCTCTTTTGTCCTTGATGTTGAGAAGGTTATCTTCACTCTCTTGATAGCTCTCACATGGCTTTAAACATATGTTTTTGTATATTTATCCAGTTTGTCTAGTTGTTGTCATTGAGAGTGTTGACTCTTACTGTATAATCTACCATAAATAGAAGCGAAGTTGCACATGCATTTAATTTTTTTTATTTTGGAATTATGTTAAGTTTACACACATGTATGAAGATTATAGAGAATCCTCACATTCCCTCATCCAGCTATCCCTAGGAATAATATCTTAAATAATGACAATGCACATGTTAAAACTAAGAAGTTAGCATTGATACATTATTGTTATCTAAACCACAGACCTTATTCAGGTTTCATTCATTTTACCAATTTCATTTTTTCTCTTCTGGGATCCAATTCAGGTACTATTTTGCATTTAGTCACTGATCTGTGACAGTTTTAAGAGATATTTTAAGAAATATTTTAAGAGATATTTAGAGATATTTTATAGACTATTATTCAGTTTGGGTTTGCCTGATGTTTTTTCATGGTTAAACTGGGCTTCTGGATTTTGGGAACCAATACTACAGAGGAAACAGTTTCTCATTGCATCAATCATTTTTTATTAATATATGCATATTTTTTTCTTTTTTATTGGTTTATGGGGCTTGTGCTTCTATTAATAGGTAGATTTTTAAAATGTTTTTAATTTTTATGGTTACATAGTAGGTGTATATATTTTAGATAGATTTTTAACGTGGACAGCAGTATCTAAATATTTACTGTGATTTGTAATGTATATTTTTCACTAAGCATTGAATGGTCATTTTCTTCCAGACCTTCAAAATATTCCTTAAATATGTCAGAAATAAGAAAAACAAGTCCCTCCCTCTCTGCCTTCCTCCCTTCCTTCCTTCCTTCCTTTTTTTTCTTTCTTCTTTACAAACAGGTTCTCATTGTGTTGATCAGGCTAGAGTCCAGTGGCATGATTATAGCTCACTGCAGGCTCAAACTCCTAGGCTCAAGAAATCTTCCTACCTAAAAAATCAGCCTCCAGCTAATTTTTTAAAATTTTTTTGTAGAGACAGGGTCTTGCTATGTTGCCCAGGCCGTTCTCAAACTCCTGGCCTCAAGTGATCTTTCCACCTTAGTCTTCTAAAGTTACAGTCTTCTGAGATTACAGACATGAACCACCATGCCTGGCCCAGAGGAATTTTTAAGGCCCACCCATGTAACAAGGCATTATGAAATAAACATGTCTCAATTGTTACACACTAGTTAGACAACAATGTTCATGTTTTAGGCTTAGAACATTAATAGGAAATAGTTTTCTTGTGACTAATGCCAAATCCACTGAGTCTAAAGTTTATTACATTTCCACTTGTCTAAAGAATTTTTGAGACATGTGCCAAAATCTTTAGAACATTAGAGCTGAAAGATACCTTAGGTAAATTTCTCATCAATCTATTAAAGGATATTCAAGCCCCCAATTTCAGCCTCTGTATCCAAACTTCAATACTGCCCTATGTTCATATCATCACTGGAGAGGTCTGGCCTTTCCTTATGGCCTCTTTAATCTTAATTGCATCATCTCTGATGTTTTATTTGGCTTTGTTTGTTACTCCAGTTACTCCCACCTGTTTCCCTTCATGGTTTGGTTTGGCCCCTTCTCTGCCCTCCACTCCACATTGATTTCAAGAGATCAACAAATGTTAGAGAACTGGGTTCAACTACTACCAAGAAAGAGCTTAACCCTGAAACCTAGCATCCTAGGCCTGCACCCAAAGGGAGAAGAGAAGCTTATTCTGAGCTATGAGATAATCGTAAGGTATCAAGTCTCAGGGCCTGGCAAAGGAGGGATAATGGAGGATATAGGCAAGATAATAATATGACTGGGTATGTCGTTATCCAGGCTGCAAATAGAAGGAGGCTTTGAGCAAAAGCCTTAAAACAGTTTTATTTTAGAAGGGCAATTTTCTATCATCAATGCCAAGAGAAGGCTCAGCAGGGACCCTACTTTGTCCTGCTTTGAGCAAATGATACTGAGCTCCCTAATAGGAGTTGCAGGGTATGAAGCAACAGACTGCAGGGGCCTCCATTACTTTGAGGCCAACCACAGGGTAGAGCTCTTGTGGGAACAGCTACATAACATGCATGTCCAGCAGTGCCCCAGGGAACCAAGCCATCGAGAGCTACTATCACAGCCCAAGTGCTGCCTCTGCAGAAAGCAGTAGCCCAGATGCTATTGAGAACTGCTTACAAGAACTGCCACTTGGAAGCACCCTGAGAACTTGGCTTTACTTGGAAATCACCTAGGAGCATTTGAAAAATAGCTACTCCTGAGACCAGAACTTTTAATTCATTATATTTGTCAGAGGCTCATTAAGCCCTATGTATATTTTAAACAAGTACTCTTGGTGATTCTTATGTCTGTATTCCTGGCTTAATGTTCAGCTATTTCCAGCCTTTTAAACCCTGTAGGAGAACAGGGCACCAGTTATTTAGGGAAAGAATATTGGTCATTCTAACTACTTCCAACTGAAGAAAGAGACTAACTTTTTCTGTCAACAAATGTGATAGGTTTTGGTGGACTGAGTCTCTTGGCAGGTTTGAGTTGAGCAAATAAACTTCGAACTAAAACTAGGTTATTGATGGTCAAAGGGGTATCTGAGAGAAGAATCACAGTAATAATATTGAGGAGGACGAACTTTCTAGATGGCACTGCTTTAGAGATCCTAGAATTAAAATTATAATATTTTTCTGTTGTATGAGACTTTTCCCTTTCTTTGACTCACATTATTGCTTTTAATTTATTTGGATTGTCACTAGACTGCTAGCTAAATATTCGTGGTTACCATAGTGATTTTGCTTCCATTTCCTCATACAGAGGCCTTTAAGTTATTTACATATGATTTCCTTTCCTTCTTACCACCACCTTCTCACTCTCCTGGACTGCAGCTCAATGGAACTTAGATTCACTTTGATTCTGCTTTGAAACATGGCAGGCTTGTATAAAAATCCCTGGAGAAACCATCATTAAATCTTGAAGACACTTTTTTTTTTTTTTGTAAACTGTATGTAGAGCTTTGATATTATTTTGATTTCCTATGTGACAGAATTTTATATATACAGACAGAATATTTTTCTTCCTCTTTTCATCATCTGACATTATGGTGGTCCTTAGAATTGCAAATACAGGAGAAGGAAGACACAAACCCAAGACTGTATTAAAAAATGTTTCAGAAATTCTCCTTTGATATAACATTGTTAAGGTTATAACATGATTTTGCATGTGAGTTTGTATGGAAATGAGGGAATGGAAATGAAGACCTAGCCTTTCTCAATTACCCTTGCAATTGTTCCTTTAGGGAGAAACAGCGGAGTATTACTAATTTGTATTGGTTTTCAATAGAAATTTAGGTAAATAATTATTTGGGGTTTCAGGCTTCCTTTCTCTAAAAATAATTCTTTTTAGACCAATGTGGGGCCAATCAGTACCTGGAGCAACAATATTAAAGTACCTCCTTACAGTGAGGTTTATATGGAGTCCTCTAAAAAATGAAATGTTTCAACTCTGGTTGGAATACACAGAGCAGCTGAAATATTTTGAAATGACACACACATAAAATACATAATTTATTTAAGGTAATTTATTGTTACATTTTAAAAATACATCTTTTTAATAAAATAAAGATAAAATTAAGAGGATTATATTCCTCCTTTTTCTTTGTTGATCAGTTACTAGACTCCCTTACTCCTCCAAAAAAAAAAAAAAATATATATATATATACAATGCCCAGAAAGTATCCACAAATCCCTGTTAAATTAATGCAGTATTGTTGAAAAACAAAGATGGCCAGAGAAACTGAATGAGAATGGAATCCTGAGGAGAAAACACCAATATTTAAGAGACCTGGTTCTCTCAGTGTTGTGGAACAGGATCCACTGATATGGAACAGAAGGGTAAGCTTCTGTTAAGCTAGGTAAGGAAGCTTAGGGTTGTGAAAGAAGGTACAAAGACACTGCACACTGACTTTTGGGGAATTACCTGGATTTGGCTTTCAGGTAGCTCTGCCAAGGATTAACAATAGGGTTCAGAAAGAAGAGTAAACCATCTAATATGTGCCCCAGCCAGTTTACGTGGTTATAATAACGATCAAATTAGATTTTTATGGCAAAACTCTCTTTAACCTCTACGATATGATAGTATTTCCAGCCTTTTTATTCTCAAGGTTCAGTAGCTAACATTGGCTTAAGCCCACTCCTAACTATGAAATGACTGAGCTGGCTCAGCCTGGAATGAGAGTGGGGAGCATGAGAGGGACACAGCCATACCACATGAGGCCATGGCTAGGGAAGGCAGAGGCTACTGAACAAGACTGAAGGAATAAGCAAAGCAAAAAACCACAAGCTTGCTGAAGTTGGAGGACCAGAAGGAATAGGTGAGGGTCTCAGTGCTAATGTAGGGTTAATCCAGGGCCAAGTAGACAAAAATAATAATAAAACCACAACAATAATAATAATAATAAATGATGGCTAGCATTTGTTGCACATTTATTTTATGGAGGGTGTTAATCTAAGAAATTTCCCATGTATAAATTCATATATACTAATACTTGTCGCATTTTACAGTTGAGAAACAGGTATTACAGAGAGGTCAAATAACTTTCCCAGGGTTCCACAGCTAGTAATTTTTGGAGCTGTGATTTGAATTCAGTGTATTCTCAGAGCACCAGAAAGGTACAAAGCTAAAAGTTTCCTTCTGTGTCTGGGGTTTCCTGGAAAATCTGCTCTGCCCTATAAGCTCAGGAGTCCCCCCTCCTAGCAGTTCCTGCTGAAGCTCTATGTGAGATTGCACAGACCTGAGTTTGAGCTGCTGCTTATTTTTTATTTTGGGGTTTTAGTATTTTCATGTTTTAGGTTAAAAAAATTCTTTACCTTTTAGCTTTGATGAATTACTTCATTTTTATATCTAATAGGTTTTTTTAACCTTCACTTTAATTGATTTCTTAACCTCTTTATCTTGCTCATTTTTTAATCTTTTTAATGATTTTAAAATGCTGATTTTAATAATTTTATCTTGGCATATTTATATTTATCAGTTTTTCTGCTTCAAGCTTTATTCTGGCAAATGATGTATATTTATATTTCTTTTGTGTTGTTTTTTAAATATTTTTTATTTTTGTTTCTGGAATTTAATGTATGTCAGTTGTGCAATAGACTTGTTAGAATTTTGTTTGCTTTAATAATTTTTAAAGTGACTTTTTGCATTACTTTTGATCATTTTACTCTTAGCTTATTTTGAGCTTTTGATGTCTAAATATAACTTTGTTTGTCTAGTGTTTTAGTGTCTTTAGTCATTGCTTCTACATGGCAATAGGAAATATGACCATAAAAACCTCAGTGAAAGTAACCCACATTTAGAGAAGGCTTGTATTCCTTAATCCCGCCCCTCTACACACCCCACCCATTCAACCCATCTGTAGCCTCCCTTTCAGCTGTTCTTAAAAGACCTTCCCTTTTAAGGGAACTTACATTTTCCCTTCAATACTAAATCCCAAAAGCTAATAGCAATACAGAAGATCCACTGACCAACATTTCTTCCCAAGACAATAATAGTAACTTATATGCATAATTGTTAAAGCAATTTTAAGATTTTGTTTTGTTTTTTGCTATCCAAGTTCCTAAGACATGTTATTCCTCTAAAAGTTTACTATATGAAATGATTGACTAATGGTTGAACAAATACTATAAACACATAAGGAAGGTGATATGGGTTTTACTCACAGAAGATTCCTCAAAACGCATACCTGATTTGGTTTTAATAAGGATCACATTACAGGAGATCCAATAGAAGCTACTTAAAAAGTGTTTTAGAAAATGTTTTTAAATATTAATTTGCATCCATTATAACATTACTATTTGAATTTAACTTCCTTCCAATATACCTGTAGAATGAGCTATTGAGTTTAACTTCTTTCCAGGCATGGTTATGGAGCCTGCTAGTGTGTGGGTGTCCCGGGGCCACACCGTATTAAATAGGCTAGTGATAAAATGGATAGGACAAGATTTCTCATCAGGAACATTTTTAAACACAGAATCTGTTGATTCTGTGTTGGGGGCAGAGGCTGGGAGAAATAGGGAGATATTAGTCAATGCATTACTTTTATAAGTGGGCAACAGAACCCATGTTGTGTGGTCAAAGTACTGCAGAACTTCTCAAGCATTGTACACGTTTCAGTTTTTGACTACGACTTTAATGGTCCACAAGAAAGGCCTCTAAGAATCTTTTTCGTGTCCATTTCTATAAGAGAGAACATAATGCTGTGTTAGACATAGTTGAGATCCATTATAATAATGTCACTACATTTTGAAATAAAATTCTGAAATGCCTTAATACATAAATCCTTTTATGAAGTCTTTAAAATTGGCTGCTAAAACCAATAAAATTATATTTTTGGAACATAGTTAACCACTTTGTGCACATAAGTGAGGCTGTAGAAACTAGGGTTTTTAAATGACTTAAAAGATATATATTTCTCCAAACTATAGGTAATTATATCAATATTACTTTGACAGAGATATAGTAATTCTCCATCTTATAGTAAAATTTATGAAAACATTAAGTAAACCAACAGGTAAATACATTTTTGGTCAAACAAAACTTTAAAAATTATGTTTTTCTTTTATTTGGCTCAAGCTAATTCTTTCTGTTATTTTTATTATTAATTGACTACTCAGGTAAAATTCTATCTGAATTGAATTGACATCATTGATCCCATTGTCAGAAAAGACAGCCCTCTATCCCATTCAATTTATTAAACTGCTAATCTTCTGGACTTTTCTTCAAAGCTTGTCAGTTTTGATCCAAAAAAACTTCAGATTTCATTGTGTGGACCTGTTACTTCTTGTGTGAAAAACAGTATGGTTTCATGGAATCCACTCTTGGCCATTGTTAATATTGTACAGATAGGCACACAAGCATTTAAATATGCTAGCACCTTATTGCAAAAAAAAAAAAGTTCTACTTATATTCATTGCAATTTATTATAGAAAATGTTTTCTGAACTGAAAATTATAAACTGTTGTCAATAATTCAGGTCCCAATTCTGAAGTGTATTGAGATTACCAAACTGTGAAGCAGGAACAATATTTATTCTCTACATAAAGAAAGAAAAGAACTATTAAATGAACTTGATATTATAAGAAGCACTTCAGGTTGTCAAAACTCATATTATGACATCTATAATCTGGCCTAAAATCACAAGCAAACATTCCATGATGGAATGGCAGATCATGCTAGATTTGCTGGTTATTATCAGTTTTATTTTACGTTACCTAAGTAGAATTTAAGCCTTTCAGTTAAAATATGACTCCCAAGCAAAAGGAAGAGGATTAATGGATTAACTATTGTTTGTGTTATCAATAATATTGGCAATAACTATTTGTCTATGGTGCTGTGTCAGTTACAAGGCACTCTGCCATGCATTCTTCCATCTGATCCTCACCAAAGCCTTGGAGATGCTTCAAGCCAAAATTGTTATTATTCTCATTTTACAGATGGAGGTGAAGGAACTGATTTGAGGTCACACTGTGGTAAATGTTCAACACTAATCTCTGGTCCAGGTCCAGTCCAGATCTTCTGATGGCAAACCTTATAATCATTCCACTTCATAAATGGAACACTTAGGTCCAATCAGTCATTTTCTAAATGTGTATTTACTGTTGGTCACAAGAGTTTGTGTGACACTGTGTGGATAATTAAATGCCATCCACCATCTCTACTCGGAAAAACCCAAGGGTGTGTCAGTTAATCAGTCTTAACAGGAAAGATAATGTACTATTATCATTATGGCAAAAGTACACTTGAAAATACAACAAAGGATATTGAAGCTATTAAAATAAGCTTCTTATCCTTAGGGAAACTATTTCAACACTAGAGCTATCATCAAAAGTCCTTGAGACAAGTAACCCAGGAGTGGAATGGTTATGATTACACTTTATAAGCAAACTTAAAAAGATATCAGGAGCTGCTTTACTAGGCCCCTGCTATGAAGTGAAAACTGGAGAAAAATCTACAGCAAAGCATTCTAGCCTGAGGATGTGTACTATTTTGCAACACAGCAGACTGACTACAGCCAAATATTTTCATTGGAAAAATGTAAATGAAAAATGTTGCTCAATTCTGCTACCTGGGTAGTACATAAGACATGTAATTTAAATTCTAATCAGGGATAACAAAAATCCTATGATACTTATTTTGCAAAGGAAAATGGCAGTCCTGGCAAGGTTATAAGTTAGAAAATTATATTTTCTTTGTGTAAATTTGTTCTTTAGCTTCATTCAGTAATCAGAATTATTTATTTCCTTATTCAAATTGTAAGTGCCTTCTAAACCCGAGCCTACTACTATTATGTTGAGCCATGGGAAATTGCCAATATTTGACTATTTTAGTCCATTAAAATGCAGTTTCATATGGTTTAAACTAATATGTGCCAAAGCATGAATAGAAATACTTGCAGGAATACTGTCCTAAGTATAACCTCAGATGCACACAGTATTTTAGCAAAAGTATCAATGGGAAATCAGGCAAGTCCTTTCACTGAAACAATTTATAAGTATAATAATTTATTTTGTGAAGGCCTTTTCTTTACCAAATTAGTAATATGGTGAATATTAAACTAAACCTGAGTCATACTACATTTGTTTTTAAATTTTGTAGGGAAGGGGGGAATAGCAAATAATATTTTATGCTAGTAATCAGGCATTATATCAGTTGTTGTAAGGAACTACATGAAAGTTGGTGGTATACAGGTTACCAGTAGTAAGTTTGGGAACTGTGTTGTTTTGGCTCACAGAATATAAAGCGTGTATGTATATACCTGTGTTTCCACATAGACACACTCTGTTACCCTTATATGTATTGTATAATCACATGTGTAGATGTTCATTGTATCTGGAGTGACAGTTGACACCTTTTAGGGGCATTTTACATGTTTTAAAACCTGACATCCACTTACAGCACTTATCTACTACTCTCTTCAGGATAAACTACCTTTATTGCAAGACTTTTGCTAAAAATTCTTAGATTATGTCAAGGGAAAAAAATCCTCTATTGCTTTTTAAAGAAAAAATTATCAGAATGATTTAATTTTGTGTTATTTTTTATCTCCACATTAGTTTGTTATTTCAGTGGTTATTTCAGTTAAAGACATTTTTCTCTTCCATTATTTCAATTTGTTACATTGTATCCATTTATCTCATAGAAAGATAAACTTTTGTGTTGAATTAGCTGTGGAAGACCAGCTCACACATTAATCACTACTAAGCAAATGCGTTACAAAAAAGAGAGGACAACAAAAATGAGCTGGAATACAGTTTCAGTTCAACCACCAAACGATTTGATATCATGAATAAATTTCTTGGGTATATGTAGCCAGTAAGTAGACCTCAACATTTAGCTATTTTTTTCAATAAATAAATATTGAGCACTGTCTTTATGGCAAACACTGTCTTAGGTGCAGGGGATAATGGACATTATGCTTTTGGGGGATTAGATAAGAGAGGAAATAAGTCAGAGAAAAGATCTCTAGCACAGAAAAGTCTGGTTACAAGATTACAGAGAGAGAGAGAAAAAAAAAACTGTAGTGACTTGTCTAGGGAACTGTGTGGTTGCCACATAGAAAATGTGGAAGGGAGTGATGGGAGACAGGCTATGTTCCTAGCAATTGCCTTGACTCACCATAATTATTTCACCTACTGAATAACTGAATAAATTGAGTAGAGAGGCTGCTTGTACCAAACTGTAAAACAGTTTCAGGATGAGAAAATTACATTTTAAACATACACTTAGGGAAAACAAAAACAAAAACAAAACACCTGCCTTGCAGAAACATGTCATAGAAACAGATTTTAGGCAGAATTATTTCCCTGTACAACAATTGTGATTAAGTAAATGTTAAAATAAAAAGAAGGATGTTTAGCAGCATAAGGAATAGAAACATTTGGAGTTTTAGCTTTAGCTTATACAATGCATCCTGTTTTATAATTGTTTTCCAACAATGTTTACATAATGGGAGGGTCACTCTTTAACATGAGGGGCTCTGTCACTAGAATTGCAGTGTGTTAGCCCCTCATTTTCTCCAGTGTTTTTGTAAATCTTTCCATTGACAATCTTTTAATAATTTCCAAAACAATCGGGGGTAATGTTCGAATTCTAAGTTCTTGTCATAAATGAATCAATCCAGTTGGCAGGAGATGGATGTAGTCTTTTTGCTGGTGTTCCGTGCTAAGAAAAGCACACACATTTTTCTTGAGAGTATGGCTAGCCGAAAAGCATCTGAGAATTGATGGAATCCTAAGGCAGACAGAAACGCCAAAAGTCAAGTAACTGGTTTTGTCTCCAGCACTTACAGTTTGTTGTCTGGGTGCCATGACATACCCTCTACTAGTTAATTCCATTAAGCAACATGGGCCATTTAAATATAGGCAAAACAACAACAAAACAAAGCAAACAAGTAAAAACTCTGTGACCACAGAAAGAGCCTGTAACATAGACAGAAGACTACAAATAGTGTTCTTAGAAGATAAATCATTAAGACAGTAGCAAAATGAGAAGGAATAGTGTCCTGGGCAACATAAAGTGTGTGTACCCTTCTACCTGCACAAACACTCAACTGAAATTTGCCAAGGCTCACTAGTGTCTTTGAGGCACCCTAGAGAGGGGAGGCTAGAAATAACCATCATCCTCAGCTGTTCCATGGTAAGGCCCTACACTAGGACTCAGAGGAGAGATAGTTTGGAACATTTTATCCCTATCAGTGGAAAATAGCACAGTTGGTGCCTAACTTCCTTTCGTTGAAAATAACACAGGTAATTTTTTAGCCAAATGAGATTTTTATCAAAAAAGCAAGCAAAGGCAGAATGTGAAAAGGAGCTGATATCAGTAATTCCAAGGATACTAAAATTTGTTTTAAATAATAAAGAAATAGCATCTTCAGGCCCTTTAGACTTTGGACTCCAAAATTGGATGCAGATCAAATAGGATATTTATATATTAAAAAATCCCAAGAGAACTTGTACAGCATAAGGTAAATACAAATCAAGGTTGAACAGGTATAAAATAATTAGGTCAAGAGCAATCAGCAAAATATATGCAGAACCAAACAATACTTTGATATTCTGGTCTGGAAAGAGAATTTGGGGTTATTCTGAAAAATACTGTCACTACAACTCTGTCCAGAACCCACAGCTGCAGAAATGAGTAAACAAGTCATCTTATTAGAAGACTGCAAGGTTAAAGAACAGCTAAAGATTCAAAACTAAATGACATTCTTGTTAGTTCCCATTGATACGATTATAACTCACACAATTCCCTAAAGGAAAACTACAAAAAGGATGTTTCTTGAGATAGGAATACAAATAAACTTTTGCTTGTTTGTTTGTTTTGTTTTAAATCCAGTGATAAGAATGAATGTTTTCTGTATTTGCTTTTTTTAAAAAAACTCTATATTTTATGTGCAGACATTTAACATAAAATCTTTTCCCAATGTCTTTCTTAGATGATTAGGTAGTTGAAAGACGCTACTGTTTACGAGGCATTGCTAAAAGCTTTTGGGTTCCATGAGGGAGAGGGCCATGACCTACTCCTTTGTACATTTCCCCACTCCTCCGTTTACATCACATAAACATATATGTATGGTCTTCCATGCAGTCAGCCAAATCAGACAAATCATGCCTAGGAGTTGAAAGTGGGAACTGATTTGTCTAGTTTGAATATTCTGATTAGTGAACTAGCTAGCTTAGAATTTTGTGGTATTTGCATATGTCATTCATTTATGTACTACAGCTACACCTAAATCCCAGAAAAATCGGTAACAAAATAACCTATTATTCTAGATTTAAATTTTAAAATCCACATAAGAATATTAATAACACAAATTATTTGTATGACAATGACTTCTATTTTTTTCATTTCACCCTCAGAGATCTATATACTTCCTCTATCCAAAAACAACACAGAAGCAAAATGTTACAGAGACACCAGAATGTTGCCCAGAAAACCATGCATTAATTACTCAAGCCAGGAAATTCCCAATTTTGCAACTCTATTTTATCATTTAAGAGAGATCTTTCCACATGTGTGTTCTAAAAAAGAACAGAGAAATAACCAGTCCTCTGTAACTTAGCAAAAATACAAATTGGTGTTTCCACTTTGATTTCTCTTTTTGAAATAAATTTTCAGCTTGACTTTCTTTTGCCTCGGGTATTCTGGATTATCATTTTGTAGCATCTGGATAATTTTACATTAACATCTGGAGTTGAGGGTCTTTTTATTTGTCGGATGCATATAGAATACTTCTGTAAGAAATGTATTTTCCCAGCTGCTGTTTATTCATTTTAAAGAGACATGGTTAAGTAAGTCTAACAGCCTCCTTAGGAAATTCAATTCCTAAATTCCTTAGGAAACACAAACCATGTTTAATCTGAAGTCCTGCCAGTCTGTTTTCTCTCCTACCAGCTTTTCCCATGGCAGAAATGGTTGAGATCTGTACAGAAGGAGGACTTTAGTCTGGTAACAGGTGGTGTTGCTGAGTGCAAGGGCCTTTGAAATCAGGCCTGGTTTGGAATCTTGGTCCAGCAATCAATAGCTGTGTAATCTTAGGTAACTCTTTGAAGTTTAGTTTCCGCATCTAAGAATGAGGAAGTATAAATACATATCTGCCCACGTTGGTTGTATTAAATGAGATAATTTACATAACACATCCGACTAAGGTGCAGATGTAATAAATGACAGCTGTTATTATCATTTATTTCAGCACGTTGCAGAAAGCAACTTACAATTTCTTCTTTTCCTGACCTCCTAGGGCTTTTATGCATGCAATTAGCAATTTGGGATTTGCACAAGGTTTTTCCAGAGTACAAGATTTTTGAGAGCTGTGACTGAATCTTATTCTTTAGAAACTTGCTCTTTGAGTGGAGGAAAAGGAAGAAACTAAGTTGACTAATGACATTATAAAAGCAGGTAGAGAATCATTTCTTTCTGAGCTTCTGTAGCACAGGCTATGAAGTGTGCTAGTAAAGTAAATACAATTTTAAGCAAAGTTTCAGAAATCACCATAATAAAATAAAGTCTGTAAGTCCCAGCTATTAAACTGGCAGGGACCTACATTCATTAAATTAAATGCAATGTGCAATGTTGTTCGAAAGTTGTTCAAAATGTTTTTAGAATTTTTCTTGGAGTTGATTGCTTTTATAATGATGACTTCACGTCTTGACTCTCAGTGATTTTGTTTGTCTCCTTAGCCCCAAAATTATTCACCTTAAAAGATGAAATTTGGTAATATTAAGACAGTCAAAGGAATGTCCTGAAGTTCTGATCACAGCTATGAATAGTTCTAAAATCTTCTAAATATTTTTGGGATATGTATAGAACCAAGATGATTTGTGTGAAGGGTTTTTCCATTCACTTAGTTGTATTATATTTTAATATAATTGTTTAAAAAAGATTCATGTTATAGTCACAGATTAAAAGGCAGTTTTTAAAGGAGATGAATTAACAGTTTCAGAGAAACAATTTTAATAACATGCATTTTATACATTTATTTATTCTGAAAACAGTAATTTTCAATATACTATTTTCTTATAACCACTTTAAAGAAATTAAGGACTTGCAGGTTGTCTGGTTTTTTACTATTTTTCTTATCCATAGCAAGGTTGGTGCTCAATAATACTAGATGAGCAACTGAATGAAGAGATGACAAAAATAAATGAATTTATTACCACTGCATGTTAAAGAAGTGTACTTTTTTATGCTTGTCTTTGAGAAAAGTGTCAAGGTGGCATACATGACAAAACACAACTTTAAAATGACAACAAAAAATTAAAATTTCACTGAACAAAATAAAATAAAAGAAAAATGCATACTAGCTGCTCATCTGGGATGAGTTAGTTATTGCAATTCAACTTGTAATTTAATGCAGAATTTTCAGACAATTAGGGCCAAAAAAGAAAATGTTAAATTAGCTAGTGTCTGACAAAGAAGAAAGCTTTCAAACTTTCAAGACGAACATTTTATTAGCAATGAATTCTCAGAGCAAATTTAATGCAGTCCTTATGTAAGGATGTCAGATAGAAAAAAGTAAAAGGATTTCAAGCATCACTAGTGCAAAGGACAATATTACTTGCTTATTTCTGCAGTGTAACAAAGATGAAGATATTCTCTTAAATTTTTTACTCAATGATGATTCATGTGTCTCTGAGAAACTAAGATAATATGATTTAATTCTGTGCTTTTGGGATAGTCTAACTTAATTCATGAAGGAGTACAGGGGATGGGCGCTTTGTGTGTCCACTTTGTTTGTCACTCTCAAATGTCAGATGTGCAGGCAAATTCTCAGAGTTAAATTACTTGACAGGAACTTAAGCATCCGTATTTGTTGCCAGGTAGTCTTCTGTGTGGTTAAAGTACAGAATGTACTCCTACAAAAGCAGAGAGGCGGCCCGTTGCCACACAAAAGTGTTTTTTCAGATGGCTTATGGTTAGAACCAATATATTTTTCTAGCATACAGTTTGAGTGATAATAGCTCACATTCCCCGATCACATGCCTTGTGCCAAGTACCATTCTAAATGCCTTGCATCTTGTAACTCATTAAACCTTTACAGTAACCTCATGCAATGTACACTCTTGTTGTTCCCATTTTGCAAATAAGAAAACTGATGGGCAATATTACCTTGCCCAAGTTTATACAGCTGGTAAGTGGCAGAGTCAGGATTTGAACCCAGGCTGATGGTATAGTCTGCGTGCTCAGCCACAATCATGAACTTACCCTCAAACTGCCTGTGTTTGCATAATCATGTGGATACTACAGGATAGATTCTTTAGACTCATCTTATGTAGGAGGAATAGTGACATGAACCATCATAAGAGGAGCATTAACTAAACTTTGCTTGTCTTACCCATGAAAGAACATCAGTGTGACTCCCTGCCAAATATCTGATAATGAAAAGAAATGCATTGTGATCAGCAAGATAAAATGAAGAAAATAAAAATGTACACTGAAATAGCTGAACGAATGAATTAACAACCTATTTTATAGCATTGTGCTGGAGAAGAATGCTCATCTTACAGAGGTGATTGTGTCTAATAAAAACTGCACTGGATTTGAAGTAAAAAATAAAAAACAAAAACTGGATCTAATTTCCAATTCTATCACTCGTAGTCTCTGTAACCTCCTAGTCTCTTTCACTGGGATCTTAGATGTGCCTTCTTAGAAGCTAAATTTTCTTATCTGTGAGTTGGTTTACGATTCCTTCTTCCTCTATCCACTCACTTTATTGTGATATCAAAATAAGATAGCATATGTGCATATCCTTGGAGATTTTAAAGCTATCTGAAAATGTGCCATATTTAAACATACTGAACATAGTTAAAAGACATGCATCTGATTAATGTAAAAACTATACCAATTTATTGTAGTCCACTTGGAAAGACAAGTAGCTTACTTAAAGATCTATTTTGTTGCATTTAAAGTTGGAAATGAACCTGATATAAATCTCTTCCCAACTACTGTGATCCTGTCTTTAATACAACTTTAATAGACTGGAACATATGCCAAGAGTATACAGTCAGAATCTCTCTAAGAATCAAAGACTGATGAGAAACCTCTGAAAGCTGTGAAAAGTGTGTTATTGTTTTTAATTGCTTCCCTAAAGAATGAGAGAAGGCAAAGCTGGGACCCTAGTGGTATTGATGGGCTGTTGCTCCTTATCCATGATGTGTAAGAGTGAGGAACTAAGTCTGAAAACTTTTTAAGGGGAAAATAGCAGTATAGCATACTGAAAGTTTTGTTGTAATATTTAAAAATGCCAATTAAAAAATAGTGCAAAATTGTATAACGCAATTATATGAGAATTGTTTTGGGATCAGCGGTCCAAAGACAAAGAAAGTCCCCTCTTCTCTCCATGTTCTTTTCACTGCTAGCAGCAATTAACATTTGGCATATATCCTCCTAGATTTCATTTTTTATGCATAAGTGAAGACATATCAATAAAATGTGTTCTTGTTATATTACATAGTTCTTGTTTTAACACAAGTGGAATTATCCTCTACATGGTGTTTATGATTTGTTTTTGCACTTATGAGGTTGTGTTTAAAATGTTGTACATTTTTTTAATTTTAGCATTGGTAAATTTACTTTGTTTTTATTTTAACATAGTATTCCACTGAAATGTAATTATACTGCAAATTATTTATCATATCTCCACTGACGGTCCTTCAGGTTATTTCTAACTTTTCTTGATTATAAGCAATGTTGTAATGACTATCTTGTACAAGTATGTTTATACTCTTCCATTAATACTTATGTAAATAAATCTGATAAGGGAAATTGTAGGCTAAAGCATATATTATACATTTTATTTTATTTTTTATTAATTAATTAATTAATTATTTATTTATTTTTGAGACGGAGTCTCGATCTGTCGCCCAGGCTGGACTGCAGTGGCTCGATCTTGGCTCACTGCAAGCTCCGCCTCCCGGGTTCACGCCATTCTCCTGCCTCAGCCTCCTGAGTAGCTGGAACTACAGGCGCCCGCCACCACGCCTGGCTAATTTTTTTGTATTTTTAGTACAGACGGGGTTTCACCGTGTTAGCCAGGATGGTCTCGATCTTCTGACCTCGTGATCTGCCCACCTCGGCCTCTTAAAGTGCTGAGATTACAGGCGTGAGCCACTGCTCCCGGCCCACATTTTATTTTTGATATGCACTGGCACAAAATTGTGTGAAGAACCAATTAATAAATATGTCTAAGGAATATAGTTTCCATTGTTTTAATTATCAAAAAATTATCACTTACATGGGCTCTAGTTATACCCATGATATGACCAATTTAAGAAACTTGAAAATATAATTTCTAGCACGTGTATACTAATGCGAGATAGAGAAGTTTTATTTACAACCAGAAATTGTTGGGTCCATAAAAGAAACAAATATGTCTAGAACATTTTAAAGTTGCCAGAGCAGATTTCAAGATATTCCAGCCTGAGTCCCTCAGATATGTATTTTGGTGATTGTAAAAATATCAAAAGAAATTATTTGTGTCCGAAAGTCACAATATGCGTGAGTCATCAACACAATAAGATAAGGCTAAAATTGAGTTTCAGATATTTTGGGATTTCTGAAAAAAATTTATAAAAATCCATAATGTAATCATTTGTAAAATTTTAAAGTTTATCATTACGAAAAGGAAAGTCAAAATCAAATGAAATAAAACAAGCTTTGTTCCATGGGATAGTGTCAGTCATAAAGACTTACTAGTTAGGTGCTAATTCATTTTGAGCTTACAGGGTTTTATCAGGATCAGACTAAGTAAAAATGTATAATTATTTTATAAATAAAAATGTTTTGGGGTTTCAGATTTAAAAATCAAGAGTAAGAAGTTTTACAATATTTACTAAAGATTACGATTAGTATACCACAAAACATCTGAACTTTAGATATTATTTATATGACCTTAAAAGTCAGACCTTTCCCTGCCAATGACTTAACTTCTGTCTTTAGTGCTATTTTGTTTGAAGGCTTATTTATCTGCTATGAAGTGATTTTTCTACGACTTTCTACATGTCTCTTCACATTGGGTTAGGAAATCTTCAAGGAAATTAATATCCTCGGGTATACACAACCTTTTGCTGTGGTATTTGCTCTGACATGGAACAAAGGCAAAAGATACGGGAAAATGTAGAAGTGGGCATTATAGAAGAATCCAAATGTGTCTAATGTCTTCTTCATACTAATTCCTTCTAGCCTTTATTTAAAAAATAGCTTCTGAATTGCAAGGATATTTTTAAGCCACATGAATCAGTATGCCCCTTCAGCTGGACTTTTCAAGGAGCCTGTGAATGCTGAAATGATTAACATTATGTGAAGCTAAATTGCACTGAACCGTGGAACCATGTGGTGTGGCAATAGTGGGTGGGGAGACATATTAGTCTAGAGGTCCCTGCTGAGCAAAAGACAAAGACCTCCTTCTCCATTGTCCCGCACTGATGGTGGGCTTGGGATGTATTTTCAGAAATAATTATTTGCAGGGAACTTATAAAAACAAATGAATCACCCTCATCACTGTGCTTGTTCCGTTTTGGGATGTTTGTCTACTAGACTTTCTAAATTGGGAGATTTAGAAATTCAGTAAGAAAGATATTTAAAAAAATTTTTTGAGGTCCTCAGTGTCTTCTGCAAGTACACTTTCAATTTTTATTACAGACAGACTCTCTTGATGCTGTTGTTTACCATTGCATTTTTATTTAACTTGAATATTTTAATTTAGCATGAGTCATTCCCATGGATTAGCAACTTTGTATGCTAGCATATCTAGTTGTATCTTCTGTGTGTTTTCAATGGTGTGTCTGCTACTCCAAAGATCTTCCTGAATTTTACATATTAGAAGTGGCATAGCCTCATGACACTTTATATCAAGCAGGAAGTTCTGGAAGATGATGCTAACAAATACCTCAAATCTGGAAATTGTAGGCTTTAGAAAAATAAAGTCATCTTGTTAGTGAATCTCTATATTAGACTTTCTAATACCTTATAAACAGGTTTTCAGAAATTAATTATATTTATAGCCTCGAGAAACTAGGGAAAAAGCTGGATCTCAAAGACATTATTACAAAGCAGTAGTAAATTATAAACAATATATTTTGAATTCATAATTAAAATTAACGAGTCAATTTTCTGAGGCATTGACCTATTAAAGATTTATGAGTTACCTAAAATCCCAAATCTTCCCTGAGGTAATAGCTTCAGTTGAGATAAAGGGAAGGTATCTTATTTGTCGCTTCACTGCAGGAAAAAATAAAATTTGTGATTATGACTCATTATCATGATGCCTATTGCAAAATTACAGCTCACTCTTAAAATTATGTGAAAAAAGATCATTAAATGTTTTAGACATTTCTTAAAACTTATAAGCAAAACTTTCAAGTTTTTTAAACTGATTTACTGGTTGTATATGTAGCTAATTGACTATGAAAACTTGAAGCTTAACTCTTTGTAGACCTTCCATCATACCATTGCTTTATAAATTATTACCAGAATATTGAAGGAAATAAACTTTTTTCTAACCATATTTATGCAATCAATATTTATTAGGTAGTTTTTGAGAAAATCTTATATGAGAACTTATTCCTTGTATACCAAATGTTTCATGGAACACCACCAGCATAGACATTTTTGTTTACTCTGTGCAACTGGATTTCGTTCTGGGGAGCTTCAATTTGTACATGAGCTCATTTTCACAAACCATCTTACCGATACTTAGAGTCCAAAGTGAAATTCAGGAACTATGGCCCAGCAAGCTTTCATGTGCTATTCTTTGCTTCATGACTTTGGAAATCTATGGGAGACCCTGTATCACTAGACAGAATACTGAAAAGCAGGATTACATATGAAGTTTACCATCTGATTTTTTTCCTAAGGGTTTTTACATGAACGTTTATTCCTTGTCTTTTTGTGTGGATTCAGCAATCTCCAGGTTTACTGAACAGGGGTTGTGAAGGGCAGTTGTTCACAACTGAGCTCATTCCCACTGTGTTGATATACTCCGGTTCCCCCACATAGCTCCACCCCGCTAACTCCCAACCTCATGCATAGCTCCACCACACTATTGGGCTTGAATCTAGGCTCTGCCACTTTCTAGCTGGTTCCTGAGCAAGTTCTTTAACCTCTCTGAGCCTGTTTCCTCATCCACAAAAAGGATGAAGAACAAAAAGGACGAGGCAATACCTTCTTAACACTGATAATTAAATAAGATAAGCTTAAATTATAAAATCAGCACAGAGGGAATGTAAATTGGTTCAACCATTATGGAAGGAAAAAAGTAGGAAGGTTCCTCAAAAAATTCAAAATGGGACTGCGAGGCCGGGTGTGGTGGCTCAAGCCTGTAATCTCAGCACTTTGGGAGGCTGAGGCAGGCAGAGCATTTTGAGGTCAGGAGTTCGAGAGCAGCCTGGCCAACATGGTGAAACCCTGTCTCTACTAAAAAACATCCAAAAATTAGCCAGGCATAGTGGTGCACGTCTGTAATCCCAGCTACTTGGGAGGCTGAGGCAGAAGAATTGTGTGAACCGGGCAGGCAGAGGTTGCAGTGAACTGAGATGGTGCCACTGCACTTCAGCCTGAGCGATAGAGTAAGACTCTGTCTCAAAAAAAAAAAAAAAGGAACTACCATATGATCCAGCCTTCTCACACATATATATATGTGTGTGAGATATATATATATATATATTCAAAGCAATTGAAATCAGGATCTCAAAGAGATATCTGCATTTCCGTATTCATTTTAGCATTATTCACAATAGTCAAGATATGGAAGCAACCTAAATATCTGTTGACAGATGAATAAATAAGGAAAATGTGGTATATACATACAATAGGATATTACTTAGCCTTAGAAAAAGAAGGAAATCCTGCCATTTCAGGCAATGTGGACAACATGAAGGACATTATGTTAAGTGAAGTAAGCCAGGAGTGGAAGGACAAATATTACATGATATCATTTATATAAGGAAACTAAAATAGTCAAAACTCAGAAACATGAGAGTAGAATGGTAGTTACCAGGGTCTGGGTTGGAGGGGGAAACAGGAAAGTATTAGTGAAAGGATAAAAAGTTTTATTTATACAAGATGAATTAAGTCCTCGAGATCTACTGTACCGCATAGTGCCTAGACTTAACATTACTGTATCGTATGCTTGAAATTTTCCTAACAAAGTCAATCTTACAAATGTTCTTATCACAAAATAATAATAATAAAGAGAGTGAGAGAAAACTTTTGGAGGTTATTGATATATATGTGGCAGAGACGGTGGTGATGGTTTCGCTGGTGCATACTTATCTCCAAACTCATTAGGTTGTATACATCAAATACGTAAGGCTTTTTGTATGTCAATCAACCTCAACATGTTTTTTTTAAAGCAGTATAGAAATACCTATTTTTTAAAATTATTACAACTGAAAGCCTTCTAACTTGTGGTGTTTTCTTGAAATAATAATCGTATCTTGGTTAATAGTTGAGATCTAAAAGCTTAGGCCTAAATTCAGATAGAAAGCTTGGCACATCTGTTGTAAGTTTTGAAACCAGGTGCACAGACCATCTTTGTTCCAGACGATCTTCTCAGGGATGTTTGTAAAGTGAACAGCCTTGGAAGGTAGAGATGATGTCCCCCTGGGAAGCAAAGGGTAGGTTTACTCATAGCTTGGGAAGAGAGAGATGGTGTCTCCCTCCAGATGAGGGGAATATATTTACCACCCATAAGAAAAGATTTGAACCCATTAAGCTGAGGGTTCCTCTTCTGTAACACCACCCACTGTGAGTGGAGGCATCAGCTGGCCTGCTTTCTATCTCTCTGCAGGAAGTAGAGCCCAGGCAACTGGCACCAAATATGCCAAAGCTTATGCTGCTTCCTGGGCTGTGAGTAATAAAGTCCCTTTTCCCTCTTTTAGAAGTCTCATATGTTCTGTCAGCAGCCACCAAGCTGTGTCAGGCTAAATTGCTGTCTTGCAAGTAGAATAAAATCCCAGACCCTTTGCAATCTTTTTCATAAAAAAAATTTTAAATACCATATATTTACCGCATACAGTTCAGAATTATTTATTAATAGTATATTCACAGAGTTGTGCAACCACCACCACAATCCAATTTTAGATCATTTCAACAACTCAAAAAGAAACCTTGTACACGTTAAGTGTCATTCCTGTACCCACTCCCTGAAAATCTGCTTGCTCTAGCTGTGTTGGATTGATGTCAGAACACAGGAGGGAAGGGCAAATGCAAGGGAGCAGGTAAGAGGCTTTCACAGCAACTCGGGACAAATGATAGTGGCTTGGAGCAGGGTAGCAGCATGAAAGTAGTGAGAAGTGGCGGAATAGAAGATACATTTTCAAAGTGGAACCAATAGTATTTCCTGACCAATTGGCTCTGCCAAGAGGATGTGCTGATCAATTTTCCGTGAGGTGTGAGAATGAGATGGCTGAGGGATGAGTCCATGGTTTTGGCATGAGCAAAGGGAAGGATTGAGTTGCTTTGAAATGAGTTGGGGAAGACTGTGGGCATAGCAGGTTTTGACAGAGAAGAATAGGAGTTCAGCATTGCATATGTTAACTGAAAATGTCTATTAGACATTTTGGTGAAGCTGAATAGATAGTGTATAGTATTCTGGAATTCAGATGAGAAATGCTGCTTAAAGATACGAATTAGAGAATTTAAAATCATGAGACTGCATAATATCACCCAGGAAGTACAAGAAGACCTAGAAAAGTAACAGTCTGAGAACTGAGCTCTAAGGAACATCTACCTTTAGAGGTCAGAGAGATGAAGTAGAGCTTGTAAAACCAAGGAGCAAGCACACACAGTTTTGGACACAGAGATTTCCCATAAGAGCATTGCAAACGTTACATATTCTCTTTGTTGGATGTGAAAATAATCTTTTGGGAAATGTGTGCTTAGACCTTGATGTGATGCATAGGGACAAATTTCTAATTCTATTTGCTTCCTAAGAAAATGAAATGTTACTAAATAAACAGCGTCAGGGCAAGGAGTCCAGGTCCATAAAGAAAAACTTGCACAGCATGGTGAATAAAATTAATAATGGTGTATTGCAGATTTTAAAATTGCTAAAAGAGTAAATTTCAAATGCTCTCATCATAAAAAATATTAGTATTTGAGGGAATGGGTATGTTACTAGCTTAATTGAATTATTCCACATTGCATTCATATATTATAACATCACTTTGTACCCCATAAATTTACATAATTAGAAATTGTCAATTTACAATAAAAAATAAAAAGCCATCAAAAAACGCCAGGCAAAAATATGTGATATACTTATACCCATATTTAAACCTACACCATAAATTATATTTAAATTTATAATTCTGCCTGCTGCTGTTTTCAGTAATTAATATCATTAAGAAAGCACAGGTTAAATCAAATTTCAACACAGTATCATTTCAGTATAAAATCTCATATTTTGAATAAAACAAACATATCTTTACACATTATTAAATGAACTACGCTGACAAATTTTGTTTCTTTTTTTGAGAACCAGAAAAACAATTATACTTAGATGGGCCATCTAAAATGTCCTTCCAGCTTGTGGAGTAGGTTGTGTTTGTTTTTCAATGAACATCTGTTTGACAAATTGAAATGCTAATTATGATTTATCATTTCCATGACATCAAATATCCAGATAGTAATAAACGTTGATGACTAACTATATTTTTCAGTTTCAGCCAGATGTTTGGCATCACGTAAGATACCACCTTAGTTTTACATAAAAATAAAATGTTTCTTGAGTCTGGCTTATCATAATGGGGAGGAAACTAATATGAATGAAGCAGAATGGTTCATTTTTTTTCTCAATGTGTACAATTCTACTGGTAAGACTTTTACAATATCATAAATAAAATTGTACTTTAAAATAAGTGTCTTTCAAACTTTTACAAATACAAAGAAAGCCAGAATCAAAACCCAATTTTGAATATCAAGTGTTAAATATGAATATCAGAAACTGAATATATCATCAATACAAATTTTAAAAAAAATAAGTTTGTAAATTCAGAGTTTATCCCTCAGATGTTATTTCAAGCATATATCATAGTGACATATCCTTGAATATATATTTAAGATCCGATAGGGACTGGGCACAGTTGCTCACACCAGCATTTTGGGAGGCTGAGGCAGATGGATTGCTTGAGCTCAGGAGTTTGAGACCAGAATGGGCAACATGGTGAAACGCCACCAGAAAAAATGCAAAATTAGCAAAGTGCGGTGGTGTGCACCTGTAGTCCCAGCGACTTCGGAGGTTGAGCTGGGAGGATTGCTTGAGCCTGGTAGGCAGAGGTTGCAGTAAGCTGAGACTGTGCTACTGCACTTCAGCCTGGATGACACAGGCAGACCCTGTCTCAAAAGAAAAAAAGAAAAATCTGATATGATAATTTAGAATATGGGTCCTCAGGGCCATAAAACAGCATATGCTAGTTTGTTGGCTTTTACTCACCATGCTGTGCACTAAAAGTAAAAAAATATAAAGTAAAGCCCATTCTTTTAACTGAGATTTTGTGCCCTTTGACATAATCTCTCCATTCCCACAGCCCTCAGCCTCTGTAACTTCTATTTCACTCACTCCTTCTAAGAATTTGATTGTTTTACATTTCACATGCAAGGGAGAACATGTAATCTTTCCAAATGACAGAATTTTCTTTTTTAAAGCTAAATAGTATTTCATCGTGTATGTGTACGACGTTTTCTTTATCCATTCATCTGTTGATGGACAGGTTGATTTCAAAATGTGGCTAATGTGAAGTGCTGCAGTGAACATGGGAGTGCAGATATCTTTTCGGCAAAACTGATTTCACATCTTTTGGGTAAATACCTGGAAGTGAGATTGCTAGATCGCATCGTGATTCTACTTTTAGTTGTTTTGGAAAACTCCATGTAGTTTTCCATAATGGCTGTACTAATTTACATTCCCACCAACAGTGTACAAGGATTCTGTTTTTTCCATATTCTCGCCAACATTTGTTATCTTCTTTTTGATATTACCTATTCTGACAGGTGTGAGATGATATCTCATTGTAATTTTAATTTGCATTTCCCTAATGATTAGTGATTTTTTCATTTATCTCTTGGCCATTTGTTAGTCTTCTTTTGAGCAATGTCTATTCAGCTTCCTTGCTCATTTTTAATTTTTTTTTCTTCCTCTTAAGTTGATGGAACTCTTTATATATTTGTGGATATTAACTTTTTATTGAATATATGGCTTACAAATATTTTCTCCACATTCATAGTTTGTCTCTTCACATTGTTGCTTCCTTTGTTGTGCAGAAGCTTTTTAGTTTGATATGACCCAATTTGTTTGTTTTTACTTTTGTGGCCTATACTTTGGGGGTCAAATTCAAAACATTATTACCCAGATCAATGTCATATACTTTCTCCCCTGTGTTTTCTTCTAGCAATTTGGAGTTGCTGGCCTTATACTTAAGGCTTTAATTCATTTCGAATTGAGTTTTGTATATGATGTGAAATAAGGGGCCAATTTTATTCTTCTGCATGTGGATACCTAGTTTCCCCAACACCATTCATTGAACAGACTATCCTTTTCTCATTGTGTATTCTTAGCATCTTTGTCAAAAATAAATTGGTTGTACATGCATAAGTTGATTTCTGGGCTATTATGCTGCATTGACCTATATTTCTTTTTTGCCAGTACCATGCTATTTTAATTAATACTACAATAGCTTTGTAGTATTGTTTGAAGTCAAGTAGTGTGATATCTTTATTTTTGTTTTGTTTGCTCATGATGATTTTGACTGTTCTTGGTTTGTTGTGGTTCCGTGCGATTTTAAAATTGTTTTTTCTATATCTGAAAAATGACATCAAAATCTTGATAGTGGTTGCACTGAAATCTGTAGATTGCTTTGGGTATTATGAACATTTTAACAATATTAAATTCTTCCAATCCATGAACACAGGATATCTTTCCATTTATTCATGCCTTCTTCAATTTCTTTCATCAACATTTTACAGTTTGCAGTGTATGCAGATCTTTTCAACTCCTTGGTTAAATTTATTCCTAAGCATTTAATCTTTTTTATAGCTATTGTAAATGGGATTTTTTAACTCCAAGTATATTTCATAGATGGCATTGATACAGTAAAATCCTTTATTCTGTAAATGGCATTTATATAGTAAAATCTTTTCCATGGTGAATGATTATTAGTCTTAAGTGAAATACAAAGATTTGATTTTATAAGTGAAATATTTCTTAAGTAAACTATCCTTGGCTGCCAGTTTCTTTCTTAAAAGTTTAATATTTCCCAGCAACTTCCTGTGGTTGACTCTTAAGGATACTGAAGCTGAAAGGAGCCCAGCAATTCTGGGTGATGGAGGAAATACGTGGCCAGGCTCTGCTGTCCGTATCTTCCTCAATTTTCAACTTGAATTTTATACTTCTACTCTGACCTTTAATTTTTGTGATCTAATTTCCTTTTCCCCAATAATATTTGTTTTTGAACTAGTCTTCCTCATGCCATTTAAAGAAAAATTTCAGGAATAAGGAAAAACACAGGAGTATTAAAATGGAGAAACATCAATATTGTTATAAACAGAGCACCCCAAAATAATTATTTTGAAAGAGATGCACTCATTTGAATTTATAAACTCTGGAATGCTTATTTTAAAATTAACTAATGTGTTAACCTACATACAAATTTGTATTTTTACTTGAAGGAAAAGCAGCATTGCTGGTAGTGCACATGTGCTTCTGTACATACAGATTGTACACATTGAGGATGATGTTTATGCCATAAGAGAATCATTTCCTCTCTTTTTATCAGGGCCATTACATCATTTCTCAAATAGACCACTGTTAGGAAGTAGGGATATATAAGTATAAGGGAGGAGACTCAAGTAAAACCAGAGTGGTGCATATCCTACAAATTGAGAATAAGGCATATTTTATCTTTTAAAATAACATATTTTGGCCGGGCGCGGTGGCTCACGCCTGTAATCCCAGCACTTTGGGAGGCCGAGGCGGGCGGATCACGAGGTCAGGAGATCGAGACCATCCCGGCTAAAACGGTGAAACCCCGTCTCTACTAAAAATACAAAAAATTAGCCAGGCGTAGTGGCGGGCGCCTGTAGTCCCAGCTACTTGGGAGGCTGAGGCAGGAGAATGGCGTGAACCCGGGAGGCGGAGCTTGCAGTGAGCCGAGATCCCGCCACTGCACTCCAGCCTGGGCGACAGAGCGAGATTCCGTCTCAAAAAAAAAAAAAAAAAAAATAACATATTTTAGAGACTCAGTAAAATAATTTTAAAGGGGCAGAAGTACAGATGTAGCTGTTAGGAGGAAGCATTATTTCAGCTACAGCACATTATTGGAGGATAGGAAGAGCATATGGTATTCCAGTGAAAGAGCTTAATTATAATAGAGCAGAAAGGATTAGAAACAGAAAAGAAGGTGGATTATCAGGAATAAAGTCAAAGAAGGGACTGAATATTGATCAGATTTTCAGAAAAACCTGCAAACAAACCCCACCACATACTAGCACTAGTCATAGGACTGAGATTTGTCAAAGCTAGCTCTCTTCTGGTGCACTCTGGTTCACTGTGAATATAAGTGGGCCATAGAGTGTGACCATTGTGGTCTCTGGCCCTAGGCCATGGAGTGAGATAATTGAGACAAGAGAAGTCTGTATATCATCTCTCCACATAAGCAATAGAGCTGATTGGGCTGCCTGTAAACAAGATTTTAGAGACTCACTTTTCTTTTTCTTAAAAGACTGCCACACTTAGCCATCTGATATGGAATGGCATCTCCTCTTAATGAGCCTGTGTCTTTATTTGCACCTTATCAAACTGGGAGATACTGAAGATGGCAGTGATGCTGATAGTGGTGAGACATGGAAGATGTAGAGGAAACCTACAAAGAAGCCTGAGATAGGAGAGAAAGGGTAATTTTTAGAAGTAGATTGGGAGAACTGCATTCTGGGCAATAAATATTCACTGGACTTACAGCGTATTCCTTTTTTTAAGGAACCAAGTTCACAGTTGTTAGAACTACAAGAGCACAACATTACATAATCATGACATCAAATAAGCATAAAAATAATGCTTATTTTTAATTTTTACAGGTGCCATTTTATAAACTATCTCTATAAAGAGATTAATGTTAGCTTCTTGTTTTGGAAATAAGATAATGGGAGGGAAGGATAAATGAAACAGTTTTGTTGCCATCTCTCATTGTGAGCCAGTTTAGAAATGAAAACAAACAAACAAAACAACTCTTAAGCCCAACAGCAACATTCATTATAATTTTCCTAATTACACTCCCTTTTCTTTTTGCTAAGAAAGAACGGTTGTATTTTTGTCCTTAATAGAAAAGGGAACAGTGCCTAAACAACCTATTATAAATTCTTCTGGGAAAGCATATTACAAATAATTGAAAACAACCCTGATTCTGTGAACTTGGCAGCAAATGTATAAAAGAAAGCAATTCAGCCCTGGCCCCTGGATGATTGATTAAATGTTTTATTCTTTTTACCTTTCATTCATGCTGTGTTTGTCAAGAGGAAAGAGAAAAGGAATGTTGTGAAATGAAGTCCACTTTAGACAAATAACTTACAATAATGATCAGTGACTTCTCATCAGCTGTTTATTCATTTTTCTTGAGTTGTAATATTTCTTAATATTAGCTATCCTGCATGGACCCGACAGAAAATAAGGTCCTGAGTTTTAGCTTGTCCCCAACTCCCTGCCAGCTAACCATCAACACAAGCTGTATCTGAGCTTCTTTGAGGGCATGGCCCTGCAGCTCCCTGTGGTCAGTTATTAGTCTGAGTCCAGCAAAGGAACAAGAACACTGTGTGCTTGCTAAATCTACAGAAAACTTCATCTTCTGGTTGTGTGGGAGGAGAGGTCCCTTTGTGTACTCTGTTTCTTTGAAGGAACTAGGGATCTGTTGGTGCTGTACAGATGTCGAGGTGCACAGAGCCAACATCCTACAAAACTAGTAAATAGATGATTAGGATCCAACTCTGTACAGAATAATGGTAGGAACCTAAACCTTGGGGTACTGTTTACTTGTATCAAAATTGTTGTTGTCCTATAAGCCATGTAAAATTAACTACAAATCTCCTCAATGAAACACTTTCTTAGAACTTTGATATTTTTAAATGATATCTCACCATCTGTGTACATCACAATGTTGAGCTACAAATGTGGTGGCTCTAACAAAATTTTAAGTATGAAGTCAGATGTATAGAGGATCCCTTCTCCATCACGTTCTTCTGTTTTTCATTTCCCGCTTCTCACAAACTACTCCCCAGATGTCAATAATTCTACAATCTCCTCTTCCTACAACCTTCGTGTTGGTCCTTAGTCGTCTACTCTGATCTCAACCGCAAAAGTCAGGGGATGAGACTATAGGCCATCCCCAGAGCAACAGCCTCAGCACCTCAGCACAGATCTGGAGGGGATTTGAGCTAGAAAGAACTCTGACCTTACTCTTTTTTTTTTTTTTTTGAGACAGAGTCTCGCTCTGTCACCCAGGCTGGAGTGCAGTGGCACAATCTCGGCTCACTGCAAGCTCCACCTCCCGGGTTCATGCCATTCTCCCACCTCAGCCTCCTGAGTAGCTAGGACTACAGGCGCCCGCCACCACGCCTGGCTAATTTTTTGTATTTTTAGTAGAGACGGGGTTTCACTGTGTTAGCCAGGATGGTCTCGATCTCCTGACCTCGTGATCGGCCCGCCTCGGCCTCCCAAAGTGCTGGGATTACAGGCGTGAGCCACCGCACCAGCCTCTGACCTTACTCTTAATTGCTTGCATGAAAATTGGATATGGATAAGAATGCAAACCCAAGAACATGTCCTGCTTTCCTTGATGCACATTCTCCTATTGATGTTCAGTGACCTTAGCATTTCCAGAAGCACCTCTTTATTGTGGATGGAAACTTACTTATTCATGTTGTCTCAGGCTGTCCAGGTTGGTAACAGGTAACTGCTATAAAGGGTGGAGCACATCCTGCTAAATGGAGAGATCCAGTGTCATTTACATTTTTTTTAACTCTTTCAAGGGTAATGGCAACTAACAATAGTTTCTCCTGTGTGCTAGATATTGTTCTAATCATTTTACATAAATTATTTCTTTTAATCCACCAAACAGCACTATAAGATAGATATTATTTTTATTTACCTTTGTTAGAGAAAACTGAGGTATAGAGAGATTAAGTAAATTGTCTAAATTCACACAGATAGTAAGTGGAGGAGCCAGAATTTGAACACAAGCAATTTGTCTCCAACAAATTTGATCTTAAACTATGGTTAACTCTCTGAACACACACACAAACACACATACGTACATGCAATCACACAAAGTATCAGGCACATGGGGATAGACAATATTAGAAAAGCATATACATACAAACATCCTTACAGTTGTACACATAGACTCAGGTTTATAAACCCACTGAAGTGAAGACTCATCATTTATGAAAATATACAATTTTGTTCTGCAAAATAATTTAATTTTTTAAAATTCCTTGTGCAATGAGAAAAGATCAGAGAGGCCTACAGTTTCCTTTTACAGAGCTAGGCCAGGGGCTGTATTTAGAGTAATTGAACACATGATTTTACTTGAATGCGGAGAAACTTGACCAACTGTGAATATGCAATTTCACTCTACAGATGAAATAAAATTAAACGGGGCAAAAGTAAAGAAGAATGGAGACTAGGTAAAGTGATGGAAAGAGACACCAAAAAATTAGTCATGTGAAAGCAAAACTAAGAGGAGAGGGAAAGGTGGCAAAAGAAGGGAACATTCAGAGAATGTTGATATATTGAGAGGTGAGAATAGGGAGTTGGTAGGCAAGTGTCAGAGTGTGGGAGGATGGTGACAGTCACTAGGAACTCCAGTTTGCATACACACAATGTTAAGAACATTAGAAATTAGCTAGCCAATGGAATGCTCAGTCTTGAAGAGCTTGTGTCTCTGCTTAAACTCCTGTATGCATTAGTATGATTCCATAAATTTAAAGTCTCTGACATCTTGAGTTTTAAGCTTTCTGAACATTAAATCAGTGGAGGCTGCTAGTAGCTATCCTGAAATGCTGCTTCTATACATATGAGTAAAAATCCAAATTAATGTATTTATACAGCTTTTCATTTGTGTACTCGTAAAATACACACACACACAGAGACAATTCAACACACACACACACACGCGCACACACAATTCAACTTTTCTCTGAAGAACCTTTGAGTCAGAGAATGAGAATGAAGGAGACTGAATTTCTCTTTTAAGTTCCTGTCTAGGTTTTGTTCCAATCTAATGACACAGGATCTGGCACTGTATTTAGACCTCCTGCTCCAAGATTTTATTTTTATTTTAAACAAGTGTTCCCACACGGGGACTGAAAACAAAACAGGAAAATGTTGCTTAAGTTTTCCTTTGAGCTGCTGTTATCTGACTTTCAAGTGTACTGATTGTTCCGTCTCACCAATGTAGGTCATTGTACTCTCAGTTACTTTGTTTTCTATCGGAACTTTCTCTAGCAGCTCTCCACATTAAGGGAGATCATGTTATTTCACATATTTATTTTTGTTATTAACATATTTTCTTCATCTCCCTATAATTTGAGGTTTTAGCACTTTCTTCTTTGTAGAATTTACCATAAAGCATACGTATTTTTGAAAACTAGGGAATAGCTTTTACTTACTAAAGTACTTAAGTACTAAACCTATCATAACCAATTTCATTTATTAAGATGTTAGTAAGACTTTAGGAGTTGTTGGTTCTTTTCCGGAGAATAATGCTTTAGCCCAGCAGTCCCCAACCTTTTTGGTACCAGGGATTGGTTTTGTGGAAGACAGTTTTTCCATGGAATTGACAGGGGGGATGGGGAGTGGGGATGGGTTTCCAGATGAAACTGTTTTACCTCATATCATCAAGCATTAGTTAGAGTCTCATAAGGAGCCTGCAAGCTAGGTCCCTCACATGCACAGTTTACAATAGGGCTTGTGCTCCTTTGAGAACCTAATGCCACAGCTGCTGATCTGACAGGAGGTGGAGCTCAGACACCTCCTTCTGTGCAGCCTGGTTCCTAACAGGCCACAGATAGTACTGGTCCATGGCCCAGCAGTTGGGGACCCCTGCTTTAGCCCTCAACTCTTAGGCATGTTTCAGTTCTGATTTTGGTCAGCATAGAGCTTTCCTTCTATTTACCAGGAGGGTCTCTACTGATATGGATCAATGGCAGGAGGTGATATTGGGTCTGGAACTATCCTTTGGCTTAGTGACATTTGTACTCTAATCTGCCTCACTCCTGCCCCTTCTCAGGGGACCTGGGCACCGTCGGATCCCATGACAGGTCCTACATGGTGACCTAGGGCACGGTAAAAAGTCTACCCCAGGAAGCCTAGAATGGATAGAATACAAATTCATCCAACACAAATTCATGAAGAAAAGCCAAGATCTGCAGAAAATCAAACAGTAAAGACTATTCCAGAAGAGCAACAGGAGGACGATAAAGAGGAGATGGAGTTAAAATACTGGGTCTGTCATAGACAGGATTGGAATGGAATCCCAAATCAGATGATAGAATGAAGGGAAGGTACATGGAATAGACTCTCACTAGTGGTGAGCTTTCGGTCACTACAAGTCTTCAAAAGGGGCCTAGATGACCAGTTCTTTTTCATCCAACAAATGCTTATTGAACCCTTCCTCTGTGGGTAGTGATGGGCACATTCAGTGAATTCAGACTGGAATCGAACACATTGTAACCATTAAATGAGTTAATCTTATATGAGTTCATACATACAGATCACATGCAAGAGTGTCTCATATCCAGTAAGTTTGCAAGAATAACTACTATTGTTTTTGTGTACAAGATCTTGTGTATTGTAATTTCTGAAATAGCAATGAGGTTGGAATACATGACTAATGATTTTATCCTCTTATGATATCTCTGGTTGGGGCACACCCAAAACAAAATTTGGAGCAATGCAAATGTTCGAGGAGAGTGAGAGAACTTCCTTCTGGTGTTTTTCTCTAATGACTTGCTCTGAAGCTACTCCTCTTAGATTCTTTCCTAGCTGTGTATTCCTATATAGTCTTAGCTTAACAGCACAAAGATTTAACAGTGGTGTCTGCATTTGATAAAATGTAAATGAGAAGCTCCCAAAAGAGATTGAGAAGCTCTATTTTGACAACTCTTCTTTTATCTGTGTAATTATTATATACTTTAACTGAAGAAAGAAAAACACAAAGATAAATACAATATTTCAACTTCGAGTACTTTTTAAAAATTATTTGAAAGCATTTAAAAATAGATGTAAAATGAACTCCTGTATGTCAAATTCCTTTCAGAGAAAAAAAAAAGTGAGAGGGAAGGGGGAAATTTGCATTTAGTAATTTTTTTTGTTTTTTTGAAAATTTCAGGCACTTAGTAATCACTGTTCCTTTTGTACGTCATGCCCAATGGGAACGATACCAGGATCTTTCACTCAATTCTGTGGATTACAGGTCACCCACCTGGGCATGTTTCAGATGAAACTAACCTAAGCTCATCTTGAGTAAGGGGCTTAGAAGTAAATGCTTTGTTGGTTGCTTTGAGTTGTACAAAGCAGGACGACCACCAGAGGCTTTCTAAGAAAAAGAATCATAGAGACTTTGATAAAATTGGAACTCCTAAAGCAGCTAAGGCTTTGCTTCTATTTTTGATCATTTTTAAAAAGTTAGTTCTTCTGGTGTTTGGTAGTTCCATAGTAGTTAGAAAGCACTGCCACATGAAATCTGCTATTGGTAGAAAAAGAAAATGTTACAGCCAACTCTGATACAACATGAGAGAGAGACAGAGAGAGAGAGAGAAGGGAGAGAAGAGACATGTTCTTCTTTGACCAGCAGGAAAAAAAAAAAAGCTGCACAAACCTTTTAACTAGTTTCACTAGCAGAAAAGAAAAATAAAAATATAAAATAGCAAATAATCTTTAAAGAAAACTGATTTTCTTATTATGCTGAAATTTATTAAAGACTGTTGTGTTGACTGAAGAATATGTTTAAATATTTTGTGGAAGGCAAAGCTTTCATTCAGGAATGACAAGTGCAAGGACTGTAATTCTAAAGAAATTAAAGAAAAGAAGAATGGCAATTTAAGTTCAGGGACAATTGGAATCAAGCAGTAATGATTTACAGCTTTTTAAAATTTTCAGGCACTTAGTGGTCAGTGTTCCTTTTATGCGTTATGACCAGTGGGAAGGATACCAGGATCTTCCATTCAGTTATTATGGGTTACAGGTCACCCATCCGTGACCTGTGGTCACAGTGTTAGGTATCGAAAGCATAATACCTTCTTATCTAAGAAGGAAAGACCTGTTAAGTCTAAGCTTAGGGGTAGAGTTGTCAACGATACAGTCATATTTGTTGAACAGTTCAAGTTGCCATTTCTTGTATTCTTGGAAGAGGTAAGTTAAAGAAGGTTGTGCACAGTTCTTGACATTTTATTATTACAGCACTACCTTTCAAGCCACTCAGTAGTCATCGGACATGTAAGAGTGGTTGTTCTATTTGGTCGTGTAAATTTCTAGTGACAGTAGGAAAAAAAAAAAAGACCTTTATTAAAGACCTTCCAAACTAATTCAGTGCCCTACATGCTGCATGAAAATGAGGACTTTCCAGTTCTGAGTAGAAGGAATATTAAGGCACCTGAAGGGACAAATCCATTTATAAAATTATTTTTCTTTTTGTGATAAAAATATAAATGGCTCTGCTAGTATACTAAAAAATATAAATGGCTCTACTAGTATATTTAATAATCCTTCATTGATTTACCTAAACGTATGAAGATACCCATATAATATTTTTAAAAATAAGTTATTGTAGCTCTAAAATAATTTATTAGACTAGAATAAATAAATTTATACTAGAATTTATGATGAACAGTCAATAAATGGAATTAAAAATATAGGTAAAATACAGTTAAAATATATACAAATTTTAAGTGATACATGCAATGCACAAATTGTAAATGTTTGATTGAGGAAAGAGCTAATTCATTGGAAGCTCTAGTCCAGTCTATAGTATTTGGGGACTGCTATTGATATGTTCATTCAACAAATAATTACTGATAATATAGTATGTACTGAAATCATTATGCTAAACACTGAGGGTTTACAATAAATAAGAAAATGTATAACCTCATTGAACTTAAATCTAGTAGCAGACACAAGCAAGTAAATTGGCAATAAAAATAGGGGGAGTCAAGGGAGTTTGGATAAATTATAGAAGAAGCTCCTAGACAGTCCATGGAGGTATTTGTGGGAGGATGGAATTGGCAACACAGCTGAGATTTTAAAGATATATAAAGTACATCTGTGTAAATGGCAAGCAGTGAGAACACAGAAAAGGTGTTTGAGGAAAGGGCCTAAAGATAAGATAGACCATGACACAGAAAGGAAAGTAAAAATGATTCAGTGACCATCTAGTAGATATCCAATACATATATTTGAGTGAATGAGTGATAGACTGACTATATGAATGGGAAATATTGAAATATAAAGAGGAAGGCCAGAGATAAAGCTCTGAAAGGTAAGCATATATTTTAAGACTTCAGAGTACCTAATTTTCTGAATATGCAAATGAGCAGTATTAGAATTAATAAAAATAACCCTAAAAATGAGAACTCTTGGTTGGAGAAAATAACAAAATATGAAGTAAAGGAAAATTGACAGAATACTTCAAAAACTGTGCCTGATATAATTGGAAATAATGCCTGGAAACAGATTGAGTCCATAATCCTGTATGTGTTCATTAAGGCCAGGAAGATTCTTGGTAAGGAAATGTCTAGTCTGAAAGGTCTAAAGATTTTATTAATCTGTATAATAAATTATATCTTATGAAACTCTTGTCATTTATCCAGTATATTTGAATTACCCGTGCATTACTGTTTCATATATTCATGGTACTTTCATATTTTATAACATTTAAAAATATTTCAATATTCCATTGATTTGAATAAGATTCTTTAAATTACAGTGAAAGCTTTCTGATAAGGTATGGTAAGATTATTTTTCAGTAATTATGCTGATACATATAATAAAGCTACTGACAATTCATAAAGATGATAATACACTTAGTACAAACTGAGCTTCAATGGGATTACTAAATGAGTATGTGAGGACAGAGCAGAGGAAAAGGCCAAGGGTTGAGCACTGTGGTGCTCTATTATGAGAAAGTTAGGAAGGATTAAAGTTGGCACTGAAGGGGATTGAGAAGGAGTAGCTGAAGCGGTAGAAGGAAAACAAGAACAGTGTGTCCTGGAAGTCAGTGGAGTAATCACTTGTCTCAAATGCTGCTAATAGGTCAAATATGGTGAGAACTGAGAACTGGACATTTCATTTAGTAATGTGAAGGACGTTGGTGACTTTCCCAAGAGCAGTTTCAGTGGAATGGAGGAAGACCAATGGAATAATAGGAGCATTGTGGAGGAATAAACCAAAATGTACCTATTTACCATCCAGAGCCAGACTCAGAGCCTTTACTCTGTGCTAGAAACACAATGACCAATTGTTGCATTGTTCCCTTTCCTTGAGCTTTCTACAGCTCACCTCGCTTCTTCAAACATGTACAATCAGACCTCTGAATCTGTGGATTCCACATCCATGGATTCAACTGACTGCAGAAGAAAAATGTTAGAAAAAAATCTGCATCTGTACCGAACATGTGCAGACTTTTTTCTTGTCATTATTCCCTAAATAATATGGTATAACAACTATTTACATAGCCTTTACATTGTATTGGGTATTTAAAGTAATGTAGATGTGATTTAAATAATTTTGAAATATGTGTATAGGTTATATGCACATACTATGCCATTTCATTTCAAGGACTTGAGCATCCTCAGATTTTGATATCCACAGGAGGTCCTGGAACCAATCCCCACAAATCCCCTGAAACTATAACTGATGAGGGGTGATGGTACTTCTTTTTTTACACAGTCAAAATAAAAGAGATTAGGCTTGTTTTTGTTATTTCTCCCCAAATAATGCCATATTGAGCATGACTGGATTTAAGAGGTCCCCAGATGTCTCAGCCACTCATTTACATAAAAATTCTTTGTCCATATCTGTACATCCTTAATCTCAAGCTACACATATGGATTTACTGTTCTGTCTCCTGGTGTCAGCTTACTTTCAATTTGTTTTACCTGTTTCATTGGCACACTTGTAGAGATTGATAATACAAAAATGTTTTAGGAGAGAGCATACCACACATCAAGTTGTCAACTTCATCCACTTCTGCTACTTATTTCAAAGTTTCTGATACTTATTCATGATCTTTCAGTAGCCTTCATTCTCCCATCCATCCATTCACTCAAGAAACTTGTATTGTTAGGGAATGTATTAGAATTATAGCTCTTCAAGCTTTCCAAAACAAATGTAGCAACATAAATAGACAAGCATAATAATGGAAAATCGTCTATACGAGAAATCTAATTATTTTAGGCACAAATCATTTTTTAAAATGTATTCTAAAATAAAAATGCCATTGAGGCACAGAGGTCTTACTAATCTGTAAAGCAAACATGATTTATATAGTATGCTTACATTAGTAAATCAGGATTATTTGGGTGAACAGAGTATAATATTGATATAGTTATTTGGTTATAAAAAGAGATGTTTCTGATAAGGTTTCCCCCCCTTTATTTGCCTTGGAAAACAAATTTCAAAGAAGAGTGTCATTTTAAACTCTAAAAAACCAGTTGATAACCATAGTCTGATATTTGCAGTTGGAATGAATTCCTGTGACAGCATGAACATACACCCACCAACATGTCTGTAATAGAAACCACTTTGGAAGACACTAGAGGCTGCCACAGATTTCTCAGGTCCTCACAGCAAGACAGTGGTGGTCTTGGGGATGGATACATTTCATCTTCCTTGAAGACAGATACCACCCTCTGGCTGTCACCCCATAGGAAATCAGGAAGTATGCTAAGCTATCCAGTGGACTTGGAATTACACTGTGCTGTGCTAGTGGAAATATCCTATCCAACATTATGATTTATTTTGAAGGAGAAAGGAAAAAAAAATACACACAAAACGGTGGAAGGAAGCTGCACACAACATCGCCAAACAGCTGGCTTGTTTTATATCCCAGAAACAGCTTGGGACTAACTATATTCACAAGATCTCTTGGCAGAGTAGCTTGATGAAAATACCAAAGCTGTGAGAAGTGTTCTTTTGCTGAATCCTTCATGTAGCTATCACACGGTTTATTAACCTAAATGAGAATATGTACACCTTTTTTCCAAAAAGGTCCTTTGTATGTTTAAGTGAGAAACTTACTGATTCTTCATACGGCACAAACATGATTCACCACAGCATTCACACCAAATAAACTCTAATAATGTTCAGAAACTATAATCCTAGACATGTAGCGATTTCCTCCTTTCTTTCAAGTAGTATTTTTGGGGACAGTCAAGAGAGAATTTGATAGAAATGTAAGCCTGAGTTCAATGGCACTGGTGACTTTTTTAGGTGCCAAGGTTAATCTCAGAGGGAAATTAGTTTTAATGGCTTCATCCATATATTTATCCATTCTTTTAACATTTAACTCTAACCTCCTTAAGCCAAAAATATAACTCAATTCTAAACACATTTCTGGCTCACCTGCTAGGTGCCAGAAATGCGGATCTTGAGGAATATACAAGATCTGCTTCACTCTTTTAGAATCCCTGCATTAGAGAGGATTCAGTATTTTCAGATTCATATTTTAGAAGACATTGCATTCTATTCCTTACTAAGCATCCCAGGTAGATTCAATTAGGTGGAACATATTCATATTTTTATCATGAGGCATTTTGAGTCTATTCTTTGTGACACCAGAATTAGTTTCTCATCTCAGAGTTTGCTGTATTTCTCTGGTGACTCAAGTAGTTTATTGGCAGTCAGTTTGTAAAAGGCTCCCTGGGATTATCTAAATGCAGGACGTTAGGAATGGAAATATGTATCATTGCCTCTCCTGTCAAAAAATGTAATTAACACACATGATATATCATCTTACAAAGTGGATGAAAATTCCAGTGGGTGACCTTGAGTCACAGCTCCTCAGTGCACACACTGTCCTGTACCCAAGCATCTCCCAGATAGCACAGAACTCCCACTTCCTGCATCCCTGTACCTTTAGCACTGTGTGCATGTTTGTGTGTGTATGTGTGTGTGAGTGTGAGTGTGTATGTGTATTTTCAGTTCAAAATCTACCACTCAATTTCACTTTCTTTAACAATTTTGGTTTGGTTCAATTTGTTGCATAGGTAATAATAATCCATTTACAGAATACAAAAATAGTGTAAGTATGTGCTTCTTCCTATCTGTATGTTGAGAGATTCCTCATTCTTTTTTATGGTTGCAGATAATTCATTATGCAGATATACAATTTATTTAACCAGTCCCATATTGATGGATATTAGGTTATTTCCAGTCCTTTGATGTGACCAAAAAAGATTATAATAAAAAATGCTGAAAGAATAATATTGTCTTTGTCAGTTTGGGCGGCCATAAGAAAGTTCCATAGACTAGGTGGGTTGTAAACAAGAGAAATTTATTTCCCCACAGTACTGGAGGCTGAAAATCTGAGATCAGGGTGTCCGCATGGTTATGCTTTGGTGAGGACTGTTTCGGGGCTTGCAGACTGCTGACTTCTTGTAGCCTCACATGGTTGAAAGAGAGCTAGCTAGCTCTCTGGCCTCTTTTTATTAGGTCACTAATCTCATTCAGGAGGGCTCCACCCTCAGGATCTAATTACCTACCAAACGCCTTGCCCCCAAATATCATCACATTTGGGATTAGGGTTTCAACATATGAATTTTAGTAGGGGGGAGGCAAACATTCAGTCCATTAGCCATATTCAGTTCACCTGTAATATAGTATCTGTATTATTTTATGTCTGTAGAATAATTCCTAGAAGTGGAATTGCTAGCTCAGAATTACTGTGTGTTTCTAATTTTGATAGTTACTGCTCAATTGACTTTCTTGAAATTTGTATCATTTTACAGTTATACCTGTAAATGTAAGAGGTATGTATCTACTCTCTTAGTCTAACCATCAGAGAGTATTACCAATATTTGTGGGGTTTGCCAACCTGAAAAAATGGGAAGTTTATCAGTGTGTTTTTAATTAACATTTATCCTATTATGAGGGAGGATCAGTATCTTATAAACTTTTAACAGTCATTTTAATTTTCTTTTCTTTGAATAGGGCCCTCATATATTTGTGCATTTTGTTATGGTGTTGGTGCATTTCTTTATTGATTTACAAGAGTTCTTTGAGTATTAGGAACATCCTTCCTTTATCCGTGCCAACAGTACCTTTTATTTTGTCACACAGTTTATTCTTCATCAGAATTCTTTGCTCTTGAGAAGTCCCTGTGAGAGCCTGCCAGCCTTCTACACCTTTGGAGGGCAGTTTGTTGGCAATTTCTCAATTTTTCTTTCACATAGAAAATGATCTGACTGAATTTTATTTCTCTTGATGTCAACTGTGCTGAATTATTGTCTTAAAAAATTCACCATTCCATTCAGGTTTAACATATTTTTTAGAGTGTGATTTTCATAGGGTATGTTACATTCTTGATGAATTTTTATCTTCTTGACCTATTAATTACTAAAAAAAAAAATACAGATAACGACAACCTAAAACAACCTATTGAAATATCTCACTGTGATGATAGATTTGTCTAGTTTTCCTTGTAATTTTTGTTCTCCATATTTTAAGGCTATATAATGTGATGTTTTCAAGTACAGAATTATTTTAAGTTCCTAATGGGTTCCTTTTTTAATCTGATATTTTATAACTTTTTCCCCAAGTTTTCTGGTTTCCCACCATACCCCAGATTCTTAAGTAATTTAGGGCACAATAATTTTCAGAGAAAGAATGATTAAGAATTTATGGAAATCTTAGGAAGGTCGAATTGACGCAGTGCCTTGGAAGAGAGAAATATAGGTAGTTGAAGTATAAGGAGAAATGCCTATGATATAAACAAACAAATTGCATGTACATGTATTAAGAAGACTATAACATATATCAGTTACTTCACTAGATGCCAGTGCATAGGCATGTACCTGAATCTGCGTAACTAATTGGGAGAATGGGAAGTTAACTTTATTTTTCCAAGAAAAAGAAACAAAATCAATATTTAAATTTTGGAAAACATAATTGTTAAATTATTTTTCATATTGTGTAGATTCACATCTCTTTAATCAATGGGAGACCAAGTGCCGATGATCCTTCTCCAGAACTGCTAGAATTTACCTCCGCTCGCTATATTCGCCTGAGATTTCAGAGGATCCGCACACTGAATGCTGACTTGATGATGTTTGCTCACAAAGACCCAAGAGAAATTGACCCCATTGTCACCAGAAGAGTAAGTTATGATGAATCATATTAGAGCCTACAAATGATATCCCACTTATCTTTTTGTCTGTTAAATACTTTAAAAATGTTTTCAGTGATTTGTAGGAGTGGTTATTATCAAATTTTTATTTTAGAATTGTAGATTATTATTATTATTATTATTTGAAATTTGACAGACTTTCCTTTGTTCAGATCCAAGCTGTGCCGCTTATTACATGTGTAACATTTATCAAACATTTTAGCCTTCTCAAACTTTAATTTCTTCTTTTGTAAAATGAGAATCACAATGTCTACTTAATAATCTTATTTTTCAGAATAAAATTAGCCTTTGTCACCTTAGGGGATCTATACTACTATTATAATTGGCTTTGGCGAGTTACTACTGGAAGTGCAGGGGCTTTGAAACATTTTTTTGCCACCACTGAGCCAGTATACACACATGCACACATACAGAGAGCAGTATGTCTTAAACCTTAATGTGTATGGGATTAGCCAGTGATCTTGTGGAAATATAGGTTATGATTCAGTAGGGCAGAGCTGAGACGCTGCACTTCAAAAACTTTCCAGGTGATGCTGATGTTGCCGGTTTGTGGGCCATCAAATAATTTGGTTTTATGCTTGATTAATGAATCACAAGCCATAGTTTTAAAAATGCAGTGCTATAGGAGAAAACTGATTCTACATACTGTTTTATTTTCCTTTACAAATAAAATATTAGGGGAAAAAGTTTAAAGCATCTTTTCAAAAGCTTTTTGAACACAAGAGCTAACAGAAGTGCTGTCTTCCAGTGTTAAACAGGAATTTGTGGGATTACAAGATAGATGATCAACCCAGATTGCTATGAGTGATAACCGTGCTTCCTCCTGTCTACCTTCTACCATATTCACTGGTTTATGGCACCTCCCACATATGCTGCTACACAACCAAGGCATTATTACCAGGGAAGTCAATTCAGCCATAACTCTATAAAGTAAACTCCTGTGAATAGAGTATCTACTGTATGACTAGAGGTATAGCTAAGAAAAAAGACTATAGGGAGAAATTAATATTGTAGGACAAAGCATTTAATTCTAGAATGATCCCACTAAGGTAAGACCACCGTCATCGGTTGCAAAATTGCTGAATCACTAGGGTTAATAGTTACAGATCCTAAATACTCCTCACATGTTTTCTTTCCTCGTTACTTAACTTCCCACACCCAACCTCTCCATCATCACAAGATAACTTTTAAGGCTTTAGTTAGTCCCATGCAACATATGTCAGATGTTTTAGTGCCCTGTATTTTCCAAACTTGAAATAATTTCCCCTTGTATTATACCTCAACATATTGTAAATTGTCTCATGCAAAACTAATCATTATTTTATAGCAATGTTTGGATTTTTCACTTGTTTAAGAAAACATTTTCAATTCTAATTTTGGCGGGACTTAAAAATATACACCAAGGAAGACTGGTGTGAAATTGGAGTGAAATTTAATCTTTCTTGACAGTATGTCTATCAGAGAAAAAAAATCAATGAAAATAAATTAGTGTTCTTTCTATCATCTCTTGCAGGAGGTAGAGTGGGGGTTGGGGTACACATCTATTATTTATAACTTTATCGTACATGAGTCTTTAAAATAATGCAGTATAAGTCAACATATAAATATGTTTTTTGAAAGTACTCAAGTTCAATAAACACTCATTTAAATATATAAAAATAAGATAGCAAATTTCAGCTCTTCTTCATGACTCAAAAGCAAAGCATTATACATTTATATTTAAAATAGATTTCCCAGTTTTAAAAGCATTTACAAATACTACTGTATCAGCTTTTTAAGCAAATATCTCTATTTGTGTCTATATTATTAAGTGATGAGGTTAAATGGAAAAAATATTTTTATACTATCCAAACTCCCTAGCCAGTTCCATTAGTTCAAGGTCTAGGTATATCAAATAAGATAACATAACAAAAATATTTTCAAAGACACTATATGTATGTAACAAAAACAAATAGAAGGAAAAAGAAACAAAGAAGTAAATTGGAAAAAGGGGATTCTTAGTCAAGGAACTCAGATATGTGTCCACCTACATATTCTAGCTAAATCTGTTTTTTTTGTGTGTGTGTATAATTGGAATAATAGAACTATCTAACGCTAAGATGATTATTTGAATATGATAATGTAAAGTGCTCTGACAATTATAAAATGTTATATACACATTAATTAAAATTTTAAAAATAGTCTAGCCTCCATAATTATCCTTAAAAAATAGCTGGGTAGATTAAAATAATTAGTAACATAGCTCTATGTTAACTTCATATACAAAGGTAATTGTATGGACTATATTACATAGTAATATAAAAATGCAAATGTTCTGCACAATAAACTTACAGTTAATGACTTTTTAATTTTCTTCTTAATATGGTTAAGGAATATATTGTTATGAGCACAATTTCTACCCAGATTTTGTTGGTTCTTTTCAAATCCATCAAGTAAAACAGTGTGCGTATGATTTGTGAATACTGCAGTTGCTATAATCACAATAAAAGAGGGTTTCTTGCAAGAAACTATGTAAAACAACTTTTATGAAGAATAGCTGTCCTTAGCCCCAGATAAAAACTACTGTCAGCCACAGGTACTCTAGCATGGACTTGGTGCTGACTGGGAAAAAGATATTTCTAAAATGCCCAACTAGCTTAAATTAAAGGCCACTCTTCCTTTGGGCTAAGATCACAGTGCTAAGAGTTACTTTGTCAGTTTTGTGAGTCCTCACTTGTCCTCAAGAAACACAAATGTCCTTCAAACTAAGGATAAAAGCAGAAAATAAAGTTTTTACTGAATGTCCCCTTTTGTTACTTTGACCTTGCAGTCATCTTAACAGGATTTCTCTCTGGATTGCTTTTTGCAGTATTACTACTCGGTCAAGGATATTTCAGTTGGAGGGATGTGCATCTGCTATGGTCATGCCAGGGCTTGTCCACTTGATCCAGCGACAAATGTATGTATATTTATAGGATGCTTAGGCAAAATGAAGCCCTGAGCTGTAAAATGTTTCATGACAGTCTTTGCTGACAGAGAACGCTGTAAATGGGAGTCAGGTCCCCACTTAGACAGTGTAACAGAAATCCATGCCAGGGTGAAATAAGAGCTGGCAGTTAGGATGATAGACTTTGAAATCAGCCATCACAGTATAAGAAAACAGATTAGTTTTTCCTTTTTTTTTTTTTTTTTCAAAAAGGCTCCAAACTGGTCTATTTTGAAATCTCTCTAGCTATGACAGCCTGCCTCATGATATAGCTTTAGAGAACGCCTGCCATCAATCAACCTGACCATTTCTTTTAAAGTTTCTAATCAAAAAATTAATGCAAATGAGTAAAAAAATGTGCAGGGAAGTAAATATATAAGTGACAATGGAACAGGAGGATAAAATAGGGCAGGGGCAATAAGGGGGTGGAGGGGGTGGAGTGGGTGAGAGAGTCAAGAGAGTACTGATAGTGGCAAGCCGGAAAATGCCAGAATGCTTTTTGATAGAATTTTTTCATTAATGACAATGAATTAAGTGAACATAACCTAAAGGAGAAGATGAATGAGCATCTATTTTTCCTGTCATAGACAAACTGGTGAAATTCAAACTCATCTCCTGTATAGTATATGGAAAAATACATTGAATAGTAAGATCAGTGAATGTAAATCGGGCCACAGATTTTTTTTCTCAAATATTGTAATGCAAATGACATTATACTCAAAGCTAGTTTTCTGATGATTGGATTATAATGTTATCTCCTAGGAAGATTAAAGTACACTAACATATTTTTATGGGCAAAGCTGCAGTGCTGCTTTCTGCCTGGTATGGGTGCTTTCTTCTTTTTTTTGTTTTCCATTTTTTAAAATTTTACTTTAAATCCTGGATACTCGTGCACAACATGCAGGTTTGTTACATAGGTAAATGTGTGTCATGGTCATTTGCTGCCCCTATCAACCCATCACCTAGGCATAATTTTCCACAGGCTTTACAGAGTCCCTTTGTCTCACTGGCTTTCTGCATTTTAAAAATCCCTTTACTGTTATTTTATTTGGAGGAAGTGAAAAAATGCATATGCCACCATAGAATACTACGCTGCCATAAAAAGGAATGAGATCATGTCCTTTGCAGGGACATGGATGAAGCTGGAAACCATGGTCCTCAGGAAACTAACACAGGAACAGAAAACCAAACACTATATGTTCTCACTCATAAATGAGAGCTAAACAATGAGAACACATGGACTCAAGGAGGGGAACAACACACACCAGGGCCTATCAGATGGAGGGAGGCAAAGGGAGGGAGAACATCAGGACAGACAGCTAATGCATGCAGGGTGCTTTCTATCAGGTGTACAGATGATCAGTGTTTCCCAGGCTTTAAAAGTCCACAAGACAGGCTTGGAAGGCCAATTCCAGGTGGTAAATTGAGACTGTATTCAGAGCATGCACAGACAGGAGATTTAGTCCTAGAGACATTAGATTTCTGGTTTACCTGCACCCCTAGAGGCCTAGGAATCAACTCCCTCCTTCTTGCCATATCCAAAAATATTAACAACATTTTGAGGGGAGCCTTAAAACAAGCTAATCGACCCCCAAAAAACACATAGATCCCAGGCATCAGAGAAGGAGAATTCAGTCTTCAAGACCACTCCCAGCTGGGCCTTCCTGCTTTCTTCTGAGCCTAAACCCAGTGATTAAAGAACCAGCCTGGACTTCCTTAAGGTGATGTTGATCAAATATACCCACTTCAAGCCTGGCACCACTTTCTTCCCAGGCTGGCTAGTTTTACATTTTAGTACACAGTCCAGATGTTTTCTCTTTTCTTCATAGTACCTTTAGAGAGAGGCTTCCTTTATGGTTCTAAATGAGGCTAAAATTTGTGCTTCCTCCCTCTTTTTGACTAGAAATCTCGCTGTGAGTGTGAGCATAACACATGTGGCGATAGCTGTGATCAGTGCTGTCCAGGATTCCATCAGAAACCCTGGAGAGCTGGAACTTTTCTAACTAAAACTGAATGTGAAGGTATGTTCTTTAGAAGCCAACAAAATATGTCATTCTTCCTTTCCAAGAAAAAAAGCCAGTAATGAAAAATAGTGAAATGGCTGGTTATGCAAATGTGTCAACAAATACTCATTTATATTATCACTTCGAAGACAACCCATATGTCTAGCTTTTCCTAAAGGGAAATATCTAAGAAATGTAGCAGATGACTTTATAGCCTAATAGTGACAACTGGTCTTTTTAGGTGACAGGTATCATGGAGAAACCTGTGTTTCTGGAGATTTTCTCAACCCAAGAAAAGACCTAAAAATAGTCTTGGGCTGAACTGCAAACCTAAACTAGTATGAAGTCCAATTCAACTGAATGCAAATATTAATATTACAGTAAATCAGCCCTAACCACATTTTTTTCAGCTCACTAAGTATATATGGCCTTCAAAAACAGCTTGATAGACATTTTAAATTAATACCAACACTATATATCCTTTGAATAACAAATTAACTCAACTCACATTTATCATGTACAATGTGTCAGACATGACAGGTCTTTAAAACTATTGAATCATAACACACCTTAATCACAAAATGTTCCCCACCTATAAGATATAAAGTCGGCCTTCCATATCCATGGTTTCTCCATCCATGGGTCTAACCAACTGCAGATCAAAAATGTTTGAAAAAAAGTTGCATCTGTACTGAACTTGTAAAGACCTTTTTCTTATTATTATTTCCTAAGCAATATAACAACTATTTATATAGCATTTACATTTTGTTAGGTATTATAAGTAATCTAGAGATGATCTAAAGTGTACAGGAGGATGTGCATAGGCTGTATGCAAGTACTATGCCACTGTATAACAGGAACTTGAGTATCCTTGAATCTTGGTGTTTGAGGGAGGTCCTGGAACCATTCCCATGGATATTGAGGGATGGCTGTATTTTCTTTTTAGTTTGAGATTCTGCATATATGCTATTAGCTCTCCTTATTTTCTGCACTCACTTCATTTGCTTTTGGATTTGTGTCTGCCTGTTTATAAAGATATTATGGATTAGAAATCTCCCATTATTACAAAAGCATATCTGGAGGCATGAGCCACCATTGGATCATCACTCACCATGCATGGTAGGGGACCATTGGAAGCCCAGCCTTTTGTTTCCTTCAACTACTTCCAGCCATGTTCTGGCTAATCCCTTAGTTCTCCACAGCTTCTCCATAGAGAACAGACATTTGTTCTTAATAGTGACTTTAAATGTAATGCCACCCAGGGATGTTTGCTCTCGAGCTCCTTTAAATTTTAATTAAATTTCTCTTCTGTTTGTAGAATATCAGTAATCATAAGTGGGAGCAGCACTTGAAGGTAGGGGTCTTCCTGTTGCCACTGACATGCCTTCACACAGTGATAATTGTGTAATGTTAAGTGGCTCTGCAAAATCCTTTACCACTCTTTACTTGTGTTTCTACGTTTAAATACAAAACAAAAACAATCGAGCAACTTGTTAGCAATAGAGGTAGACTAAGCAAGGCAAGACATTTCAAACTGCTACTGTACACATTTTTAAAATAGTGGAATTGTGAAACACTTTTTTTCTTTCCCTGTAGGGAAGAGGGGAGGTCGTATTTCCAAACTGAAAAACAAACATTTTAAAAACGCAGAAATTCAAGATGGGGATCTTAGCCATAAAGCCATACATAAAAATCACACTTTCAGCAATGAGTACATTCCTGAAAGCTTAAGTAAAAATTTTCTTTTCCAAGTTGAATCATATTCCAATCACCTTAATATTTAGAAAAATCCTTCCATGACATGACAAATCCCTCCATAAAATGAATAATCACATTCTAATTCATTTGAGTTTAATTTGGATTTTCATCAATCTAGCTTACATAAGGCAAGATAATATCTCTAAAAAGCATAGAATATTCATTCAGTTGCTGAGCCTTTACTAAACAACAGTTTCATATGATATATCTTGGACATTCTGTGAAATAGTAAGTTGCTGATGATAGAGAAAAAACATGGCTTTGTGATCAGTTACTAGCCATATTCTTGAAGGTTACAGACAGAGCGGGGTAGGCTGCAGCCTACAGACAGAAAGTGGGGCTGTAGGTGTAGGGTCCTGGCTGCACAGAGTGTGTGATGGACCGTTTATTTGGCATCAGGGTTTTACATATAGTAGCTCATAGTTCTAAACACTCTTGACAACACGAATTCTAAATAGTGTGAGAATAAGTCTATGTTACTTTATGTTTTCCTCTGCTTATACTGGCAGCAGAAGTTTTGACTGTTTTTTGAAATACACTATTACAACAAAGCTTTTAAGAATTCATAGCCAGGTCCAGTGGCATGCTCCTATAATCCCAGCTACTGGAAAGAAGCTATGGTGGGAGGATCTCTTGAGCCCAGGAGTTTGAGGCCAGCCTGGGCCACATAGTGAGACCCTGTCTGTATCACTCCGTTTTCACACTGCTGTAAAGATACTACCCGAGACTGGGTAATTTATAAAGGAAAGAGGTTTAGTTGACTCACCCTTCTGCATGGCTAGGAGGCCTCAGGAAACTTATGATCAAAGGGGAAGAGGGAGCAGGCACATCTTACATGGTACAGGAGAGAGAGGAGAAAGTGAATGGGGAAGAGCCCCTTATAAAACCATCAGATCTTGTACGAACTCACTCACTATCATGAGGACAGCATGGGGGAGCTGCCCCCTTGATCCAGTCTCCTCCCTCCCTCCATACGTGGAGATTACAATTTCAAATGAGATTTGGGTGGGGACACAGAGCCAAACCATATCACTGTCTTTCTGAAGAAAAAAAAGGAATTCTTGTATGTTGCCCTAAAGATATAAAACTGCTTACAATGCCTAGTGATTTGTATTGATTACTATGTGTTCCCTAAAGTTTGAAACTCTCCATTAACATAGCAAAACTACTATATTCTAAATCAAATGTCAGCAGGTTGGGAAAGGTATTTACAACAAACATGACAAGGGGATAATAACCTTTCTATATTAAGAGATCTTACATATCAATAAGAAAAAAGTTAACCTGTTAGAAAGATCAAAACAGGTATTCCTCAGAAATGACATATAACTTTGTAAAAAGATAATGACACTCATAATGAAGGAAGTATCAATTAAAACAATGACATATTATTTTTCACCTATCAAAGTGTTTATTCTTCTACTCAACAAATATTTGAATGCTTATTATGTCCAGGAATTGTATTCAAGGGTTGATAACACACAAGGTTGGTGGCTATGGAGAAAGTGTTTTATCATATCTACTAGAGGAAAAGTCATTTGTCATAGCGTTCCTGGAGGGGAATTTTTTAAGCGATTAAAATTTAAATTTTACATATCCTTTGACTAGAAATTATGCTTCCAGGAATTTACCCTATAGATATATTCATATAGATGTACAGGCATATTATCATGATCCTCGTCATTATTATACAAGTGCTACCACTACTGCTACTAACATTTATTGAGCTCAGTATTTAGTATGTTTCAGGCATTCTGCTAAGCATTCTCAAAACATGTATGAGACAAGTACTAAAGTGATGCTAGGACTCGAGTTTTTGCCTCAAAGTCACTCAACTGGCAAATAGGAAACTTTTCTAACATTAGAGCGCCTCCCTCCACCCGGCATCCTTGTCCTCCCAGTATGTGTGTGGTGTTATTTGTAAAGGGAGAAACATGGAAACTGTGTAACTGTTCATTAATAGGGACCTGATAAATACCTTCATTCAAGTAGTACCCTGTGTACCCTTAGGGGATACACATGCTAATATGGAAAGGGCTCCATGATTTACTGTTAGTAAAAAGAACCGGTTCTAAACAGTATACAAATGCCCCTTCCCTTTTGTAGAATAAATAAAAAGATTGAGCTGTATGCATACAAGCACACCTACACACACACACACACACGTGGAAATAAATGTAAGTACTCCTAAGAAACTCAACATGTCAGGTAGGAAGGAGACTGCATCGATATATTTCCCTGGTTCTATCCTAATATAAATTCTTCATATTTAGAAGAGTCTTACCCAATCCTTTCTGGAGAAAGTGATTTTTCACTTCTTGGAATTCTTCTAATGTAACATGAAAAAGACAAGGAGGAAGAAAAGAAGAAAAATCAATTGCTAACTTCTTTATAAGACATTACGCTAATGATTTCACATGCATTATCTCACTTGTGCTTTTAAATATCCCAATCTAGTAATTACTATTGACCACTCCATGTATTATATGGAAACTGAGCCTTCGTGAAATTAAGAAGTTTCCAATGTCATATGACTGCTAAGTAGAGGAGAGCACACCCACATCCAAGACAGTTGGTTGCAAAATAGCATGATCTTAGCCACCAGTAAACTAGCTCTCGGTTTGTCTTAATTCCTTGGCACCTGCCATGTATCTTATTTCATTCACCGGGTAGGATGTGAAGAGATTCTGGCAGTCTTTAGCAGTGCAGACTCTGGAGTCTGGCTTCAGAGGTTGGTTTCCAATACTGATTAGAATATCTTTTACACGTTATTTCACTTCTCTGGACTCAGGTTTCTAGTATACAAAAATAGGTTAATAATAATAATACCTAATTCCTAAAAGCATTTTTGAGGATTAAAATCAGTAGCAACAAATATGGAGCATTTAGAACAGTGTCTGGCATTGAGAAAACCTATGTTTTAGTTGTTATTAGTATTAAAAGAAAGGAATTATATTATACATACTTTTCTTTACCCACAGGCTCTAATACAGAAATTTCCATATGGTAGTAATTCATTACAGATTACCTAGCTGTTAATCATTCAGTGCCATCATTGAATAATTTATTATTTGTTATAATAGGAAATTGTAAGTTGAACCATATAAAATTGCACGTTAGTCAAAACCAAATATTGGCAATTGCATATGATTGAGCTTAATTTATATGTTTTAATCATTTCAAATTCTATTAAAATGTGTGAATTTATTAATACCTCCAATACATCCAGATACTTTCTGGATATGTTTGTGTGTGTGTACGCTAAATGTAATTTCCCGTATGGTATAAAAGTCTAGGCCGGGGGCAGTGGCTCACGCCTGTAATTCCAGCACTTTGAGAGGCTGAGGCGGGTGGATCATGGGTCAAGAGTTCAAGACCAGCCTGGCCAACATGGTGAAGCCCCATCTCTACTAAAAATACAGAAATTAGCTGGGTGTGGTGGTGCATGCCTGTTGTCCCCAGCTACTCGGGAGGCTGAGACAGGAGGATTGCTTGAACCTGGAAGGCAGAGGTTGCAGTGAGCCGAGATCGTGCCACTCTGCACTCCAGCCTGGGCGACAGAGTGAGACTCTGTCTCAAAAAAAAAATCTATTATGTATAACAGAAATGATTTTTAAATGTATCTGAAATCAAATTGATGTTTATTAATTTATTTTTCCTTAATGCAGCATGCAATTGTCATGGAAAAGCTGAAGAATGCTATTATGATGAAAATGTTGCCAGAAGAAATCTGAGTTTGAATATACGTGGAAAGTACATTGGAGGGGGTGTCTGCATTAATTGTACCCAAAACACTGCTGGTATAAACTGCGAGACATGTACTGATGGCTTCTTCAGACCCAAAGGGGTAAAGTATGCTTTTTCTTTCATAAAGAGTTATTTTTTTGCTTTTTCATACAAAAATGTTTTATACAAAAAAATAATAATTTTGAAAGCTTCTGTAAACAGTTGAACTTCAAATTAAAAGGTAAGTAGGAACATTTCGTAGTTGAAACTGACCTAAATCTTTGAGGATGTAAGATAAAACTTTTCCATCACTCCAGAAAGTTTTATCATGGCTCCTTCCAGTCAAGGAGTGGACCCCTAGGCAAACTCTGTTCTGATTTTTAGAACGTAAATTAGTTGTGCCTCTTAGAGAATTTCATAAAAATGAAATCATACAGTACATACTAGTGAGTCTTTTTTCACTCGACATAATATGTTAAGATTTATCCATGTTGTTTGTGCATCAGTAGTTCTTTTTCTTTTGAAAGAAATTGCTGAGTAGTATTTCTCTGCACGAACATATCAAAATTTTAAATCCATTCTCCTGTTGATAGAAATTAGGATCATTTCCAGTTTTAGCTTAGCTCCTACAAATAATTTTATACTAGTTATTTTATAGTCATATTTTTATTTACCTTGTGTAAATACTTAGGAATAGAAAGCTTTTTTCATAGGATAGGTAGATGCTTAACTTTATAAGAAACCGTCAACATTTTGCCAAATTAGTAATAATGTATAAAATGTTCACCAAAAAGTTATATGAGTTTCAGTCATTCTATATCATCTCTAATATTTGATGTTGACTATCTTTTTGGATTTTAGTCATCTAGTGGGTGTGAAATGGCATCTGATTATGGATTTAATTTTAATCGTAAGGGCTTATTGACCATTCCTGTATCTTCTCTTATGAAGTAGATGTTCAAAGTCTAAATATTTTTTTATCCTAAAAACCAAAATTTTAACTTATAGAGCTATTACCCATATCAAGTAAATGTTTGTGTGTGGTGTGAATAAGTAACCAGATTTATATGGTTAACCTGAAGTTCTAGCACCATTTGTTGAAAAATCAATTGATCATATTACATGGATCAATTTCTAGAACCTCAGTTATCTATTTTTCCTAGCATCTATTTTTCCCTCTGCGTGCTAATACCATACTATCTTCATTGCTTTAGTAAGTCTAGAATTTAGGTAATATAATGTACCAACTTTATTTTTTATTTTCAAGATTGTCTATAGTAGGGGCTTTTTTGTGTGTGTTTCTATACAATTTTAGAATCAACTTGTCAATTACAGAAAATATTAGGATTATTGCTTAGACTCTATATACAAATATGGAAAATGGAGCTTGAGGAGATGTTGGTCAAAGAATATAAAATTTCAGTTAGATAGTAGGAATACATTGAAGATATTTATTGTACAGCATGGTGACTGTAGTTAATAACAATGTATTTACTCTTAAAAAATGCTGAGAGTAGATTTTAAGTGTTCTCACCAAAAAAATTGATAATTATGTTAGGTAATATGTTAATTAGCTTGATATAACCATTTCACAATTTGTATATATATAATATATATATACAATGATATTCAAAATATCATGTCACACATGATAAATATATACAATTTTGTCAAAAAGGAAATTAAACTTTAAAAGCAAACAAGTATTGAGGAAAATAACATCATAATAATATTGAATCATTTAACCAATGAACATAGCATATCTCTCCATTTATTTCTATCTTCTTTATTCATGTCAGTGTTCCAGTACAGAGATCTTGCATGTCTTTTGTTAAATTAATCTTTAGAATTTTGCTTTGCATGACTGTAAAAAAAATTTTTAAATAATTTTCCAATTATTTAATGTAATTGTTAAAGAATTTTGAATATTGACTTTATGCCCTATAGCCATCCTTAATTTCTTTTTTTTTTTTTAAATAACTTCCCTTTTAAAAGTTACTGAGAATAAAGAATACAGAACATGGTTATAGGCACTTACATTGCTATCAAATGCAGGAATTCACTTCAATAAGAAGTGCTTTCTCTGTAAGCATGGTTCATGGCAATAGAAGCTCCAACTTAGGAGAGGATGTTTTCCGTGACAAAAATAATAACAACAAAAAAAATGGTGGTTGAAGGAAAACAGTCCAAATTTACAGATGCTTTAAACTTCTTTTGGCCTTGGCATCAGCTTTCATGTTAAAAAATAAAGCTGGTGGGGAAGCTATCTCACTTGCAAAGTAAATGGCTTGTATGAGATTGGCGAATCTTGGTCAGATATTGCATTTTTAAAGCACAAAACCACCGGCCACCAATATCTTCCTGTGCATGCATATAAATTATTTTCTTCTAATTCAAATGGCAACAGAGGAATCCTGGCGTGCATGTGCATGGAGACACACACACATCACTAAGGAGACAGGACAAACTATCATAAACTAAGCAGTATCCCAAACACATCATCATCTATAGGCTGTTTTACAAAGGTGGAATACAAACGAACTGAATGTCTCAGGTAAAAGGCAAAGTCTATTTCTCCAACTCTGCTGCACTCATTTATCTTCTTAAGGCTTTCACAGAAAGCACCGTTTTATGAACAGGCAATTCAGTACCCAGAGCTTGACTGGAGACACTAATCAGGATTGAAGTCTTGATGCAGTTCATAAAAACCCATTTAAAAAAAGGCATCAAAAACCACATTTAAAATAAAGTTGTCCATATATAAAGAATGAAGTGTTTAGAAGTTCCCAGCTTGTATCCTAATAAGAGTACTGAAAGGTTTAATATTAGCAGCCTGTGAACACGTAGTGAAGAAAGAGTCTGAGAACCAAGTTAACATCCTTATTCCACTCTAATTCCACCCATGCCATGGGTAAAAACAGTTCTTGCAGTCTAGAGTTTCTCCTCCGATGGTTTAACCGTCAGATTTTTACATCTTGGGATTCAACCATCTTGGCAAGCGTCTTCTTAATTCTCAACGCTGTGAGTCTGGGGGCTGGATTGTGGGCCCAGCATTCTGACATTAGCTTCAAAACTGCTCGTAGACATTCATCACTGTTCCACCGATTAGACACAATTGGCCGCAAACGTTTGACACACACAACCTCACGCATATCTTCGTATGACGGATCACTCGGTACCATGTTATAATATGGCAATTGGTAGTCTTCCACGATCCCTCCTGTGATACAACGACGAGCCATCTCCCAAATGATTAGGCCGAAGCTGTAGATATCAGCCATGATGTAGGGCTGGAAGTGGTTTTTGTTCAGGCTTTCGTCCAGCACTTCTGGAGCCAGGTAGCGTTTGGTGCCCACCCTGGTATTCAAGGGCACATCAACTTCATTTGTGTCACTGTTGAATTTAACAGCAAGGCCCAGGTCAGCAATGCAGCAACTCCCATTTTTCTTGATGAGGATGTTTTTGCTCTTTAGGTCTCGATGAGCAATTGCGGGCTTTCCTTGGGTGCCATACGTTTCTGTGTGCAGGTGGCACAGACCACAGGCAGCTGAATAAGCCAATTTAAGCAGGGCTCTGGTGTCCAGCGTAGCACATTTCAGGAAGTCATAGAGAGATCCATTTTCATGGTAATCAGTAATCAAATAGAGCTGAGTCCAGGAACCTGTACCTTTAATATCTGCCGCTATGAAACCAAGTATGTTTTCATGGCGCATTAGCACAGTTTGGTAGATTTCTGTTTCTCGAAACCAGCTGGCTTCTTCAGTGGTAAAGAATACTTTCACCGCCACTCTTTCGCCATGCCATTTGCCCATCCGTACTTCTCCATATCGGCCTTTACCAACTTGCCGGACCATCTGAATCTGTTTGGCAATAGTTCGCTGAACCAATAAAGGTAGTCCAGACCCACTACCAGAACTTTGTGACTGGTCAATAAGGTCTTTTAGTGATTTTCCAACTGGAATAAATGCTTCATCCTGTTCCAAATCACGATTGTAACGACGTCTGCTTGAGATGCTCTTGCAATAATGTTTGTAACAAAAGCAGCTGGAGAAGATGATCATAGCAATTATGCAGACAGCCATAGAAATGAGCAAAACCAGCCATCGAATGCTGCCATCAAAAAACGGACCTATGACAACAGGGGGCATGTGGGTTGCAAATACTGGTTACATAAATTGGTCCGACAACATTCTATTGTCCGGCGTAGCTGGGCTTTTGGAGAATCTTTGCACTGAAAATCAGATCCTTCATATTTCATACACCCTGAAGCTAATGTGGTTTCTCCCTGGTCATCTTCTTCTATGATGGCAAAGCAACGTCCATTAGTTATGCATGTGTTATTAATAGCATCATCTGGGCAGTGCCCTCAGCAATAGCACTTGAAAAAAGGCAAGGTATCCTCTGGTGCTAAGGTTACTCCATTTTCTGACTTTTTCTGGTCGGAGTCTGATTTCATCCCAGTGCCGTGGAGCATACTATCCAGATTCTGTCCTTGAACACGAGAAATGATGAACAAATAGGCTCCCAATAATCTGATGTAAATGTATAGCTGAGTCATTGTTCAATTGTAATGTTTCCTGTGTACTGTCACCTTTAGTAATTGGTCTTGCTACTTCACCAATTTAAATGACTGTCATTCAGTGAGATTTTCTTGTAAAAGATCGCAAGCACTTGACAATGACTTCAACTCCCACTGCTTTCTTACGACTCCTCCAAGATGTGGCTAGATAAAACTGTACTTCCGATTTTCTCCAAACAGCTTTGACCTATGCTTCCATCTCATGAATTCCAAGACAGTATTAAACTGATGCATATTTTCATAAGTCGCTCCCGGCGTCTCTTCCCGGGCTCCTTGCCAGCGTGCCGAGGCGCAGGCAGGGTGATGGAGGCGCCCCGGCCGGGAGGATCTGCCGGGGAGAGCGGCTTTCCTCATCGATTCGGGAGCACCCACCATGCTTAATTTCTTTATTAATTCTAGTAGTTTTAAACTACATGCTTTAGAAACGTACACATAAACAATCATTTTACCTGCAAGTACATTCAGGCTTACTTCTTCCTTTGCAATCTTTATGCCAAGGTTAACTAAAAATGGCGAGAGCTGACATCTTCACTTTGTTCTGAATTTTAAAGGGAAACCTAATATTTCACTATGGAGTATGATGTGAACTGCATATTTTTTTATGGACACCCTTTATCAGATTCAGTAGGTCCCCTACTATTCCTAAGTTGCAGAGAGTTTTTATAACAAAATGGTTTTGCATTTTGTCATATGCTTTTCGAAACCTACTGAAATGAACATAAGGATTTTCTCCTTTATTCTGTTAACGGGGACAATTTATGCAAATTGAATTTTAAAATATGAAGGCAGCTTTGCATTTGTGAATTAATCTCCATTTGGTTATGATATATTATCATTTTTATATATTGGATGATTCAATTGACTAATGTTTGGTTAAGAATTTTGACATCCTCTCATAAAATATATTGGTCTATAATTTTATTTTCTTATAATGTTTTTGTCAGGTTTTTTATTGGGGTATACTGGCATCAACAAATGATCGGGGAAATGCACTTCCTCTTCTGTTTTCTAAAGTAACTTCAGATTAAAATTAATTCTCTTTAAAATGCTTGATAAAATTTCCTAGTGAAACTATCTGAGTCTCTAGTTTTCTTCGTGCATTGTATTGGCTATTTTTTATTAGACATAGGGTTAGATAGGTTTTGTATTAATATCTTTAGGGAGGGTCAATTTTTGATATATTGTATTTTTCAAGTAATTTGTTCAATTCATCTAAATTGTCAAATCATTGGCAATTGGCAGTTTTAAAAATTGCCTTATTATCTTCTTGAAGTCTATAGCATCTATATAGATATCCCCTGTGTAATTTTTAAAATGATTAAGTTGTGCTTTTCTCCTTTTATTGATCACTTATGTTAGGGGTTTATCAATTTTCCTAATCTTTTCCAAAAAAACTTCTGCCTTTTTATTTTTTGTGTTTTTATTGATTCTGTTCTATTTATTATATTATTCATTTGACCTGTTTTGGTTTTAAATTTCATTTTCTTTTTCTACCTATCAATTTGGAAAGTTAAATTATGATTTTACACCTTTCTTCTTTTATCATATAAACTTTTAAATATAGATTTCCTTCTAGCAGTTCTTTAGCTGTTTCTCATGAATTCAGGAATGCTTTATGTTCATTGTCATTTATTTAACATAACTTCTAATTTCTCTTGTGATTTATTTTTTGTTAATTTCCAAATATTTGAGCTTTATTAAATATTATATTTTTGATTTCTACACTGGATGTTTATGATCTGAGAACATACTCTCTAAGATGTCAAACTTTAGAAGTTTATTGAAATTTAACTTATGGCTCAGTGCATGGTCTCTCTTGGCAAACAAATAAATGTGGATTTTTCCAATCTGCGATTATGGATTCCTACCTTTCTTTCATTTTTTTCAGTATTTCTTCCTGTTCTTTGAAGCACTGTTATGAGGCACATACATATTTAGAATATTTTGAATCTTTAGATTTTTATATCTTATAAATTAATATTTTGATAACTGTGAAGATCTCCACTTAATCTCAGATATCACTTTTTGTCCTAAAGTCTACTTTATTTTTTATTAACATTGCCACAGCAGTTTTCATATGCTTACTCTGTATGGTATGTTTTTTCTGATTTTGTTTAACTTTCAACCTATCTTTATTTTCATTTAAAAGATTTCTTATAAAGAGTAAAATAGATGGATTTTTTATCCTGACAATTACTGTGTGTTTAGTCCCTAAATTTAATATAGTTAATAATATGATTGGGTTTTGCTATTTGTTTCCCATTTGTGTCACAAAATTTTTGTTCCCATTCTTCCTTTTCTGTCTACTTTTATGTTAAACAAATATTTTTCAGTATTCCATTTTATTTCCTTTATTATCTTTTTAGCAGTACCTCTTTGTATAATTTTCCATTCCAACTTTTATTTTAGGTTCAGGTAGTACATGGGTAAATTATGTGTCATGGGATTTGGTGTACAGATTATTTTGTCACCCAGATAATAAGCATAATAAAATTTTCAATCTTCACCCCCCTCCCACCCTTTTCAAGCAGGCCCTGGTGTCTATTGTTGCCTTCTTTGTGTCCATGTGTACTCAATGTTTAGCTCCACTCATAAGAGAGAACATGCAGTATCTGGTTTTCTATTCTTGCATTAATTCACTTAGGATAATGGCCTTCTGCTCCATCCATGTTGCTTCAAAGGACATGATTTTATTCTTTTTTATGGCTGTGTAGTATTCCATGGTGTATATGTACTACATTTTCTTTATTCAGTCCACCAATGATGGTACCTAGGTTGATTCCATGTCTTTGTTATTGTGAATAGGGCTGCAATGAACATAGGCATGCATGTGGCTTTATGATAGAATGATATATATTCCTTTGGGCATATACGCAGTAATGGGATTGCTGAGTTGAGTGCTAGTTCTGTTTTAAGTTTTTTGAGAAATCTCCCAACGGCTTCCCACAGTGTCTGAACTAATTTACTTTCCCACCAGCAGTGTATAAGTGTTCCCTTTCTCTGCAACCTCACCAGTATCTGTTATTTTTGACTTTCAGTAATAGCCGTTCTGACCAGTGTGAGATGGTAGTATTTTAAGCTCATGATATAGTGATATAGTCCTATCTTTTGGACTATTGTTTTCATATATTGCACATAATTTGTAAGCCAGCAATACAATGTTGTCATTTTTGTTTGAAGTCACAAAACTATGAAAACAATCTTAAAGAAATGAAAAGAAGGAAAAAAATTTACATTAACCATACCTTTCCCATTTTCCATACTCTGTGGTTCTAGCTTATATATATTGCCCTCCTGCTTGAAAAATTTCCTTTAACATTTTTTTTTTGGTAGTGCAGAGCTGCTGGTGACAAATTTTCTCAACTTCCCTTTATCTGAAAATGTCTTTAATCTACTTTCATTATTGAAGGATATTTTCCACATAGTTACAGAGGTGTGTGTTTTCTTCTTTGTTTAGCACTTTAAAGATGTGGCACCATTATTTTCTGGATTTCATTCATCCTTATGACAACATAGCCATTATTTGTTTCTTTGTTCTATATATATATATCTTTAATTCACTAGATGATTTCAAAAATTTTTTTATATCTGCCTTTTGACACTTATACCATGTATGATAAAACTTTGGCCCGTAGACCAAATCTGACTCATGGCCTATATTTGTATGATCTGTAAGCAAAGGATGTTTTTACATTTGTAAAGGTTTGTTAAAAGGAGAAGTAGAAGAAGGGGAGAATGAAGAGAACTAGGAGGGGGGGGAAGAAGAGGAGGAAGAATGAAGAGAGTCTTTATATGGCTTATTTTACTATCTGGCCCTTTACAGAAAAGTTTTCCAACCTCAGAGTTAAATAAACTATGATGTGTCTATGTTTGGCTTTCAAGCTTACCTTGCTTGATTCACAAAGCTTCTAGGAACTATAAATTGAGATTTTATTCCACATTTAGGAAATTTTAGGCTATTTTTTTTATTTTTACTTATTTTTTTTAGGCTTTTGTTTAAAACCTGTTTTTTGACCAGTGTTTTTCCTTCTCTTTCTAGGACTCCAGCTGCATGTGTGCTAGGGCGTTCATTGTATCTGAGGCAGTGCTAAGTAATTTTTTTTCTTTCTCCGTTCTTTAGATTGGATCATTTCCATTCATCTGTCATTATACTTTGGTCTACATATAATGTATCTTTAATTTACTAGCTGATTTTAAAATATTCTCATTAGGCCGGGCACAGTGGTTCACCCCAGGAATCCCAGTACTTTGGAAGGCCGAAGCAGGCAAGTCGCTTGCGGTCAGGAGTTTAAGACCAACCTGGCCAACATGGTGAAACCCTGTCTCTATTAAAAATACAAAATTTAGCCAGGCATGGTGGCAGGCACCTGTAATATCACCTACTCAGGAGACTGAGGCAGGAGAATAGCTTGAACCCAGGAAGTGAGGTTGCAGTGGGTCAAGCTTGCACCAGTGCACTTCAGCCTGGGCAAGAGAGCGAGACCCTATCTCAAAAATAAATACAAATAAATAAATAAATAAATTCTCATTATATTTACTTTTAACAATAGTATCATGTTTGAGAAAACTTTGGCCTGTAGACCAAATCCTGGCCTATGGCCAGATGACTACAAAAGTAGTCATTAGGTTGACTACTCTTCCTCCTATCATCTCTACCTGATGTTAAGCATATCCAGTGAATTATTAAATTGAGGTATTTTACTTTTCAGCTTTCTGGAGTTCTTATGTTCCTTACAGCTTCCATTTCTCTGAAATACTCCATACCTTCACTCATTATAAACATTGTTTCCTTTATATTCTCGGACATATTTACAGAACTTACGTTGACTTCCTTGTATGCTAATTTCAATATCTGGGTCACCTCAGGATCTGCTTTTATCAACTTCTTTTTTTAATAAGGTCAACATTTTCCTGTTTCTTTCCTGTATATCTAATACAGTAGTCCTCCTTTATTCACAGAGGATATGTTCCAGGAACCCCAGTTGATACCTGAAATCACAGATAGTACCAAACCTATATATACTATGTTTTTTCTATCTGATACCTGTGATGGGACTAAGTGACTAACAGGAGGGTAGTGTCTATACAGCATAGATATGCTGGACAAGGGGATGATTCATATCCCTGGTGCGACAGAGCAAGATGGCCCGAGATTTCACCACACTATTCAAAATGACATGCAAATTAAAACTTTTCAATTATTTATTTCTGGAGTTTTCCATTTAATATTTTCGAACTGTGGTTAACCATGATAACTGAAACCTCAGACAGCAAAACTACAGATGAGGTGAGGACTACTGTAATTTATCATCTCTACAGGACATTTCGGAGAATACAATGCAGACACTGGTTTCTGTTATGTTCCTCTGAAGAGTTTGAATTGGTTCTAATTAGTAATAAACTTGCTGAGTGATCACCATGAAGTCATGAAAGTTTACTTTCATACTTTGTTAGGACAGATTAGTGGAAAACTCCAGGTATTCATCAAACATTTCTAATGTAGTTAACTTAAAGTCTGAATTCTCTTTACTTTATGGTTGGTAGCACCTGAAAACTCTTCTCACCTTGTTCAGTTTCCAGCGGTTGCTTTCCACTGAATTTCCTAGAATCTCCTGAGTGAATATACAATAAAGGGATCAGTTAAGGCTGGGAAGGGTATTGTTATGCAAATTTTGTGAATTGCAGTTTAACAGCTAAAGAATTTATCTCTATGATGTTCATAAAATTATTGTCTTAAAATTTGATTTTAGATTTTTCCACTTAATGACATTTAATTTATATGTGTATATAAAATATGCCTTACCTATTCTGTGCACAGTCCCAACTTCATAATGGGGGAATGAATGAATGTATCTTAAACAAATGATGATTTTGAAACTGACCTGTGAACTTAGTTAATTGAGATTCAGTGAGGTATATAAATAAGTCTAATTTTAACACTCTGATTTATAGTAGCAAACAAGTTTTCATTTGTAAATTAAGCCTAGATATATATACATATGAACTATATTGAATAGGTGGGCATTTCTTGGGCAAATAATTTAGTTTTTTTTTTTTTTCCTATTACATCTGGAAAATAAATCTTGTATATACAGTATATGAACACAGTGTAGTTTTGTTTAAGTAAACTAGCTTTGTTGATATACTATGTATACAAGATAAAAAGGAATAAAACATGAAAATATCAATAAGTATTGAATCTAAGTAACAAATATATAGGAATTTATTATTCTATTATCTTTACTTTTGTGTAAGCATGTAAAAGAACTGGATTTTAGAAATTATAAACATGTATTAAAGGTAATTCTTATAGTTTTCTCAATAATTTGCTGCTCTGTATTATTAAAACTACTTTGTCTATAAAAGTTTGCTGAAGTGAAAAATATTGCTGTTTCTATTACACTTCGTTAAATTCATTTTAATATTTTTGTTAGGTATCTCCAAATTATCCAAGGCCATGCCAGCCATGTCATTGCGATCCAATTGGTTCCTTAAATGAAGTCTGTGTCAAGGATGAGAAACATGCTCGACGAGGTGAGAGCTGCAGCAGAATGTCACTGCTCTGATAAAAGGACAACTAAAAGCCAAATATGATTATTTTCAGAAGAATATTTTGCAGTAAATGTTATTCATGTAATAAATTTATTCTTTAATCTATCAGTGTATTAGCGTTCCCTCCAGGAAGTAGTTTTTAAACTCATCTCAATAATTACTTTCATGTTTAATTATAATGTTTTCATAGCAAGAAGAGTTGAATTATGTATTTTGAGATACACACACACACATACACAGAGATAAAGAAAGAGAGAGAGTCAATCACAAATCTGTGGTATATGTAATTTTTTCATATCGTGTTATTTATTAGATTGTTTGTAGCTTCTATGAGTTCTAGCATGAAATGCCAGCGTTCACTGAGGAATGTGTGTGCTGTAGTGGGAAAAGCAAATAGAAGAACTCACACACTGAGATGTAGGCAATAATATAGAAAGCAAGAAGTGTTCATAAAGGACTAAGAAGGTAGTAGTCATGAATTAATGAACAGAAAGAGGCTGACACTAATTTAAGCTAAAGCCTTCCTTTGAGGAATGAAATTCATGAACTCCAAACATTAAGAAATCAAATGCCAACATAACTCCTTGATATAAAAGCGTTTGGGAGCTACTTCCAGGGCAGTTGCTCGCCAAGTTTAAGTAGGAAATTCATAGAATGCACTGGGACGCTTCTTCTCTAGAAAGACTAAAATTAATCAAGGCTACAATGTAGTGTTTTTTTCCCTAATGACTTTAGCGTTAAAAGACCAGCAATGTTTCTTAGGTACAATTCTTGTTACCTGCTTTCTTTATAAAACTGTAGGATTATCAATCTGAGCATTACATGTAGACTAAATTTTGAAATATTAAAAAACGGATACGTTTTGATAGTCGAATGATGAATTACTGAGCTCACTTTTCGTTTTAAGCCTTTTCTCTTTGTGTTTACAAGTAAATCACAATGTTGTTTTCATTAATATCATTTAACTCTTCCCTACCCCTTTTTGAGTAATGAGTATATGATCACAGAATAAAAATGGAAAAGTAGAAAAATAAATATACAATTCAGTGGTAATTCAGGAGAGATACCACTATTAACATTTTCATATATTTCTGTCATAATGCATACAAAAATTTCTGATATTGCTCCTCTTAACTTTATGTGATGAGTTTCCCCAAAAATCTATGAAAACTTTCTCTGAAGTCTGGCTTCAGCACCTAAATAACACATTATTATATGGTCGTGCCATAATTATTTACCCTCTCAACTTTATATGGACATTAAGATTGTTTCAAATTTTTGTTTATTTTAACCAATCCTTTAATAATACTTATTCCATATAATTACTTTTCAATTATTGTAAAAACAATACATAGTAAAATAAATTCTTAATAGTAAAGAAATAAAATAATAAGTGTCCTCTTCAACCTATTTATCCCAGTCTTACTTCCAAATTTAAAAATATTGAGCCTTTTTTCCGATTCAGTTTTTATTTTTTTTAATTATACTTTAAGTTTTAGGGTACATGTGCACAATGTGCAGGTTAGTTACATATGTATACATGTGCCATGCTGGTGCACTGCACCCACTAACTCGTCATCTAGCATTAGGTATATCTCCCAATGCTATCCCTCCCCCCTCCCCCCACCCCACAACAGTCCCCAGAGTGTGATATTCCCCTTCCTGTGTCCATGTGATAGCATTGTTCAATTCCCACCTATGAGTGAGAATATGTGGTGTTTGGTTTTTTGTTCTTGCAATCGTTTACTGAGAATGATGTTTTCCAATTTCATCCATGTCCCTACAAAGGACATGAACTCATCATTTTTTATGGCTGCATAGTATTCCATGGTGTATAAGTGCCACATTTTCTTAATCCAGTCTATCATTGTTGGACATTTGGGTTGGTTCCAAGTCTTTGCTATTGTGGATAATGCCGCAATAAACATACGTGTGCATGTGTCTTCATAGCAGCATGATTTACAGTCCTTTGGGTATATACCCAGTAATGGGATGGCTGGGTCAAAGGGTATTTCCAGTTCTAGATCCCTGAGGAATGGCCACACTGACTTCCACAATGGTTGAACTAGTTTACAGTCCCACCAACAGTGTGTAAAAGTGTTCCTATTTCTCCACATCCTCTCCAGCACCTGTTGTTTCCTGACTTTTTAATGATTGCCATTCTAACTGGTGTGAGATGGTATCTCATTGTGGTTTTGATTTGCATTTCTCTGATGGCCAGTGATGATGAGCATTTTTTCATGTGTTTTTTGGCTGCATAAATGTCTTCTTTTGAGAAGTGTCTGTTCATGTCCTTCGCCCACTTGTTGATGGGGTTGTTTGTTTTTTTCTTGTAAATTTGTTTGAGTTCATTGTAGATTCTGGATATTAGCCCTTTGTCAGATGAGTAGGTTGCAAAAATTTTCTCCCATTTTGTAGGTTGCCTGTTCACTCTGATGGTAGTTTCTTTTGCTGTGCAGAAGCTCTTTAGTTTAATTAGATCCCATTTGTCAATTTTGTCTTTTGTTGCCATTGCTTTTGGTGTTTTAGACATGAAGTCCTTGCCCATGCCTATGTCCTGAATGGTACTGCCTAGGTTTTCTTCTAGGGTTTTTATGGTTTTAGGTCTAACGTTTAAGTCTTTAATCCATCTTGAATTGATTTTTGTATAAGGTGTAAGGAAGGGATCCAGTTTCAGCTTTCTACATATGGCTAGCCAGTTCTCCCAGCACCATTTATTAAACAGGGAATCCTTTCCCCATTGCTTGTTTTTCTCAGGTTTGTCAAAGATCAGGTAGTTGTACATATGCGGCGTTATTTCTGAGGGCTCTGTTCTGTTCCATTGATCTATATCTCTGTTTTGGTACCAGTACCATGCTGTTTTGGTTACTGTAGACTTGTAGTATAGTTTGAAGTCAGGTAGTGTGATGCCTCCAGCTTTGTTCTTTTGGCTTAGGATTGACTTGGCGATGCGGGCTCTTTTTTGGTTCCATATGAACTTTAAAGTAGTTTTTTCCAATTCTGTGAAGAAAGGCATTGGTAGCTTGATGGGGATGGCATTGAATCTGTAAATTACCTTGGGCAGTATGGCCATTTTCACGATATTGATTCTTCCTACCCATGAGCATGGAATGTTCTTCCATTTGTTTGTATCCTCTTTTATTTCCTTGAGCAGTGGTTTGTAGTTCTCCTTGAAGAGGTCCTTCACATCCCTTGTAAGTTGGATTCCTAGGTATTTTATTCTCTTTGAAGCAATTGTGAATGGGAGTTCACTCATGATTTGGCTCTCTGTTTGTTGTTGTTGTATAAGAATGCTTGTGACTTTTGTACATTGATTTTGTATCCTGAGACTTTGCTGAAGTTGCTTATCAGCTTAAGGAGATTTTGGACTGAGACAATGGGGTTTTCTAGATATACAATCATGTCGTCTGCAAACGGGGACAATTTGACTTCCTCTTTTCCTAATTGAATACCCTTTATTTCCTTCTCCTGCCTAATTGCCCTGGCCAGAACTTCCAACACTATGTTGAATAGGAGCGGTGAGAGAGGGCATCCCTGTCTTGTGCCAGTTTTCAAAGGGAATGCTTCCAGTTTTTGCCCATTCTGTATGATACTGGCTGTGGGTTTGTCATAGATAGCTCTTAATATTTTGAATTACGTCCCATCAATACCTAATTTATTGAGAGTTTTTAGCATGAAGGGTTGTTGAATTTTGTCAAAGGCTTTTTCTGCATCTATTGAGATAATCATGTGGTTTTTGTCTTTGGCTCTGTTTATATGCTGGATTACATTTATTGATTTGTGTATATTGAACCAGCCTTGCATCCCAGGGATGAAGCCTACTTGATCATGGTGGATAAGCTTTTTGATGTGCTGCTGGATTCGTTTTGCCAGTATTTTACTGAGGATTTTTGCATCAATGTTCATCAAGGATATTGGTCTAAAATTCTCTTTTTTGGTTGTGTCTCTGCCTGGCTTTGGTATCAGAATGATGCTGGCCTCATAAAATGAGTTAGGGAGGATTCCCTCTTTTTCTATTGATTGGAATAGTTTCAGAAGGAATGGTACCAGTTCCTCCTTGTACCTCTGGTAGAATTCGGCTGTGAATCCATCTGGTCCTGGACTCTTTTTGGTTGGTAAGCTATTGATTATTGCCACAATTTCAGATCCTGTTATTGGTCTATTCAGAGATTCAACTTCTTCCTGGTTTAGTCTTGGGAGAGTGTATGTGTCGAGGAATTTATCCATTTCTTCTAGATTTTCTAGTTTATTTGCATAGAGGTGTTTGTAGTATTCTCTGATTTTAGTTTGTATTTCTGTGGGATCCGTGGTGATATCCCCTTTATCATTTTTTATTGCATCTATTAGATTCTTCTCTCTTTTTTTCTTTATTAGTCTTGCTAGCGGTCTATCAATTTTGTTGACCCTTTCAAAAAACCAGCTCCTGGATTCATTAATTTTTTGAAGGGTTTTTTGTGTCTCTATTTCCTTCAGTTCTGCTCTGATTTTAGTTATTTCTTGCCTTCTGCTAGCTTTTGAATGTGTTTGCTCCTGCTTTTCTAGTTCTTTTAATTGTGATGTTAGGGTGTCAATTTTGGATCTTTCCTGCTTTCTCTTGTGGGCATTTAGTGCTATAAATTTCCCTCTACACACTGCTTTGAATGCGTCCCAGAGATTCTGGTATGTTGTGTCTTTGTTCTCATGGGTTTCAAAGAACATCTTTATTTCTGCCTTCATTTCGTTATGTACCCAGTAGTCATTCAGGAGCAGGTTGTTCAGTTTCCATGTAGTTGAGCAGTTTTGAGTGAGATTCTTAATCCTGAGTTCTAGTTTGATTGCACTGTGGTCTGAGAGATAGTTTGTTATAATTTCTGTTCTTTTACATTTGCTGAGGAGAGCTTTACTTCCAAGTATGTGGTCAATTTTGGAATAGGTGTGGTGTGGTGCTGAAAAAAATGTATATTCTGTTGATTTGGGGTGGAGAGTTCTGTAGATGTTTATTAGGTCCGCTTGGTGCAGAGCTGTGTTCAATTCCTGGGTATCCTTGTTGACTTCTTGTTGACTTTCTGTCTCGTTGATCTGTCTAATGTTGACAGTGGGGTGTTAAAGTCTCCCATTATTAATGTGTGGGAGTCTAAGTCTCTTTGTAGGTCACTCAGGACTTGCTTTATGAATCTGGGTGCTCCTGTATTGGGTGCATATATATTTAGGATAGTTAGCTCTTCTTGTTGAATTGATCCCTTTACCATTATGTAATGGCCTTCTTTGTCTCTTTTGATGTTTGTTGGTTTAAAGTCTGTTTTATCAGAGACTAGGATTGCAACCCCTGCCTTTTTTTGTTTTCCATTTGCTTGGTAGATCTTCCTCCATCCTTTTATTTTGAGCCTATGTGTGTCTCTGCACATGAGATGGGTTTCCTGAATACGGAACACTGATGGGTCTTGACTCTTTATCCAATTTGCCAGTCTGTGTCTTTTAATTGGAGCATTTAGTCCATTTACATTTAAAGTTAATATTGTTATGTGTGAATTTGATCCTGTCATGATGATGTTAGCTGGTTATTTTGCTCGTTAGTTGATGCAGTTTCTTCCTAGCATCGATGGTCTTTACAATTTGGCATGCTTTTGCAGTGGCTGGTACTGGTTGTTCCTTTCCATGTTTAGTGCTTCCTTCAGGAGCTCTTTTAGGGCAGGACTGGTGGTGACAAAATCTCTCAGCATTTGCTTGTCTGTAAAGTATTTTATTTCTCCTTCGCTTATGAAGCTTAGTTTGGCTGGATATGAAATTCTGGGTTGAAAATTCTTTTCTTTAAGAATGTTGAATATTGGCCCCCACTCTCTTCCGGCTTGTAGAGTTTCTGCCGAGCGATCTGCTGTTAGTCTGATGGGCTTCCCTTTGAGGGTAACCCGACCTTTCTCTCTGGCTGCCCTTAACATTTTTTCCTTCATTTCAGCTTTGGTGAATCTGACAATTATGTGTCTTGGAGTTGCTCTTCTCGAGGAGTATCTTTGTGGCGTTCTCTGTATTTCCTGAATCTGAACGTTGGCCTGCCTTGCTAGATTGGGGAAGTTCTCCTGGATAATATCCTGCAGAGTGTTTTCCAACTTGGTTCCATTCTCCCCATCACTTTCAGGTACACCAATCAGACGTAGATTTGGTCTTTTCACATAGTCCCATATTTCTTGGAGGCTTTGCTCATTTCTTTTTATTCTTTTTTCTCTAAACTTCCCTTCTCACTTCATTTCATTCATTTCATCTTCCATTGCTGATACCCTTTCTTCCAGTTGATCGCATCGGCTCCTGAGGCTTCTGCATTCTTCACGTAGTTCTCGAGCCTTGGTTTTCAGCTCCATCAGCTCCTTTAAGCACTTCTCTGTATTGGTTATTCTAGTTATACATTCTTCTACATTTTTTTCAAAGTTTTCAACTTCTTTGCCTTTGGTTTGAATGTCCTCCCGTAGCTCAGAGTAATTTGATCGTCTGAAGCCTTCTTCTCTCAGCTCGTCAAAGTCGTTCTCCATCCAGCTTTGTTCCGTTGCTGGTGAGGAACTGCGTTCCTTTGGAGGAGGAGAGGCACTCTGCTTTTTAGAGTTTCCAGTTTTTCTGTTCTGTTTTTTCCCCATCTTTGTGGTTTTATCTACTTTTGGTCTTTGATGATGGTGATGTACAGATGGGTTTTTCGTGTGGATGTCCTTTCTGTTTGTTAGTTTTCCTTCTAACAGACAGGAACCTCAGCTGCAGGTCTGTTGCAATACCCTGCCGTGTGAGGTGTCAGTGTGCCCCTGCTGGGGGGTGCCTCCCAGTTACGCTGCTCAGGGGTCAGGGGTCAGGGACCCACTTGAGGAGGCAGTCTGCCCGTTCTTAGATCTCCAGCTGCGTGCTGGGAGAACCACTGCTCTCTTCAAAGCTGTCAGAGGGACATTTAAGTCTGCAGAGGTTACTGCTGTCTTTTTGTTTGTCTGTGCCCTGCCCCCAGAGGTGGAGCCTACAGAGGCAGGCAGGCCTCCTTGAGCTGTGGTGGGCTCCACCCAGTTGGAGCTTCCCAGCTGCTTTGTTTACCTAATCAAGCCTGGGCAATGGCGGCGCCCCTCCCCCAGCCTCGCTGCTGCCTTGCAGTTTGATCTCAGACTGCTGTGCTAGCAATCAGCGAGACTCCATGGGCGTAGGACCCTCCAAGCCAGGTGCAGGATATAATCTCATGGTTCACCGTTTTTTAAGCCCGTCGGAAAAGCGCAGTATTCCGGTGGGAGTGACCCGATTTTCCAGGTGCCGTCCGTCACCCCTTTCTGTGACTCGGAAAGGGAACTCCCTGACCCCTTGCGCTTCCCAAGTGAGGCAATGCCTCGCCCTGCTTCGGCTCGCGCAGGGTGCGCGCACCCACTGACCTGCGCCCACTGTCTGGCATTCCCTAGTGAGATGAACCCGGTACCTCAGATGGAAATGCAGAAATCACCGTCTTCTGCGTCGCTCACGCTGGGAGCTGTAGACCGGAGCTGTTCCTATTGGGCCATGTTGGCTCCTCTCCCCGATTCAGTTTTTTAGTGAGTTACCTTTAGTATCTAAATAATATTCTTATCAGTACTTTTATCACCATTACATATTGCCTATTGACTCTCCGTCTTGAAAGGTGAAGAAATGTATCATTCACAACACCTCCCTCCTTCATTCCACCATCCATACATTTTTATTATGTGTTTCTTCTACGATATCTTTATCATGTTCAAGAGAGCTTACATGTCTATTTCATCAATGACTACATTTAGACTTTCTCTTGAGGTCCTACTATATAAGATGTGATAAAGACTATCATCCCTACATTCTTCACCACTTGTCAGTGTCTGTCAATTACATATCTTTGAAATCTTTTCAAAGATTTTCACAGTTACATTCAGCTCTGGACCAATAATTAATGCTTATAATTCAAAAATAGAAATATAATAATCAAGATTGTAATACTGTAATTAGATACATATTATTTGATACAGGCTCGAATTGCAAAATTGGACACATATTTGTAGGTCATTTTTATCTTCATGCTTGCTCTGATAACTTATTTAGGAAAGAGTGTAAGATGTGGTCTCATGGTTTGCACTTCTTCATCAGATTACATAACCAGATAGTAGAAAAGGATATTTTAGTGTATTACTGGCATTCATTTGATTACGAGGGAAATACGATGTATTTCTTCTCTGATTTTTCTTTTAGTTTTCTTCATTTTCTTTTAGTAGAAGGAAGTTTTCTCCCTTGTAGATTTGTAAGAGCACTTTAAATATTAAAAACAGTGATAGTATATCATTTTTTAATAATCAGTTTTCAGATTTGCTTTGTGTCTCACTACTGTTGATAATTTCTAGTGCACAAACTTCAAAAATTTTATGTAATCAGCTGTCAAAGTTCAGGTAAAATTCTTTACTTATAATAATGATACCAACCCATGATTATTATATATTTTGATTTTTTTGTGTATTTCTTACATGCTTTATAATCCTAGAACTCTCATCTATCCCAAGATTAGAAAAATGTATTTGTTTTCTTCATTTGTATGATTTCATTTTATAATACTTAATTTTTTATTCCATCTAGAATTTATTTTGTTATATTTCATAAGGAAATTTTCAAACTACATTTTGTTTTCCAATACTCTTTTTTACTCATCTACATTTAATATTACTTTCAGCTCTTTAGACATATTAAATATATTTATTTTATTTTCGGAATCTGTTAGAAGCACTCTGTTATTGAGTCTGAGTCTGCATTTTTATTTCTCTTCTAACTCTTATTCATATGGACTTCATTTTCTTATGTTTCGTAAGTGTGTGTGTGTGTGTGTGTGTATGTGTGTGTTTTGTGGATGTATGCGTGCATATGTATTTCTTAGTTTATTCTTTCAGAAGCCTTGAATTTACATGAAGTTATGTGATAATGACCTACCTTATATAGGACCTAGAATTTTTTGTTGTTCTTCTGTAAAACCATGCTCCCTGAACTGTAGTCTAGTCATCAGAATTTGCCAGTCAACTCCAGGAAAGACATTGTTTTAAAGAATGACGTAAGCTTTCTAGAAGTCAATTTTGTAGTTTCTCATCTCCAAGGGGTTTCTTTATTTCTTGCCAGCGCAACGATTCTGTTATCTGCCATCTGTCTTTCGATCTATCTACCTACCTACCTACCTACCTACCTATCTATTTTTCTACGTTTAATTTTATTCTGTATCTTCAACTGTTCTGAACAGGAGGGGTTTTTTGGACATCTAGTCTACAATACTTCCAGAAATAAAAGTTAAGATAGACATTGTTTAATACATGAAGTACTTCTACATTTAGCCTCAATTTCTGGAAATTTTAACATCAGAAATAATGTTAAACTATTTAATGCCTTTGCAAACTTTATTAAAATTATCAGATTTATTTCCCATTTGGTCTATTGGGTAATCTATTAGAAACGAACTTACTAATATCAAACAATATTTATTTTACCAGAGTATGTTCTACTTGGACATCATAGAGGATCCTTTTAATGTACTTTAGGATTCAGTTTGGTGTTTTGCTCATCTGGATTCATAAGTTAATTGCCTGTGACTCAGACACCCACCAGTTGTGCTCCTTTGGCAAATCACTTAATTTCTCCATGCCTTAGTTACCTCATCTGTGAAACAGGAAAAATAATAGTGTCTATCTCATATAGATGTTTTGAGTACTAACTGAATTAACCCCTGTGTTTTGTGTAATGCTAAGTATAATGACTACCATAAGATAAGTGCTATTTGAGTCTTAGAAGTTTTGTTTATTTGGGGTTATCATTTGCATTTGGGTATCAAGTTAGAATTTGCTTCATAAATTGAATTACATAGCTCTCCATTTTTATATGACCATAAGAGTTTCAAGTTTTGAAAACAGTCTGTAAAAATTAACTAGCATTACAGAAAACCAAACACCGCATGTTCTTACTCGTAAGTGGGAGTTGAACAATGAGAACACATGAACACAGACAGGGGAACATCACATGCCAGGGCCTGTCAGTGGGTGGGGGTCTAGGGGAGGAACAGCATTAGGAGAAATACCTAATGTAGATGACAGGTCGATGGCTGCAGCAAACCACCATGGCACGTGCATACCTATGTGACAAACCTGGATGTTCTGCACATGTATTCCAGAACTTAAAGTATAATAATAAAAAAAATTAACTATCATTAAAACATGTTTGTGGTAGTTCTTTGATAATTTGTCCTCTTTTGATACCCTTGATTAGCTTTGTTTACCGTTTCCTTTTGCTTGCTTTTCTTTTTTTCAAATCTCTTTACTTCCTGTGGTGTTTATATTTTCTCTTTTTTATACTTAAATGAATTAAATTTTAATTTATCTATTTTTAAAATAATGGACTATTTAAGCCTATAAGTTTACTTTTGGGTACAGTTTTTCCATACTCAACAAAAATTAAGTTCCTTTTTTACTGCTATTATATTCTACCTAGATAGCTATTTATTTTTAATTGAAGTCTTGATTTTCTCTTTAACCCAAGAGTTATTAAAGAGAAATATTTAGGCATTAATTTTTAGAACAGTTGAATTTTGCATAAAATTCTCTCATCATGTTTGATATTCAGAACTAATTTAATCTTAATTTTTGTGGCATTTGATACACATCTAAAAGTAGTAATTTATGTTAAGAAAATAAGCCTTAGATAATTTCTGCTTTGATAATTGAGTATTTTTTATAGTCAATCACAAACTATGGTAAATATTTAGTTATATACCACATAATATGTAATTTGATATTATTAGATTATTCAAATTTTCTGTTTTTTCTTACTTCATCTGTAAATACTTAAGATGAGTAAGTTAGCATCATTTTCAGCCATTGACTTTTAAAGTTTTTATTTCCAATATATTTTGTTGTCCACATATTTTTGTACTGATAATTAGTGCTTATTTGAAGCATAAACATAATAATTTAAATCATGTTTTTATTATATTTTTATCAATGTAAAATGAGAGCTTGCCTTACTGAACCTAGTTTATTTGAGTTCTACTTTGGCCCTATTTAATATTTCACAACTTTTTTTTCTTTTCCATACGCTTTCTTGACACACATTCATTTTCTTTTACTTGTAATATTTTATTTGCAATATTCCTGTTCATTTTGTTTATCTCTTGTGCACATTACATGTTTATGTTTTTAATAAGAACAGTAAGACTGCTTAACTCATTAGTATGTATTTAGTATGCATTTCTGACACTAATTCTGTCATTCTGCTTTTTGCTTTCTCTCCCTAATGTTTCCTTGCCTTTTTTTCCCTCCTCCTTTCTTCTTTCTGATGGACTATATATATTACTGATTTGCTTTTATCTTTCTCCAGATTTTGAAGGTCTGTTAGTTGTATTCATTCATCCTGTATTATTTCTATTTTTTAATCAAAGACATGAATAAACATTGTGTTTTGTATTTCTGTATGTTAAAAAAGTAAATTTAAACTTTTCATTCCCCTCATCTATTGCTTCTTATCCCCAAAATATCAATTCCAATGAACACCTTTATTTTCTTTAGTAATACTGCCAGTGGCATGTTCTTAGAGTATCATTGTTAAACTGTTATTTTAAGTAATATGTCTTTATTCCCAAGGCTACTTTGCACCTGTAATAGTCTGGTGGAGCAGGCTTGTTCCGTGAGCCACTAGTTTTGCATTTGTTACTGCTTATTCTTCTCAATGTAGCATCATCAGCATTAGCGTTTGTGGAAATTTCTCCTTGGTCATTGTTTTCTATAGCCATAGTTTGGTAGATGCTTTGAGATTTCATCTTTCTTGTTTACATTTTTAATATTTCTATTGACACTTAGAAGATGCTATGTTCACGTAATCATAGAAAGCTTTTAATTAAACCCTCTACTCTTTGGTTTTAACTTTTCTTTATTGATATATATAAAAAATCTATTTTTGTGTCAAAATAGCATTTTAAAGGTTACTGTCATTAAAACTTTAACAACTAAATTATGTACTTGTTTTAGAAATGTTGATATGTGGCTCATCTTTCTTTAGGTTTGGCACCTGGATCCTGTCATTGCAAAACTGGTTTTGGAGGTGTGAGCTGTGATCGGTGTGCCAGGGGCTACACTGGCTACCCGGACTGCAAAGCCTGTAACTGCAGTGGGTTAGGGAGCAAAAATGAGGATCCTTGTTTTGGCCCCTGTATCTGCAAGGTACATTGTTTATTCCAGTAATGTCCCACTGTCAAGACAGAAGGTTATTTTTCTTGGCTTCTCTGTTGATTTCCTTGGCATTAAGCAATTTTAATGACTTCTGGAAGTATCCATAATCTATTCTACGTGTGGTGACCCACCAGGTTCACTGTAGCAGGATGTTTATAAGGCACTTATCTAAAAGCCTACAAATGCACGGAGGATAAACCACGTTTAAAGGCTTGTTATTTTATAACAAAAACACTTTCACCCCATTGCCCAACTAGTGTGTTAATTTAAAAATATACGGCACTAGAAATAGCAACCCTTTAAAACTAAAGTGCATTCAAATCTACCTTTGCATCTAATTCAGTAATGAATTCTGTCAAGGGTTTTATTCTGAATTTTTAAATAATCTTCTAAAGTTTGAACCCAGATAAGCCTTAAAATACTCATTATATTCAAATTTTTCTGTTCAATTATAAAAAAGTACAAAGCCCTAATGGAATTAATTAAAGGCTCAATATTTTCTTCCAAGATTACTTTTAGAAATGCAACTTTATTTGTTGTACATGCTCACCTAATAACAAATCATGTTAACACCAAGGGATGCATTACCTCTGCAGCTTATAAACATTATGAAGCATACAGGCATGCACAAGTGAAAAATGAAAAGACTGATTTACTTTACCTATAGTAATGAGTTCTATAACATTCTGACCAGACGGTGTATAACTACATTAGCTGAGAGAATGAACCATTCTTTGAAAAAGTTAGCATACCATACTTATGTAAAAATGAAAGTTACTACTTTTTTCTTTATTTTCAATTAAAGAGGGACCCTTATTAAAAATATTTTTATTAACCTGTTAGTCTTATCTTGGCAGCTATAAAATATTATATAGTTATATTTGGTACATGTGAGCATATGTGTACATATACAACCATTAAGCCATAATATAAGTAGTAAATATTAGTTTTAATGAAGTGTTTATGAATTGGGACAAGAATGTCTGGAAATATCAAGCTAAATATAATAATAATAGTTACATAATAGGTATATGTTACATCAGGGGCAATTTAGGTTCCTATTTTGAACTACTGAAATAATAAAACTCCTGTGGACACAGTAAGCAGAAAAGTCCACAAGCCCATAGTAAAAAGTTGCCATGTCCTGGAATGTAGTAAATTTTCTAATCTATTACATTTCATTCCAATATTATCTGAAATGAAAAATTGCTTGAGTTGACCAAGATTGTGTAGCAGTGTGTGAGTGATTGCTTGCTTAAGGACACCTCCCCTCTCCATCTTGTATGTCTCTGTGGGCAATCCTGCAGGCTCTTAGTGCATCTTCTCTAGTATTTATCAAAACATGTCTTGTGTGTGCTTTATTCTCTTTTCAAAACTCCACAGAAATCTCTAACCTTTACCACTTGCTCAAATAAAGGACAGTCAAAACTAAGCTTAAAATGGAAAAGAAACCTCCTGAGTTTCTAGAATATATAAAATCAAACAGGGAAGAAAAACAAGTGCTTTTCTACACCTACCACTCATACAGTGGTGATGTCTGGTATTTGCAAGGAAAGGGAGTAATAAGCGAGTTAATTTTCTTTGGTAAATATAGCGAGAAAGGCTGGAGCAAGAGAGCTGTAGTGATTAGCAGGGCTCCAAGGGAAAGCCCCTTGAGCTACTTACTGCCTGCTCTCAGCCGAACTCAATATTGTACTGAGAATTATTATAATCCTAATAAGAAAGATGCCTCCTGTGTAGACACTTGAAGCTCTACACAGACAATTAAAATGCAACAATAAACAGCAATTAAGAAATCATAAAAGAGAATGAAAATTAAGTAAATAGCATTATTAAAATAAATGCCTTTCTACCATGTGATATCTTAAATAGAAAACTGTAAGTTCTTATAAACTAAATTGTTTCAGGATTAAAAACTTGCAGAAAGCAAGTTTCATAAAACATCTACATAATTATAAAAATCACAAATTATATGCATATAACATGAATTACATCACAGAATTATATATCACAATAATATCACAATATGCCACGATGAGTTATATCAAAATGTGCATGCAATGTACTACAATTAAGTGCCTACAGTCTCTTGTTTAAAAAATAATTAATAACCTAGCATTTCAACAAAATATGCATACAATTTAAATACTGAAAAGACACTTAGTGTAGTGTATTTAAATACTGAAAAGACACTTAGTGTAGTGTATTTAAATACTGAAAAGACACTTAATGTAACAGTTCATACTGTTTCACAAAAACATGATTTGACATAGATATGTCAACTGATTGTAAAAACAGCATGGATCAAAATGCTGCTTAAGAAGCAAAATTTTATTGAAAGACTAAAATATTGGAGATATAAATTCAAATTAAATGACAGGTTTTTAGCAGAAGGGGAAGAATATATACATAAGTGTCCATATATTTCTATCCAAGTTAGTAACTTTAAATAAGTATTTATCTGTAAATAGAAATAATATAAATCACATATGAAATAATGTGTATATAAGTATTCATCTCCAAAATGCTTATTAACCTTAAACATTTGTACCTTTATTCTCTTATACTATAACATATGAGTTTTTAAATAGTTTTTTTTTATCAGAAAGAAATATCTTACTGAAGTGTGAAGACATTTTTAAAAAGAGCTTCATTAGGAAGTCTTGGGCCTAATTGTTTTTTGTTTTATAAATTTTAAATGACTGCTCTGTGATGAGCCCATTTCAGTTGAGGCTGTATTATTTTTCCTGTGGGTAAAATGACATACTGAGCTGATATGGACATCACTTCTCCCACTTTTGCTATTTTAAAAATACAGATATGCTGCATAAACATAGCAAATAGATTTATAAACATTTAGATTCAAGAAAGAAAGGGAAATTCCTAGATGTCAGACCAAAGAGGGAAATCTAAGTTAAGCATAAGCAAAAGCTCAAGCTAAACTGAGCAACTGGGGTCATGGGGTGGAGGGTGGGAGACAAGTCTTAGTTCTAAGATCAGGGCTAAAGTTTGGAGTTTTAATGCCCTCACTAGGACTTGACACTAGGATTTGGACCCACAGACGGAAATTGCAGCTGAACTCCCTGAAGCAGGGACACTAGAAATGCTTTCAGACAGTGAAATGGGGGCTAGAAAATTCTTCCTGCAAGCCTACAGAGGCAGCTAGAAAATTTTTCTCTTAGGGGCTCTGGGTGGGTAAAAGTTACTACCTTGTGTAGGACCGAATCCCCAAACCTGTGTGCCACGTGGGAATGGGATACATTTTTATTCTCCCCTTATGTGCTGGCATTCTTCAACAAGTCAAGGAAATGATATTCCCATAGGAAAAATAATACAGCCTCAACTGAAAATGATCTCATCACAAAGCAAGTAAAGTACACAAAAGGAAAATAACTACAAAAGGAAACCAGTAGCCACAAAAATGAGGATATTTGTACACAAAGAACTAGAAAGGGTAGTCTGAAATAAATTTGTATTCATAAAAATCTGTGATCATATTCTTATCACATAAATCATAAAAATATGTTTAAAATGTACAATTATAAAAGCATGATTAGAAGATTGAAGAATAAACAAAGAAGGAATAGAAAAAAGTAATATAAAATAGACGCTATATTAAAATTCAAAAGTAACCAGGTTTGGAAAAGAAACATGTATAATTTACTTCCAGAAATGAAAAAAATATGCAGTCATTGAAATTAAAAATTCAATGATTGGGTTAAACAAGAGATGAGAAACTGCAGGATAGAAAATCAGAAATATAGGCCTGAAAAAATTACCTATAAATTGACATAGGGAAGTAAATAAATATGATGCTAACTGACTCACAGAATTGTAAAATTGAACAGAAGTTTAGCAGAAGTTGCCAAAGAAGAGATTAGAAGAAGTTGAGGGAAACAATATTCAAAAAAATAATGAAGGAGAGAAGAATGATCATGAGTTAAAAACTATTATAAATCCTCAGTTTGAGGATGATAAAAAATAAGTCTACCCCTAGTAGAAAACCTGTCAACCAGCAAGACAAAGAGAAAAATATTAAAACTGGGGGCAAATATCTTTATTGTGAGTGTTTACCACTCACAGTCCAACTTCATGGAAAGAATATTAAATAATATATGTCCTTTAGTAAGAATATTGAACCCATAAGACAGTTTCACTAGATTATAGTCCAGAAGAATCAATCTATAAAAAGCAGTAGTATTTCTATATGTCAGTGACAAGCAAATAAAAAATGTAATAAAAATACTTAGAATAGCAAGAAAAACTTCATGATACCTAAAAATAAGTGTTTGTAAAATTGAGATAATTTTTAAAGGTTATTGAAGAACATAAAATTCTAAATGAGGAGACAGCTGAGGATCACCAAGTACCAGTGAAAATCTGTGAAATTTGAAATGTTTACCATTTCTATTAATAGAGTTAATTAGTACCACAATTTAGGAGGGCAATATGGTATTATCTAGTATCTTTGAAGGTGATAAAACCCTGTCAACCAGCAATTCCACATCCAAACATTTACCCCAAAAAACTCTTACAATGTATAGAGAAAAACCATCTAAAATGTGCTCAACGTAAATGTACTTACTATGATGAAAATGAGAAAAATAAATAGCAAAAATAAATTGTAGTGTTTCCTTTAATCTGATAAAAGAAACAGTTAAAGTGGTTGAAATAGATCTTCATGTATAAACCATGATAAATTTCAGAAACTTCAGGTGGAAAAAACAATGTCATTATGGTATTATTTATATCAAGTTGTAAAACATAAAACAATGCTACATTGTTTGTGAATACATATATTATAATTAAAAAATTTAAATACACTTGTAGGGTAAGTACTAATTTCAGAATAGTAGTTACCTCTAGAGAAACAGGAAAGGGAATAAAACAGAAGTGAAATGAGATTCATTTGTATCTAAGTATCATTGCTTTAAAAATATATCTGAGGCAAATATAAAATATAAATATTTTGTTACCTCTAGGTTGCATGGGTAATGCATGTTATATGTGCTTTTTGAATGTCTTAATATAATTTCTAATTTAAAATTTCTTTAATTGAATGTAAAAAAGAATTCCAGATTTAAAAAGAGGAGAATGAAATTTTTAATACAATGTCAACTACATTATTACATTTTACACATAAGATTTTCTCTTCAACAATGATGTTAATGAATATTATCATCATTATATTTCAAAATGTGAAAGCAGTGCTAGCTCAAGACACTCAAATGTTTATAATATTTTTGCATTGTTAAAAATGTTGAAATTTCTCTCACGAATTACAAGAGGCAAGTCAATCTCAGATATATGACAAGTCATTGACTATAAGTGCTGTCTGACTCTCAGTATTTGTTTATTTCAAGTACCATATGCTAGAAATTGGCTCTTTTGCAGTTTGGTGTCATATTATTTATGCAAAATCAGTTGGTATGTAGAATCTCACACATAATATAAATTGACATTGATCTAGTTAGGAACATGTGCTTTTATTTTTATCAAAGTCTTATAATAGAAAGATAAATAGTGAAGTAGAAGACTAGAAATCAAAGTCTGTATTTTCATCTTGTTTTGCTTTGTTTTTATTGCATTTTCCATTAAGTCCTTACAGGCCCACGAGACTATGTGATCTGGCCTTGGCTTACCTCTCCAGAATGTTCTTGAGTTTCAGTCACTGTTTTTCAGCTTTGCTTAAATTTCTTGAGTCTCTTAGTTGTTTGTAGCATCTGGAATTTTATAAGTTCTATTCAGATTTCTTGGGATACCTCATTTCTAGCCCTATTCCTTTGCTTAGCCAGGCATTTTTAATGGCTCGGCTTAACTTCAACTTTCTCAGGAAAGCTGCCCCTGCATCCTCAAGTCATATCATTCTCATGGCATAATCACTTTTCAAACCTTTTTCTTTTCTTTTATGATCTCATAATGAGTAATTCTGTTTTATGTCTATCTTACCTCTGGTGATGATATGGACCCTATATATTTTCTTTACCATTGCACAATAAGAAGATAACACAATGACTCATACAAAAGAAAGAAGGAAGGAAGAGAACTAAAATCTCGTGAAGCTTTGACAGTCATTTAGCCTTTCCGATTCTGTTTTATAATCTATGAAATGGTGTTATTGAATCTTTTCTGCCTCTCAGTAGGTATAATTATCACACTGAAGCCCTGTACAAGTATAAAGTATAACCATAAATACCTACTGGATTACTTTTTGTTGTTGTTTATATTGCTTTTCCCAAGTAGAGATAAGTTTCTGTTCTTTTTCCCTGAAAGGATTTTTATGGTGTGTTAACATTTTTATTGGTTTTGGATTTCCCTCTTCTTTTTCATTTGTGTACAGGAATGGTCACTTCATTAACTTGTAGACTTGATTCCTGGGCATTTTTACAAATGGACTTCAATGTGTACATTTAATCCTGAATCTAAATTACAGATGTAGAATTTTTGGCATAAAAGGTTCATGCATGAATGAATTTATCTCTTGCAACCCCTACAGTTCAAATAATATTATGTTAGTCAATTTTTTACATGGACAGACTCTCTCCTTGACCAAATTTTGGAAAGTCTTCTCTGAGTCCTCTTTTTGATGAGGCCTCATCGTTGACCCTTGTCCTCAAACCTAGCTTGGTTAAAGCAAGAATTCTGCTAAGTCAGTGTGTTAAGAACACCTTACCCTTGATATCTGATCCCTCTGGCCTGTCTTCAACAAGAATCCTGTTAATTTGGTTTAGCAAGAATCCCCCCTACCTACCCCTGATGTCTCCTCTTAATGATTGTTCGCCCCTGATCCTTGCTCGTGGCTATAAATCTCTACCCTTTTCCTTGGCACTGAATCCCTACTTGTTCATGTTGTATTGGGAATGGAGGCTAGTTCTTTACTAAGGTTGCTTTTTCTCTATTGCCATAGTTTCTCACTGAAGCCTATTTTCATCGTTTTAACTACTGTCCAGCTCTGGTTCTCTTTCACAATATTAAAAGCTGAACTTGTGAAAATTGAGAACTAATGTTTATGTATTTCCTTCTCCCTCCCTAACCCATCAACTATTATCTAGCCTTGGAAAAGTGTGTTTTAGGAGTAAGTCCTCAACAAATACTGCTAATTAACTAATTATCCTTCTTTTGTTAACTTATTTTAATACTAGGATGCATTAGTCTAAAGGTCATAACAGAAGAAAACCTGTAATTAACTACAAACTACCAAAAAACCAAGCATGACTGAGAAATTCCTGAAGCAATTATCACACAAAAAAAATAACTTAAATGTCACTGGAGCTATTCCTGGTAACTTTGTCAGTAGTACTCCCAGCTGACTAACAATCACAGTTCAATATGTACTGCTGAAGTTGTACCTAGTTTATAAAGCAGTAGCTTCTATGAGAAAGAATACAAGAAAACTACGGTGACTATTTCTCCAGAGAAAAACTGTACTGAGGAAACTATAGCAAAAAGAAAATTGATGTCAACACAATAGTATCTCACTTCAAGAAATCAAAAACAAAAGAACTTAGTAAAATTTTTCTAATTCAACTTTGTTTTTAAAGGGAAAAGAGAACTAAAGAAAAAAAAGACAGCCATGATTTTTTGTAGCGTAGGCCACAACATTGAGCTATGTTCAAAGGAAATAGATGTCTAAAGCACACATTTCTTCCTAAAAGAATGAAAATTGGTTCTTTGGGAACAAAAATATCATATTGATTTTATGTAAAGGCAAACATTCACATGGTGCATCTGTACATAAAATATATCTGGAGTATTAAAGTTTCATGGTGGGGATGATTATGAAAAAATGACTATATAGGCTCCATAGGGACATGATGATAAAAAATAGATTAAGTAGATTGAAAACACTAGTCTAAAGTGAAGTGATGTGTTTTAATATCATAATATGTGAGAATATAAAAGTATTTACGTATGGATTATTTACAATGGAAAAATGACTATTATAGTTCATATTTCATTTTATTAATGTAATTGATTAGAATAATGGTATAGAAATAGCAAAAGCAGAATATTTGGTTTTAAGAAAATATGGTGATATAAGGGAATGAATATTAATTTCTAGAGTGGAAGTCTGTAGCGTTCTAGAAATTACCGTGTTTTATAGGCTGTAGTGTGAAAATTATCATTAAATACGCAAATTGAAAAGAATCACTAATGGACTCTATACAAATAAAGTGTTAAAATGAATTTATTGGATCAATAGGAGCTTCCCAGTAGGAATGCTGAGAGGTTTAATAGATTAGACTCCATTTTGTTTAGATTAACAGTTAAAACAACTTTAAAAATTTTTATTAAATTATGTTTTTGCAACCATTGAAGTATAGATAAACAAAAAAAGAAAAAAATTAATTATATGTTAATAACTTTTTAAAATTCATCAGTACAAATAAATTATAGAATCATAAAGGAAAATAGAAATCTCATGATGATTAAAATAACATTCAGTCTGGAAGGTACAAAACTTTTACCTTCATCATTCGATATTTAGGTTCAATTATATTCCCATCTATGCTTTAGGGACTGAATTGGATGGTGGTAATAAGGTATAATATATGGTCTGTGCCAATCTTATGGATGGCAAGAAAAGAACAAAATTATGGTTTTACTGTGTGTATTTATTTATTTATTTATTTCAATAAATGCCCTTTAGTAGATATTTTTACATCTGGAGACATTCTCACATCTGGAAGAGGACACTGCAACAGTAGCCTATTTTAATCTTGTCATGAAAATCTTGGGATACATCTTTTTTGCTCAACTCCCTGGTTTTTCTGTCTTATTTTTTTCTTCGGGGCATAGTGGACACTGGTGATGAATTTGGTGTCAGATCCAGAACATGTTGTCTGTACCCCTCTTACAGCAGTGATTTTCTTCCACCTTGTAATATAATTATCTGAAGTCCGCCTCATCAGAAAGTACATAGGGAAACTATCGTGACTCTATTTCTCCAAGTAGAAACTGTGCTAAGGGAACTAAAGCAAAAAAGAAAATTCCTACTTCCTTTGCTATAATCCTCTTGAGGGCATTTTTATATTCCCTGTGATATCTCATATGTCTTGTATATAGTAGTTCAGCTATGAGTTGATGAACGAATAATATAAAGAATAAAGCAACGATAAGAAATAATGAGCAGAGCATTTATTAATAATTTGATATTGATAACAGAGGAAGTTAAATTATTCAAAGAGCTCAACCATAAAGCAGATGGCTTCACTTTCAAGCTGGGAATCAAAAAACTTTAAGTGCTAGAATATTCATGTCAAGAGGATCTTCCAAGAATAAGCCAGGAATGCAATTAGGGGCTGACTCATGGATGACAATGGTCGATGAGTCACAAAGAAATTTTGAAAAAACAATGATGTCCCTGGGGACACATAGAAAGAATTGGAACTAGACTGTCAAGATCATATATATTAACAAGCTAATAGAAGGCGGGAAATTTTGGTCTCTATGAAAATGTGCACAAAAGTCCCAGAACACTATACTTCTGTGTTTGAACTGTGCTACTCTAAATTATATAAAATATACTCTATAATGTAGTAAAGAAAGATTTCTTTATGCCAATGTCTCACATTTTATAGACATTTTACCTGCTACTGTCAACTTAAGTTACTCAAGTATAGTTCTGTTGATTTATCTCCTAATGAACAACCGCTAATGACTTACCAATTCCTAAGGAATATCTCTTAGGATGGACTTTCTGAGGGCAGGGCCCTGGATCTCAAGTACCAAGTGAAGTTCTAGCATACAGGAAGTATTAAATACAGGCTGAGTATCCCTTATCCAAAATGCTTGAGACCAGAAATGTTTCCGATTTGGTATTTTTTCGGATTTTGGAATATTTGCAGAATACATACTGGCTGATCATTCCTAATCAGAAAATCCAAAATCTGAAATGCTCTAGTGAACATTCCATTTGAGCATCATATAGGTGCCCCCAAAGTTTCAAATTTTGAAACATTTAAGATTTTGGATTTTCTGATTAGGGATGCTCAACCTGCACATTTGTCTTGAAAAATAAATAATGAATAAACCTCCAACTTTTAAAATGAATTCTTGTTCCCAATGTCTTTGCTAACATCGGTCTCTCATTCTATCTATGTCCACAAGTTGAATTTTTAAACCATGCTTCAAGGATCAGGTCAAACTCCACTCCTGTCATAAAGCTTCCTTAAGCCTTATAGCAAAAATTAGTGCTTCCTCTATGTTCCCGTAATTATTTATTTCTCAGATGCACTTACCATATTCCACCTTGCATTATAGTTGATTGTGAGTATATCTTTTTACCCAACTAGATATTGGCCTTTAAAGACAGACTTATTTAAAGACAGACCTTGACTTATTTATCTTCATAGTGCCTAGAATTCCTACCCTAATGTGTTGCTTCAGGTTATTAAATAAAATTGAATGTGAAATTATTTAATCATATTTTTTCAAGGTCATTTTACTAGGCTAAAATGGAGCTAAGGAAAATGTAGCTAATGTCTGCAAATTTCTAATTGTTGAACTTAGTCTGAATCTCAGAATAGTGGCATTATAAGCTTTCAAATTAGAGTAAATGAAAAGTAGATTAGACCAAGCGCATAAGAACACAGTATACAGAACAGCTGTACTGTGTCCTCAACGGGATAAACTAAATCATAATTACAGATATGTTTCATCTTTCTTGCCTTTATACTCTTTTGAAGATGCTCTCAACTTCAGTGCTTTGGGGATTTATTTGTCACTGTAAGTCTGAAATTAGTTTGATTAGTTTTGCTGATATCTATCATTTCAAAATGTCTGAAATCTGCCTTAAAAAGTAAGCTGGCACAAATCTTGGGGCAGTGCTTATTAAGGTTCCCACATAGAAGTGGCTGAGTTTGTAAATGAGTCATAGAAATTCAGTATCAAAAAGTTAATTTAAAACAAATTATTCTCTTGGATATAAGGAGGACTGCTTTGTTTATTCTTAAATTTTTCTCCTTACTTCTTCATGCTATTTTTCTCTTCTCTTCTGATTTTCCTTATATGTTCTCAGATTTTATCATCCCTATCTTCTGCTCAATCTGGGTTTGTTTAAAGTGTTTTTATTCAGCTCGTACTATGCGTATAGCACTTTGCTATGCATGAAAAACATGACTGCCAAGAGATTTATTTGAACTTAATAAATTTTATGAAGCTAATGCTCAGTGCTGTACCAGGAACCATGTTATTTTCTCAGACTATAAAGTTAGTAAGACAGAATTTCTACCTCTGAATAGATTATGGTAGATAGCTAGAGAGAACAATCTTTGAGCAATACTTTTTTGTGGTTGTGATAGGGTAATGTATACAGGGCCACGAAAACTACATGGAGAGAGAAGTTAGTTGTCCAAGGGAATTTTTTAAAAAGCCTCAGTATTGATAATAAGGGAATTCAAGGAAGAGGGGAAATGTAGAGAAAATGCGTATGTAGGGAATATTACAAATCTGTTTCCTGGAAAGCAGGATGCCTTCCTTTAGAATTATTAGTTAAGATTAACCACTCTTTAAATTGAGAGATTATATCCTTCCCTGTTTTTCATTATATGGTCAGCTTTCACTGGCCTGAGTCCACATTTTAAGCTCAACTATATACAAATAATTTTTCAGTATACTGAGAGTAGGATTAATGAAACCAGTCTGGAGAGCAGTCACAGAATGAGAATAGATCTTTCCCATAGTATCACTATGTGACTAACTGATTGTACTGATGTGTTACAGAAAACACTGTAAAAAGTTAACCAGAGGAAAACTTTGCTTTCTACTTTATCTGATCTTTACCCCAGTTTCTCTACCTGTCAAATTCCTATGCTTGCCTCAAATGTACATATTTTTAATCTGAAATGTGAAAAGTATTTATAACTGGTGTAATATCAATGTTCTATTATACATCCATGCATTAATGTCTTTAATTTTACCATGAAATTAAATGAAGTACCTCAATAACAGAACAGTGAACTTTAAATGAAGTAGCTCAATAACAGAACAGTGAACCTAACTGGCCCCATTTTAGTCAATCTAATGCATTCCTGCACAGGTATTTATCATGACATTTACTCTACACTCAACCTACATGAAGATCAACATAGTCACTTTTACGAGAGTAGATTTGCATCCATCCAATAATCTTTCTCACCAGTGTAATTAGAAAGGATACAGCTTAACACATAGCTTTTGAGCAGATTTTTAAAAATATCATTATACGTTAAATATAGTTGAGAGGGTAAAATGAAGAATGTACAGTTAATATTTTCCTTATACAGACATGGACGCAGCTCATAATGTTGAAGGATACCTCTGTTGCTGATACATCTCTTTATTTGCAGGAAAATGTTGAAGGAGGAGACTGTAGTCGTTGCAAATCCGGCTTCTTCAATTTGCAAGAGGATAATTGGAAAGGCTGCGATGAGTGTTTCTGTTCAGGGGTTTCAAACAGATGTCAGAGTTCCTACTGGACCTATGGCAAAGTAAGCAAGCACCATTTGGTTCTGTTTGCTGCCCCAGCAGCCTTCTTTGTTGCTTTCATCGTTGTTCTTTTGTATGAACAGTTTCTGATAGTGAACTTCTACATAAAGTTACAGGAAGAAGTAATGGAATTTTCTTCAAATGCTGTTGTGTATTTTTGCTCAAAGCCTTTGAGGTTGTATTTGTAATATTGTGTAGACTGGAATTTCTTAGAATAGGTAGACATAGTCTTTTTAGTGTCCATGATTACTCTATGAAACAATAATGCAATTAAGGTTTCAACTCCAAGGGTGCATGATTTAAGAGAGAAAACACTACATTGTGATATGAATTATATTTTCCATTACTAGTATGTTCGTATGCAAGTTGAGAAAAACTCTGTATCATCTGTATACATAATACATATTATCCACCAACGCTTTAGTTACTATTTGATGTTGCCTAGGCTCTTTCATTATTAAAAGGGGACATTAAATATAGGCAATACCTTCATTCTGAGTTGGTTTGAAAAATTATTACTTAAACTATTTAATAGCAACTGAAATTTTCTTTCTTTAACGTAAATGTGTTTACCTTTCTAACTTCACTGCCTACACTACCCACTGCCTTTTCAAATCTGTGCAAAGAGCATGTTGTCTCCCTATACAGAAAAGTGTCAGAGGAAAATGGGACCTTCTGGGAATTTCACACAGCCTGTGTGGCTGGACTTAAGAGTGCAGAATGGTAGGAAATGGGCTGGAGAGAGAAAGAAGTCTAGACGGGGGAATGAGAATCTAGAACTTATAGGGTTGAATATACTAAGAATTTGAGATATTTTACTTGGAGTGTCATTGAAGAAATTTAAGCTAAAGACTGACATTATCAGAGTTGTGTTTTATAAAGACTACTATTTAGATAAACTATTTCCTAAACACTTCTTCCTTTCAACTTTAATCAGTGAACTAATCCTGAACAGAGCTATAAAATATTTTCTCTGCCTGCAGTGCTTTTAAGTCAAGCCTCATATTATGAAATATTATCTATACGTTATCAACTGTATTGCTTTCAGAGCAGACTTCAAAGAATCAACCACAGATGGACATCTAGTCTAACTTCCTCTTTTGTTTATAAAGTCCCACCCCACCCTCCAGACTGCCCCACTGATAGATCAAAGTTTCATAGCCAGCCAAGGGGCAGAGCTGGTACTCAAGCTTTGATCATCAGATGCTAGAGACACAGAATCCCATTCAACTGTCTTACAATGCCTCAAGGGTGACGTTAGAAAGGGAAGAAATGCAAGGAATATATTACTTGTTGTCCAGAAAGTCAACAGGTTGTACCTGGTTTCTATTTCTCATTTAACTAAGGGAATTGCAGTGATTCCACAGCTTTGGGATAAGCAGAGTCAAATAGTCTATGAAGAAATTTTAAAAAATATTTCAGCCACATAGAGTCACCCTTAGCATTCTGCTTCCCATCACCCACAACATGAAGCAGCTCATGCATGTCTAGTAGGTTCCTGGTAGCTGGTACCCTAAGCCCTCAGTAATCAGTGTTTTGTCCTGACTAGGTAGGATGCTTTAAATTAGAGGTGTAGCTGTAGGCCTGACCTTGGCTGAAGCATAAAGATGTAAAAACAAATCATTATGCATTCCCAGATTCCTCCTTTAAGGTTCCTTCCATTTCTGGGCCAGGGATCTAGGCTGTAGGTCCCCACAGCACTTCTGACCCTATCTGAAGGAATACATACAGTATTGCCAGGTGTTGTCATAGCACCAAGGCTGGTGGGTTCAAATATCCTTAAGCCTCAAAGTAGAAATTTTAAAAAGTGGGAGGGGTGGAAATACTGAATGAAACACCACCTTTCAGGTACTTGCATAGTTTCTTTCTTTTTCCCTCTGCATTACAAATACATACGCAATACTTTTTCAGGTTGTTTTTTCCAAAAGCAACAATAAACTACTAGTGGAGTAAAAAATACGGAACTGAAAGTCCAACTGTTTGATTAAGTGTATGTTATAACCATTGTATGACTTTGAGTGAATTTCTATTTTTAAGAAAGTGGTATTTGGAACCACAATTTTTTAAAAAGCATAGGTTCAATGAAAACAGATTATTATAGAATACCTTGGAAACTCCTAGAAACATCAAGGAAAAAAAATAAACAATGGAAGCCTATGTGAGTACATATAATATGTCTAATGATATTCATAATGCTCAGGTTTTTTTCTAAATGTTTGTGGTTTGGTTTTTTTTGTTTTTAATTTCCAAAAGTGGACACGACCAGGAACATGAAAGAGAAAAGCAGCTGATAGATATTTTTTAAAAATTAATGATGACTGTGTGTTTTCTCTAAGATACAAGATATGAGTGGCTGGTATCTGACTGACCTTCCTGGCCGCATTCGAGTGGCTCCCCAGCAGGACGACTTGGACTCACCTCAGCAGATCAGCATCAGTAACGCGGAGGCCCGGCAAGCCCTGCCGCACAGCTACTACTGGAGCGCGCCGGCTCCCTATCTGGGAAACAAAGTAAGTCCACGCTTGCTTCCCGCTATTCTGCTTTAACTGACTGATCGTGAGAATGGGTTTTAGTTGGTAATTCTTTTAAAGAAAGACAAAATCAAATACACACTGAATTGGATTGCCAGAACCAGCTAAATCACATTGAGTTGGGCGTTTCTTCCATGTTGCACAAGACCTTAAAGAGCCACGGCATCCTTAATATGCAACTTTGTATAGCTGATGTTCTATGTAAACTTTTTGAATGGGCAAATAAATTAATGAAGCCGCTAGTGTATTTTCGTAAAGCAAATTATAGGTATTGGAAGAAACTGTGTTGTGTTTATGTGAAAAGAGCTGTTTTCTGGAGTTGTCTGTGGTGGGATACTTACTAAAGTTTTTCTCATCGGTTTCTATTTCATTTCAAAACTGATACTCAGGAGATTTACTTTTCCTTCTACCTGATATGAATGTTAATTGGAAAAGAAATGTATTACATAACTAATTAAATGCTTGCCATGAGGCTTATGTAAACAACATATTTGCTGGAGCTCAGGCAGAAACTACCCTAAAAGTGCCAGATTGGAAGCACGTTTGTTTTAAAGCCCACACATATGTAAAAACATACACAGATAAACAAATGTAGCAGCCTCAGAAATACAGGCTTATTTTTTTCTGTTGTGGATTACTTCTATCTAGATAGATATCCTGGGGTTTAGAATTTTATTTTATCTTGCCTAATACTTTGTTGGAAACAAAATTTGGTGACTTATTTATAAACGTGAATACTTGCTTGTTCTGTGAAAGTTAATACCTTCTCAGCTGATAGTTAAAATACCTGATCACACCAGAAGGTGTGATGGGAAAATCCCTTCCTAAATTAATGTTGTTTAAGCCTAGTTTACACCTAACAAAATATAGCATTATTTATGAAGAAATCATAATTGATTAAGCAAATAAAAGTATGTTTATAGTCAGTGGTTTTCTTGCATGACATGTGAGTATTGAAATAGAAAAACTTAGTATCTCATATGCTACTCAGTGAATGGGAACTGGTGGTGTTGGCTGGTTGAAACACTTTTAACTTATGGCCAGTTTCTTATATTTAACAGAACTCTGAATGCTATTACAAAAAATGTGTAAATGTCTAAAAGACATTTTCAATGAACATGTATTTTAAGAGACAGAGTATGTTGCATAAAATTCAATAGCTGTAAAATAAAAATCGAATTAAACTTTTATTTGCAAGGCCCTTTACAGCAAGAAGTCATTTTATCCTATTCTATTTAGGAAACTCTGGTATTCCCAAAAGAACAAAACAGCACATAAGACTTGAATTTCTACTGCTTAAAATTGCCAAAAAAATATAAAAATATACTGTCAATTTAAAAAAAAAACAACTGAGAGCTCCAAGAAGAGCCTTAGGTCAAAATTGGATGAATTTCAGAGGCCTTATTTCTTATATGATGGCAACACTTAATTAAAGTAGCTTATAATAGAAATATTCTTTACCAGATTTTCCATCCTTTCTTCTTTGGTCATATGCATTTTTTTTTCTGTTGGCTGACAATCAAACTGACAGAAGGAAAGCAAGCAAATGGAATATTCGGTAGAATCAGAACAAAGAATTTGGACATCCCATTAGTAGTTGTTGGTTCCCGAAGATAACTTCCCTTATCCTGGCTGAAATATTTTTCTTATAACCCACAGTGAAGCTCTTCATATTCCCCTACCGATCATTTTCACATCAAAACACTGTTCTTGCCTGTACTGCCGTTTCCATTCAGTGAACAAAATAACATTAACAGGGTGTGCAAATTGTTTGAATACGGAGGACATTTTTAATGTAACGTGGAAGCCCTTGGTGGTTTACTGTCAGGCATCTCAGTATGAATGAAACAATTTGCCTTAATAACTGAACCATGTAAATTTTTGATACTACAATAATACTGCAAGCTCTCAGAAATTACCACAGTACATCTTAACTGTCATGTCACATCACGTAAATTATAGTCATGATGACATGCTTAGCTTGGTTGATTTAATATCTTGCTAAGGAAGTGGAAAATTGTAGGGCCTTGTTGGTAAATTCAATAAAGCCACTTTTCTAAATAGTTGAGGCTAAATTCTTTACCAGTAATTGCTGTTCGAATCAGAACCATTGCCAGAATCTGACAGAAATAGCGTATCAAGATACAAGTGCATCTGCTTAAATATTGAATTTTATTTACATCCATGACCAGGAGTCTATGGTACATAATCCTTCCTCTGCTTTTTTAGTGTTATTTCCTAATTGGAAAAAATTATGAGATGCTATTAGCTTTTCCTAAATATTTATATACAGACTTTCAAACATTTTCCAAGTTGCTTGGTTATAAGGCTTCTTCTAACAGAAGGGCGATATGCTGTGCATGTTCTCTTATAATGGAGATGCCACATGCTGTTATTCTTTTTTTAGGAGCCTAATCCCAAATAATAAAAGTGGCTCACATGGGACACATTTTTGCTAACATGGATGTCTGCCTGGTTGTAATAAAACTCAAGAATACTAGCCAATTTAGCAAAGGAGTGCTTTGTATCCTGTGAAACATTTTTCACATTTTTACTGTTTTGGAATAATGAAGTATAAGTAAGTGATTATAAGTGTATGTGTGGATAATGGATGAGGCCTAGGAAAACTTAGCACGTTTTTATACTTTCTATTTTTGAAATTCCCACAGTCTCAGCTAGGAGTTGTTCCTCCAATTTTTTCCCCTATGTACCAGTGAATATTTGGCACAACTGGCAGAATCAAGTGTTAATTTTCCCGCCTCGTTCTTGATAGTCAAAGAGAATTAAATCAGGCACCCACAGGGCTATCCTAGGTGCATTTCATTTTCAAAATGCTTGGCAAATGTTAATGCTTGGTTTTAGGGCATTTGTTTAAGCAACTAGGCAGCAGTGGAAAGAGCTAGAGGACAAAGAATCCTGCTGGTTTGCTGCAGGCTACAGCTATTCAGAAACAGTTTGGGAATTTCAGAGTTGGGATAATTTACTGCCCTAGTAAACTAAGTGCTACTGGAACATTGCAACAGTCATTTGCTTAAGGTTGCCCTAGTGGTCTGAAATAGTTGAGGCAGCTTCCAAAAGCAATTCTCTTTGCATCTGTAAAGTTCTGGGAGAAGCTAGCTTGGCTTGTCTGCTGTTCCTGCATTACCATTAAGGTTTGAAATTCTCTCTCTGAATATTATTAAATTAATCTTATGTGATTTGTTCTTTACCAAAACCTGCTTATTTTCTACAGCATTATGCTATCTTTCTGTTTCTAGCTTAGAGAAGCCTTTAAATTTGTTCATATAGTTGCCAAGAATACCTATAGTCTAGTTTAAGATGCACATTAGGAGAGTCTGCTGACATAATAGCATCTGGCTTCTAAAAGTAATCTCTGGTAAACTCTTTTGTTTTGTTGTTCTTGCTTGACTTTCCATTCTACTTCACGGATCTCAAATTAAAGCTATAGATTTGAAGAAGGAAACTGATATTTGAGATTTGTAGGACAGGGTAGATCTCATCATATAAAAGAAGCTCAACAAATACCTTGTAATTGATGCTACATGCTTAACACAAACAAACAAAACTCTAAGAAATTGTTTTTTTTAGGTTGCTCAGAAATGCCCATTGAGTTGGATTTGTGGGAGTTGAAAGATGAATTCTGTCTTGCTTTACAAAATAATTAAAAACTCGCTAACAAATATGTTCCACTCTCCTTTGAGCAGCATATTTTGTGACTTCTTTGCTCCATAGTCCTCAAAATTATTCAGAAGTGGAGTTCAAACCCCTCCTCGCCATCCATAACTTCCTCCTATTTAAATCTTGGATTAAATGGGTTAGTTAAGAAGATCATTATGCAAGTGAAGAATGGTATGGCTATAAAAGTAAATAGGATAAATCAACTGTGGTTGATTTTTTATTCCATAAATCAGATCCCATCAAGACTAACTTGGCAATGGAGTAGAACCAGGAAGAAGGTTTGCTGCCTAGAATAAACTGAATGAATTTGTAAACCAAAAATAAAATTCTAAGACCCCTGACTGAACGGACCCCCTTCTTGGCCAAGGGAATCCCAAAGAAACCTAAAGAAACCTGAACATCATGGGAAGGGACGATTACACATTCCTCATTATACCCTGCTCCCTTTGGAGTTTAGACACCACAGACCAACAGTAACATTAAAACAGAGATTTTAAAACTGACTAGACAGACACTTTACAGCAACAAGATACCAAATTCTAACCTCACTCTGGTATAGCATAACATAACAGATAGCAGGCCCTAAAAGAAATCAAAGTATTTTATACCAAAATATATTTATTTGACATATTCTGAAATGACCTTGCAAAGCTGTCTCTTGGGGAAATTTGCATTCTATAGAGAATCTCCTTCCCTTACTAAGTCTTTTCTGGAGAGTCAGATACCTTTTAAGGTCTGGCAAGAGACATTCACCATCAGCCTGCTACTTTACCCTACTACCTTGAGGCTTCATCTACATGACAAGAACCGTGGCTTCCACAACCCACTCTCTTAACTCAAGCTGACTTCAACTGTTCAGGCAGAATTTTACTCTTTCGACCAATTGCCAGTCAGAAAATCTTTGAATCCATCAATGACTTGGAAGCCCCCACCTCGCTTCAAGATGTCCTACTTTTCTGGGCCGAACCAATGTGTAACTTAGTACTGGTGTATGTCTTTGCCTGCAACTTTCGTCTCCCTAAAATATATAACGCCAAGCTGTAACCCAGTCATCTTTGGCACATATTCTCAGGACCTCCTAAGGCTGTGTCACAGGCCATGGTCCTTAACCTTGCCAAATAAACCTCTAAATTGATTGAGACCTGTTTCTGATACTTTTTGGTTTACAAATTGTTAAGGATAAATGAGAAAATAAGTATTAAAAAACAAAAAAAATCAAGGACTCATTTATTTCCCATAGCTATGATAGAATCTGCTGTGTAAAAGTAACACAAATGCAGGAGCTCAAGGTCAAACATAGAAACCTCTGTCTTACATATCCGTCATAACATTCTCTTGACGTTTTTCCTAATTAAATTTATAAAGCATTAGTTCTAATGTTAAAAATTGTTATATAAAAAGCATTTTAATATTCACATGCATCTGTCTACAGTGTTTTACATTTTGTTTATAATTCGTCAACTGAATGAATACTAGATAGGAGAATGTTCCATTTAATAAAAACTCTTGAGAAAAATAAAATAGCTTACTTAACAGTAATTTCAATGTGAGTTGGTTTGTGATGTGGTTGGCAACAAAACTTACGTAATCTAGGGCTACATTGGCAGGAATTTACTGGTCAGGACAAAGGAGGTAGTGTTTATACAGATTCTGCACAAAACGCATGTCACCTAATATTATTATTAAATATTATTAAATATTATTAATATTTAGCTTACTTGTGAATTTCTCTTTTTATCTTTGTTAATATACATGACCCAAGTCATCAGCTAATAAACCAAGAAATCCAAATTAGGAAGAAATAGAGCCAGGATTACAATCCAGATGTGTCTATAGCCCATTCCAGTTAAGCATTTTTTCAATCAGTTAAGTTTATTAGTTCTTGCAAGGCATTGATCTTTGGAATAGAGATGCTGAAGCAGCTTATTCAAAAGAAAGGGAACGACAAAGATATGAATTTATAAAAATACAAATGAATGAGATGAATAACAAATGTCAATAGAGGGGACACAAATCCAACAAGTTTTTTAAATGGTTTCAAAGCTCTGGCAAGATTAATCAAGCAAAACGTGGGTAAAACACAAATAAACAATTTTAGAAATGTAAAAATGGGCATAACTGCAATTACTTCAAAAATAAACAAATAAGGAAGTATCAGAAAATAAACAAATTAAGAGTATTATGAAAATTTACACACAATAAGAATACAATTTAGAAAAAGGAATATCCTTCTAGGAAAATGCAACTTAAAAAAACTGACTCAAAGAAAAAAAATCTATAATGTCAGATAAACATTAAAGTAATTGAATCAGCAGTCAAATAAACCTTCCAATGAAGTTAACTCCAAGCCTATTGATTTGCAAGTAATATCAATCAAAATTCAAAAATTTTTAAAAATGCAAAATTATACAAACTTTCCAGAGAATAGAACAACTGGGACGTACTCCTCACATAATTTTATGTGGCTTGATATAAAATCTTGACAAGAGGACTATGAAGAAGAAAACCCCTACCCAAAGTCACTCATGAACGTAGATGAAAATATCCTAAATAAAATATTAACAACCCAAATCCATCAGTTTATAAAAATAGTCAGGCTAAATTGGCCAAGTGGATTTTATCATCCGTGTTTGAGGTTACTTTAAAATTAGAAAACCAGTTTAAGTAATTGACCATATTGACTGATTAAAAGAGAAAAAAATCAATTATCTCAATAGACACAGAAAAAGAAATGGGTAAAATTAAACATTCTTCATGTCTGAAAAATTTTGAAAACTAGAATTGGAAAAGCACTTTAACTGATGAAGGCTATCTACATAAAAATCAATAGCAAATATCTTATTTAATATAAAATGTTCAAAGTATTGTTTAAGATCACAAACATGAAACAATTCTCACTATAACGACTCCCACTTAACATTGTGCTAGAAGATGTGGACAGTGCAGTAGATAGGAAATAAAATATATAGGGATCAGAAAGGAAGAAATAAAACTCACTTATAGATGATATACTTATCTGCTTGTAAAATCAAGAGAATCTACAGACAAATTCTTAATCAGTGAGTCAATAAGGAGACTATATGCAAAATTAATATACAAAAGTCAATCATGTTTCTTTATATCAACAACACTTTTCAAAAAAAATTTTTAAGAGGCCATGTATAATAGCAATACATATAAATAGTACCAAGGATTAAATTTGTAGGGAAAAGCCAATGGCCAAGAATAATCAAAAGAAATTATAGATGGGGTGCGATGGCTCACATATGTAATCCCAGCACTTTGGGAGGCCAAGGTAGGTGGATCACCTGAGGTCAGAAGTTCGAGACCACCCTGGCCAACATGGCAAAACCCTGTCTCTACTAAAAATACAAAAATTAGCCAGGTGTGGTGACAAACGCCTGCAATCCCAGCTACTCGGGAGGCTGATGCAAGAGAATTGCTTGGACCCAGGAGGCAGAGGCTGCAGTGAGCCAAGATTGGGTCACTGCACTCCAGCCTGGGGCATAGAGCGAGACCCTCTCCAAAAATATATATATACACGTGTATATGTGTACACGTATATATATGTGTATATATATACGTGTACACATATACACGTGTATATATATATACGTGTACACATATACATGTGTATATATACATGTACACATATACATGTGTATATATATACGTGTACACATATACATGTGTATATATATACGTGTACACATATACATGTGTATATATATACGTGTACACATATACATGTGTGTATATATATACGTGTACACATATACATATACACGTATATGTGTACACATATACATATACACGTGTATGTGTACACATATACATGTGTATATACATGTACACATATACATATACGTGTATATGTGTACACATATACATATATGTATATATATACATGTACACATATACATGTATATATATGTGTATGTACACATATATATGTGTGTGTATATGCATATATGTATATATGTGAGTGTGTGTATATATATATATTTAGAAATTCTAAAGGAAAGAAGTGGGGCTTTTTGGAAAGGGATTAGGTCATGAGGGTTCTAATCTCCATGAATGGAATTAATGCCCTTATGAAAATCTTATCTGATATAAAGAGTTAGGACTTACTTTAAAAGATATAATGACTAAGGCAAAATGCTATCAGTGTGAAAATAAACCAATAGACCTGAAAAAATAGCCCATAGATATCACATACATAGATGAATACTTAACTTTTATTGAAATAGGCATTGCAGATCAATGACAATGGGATAGACCCTATACAGTAAATGGTCTGGTACCACTGATTATCTAGAGAAAAAAAATAAAATTTCTGCATCCTTACTCCACATTATACATAAAAATAAACTCCCCTTGAAACAAATCATAAATTTTCAAAAATTATGCTAAAGACAAACCTTTATAAAGACAACACATTGAGATTTCTGCTCCTGACCATAATTGAATAATAGTATCTAGATTTCCTTATCTACCTTAAACAACAACAAAGCCTGAGGGGGAAAAAATGTGGAACAACAGTTTTTAGACACTCTTCCACAGATAGCATAAAACTGTGATCTCTGAAAAAGAGAAACAAATGGGGTGAGGTTTACAATTGCCCCAAGATTATTGCCTGGGGACAGTCTCCAGGGTGAAGTGCATTGGTATATTGAGAAAAAAGCCAAACACAGCCTGGCCTTGCCAAATTGAAAGACAGAGGTTAGGGTTCATGGAGGCCAAGGCAGCTAGCATTTGTGAGGCAGCATACAAGGGAAGAGGAACCTGACCTGCACAGAGAGAGAGACGAGGAGAGAGCTGCAGCTATCTGCAAAGAGAAACCGGAGTACTGAGTTGCAAATATGTGAAAGAAAACTACCTAAGGCTAATGAAAGAATCACTAAAAAGTAGTAAGAGAAACAATTCCTGAGCTGATACAGGGCTGCTAATAGTTTATTTTCCTAACACCCAAAGTGGAATGTCTTCATAAGAGGGACTAAATTAGCTCCAAACTACAAGCTACTCTAGGTTCACCCCAACAAATCTTGAAAACAGCCTTAAAAGAAGTCAACTTATTCCAAATAAATTAACTGCATGCCAGAACAAAGTCCAATACTATTTAATTACAACAAAATCCAGCACTCAACAATGTAAAATTCATGATGTTTGGCATCAAATCAAAAACTACCAGGTACATAAACAAGCAGAGCATATAAGCCACTACCAGGAGGAAAATCAATCAATGGAAACAGAACCCCAAATGGCAAGAAAATCATGTCAAGATATATCAGAATCAAATTATTAAAAAGACAGATAACTGGAAAATTGTAAAAGCAATCAGAAAAAAACTAACATGGCCAGGCGCGGTGGCTCATGCCTGTAATCCCAGCACTTTGGGAGGCCAAGGCAGGTGGATCACGAGGTCAGGAGTTCAAGACCAGCCTGGCCAATATGGTGAAACCCCATCTCTACTAAAAATACAAAAATTAGCTGGGCATGGTGGTGCACACCTGTAGTCCCAGCTGCTCAGGAGGCTGAGGCAGGAGAATCACTTGAACCTGGGAGGCGATGGTTTCAGTGAGCCGAGATCATACCACTGCACTCCAGCCTAAGCAACAGAGCGAGAGTCTGTCTCAAAAAAAAAAAAAAAAAAAAAAGAAAAGAAAAGAAAACACAACAGGTGCAGAGGAACAAAGATAAGGAAGAATAGTTTCTTGTCAGACCCTATATGCTATGGTCCAAATGTTGGTGTCCCCCTAAAACTTATATGCTGGAACCTAATGCCTAATGTGATAGTATTTAGAGGTGGGGCTTTTGGGGGAGTGATTAAGTCATGAGGGCTCTAATCTCCATGAATGGGATTAACATCCTTACAAAAGAGGTTGAGGATGCTGCCTTGCCCTTTCCTTTACGTGAAGGGGCAGCAAGGAGGTACCACCTTGGAAGCAGAGAGCAAGCCCTCACCACACATCAAATCTGCTGATGCCTGGATCTTGGATTTCCTAGTCTCCAGCACTGTGAGCAGTATATTTTTAATGCTTAAAAACTACCTAGTCCCTGTTATTTTGTTGTAGCAGCCTGAATGCATCAGTACACTTTGCAAGCCAGAATACAATACAGAGATATGTTAAAGTATTAGGAAAAAACAACGCAAGCAATCAAATGAACAAAACAAATACTATCAGTCTATAATTCTTTACCAGGCAAAAATGTCTTCCAAAACTGAAGAAAAAACAAAGATTGTTTCAGAGAAATAGAAGTTGAAAGAATGTGTCACAGACTGATGTACACAAGAAGAAATGTAGAAAGTTCTTCAGGCAAAAGAAAAATGTTACCAGATGGAAATTTACTCCTACAAATAGAAATTAAGTGTATCAAACAGGTGAATAGCAATGCTTTGTCACTAGTGCTAGCTGTCACAAGACCTCTAGCCAGTCATGTTTTCAGCTGTAGGGCCTAACACCATGGTTAAGGAATGGTTACCTAAATACACAAACTTAAAGTAGAACTTCAAATACTTCCTGTATAAAATTTTCCCTCTGAAGTTTTAAAAAGAAAGACTGGGTTGTAAGAAGAGTATAAAAAAGGCTTGCTTCTCCAGCTCTCATTTCTCATTTCAAACTTAAAGAAAGAAAACCAGCACCAATTTGAAAGTGTTTCAATAAACTCTCAATGTAAAACTTCACGTTGTTTTCTGTAGCTTTTCAGTAACTTCTTACACTCATGTTCTATGTGCGGCTCAGTGGGGAACTATCTGTATCCAGTGGATTGTTGGTTCTGACACACTAGCCTACGTGCATATGGGGCAACCCCCAACATGCTGGCCCCTGCCACTTGCAATAGATCAGACCCACCCCTTGTGGTTGAGTGAGGCAGTATTATGTCAATTCTAAACCTGGCATTTTGTTTACTGTTGTTGAGTGTTGTTGGTAGTGGGAGAAGAAAATAGGTCACAGACAGTGTGAAGACACAAGGAGAAGACAGCCATCTACAAGCTAAGGAGAGAGGGCTGCAACAGCTTAATTCCTTGTAGTGTTCATAAAGAACCAATCCTGCTGACAGCTTGATCTCACATAGCAAAATAATACATGACTTTTTTTCCTCCTTGATTTCCATGAGAATTGGGTGAAAGCTATTACTCATATAAGCGGATGACCTGATTCTCTCATTTTTGTGGTTACCTTTGATTAGTGTTTTGGTCTTTATGCGTTTCACAGACCTGATTCAAATGCTGGATCTCTGCTTTATTAGCTTTGTGATCTTGGACATATCCCTTAATCTAGTTGAGCCAGATTCTCATTATCTGCAAAATGAGGCTTCTAGCACCCCTCAGAATTGTACAAAGCTCTCGAAAATGTCCTTAGCACACAGAAGCTGTCCGATAAATGCCAATTGCTTTATGAATTTCTGTAGTTGTATGCTGCAGTAATTTATTTTGGAGATCTTCCTTATATCAGTAAAAGACGTTTGTTAAAAAACACTTTGTCACCTGTCTGACATAGTATCTGGTGGTAGTAAGGATAAGACATCATTAAAAATAAAAATTGACAATCAGAGAGAGTTAATTTTAGCAAGTACGTAGATTATATGCCTTTAATGGCAGCTTTGCAGCAAAGTGCAAAACATAAATAAATCAGTTAACCAGATTTGTGAAATACCCGCAGAGTGTTTTAGACTTTATTTTGAAGGTGCCAAATTAGAGCTAACATGCATCGCTTCATGTCTTCCCAAGAAAATTACATGACAAATATCTATCTCTGCTTCACTGACAACCTGGCAGTGAAAGGGATTTGAGGTTTGTGCCCATCAGTAACTAATTAGAGAAGTAAATGTTATAACTAGTCAGTATTCTGTGGCTACAATGTGGCAAGTTAAAATAATATCCTTAAGGTGGGCGCTAACGCAATATGACTGGTATCCTTATGAAAAAAAAAAAAAAGGACAATTTGGAGATAAACACACCGACAGGGTAAACACCATGTGAACATGATGATGGCCATTCACAAGCAAAGGAGAGAGGCCTGGAACAGATTCCTCTTAGCCCTCAAAGGGAACTAACCCTGCCGATACCTTGATTTCAGACTTGTAGCCTCTAGAACTGTGAAACAATACATTTCTGTTGTATAAGCCACCCAGTCTATGGTATTTTATTATGGCAGCCCTAGCAAACCAATACAAATCATAAAACATCAATTATTTTTAAAATCTCATAATTTTCATTCTTGTTATATATATATAAAACAAATAAAAGGTGACTCTCTCTAATGTATAAAGAAGTTAAAGAAATTGATAACAGAAAGGCCAGCAGTCCAACAGAAATGAATGAGCAGTTTATAGAGAAGGAAATTTAAATGGCTCTTAAATGTATGAAACGGTACTCAACCCGACTCATAGTATGCTAACTACACTGAGAAATCATTGTCTTCTAACATATAGGAAAGTCAACCAAATGAATAACACATGCCATTCCTGTGGCTTCTTCAGGAACAAAGGTCCTCCTAAATTGGTAGTGTGAATATACATTGATGCAATCCAAAAAAAAAATCCAAAGTTATAGCTGGGCAGGGTGGCTCATGCCTGTAATCCCAGCACTTTGGGAGGCTGAGGCAGATGGATCACGACGTCAGGAGATGGAGACCATCCTGGTTAACATGGTGAAACCCCGTCTCTACTAAAAAAAATACAAAAAATTAGCTGGACCTAGTGGCACACGCCTGTAGTCCCAGCTACTTGAGAGGCTGAGGCAGGAGAATCGCTTGAATCCAGGAGGCAGAGGTTGCAGTGAGCAGAGATCATGCCACTACACTCCAGCCTGGGTGACAGAGCAAGGGATTCCATCTCAAAAAAAAAAGAAAAAAGAAAAAAAAATCCAAAGTTATAAATGCACAGTCTTACATACTTCTCTTCTGGGAATTTATTCTGTAAGTATATATATATATATACACACACACACACACACACACACACACACACACACACACGTGTGTGAAATGACATATATGCAAAGTGATTCATTCCAGAAATGTTTGTAATTGTCACCACAAAGCTGCCAATCACTGAGAGACTGATTAAATGAGTTTTGGTACACTCGTGCCATCAAACACTATAAAATTATTAAAAAAGGAAGGAAGATTTTTGTATAATAATATGGAATGATCCAAGGTGTATTTTAAATAAATTAAACTTAGGAGGCCAGGTGCACTGGCTCACGCCTGTAATCCCAACACTTTTGGTGGTTGAGACAGGCAGATCACTGGAGACCAGGAGTTCAAGACCAGCCTGGCCAACATGGTGAAACCCCACTCTACTAAAAATACAAAAATTAGCGGGTGTGGTGGTGTGTGCATGTAGTCCCCACTACCAGGGAGGCTGAGGCATGAGAATCACCTGAACTCCGGAGGCGGAGATTGCAGTGAGCTGAAATTGTGCCACTGCACTCCAGCCTGGGTGACAGACTGAGACTCCATCTCAAAAAAAAAAGAAAGGAAAAGAAAAAAAGGAAGGGAAGGGAAGGGAAAGGAAAGGAAAGGAGGAAGGAAGGGAGGGAGGGAGGGAGGAAGGAAGGAAGGAAGGAAGGAAGGAAGGAAGGAAGGAAGGAAGGAAGGAAGGAAGGAAATTAAACCTAGGAACAAAGTAGTTTATCTATCTAATCTATATGTATGACTACTATTTGTCTTTTAAAGTGGAGAAACGAATATGTCCTTGTAATTATAAGGTGACTTAGCTATTTAGAGTCACATCTAGCATTTGCATCAAGGTGAGTTTGTCTCAAAAGCTCTGTTCTAGTGCCCCACTCAAGAACAGATATTGTCAAATTTGTAAAAGATATTTTAACTGGAATAGACTTGATTTTTATTGCTGATTTAATCTATTACAAACTATTGCTTTTCTATTCTAAGCTGTTGTAAAAATTATTGCTTTAATATGATCACTTAATAAGCATTAAATGCCCCAATCCTATCTGCTAAAAATTGTTTGGCATGTTTAATTGATCACAAGGATTTGAATAGCACTCTTATCTTTTCAAGTATCTTCAAGAAATTCTTATTTTCAGCAGGGCATGTTGAGGAAACATAAAGCTTACATTTTTTATTCCTGATGTCTTCTCATCACTTCCAACAGTAGCCACTGAGTCAAAGCAGTTGCTCTCTTTCCTTACTTTTTCTAAAGCTCTCCCTCTATATTAGCTGTGTCTGAGATTGCAGGCAGTTAAAATCCAACATTTGGCACACTGAAAAAGGGGCTATGTGATAGGGCCTCCAACTGAAATGTGATGAATTATTAAACAGGTAGTTTGTTGGGTGATTGAAAATTACCTGTGAAAGAGTGCTTATCTCCTTGAGGCACATCGAAAGCTGACGGAATTGAGCCAATTAGACTGACTGTCTCTTCAATGAGTTGTGACCTATCAATGGTAATAGCTTATTATGATGATAAATGAACCCATCTCTCAAACTGAAGCCTGAGTACACACTTCAGCAGTTGCCTTGAATCATGAGGCCATTGCCTCTCAACTTCAGATCGACAGCAGTGACAGCCACAGGAGCAGAGAGCATGCATGACTAGACACAGATGATTGTTTTACTCAGATGAATATATTTACAGCTATTTCCAAAGAAACGGGCCCTTCTTTTGCATTGTGTATTCGTATCTGAAATAGTTACCATATGACGTTTCCTTCATTAGGAAGAGAACCCCTCCCTGGCTGTAGCATTCTGAAATAACTGGATTTTGAAGGTCTTTTTTTTTTCTTCACTTTTTGTTTATTGTTTACAATGTTTTAATTTCTCATTCTTGTGAGTAATAACTCAACTCCTGGTTAAGTAAAATTTCAGAATAAAAATATTGTTTTATAGTAAAGATGCTTGTAATATCAAAACAAGTATGTTTTTAAAAAATTAATTTCATCCTATTACATTTCACATTTTATATTTGATGTGGGTTGGAGGAGCCCCTTAGAGATTCTTTTTTCTTTGTAGAGAAGTTTTGTAGAGATCAATAGTGTAAGAATCATACAAGTGTAAATAGTTTTGTTTCCTTTTAATTTTTCAAAATATTTGAAAATTCTTTAAGTAGTTACTGAAATTTGGTAAGTTCCATGTGCTGCTATATTGATACATTTTGTTTTAGAAGAATTAGGAGCAAAAGGGTTATTTTTATAATGAAATACAATCTTCCAGTTCCTAATAAGTATTAGACACCTGTTAGCTGCCAACTTCCCAAAAATACCCCTGAGAAAAAAAAAAACCTGTTGGTCAAGAAAGTTCACGAAGTTATTACAGTAAACAAGAACATCACCTTGATATTCTTAGTAATGTCTCAGAAGGTGAGGGTCAGGGGAAGATATTTACAGGCTTTAGGGAAAAGGCTGGTTGATTTCAAGGCAAATCTTGAGTGAGAGGGAACTGGTTGGGATTCTGCAGGGTTTATTATATAATAGTTTTGGATTTGTCACCAGAGTGAACAAACATTGAAGAACATGTTATGAGTCTATAAGGAAGTTAGCTTAGATGGATCACAGAGCAGACAAGGTTTTCTTGGAGATTGCTCACAGCATTCTTAAAATAGGGGGTGGACATTTTTCTTACTCCCAGCATTATTTAGCACAGGAAAGGAAATTGTGTTAGCGTTAGAAGAAATTGTGTTTGCTTTAGTTCTTACAGACAATATATTTACTTAATCTTCTGTGACACTGTTTCTTAATGTATAAAATGAAAATAATATGAATACCTACTTTATAGTGTTATTTTGAGGGTTAAATGAGTTAACACATATGCAGTACTCAAGATGGTGTCTGAAAATGATAAGCATTTGGTATTAGCTATTATTATTAACTCCAACTGGGCTTAATTTGAGGTCAGGCATTATTTTGTTGAAATTTTAGAAAGACTCCCCTCACACATAAACAGACAGAAAGAGAGAGAGGAAGAAAGAAGAAAAGAGAGAGATAGAGAGAGGCAGAAAGAGAAAAAGAAAGAAAGAGAGAAAGAAAAGGAAGAGAAAGAAAGAAAGAGAAAGAAAGAGAAAGAAAGGAGGAAGGAAAGAAGAGAGGGAGAAAGAATGGAAGAAAGAAAGAAAGAAGAAAGAAAGAAGGAAGGAAGAGAGGGAGAAAGAAAGAGAAAGAGAAGGAAAGAAAGAAAAAGGAAGGAAGGAAGGAAAAGGGAGGGAGGGAGGGAAGGAAGGAGGGAGGGAGGAAGGAAGGAAGAGGAAGCAGGGAGGGCAAGGAAAGGAAAACAATGGAAAGAATAAAGAAATAAATGCAGCAGGAAAGGAAAAAGAATAGGAAGAATTTGCTCATATCTGTCTAATTTTTAGGGTATTTTGATATACAAAGTAACTGACTGTCAGGACCTGTCTTAGAGATGATCTGGTAGGACAGTAAATGGCTTTTCTTTCCAGTTTTCATCTGGGACTGGGTTTGAAGTGATCATCAGCCTCAGTGTTCTGGAAATAAGTCATTTATAATGAAATGGAACTGGAAATAACCCACAGACAAAAAGCTTTGCAAGCCATTGAAGTTCCCCTAGGCCATTTACTGCCTTAAGCTCGTTTTTACTCATACTGCAGGAAAAAAAAGAGTGAGTAGGGAGGTGGTGTTCTTATATCACATAATTTTAAATTAAGATGTGATGGTTTTATATAAAAGCAAAAATGCTTTATTTTGCTTTTTTTGTTCAAGACAAGTACAGGGATGAAATGTAAATATGTTAATATCTAATCTTAAGTCTGCTCTTGATCCGAAACTCTTTTGAAACTTTACCTAGAAAATGATAGAGCAATTTAATGTGTCTCACAATCTAGCAGAGATTTGGAGGGTGATGGATAGAATAAGGGCTTAACACAAGAAATAATTTCTGTTGTACAAAGCTCATGAGCTTCATGCATGGTGAAAGATATTTAGGCTAAAGAAAATGTTAACTATGCAGGGAATGAAACTCGTGACAGCTTGATCCCATAAAACTCAGCAAGGATGAGGTTTGACTCTGCATCCCTGATTTATATAGTACAGTATGTTTATTTAAAGGAGATAAGCCAGGTTAAGGGGTTCAGCAAAACTGTTAAATTAACTCCTTTAAAAATCTAGTTATTGCTATGAAAGTCTCTCAAGTGCGGTGCTCAGGCTTTTTTGCATCAGTCATCTGGAGTCTTTATTTAAAATGTTTATTATTGGCCGGGCGCGGTGGCTCACGCCTGTAATCCCAGCACTTTGGGAGGCTGAGGCGGGCGGATAACGAGGTCAGGAGATCGAGACCATCCTGGCTAACACGATGAAATCCCATCTCTACTAAATATACATAAAAATTAGCCAGGCAGGGTAGCGGGCACCTGTAATCCCAGCTACTCGGGAGGCTGAGGCAGGAGAATGACGTGAAGCCGGGAGGTGGAGCTTGCAGTGAGCCGTGATCGCGCCACTGCACTCCAGCCCGGGCGACAGAGCGAGACTCCATCTCAAAAAAAAAAAAAAAAAAAAAATTTTTACTATTGACCCTTACTCTGGATTCACTTATCCAGAAGATCTGGGGAAATCTACGTTTTTAATCAGCTCCCCAAGTGATTATTTACCCATAAGAATTTGGGGGGCACTCTTTTATGACTACTTTTTTAAATTACTGATGATTAATTATCTGCAGATAGTTCCCTAGACTTTGACTTTCCAAGGCTTTAAAAAAACAAACAAACAAAAAAACCTGCAGTATGCTTTTAGTCTGAATTCAGGGATTGACTTTCTTATCCAATAGTCTATCCTGTACAAGGGAACCCTAAAATAACCTCGTTAGCCACCACCAAAGACTATGTAAATACAAATTTATTTATCAATCTCATTAGAAACCGAACCACGCATGTGCACGCACACACACACACACACACCACACCAACCACACATTTACATTGGAATAAAATGAATCTTAGAAAGCAGCTATTTTTAAAGAAACAGGAAGTCTAACATGTACTGCCATTAATTTGGAATGGGAGAGAAAGGAGACTTGGCAGAACCAGAATATTGCGTGAGGATTGAAGATAGCTTCAGATTCTAGAAGAGTTTCTAGCTCTTTCTGAATATGTGTTAACAGTTTCGCTGTTTGAGCTCTGCTACCCACTAGCCAGTTATAAACACAGGTAAGACCCTTAACTTCACAGGGCCTGTTGGGAAGAGGTTATAATTTTTTAGCAACAGAACCTGTTTTTCAAACAAAATCCTAATTAGAACACCCAAAAACAAACAAAATAAAGGATTCAAATGGGTGACATGGCCAGTCCTGGTTACAGTATGAGACAGATGCCGGTTACGGTGGGCAACAGAACAGATGCTGGCTACAGTGGTCGACAGAGTTCATTTTAGTTCAAGCAGAAGGTAGGGCTGGTGCTTGTTACAGTGGCCAGTAGGCCTGGTTTCTGGTTATAGCACATGGCAGAGTTAGGAGCTCTACCTACATTATGTCCCCACGGCCTCATCTGTGGTTTCCCCATAAGAAAACTACCTTTTGGGAAAACATGATACAAACAGATCAGGTGAATTAGAAGGTCTCCTGCAGATTTAAAATTTTATGAATATAATGCCAAATATAATCTTACACTCAGTTGACTACTAATAATAAATAACCCTACAAAATATGGTAAAGTGACTCCATGACAACAATTGAAAAGAAAATAATTGCACTCAGCTGAGCTATTGTCCATATCTAGATGCACTGATGATACACAAACCCAGCCACAGAAAATGTGGCATGTGTCAGAGCAAAGCAACTAGAATGATTCAAGACACTGAACAGCCAGTGTTCAAGCTACGTAATTTCTTACCTATATTACAGGAAAAAACCATCTAACTCTTTTTCTACCTCCAACCTCCCTCCTCTGAAATGTTATTCACATACCTGGTGGAGAAGAATCTTTATAAAACTCAAATTTGATTACCTTAGTCCTCTGCTTAAAATTTCAGTGTCTTTCAATGAAAGCTCAGAGACCATTCTGGACTTATAACTCCCTTGCAGCTCAGAAGGGACCCGTGGTCCAGTAATTAAAATGCCCGTGGTAAGTGTTCAATGCTCTCTCATGCTTTTCTTCTCACAATGTCCCTTCAGTACGGGATTTCTTTCTACCATTTTCCTGAGTAATTACCTTCTAGTCATCATTCAAAAAGCATTTAAGCATTGAATTCTATAGGAAATGTTTCTAATCACCCTATCCCCCAGCTCTGGCTGAGTTAGGCCTTCTCTGCACAATTCCCATGAAAGCACCTACCACCCAGCAGGCAGAAATATCCCTCTTTGACTTTCTCACTAAACTGCAAATTCCTGGTGAGTGACAACTGGATTCTATTCTTCTTCTAACCTCTAGAACCTAGCAGATTGCTTTGGAGACCTTAGGAACTTAATAATTCTTTGTTGAGTGAATAAAGGGATGCTTTTTGTGGACAGCAGTTATTTCTGTTTACACAAAAGATAAGAGAAAATACAGGTAAAATTATCCTAAATTTTAAAAAATTTGAAACTTACAAAAAGTGTTGGATTTAAGTTCCTTTGTCTGTCTGGATTTCCGAAATATTTTTAAAAGATTTTTTCTGGGATCATTTAAGGCCTCATCTGTTCAGAACCAAGGGGAGGACCGAAATAGTATGCCAAATTCTTTTCCAGCCCTCAAATTTTATGAGCCTGAGTTGCATTGTGTGGGTAAAAGTCTTGTGCTCTGTGGATCAGGAGGAAGTTAGATGTTTTGGATATTTACATAGAAACAAAGAATTTGAAGACTGGAAAGAACTTGAGCAGGACTCTATTAAATGTGTTTTGTGTGAGATGGTTTTCACCCTGTGTTCTTGTGGTTCCTCCATGCTAGGGGCAGGAGGTAGGATGGAGCAGATAGGGAGTCTCTTTTCCTCTTAAACCGGATGTTTTTTTTAAAATCAGTTTTATATGTTGAGAGTCCATGGAATGGAATGTGGAAACTGAGACCCTGAAAGATTAAGTCACTTGAACAAAGATATACAGCTTCTCCAGAGACCAGGCAGACACTAGGTTTATGATTTCCTGACTTCCACTGCAGATCTCTTACCATTTTTCTATGAGAGTCATAAAAAAAGAATCAGCTATTTACTTTCTAGTCAAGGTGGGTTAAAATCAAGCCACTTGTTTTCAAACATCGATTTCGGGTTCATGCCATCAAATTAAAAAATTCACTTAACTGAGTTTAATTTGCTTTCACTTAGGAAGCAGCTGCCTTTCAAGATAATAAAATAAACAGATACAATAATATTTGGTCAGCTGTGGCTTTTAATTTAAATGTTTGATTTAATGTTGTTTAGTTTGCTGGATTCCAAAATATTCTCTGCAAGAGAAGCATACACATTCTAAAGCATTTCAAATGTTTATTATGATGTCCTAGAGGTGGCTGTCTTTCTGTTGCTGTGCATACCCTGAGCAGACTTGACATTGCTTTGGAAGCACATATTTTCTGATAGACATATTACTCTCATAATCTAAAATTTTTCAGAAGTGACAAAAGTGGGGTTGACCATTTTCTTCTTCGCTGTCTCCATGATTTTGCTTTTTCCAAGATGTCATGTAGTTAGAATCATACAATGTGTTGTCTTTTCAGGTTGGCTTTTTTCACTTAGCAATATGCCTGTAAGGTTCCGCCATGTCTTTTCTTGCCTTGATAATTCATTTCTTTTTAGCTCTGAATACTATTTTGTTGTCTGGATATAACCACAGTTGAATTATCCATTTACCTCCTGAAAAACATCCTGCTTGCTACCATGTTCTGGCAATATGAATCAAGCTGCTATAAACACTTATGTGATAAGTCTTGTGTGGATATAAATATTCAACTTATTTGGGTAAATACCAAAGAGTGCAATTACTGGATCATATGGTCAGAGCATGCTAGTTTTGTAATAAACTGCCAAACTATCTTCCAATATGGTTGTATAATTTTGCATTCTCACCAGCAATGAACAAGAGTTCCTGTTTCTCCACATTCTCACCAGCATTTCATATTGTCAATGTTTTAGACATCAGCTATTCTAATAGATATGTAGTGGTATATCGTTGTTTTAATTTGAAATTCTCTAATGATGTAAGATGATGAGCATGTTTTCATGTGCTTATTTTCCATCTGTATATAAGCTTTGCTGAGGTATCTGTTTAGATTTTTTCCAATTTTTAAATTTATTTTCTTGTTGTTGAGATTTAAGAGTTCTTTGTATGTTTTGGACCATATCAGGTATATCTTTTGCAAATATTTTCTTGCAAATGGTAGTTTCTCTTATTCTCTTCACAGTGTCTTTCACAGAGAAGATGATTTTTAATTTTAATAAAATCTAAAATGAATTTTTATTTCATGGATCTTGACTTTAGTGTTATATATAAAGAGTTACTGCAAACTCAGGGTTATTTAGATTTTCTTCTATGTTATCTTCCAAGAGTCATAGTTTTGCATTTTATATGATCCATTTTGAGGTCTATGATCCATTTTGTGTTAATTTTTGTGAGGGTCTATATCTGCATTTATGTATTTTTTCACAAGTTATCTCAGTCAATTTTCTGTTGCTATAACAGAATACCTGAGACTAGGTAATTTATAAAGGAGAGAGTTCTATTTAGCTTGTGATCCTGGGAGCTTGACTAGGAGATCCAAGTTAGGACAGGTGCATTTGGTCAAGTTCTGGTGAGAGTCTTGTGCTGCATCTTAACATGGTGGAGAAGTGGAAGAAAAAGTGGGCATGTGCAAAATGACCAAACACAAGAGGGAGCCTTCCTTTTTAACAACCCACCCTCGAGGTAGCTAATCCAGTCCTACAAGAGCAAGAACTCACTCTAAGAAAGGTATTAATTCCTTTTTAAAAACCTAATCACCTCTCCAAGGCACCACCTCTCAACATCACCCCATTAGGAACCAAACCTCACTATGGATTTTGATTGTGACAAACCATATTCTAACCATAACACAAATGATGTCCAGTTTTTCTAGTGCCATTTGTTGAAAACACTTTCCTTTCTTCATTGAATTCCCTTTGCTCCTTTGTGAAAGATCAGATGGCCATATTCATGCGGGTGTATTTCTGGGCTGGCTATTCTGTTCCATTGATCTAAGTGACTTTTTTCTGACCAGTACTATATTGTCTTGATAACTATAGTTTTATACTAAGTCTTGAAGTTGGGTAGTGTTAGCTTTACAAGTTTGTTCAATATTATTTAATGATGTGTTGGCTGTTCTTGGTCTTTCCTCTCCATATAAATTTTAGAATCAGTGTGTTGATATCCAAAAAATAACTTGCTGGGATTTTGACTGGGATTACCTTGAATCTACACAAATTGGGAAGAACTGACATCCTACCTTGAGTCTTCCTATTTATGGACATGGAATACCTCTCCATTTATTTAATTTTTCTTTGATTTCTTTCACTGGAGTTTTATAGTTTTCCTCATATAGATTTTGTACATAATTTGTTAGATTTATATTGAAGTGTTTTGTGGAGCATGCTAGTATAAATGGTCTTGTGTTTTTAACTTCACATTCCAATTTTCTTTGCTAATATATAGGAAAGCAATTGACTTTTATACCACCTTTTTCTTCAGACAGATGGAATCAAGTGACTTAGAAATTGGCTTTGTTGCTCTGCCTGAGTATCTTGAAAATTCTCATCTTCCTTCTGAGAACCATAACCTACATATCTCAAGGTTATAGATAAAATGCTACCTACAAAATCCTTGTAATGCTTACAGTCTAAAAGACTAAATAAGGCCTCAAGAGATTATTCAAAATCAGAGTTGTTGATTCCCAGTAGAGTCATAAAGGGCTATGTTATGTTAGCTGCAATTCTAATCCTATATCAAAGCTTCTGACTTCCACTCCCCCATATCTAAGGAGGTTTCCCTCAACAGTTGAAAAATAACTGCAGATACTGCTTTGCCATCCCATGCCACAAAAATGCATTTCTGAAGGATGCTGCAGAGAGATATATATTTCTTAAGCCCAGCTCATATCTATTTCTCAAGGCTGTGTGATATCATAGAATGAATGATGGAGTCAAATAAATAAATATTTATTTATTTATTTATCAGTCAAATAAATCTGATTTAATTTTTTAGAACTTAACATTTAGTAGCTGTGAGATCTTACAGAGATTTCTTCACCTTGTATCCTTTGTCACTTTATCTATAAAATGGAGAGTGTAAATACTACTTCTTAGAGTTATCATGATTCTTTAATCTAATAACTCATGAGACACTGGATATGTAATAGGAACTGAATAATTCTTAACCCCCTTGCTTTCCCTTGACATTTCCAGAAAATAAAACTTGATTGAGTATCTAAGATTATATAACAGATCCCACTAGACTAAGTGAATCTGAGGGAAGATGTATTTGTCACTTTTCTTCTCTTCTTTGGTTTTTAAAAAGTATCATTAGAAATAGAATCAGTAACTATAAACAAATTTCTGTGTACTGATCCAGTATTAACAGAGAAAATAATGGTTGACTGTGCCTTACTGTGCAAGGCAAAAATGAGCTCAAGATATTATCAAAGTCATGAATCAGAAAGAGAATTTCGTTTTACAAATGATGGATAGCCACAAAACAACTAGGACATACAATCTCTGATTACACAACTGCAGTCTATAGCTACATTCTGCAGATTAAACACCACAGTAGAGATGGAAACTTTATTGTTTATATTTTATGAAAACTGTTCTCTTTTGTTTTTATGTCAGTTTGAGAGTAGAAGAATATCCTTGAGGGCAAAACATGCCTTTCATACATTAGAGCTGCCTAGAGCATAGTCTGGCACATTATATAAATATTAAATAATTCCTATAATTAAACTGATGTTCTTTGGAATGAGGATGGAGACACATAGTTATCTGAATTGCCTTAAGCTAGTTTTGCAATAAGTAGATTTTTACTATTCTAGAATATGTAATGAATGAATCATGCTATGTTACAAGTAAGTATTAATTAATGGTTGAAGTACAAAAACATCTTCCTTGAATTATATGATAATCTACATCACAGTGAAAGGAATTTATCATGACAAATGCTAGTCAATGTTGAATCACAGAGGGCTATATGAGATCCATTTTCATTCTTAAAGAAAATTATTATATCTTTTTATTAATATGGTGGATATTTACTCAGTAAATAATAAAGAAAACTAATATGAAGTGCAATTTGTAATATTCTATTTATGATGCATGATTTTTGTTGCACAATTAGAAAATACTTAAGTTCTTGAGAATAGTTGGAAAGGGTTGTAATGATCAGAAACACATATTATACCTAAACATGTATTAAGACCTTGTTTTAAAAATTAGATCTTGGAGCAAGAAGGTAAGCTGTATCATTACGTTCTTAGAATACAGGGTTGGGCGTGGGGGCTCATGCCTGTAATCCCAGCATTTTGGGAGGCTGAGGCGGGTGGATCACGAGGTCAGGAGATCAAGACCATCCTGGCCAACATGACGAAACCCTGTCTGTACTAAAAATACAAAAATTACCTGGGTATGGTGGCGTGTGCCTGTAATCCCAGCTACTTGGGAGGCTGAGGCAGGAGAATCGCTTGAACCCAGGAGGCGGAGGTTGCAGTGAGCTGAGATCGTGCCTCTGCACTCCAGCCTGGTGACAGAGCGAGACTCCATCTCAAAAAAAAAATAATAATAATAATAAGGGTAAATACAAGGAGTGTGTTTTGAATACAAAATATCTATTTTTAGAATCTCAAACCCATGAGTTACTTTCTTCCATATATAAGTCCCAACATGTTTTCTATAATCAGTCTATGTCTATTAGATGTGTAATTATATTAATTATGTAAATGCACATGAATACCAAATTATTTGGTTAATCTTCGAATTTCTTTTAGCAATTATATACTCTCCTCCAGGTTAGATTGAGCTTTCCCTTCAACTCAGAGAAATCAGTGTCAACAGGCTACCTTCTGTAAGACTACCAGAGAGCTATGCATTACTCTGTACAAAGGATATTTCTCCTATAAATAGTGCTTTCAATAGAGAAAATCTGTTATCATGTTGTCAGTAAATTCAAATATTTTCTCTTTTGGAATACTCTGTTCCTATTAAAACAAGAGCTGTTTCCTTCTTTGAAACAAGTTATTTATATTTATGTGGTTAAGATATCCTATCTTAAACCATAAGACCTTTTTGAATACTTCACATACAGAAAAATGAAAAAAATTAAACAAATATCAGAGTTGCTGGGAACCCCAGGATATAATCTACTGTGGATAGTCATTCATAGACAAAGACACCTCCTATTTATAGGCTTGGGACAGTTCAGCTTCTCCAACTTGAAGAGAGTTTTGAAGATCAAATACAAATGGGTCTTGTGAAGTTTCAAAAAATGTTTCTCAAAGTCCTTTGAGAAAAATAAACTTGGGCCTGTAGCCAATAGTTTGTATTCCAGGCTTTTAAAAAAAATTCAAATACAGAAACATCAGATTTTCATTGCCATAGGGGTCATGACATCTTTTAACATAAGTGCAGAAACTATCTGTAATGAATCAAAACTTAAATCAGATGACATTAAGACCAGCTTTGCTATTACCACAGATGGCATCACAATTAACTTTTAATATATCAAAAATGTGAGTGTACTCATATATTATCAGTCATTTGATCATGATATTCCAACATTAACATCTCAGTGTATTGTGAAAATGATTCATTTGTACAATATTTTTCTTCTTCTAGACTTTTAATTTCTTGAAGGAAGGAACGCATTTTACTCATCTTGTAGTGACCCTCCCTGTACATGTTGCCTGAGACATAATAACTATTCAAAAATGTTTACAGTATTCAATGAAATTATATAAATCTTGGTTTAAAAAGCTTGATATACAATGAAACATACTTGGGCAAATTATAAAGCTGTTCCTGAGAATGAGCTAATACATATTTAGTTGTTAAAATTCTGAGGGGAAAATGTAAATTAGATGTGAACTACCTCTACAATATAAGATAGCAGTAGGCTGTAAGTTAAAATAATCATTTTTCTCATTTTTCAGTAACATTCATTAAATGCCTGATACAATTCTGTACTTTCTGAAAATTGACTATAATAAAGAAATCCTGGCCATTATAAAATTGTCATCCACTCATAGGTAGAATAAATGAGAGAATTATGGTGATCTAAATATAGAAAGCATTTAAATTAGAGAACAGCTGAAATTGTGCTTCTAAAACATTTCAGTGTTGTTCATTTTCTATATGTTATATTGAAAAAAGTAATATGGAAATGTAATGTTTTCATTTGCAGATGCTTAAATTTAGATACATGTTTAATACTGTAATCATTTTGATCAAACAGCAGCTATTATTTATTATTCAATATTTATATGTAAAACCTGAAACTTTCATCTACCTTAATGATGGTATTGTGATAAAAGTACCCATGTATCACCAAGATTTGCCAATTCTTTTTATTCCTTAAAGAATATCTGACAATTTGCTGGTTTGTATAAGTTTGAGTTAAGACACCGTAATAATGTCCTGCAGTATATATGTCAAAATACATGGGTCAAAAAGACACTCTAAAATAGCAGTCTCCAAGAACCCAGGAAGTATGTGATCCATAGGAGTGTACATATTTTATTTTCTTTAAAAAATAAGACAGACACTTCTCAAAAGAAGACATTTATGCAGCCAAAAAACACATGAAAAAATGCTCACCATCACTGGCCATCAGAGAAATGCAAATCAAAACCACAATGAGATACCATCTCACACCAATTAGAATGGCAGTCATTAAAAAGTCAGGAAACAACAGATGCTGGAGAGGATGTGGAGAAATAGGAACACTTTTACACTGTTGGTGGGACTGTAAACTAGTTTAACCATTGTGGAAGTCAGTGTGGTGATTCCTCAGGGATCTAGAACTTGAAATACCATTTGACCCAGCCATCCCATTACTGGGTATGTACCCAAAGGACTATAAATCATGCTGCTATAAAGACACATGCACACGTATGTTTATTGTGGCACTATTCACAATAGCAAAGACTTGGAACCAACCCAAATGTCCAACAATGATAGACTGGATTAAGAAAATGTGGCACATATACACCATGGAATACTATGCAGCCATAAAAAATGATGAGTTCATGTCCTTTGTAGGGACATGGATGAAATTGGAAATCATCATTCTCAGTAAACTATCACAAGGACAAAAAAACAAACACCACATGTTCTCACTCATAGGTGGGAATTGAACAATGAGAACACATGGACACAGGAAGGGGAACATCACACTCTGGGGACTGTTGTGGGGTGGGGGGGAGGGGGGAGAGATAGCATTAGGAGATGCTAAATGACGAGTTAATGGGTGCAGCACACCAGCATGGCACATGTATACATATGTAACTAACTGGCACATGGTGCACATGTACCCTAAAACTTAAAGTATAATAATAATAAAATAAAAATAAAATAAAATAAGACCATTAAAAAAAAGTTCATCGTATGGATTGACACTGGGCTGCTCCCTGGTGGAGTACCAGCTCAAGATGTTTTGAGGAAAAAATTTGCATTTACCAAGTGGGAGGATTTATAGTGGTGATTTCACTTGTTCATTGATTTAGACATATGAAATATTATATTTTTTGCACAACTAAGTTGGCTTTCAGATTATATGACCATATTTTTAACTAAATGAAGCTTTGCTGAATAAATACATGACTTAATATATTCCTTCAAAAAACATATAGTGAAATAATATTAACTACACAAAGATAAGCAATGAGCAAAAAAACACTAGTGCTTACCACTGCTCTTGGTAAGAGCTTTCCTTCAGGCACAAAATGAGATAAAAGTAATGACAAGGTAAAACTGGATGAAAATTGGTCAACAAGTGAGGAATTAACTGCCTTGCAAAAGCAGTTTTTATTATACAGAAACCATTTTGAAAGCAGTTATTCAGAAAGTTTCTATCAGTATATGATTTGTAGCTCAAATTATTGTTGGTCTATCAATCACAAATACTATTTTCTGCATAATATAGCTAGAAAATATAATTATCTAACTTATTTTTAAAGTCTTCTAAACATGAAGTTTCAGTGAGCTTTGAAGCTTTTTGTTAAATATGTTAAAATGTCATACTTTCCAAATAGTTTCCAATTATAACCAATTAGCATCAGAAAATTTATTAGCCAAATTTCACCAAGAACCTAATTTGTGAGAGAATTGAAAAATGAGTACCATAATTTAGTATGCTCAGCCACTGATGTAATGCTTATAATGGGACCTGTGTATTTTTTGTCTGTGCTGTATCTCTTTTCAGCTGTGAAAACTATTATTACTAAGTATTAAAACAAACTGAGGGCAAGGCACGGTGGCTCATGCCCGTATTCCCAGCACTGTGGGAGGCCGAGGAGGGTGGATCACTTCAGATCAGGAGTTCAAGACCAGCCTTGCCAACGCGGTGAAACCCTGTCTCTACTAAAAATACAAAAATTAGCCGGGCATGGTGGCACATGCCTGTAATCCCAGCTACTCGTGAGGCTGAGGCAGGAGAATCGCTTGAACCTGGGAGACAAGAGGTTGCAGTGAGCCAAGATCACACCACTGCACTCCAGCCTGGGAGACAGAGCAAGACTCCATCTCAAAAAAAAAATAAAAATTAAAAAAAAAGCCTGAACCTAGAAACGGACCTACAAATGTCAATACTTAGTAATATTTTTAATTATTAAGCCAAGATTTCCAAAAATAAGAAAAGCATAATTGATTATACTGGTTTCTTTTTTTTTTTTTTTCATTTGGAACATATAATTGAGAAAGCTTTAGTATCAAGCATATGTAAAGACTCATAAAATAATAAGGAAAGGCCAAACTGCCTGATAGACCAAAAAAAAAAAAATCAACAATAAACATTTTACAGAGGAGAAACAGAGAAACATATACAGCTAAAAACATATGGAAGGATCTTGAGTCTTATAGCAATATTGATGAGCAAATCAATATGTAGAATAGCAAATCAGTATCATTATCAAAGAGATAATGGATATCTCTTTATACTCAATTTATTGGCAATAATTAAGAATTTAAACTACAGAAATATTGAAAAGTATTTGAATCAACCAGATTTCTTATATAGTGCTAATATAAATTGGTTAACCACTTGACATTATCTTTTAAAGTTTAATATTCACACACCCTATGACCCAACAATTTTCTAGATGTATATACTAAAGGAAATTATTACATTTGTGCACCCAGATAAACACATAAAAGTGTTCATAAAAGTACTGTTTATATTAAGAAGAGCCGACAGCAGATGCCTATCCAGAGGTAAACAAATTGTAATATATCTGGAATAACTTGTTGCAATGAAAATAAATGAACTACAGGTATACGTGATAATATGATGCTTAGTGATAGGTTCTCAGATGATCACAGCATGATGGTCTTTATAAGCAATAACATTTTTGAGCAAACATATATTTGCTGAAATTATCTTTTTAAAAATGTAAGAAAATAATATAAACACAAAATTCAGCATGTCAGGGTTATGCTGCAGGGTAACGGGGTGGTGAGGATTGTATAGATAGTTGCAAACATTGCTCATGTTCAACTTCTTGGGTTGGGTAGTTGGCTTTTATCACTAACAAAGTAATAAGCCAGGGAATACAATGGGTAAATGAAAAAATAAAATAGAGTCACGATTAGACCAATGATGATAGTATATCATAAATCAAGTCTTCTCATCTTTAAAATGGAATTAGTAGGAGTACTTAGCTTCCTAGGGTTGTTATGAAGGTTGAAATTCTTAGAATAATGCCTGGTACATAGCATTTTTTTTTTTAAGTTAAGTTCTAGGGTACATGTGCACAATGTGCAGGTTTGTTATGTATGTGTACATGTGCCATGTTGGTGTGCTGCATCCATTAACTCGTTATTTACGTTAGGTATATCTCCTAATGCTATCCCTCCCCCCTCCCCCCACCCTACGACAGGCCCCGGTGTGTGATGTTCCCCTTCCTGTGTCCAAGTGTTTTCATTGTTCAGTTCCCACCTATGAGTGAGAATATGCGATGTTTAGTTTGTTGTCCTTGTGATAGTTTGCTGAGAATGATGGTTTCTAGCTTCATCCATGTCCCTACAAAGGACGTGAACTCATCCTTTTTTATGGCTGCATAGTATTCCATGGTGTATACATGCCACATTTTCTTAATCCAGTCTATCATTGATGGACATTTGGGTTGGTTCCAAGTCTTTGCTATTATGAATAGTGCCGCAATAAACATACATGTGCATGTGTCTTTATAGCAGCATGATTTATAATCCTTTGGGTATATACCCAGTAATGGGATGACTGGGTCAAATGGTATTTCTAGTTCTAGATCCTTGAGGAATCGCCCCACTGTCTTCCACAATGGTTGAACTAGTTTACAATCCCACCAACAGTGTAAAAGTGTTCCTATTTCTCCACATCCTCTCCAGCACCTGTTGTTTCCAGACTTTTTAATGATCACCAGTCTAACTGGTGTAGGATGGTATCTCATTGTGGTTTTGATTTGCATTTCTCTGATGGCCAGTGATGATGAGCATTTTTTCATGTGTCTGCTGGCTGCATCAGTGTCTTCTTTTGAGAAGTGTCTGTTCATATCCTTTGCCCAATTTTGATGGGGTTATTTGTTTTTTTCTTGTAAGTTTGTTTGAGTTCTTTGTAGATTCTGGATATTAGCCCTTTGTCAGATGAGTAGATTGCAAAAATCTTCTCCCATTCTGTAGGTTGCCTGTTCACTCTGATGGTAGTTTCTTTTGCTGTGCAGAAGCTCTTTAGTTTAATTAGATCCCATTTGTCAACTTTGGCTTTTGTTGCCCTTGCTTTTCGTGTTTTAGACAAAAAGTCCTTACCCATGCCTATGTCCTCAATGGTATTGCCTAGGTTTTCTTCTAGGGTTTTTATGGTTTTATGTCTAACATTTAAGTCTTTAATCCATCTTGAATTAATTTTTGTATAAGGTGTAAGGAAGGGATCCAGTTTCAGCTTTCTACATATGGCTAGCCAGTTTTCCCAGCACCATTTATTAAATAGGGAATCCATTCCCCATTGCTTGTTTTTGTCAGGTTTGTCAAAGATCAGATGGTTGTAGATGTGTGGTATTATTTCTGAGGGCTCTATTCTGTTCCATTGATCTACATCTCTCTTTTGGTACCAGTACCATGCTGTTTTGGTTACTGTAGCCTTGTAGTATAGTTTGAAGTCAGGTAGCATGATGCCTCCAGCTTTGTTCTTTTGGCTTAGGATTGACTTGGGAATGTGGGCTCTTTTTTGGTTCCATATGAACTTTAAAGTAGTTTTTTTTCCAATTCTGTGAAGAAAGTCACTGGTAGCTTGATAGGGATGGCATTGAATCTATGAATTACCTTGGGCAGTATGGCCATTTTCACGATATTGATTCTTCCTATCCATAAGCATGGAATGTTCTTCCATTTGTTTGTGTCCTCTTTTATTTTGTTGAGCAGTAATTTGCAGTTCTCCTTGAAGAGGTCCTTCACATCCCTTGTAAGTTGGATTCCTAGGTATTTTATTCTCTTTGAAGCAATTGTGAATAGGAGTTCACTCATGATTTGGCTCTCTGATTGTCTGTTGTTAGTGTATAAGAATGCTTGTGATTTTTCTACATTGATTTTGTATCCTGAGACTTTGGTGAAGTTGCTTATCAGCTTTAGGAGATTTTGGGCTGAGACAATGGGGTTTTCTAAATATACAATTATGTCATCTGCAAACAGGGACAATTTGACTACCTCTTTTCCTAATTAAATACCCTTCATTACTTTCTCCTGCCTGATTGCCCTGGCCAGAACTTCCAACACTATGTTGAATAGGAGTGGTGAGAGAGGGCATCCCTGTCTTGTGCCAGTTTTCAAAGGGAATGCTTCCAGTTTTTGCCCATTCAGTATGATATTGGCTGTGGGTTTGTCATAGATAGCTCTTATTATTTTGAGATACATCCCATCAATACCTAATTTATTGAGAGTTTTTGGCATGAAGGGCTGTTGAATTTTGTCAAAGGCCTTTTCTGCATTTATTGAGATAATCATGTGGTTTTTGTTTATATGCTGGATTACGTTTATTGATTTGTGTATGTTGAACCAGCCTTGCATCCCGTGGATGAAGCCCACTTGATCGTGGTGGATAAGCTTTTTGATGTGCTGCTGCATTCAGTTTGCCATTATTTTATTGAGGATTTTTGCATTGATGTTCATCAGGGATATTAGTCAAAAATTCTCTTTTTTGTTGTGTCTCTGCCAGGCTTTTGTATCAGGAGGATGCTGGCCTCATCAAATGAGTTAGAGAGGATTCCCTCTTTTTCTATTGATTGGAATAGTTTCAGAAGGAATGGTACCACCTCCTCCTTGTACCTCTGGTAGAATTCGGCTGTGAATCCATCTGGTCCTGGACTTTTTTTGGTTGGTAGGCTATTAATTATTGCCTCAATTTCAGAGCCTGTTATTGGTCTATTCAGAGATTCAACTTCTTCCTTGTTTAGTATTGGGAGGGTGTATGTGTCCAGGAATCTATCCATTTCTTCAAGATTTTCTAGTTTATTTGCATAGAGGTGTTTATAGTATTCTCTGATGGTAGTTTGTATTTCTGTGGGATCGGTGGTGATATCCCCTTTATCATTTTTTATTGCATCTATTTGATTCTTCTCTCTTTTCTTCTTTATTAGTCTTGCTAGCAGTCTATCAATTTTGTTGATCTTTTCAAAAAATCATCTCCTGGATTCACTGATTTGTTGAAGGGTTTTTTGTGACTCTATCTCCTTCAGTTCTGCTCTGATCTTAGTTATTTCTTGCCTTCTGCTAGCTTTTGAGTGTGTTTGCTCTTGCTTCTCTAGTTCTTTTAATTGTGATGTTAGGGTGTCAATTTTGGATCTTTCCTGCTTTCTCTTGTGGGCATTTAGTGCTATAAATTTCCCTCTACACACTGCTTTAAATGTGTCCCAGAGATTCTGGTATGTTGTATCTTTGTTCTCATTAGTTTCAAAGAACATCTTTATTCCAGCCTTCATTTCGTTATATACCCAGTAGTCATTCAGGAACAGGTTGTTCAGTTTCCATGTAGTTGAGCCGTTTTCAGTGAGTTTCTTAATCCTGAGTTCTAGTTTGATTGCACTGTGGTCTGAGAGACAGTTTGTTATAATTTCTGATCTTTTACATTTGCTGAGGAGTGCTTTACTTCCAACTATGTGGTCAATTTTGGAATAAGTGTGATGTGGTGCTGAGCAGAATGTATATTCTGTTGATTTGGGGTGGAGAGTTCTGCAAATGTCTATTAGGTCCACTTGGTGCAGAGCTGAGTTCAATTCCTGGATATCCTTGTTACCTTTCTGTCTCGTTGATCTGTCTAATGTTGACAGTGGGGTGTTAAAGTCTCCCATTATTATTGTGTGGGAGTCTAAGTCTCTTTGTAGGTCTCTAAGGACTTGCTTTATGAATCTGAGTGCTCCTGTATTGGGTGCATATATATTTAGGATAGTTAGCTCTTCTTGTTGAATTGATCCCTTTACCATTATGTAATGGCCTTCTTTGTCTCTTTTGATCTTTGTTGGTTTAATGTCTGTTTTATCAGAGACTAGGTTTGCAACCCCTGCCTTTTTTTGTTTTCTATTTCCTTGGTAGATCTTCCTCCATCCCTTTATTTTGAGCCTGTGTGTGTCTCTGCACATGAGATGGGTCTCTTGAATACAGCACACTGATGGGTCTTGAGTCTTTATCCAATTTGCCAGTCTGTGTCTTTTAATTAGAGCATTTAGCCCATTTACGTTTAAGGTTAATATTATGTGTGAATATGATCCTGTCATTATGATGTTAGCTGGTTATTTTGCTCGTTAGTTGTTTCAGTTTCTTCCTAGCATCGATGGTCTTTACAATTTGGCATGTTTTTGCAGTGGCTGGTACTGGTTGTTCCTTTCCATGTTTAGCACTTCCTTCAGGAGCTCTTTTAGGGCAGGCCTGGTGGTGACAAAATCTCTCAGCATTTGCTTGTCTGTAAAGTATTTTATTTCTCCTTCACTTATGAAGCTTAGTTTGGCTGGATATGAAATTCTGGGTTGAAAATTCTTTTCTTTAAGAATGTTGAATATTGGCCCCCACTCTCTTCCGGCTTGTAGAGTTTCTGCCGAGCGATCTGCTGTTAGTCTGATGGGCTTCCCTTTGAGGGTAACCCGACCTTTCTCTCTGGCTGCCCTTAACATTTTTTCCTTCATTTCAACTTTGGTGAATCTGACAATTATGTGTCTTGAAGTTGCTCTTCTCGAGGAGTATCTTTGTGGCATTCTCTGTGTTTCCTGAATTTGAATGTTGGCCTGCCTTGCTAGGTTGGGGAAGTTCTCCTGGATAATATCCTGCAGAATGTTTTCCAACTTGGTTCCATTCTCCCCGCCACTTTCATGTACCCAATCAGGCATAGATTTGGTCTTTTCACATAGTCCCATATTTCTTGGAGGCTTTGTTCGTTTCCTTTTACTCTTTTTTCTCTAAACTTCTCTTCTCACTTCATTTCATTCATTTGATCTTCAATCACTGATACCCTTTCTTCCAGTTGATCGAATCAGCTCCTGAGGCTTGTGCATTTGTCAGGTACTTCTCGTGCCATAGTTTTCAGCTCCATCAGGTCATTTAAGGACTTCTCTACACTGGTTATTCTAGGTAGCCATTTGTCCTATCTTTTTTCAAGGTTTTTAGCTTCTTTGTGATGGGTTCGAACTTCCTCCTTTAGCTCAGAGAAGTTTGATCGTCTGAAGCCTTCTTCTCTCAACTCCTCAAAGTCATTCTCCATCCAGCTTTGTTCCATTGCTGGCAAGGAGCTTCATTCCTTTGGAGGAGGAGAGGCGCTCTGATTTTTAGAGTTTTCAGCTTCTCTGCTCTGTTTTTTCCCCATCTTTGTGGTTTTATCTACCTTTGGTCTTTGATGATGATGTACGGATGGGGTTTTGGTGTGGGTGTCCTTTCTATTTGTTAGTTTTCCTTCTTACAGTCAGGACCCTCAGCTGCAGGTCTGTTGGAGTTTGCTGGAGGTCCACTCCAGACCCTGTTTGCCTGGGTATCAGCAGCGGAGGCTGCAGAACAGCAGATATTGCTGAACAGCAAATGTTGCCGCCTGATCGTTCCTCTGGAAGCTTCGTCTCAGAGGGGTACTCGGCCGTGTGGGATGTCAGTCTGCCCCTACTGGGTGGTGCCTCACAGTTAGGCTATTCAGGGCTCAGGGATCCACTTGAGGAGGCAGTCTGTTCATTCTCAGATCTCAAACTCCATGCTGGGAGAACCACTACTCTCTTCAAAGCTGTCAGACAGGGACATTTAAGTCTGCAGAGGTTTCTGCTGTCTTTTGTTCGGCTATGTCCTACTCCCAGAGGTGGAGTCTACAGAGGCAGGCAGGCATCCTTGAGCTGCAGTGGGCTTCACCCAGTTCAAGCTTCCCAGCCACAGTTTGTTTGCCTACTCAAGCCTCGGCAATGGCGGGCGCCCCTCTCCCAACCTTGCTGCCACCTTGCAGTTCAGTCTCAGACTGCTGGGCTAGCAATGAACAAGGCTCCGTAGGCATGGGACCCTCCGAGCCAGGTGTGGGATATAATCTCCTGGTGTGCCGTTTGCTAAGACCATTGGAAAAGCGTGGTATTAGGGTGGGAGTGACCCGATTTTCCAGGTGCCGTCTGTCACAGCTTCCCTTGGCTAGGAAAGGGAATTTCCTGACCCCTTGTGCTTCCCGGGTGAGGTGATGCCTCGCCCTGCTTTGGCTGACACTTGATGGGCTGCAACCACTGTCCTGCACCCACTGTCAGACAAGCCCCAGTGAGGTGAACCTGGTACCTCAATTGGAAATGTGGAAGTCACCCATATTCTGTGTCGCTCATGCTGGGAGCTGTAGACTGGAGCTGTTCCTATTCCAATTATACTGGTTTCTAAAAAAGATTGTAATATATTGTTGAGAGTGAAGGGAGTTTTATATCAATAATTAAATTATTTTAAAATATTGTTTATTTCATTTCTCATACTTCAAATTACTTATTTACATTTTAATAATATATTAGTATCATAACACATGTGTATAATACAGCTAGAAAGAGAGAGCATATATACCCTGAAGGCATTTTTAATTATAATATTGTAAAACCAAACTCTAAAGACTCCTGTTCTAGGTAATTGATTAGTCCAGTAAATGTAGGCATAAGAAAAATGTATGAAATAGATGACGTTAATCTTTCATGCACAATAACACCTTTCTCCAGCTGTGGCTCTAACTGTCCTGATGGATTCTTTACTGCTCTCAGCTAATCCATTATATGGTTTTAGACATCCAGGATAGACACTGAAAGGAATAACTATTACAAAAGTAATTTTAAGAGGAGCATTTGATTGACTGATGCTCCTCTTATGTATTCATTGTGTGTATGTATTGAATTTGTGTATTCATTGTATGTATTCAATATTCAATGTATGTATTCATTGATCCTGCATATACTTGATGATTTGATTGGTGGTTTGATTCCAGTTATATTAACTTGCCAGAAACTTTCTAGTTTCCAAACAGTGAATACAACTTAGACCTCATGAAGCTTACATTCTAGTTAGAAGAGAGAATATTAATTAGATAAGCACATAAAATATACATGTGTTAGATAGTGATAAATGACAAGAAAAAAAGTAGAGCATGGAGGGCCTAGGAAGGATGATAGTGGTTGAATAGACTTTAATTTTATATAGAATATTAGGTCAGAGATCTGAAGGTGACTAGGAAAAAGTTATGTGGGTATCTGGAGCAAGAGCATCTTAGGACAAAGAGAAAGTAAGTGAAAAGGCCCTAAGATATGAATGTGGCTGGCATGTTCAAAGACCCTCAAGGATGGGGTAAGAGTGGGGAAGAGTTGAAGGATATGGGGAAGGGGAAAATATCGTAGGTCTTTGGCACACTGTAGTTAATGTCTTCACATTTTTCTTGCAATGCAATGAGAAACACAGACATGTAATGATCTGAGTTATGTTTTAATAGGGTTAGTATGATTGTTACTTTGAGAGTTGGTTGAATGAGGACAAACAGATAGACCAGTTAAGAGACTTGGCATTCATCCAGTCATTAGCTGTGAAGTCTTGGACCACAGTGATAATGGTGAAAATGATCAAGTGTGGTTTGATTCCAGATACATTTTGAAGGTAATGCTGAAAAGATATGCTAATAGTTTGGCTGTGGAACATGAAAGAAAGAGGAGTTGAGGATTATTTCCCAACTATGGACCTGAGCAACTAAAAGACTTGTCATTGATTTAGATGGGGAAGACTGTGGTAAAAACAAATTTTTTACAGGAGATCATGAACTCAGCTTAGCTAATTATATAAAGTTAGAGATGCCTATTATATATCGAGGTGTAAATGTTAAAGTGATAGCTAGTATACAAGTCTGAAGTTCATTGGGTCAGGAACATCTGAACTGAAGATGTAAAATGTTTGAATCATCAATCCATATGTCATTTAAACCAGAAGACTAGATGTGATAACCAAGAAAATGAATAACGAGACAAAATATGAGATCTAAGGATTGGGCCCTATAGCACCCCAACATTTAGAGGTTAGGAAACTGAGGACGAACTAGAAAGGAGACTAAGAATCAGTGACCAAAAAAGTAGAAGGAAAACCACAGAAGTCATGTATTGAAAGTCATTTGAATGAATCAAGTGATCAACTTTGTCAGATACTGTTGATGGGCCAAATAAGGTAAGAAATGAGAATTGACCATTGGATATAGCAATGCATTCGACCAATGACCTTGAGAAGAGTATTTCAGTGGAATGAAGGGCAACATGGAAACTAGAGTGGATTTAAGAGAGAATAAGAAGAAAGAATATGGAGATAGCAAGTGTAGACTTGTCTTTTTCTAGAAAGAAAATAAGGGCATAGATACTTTTATGGGATGTGGAATGGTGCTGGGACATGTGGAAGTCTCTTCTATTGGTCTGTATATTCTTAGAAAATAGAAAATAATTGAGTATGAGAACATGGGAGGAAAATGCTGAAGATTCAAGGAGAAAAGAGAAAGTATGAAAAAGTATCCAGGAACATAGCAAAGAACATGGACCAGACAGCATTAGGGATCTATGTGAGTTTAGTAATCATGAATTTGAAGCAAGGTCAGTCAACAGGTACTATGAGTTTCTTCAGATGTATCCAGCTCAGCAGTTGCAGGTACAGAGAAGATAGAGGTTAGATTTAACTGACGTTGTGGTTAAGCCAAGTGAATACAGTAAAACTAGAGATTAAAATAATTGACCATGGAATCTAAGACAGTGATGAGAAACCCTCAAGCTACAGCGATTTCCCATTGTCTCCCTAAATGCTATTAGTACTGTAGCCAAGACAAGTCTTTCTTTTATAGGACTATACAAGGCCTTAGAGGATATTTAGTATCCTTGGCCTAAAGGATAAAGGTAAAGTGGTACAGTACACATTTAGTGTGCTGTACACTAAATATCAGTAGCACTTTGCCACAAATTAAAGGAACAGTATATAATCCTTGACAGTGCTTTAACTCCATTGCATTTCCTTCTTTTTTAGAATGGAATTTTTTTCTATATGTTCCCCAAAGCAAGGCTAGTTTATATAACATTAAATTACTTATGCAAATGCAAAAATTAATCTGAACATCTATTTATTATATCTAGCACAAAACATAGAAACAAAGAAGGCATAGGTTATTATTTTGAAATTATGCTTTACTGAACACATAGGAATTGCTACCAATCGTTTAAATAGTTGCCTTATTTCTTAGACAAATAGTAACTGAAATGTATGGAGCATTCATGCATATATTTGGAATGTATTAAGTGTTCATGTGTATACCTGGCGCAGAGTTAATTGTTTTGCCTGCATTATCTGATTTGATTTTCCCACAGTGCCATGAAGTATGAATTATCATTATCACTATTATATAGTAAACAGTATAAAAATGTGTCTATGACTTGGAGAATGGAAAAATGTTTTACAATATTACATTCTGGTTGTTCACTTCCCTTCCATTCATGTTGACATTGAATTGTTCTAGGCTGCTAAGGCAGCACTGTCAGAAGCCACGTTTTTTCTAGGCATACACACACTTTATTCCTTTGTCCTTTAGTTCCTTAAACTACCCATGCACTTTCCTCCTCTTTCTTTTTACATTGATGATTAAAATAGTGAGCCTGAATTTTTTTAAATAAAAACCAACTAAGTTTTTTATTATTTATTATTTGGAGGAACATATGCCCTCCAAAATATCATTTAGTGCATCTTAGACATAAAACAATTTAACTGCTTGAAGAAAATGTCCAGCTTCTGAAATGGCATGCCATTAGATATTAGTGACATTTGTTTATAAACAAATAAATGTCTTCAACCTCTATGTAGTTACTATCAATATAGCCATGCAATATATATGGAGTTCCAAATACCTTTCAAAAAGTAATGTTGATACAGTAGTGATCACTTATGTCCTTTTGATTGAAACTGCATTATACGAAGTTCTTTCCTTTCAGCACAATAACCTGAAAAATATAGCTGTCTATTTAAAGAAGACATTTTCTTGTTTGGCAGAATATTATCATCATACAGCATATGTACAATATGGTCCTAATTTGTGTCGATATGTGCTAGGCTTAGAAAACTCACTTTAAGTTTTACTAAATTTATTTTGGAGTTTAACTCTTACTTTTGACATGATTTATATTCTAAGGAGATCTCAGCTTCTTCCTGCTTAAATGACATTACATAGATAGAAAGGTATATATTCTTATTATAGCAGTGTCTGCCAGGGCTGCAGTCCTGTTGTTAGAAGGCTGTCAGAATTTTAAATGTAAGCCTTCCTTTCCCAGGTGTTATAATTTAATCTTCTAACTCCTATTAATTTCTGAAGACTGTGGGGCCATCCTATATCTTAGAACAAAATATAGATACGTACATTCCTGATTTTTTTCTCCATATTTACCTTCCCCCAAATGTTTTAATTTTATTATTTCAAAATTATAATAATAGCAATGGATTTCAAATTAAAATTCTGGCTAGTGAATCCCTCAGGTATTTCTTTATATTGACTGATTTGTATGTTGTAGGCTAAATAATGCCCTCCTCCAAGATACCCATAGCTGAATTTCCAGAACCTGTAAATATGTTCCCTCTTACATGGCAAAAGGGACTTTGCAAATGTGACTAAGTTTAAGAACCTTAAGGTGGGAAGATGATCCTGCGTTATCCAGGTGGACCGAATCCAGTCACATGAGACCTTAAAAGTAGAAGAGGGGGTCAGAGTGATGAAACAATGGAAGAAGAGGAAGGAGAAGTTTGAAGCATGAAAAATATTTCATTCATCATTTCTGGCTTTAAAGATGGAGAGTCCCTTGAACCAAGGAATGTGAATGACCTCTAGAACCTGGAAAAGAGCATTGGCTGACAAACAGCAAGGAAATGGGAACCTCAGTTCCACAACCACAAGAAATGAATTCTGCCAACAACCTGAATGAACAAGGAGATAGATTCTCCTCTAGAGCCACCAGAAAGGAATGTATCCATGCCGACACCATCATTTTAGTCATTTTAGCTAAAGGAGACCCATATTGGAATATTCGCCTACAGAACTGTATTCCAACAAGGATGCATATGTTGGAATATTCACCTACAGAACCATGAGATAATATATTTGTGTTGCTTTCAATTGCTAAGTTTGTTACGGTAGCAATAGGAAACTAATGCAATGTACAGTTGACCCTTGCACAATGCAGGGATTAGGGATGCTGACCTCTACACAGTTGAAAATTTGTTTATAATTTTTAGCTCCCTAAAAACATAACTACTAAGAGTCTACTGTTGAACAGAAGCCTTACTGATAACATAAGCAATTTATTAACATATTTTGTATTTCATATGTATATATGCTGTATTCTTATAATAAAGTGTGTTAGAGAGAAAAGAAAATACTAAGAAAATCATAAGGAAGATAAAATATATTTGTGTTAATCAAGTGAAAGTTGATCATCTTAAAGGTCTTCATCTGCATCATCTTCATGTTGAAAAGGCTAAGGAGGAGGAAGAAGAGGAGGGGTTGGTCTTGCTGTCTCAGGGGAGGCAGAGACAGAAGAAAATCCGCGTATAAATGGACCGGACTTGCACAGTTCAAACCTGTGTTGTTCAGGTGTCAACTGTATATGAAGGCTTTCTTCTTTAAACAGAAAGGAAGTATTTTGTGCCCAAGATTTGGAGAAAGCAATGGGATAAAAATATCATAGAGATTTTATGGTATTTGTCCTTTTTTTCCTTTTCCCCTTCACTAAGGGTCTTGAAAAACTGGTCTGAAACTCCGCTCCAGTAGAGCAAAAAGAAGAACTGAAAGTTAAGAAGATATTTTTGTGAAAAATGTTGTGAGACAAATTTTGACACAGGGTTGAGGAACTCTTTTTTTCCGCATCTGACCAAGGGCAGGCTTGATATCCTGAAGGTTAAGAGCGGCTTTGCCTGAAGCAAAGTTCTCACTATGGGAAGTTGCAGCCGAGTAGTGAAGAGTTATCTTGATGGGAGGCCGGAACAAATTTGCTTTGGAGACGTAAAGGGAACTAAGAACTATTCTTACTGGACTCCAATATGAGACTTTATTTCTATCCATTGGTTTGCAAGGCCTGGAGATATATGCATTAGATAAAAAGACTGTATTTGTAATTAGAAAAGCCTCCAGTAATTAATGTCCAAATATGCAACCAATTTAAATGATGTCTACATAATACCACACATAGATGAAAATCCAAAAAGTCAAACATTCATTATAATAATTCTTCCAATCTAGTTGTTGTTATATAGAAGCCCCTCAGAGGGCACCCCATTTTGCTGAATTTCTTGAGTTTTTTACTTATATCACAGAATCAGGATGTTCAAAGTATAACAAAGATGAGAAGTAAGTTGAAAAAAGAATTATTAGTGATATTTCTTCTACCATATACATGTTATCTTGGAATTGGAATTTTTTCATAATAAGAAATCCATTAGCATAAATACAGTTTAAATTGAATAAGTAAATTTCATTAAAAACAAAATATTTATTTGGGGGTACATTTTATAAATAGCTGCAAAATCAAAACTGCATTTTTGAAATGTAAGCCATATTGATGCTAGTAAGTCAATATGCTCATTATCAATTGTGTATGTACTTTTATGTTATTTAGAAAATTTAATTACACGTACGGTGTTTCAAGTATTCAATAGATAAACCACCTAGGAATATAACAGGGGGCATAAAACATATTATCGACTCTGTGTCTTTATGAAACTAGATAAAGCAAAGAAAAATCTGTCAATTACTCAGCCAGTTTCATCTTAGTAGCCTACTGTAAATTGAGGTCTATGTTTTTGAGTGAATGAAATCTAGTAAATTAAGTTCACCAGGTCTTATTCTAGTTTATTTTAGATGGAAATGTATGATTTTTAAAAGTGGGAGTAAAATCTTACACATATTTCTGAAATGTTAAGAAGATAATTTTATAATTCAAACCTGTACAAGAACTTAGTTTGCCTATCTGAGCAAATTTTACATTCACTAGTGAATGCCCATGTGAAAGACAAGCAGGAAACTTCCAGGGGCCAAGGGGCTTAGAACCAACTGAACTGGTACAAAATAAACATTAGGTATTTCAGTACGTAGAGTTTGTGGACAAAAAGAATAGGCTCTTACCAATTACTATGCTACTAGAATATCCAATTTTGCTTTTACCAAGCCTTAGTGAAAAGTGAATGAATTCTAACAAGAAGACTCAAAGACACTGGTGCTCCCCCTGTGTCTCCCTTCACTTATTCTGCATGGTCAGCACCTCTTCAAAAGACCAATAATAATGGTCCCCTACAAGAAGTATACAATTGCTCCTCTGATGTGAAAGCATATGAAGAAAATAAGTGTCCAAAGCTGCATAAATATTTGCACCCCTTTGAGAGTATGAGAAAGTGTGTGTTTTATGTTGTGATTGATAGGACAACTTTCATGGCCCACTTTGAACTCTTAGCAGGAACTTTGGAATGTCCTGAGGGTCTGTCTGCCTTTGTATGGCAGGAACTCTGTTTTCTTAGAAAATAGTAAAGAACAGTTTGTACTCCTTTGTTCTAAAGGGTACCTATAGTTTATGGGAATTGGGGAACTTAGTAGAAAAATCACCAACGCTCTCATGTTTCTCATAAAAAATGCTCAGCTTTATTTGGAAACTTTGGCCATTGTTTTCTTTTTCTTCTTTCTTCTTCTCCTTCCTCTTTTGGGTTAAAAAGGCCACAGTCTGACCTACTTATATGTGTGATGAAATGTGCAGACTCTGCCAAGGCTATTTATTCTAATGATTTATCTACTCAAGATAAAAAGAAATAAAGTGAAGACAAATCTGAAATACTGTGCAATGTACTTACTTGAAAGCAGTAAGTTCTCATGTTAGAAAATTTCCCTATTAAGCAAGAAATCTTGAACACTTCATTAAAGTCATATGATCTGATTTTTATTATCATTTAAGTCAGGGAATTTTAGAACTAAATGTGTCAATTATAAAACTGTACATATGTATAGCCTCCAAAATGTGTTAAACATTAGTTCATATGAATCTCAAAATACTGTAACACAGTAAAATGAGCAAGAAAATTTTTGAAATTTGCACAGTAGAGACGATGCTGTTAATGTTCACCGAGGTAAATAATTTGTCCAAAGTTCTATTTCTGTGAGATACTCAACTGAGACATAATCTCAGCTTTTTTCACTTTCATATTCTATATTTTGGTTTTCATTTTGTTCTTAAGAAACAAGTATTTTTAAAATGAAACATCTGGTTTCGGCAGTGCTGGCTAATGCTCAGAACTCCCTTCCCTTGTTTTCTTCAATGTCACCCTTCTATAAAAACCTCTGAATATCTGAATACGTTTTAAGAGCACCCCTTATAAAACACTTTTTGCTTTGTTATGTTTCATTTTGCAGGTGCCAAAGTCACAAATATTTCACCTCATTCAGATATTCCAGGTAGTAAGGCTGATATTTTTATGAGTCATTTCATCTGACAAAATTAATTTAAGAATAAATAACATTGAAATAGTAAGTAGCATGTATTTTGGACTTAACTCTTATTTTCCCTATTTCTATTCTTCCATGTTTTAATAGATTAATATATACTCATGTGTATATATGTACATGCACACTCACACACATATAAGTATATATATATTTATTTTTCCTCATCTTATACAAGTGGAAACATACTATACACATTATAAGAGCACAGTATAATTTTTATGTAATATAATTTGAAGTTAATTCCATATTGGATAGTTTCTTCATTATATGTGTAAGTATATGTAATATATCATATGTATCTATGATTGTGTATTTCATTGAATGAATGCACTCAAACGTGTTCAGCAATCAGCACAGAGGTTAAACATTGACTCTAGTACTAGACTGTGAAGGTTCAAATCCTGCTTTCACCACCTGCCATCTTTGTAACCTTGAACAAGTTATGTAAGTACTCAATGCTTCAATTCCCTCATCTTTAAAATCAATGTAACAGTTATAAGATTCTTACCACATAAGGTTGTGTGTGGTGTTTTGAGAATGTAATGAATGAACATATCCAAAGCCACATTGTAGAGTGCTTAGCACTTGCAAAGCATAATGTCAGTGTGAGTTGTCATTTCCATCATCATTTTTAACATGTTTAATTGCAACCCCTATTGATGGACGTACGGACATTTTCAATATTTTTTACTACAAACGTTGTTATACATTGTTTTTCTGTTGTTGTTGTTGTTGTTGTTGGAGATGGAGTCTTGCTCTATCACCCAGGCTGGAGTGCAGTGGTGTGATCTCGGCTCACTGCAACCTCCACCTCCCGGGTTCAAGTGATTCTCTGCCTCAGCCTCCCGAGTAGCTGGGATTACAGGTGCTTGCCACCATGCCCAGCTAATTTTTGTATTTTTAGTAGAGACAGGGTTTCACCATCTTGGCCAGGCTGGTCTTGAACTCCTGAACTCATGAGTCACCCTTCTCAGCCTCCCAAAGTGCTGGGATTGCAAGCGTGTTTCAGTGAATAGCCATGTGCCCAGCTGTTTCTCACATGCACCCTTATAACTGTGGGATAAATCTCTGAAGGTGAAACTGCTATGTCAAAGTATATATGCATTTATAATTTTAACAGATATTGCCAAATTGAACCCATATATTTTAGACATGCTACCACCAATGCATGAGAGTACTTGTTTCCCTAAACCCCTCTCTAATAGAGTATATTATCAAACTTTTGGGTCTTTGGCAATCCAATGGGTGAAAAATGACATTTTGGGCTGGGTGTGGTGGCTCACGCCTGTAATCTCACCACTTTGGGAGGCTGAGGCAGGCGAATCCCTGAGGCCATGAGTTCGAGACCTGCCTGGCCAACATGGTGAAACCCTGTGTTTACTAAAAATACAAAAAAAAAAAAAAAGCCAGGCATGGTGGTGCACACCTATAATTCCAGCTACTTGGGAGGCTGAGGCATGAGAATCACTTAATTGCTTGAACCTGGGAGACAGAGGTTGCAGTGAGCCAAGATAGTGCCATTGCACTCCAGACTGGGCAACAGAGCAAGACTCCATCTCAAAAAAAAAAAAAGGAAGAGAGACAATTATATTTTTTTCCACACAAGCATTTAAAATCTAATTCAAAAATCTATTCTGAACTTACTGAATCCCAAGAATAATTAGGAGAGGAAAAGAAATAATGTTTAAATAAATTCTATCTGCCTGTTACTATAGAACATGAAGAATGGGTTCTGTGTTCCTCTTATGAATTTCTTTTTAAAACCCTTCAAAGTAGGTATTTTCATGCCCTTTTAGACATAACATAACGTATAATTCAGAGTTGAATTAATTTTCCCAAAATCACACAGCAAATATATAGACTACAATTAGAAAGTGGGTAAGTCTCATTCTTAAACATATACTTTTGCATTATAGTCACATGAAACCACTGAGCGTGTTCATGTGTGTGTGTGTGTGTGTGTGAGAGAGAGAGAGAGAGAGAGAGAGAGAAAGCCCAAGAGTGAGAGTTTGTCTTGAGGAGAAGTGTTTAAAAGGAATATATAAATCAAGGATGCACTATAGTATCACCAAAGTAACAGTGTGAACTTGAACAATTTAACCTCTTAGAGCCACGATTGCTCCATCTATACAATAGAATAATAATAATAAACCTACATTATACAATTTCCGGAGATTAAATGAGGATAAAGAGTACTTTTGAAATTCTAAAGTTCCATGAAAATGTTAGCTTTGATTACATATGGTTCAGCAATTGGGTCTCCTTATTTTTTGAGATCTACCTTTTTTTTTTGTATTATCTGTAGCTTGCTAAAATAACATACCAGATGTTTTTGTTTTCAAATTTTAAAAATCCAGATCATACTGATTTGTTGCCATGGTATAGTAGTCAGAGAATCTTGCTCTGGGCAGTTACAATATTTTGGAGATTGTTTTACATAATAGCAACAATAACAGGAACAATGATAACTGCTAACTTGTTTACATTTACAAAATGTCAAATACTATTCTAGATTATTCAATTGAATCATCACAACAACGCTATGAGGTAGTTACTGTTATATTGTTTTGATTTCCCTGATGGAGACTTGACACAAAGAGAGACTAAGTAATTCACTCCTGTCACACACAGCTAAAAAGTGGCAGAGCTGAGTGTTTTGCCCCAGGTAGTCCAGTTCTAGAACTGTACTCTTTTCCACTATGCTATACCATCTTCCTAATACTATCTGTACAAGAAATTTTCTCCTAATGAAATGTATTGCTGTACCCTATATAAGCTTTAGCTCTAAAATTGCAGAGCAGGAAGCAGGTGGATAAAGCTAATTGCTATTCTATTACCCTACAATAGAAATTTCAGTGGACTAACTCTAATATTTAAATAACCCACTGTTAATAAACTGGCATGGTGCAATTGCATGTTTCCCAGTGAGATCAGATCTAGTCCAATGTCTCAGCAGATATAGGAATTCCTTTTCTATCACCCCAGACAGGTGGATCTCTACTCATGTATCTTCAGAGAAATGGATACCCTACAAAGCAGCACATTCCATTTTCAACAGCTCTAGATATTATTTTATTTATTTATTTTAGATGAAGTTCTGCTGTGTTGTCCAAGCTGGTCTCAAACCCCTGGGCTCAAGCAATCCTCCTGCCTCAGCCTCCCAAGTAGCTGGAATTATAGTTGTGTGCCACTGCATCTAGCTCCAGATTTTAGAAGTTAATTCTTACACAGGGTTTTCTGGAGGGACAGAACTAATAGGATTGATGTATATATGAAGGGGAGTTTGTTAGGAGAATTGGCTCACATGATCACAAGGTGAAGTCCCACAATAGGCCATCTGCAAGCTGAGTAGCAAGAAAGCCAGTTCGATTCCCAGAACCTCAAAATTAGGGAAGCCAGCGGTGCAGCCTTCAGTCTGTGGCCGAAGGCCCGAGAGCCCGTGGCAAATTACTGGTGTAAGTGCAAGGGTCCAAAAGCTGAAAAACTTGGAATCTGATGTTCAAGGGCAGGAAGCATCCGGCATAGGAGAAAGATGAAGACTAGAAGACTGCGCAATTCTAGACCTTCCACGTTCTCCTGCCTGCTTTATCCTAGCCACGCTGGCAGCTGATTAAATGGTGCCTACCCAGAATGAGGGTGGTTCTGTCTTTCCCAGCCCTCTGACTCAAATGTTAATCTCCTTTGGCAACACCCTCACAGACACACTCAGGTACAATACTTTGCATACTTCAGTCAAGTAGACAGTCAATATTAATCACCACATTCTCCAACGCTTTCTCATACAGGTTCTATTTCTCCACTATGAACAGTGAGATTTTTTTTCTGGTATACTTGATAGGCCTTCAAATGTTCCAAGAAAACAATCATGCTTTTCCTAAGTCTTCTCTTTTTAAATACTCCCATTACCTTTCCAAACCTTTTGTTCAGCTGTTGGGACCATCAACATCCTGGTCACACCTCTATGGATGAAGTCTAATTTGTCAACTACTCTCTTAAATGGTGGTGTCATGAATTGATCACAGTGCTCTGGATGTGCTCTGACTAGCTATGACTGCTCCTGGATCGCCGTTTCCTTTAATCTATACACTATGTGTCTTCCTAATACAGAGAGTATGTTGTTTGCCTATATATCATAACAAATTGAAAATGCATTTATAACTTATAAAGTATATATTACTAGGTGCTAGAATTTACACTATTATCCTAATATACAGAAGCTGGGAAAAGTAATGCCATAGAGTTGATTTATGTGTGTAAATGTCTAAGTGACTTAAATATTGATTTTTCTCCTTCAACTGCAGATCAAACTTCCCAAACACTAAAGCTTCCTTATTTTAAAACAAATGCATTTGTGGTTCACCAGTCTGCAGTACAGTAAGCTTTTTATAGGTAAGCTCAAATCACAGAAAAGCTCAAATAGATACATCTCCTTTAGCCTATTTTTAGGACTGATAAAGCTAAGAACAGAGAAACCAATAAAGACATATTTTAATGATGGCAGGGTATCTCATGGGGTAGTACAAATTTATCCCAGTTTTTTATGCCTTCTCTATGTGTAATACATTGAAGTGATATATGGTGTTGAATGTGATTAAAATTCAGCAGATACTTATGCAAGATCTACTATCTATAAGATGCTTATGCAAAATTCCATAGGGAAACATTAAGACGTGAATAAAATCTGAATTGGGCCATCACTATGATCTCTCCCCAAAACGTGGGATTTTCAAGTGCATTTAGAATTATGAAATAAACCACTAGGTTTTTAGTGTGAAATGTTTACAGTATTTTAATTTTGAAAACTATACTTATTAAAACAGTATGACAACATTTATTGAATACATGTTATGTGCTAGGTACCAAGTGGGGAGTTTTATGTTTATTTTCTCATTTCATCCTAAGAGCAAACTTCGGAGGTAGGTGTGATTCGTCTCATTTTAGTGAAAATTCACTGATGCTCTGAAAGCAAAATTAACTTTCCCAAGGGCCTTGTAGTGCTTAAAGGCAGAATCAAAATCCACAACCAGCTCTGGAAAATCTCCAGAAATGAGCTTAATTTTTTGTGTGATTTATATATGACTCCAATATTAACAGACATGTCAAACAACTAACACAACCCTTTACCTGTTTATTTTGGAAGAAGACACTTAAAATGTATTTTATTACCCTGTTGATTCTCCTCTGGAGTGTGACTTAGTATCCATTGCACCTTTGGGATTCTTATCTTCTAAAATTCACAACCACTTTCTACTGCTGTAAGAAAGAATCACCTGCAGAGTTCACGAATGAGGGAAGAGTGAAAAGGGAATAGTGGCAGATCAATACCACTTGGCATCACATCAAAATAGTATTCCAAGGTTGGTGTTCTGGCTTCTGCTTTTCTGGGAAATACGTTGTCTGCTATTTCAAAATGCCCTCCATCTGAATAATGTAACCTGAAATTCATTCAACTCATATTTAGCACTTTAGGCCATATCCAGGGTTGTGGAAGGTGTACGTAAGCAATGAGGATTGCCTACAAGGCAAGATGAGAACTCTGTTTTCTATACTTTCTATTGTTCCTCCCTTTGCAACAGAAGTAGAAAGGGCCATACCATAGCCATCTACTGTCCAACATGATGAATATCCTTAAAGACAAAATCTTTAAGCAGTAAGTGAAAGGTTAACTACAATTCTCATTTAAAAAGAAAATTGCATTGCTGATATCTCTTTGTTACATAAATTTTCCACAAGGATTATACATTTTCTTTTTATTCATTTGTTATCTATTTGACAATAGCAAGCCTGTTTCTCTTTAGCTTAAAGGAACTTGGATTAAAATTTTTTCTGTTATTTTAATCAGCATTGATGTTGTATATTATGAGCGTGTGGCTTTTTGTTTTCTTGGCAGAGACCTTGAAAAAATTTTGAACCCTAGTCAATAAGAAATCTCTGTATTAATATAAAACTATAACTTATGGTTTATTTGATTAGATCAATGTTTAATTATGGATAACATGTATTTTTTGCACTGAATATTTACACACAAATTAATCTAGCCCATAGTAAAAGTGCTAATGGAATGTTTCATCCAAACATAAGTTAGTAAATGGAAAACAAACAGCTGTTGCAAAGACCCTGTTTTTGGGTCTGGGCCTAACAGCACGAAGCACTTCAGAGAATTTCACCACTACCATTTACTCACATCTGTTGAGATTGTACTATTTCAACTCAAGATTTGATCAGTGTATGTCATAAAGTAACAAGTAGTACGCTAAGTCAGAAAACTTAAAGGAAACATTAAATACTCATTTCCTATATGGAATGTTGCCTTTCTAAGCACATCATCTTCTTCTATGTGATGTTTTGCAAATCTATTCATAGGAGATTTATATTTTCAAGTGTGCTCAAATGGATCTGTGTTGGGGAAAGATACGTGAAATAAGAAAATAAAAGCTAATCCATTTGTTTTAAAATTTTGTCTGCCTACCACATTTTGTTGGACTTCTTGTTATATGAGAACTCCTAATTGTCTGGTTTTCAATTGCAGCCAAAAGCATTCTTACCTGATCAAACTCTTCAAATTCTATTTACTTTGAATTATAGCTGAGTACATGGAAAGTATAATTGGGCCTTACTTTGTTACACAGCAGACAAAACATATGCTCAAGATAGGTCAGTGCTATTCCAGTGAATAAACATTTTAACAAAAATTTGTATGAGAAATTCATGTTGGCCTCTCATTCCTCTCTATATGCCTTTCACAGTTACTCTTTTTCCCCTTGCCAATCAAAACACTATAATGAATATCTCTTGGCCTTAACGATAAGAAACACTGTATATAAATATTGTCTAGGCTGTATTTTATGAGAATGTGGAGTTATATGAAATGTAGGAAGAAAAAATATGAGTGAGTAATCCTGTGAGCAGTGGACGGGCTGAGCTTCTAGGACACTGATAAGCAATCAGTGTTAGTTACACTTGAGGCAGTATCTCTGGTGGTCTGTTCCAGAACTATGTCCTTGACTCTGTCACATTCATACTTTTCATCACTACTTTTTATACTTCTGCAATTTAGGTCACCCAATACAGGTTATCTTATCAGGTTAAACTGATTGTAGTGGTCACATTGAAAAAGAAAAAAAAAATCCCAAATTCAGGACTTTTCCCAACCAGTTCTAATTAATGCACGTGTGAAAGGACATAGTTATTGTGAAAAGAAATGCTATCAAAACAGTCTAATGGCTACAAGAAGAAAAAGAAAAGAAGAAGAAGAAGGAGGAGGAAGAGGAGAAGGAGATGAAGAAGAAAGCTAAGGAGAAGATGGGTAACAGGAAAAAAAGAGGGCAGGAAAAGCAGATAGGAAGGAAAAAAAAGGTGGAAGAGAGAAATGAATGCAGGCAGGCAGGATGTTTTCCTCGAGGTTTTTTATTTATATCCCCTGGACTGCATAACTCAGTTTATTCCCTTCTAAACCAACTTTTCTAGAATGTGTTGTCTCTGTTCGACACCTACAACTCTGGTTCATTTTCTATGCATTAAGGATGATGTAACTTTAAAACCTCTCATGTAAATTCTGCCTGTTTTCTAATTCTACAATCCTCTTGTTTATGTTCTATTCTAATAATTATCGAGCTTTTAAAGAAGAGAAATCTGTTCTTAACTCAAATTTATACATACACTGAAGGAAATAACAAAACCTTGAAGTAAAACACTGTTTCTATGATAAAAGAGAGCTCTACAAATAGATGCATGAATAAACACTTCTATGGGAGGGATACCTTTTCAGAGTTTAAGGCTCGCGGGCTTTGGGATCTAAGAAGATGAATCGCTTGCCCTGTTTGTGATCCTAAATGGAAATTGACAGATATGTTTAATTTATCCTGCTCAGTATTATAAAGCCTTTTTCTCATTTGATTTTTGTGTATCCCTCCTGAAATATTTGCTCTGGTAAGCAAAAGCAAATATTAGGTTTTACACTCCATTTAGTGAAATAACAGTGATGATAATCTGACATCAGAGAACCAAATGTTCCAGGCTTATTTCATGAAAAGGATTTCCTCTCCAGAAACATTATCCTCAATAGGTTATCCCATCCTTCATTCCTCAATTCATATTTCTTGAGATTGAGAGGGAAAAAAAAAGAGGCCAGACCACAAGTAGCCTACTGCTAAATTCTTTTATGAAGCTTAGTTTTATGAATTACCTTTTAGCCTTCTCCAGTCATGTGGGAAAACTTTCCTGCCTCATTAAATCTTTAATGCAATGTGCACCATGCACACTGTATTGTTATTTGTGACATTAGGTTATATATTGCATAGTAACTATAATATTACTTGCAAACAAGCTGGTTTTTCCCCCTGAAGGTAGAATTAAAACAGGTACTCATGGGAAACAGCTACTTGTGTTCTTCTTTTCTTAATGGGGTGAAGCTGAAGAACAGGAAAGTGAATGGCTTAGCCTAGAACCATCTCCAGGAATGGAGGTAAATTTTTTCCTGCAGTGCCTTCTCAATTTGATATCTGAATCTCCCTGAAGAGAATTTGCCTTAGTAGATATGGAGAAAGAGGGAAAAGGCCAAGCCTTTGGAGACCCTTATGAAATGGAATGAACCGCTCTCACTAAATTCACTTTCTCTTTGTATTGAAAAGAGATATAATTTTCATCCCTAGTAAATATAGTCGAATCCATCCAGTAATATAAGAATTGCCTCAAAGTGAACTAAAATTGCACTTACTCCTACCTGTGGAAAACCATATTTCTCTAGCCAAGAGAACAATGACAGATTAGTTCCTAAATAGCAGGAGAAAATGAAATGTTCTATTGGCTGAACACACAGTGCTCTGTAAAATCAGAGAAATCAATATTGTCCCCAAAATGAACTAATTTGAAAGTCTCAAAGATGTTCAATTTTATGAAAGACTCGTAAAATTAATAAATGAGTCTGCAAAGTCCAAAAATGTGGAAAATTACAGTTATTTGCAGTACGTATAACTTACCAAGACCACTTATATTTTGTTAGAATTTTTCAATGAATGTTAATGGATGAATTTTTTTATATAGAGTTCTCCCTGTTTGGAATCTTTTAGTTCCCTTATTTACTGTGGTTGCCACTGACTCTGCATCAGGCTTTGGAAATATCACTAAAAAACTGTTTTTTCTTTAGTCTTCTTACTAGTCAAATATCAGCTAAACAAACAAAGAAAATAAGTGTTTGAATGGTCAGAGAACTATAAGAATGAGAATTCTGGCAGGAAAATTCATTTTTAAAAATCCAAGTAACAGAATGGATAAATATAAAAAGAGGCTAGATCAGACATACCCAGACATTCTCAGTTCAGAATGTTCATAGCGTATTCATAATTTTTTCATAGTGCCTCCTTGACCAACAGAAATAAGCCACAGTTCTATTTCTTAAGTAGTTAGTGCCAAACAACTTAATAAATATTCATGTTTTAACAACCTAGCAATTGTTTAAAAAGAAAATGGACAGAAAATAATAATTTTTTTCATAAATAACCAGAATCACTTACTGATGGGATGTGGTACCTTTGGGGTAGTATATACCTTCTCAAACTTGAGTATCAGATTGGATAATGCTATCCTTATTTCCTTTTCCACATTGACTTTTGTGCAGTTCTTGCTTTTAATTACAGTCTCTTCTGAAAACCTTTCTTAATAAAGATATAAAGTGGCCTAAAGTACAAGTAAGCAGAAACATGGCTCAAAATGTTGAGAACATTCTTAAGTGGAATATAGCATGTTCTAAGGTTTCAACTTGTGAACCACCTTGAATTAGTTATTGCAGTGCCCAACAGATATTTAGTATTGCTGTGTGTCCTTCAAATGTTTACAATATTCCACTGTGCCTTTGTGAGTTCACTGCAGCACCCTGGGGCACCTCTACACACAGTTTGTGAACACAGGGGTAGATAGATCCTAGAGGCATTGAAACTACACGGAAACTTGAATGACGTTAGGGATCCCAGAGCCACTGGGGAATCTTCATTAGGGAAGTGCAACAACATATGAAATAGCTCATTAAACTTTCCCTATCAAAAAAACTGAAGTCAGAGAGATGAATTCAGATGCTTGATGAGAACCTACTTGGTAATGGATTTGAAGGAGAGAGTAAACGTTAGGATACTGAAGGGATTCTAAGAGAGTGCAGAAGCGAGGGCAAGGAGGCACAAAACGAAGGCGGCACCTGGAACATGGAGGAGTGGACAGATGGAGAAGAGGCAGAGAATTCTTTATCTAAAGCAAGAGGAAAGGGCAACGTATACTCAGAATATTCTCAAAGCTTTTTCCCTGAATAATAGCATCCTTCAGAAAAGAAGTCTTGTAACTGACTCATTGCAAAGTCTCTTACACAATGGTATGTACTCTTTGGGGAAGACACAACTGGAAACAACACCAGGAAAAGCTTGATTTTACAGCTTATGGAAAGATTGTGGAGTTGAAGGAAAAATAGAAGGAAAGAAATTTTAAAAAGAATAAGTTAATATTCCTAGGGGTGCATCCTCTAAATTGCAGAGTGATATCTTAAGCAATCCTTTTAAGAATTACTTAAGAGCCTGAGCGTGGTGGCTCACACCTGTAATCCCAGCACTTTGGGAGACGGAGGTGAGTAGATTGCTTGAGGTTAGGAGTTCAAGACCAGCCTGGCCAACATGGCGAAATCCCATCTCTACAAAAAATACAAAAAATTATGCAGTCATGATGGCACACACCTGTAGTCCCAGATACTCGGGAGGCTGAGGCACAAGAACTGCTTAAGCCTGGGAGGAGGAGGTTGCAGTGAGCTAAGATGGTGCCACTCCACATCAGCCTGAATGACAGAGCAAGACTCTAGGTCAAAAAATAAAGAAAGACAGAATTACTTAAGTAAGTACTTGACTAACTGGTTATATAAATGTGATCATAAACGCATACCTTTAGGGTAAATGAAAAAGACATTGATTCTAATATTGTGTAAATGGGTAACTGTGGCTTGGGAAAAAAACATCTAGTAACAGTATCCTGAAAATTGTTTAAATGGTCCGTGTTTCACACAACTTAAATGGAAGTAAAACAGCTTCGCTCATGACAATTTTCAGGCAATTCAAAATACGTTGTAATAATGGCAAACATGAGTATCAGAGATACACAAAAGAGTTTAGAAAAAAATCATTTTATGAAATATGAGCTAAAACAATGTTTTACTATTATCGCTATTATTATTAGCCCTCAGCAGAATAGGGTAAATTATTTCTATTCCTTAGTTCATGTTTTATATTATCGCTGACCTGCATGAGGAGCCCCTATTTTTCTGCGTATTTATTTGTTCCTCTTTTCCCCCTTCCCACCTCTAATTCCTCTCTCATAGTATTTTAGTTTATGTCAGGGATCCCCAACTCCCGGGCTATACAGGTCTGTGGCCTGTTAAGAATTGGGCGGCACAACAGGAGGTAAGCATCAGGCAAGTGAGCATCACTGCCTGAGCTCTACCGCCTGTCAGATCAGCGGTGGTATTAGATTCTCACAGGAGCAGGAACCTTATTGTGAACTGCGCATGCGAGGGATCTAGGCTGCACGCTCCTTATGAGAATCTAATGCCCGATGATCTGATGTGGAACAGTTTTATCCCAAAACCCCTCCTCTGTGTCCATGGAAAAATTGTCTTCCACGAAACCCATGCCTGATGCCAAAAAGGTGGGGAGTGCTGCAAGTTTCCATTATATGTGACTTTATTATAAATAGGTATGAAAAACACATTAGCAAATCAAGTATCATAGGTGATCTTTTTCTACTTCATCTATAGTCGTAACAGCTTTGACATTCAAATTATACACACTTTGACTCTTTTTATTGACAAAATGGAAAATTATCCTTAATTCAAAATGTATTTTATTTGAGCATATGTGGTGATTTCATATATTAAGTTGATATTTTTCTTTCCTTTTTAGAGAAGCCATATTCAAGAAAAATAGCATGTAATTCAAATTTTAAATAATCAAAATAGATTTGAAAGCTCAAAATTTTGGAACATTATAGGCCTATGTCCCAATATTCTTCCCAAACCTCCTTTCAAACGTATTTATTAATTTAGAAAATTCTAAATAGTTCAGTCCTTGTTTGAAATATATACAACATAAAACTTTTTTTTCTCCTGCCTTTCTAGAATCCTTTTATTGAGAAAATGTGTAGCTGATCTGAAGAAGCATGCTGTGTGAAATTTTGAATGTTTATCTTAATAGAACCTAAAATCTTCCACATAGGTTCACCCCTCATTACTCACAATAATGCCAAGTGCTGTAGTCCAGGCAGATATTTATTATTTTATATGTGAAAAGACATTCGAATAAGGCCATTTCTCAGTGGATTAGGGGAATCAGAGTTTTCTGAATTTAAGTTCCTTATAGAGCCCCATGTAATGAGCTCTTAGAAGACATTGCAGAGCTGCAATTTAAAATCCTGTTTAATCAGCCGTAGCGAGCTATGTGCCATTCTCTGTGGAACACTAAGAGGAATCAGGGTTCTTCCTCCTCCATCCAGTACATTCCCAACCAGGAATTGCTGTCTGGTCAGGGTTGGACGTGAAAGGCCATAGAGAGCCAACCCTGCGAAGCCAAGTCTCTGCATGTCAGCACAGAGCAAGCAGCAGAATACAGATCATCAGCTTTGTTTTATGAATATCTCTATTTACAGTGCTGGAGTGGAATTTTAAAAAAAGGATTGCAGCATTTGCATTGAATCTGTCACTCACAGCTTCAATTTTGATTCCTGTCCTATAAATGATCTTGCTTTCCTATTTTTTTCTGAATTTCTACAAGGTGACTGTCAATGTCAGAAAATGTAAACCTCAAGTGTACATTGCATGGGGCTTGGCATGTATATTAGAAAGAAAGAAGTTTGCTTAATGAAAAGAGGATAATATTTATTCAAACTAAGCCTATTTAATTGCACAGAGGAAAGTATACCTTCTTTGCCTGTTTTGTTTGAATTTTAATATAAAATAAAATTTGCTGCTAACCTTTTGTTTTTCTTTGACCAATAACATTTCTCAGCTTAGTGTATGGGCTATGTAAAGTGCCTGTCAAATGGAGGGATGTCTTTGTTGAAAGAATCCAGACTCACAGAAAGTGAGTGACTTTCTGGTCAGATGGTTAGAACTCTCCCAATTTTGACAAAGATCGTTCTCTGTTTGGGATTTGTAAAGCTCAAACTGTAGACTAAGATGATGACAGGAGGATCTGCTGTTTGGCTTCATGGAACTTAACCTATTTCAGCAAGCCTGCAATACTGGGGAAAATAATACATATATTTATGTTTATGTCAGGCTTGCAGTTGATGGGTAAGGTTCATAAAAGGTTACTCCTAAATAAATGCCTATCATTCCCACTCCGTACTCCAGTGATTTCTGCGTCTTGCAAATACTGCCCTATAGAACAATAAAATTCGTATACAACAGTAAGTAAAATATGATTTAATAGCCCATCTCCTATCCCGTAATGATTATGCATCTTCTGTCTTGTAGCTCCCAGCAGTAGGAGGACAGTTGACATTTACCATATCATATGACCTTGAAGAAGAGGAAGAAGATACAGAACGTGTTCTCCAGCTTATGATTATCTTAGAGGTAGAGTACTGAGAGCATGTTCACCCGTGTTACTTCCTGATGTTACTTAAGGTTACCAGTACTGTATTTTTTACCTGCCTGGTTTGACACTGACTTACAGGACTACTAAAAAAAAATATACCTTAGGAGATTTTTGTGCCACTCTTTTGTTTCACTCTGAGACATATCTAGAAGATTGAGTATATTTGTTGGGTTTGAATGATAAAGGAGAACTTTAGACCAGACTTGAAATTAAATTTCAAACATAAGGACCATATTTCCAAAATTTAAATATTATGAAAGTGTTTAGGTACATGCTAATTTACATGGTTGTGTTTTTCCTGTTTTCTCTTGCTTCCAGATAGATTTTATTGTCTACTCCCTTGTTTATATTAGATAAAATAAAATGAAACAGGAAACTTGTTTATTTAGCTATAGTTAAATCTTGACTTCAGAATCCTGTTTTAGGTAAGAAAGGTACAGGAGAAACTGCTTTCAAGATTTGAAGGGCCATAGGCAACTTCAAAATGCTCAAAGCCTGAAGTTTCCTTAGAGGCTCTCTGCCACCCTTTCTTATCATATCCATTCTTTCCAATAATGTATCTCCTCCCCTTGACACTGATACGTATTCAGAGGCACACACATACATGCATGTTCATTATTCCAAATGGGTAGATGTTAATTTAGCACCAGGCTCTGTTGTTTCCTGTCTTGAAACTTTCATGCATGTGAATCTATGACAAAATGAAAAATTCTTTTCTCAAAATGGACATTTTCCAGTATTGGATGAAGTGGTCTGCTCTCTCTCTTTCTGTCTCTCTCTTTCTCTCTCTCTCTGTCTCTCTCTTTCTCTCTCTCTCTCTCTCTCTCTCTCTCTCTCTCTCTATATATATATATATATATATATATATATGGCAACTAGATGTATACTTTGGAATTCCTTTAAGGTGAAAAGAGTTCTCTAAATGTAAAGTGTTGAGTGAAATTATTTAGCATTCATGTGAATGAACTAAGACAAGAAGGATTACCTAAGTGTCATAGGTCATTCAATATACTCCTTAGATGCCATTGTCCTATTTTGAGAATTAGACTGCAGTCTTTTTTGTTGTTTGTTTTTTCCCATGTAGTAAGTTCCTTTAAAATAATAGCTTAATTCAGTTTTAAGTTTCTTTCCCTATTGTTCTACACAACCCACATCCATCTACAGTTTGAAATATGTAACTTTCGTGCACTTTTTTCAATTCAAGGTGTTTGTAATCACATATATGTTTATGAGTTGTCAGGTAGCTATTATTTTAGTTAACAGGGAACTAAGGTCATGCCAAACCAAGAAGCATATGCTTCATAATGCATTTGGCTAAGGCTAATATTGAAATTGCATTGCCTTCCCTTCATGTATACCACAAATATATTCCCTGAATGACAGGGAAAGCCAACCTGAAAATAAAAGTCTACTAAGGCCGGGTGTGGTGGCTCATGTCTGTAATCCTAGCACTTTGGGAGGCTGAGGCAGGTGGATCACCTGATGTCAGGAGTTTGAGACCAGACTGGCCAACATGGCAAAACCCCCGCCTCTTCTACAAATGCAAAAAATTAGCCAGGCTTGGTGGCAGGCGCCTGTAATCTCAGCTATTATGGAGGCTGAGGCATGAGAATCGCTTGAACCTGGGAGGCACAGGTGGCAGCGAGCCGAGATCGCGCCGTTGCACTCCAGCCTGGGGGATAGAGCGAGACTCTGTCTCCAAAAAAAAATAAATAAATAAAAAATAAACATAAATTTTTAAAGTTAAAAGTCTATTGAGGGTGGAGGATACAAATATAGATATGTTTGACACTTTTGTACCCTCTTTTCAGTTTTACTCTTTTTTATTTCTTTTTTTTCCCCCTTTAGGGTAATGACTTGAGCATCAGCACAGCCCAAGATGAGGTGTACCTGCACCCATCTGAAGAACATACTAATGTATTGTTACTTAAAGAAGAATCATTTACCATACATGGCACACATTTTCCAGTCCGTAGAAAGGAATTTATGACAGTGCTTGCGAATTTGAAGAGAGTCCTCCTACAAATCACATACAGCTTTGGGATGGATGCCATCTTCAGGTAAAATCAAGAACTGCAGCTCCAACGTTCACACATTTACTTTGGGGCCAAGGTGCAGGAGCCGCCCCAGGAGTGAATTTTTTAAGGCACCTAGGATTTGCTGTCTTCAAAGAGCAGATAAGAACGGAGCCCTAGTTTTCTGAAAGATTTTTCTCTTAAACCTTTACAGTTTTAAATATGCAGAATAAATTTGTCTCGGTTTTTATTATTATTGATGATTCTTTCACAATTGTCAGAACATGTGATCAATAACGATTCCTATATTGAGAAATGTTATATTGGAAAATAAAGTCTCCTTTATGATGGCTCATAGCGTGGGAAGCTAAAAAGATATAAATTCCAGGGCACCCCTATTTGGAAAGTGGTTTTTAAAATATTTCCTTCCAGTAGTTGTTAACTAGTTTCTGGCTTAATAGTATATAGATTGTAATAAGAAAAGTAAGTCTTTTCATTTAAGTGACCACCCATCTCACTATAAAACACTTTAAGACTATAACAGCCATATGGTATAAAGGAAAGAATATGAACTTTGGAGCCAAACTGAATAGAAATTCAATAAGCTTTATTGCTTATTTTATGTGTGACCTTTGGCAAGTGATTAAGCCTTGAGGAACGTTTCTTTTCAGTGTAAAGTGGATATAGTAATGCCTACTTTTCAGGGTCTTTGTTAACATGATATGTGATCATTAGGAAAGTACTCATCACCTAGAACACTTTCAGTTTTTTTCTTGTTCTCCCCGCCCCCTTTTTTTAAAAGAGTGAACTACCTGACTTGAACCAAATATGCTCGGGTCTGATTAACTGCTGTAAGGCGGCTTTGTTTTTTTTATTTTTAAAACAATGACATTTTTATCTGACAGAATTTTAACTTCAACTGTGTCTGAATGAGCTCTTTACGCTTCTCGTTTTCTACTCTAATAATAAATAACACAAGGTGTCATAGGAACTTCCTTCTAAATCAGGTTAAGTTAGACATTCAAATGTGACCCCAGCCTGACAACCCGGTATACCTTTAATGAAAGCAATGTCTCCAATATTGGAGTTTTTATTGCTGACACCACCACCTCTCACCTCCCTGTCCCTCATCATTTCCCTGTGCTGCCTAGTTTGCCTTTCACTGGTAATATTTCAACTTAGTCTAATCATCATTACCATTTCCCAAAGGAGAGAACTGCAGAATCATAAACAGAACCATTGCCAAACAATGTACCTCTTTTGCATAGGCAATTCTTCTAGAAGCTGGGTTAAAATGCCATGGAGATGAGAAGCAGCACTTAGGAATTAATTATGTTTTTCACATTTAGCAAATAGAGGTTGTCATGATGTTTAAACAGTACAAAGAAATGAGTCCTCCAGCTTTCAAAATGAATGACAACCAAATTGACAAAAAAAGTGTCTGGGGGGCTTATATATTTTTGTCAGCATTGCTTTTCAGGCTAGTTAATACAAAGACATTTCCCCCTGATTTATGTTGGACAGTTTCAGTGTCTACCCGTCTTAAAATCACTGGTTTCATTTGCAGTCTTCTGAGGTTTCGCCATACAGGAGGAATGCATTCACAGCGCGGCTCTGTGAAATGACACAAGAGCTAATCCAAGTAGGTGGCTACTTTCTGTCACCTACATTACCTAAAGCACTGTGGTTCAATAAGTAAAAGCCAATGTCAAATTTGAAACTCCTACCCACTCAGGTGAGCTGAAAGTCGGCATGAATCTGGAGTCAGTCAGTAAGCTTGTTATATTTTATCTTTGATCTACTAGTAGATTGAGTCATATTTGTAAAACATCACTTGAATTGATTTCAACTTGTCTTGCACAGTAGGCTTTCGACTTGGTATACTGTTTGTGTACAAGCACAAGTAAATTGAAGCTCAACAAAAATTCATATTCAGACTTATTTACAGTGGATTTACTTCCATGGCAGTTCTTTCAGCAAATGGGCTTAGGTTCCTCCAGTTAGTTATATGATTAGATGGAATTGTATAACAGAAGGAGAACTGGACTGCGGGTCAAGAATTTTGACTTTTGTTTTCAACTCAGCTATTTAATAGTTGTAAACATAAGTATGGCTTTGACCTCTTTGGACTTCAATCACTTCATCTGTAAAATAAGGAGGAGGACAATTGCTCTGCCAGCTTCAAAAAGTCACCGCAAGAATTGAATTAGAGAGCTGCAAAAGCACTTGGCTAGTGGTAACCCAGCACACAAATATGAAGCATTTCTATCTTATCTACTTCATCCCAAAGGATCACATTTTCTCCAAATACCATTAAGACTTAGAGACCTCTAAAGAAAGGCACATACTGGCATTTCCATACATATGACAGTTCTTACTATCATTTTTATCCAGAATGCTGAGACCCATTAGATAAAATTAATTTATTTTCTTCTCGCTGTCTTCACTAGGAAGATGAAGGCACAAGTAGAAAACTCTTCATTCTTCTTTTAAGAATATAAGAGAAATCAACCTAACTGAACTGTGCATCTTTCACCTTTAAATTATCCAAGACTTGGATTTAGTAACATCCTTGGTCTTTAAATCAAGAAAGGCTTTTATGAAGCACCTATATTAGATATAGAACTCTGCACAAAGTGTATTTTCCTCTAACTTTACAGTAGACATTAGTAGAGTTCACCAAATTTCCAATCTCATCTATAGGGGATATTGCATTTCTCTAATCCTGGAGGGTAGATGTGTCACATGACTTGGTTTAGCCAATGAAATGTGGTAGAAATGATGTATTTTTTTTTTTCCTGAGGTAAACATTGAATTTCCAATGTGAGACTCTCTGCAGCTTACTCAGCAATCAGAAGATTAAAAAACAGCCTGGGGCCGGGCACGGTGGCTCATGCCTGTAATCCCAGCAATTTGGGAGGCTGAGGCAGGCAGATCACGAGGTCAGTTGTTCGAGACCAGCCTGACCAACATGGTGAAACCCCATCTCTACTAAAAATACCAAAATTAGCCAGACATGGTGGCACGTGTCAGTAATCCCAGCTACTCAGGAGGCTGAGGCAGTAGAATCACTTGAACCCGGGATGTGGAGGTTGCAGTGAGCCGAGATCGCGCCATTGCACTCCAGCCTGGGTGACAGAGGGAGACTCTGTCTCAAAAAAAAAAAAAAAAAAAAAAAAAAAAAAGCCTGGAATACTGATTTAGCACACAGAGGTCAGCTGCCCTAACAGTCACCCAGGCCTGTAGAGGATTTTACATGAGTAAGCCTTTGTTTTCTGTTAAGCCATTGAGATTTTGGAGTTGTTACCACAGCATAACCGAGTCCATCGTGACTTCATCACGATATAACTCATGAGTATTGCTTGAAAATAAATACAGAATCTTTTCAAGGCAAGATATTTTTACACAACTTTTAGTGTAAATTTTGCGGTTTGGGATCAAAAAAGATTATACAGAATTTATATAATAAATAATCTAGAAAAATTCCTTTGTAAACAAAGGAGTCTTTGATAATCATAGAAATAGTATTGATAGGTACACAGTATACCTCTGCCTTCTGAAGTTAATGATTTGGGTAACTACATTTTGAAGACATTTTACTGATAACACTAGGACTTAAAAAGATTTTTGCAGCTCACTTGGCATCCGGCCATTGGTAAGAGGTGCAGCCAACATTTTACCCTACGTTTCCTTCCCATTATCTTTGACTACCTCCCAATGCTATTCCATAAGTGTTGGATTCGTTCAGTCTGCAAATATTTACTGAGCACCTTCCATGATTATCTCTGTAAATCTCAGTTCCTCTTGTATACAATGGCAGAAACAATGTCTAAATTTCAATTGGCAATTAAGTGAAAACATAATGTATGTTAAGCACCTGAAATAGTATCTAACATATGTTGGGAGGCAATGCAGGGTAACAAGGAGATCTTTGGTTTTGGAGTCATGCTTGGGTTTGAATCTATGCTGCACCCTTTGCTAATGGTATTATGTTGGACAAGGCTCTTTACTCCTCTGAGCCTCAGATTCTTCATTTGTAAATGTGAATAGACATGGGTTGTTACATTGTTTATTGATACTTAAATGAAATGTCTTTCCAGCCTGTATCATAGTACACAGAAAATAGTAGACAGTAAGTAGTAACTATTAAAAAGCAGTCATTCTAGGCTAGGCTATAAGGATACAAAGGTGGACAAATGATCATTCAGTTCAAAGAAGGCATTGTACAGTAGAGAAGACAGATATACATATACATACTGTACATTTATGATAATATAAATAGTGCAGAAGAAGTGTGCACAATGCATATAAATAGTGCAGAAGAAGTGTGCGCAGTGCATACTGGTAGAACTAAGAAGGAAGCAATGAATTCTTGTGTTAGCATTTAATACACTTTTAATAAATAGCTGCAAAAGTATCAGTTTCTGTCAGTTACTGCTCTTACTCGATGTGGGATTGAAAATGTTTAAAGAAAATATCTTGCTATATATATATAAAAAACAAATTATATAGCATATATATATATATATATATATATATATATATATATAGTGGGTAGAAAAAAGACAATTGTAACATCAAGGGTATTTTTGTTGTTTTAAAGTGTCATGTTTTGTGCTGGTTGTTTTAGTGTAATATAGCATATCTTACTCTGGTGGGAAATGTAGTAAAACAAAAATATTGAGAACAATCTTTAAGGCAGCACCAAGACAACGTTTCTGAAATAGTTCCAATATTATTCATAGTGGCTTGTATAATTATGTCCTCTCTCTTCATCCATCATCTTTTCTGTATTTTCAAGGCATAAAAATAAGAGGGAAGAGTCAGCTAAAGCATTTGACTTAGTTGACAATTCTTTGATAGCTCATGCATCTCTAAAATTTAGTACTATATTATTGCCAACATTATGTATTTAAATGAATGCAGCTTGATATCAAGAGAATGACCATACTGAAGGGGAAAAAAAAATAAACTGCAGCCTTCTTCATGAGTAACACTTGAAACTGTTAAACACATTAAAATCCCATTTAACAAATAGCAGAACCTAATGAACATTGGGATTGCTCAGTGAGTACTAATGTGGAATATTACTGGGAAAGATGTTTGAGTGTTGAAGTTTCTCATAGCTCAGAATGGTTACACAGATTAAGGAGAGGAATGTCTGTTGTTCAAAAGACAAATGAAATTTGTCAGTTCACTGAAAATATTTTTGTTTTTGTATCTTTTTTAAAACTGTTTCTTAAAGTAGTCAACTGCTCATTCTTCTATTTTGAAATTTCCAGAACTCTTTGTTTAAGTTTTGCATGTCAATTTTATATGAGAAATTCTTGGACTGTATCTAGATACAGTTAATCAATCTGCTGTTTAGTAAATTGTGGTGATCTATTGTATGATAATCAACTAGTGTATCAACCATGAAATCATCTAATTCTGAAATTAAAAGGATCAGAATTATAGGTTTATCAAGTGACAGTCCATTAATTCCAGGCAGTTAGATTTCACAATACATTCAGGCGAGTTCTGGTCTCTGGCCTCAAGTTCTAATGATAACAGTTTCCATTTATCTTCTATGTCAAATCAAACAAGTAATTTGTCTTTTACTTTTCTGATTTTATTCATCTGAAATGTGGCTAGTAGTCTTTATTGTATCCTTTGCCATGGAGTTTGTTAGTCATTGTTTGTAATAGAACTGTTTTCCATTCATCTATTCATTTATTATTTAAGTATTTAGTCAGTTACTTTTGTATACATTTATCTGTCTATCTACCCATCCGTCCACCCATCCATCCATCCATCCATTCATCAATTCACCCATTCGACAAAAGTCTACTGAACATGAACATGTATGGAGATGATCATCCTGCATATATAGATGGCAAGATAGGTTTCTGTTCTCAAGGAGTAGCCCATAAGCTCATGCCAACATAAGTACTGGCTTTAGTAACTCTTCAAAACCCCGTTGTGTTAAGGAGACTTATCAGGCCCAGAAATTCTGTTTCTAGATATATATCCAAAAGAACTGAAAATAGGTATTATGTGTTCATGAATATGAATAGCAATATTATTTATGATAGCTCGAAGGTAGAAACAATCCAAATATTCATCAACTGATGAATGAATAAACAAAATGTGGCATGTACATGCAGTGAACATTAGTCATTAAAAGGAATGAAATACTGATACATGCTGCAATGAAGTTATCTAGAATAGGTAACTTCATAGCAACAAAAGCAGATTGTTAGTTTACAGGGGTTAGAGGAAGAGGGGAAAAGAGAATGACTGCCTAATGGATTCTGGGTTTTCTTTTGGGCTGATAAAATGTCTTAGAATTAGATATATGTCGTAGTTGCACAACATTGTAAATGTACTAAATCACAGAATTGTACAATTTATTTTTTAAATTTTAAATAGGTTTGAAAATTTTCATCCTACCCCAAATGTCAAAGTTCCTCTCTATGTACAACTTGAAATGCTTAATTTTATATGATGTGAATTTCATCTAAACTAATGACAAGAAAAGTAAATGCCTGTGACACTGCATTTTTCATTGACAGGGTTCCTCAGTGAGGGGGGAAAAAAGCATTTAATGATTTTCAAATGACACATGTAACCTAAACACTATAGGACAGTGATATTTGCCTAATCTAGAACCTTCTACCAGGTTGTCCAAGATGTGCCCCTAGAGAATATAGCACTCAATTAATAGTGTTGGATGAGTTTATTTACAGGTAAAGATAATTGCCTTGTGTTTAGAGGGTGCCATCTGGCACTCAGCAGCCAGGATGATTCCATCCAACTGCCTATATCTGGTGATTTCAGGGTTAATTTCCTTTTCTGCTTCCTGATCATATATGAGCTCATACATATTCAAAAGTACTGTCAAGTGTCTAGGATTAGCAAAGTGGGGGTAAAAGCAATGAAAATTTTAGAAATCTATTGCTGAAAAGCTTACAATTTGGATAAAGATCATCACTTTTGAAGATATGTTTACACCTTGTAATGAGCCTTTTAGCTTTGCTCTCTGGCTTGATTCCCAAATTCCCAGCATTGATTCCCAAATCTAACAAGTTATTTGGTAATTGTGAATCACTGATCAACAAAAATCTACCATCACTCCTGAGAAAGGAACTGAAAAATGCAGGCCATAGCGAGAATCAGTTGCTTCTTTCTTATGGTTACAAGATGCCATATCATATGCTATAAAATGTCTATCGGTAATTTTTAAAACTGTGATTATTATGAGTCAATAGTAGTCATTTAATTATGTGCTCTTAGAGTTTATTTAAAATTTATTTTCATGCACTAAAATGATTTGGAGATACAAATAGTGAAAAGTATATTTCTTGTAATGTTTTGTAGTAATTTTTATTTGGTTTCAACAGTCAATGAAAATAGGTTAATAAAATGTCTAGTATTTCATAATAACCTACTGTGTGTTACATATTATACCAAGAAGTTTATATTCATTTCCTTTTAAATCAAGCTCATGGTGTATGGACTATTATATTATCTCCATTGTATAGAAGAAAAAATTGAGGCCTAGAAAGAATAAGTTATTTTCTTCTAGGCCACAAGGCTGGTAAATATCAGAGACAGGATATAAATCTTGGTCTATTTGACTCACAAAACTGTATTCTTAATAATTAAGCTTTTAAGATGTCCTTTTACACAAAAATAGGAAAAGCAAGTAAGATACCAATAACATTTATTTAAAATGTGAATGCATAGTAAGAAAAGAAATATGTGTGTGACAGCATTTTTTTCCAATTTTCCATTTGGCCAAACCAGCTTTTCTCTAAAATAATGAGTTATGCCAAATCACTCTGCTAAAATCACCAGATTGTACAAAAGTACCAATAAAATGAAGGCCATAGATACAGAGAACAATGGATTTAATTTAGGCCAAAAACAAATTCCAGAGATCATTCTAAGTCAGTCAACTGAGCACTTTGAGAAAGTTTAGCTTATACCAACTACAAACAAGCAGATTTATCTCTAAGAAAAAGAAAACAAAATTGTTTCCATCTTTTATTTCAATTTAAAAGCTAAGATGGAATATTAATATTGCCTACTTCTGCTTTCCTTGTTTAAGCACTAAAAGAAATCAAGCAGTCATTGGAATGTTTTCTTTTTTAAAAGACCCTTTAACTATATGATTTTAAAAATGTCTGTCTCCAAAAAATGAAAATCAAAACACATAGCCAAGAGCCAAGAGACGAGGAAGAACATTCTCATATCTTTTCAGCATTTGGAGGTGGTGGTGATTGTGAGCACTTTAGACTGAGCCAACTTGACCTAATATGACAAAGGACCAGAGCTTTTGGTTATGGTATTCATCAGCTTCCTTTCTCAGCATGCATAATTGGCTTATATTTATGTCATTGTTGCTGTACGATTCCTACAGCTGTATAATACCTAAGAACTTTACTTATTCACCATCTCTTTTTTCCTCTGCCATAGGTTGAGCTCTGTTAACCTTGAATCCGCTGTCTCCTATCCTACTGATGGAAGCATTGCAGCAGCTGTAGAAGTGTGTCAGTGCCCACCAGGGTATACTGGCTCCTCTTGTGAAGTAAGCTTGCAAGAATGTATCCTTAGTGCTTTCAAAGTTCCCTCAACATTGCTTTCAATAACCTATTCTAATAAGAGCTGTTTTTTTTCTATCAATAATTACACAAATAATGTGTATCACTTAAAAACAAAACTTGAATATCTACCAAAAGCTGTGGCTTTCAATTAGAGTATTAACCACATAATTTCATTTTGTAACTCTTTCTCTCTGAGATATTTTGCCTATAACTGAAAATCTGATGTTTCTGTCTTTGCTACATATTTGATCTATTGTATGCTGGATGGTAGCAGAATAGCACTTCAAAATATTTTCTCTTCATTTTCATCATAATGTTATCCAAAATTTAGCACTCTATTTTTTTTTTACTTTTCTCTCATTTTTTAATTCTGTATCACACTTTTCCTCTACTTCATTTCTAAGAATACAACCAAATCACAATCATCTGAAGCATATAATCTTCAGAATGTCAAGAATATAATATATGGAAAAAATACCTTGATATAGAAAACTGCCTACAGGTCTTTGATTTGTTTAGCACCTAATGTTTGAGATATTTATTGTTGTCTCAATATCCTAGATTTATAATAAGATTAATGGTTCTTACTTAATACCGCAGTGTGTCATCCTAAGGTAACAATTTTTATTTGCTTCTGTGTATTTTCTTTTACACAGAAAACTGGTGTGAAACTGGTTTTACTTGAAACCTGGTCAAAAAATGTGAACACTATTTCCTTGACAGAGCGCATGGCTAGCAGATAAATAGGAGCTTAGTTTCTTTAAAATGGTGCCTTTAAGGAATCATTTGAGTGTACTGAGATGTTCCACTTCAGAACACTACCTCATTATGCCATTTATAGAAATACTCTAGGCATTGCTTTGTCAGTTCTCTCGTACTTTTAAAATAATGCATACATCTAGAGATACGCATTATAGTCATATTCATGACAGCTGTGTTTCCTTTAACTGAGCTCAGATTCACCTTTCTAGAAATAAAACTAGATATAACTTATAGAAGTACTTGCTTTTCCAAAATTCATGTAGATGAGAGAAAAATAATTATGGATATCAATTAGCTATGTCAACCCAAATTTGATTTTACATATAAAATACACAATGTATTTGATGAAACAAGAGCCTTTTGCTCTTGATTCCAAACTATTTGAACTTTTAAGATCCTCTCTCAATTGGCATAATAAATAACTTAATTCTACTCTTGTTTTAAGGCTTGTTTCCACATACTTTGTTCTCATCCTTTGCATTATCTTTTATACAAATTCTAAGTGCCCACTGAATATAAAATTACTTGAATATTACAATTGCTTAATTGGCTATGCTTTTAGTCTCTTCCTTCTCTCCTTCAAAAATATTTTCAATACATTCTAGATATGTTTGATAAATTCTGTAAATTTACCTGTATAAATTATTAATAAGTACATACAACATAATCCCTGTCCTATCTGTTTAGGGAGACAATAAATATCTATGAAAAATGGGATCTCAGCACTGTATAATTAAGGGAGAGGTATGTGCTACAGAACATACATGCAATAATCATTCAAAGGGATGAGCTACTGCAGTGGAGAGAGATGCAAAGTGTCCTGGAGTGGAGAAATCTTAAATTGGATGCTAAATAATGGTAACAGATAGATAGAAGCATTTGAGTGTGAAAAAAAAAGGAGAGATAATAAAAGCTTCCTGTATCTGTCACACAATAATTGTTTGATAAATAAAATTACTTTGTAATCCATAAAAGAACTTAATTGAATCAAGAGACAATGAATTTTGGAACTTTGGATTTTCTCTCTGACTTCTTCATTTCTTCTACTCTCTAAAATTCATTTTTTCCTTATCAAAACTTTCTGTCCCTAAATTCACTATTATTCAGTCCTATCCTTTCATTATTTCATTTGCTTTTCAATTAAGTGTAGTTTGTAAGGCCAGTCATTCTAGCCTTGTTATCACTAATATCCTGGGATCCCTTAAAAGCTGAGTAAACGCCAAAGACCATTAATGTCTTAATTCCAGCTTGCTGAGAACCTCTGGCCAAAAAAGGATCAAATGACTCCATTGTAGACATTCTCTTTTACTTCATTTGGGGCCATAGTGTTGATTCAGGATCTTTTTTCTCATTTCTACTTGACTTCTTGTGAAGTGTTCTGCAGTTAAATCTTTCAAAAATTTTCTTACTTTCATAGTGCTGTCATCATAGATTTCACTTGACAGATGAGACAGGGGATATACTATTAAAAAGAGTGTTATGCAATCTCAGTTTCTTCTTCCATGAAATGAAAATAATATTAACCACCTCATAGAATTGTTTGTTTGTTCGTACTTTCATTTAGCTGACTAGTATTTGATGAGCGTGTATTTTGAGACAAACAAGACCCTACACAGGGAAAATAGTGCCATTAACAATACAGATATTGTCCCTGTCCCCAAGGACGTTGCACTGAGTGGTGGCATTAACGATATGCCAGAAAGCAAATAGAAATAAACGTGACAAATTCTATGAAGGAAATAAACAGGGTGAAATAAACAGGGTTCTATGATAAAGTTACTGCAAGTGGTTGTATGAAGGTTAGAAAGTCTACTTTGTAAAAGTTTGTCAGGAAAGGCTTCCTGAGGTGGTGACAGCTAAATCGAGTGTTGAAGAATGAGAGGGACAACGATGTAAAACCAGCTGCTAAGGAAGCAGCATAGATCGTGGAGTCTGTAAGGACTGGAAAGAAGGAGCGTGGCTGGAGCCTTGTAAGCAAGGGGAAAAGTGGGACAAGAAGTGATTGGAAAAGCAAGGCCATGAGGAGATTTGCACATATGATAAGAAATGAGCATTTTATTCTCATGGCATGGAACATCATTACAAGCCTTTCAGCAGAGTAGTGGAGTAGTGTAATCTGATTTACATTTTTGGGTTTTGGGGTGTTTTTTGTTGTTTGAGACAGGGTCTTGCTCTGTCACCTAGGCTGGAGTGCAGTGATGCTGTCATAGCTTGCTGCAGCCTCAAACTCCTGAGCTCAAGTGATCCTCCTGCCTCAGCCTCCTGAGTAGCTGGGACTACAGGTGTATACCACCATGCCCAGCTATTTTTTTTTGTTTGTTTTAATAGAGACAAGATCTCAATATGTTGCACAGGCTGATCTCGAACTCCTGAGCTCAAGCAATCCTCCCACCTCAGCCTCCCAAAGTTCTGGGGTTACAGGCATGGGCCAACGCACCCAGCCTGAGTTACATTTTTTTGAAGAAGGCATTATGGCTACAGTAGGAAGAATGTGTCTTAGGAGGGCATGAATAATAGGAAGGAGAAGGGTTAATATGTAGTTGCAGTGGAACACAGCAATGACAGTAGTTGCTGTTAGGATCATGGCAGGGAATATAAAAAGAGTTAGCATATTCTATATATATTTTGATAGTAGAACAAATAGGACTTACTGATTCGAGACTGTATGTCAGGGGAGAGATTAAAGAAATAAAGAGTTTAAGAATGAGTCATAGATGACCAGTTTGAATGATTGATCAGTTGGTTGTGGTGTCATTTACTGAGCTGAGGAATAGTTGGTGTGTGTGGGGGGGTGGGGGCATGGAATCCATAGTCCAGTTTAGAAATTTTCGATTTGAAAACGCTGTGAAGTGTAAATGTCAATGTGTATTTATAATATTCAGGTCTTAAATTCAGCATGTCTGTCTGGTCTAGAGATATGTTTTTGGAAGGCGTCATAAACTATGGAACTGAATAAAATTACCCAGGAGAAAGTGCAATTGATTTAAAAAAGAGAGAAAAATAGCCCAGCCCAAGCCCTGAGGAGCTCCTGACGTTAAGAAGCAGGGTCAAAGCAGAGGAGACAGCAAAGAAATATGCTAGAAATTTGGGAAGTGTGATGTCATGAAGTTGAGAAAAGAAATTGTGGGAGGAAAAGGAGTCAGCTAGGCCCAAGGCTGATGAAAGGTTGGATAAAATGCAATTGCAGAATTGTCCATCGAATTTGGCTGCATGGAATTTGGTGACAAGGACAAGAGCAGTTTTAATTGAGAGGTGGTGACACAAAACAGATTAGAATGGAATGAAGTGTGAAAAAGAGGTGAGGAATATAATACTTGTTAAGAGTAGTGTTACTGAAAAGAAAAACATAGATGACTAGAAAAGTTATATGAGGCTAAGAGGACAGTTTTGTCATTTGTGTTTTGTTTATTTTTGATGGAGACACTAGATCATATTTTTTTGTGCTGATAGTAATGACCCAGTAGAAGGGAAAGTTATTACTAATCCATCAGAGAGAGTGAATATTGAGAAGATAACAGATGCTGGAATCAGATGACAAGTGGAGTAATATTTCTTTAGGAGGAAGGACCCCACATTCCCCACATCACTTGTTTGGAATGGGAATATGGCAACAAGGTTTGGAGATATATGCTTAGATCTCTGGACTTGTTAGTGCAAAGGCAGCTTTAATTTTTTTCTGTGAGTAATAAGTTAAAATCACTGGCTAAAAGAGAGGTGTAAGGAGTTGGGAAGTTTGAAGAAAGAAGACGTGGTATGAGTACTGCATTTGCAGAGTATTAAAACAAAACAAAAAAACTTATTAAGGAAAACTTCATGAATATCTGTCTGAAAACAGTAGATTAGTTCTCTCCCTTTTCTCAACATCCTTAATTTCTACCCCCTTATGAATATGTAGCTTCACCAGCTTTTAAAAATGTATATTACAGAAGGAAATCACTTCTATAATGAATCTAGGGAGGCAAAAAATGTAATGGGGAGAAATGGGAAGGGATTTAATTGGGAGAAATGGAAACGGAACAGGATAGAAATTTGACAATTTTGGGTTGGTTGTGGGGGTTGAAAAATGAGAACACATGGACACAGGGAGGGGAACATTATACACTGGGGCCTGTCGGAGGGTGGGGGGCTAGGGGAAGGATAGCATTAGGAGAAATATCTAATGTAGATGATGGGTTGATGGGTTCAGGAAACCACCATGGCACGTGTATACCTATGTAACAAACCTGCACGTTCTGCACATGTATCCCAGAACTTAAAGTATAATAATAATTTTGAAAACAAATTTGACACTTTTTTTGGTACTGTTCAAATTAAGGGGAAAGTTCATTTTATTTTATTTTCAGATATAAAGTATCAGTACATAAATTTTTTTATGTGTTCATTATTGATGTTCAAATTTGAGAGTCCTCATATCCTGAGGCAGAAGGAACATTTCCACGGAGCATAACACAATTCTATATCCTTTATTACTTCAGTGGTTTCTCTTCTGTTTTCTTTTTCAACTGGAAAAGAAGGGCTTTTCATGATATATGATGTTGTACTCGACCATCCAGAAATATAGTAAATAACCCACAAGATGCAATTTCACTGGAGGGTGATCATAAGCTCTTAGAGGGCAGCAGTATTTGCCTCATGCTTATTTTGCATCTCATCCATTTTGTAGTAATCCCCACAGATGGAAAACTTAATTAAGGATGATGGGGAACTTAGAGCAGGCACTGACACAGGGAATCTAAGACTAAAATACCCTGTTTTAATCAGAATTCAGTTTTTATATAATAAAGTGTTTCACATTTTAAACAAGGAATGAAAAATACAAGCAAAGTTACAGAAGAATGCCATAAAATAAGCTATCAAGAATGTGAGAAATAAATCATAAACTTTTTGTGTAAATTTGAGAAAGCATAATAGGATGGAGGAAATTTAGCATGAAATACATGAATTATATATGTGTAGAAATTAGCTGTGTATGTGGTCAAATATAAGTGTGGGTGCTGCCTTTCTTCCAAATCATGTCAAAGATTTTCTGGAAATGATGACGTTAAGGGCAATTAGTATATGGGCAAGTGAACACATTCCAGAGAATCAAAATTGCTTGGGATGACATCGGGTACTCTCTTAGGCTAAGACTATATGATGAGTCCTTTTATATCAGCTGCCTTTTTTACAGTACTTTTTCTTCTACTTTCCTGTCTGTGCTTTTTTCTTTGAGACTGTCACATTTCAATTCTTTATATCTCTGCTTTATTTTACCATTTCAGAAGAAACACCAAGCTAATGCTTCCTCTAATCTCATACCTGCCAATAACACTAAGGTCAGTGCAAAGCCCCAGTGTCAGGAGGAATAGCTCTGTTGCAATGTTTCAATAATGGCAATGCTTTGACAAGCACATTTGATGAGTTTCCTACCTGTTATTTTCTGTTATCAGAAAACAAACACAAACAAACAAAAACACCTTTTTGTTTTAATCTCCAAGACTGACTAAAGCCTTATCTTTCTCTCAGTCTTGTTGGCCTAGGCACAGGCGAGTTAACGGCACTATTTTTGGTGGCATCTGTGAGCCATGTCAGTGCTTTGGTCATGCGGAGTCCTGTGATGACGTCACTGGAGAATGCCTGGTAAGTGCTCTCTTCTTTGGGGATGCTGATTGACAAGGCTGAAATCACCTCGACAGATGCTACAATTCAGCTACTACCCTGGGGACCTTAAACACTTGAGTCAAGAAGTGCTTTGACAAAGATCTTTGTATTGAACTGAATTGGAACTGAGAATGCTCTTTCATATGTGATCTCCCTAATGAATATGAGGAAGTGTTTATTCATATTAAATCAAGAATTAAATTAGAATCAGATATATTTTTATAAGGCATAACTTCTGATTGGAAGTATAACTACCATGAATATATATGGTTTCACTTTCTTCCATAAATCTATGAAAAGTACAGTGTACTTTTAAAATAGAAAATAATTTATATCCCCATAATATGAAAAGTGTAAAATATAACCTTTATAGTAAACATAATTAAGTTTTCTTCATGTTGAAAATGAAAACATACTACATATTTTTATTTAAAATGTTCATAATTTAACTAAATGCATAGTGTCATTTGTAGATTAAAAATAAAAACAATATGTAATACATATTCACCAGAGCTGCTTCTCCTTTGCAATTAAGTCTAAGCTTTAACCAGAAAATAGGCTTTACAAAGTGCAAAGCACTTTCCATCCTGCTAAGAAACCTTAGGATTGGAGAATTACACTGAATAGACCATTCTGATTAACTCAAGGGCACATTAGTTTTATATTGTCTGACATGGCATGAAGCTTGAAACAACACTTCTCCTTTCATTAGTCTTGCAGAAACACAATTTAAAATGGTGCCAATTAAGGAGGATATTATACTCTCATTTCCCTGAAGAATTTAAGGCGGATTCTGTTACCTGTAATTCTTAATGTTCTATCTTTCTCTTGCTCATTTTCCCCCATTTCTCTTCTACTTAAAAGCTTCTGGGAAAAATCCAAAATGAAAATTCAGGGCTTTTGTTTCAGTGTAATTTGGCATTTAGGTTTGTTGATGCTCTTTCCCTTTTCTCTATATAAGATTTTGTTTAATTGCATTGCATTATGAAGCATGAGAGCCTTAATTTGTGGATCAGTGGATTTTTGAAATGACATTTTTATGAATAGAAAGACTAAGTGATTTTCATTTTAATTATGCCATAAGTCTTTTAAAATGTACTTTGGGAAAAATATTGGGTTACCTTTAAACACTTCACTAACATGCAGTAGGAAATAATACTCAGCCCAAAACTGACATGGAATTGTTTTACTTACCCTAAGAAGACAAAAATAAGTATGTCATAATACCAAACTCATGATGTTCCATATAGTCATATTTCATGAATTCATTAGGATAAAATCAAATCAAATTTTCATGCTGAATTCATTAGGATGAAAGCAAATTAGTCCATTTGTTGATGTGATATTTCTAAAACTAGAAGCCTTTTTTAACTAATAAAACAGTGTCATTCAGCATAATTTTGAGAGAAGGAAGGGAGAGAACAGACCCTACTAATGATGCCTAGTTTACTGATTTTGTTTCATGAACAGGGAGATAGGAGGTCTCCTTCAAATAACAGAGCGATCTTGAGGAAACAGTGGACATCTTGATGATAAAGACAGAATCTGGTGTTTCCTGAATTTTCCATCATAGCTAGTAAATAGGTGATCATGTAGGATATACTGACTTTCAAGTGCCCTTTCTCCAAAATTGTATTGATAACTAAGTGCTGATATTCCATTTTGAGTATATGGGTTCTGATACAATACACAAAGAGGAGAATATTTGAATGTTGCTCATCAAGGGCATTCTTACTGTTCAGCTGACCCTGCATTTTAGCTTCTTGTTTATTTTTCATGGTTTTAACCCAGCATTAAGTAGCATGGTTTTTAGCATGAAAAATAAATTTATAAATTTATAAAGCTTAACTTGCTTTAAAATTTGATTATAAATTATCTGAAAAATATTTTTGGCACCAGAACAAAATCTAAACTTCTGCAATAGTGTAGGTCTATATTTAAAAGACATTTTAACTCAAAGTCCATTTGAAGTAAGCCAGGAAGTATTCAATGTCACATGGGAAGATTTCATGCTTGCTTCTTCTCATAGTTCTTGTGGTATGTAATGTGAGCAAAATTTTGTAAAGCACTTTCGTAACAGGACACCTGTAAAAATAACCAATCCATCAGAGTGAAGCTTCCATCTTTTTTTTTTTTTTATTTCCATTATATAGGTTGTCTGATGCAGTTTTCTGGTTTCCACTACAAAAATACTTGAGTTTTAAGATGATTTTTATTTGATGAAACGTGACATTAGAAAATGTAAGAACTACATGTTATTTGTCTTTTAAATCAATAATTGGAAATAAAAAACCCTCTCAATTATGCAAGATTTTCAGTTGAATGTTAGAAATACCATTTTCAACATGTTTAAGGCAAAATTAATTTTTGATTCAATTTTTTAAAACCCTTAAGTATTTGAAGACATAATTTTAGTTGTATCAGTGAGATAACATGCAAATAATTTTACAAAAAAACAAGCAATTCTTCAGTAATAGCTTAGTTTAGCTAAACTTAAAAATTGAAAGGAAGTAAAACAAAAATCAAATCGGGGAAAAAATCTTTCTTCAAATGGATCCATGTTTTGCACATTAAATCCCAATATACTGCATTATTAAGGCAACTATTCATAGTGAAGCTGACCTTAATGCTATCTTTTAAAAAGTTTTGTTAAAAATAAATTTGAGAAAGAATTTTAAATAACTTAGAGAAAAGCCTGTTTTCAAATATCACCAGTTACTACAGAAATACATATCCACATTTAGTTGATGAAATTGGCACGTGATGTTTAAAATTTTTCAATTTTCTCCATGTTTAATTATGAGTCAAGCAAGCTTCTCACAGATGTAATACAGTAGTGCATTGTCCAAACCATCAGAGTCCACTGAGGCCAAAATTCATGTCTGAGCTAAGAGGCCATAGCCCCGGAGGATTTCTATGATTAGCCACAGTTCCCATTAAATCAGCAATTTCAAGCTGAACAATTGATTTTTACCTAGAATCAGCTACAATTTCCATTAAACATATGTTATTAGTGCTCTATGACTACACACACACACACACACACACACACACACACACACACACACACACACACGCAATATCATGTATTTTCTTAAGGAAAATAAAGAAAAAATGAAGTAAGATTTGCATAATGAAAAACATTAAAATGAATTTCAATCATCTTTTTGTAAGTATGCATATGCTGAAACTACTGTGTTGTTTATAAGCTAGATATTAAATTAACTTTCAATGCTATTTCTCTGCTGTAAAATTGACCATTTAACATGGAAAAATTATTCTTGCTGGCAGGGAGCAGACTAATGACTTCGTAGACCTATTTTTGGCAACATGTTGATCCCTGACACCAAAATAATAAACTCTGATGCTCATTTCTTTCTCAGAACTGTAAGGATCACACAGGTGGCCCATATTGTGATAAATGTCTTCCTGGTTTCTATGGCGAGCCTACTAAAGGAACCTCTGAAGACTGTCAACCCTGTGCCTGTCCACTCAATATCCCATCCAATAAGTAAGTAACAAACTTACCCCATGAATAAGCTCAGCATCCATTTCTGCAAGTACACTTTTCATAGCAAATATACACTTCCTTTTATCCCATGTAAATAAATAATAAACACAGACATGAATTTTTTCAGGAAAATTATATGAATTTTTTCAAACCTAAGATATTTAAAACTATGAGGATTTCTAAGAATTTGTAATTTTTTTAGCTCTAGTTTTGGTGATTTAATTTCTAAGAGTAGAACTCAAATAGAATTTCTACACCAATTCCAAAGAACATAAATATTTTATACAAACACATACATGTGCATGCATGTACACACCTACACACAGACACATACCCATCTTCATACCTTAATAAAAGGATATAAATACAGCTAATTTGGGTTCTACCCATACACTATTTTTTTGTGAATCTTGGGCAAGTCGTAAACCTCTCAAAAAGTAAAATGAAGGGACTGATTTAACTGACTTTTAAGTACCCATTCTATCCCTTCTTTTTAGAAAAATTCGTTGTTCACCTAGAACAACCACCTCTTAGAGCAGATTTAAAAAAACAAACAACAACAAGAAAGAACACTTGACTTCCTCATTTCCTTACCTTTTAGAGGAATGCTATATCCAGCTGCTTGAATTCACATTCCCTCAGGGCAGCCTCTCTCAGTAAACAGCTAAGCACACCCCAACCAAAAATGTTGTTTTGTTTTTAAATTGGGATACTTTTTTTTTTTTTTTTTTTTTTTGAGACAGAGTCTCGCTCTGTTGCCCAGGCTAGAGTGCAGTGGTGCAATCTTGGCTCACTGCAAGCTCTGCCTCCCGGGTTCAAGCCATTCTCCTGCCTCAGCTGGACTACAGGCTGTGTTGAATAAAAATCAACAATTTTTACTCAAAAGTGATTATAAATAACTATACTTTTAAATAAAAGGAAATTATTTTCTGAAGAACTCTCTTAAAGGTGAGCTTAGTGCTTAATAAGGTTCATATCGTATTGTACACTTTCCAGCTATCTCTAGGCACTGTGACAACACTGACAGAGCAAAAATTTTCAATGATCTTTAAGGGAAATCTGTCAGCTATAGTCTTTTAATGTGTAGATGTGATCAAGTAGGTCATACTTCAAACTCTTACCCAGAATGCGCCTAATTAAAATGGTCTTTTGTTAGATTCAATGAATACTATAAGCTAAAGACTTTGAGATAATTCTAACATTAAGTTTAAATGTTCTCCTTGAAACTGTGCTTCCTACTGTTAATCCACATGAAATGCTTATCCTCCCAATGACCTTCTTTACTCAGAATTTTTTACCTTACTCATTGTTTGGAAAAGAAGAGAAAGCACTACTATTTAATAAAAGCAGACTACTATATTCTAGGCCAAACACTGTATTTGGTATTATTTCACCTTCAACTATAACTCAGTAAGGTAGATATTATTATCCTCATTGTATAGATTAAGAAATGAAGGCCATTAGTAGAAAAATGGCATTATGATGCCAATTCTGGAGCCAGACTCTTTGGTTTAAATGCTGGGTTCCATACTTTCCAGCTGTGCCACTTTAGGCAAGTCACTGAAACTCTCTGTGCCTCAATTTTGTCATCATTAGTTATAATAGGACTCTCATAGGGTTGATGTGGGAAAGACATAATTAAAATGTGTAAACCACCTAAACTGTGACTGGATATGATGAACCCAATCTAAGAGCTGATTGTTATTAACCTGCTCAGAGTCATAAAGTATTAAAGTATCAGAGTTGGAATTTTAGTTTTAAAATCCATGTGCTTTCCAAATCTCTACGGTCTACAATGAAGACTTCTTTAAAAAAAAATACACACTGCATTTTAAGTGATAACACTAAAAGCAGTAATTAATTCATTGGATAAGTCAATTTATCTAGCAAGGTTTTGAGAAAATAAGACATTGGTTTAATGCAGGGGTCCTCAACCATCTATAGCCTGTTAGGAACCGGGCTGCCTAGCAGGAAGTGAGTGGTTGGCATTACCACCTGAGCTCAGCCTCCTAACAGATCAGGCAGGCATTAGATTCTCATAGAAGCTCAAACCCTATTGCGAACTGCACCTGCGAGGGATCTAGCTTGTATGCTCCTTATGAGAGTCTAACTGATGCCTGATGATCTGACGTGGAACAGTTTTATCCCAAACTCCTCCCCTGCATCTGTGGAAAAATTGTCTCCAACAAAAGAAGTACCTGGTGCCAAAAATTTTGGGGACCACTGGTTAATGTATGTTAGTGATCAGAACATTTCCAGGGCCTAAGGCATGAGCCTGAATGGGCTCAAAACTGAAGATTCTTTAACAACCAAGGATGTTAGAGAAGAGGAAGAAGGCAAGAGAGAAACCTGTTGGAAAATAATTACTATAGGAGAACAAATGAAATATATTCCTTCATAATTAAAGGCTACTCAAGCCTATGATAGTCATAACATGACACAAAACCTGCACTTTGGTATATATGCGAAGGGTTAGATCACCCAATGGAAGACCTACTTGTTTGCCATGGCTGAATGGCATTCTCTTAACCATCTTCATTTACATGAAACTCATTGTTCACGACTAACTTGCATTTGAGGAAAGCAGAAGTATTGCATCTGGCCACTCGTATTGCATCTCCTTCTCAGCCAAGATGTCATGAGCATTAGCACCACTATCAATCCAGCAGAGCTGGCTGCCCATTGCATCATGTGAATTCCAGCTGAATACATATTAGAATTATATAATTGATTGAGTATGCAAACCCTATGGATTTACCCTCAAGTCTGACCAACATTACTATAAATGCAGAGGAAACATTAGGGAGATAATTTTGCTTGGATAATTATAGGCATTCATGACCCATTGTTGTCTCTTTATTTGTTGTGCATTTACTTGGATAATGGGTTCTAATTGTTGTTCCTGAAAAAGAAAGAAAGTCTGCAAGCATTAAAACACAATCCATCAGTGCCAAAGGGATTGGGTTTCCAGTGTCCAATAATATTATTTCCTAAAAGATGTATATTCTAATTTGGTATAATTACGTTGATCCTGATTTTTAAAAATGCATATAACACAGTGATAACAATACCAGTAACACCAAGTATTTAATGATTCTTTCATTTTCAAAATGTTTTCACTTAGAGTAAGCAATTAATAATTATTAGTAAATATTAATAATTACCAAATTATCAAATATTAATATAAAATATTAAAATTAGCAAATTACTAAATAATAATTTTACTTCTAGCAGTAGAATTGGGACTAGAATAGCAATTTATTTTAAATTCCAGCTTTCAATGTGGTATTTTAACAAGTAGAAAGAGAGGGCAGTGATAATTCACTTAGTTTATAAATCCTAGAAGTTTTGTGAGAGGGTTATAATGTCTTTTACATTTAAAACAATTTTACATTTAAAACAATTTTACATTTAAAACAACTAGAAAATTATCATGGTTTAGTTGCACAACTGTGATGAGAAAAATCCATTTTCATCTAACAACCTGAAATGTTTAAAAAAAAAATCACTAAACAAGACACTTAATGACCTAGGGAAACTATCCTTTTTAAAAATATTTTATAAAAAACATTACTGTTATAATGTGAGCTAGAAACTCTGAGATATGAATTGAATATTTGCATACAATCCTGAAGACGAGATTTTAATTTCCACAGGTTATTCAGAGAAAAAAAAAAAGGGAGCTAAAGGTTGACGCAACCTTCATGGGAAGTCTAAAGCTTAGTGATAGTTTTACCTTGGTGATTTATCTATTTAATCCCTGGTCATAAATCTTATAGATCACAAGCATTTTGGCTCCAAATTTCTTAGATAATATTGCTAAATAAATCAAATATGTAAGAAGATAGAGATAGATTGGTATAATTATTATGATGTATGAATACAGAGAAGCATATAATATTTAAATTATACATATATATCAACTTCATCAACTATTTATGGTGATCACTATGCTTGGCCTTCTCATCTTGTTGATGTATATATTCTAGCTATAGGTTGTAACTAGGCAGTAAAAGTTATCTGGAGAGAAGCAAATAACAATGTAACTATTTCGAATGTTTATATTCTTTAATTTCTGGCATCACATAGCTTATAGGTTAAATAAAATATGAAAGAGACATGTGAATCTCTGCCTTTGAATACTTAGGATGTGTTTGAATATATAATATTATTGAAGTTGTTATAGATTTTCATCAGTTATATAATAAAATATATTATTGGCACAAGGCTGGACAGAGATAGGACCTCAATAAGTTCTATCTACTAATATCACTGTAAATACTACTGGTTTGTGTGGGTCAGGAATGCTGAAATTTAAGTTTTTGAAAGAATGAAACTCAAATTTGAGTTGACCTTTGGGCTCACTCAAGAGATCATATTGAATGCACGTTGTTAAAATTAATATAGAGAAATGTATTCCAAGACAATAGGTAAATTTAAGGAAACAATCAATTCAGCCATATTCTCTAGAAAATTGAGAATGCTCTAGATGTTTTAGTGCTCTTTCCTACACATTGTTTTATGTGCACATGGGAGATTATGATGGGTCTTCCTGGTTCCATATGCCAAAGGAAAAAACTAAAGTTCAGAGAAATTAAGTGCCTTGATAGTGATTATACAGCTTGCTTGTGGCAGAACCAATATTGGAACTCATATATTTTGACTCACCTCTCTGTGCTTCTTCCAATGGGGCTACAGTAATAGAAACAATTACAGAAACATTGAAAAGAAGCAAAAAAAAATCAATAGAATTTAATGTCAGACAAACTGTAAATGTTCACTGTAAAAATCAGTAAATCTTCACTGTTTGGCAAGAGTTATGTTAATTATGCTACATAGTTACAGTTATATTAACAGCTATGTTAATATAAGGGACTAGAGCAGGATGAGAAAACTGCAGATTTAATTCTTTAACTATTAACTAAATACCTTTCACGTTAAATCAACATATCTTATTTTGTTTAAAAATTTGTAAAAAAAAAAAAAAAGGCAAAGTTTTTTAAAAAATTAATAAGTCGTATCTATAATTTATTATGGCAATATGCTTTCATACTTTTTCAGTATAAAAGGGTTTATCAAATCAATCATATTATTCCATTTTGCAGAATGGGAAACAGGTTTAGAGAAATATATCGTTCAAAGACATACTTAGAAAATAAATCAAGTCTAATTAAGAAATGCAATTGTGGAGATTAAATCAGATTTCATAGTACTTAAAGGTAATTAAAGAAATAAGTGTTTGCTTAATGATTCTCCTGAGAATAAGTAGGAGAGATCATTGAACTGAAGAAGAAAATACTTAGAAACTTCAGAAATTTATGACGCTAACACCAAAATCATGAAGTAAATGAATTTTTTCTTTTTCTCCTCTTCCTCTCAGTCCCTGCCCCTTTTCAGTTATGTGTGAATATTCTCATTACCCTCATCTCCAGCTTCTCCACTGACATTGTGTAGCCACTCAAAATGGTTTCTCTTATCCTACCCAACTGTTCAAGATAATAATTAGTTGAAAGGAGTCCTGATCCCCTGTTGTGTATGCAAATACAGAACATGCCCTGATTTTCTAACCCTAATGATGGAAGTTTTAATTTTATACCCATGATTAAAGGAGTGCTTGTTTTATATCACATACAATCCCAAGAAGCAATTCATTATATTTTATTTCAAATGCATGACAGTTAAAGACACACAAAATATTCTCACACATTGACTTAATATGTGTTTAATTTTATTTTAGAGTATTGGATTAACTCTCTGTGGGAGCATTTAACGTTAGAACTGAATTTCAGGACCCACAGAAGGACCCACAGAAGAAGTTTCCCTAATGTCTGATAATCAGGAATTGTTGAGCTTCTATTGAGCAATTGTTTTGCTTTTGGCTTCTGGCTGCTCTGAATCATTTACCTGTTGATTGTTCCCTTTTGCATTAGCTGTGAAAAACCTCAAAGCCAAATGTTGATCCACCCTTATCAAATGAACATATGTTATAACATGCATTTTGAATTCTAAATACACCCTTAAGTTTATCTTTTTTTTAGTATTTTTTTCTCTTTAACCTTGCTTTATTCTTAATGCACATATTTTGACAGATAGAATTAAATTCTTTTTAGAACAAGGTTAATTGTTTCTCTATGTATGCATTCACATACATAAACATATATAGATTGTTGACATAGTCACATGTATACACATGTATGTACACATATATATGCATACATATATACATGCTTATAAGTAGATTATAAAAATAAAAGTATATATTCAGCCATTAAGAGGGATTATTTTCATGTCCAGCTTTTTATTGGTTATCCCAATAACAGCTTCCCCTCCTCCCCTATTTGTGGAAAATGCCCGCTGCTCTTGGCTTTCTTGTGTTTCCTGTGGCGTGGTTTGGATAATCCGGGATGAAGAACATTTTCTGCTGGTGTGGAGCTAGCCAAATAGAGTTAAATGACATAATCTTGGAATCACTTGAGGTCAATGATGATCTCACAATTTCCTCTTTGTGTCACGGAACAATTAGCTTCATGTCTTGGCCAAAATTAGTGCTAAGTGACTGCATTTGCCAAGGCAAATTCTGTAGATGTTTTTTATTGTGCATGTTTATTTCTCACTCTAATTTTATTTTTGTTGTTGAATGCCATCTTCTGCCATAGCTGTAACTGCAATTACAGCAATAAGAGAGTGAATCTTCAGTTTATGTTGTTGAAAGAATATCAAAGCACAAATACAGATATATTTTATGAGAAAGTTTTATTTGGATGCGTTATGTCGAGTATCTATATTACTAGAAACTTAAACTTACTTAATTCTTACCAGTAGGTTTCAATGACAATTGGTTATAGGAAGAAGAGAATATCACATTAAGAATCTAAAGTCCTAGATCCCATACTAAATTCTCCTGGAAATTTTGTATATGACCTTGGTTAAGAAAAACTGTGCCTGCCCTAACCAGCTCATAGGATTTTGTGAAAATGTGATAAAATTGTAAAAGTATTCTGAACTGTAAGGAGCTAGTCAAATTTAACATATTTTTATTGCCTAATTTTTTTCTCGAAAAAGTGTTGATTTTTGTCAGTGAGCACCTTTTACTTATGTTGGTTTTAACTGACATGTGAGTGTATTTAAGAATCTGAAATCTATTTTATGAATAGCTTTAAAGTGTCAAGGCCAGGTGCAATGGCTCATGCCTGTAATCCTAGCACTTTGGGAGGCCAAGGCAGGTGGATCACTTGAGGTCAGGAGTTCAAGACCAGCCCGGCCAATATGGTGAGACCCCATTTCTACTAAAAATACAAAAATGGGCCAGGCCTGGTAGCACCTGCCTGCAATCCCAGCTACTCAGGAGGCTGAGACACTAGAATCGCTTGAACCCAGTAGGCAGGGGTTTCAGTGAGCCAAGATTGCACCACTGCACTCCAGTCTGGGCAACAGAGCAAGACTCTGTCTCAAATAAAATAAAATAAAATATTTTTAAAAATGTCAGAAGCCTTGTCAACCACCATTGACAAGAGTTATGATAAACTGATTTAGGATTATAAAAAACAATTGGTATGGTTTTCTTTCAATCAGTGTAGTCCCACAGAGGTGGGAAACCCAGTGCTTCTGGTTGGAGTCAGTTTCTCAGTAGATGATGAGATAGTTACAGAATGCCAATTTTCAAAGAAGACATATATATGCTACAGAGATGCAGTTCTCACTTTTATGTCTGAAAACAGTAACAGCAAATCACCGGATGTGGATGAGAGGAAATCCTTTTTTTTTATTTTATTTTAACCTGTGCATCTTCAGTGCAATCACAATCCCGTCAAGAAAATCACCCATAGTGAACTGTCTTTGGGTCATGCGTAGCAAAGTACAGGATGCTTTATAAAAGGAGATTCTTTACTCGCAGTGCACACGCTGGGTATGTCTTGTCTGCTGTTCATCACAGCTACCAGAACTCCTTAATGTGGAATCTTTGATCCAGATAATATTTATAAATTCAAAGCATCCCAGACCAGCCTTTATCTCCTTGACCCAGCAGATTCATTTAGACTTTCCACTGAGTTGAAATGTTTAAAATGATAGACTTACCTGGTCCTAATACCTTGCTAGTATCCCAAAAATAGGAAGAACTATTAAATCTTTACAGAACTACCCTGAGTTAAGCCAGAGAAATACTATTCAGAAATAGTGTTCATGATCTGATCTGCACCAAAGTTAAGAAAGTATTTCAAAGTAATTCAAGTGTCAGGAGCAGGATCAAATCAGGACTTGGAATGTTTAATTTGTTGTTATGTCTTTAATTCATTTAGCCATCAAGCAAGTCTCTATTGAATTGCCCTGTCATATATAATAGAAAACAAATCTACTTAGGGAAAACATAATAAGAGAAAGATTAATTGAGGGCATTTCCCTTTAAAACGGTAGCGCAACAGACCTTACAGAATTCAAAATGGTTGATGGCCCTTCAGAGAGCCAGTCGAGAACGCATTACCGTGTGTCAATCTTGGGGTAGGGGTTCATGTATGAGAGGTGCCTCTCACAAGGCAAAGAAGCATGGCTGGAGTGAAACATGTTGCTGAAAGCTAAAGCTAGCACCTGAGTTCTCTGTTGGTTCTTCATCTGGTGTTCAGCTCTATTGCTTCAGACCCAAATTAGAAATATGTGCAAAGAGAGAAGTGAATTTTGAAACATGCCAGAGGGTATGAGATGGCAAGGTTGCTTTTGTTTGGTTAGGTTTATGATAAGTTTAGGTAGAATATGCACACTTGATCTCTTCTGAAAGCTTTCCTGAGGATTCCATCAGTGTGAGGGCATACCTGCAAGGAAGCACATGCCGCAGCCTGCACACAGGCACGCCCCACTATGGCAGTAGCTGAAGAAGGAAGCACTGCCACCACCACTACCACATACTGAGATTTCCAAAATCACTAACAAATTTCTCCAGGCTGCTTCAAATTCAGAGGGATTTGGCTACAGAAGAAAGTATGTGAGGCTGCATATGTGCCAGGCCTGGAGGAATTTCTAAAAAGCAGCTATACATTTCCACTTGTTACTGATGATCACTACTCAGAGCAGTCGAAAGTCAGTTAATAACATGTCACAGGGATACTGCTCTCCACTGGGCTATATTCACGTCTGCAGAAATAGCAATGTCATTTCATCCTCCATTGGCCAGACCCTAATCTCTGTCTCTGGGGTGAGAATGACCAGCCTGTACTCTTTTGTCAGAGCAGTAGTGGAGAGAGAGAAATGAGAAAATGCTAATGACTTTGTGTATGTCCTTCTTCCTTGTCCCTGTTTTCCGCAACAACATCAACATAGCTTTAGCCCAACGTGCCATTTAGACCGGAGTCTTGGATTGATCTGTGATGGATGCCCTGTCGGGTACACAGGACCACGCTGTGAGAGGTAAGAGTATACTACACTGTCTTGCAAAATGATTTCTACCTTGGGAGTTATAAAACCGCAGATACAATCATCCTTTGCATCATCCTTTGGAGAAAAAAGGCCACACTCAATGAGGTGAAATAAAGTTTCTCAACGCACTTGTCAAACAAATGCATTATATTTTTGTAATTTATTTATTTTTCAGAAATTGCTTCATAAATCTTCATTCACTCAGAGAATATCTGATTAATGTTTTAATCTTAAAGGTTAAGTATTAACCTACAATCTTTGTAGAAAGCATTGCTCAAGTGGAAAGTCATGCACTTTAAGATTTATCTTACTGTCTGTGTAGGCACCATTTATTTTTCATAATTAGCTTTTTGTCCTTAAAATGTAGCTTAAATGCATAGTTCATAGTTCAGCAAGTGGTTCATAATTTACTTTAAATATACTTGAAAATAGAAACAAAATGTAATTTATTATCATGATTTATATCCTCTTCTAATTGCTCCTAAACCAGTATTTTAATTCCTGTTGATTTTACTGGGTTGCTTTGCAGCAGAAACAAGAGTATTATTTTATGTAATTTGTGTGATTATATTTCCTTCTGAAATGTTTTTGAAGAAATAATTCTTCTATATATTCAGCCTCAGCATAAAAGTGATACAAACTTCCCCCTTGACATCATTGCCAAAAACAAAAACCTCCCTCTGGTTTCAGCACTGGAAATAGTCCCTGCTGCCACCCTTCCTGGGAGGGAGGGGTGCAAAGGAAGTGACCTACTTTCACTCATCATCACTGAGGCTAACCCTGAAGAGGGCTGTTTCTGCCCGTCTTTTCCTGTCATCTTGGCAGCTATCACCCCTGTTTCAACCAGGATGCATAAAATTAATGAAGCAGGAGCCTATCACCCAGAGAGAATTTAGCTAGCAACTAGCAGTCTGTGGACAAAGTGCCAATGACAGTTCCTAGCAGCAACAAGTACTATTTGTGAGTATGGAAGCATCTGTAAATTAGGAATGAAAGAAAAAAAAATGAAACAAGCAGCATTTATTTGCAATCAAGAAACTAGATATCTTTAATTGTGTGTGTGTGTCTGTGTGTGTGTTTAAAGAAAGGCATGTGCATATTACTTACTATAATAGGAGAACATATCATTGCCAAGACAGATTTACATCAAGTGCCTAAACCCCCCAGTTCACTACAGGCAACCTTTTTTTAGCAACTGGAAAATGACAGCTGCTCTGTCATACAAGGCTATTAAATCCACTTATCTAGGTGAGCATAATCTCTGATGTACTTATATTGCTTTGCTTTATGTACTATACTCCCTATACATGTTAGACAATAGTTTCTGAACCATCTATAATTTAAAACCCTACATTTTATTTAACAAACATCTGTTTAGCAACTACCATGTGCTGGGTACAAGGCTAGACATTGGATATAAATAGATGCATTTTCCCATCCTTGCCCTCAGCACCTCACATCTTTCTTTAATGCAAGTGAGGATGGTTGCTTGTATTCTTGGGAGAATTCCATTTGAATAGTAAAAATCACCAAGGAGAGAAATACCTGACAGAAAGTATGATTTCCTGTCTAAAATCTGTATTAATCTGATTCAGAAGATGGCAACATGCATATGCAGTGTAATGAATGGCATATTTTATCTCCAGCTCAAGTTTTTCCACAGTTGATACCATATTTTTCTAGCCAGAATTTAGATTAGGGTTTTCCAGGAATATTTAAGATTTATAATTTCATTGTATTTATGTAAGCCAAAAGAACACCTTAGATAGATCTAAAATATGAGGGAAACATTTTTTGTTTGAGATGTGCCTGTTGAAGTAGAAGAGAGGGAAGATAAGGGTCAGGGTAAGGAGGAGATACTGGTTGCATTAAAAATCTTGTAATCAAAACCATTCTGTAAGTGATTTGTGTGATCAGCTTATGCACATCATCTAAATAAGACCAGAATTTAAAAACTAAATCAACATTTCCCAAATTGTAGATGTTCCTGGAATAAAGAATTCTGTGATCACATGAGTTTGGGAAGCATCCATTTGCATGTTAAAAGTTCTGGCATGTCCTACAGTGTGTAATTAAGAAATCTGTTCAATTTGTTTAGCTCAGCATTTCCTAAACTTATGTGGCCATAAACCCTCTGCTTTAACTATATAGCAAGAATATATCTCAGACTACAGCTCAGGTGGGACAAGAGTTATAACTTTATAGTCTTTATCACAATTTAATTTCTATTTTGAGACCCCTTTCTCTATATGTGGGAACTGTGAGGTCTTAGAAACATAATCTGAGCCCATTTCAAGTTGTTTTCTTCTCCTCTCTCCCAGCTAGAATCAAAGTTCTATTAAGCTTACCTAGTACCAAAGGCCTTATATGCAAGGGTAGAGGGGAGGGTATAATGTCTGTGTGTATATGTTGAGCAAGGGGACATGTGATAGGGCCAGCCAGTACTGAGTATTTCACCCAAGCATGTTTCTGCTGACCTATCCCTTTTTCTCCGTCCTCCTAATTACCTTTCCTTTCAGGTCTAGAAAGTCTCTCAACTACTTTCATTCCATTCTTAGAGGCACAGGAATCATTCAGCTTCTTTCATTCCATGCTAAGACCCACCAACATCTCTACCATCATCATTTTTCCATCTGCCTTTCCAAATCCATCCCATTTTCTATTTGAAAAAGGATGAGCTACATTTGTGGAACTGGTGGCTTTCAGAGCTCGGGGTCTGGCAGATTCCTATGTCTCTGCCTTTTGCCCTGTCAAATCCCTTCATTCAAACATGTAGCACAAGATGGCCTTGCTTCTTGAATCGAGGGGGTGAAGAGAAACAGTGAACAGGGGAATGGCCAAACAAGATACAACAAAACATGGATTGGTATTCTGTCACAAGTTGAACACTAGTTACAGCTTGGAAAACATTCACTTAGGGCCAAAACACCACTATTTTTGAGGTATCACTGCTTTGCTGGGGAATGATTTAAACAAAGGAAAAAAAAGAGTCAGAGAGTGAGGGGAGAAGGTATTCATGATGATACCTTTGCTAAGATTCTAGACTTTTATCATCTGGACAAGAGGAGAACAAAAATAACAAAGAGACAGAATCTTGAAGGGCTAAAAGAGATTAAGTAAGCAATTGGAATATCAAGAGCAATTAAAAAGACTGTTGAGCTAAAAGTGAGTCAAATGCTGAGGATACCTGCCTGATCGGACACTAAGTTACTTTCAGAATAAGTTTGTAACCTCAGCAACATGTCATACATTATGGAGAAGGCATTTCAAAAAGGCAGGCAAGTTCATCTGGTGGATTCTATAGGACAACATGAAACTTAATGGGATACATAGACTTCTTAAGCCCTCCCCGCTCCCCAGCTGGCAAATTTTTAACAACTTCTCCTTAAGTGATGAGAGAGGGGTCAAAAGCCAGGACTAATCTCACAATTGCCACTGAAAATGTGGAAGGTGTTTGAATCTAATTGCTTAATATTTTGAAAATTCATCTACAGTTTTATCCTCAAGATTCATACTAGATATCAAAGAAATTCCTTTTTGTATCTTAAATTTCAGTTCCAAAATCCCATTTAGATTTTGTCTGCTTCAGAATGTCTGAATTCGAATCAAGTCTAATCACCCCTCTGCTTACTATGCTCATGGGACCTTCTATTCACTTGTGAGTCTCCTTGTGCCTTTGGGTCCTGAATGCAGAGCATGGGCTACAGAAATAACAGAGGAGGGGCAGTTATACCTACCTGTAGTACTGTTAGCAAAATTGTGACTCCAGTTGAGGTGTCAAGAGGCCACTCATATGTGGTTGTGCAGTTTGTACACTGCACAAAGGCACTCAGGGAAGGGGAAGATTGAGGGCTTGAATCCAGTTTACCCTCTTCTTTTCCATGAAGTCCCTGGGTGTCTAGTCTGTTTACTTTTTCTGCATATGTCTAGAAAGGACAATTTCTTCCAACTTGTAAAAGGCACCATGTGAGCAGGGAAACACCCTCAGTCTTTTGCTGATTATGTCAAATGGGAGGAAGTAAGAACACAGCATTACAGCCACGCCTCTTTATACAGCAGCCACCCTCTTCTGTGCCTTTGCCAATACTGTTCCCTCTGCCTGGAAGATTGCAGCCCTTTCACTCCTCCATCCGAGACTAACTAATCCCTGTTCAGCTCCCAAAAGTCAGCACTATCATCCTGAAAATGTCCTTGATTGGGCCTAATCTGAGTTGGTTGCCCTTTTGTGTGCTGCCATAATAGCATTTGCATATCTCCAGTTGTTCTACTGCTACGTTTTAAAATGTGTGTTCATTCTCCATGGACTGTAGTGTGAAGACTGTACCTTATTTGTATTAGTACCGTGTAAAAGTGCTCAGCTGATTTTTTTTAATGGGTTGGGAGAAACCAGAGCTTTTCTAATTTGCTTGGCTAGATTAAGCCAGCATTATATTGTTTCATTGTTTTCAGTGTATAGATAATAGAAATGTAGGCCGTGATTTTAGCCAAAAGTTGCTGAAAAAATGATGGGGCAGAATGAGACAAAAGTCTCATCAGTGTGGTTGCTTTCTTCTCATTGTTGCTTGTCTGCACGTCCGCTCTTTTTCTACCTCTCCCTCTCTCTCTTCCTCTCTCCCTCCCTCCCTCTAACATTGTTCCTAAATTATCAATAGCAGCAAGTGTAACAAATAACTGCATGTGTTATCTGGAGTCTTATTTACATTTAAACGGCCCTTTTTCAAAATATTGCAATTTGATTTGAAAAAGTTAACAGATGTGGAAAGGAACAATGCCTTTGTTATGTCAAGATATCCGTTTCTAGCAAGGCATTCATTCGATAAACTATTTTTAAAAATGCACTCATTCTGCCTTGCATATGAAAATGAGAGGGCTTGACATTTCACATTACAATTATTTTTGGTGGAGTGAAAAACCAAAGGACTGTGATTTAAACTAATTTTAATTAGGTGAATCCAACTTGATCAGACTCTAACACACTATTTTTATTAATAAAAGTTATATGATTAGCAGTATTATATTCTCTGACCCTCAAATTACTTTTTAATTCCTAACGGAACACCTTCAGAAATCTCTAATACTGTTCTCTGTATAGAAACACACACCCATACACCAGTAATGTGCTGAAGTGTTGCAGAAAATAGTCCCACTTTCAGTAACATGGCATATGAATTTTCTATCACGTATATTCACAAATTTTCCTTACACGTCCTGCAAGAAAAAATAAATAAAAGACAGATGCTTCTTTAGTTATTCTATTTAATTATAGTTATTTTCCTCCTGAAATGAGTTTTTTTATTATGGAGAATTTCAGTCTTATTAATTGCTATCTAAGTTAAGAAAAATTCCCAGATCTCGTTATATAAAGCTATCTCTCCAAAGGGCAGTAACTCATCTTGAGGAAAGTGAGCTGAAAATAATAGGTTTTCGTTTGCTGTGATAATGATCATTGTATATCCTTATTCCAGTGGCACAAAGTCACTCTCTTAGTGGTAAACAAAATGAGATGTGAATATATGTGGATGTGATCATAAGCTCTGAATATTAAATAAGACAAGAAGAATCAGGTTAAAATTCAAAAGAATCTCCTTCTTATCTTTATCAAATGCCTCTCTTGAAGGGATTTTGGGGGAATTTTGTGCACTCAAATTTTATTGCATATTTTATAATACAGAATTAACAAACAATTATATCTGTGGTTGGCAATATTCTTCTAAGCAGTATTTATACAACTCATAAGTGTATAAAATCTTTTGTGAATATAAGTAATTTCATTTTAAAAATTATGATAAAACATCAAATCTATGAATTATAGTACCTAAGTACCTATACATTTTCTAGAAAACTTAGAATCATCAATGTATCTGCACCAAATTAATGGCTCTGCCCCAGAATTGGGATTTGTTAAAGTACTCTCAATATAATGTACTGGATTTAAACCATTTTTATTTCAAATGGTAGAGAGCCTTTCTCTAAATAATGACTGCATATCTGTGAGTAGATGAGCATAAAAGTGGTGTACTACTGAGGAAATTATATTCTCCCACATTGTTTTTGATCCCCTTCAATTTTGACACTTGCTGCAAAAGACTTTATCTTGGTAAGATGGCAAAGATAACAGAGCTAGCCTGACCATAAGATTCAGATGCCCTGTTCTGTTTCTCCTTTGGCAAATGTGGCTTAGTATAAAGTGTGAGCAAATGTCATTGAAAGAGAAGACAGAGCAGAATATAAATAGGCGCTGCCTATAAGGACGTTTCTGCACACCTGTAGCAGTAAGTTGCATTTTAAAACATAACATTTAGGTCAGAGAAAATTTGCTGCTATCGTTTTTAAAAATCTTCTTTGCCATGCCCTATAAACAAACTTTTGTTTTTCCAATAATATAATATATTATATAAATAGTTTTATATTATATTATATTTATATAATATATATAATAATATATAATATATTATATTTATATAATATATATAATAATATATAATATATTATATTTATATAATATATATAATAATATATAATATATTATATTTATATAATATATATAATAATATATAATATATTATATAATATATTATATAATATATAATAATATATAATATATTATATAATATATAATAATATATAATATATTATATAATATATAATAATATATAATATATTATATAATATATAATAATATATAATATATTATATAATATATAATAATATATAATATATTATATAATATATAATAATATATAATATATTATATAATATATAATATAAATAGTTTTTGGTAAGAAAGAAAGAGCAGGAGACAAAGAAAGAAAGAAACAGAGAGGAAGGAAGGAAGGAAGGGAGGAAAGAGGGAAGGAGGGAGAGAGGGAGGGAGGGAGGGAGGAAGGAAGGAAGCAAGGAAGGAAGGAAGGGAGGAAAGAGGGAGGGAGGGAAGGAGGGAAGGAGGGAGGAAGGAAGGAAGAGAGAGAGAGAAAGAAAGGAAGAAAGGGAGAAAGACCTGGAGTTTGCTAATAGAGTTGGCAGGCACAGTTCAGTATCACCTTATGGCATATTCCTATAATATGCAGGCATGCTTTCTCAGACTTCCCTTTAGTAAAGCCTTCAATGAAAATTTGCCTCTGAATTCATATGCAAATACATACAAATAGATTATTAATTCAGATATACCCACAGCTCCCATCCAATTAATAAGAATCTTCTGAGTCACAGTTTCTAGTTAATAAATTCTGAACTCTTATTACTGAATTTCCTTGCGAGCCTGTTTCCTCATAACAAGTTCTGGCTGCAACAACAACAAAAAATGTGAACCTTACATATTTGTAGAGAAAATAACCAATTGGAGTAGAGACATATGATGTGTTGTACTACAAAGGCTTTCCAACATGGACCTGGATTCCTCCAGAGTGCCAGCAGCAGATTCTTATTATGCTTTGGTCTCATTTTCAGTGCCAGTGACAAGATTATATATTTTTTTCGGGCTGAAATCTAATTACTAGTGGGCTGGCAGGATATCATCTTGTATCTACACTGCAGTTGTAGAAAAACATTTTTTTAATCACGTTGCGTTTGAGAAAAGGAACACTTAAAAGGAAAATCCATCATCCTGGGAGAAGGGGAGAATGAAAAATATGTAAACATTGCCCCAACTGAGGTCCCCCCAAAGGCTCACTGATGAAATTTCTTGCCTTAGGTGTGCAGAAGGCTATTTTGGACAACCCTCTGTACCTGGAGGATCATGTCAGCCATGCCAATGCAATGACAACCTTGACTTCTCCATCCCTGGCAGCTGTGACAGCTTGTCTGGCTCCTGTCTGATATGTAAACCAGGTACAACAGGCCGGTACTGTGAGCTCTGTGCTGATGGATATTTTGGAGATGCAGTTGATGCGAAGAACTGTCAGCGTAAGTCCTGAACTATTGATGCCCCTGACAGAATTGATGTATTGTACCTCAAAGTAGCTGATGAGTTCTTGAGTGTGGATTGAAGAGTAGGAAATTATGTGGAATACATGGTTGATAGATGCATAGAATATACAGAGTCTGCATATTCCAGAACATTTCCTTGTACTAACTAATAGAGTAAATACCTTTAAAATTGCTGTGGTATTGAAGCATCACTGTTTTCCAAATGATAAACATGTTTTTATTTACATGCGGAAGGAAGATTTTTTTAATGAACTTATGTCCACAGCAGGAAAGAAGAATTTGCATATTAGATAGACACCATGTATCCATTTTTTTATCTCAATTCTAATCACTTGCTTTAAATAATTTTTTCTGCCCATGATATTTCAGTAGTAGCCATCAGAAGGTGTTAATCAGTTATGCTTTCATATGTTAACTTTACAGTGTCGTATTTTGTAATAGGTATAAAATTCTGCCAATATTTTCGCACACAGGCATTTGTCATTGTTGAATGATTAACCTCATTTTAGTTTCATAATAGTCATTTAAGGACTATTTCTAGAATGCTCTTTCAGTGTTTTCCTTCCACAAAATTAGCTACTCTAGGGCTTCATCCATATTAGTATAATACATTTCTCCCCTCTTTACCTTTTTTGCTGTATTAATACTACATAGAATTTCCAAATCCTTAATGTCAGTGGGATTAGAATATGAAGGCGGATCTTGTTGCAGAAGATCAAATGGAAAGTGAATCCAATGTTAGCATTTGGCCATCATCAGCTTCATTTACTATCATAATGTTTAAGCAGAGTAGGTTATGAGACCAGCCTATCCATTCATTTCTGTCAAATTTATGTGAGAGACTCTTCCAATTATTCAGGTGGGTCCCAGGACATGCAGAATTATAGAAACCACTGTAAATGTAGCCTATTATCAACTCTACTGTAAGCACCAAAGACCCAGTAGGGTACCCTATTTCATTAAGAAATGTGTCTCTCTCATCACAGGTTTAGAAGATGAGTTCTAGCTTTTTGTTATTTAATAATGATAATTCATTGAATCAAAACCAAATCACTTTCTGGACCAACTGGCAGCTGTTAATATAACCTGTAAATTGATCTTTTTTTAAAGCAAAATTTCCAACAGCTCAGTGCCTTTAAACACTGGATTCCTGACAAATGTATAAAATCATAGAAAGCCTAAGAAATTCTTCCTTTCCCACAGATCATCTAGGATCTACATTTTCTAGCTGTGTGCTCCTGAGCAAGATATTTGACCTCCTTGAGACACAGTTTTCTAGTCTACAAAGAGAGTCATGAATTTTCTGTGGGGACTAAAGGATTTGGCACATAGAGGGTATCCAGTGAGTTCCCAAGTCCTGGAGATGCTCACACATGGTAGCTGTCTTTGGTAGCAGTGCTCATAGTAGCTGTGCATATCAGTTGTTCACCAGTGAATTCTAAGGCTAAGTTAGTCATTTACTGACATTTTATCCTGTCTTCCAATAACCCCCACCCCCATAAAGTTAGGGATATTATTCCACTAATTTTATTATGGTAATTTATTGTGGGATTATTTTATTATGGTAATTAATTATTATTTTATTATGGTAATTAATTATTGTAGAAAATTATTATGGGATTATTTTATTATGGTAATTTATTATGGGATCCATGGCATGAAGTCTTAAGAACATAAAAAAGAATGTGAGAATAAAAACATTTTGACCATTACCAGTTTTCATACTACTTGCCGTGAGTATAGATGTGATTATAATTTTTAATGCTCTTTGCCATATAATCACAATTAAAAGTATAAGAAGCACATTTATTACTTATTTTTATAATTTTTCATGGATACAATATCACTTCTATGCATAAGTGGTAAAACCTCAAGGAAAGAAAGTTCCTGGAAATACATTATTTTGGTTACCTATAGATTTGTTCAAGAAAAGTACACCACTACAAAGAAATATATTTTGCATTTTAAATTTGTGTATATCGTTGGTGTCATATTTTTCCATTAAAATGACACTTTAGCAAAACTTTATACTGCTTTGTTGTTTTTACGATAACATTAATTAATTACCATCATATTTATGGTAAATTTAATTTTGTAGTTTACACTCCAAGAAAAAGTGACTCCTAAAGTCTAAATAATTTGATATTTTAAAAATGTATGATATGCATAAGAAACTTTCATAAAATAATAAAAGTATATACAAATTCGATAAATCAGATGAAAATGGATATTTAAAGGAAAAATTTTCAGCCTTTCCTTGTATTTCAGCTATAGACTATCCGTAGGCTCTTTCAGTTTCTCAATGGCCCTTACTCTAGTATCCCCTTGGCAGACACTGAAGACAAACTTTGCTGGAAGATAAATTAAGCAGTTTTTAGAAAAGCAGTTCTTTTGTTTGTTTATTTGTTTGTTTTTTAAAAGGAGAACCTAGAGCCAGGAGAATAAAATATTAGCATAGGCTGATAGAGTACCTGTTTATAGCTTAATTTTAGGTTGTGTTCAAATCAAAATATTCAGAAATTTAACAAAATCATCTATGAGTAGCCTAAATTCCCATGTCATCTCCTCCTTGTATTTTTATTCTGATATAAATGCAATTATATGTACCATTAAAAATATAGGGTACATAGTAAACAATTAATTACTATTCTATTTGTGAAAAGGTCACTTAAGCTTTAGACTGATTTACTCTACGTTTTAGAATAACCTCAGACAGCTTTATAACAAAGCAAAAAAGACAAAAGATTACTTAAATGAAATATGTTTTGTATGTTTGGAGATAGCATATAAACTGTAAAATAAAAGTGATTCTTAAATGTTATAATGCTATAGTCTTAAGATACTTGAAATGATGTTTTTGTTGTCTTTTAAACTTCTGAATCTTAAAAAAGGCATAAATATTTCACCTCAAACCATTTTTTAAACTTAACACAAAACCGGCACACAGTAAATCATTAAATCAAAAAAACTAACTAAATTTTTCTAGATTAATAGTAACATTAAAATTTTGCCAGGGGTGCTATTAATTTTGAAAATTCCTCAAAATTATTTTAGTTCTAAAGTCAGTATGCATTACTTACAATGGGATAATAGTATTTTAAGTGTTACCCTGATGTATCTGTAAAGAACTAAAACAGCGTTACACCTTGAGTCAAGAACTCCAAGTTCCTGTCACGTTCTGGACTCACCTATATGACACAGCAGGCATGTGGACTTGTATAAGCTATGGCTTCTTTGAATTTCAGTGTCTTCATGCTCAAAATTGGAATGATGATGATGACATTAATATTTTAATGGCATATGATGGGCCAGACATGATGCTAAAGCCTTTATGTGAATTATCCCTACAGCTTGTAGAGTTGTTATAGGGATTAAATGATAGAATGCCTAACAGGGCACTTAACAAATCAGAAAACATTCTGTTACTGAACTTAGGCGTCCATGTTACCATGTGGGGTATATTATTATTTAACAAGCCTATTAAGACTATTAGAAAGTTTTCCTGATCACAGGTCTCTCTTCTCTTTGCAGCCTGTCGCTGTAATGCCGGTGGCTCTTTCTCTGAGGTTTGCCACAGTCAAACTGGACAGTGTGAGTGCAGAGCCAACGTTCAGGGTCAGAGATGTGACAAATGCAAGGTAAGGAGTAGAGGCTGACCCATAAATTACTTTCTCCTTACAGATTTTCACTGGCTTTTCATGACATGTTTTGTATACCTTCGTATATTAAAAGGAAGGTTTGGGATTATCTAATTCTACAATTGAAATGACTGTGATCAGTGAAAAGTTTTTTTCAAACTAGAACAAAATTCATTGTACATTACCATTTGACCTTAAACATTTTTTTTTGGCAGTGAATGTGTATTATATTCGCTTTAATTCAGACATTTCTGAAACAAATAGCAGGCGAATTTAATCTTAATCTGTGGAGATACTCTTTCCTTTGCCTTTACATTTTTGGCAGAATAAAATGTTACTCTTGGGGCTGGGCGCGGTGGCTCATGCCTGTAATCCCAGCACTTTGGGAGGCCAAGGCAGGTGGATCACGAGGTCAGGAGTTCAAGAACAGCCTGGCCAAGATGGTGAAACACCATCTCTGCTAAAAACTACAAAAATCAGCCAGGCACGGTGGCAGGTGCCTGTAATCCCAGCTACTCAGGAGGCTGAGGCGGGAGAATCGCTTGAACCTGGGTGGCAGAGGTTGCAGTGAGCCGAGATAGTGCCACTGCACTCCAGCCTGGGCGACCGAGTGAGACTCCATCTCAAAAAACAAAACAAACCAAAATGTTACTCCCTTTGCTTTTTAGCAAACACCTTCTTCTAGTTCCATCATTTAAAAGCTACTTCCTGTGAGCAGTCTACCTAATGGAAGTTTCAGTAGAGAAGTTAATCAAGATATTTTTAAAGATGCATTATTTTGCTAAAACAAAATATTCAATTAAAATACAGCATGTTGTTCTCAGTCCCTGAACATACCGATTGCCCTGCTTTCAGTATGGCAAGCAACTTCAGATTCCTCCATGAGGGTGGACAGATTTGCTCTAGCGCTTTCACAAAAATACATTGTATTTGTGATAAAGACAGCTAAGCAGAAGCAAGCATTTCTCCGATGTCAAACTGGCCTTACTGTAGGAAGTTTGAAAATATCATCTGCTTCTGTCTCTTGAATAATATCATTGCTCTGTTTTGTTTTTATTTTATTTTATGGTTGGTTTTTAAAGCCCAATATGTGGCGGGATCCAGAGAAGCGATTCTGTGTGCTATGTGACTGCGATCCCGTTGGCTCTGTGTCACCGCAATGTGATATTACAGGAAGATGTGTCTGTAAATCAGGCTTCGTAGGGAAACAGTGCAACCTCGGCAGGCAGGTGCACCAACAGGAGGAGCAGCCGCGGAGAGCGCAACGGGTGCTGGGTTCTCCTCAGAGGTGGGCTATCGGCAGCTCCAGCGGGTGCCCTCGGGGAGCCTATCGGGCCCCAGCTCCGGTAATCCCAGAGGCGCTGCATGGCTCATGCCTCTGCATGTTGTGTTCTGTGTGCTGTGGCTGAAGTTCCCTGGTGGCATTTTACCAAATAACAGTTGCTAAGTGTGCAAATTGCAAATGCAAAGATTAGACAATTCCTAATTGAACCCTTGCCCTTTTAAAAATAACCATCCGTATGCTTTAAAAAGCATATTCAAGTTCATAGGGTCATAAAACTTTCAATTAACCAAACTTTCAATTAACCATGAATATGTGGAAATCAAATAAAAATCTACTTGAGAGAACCTATAATCTTAGAAATGGAAGAGACTTCAGGCAACCTTTGGGGAAAGCTAACTTTAATAAATGAACAAATGAAGGAAAATCTAGCAGAGAAATTGATTTGTCCAAGAAAACTCAGCCCATTTATCAGGCATTTCATCATAATTAAGAATTTTGTTAATTTCCACATCAATTGTGCTTATGTGTACAACAAATGCAAGAAACACATTTTCACACACTATAAATGGACAAATACCCAAAACGGGGAAAGTTGTTTCTAATTACAAAAGTGTGGTTCTCATATCACAGGACAAAACAAAACAAATGCTGGGGAAGAAGGAAGAGAGGGAGGGAGGGAAGAAGAGGTCCCAGGCTGAGCTGCAGAAGAGTAGGAGACAAGACTTACCAGTATAGAGTCAGGACCTGTAGAGAATTGAGGATAGGGCATAGAAGAAGGAGAGATGGAAATAAAAAGTAAAGAAGAAGAAGTAAAAAACAATTCATGGTTTTATTTCTTGGCTCATTATCACACATTTTTTAAAAAACAAATTTTGATGTCAGACTGCCTTAGATCAAATCCTGGCCTCATTACTTCCTAGCTATAAATTCCTTGAATCTTTCTGTAATTCAGCTTCTTCATCTGTAGTAAGATCCACTTCAGAGGGTTTATGTCTGCTTACGTACTCCAAGAAGCAAATGCCAAGAGGTTTCCTGGGGGAAAGGCCAACGAAGCATGAAGTGGGAGACAGCATAGCCTTCTGCTGCAATGGGGTTCTGACTCCCGGGAAAACACAGAAAGAAAGACTGGGTAGGAAAAGCCTTGTTTGGTGCATTTTGTCAAATCTTAAATTCTTGGCCAAGCCAATGGGATATACCCAAGCAAATTTTACCCACTAAAGGAATCCTGAATTGGTCAGGGAGGTTCTAGTATCTTACAGTAATCAGCCTGAGAGAAGGATACTCTTGTGGAAGCTCATCTTAATTCATTCAGAGTGCTATAAGAGCATAACATAGACTAAGTGGCATGTAAACAATGGAAATTCATTTCTCACGATTCTAGAGGCTGGGAAGTACAAGATCCAGGTGCTGGCAGATTTCCTATCTAGTGAGGGCCCTCTTTCTCTAGACAGTCATTTACCCACTGGAACCTCACTTGGGGGAGGAAACTCTCTGAGGCCTCTTTTATAAGTGCAGTGATCCCATTCATGAGAGCTCCATTCTCATGACCTAATCACCTCCCAAAGGCCCCACCTCCTGTCTATACCACCACCTTGAGGGTTAAGATTTCTACATATGAATTTTGGGGGACATAAACATTCAGTCCATTACAGAGCACCTCTGATGGGTCCAAAAGACAAGAAACTGGAGGCTTTCAGTCAGTAAAATTCCACACTGTAGGTTGTCTTGCAGGTAGATCGGATGAGGCGCCTCCAAGGCTGTCTCAGGGTAGCAGTGAGAACAGTGCATCAGGCAGGAGCATAGAGAGTTTTTAGTAAATGTTAGGCCTGATTACTATTATTATTACCAATGTTGTTAAATGAAGAAATGTTTAAAATAATTTTTTTTCAAAAACAAATGCATACATTTACAATAAAAGAAAAAGATAATAACTGATTAAAATGTCTCCTAAATATAAATTTAGCAGAAAGTCAACGTTCATTCAAGCCCTACATATCTTACAGTACTATTGTATGAAGCAGGGTTTTGTCCCGAGACTATTTTTTCCTCTGCAGCAGTATGTGTGAGAGCTGAGAGCTCAGACTCTGGAGCCAACCTAGCTGATCTGGAATCTTGACTCCACAATTGGTTAGCTCATGACCTTAGGCAACTTACTTAACCTTTCTGTGCCTCAGTTTCACCACTCAATAAAAAAGTGGTGAGAATGACAACTCTCTGCCAGGGTTGTCCTGAGGAGTAAATGAGTACATATTTGTAAAGAGTTTAGATTTGTAAAGGGTTTAGAATTGTGCTTTGCAAAAAGGAAGCACAATATATGAATGCTAGTTCTTATTACCCCGAGAGAGACACATTTATGGGAACCTATACAGTTTCTCACTGGGTCTGGATAGCCACTCTCTCCCATATTTATTTTACCTCATTAATCTCAATTACTGACCATGAATGTCTGCTCCTTAAGTTTGTTTACTAGTGGGGTTTTCTTTAGCCTTTGAAACAAATTTTTGAACAAATTTGTAAACATTTTATTACTGAAATTTGGTAGTATTTATTTTGCTACAACTTAGCCTTTAAAGCTACATTATTTAAATATTTGAAAAGTGAGGTAGAACCGTTTCTTCTTGTATATTTCCTTACATAATCGACTTTGGAATTTTTAAAATGATAGCTATAATTTGGAATCTCATTTGATATTTGATTGATTTAAAGGGGTGTACACACACCCCTTTAATGAGTAAATCAATATGAGAGTGTGGATATATAGATGTAAATATATATGAGTAAATGTATATATATATGAGTGTGTATATATATGTGTTTATACATATATCGGCATAGATATATGAGTGAAGACAATTTCTGAAATAAAGATGAATACAAAGTATTATTTCTATGACTCAGATATTTTTCAATACCGTTTTAATATATTATGTTTAGTCTTTTTGTCTATGTATTTCTGTTTCTGTTTGTGTGTCTGGTGGTATGGGTATGTAATTGAAATTTACATAGTATTTATATAGTTTCATATTTTTGTTTAATTTCTATTTCATGCTATATCCTAAGCATATTTATATCATTAAAACTGCTTCAAAACAGGATTTTAATTCTTGCATATTATTTCATAATGTGGATGTCATCATTTAATTTATTCAACAATTTTTATAACATTGTACAGTTAAGTGCCTGCATAGTTATTCACCATGATAAATAATATTGTAATAGGCATGCTTTTGCTTTAATAATATTCCAATTTCTGATTATTTCTCTAAGCCAGGTATCTAAAATTTTACATGAATTTCTTTTACTAATAATGATATTATATGGTTAGTTTTTTTTATATAGGTGAATTTAATTTCAAAGTCATGTCATCTGTTGGAACTGTTACATGCTTTTTTCTTTAATCATATACCACAATCTGAATTAGAACTAGAAATAAAAATAAAACCAACAGTAAATGTAAAGATGAGAATGATCGTCAAACTCAGTCAACCCATTTTACATTTTAAAAATAAAACTATTCTTAGCTACGGTCATTTTAAAAATCTAATTTTCAGTGTGATTTCACTTTTATAACTTATTTTTAAAACTACTAACAATAATATCTAAAATATATAATGAGGCTTATTAATTTCTCTTTGGGTGGCTCACGTTAAGTGGCAAGATTTTTTTTTACCAAGAAGCAATTATTAAGTCTAATTTTCCAAAATAAGAATTATTTTTACAAAGAAGTAATTACCGAGAATAATTTTCCAGATTAAAATATCATAATAATGTGACATGCTTTATATTTTTAAAAAATAACCCTGAAGTATTTTAAGCAGGATAGATGATTTTCATTTTTCTGCTCGGAGTGATTTTTTAATCCATCAGCATTTTCTAACGTTTCATTTTAAGCCTGATAACATGCATTTCAAGAAAGTCAGCCGAAGCTGGTAATGCAAACTTGACCGTAAAAGATGATTTGTTATAGATAGATAAGAGATATGCATATGAATAACTCATCAGAGAATGAAAGTTTACTTACCTGATCTGGTGCTTTAATACGTGTTCTCACTAATCAATTTCAATTGTTAGAATGAAACCTAAGAAATCAAATGTTTGTTGAACCAATTATTTGATCAGTGTAAGCATAACCTGAAAATTATATTTATAATGTGAACACTATAGCAATGATTAAAAGTATTTATGGATATGTGACAAAATTCTATCAAATATTAGGGCAAAAAGGATTATTTTAACTTTAGGCTGCTGGTCAATAATGTTGAAAGTATTTTTACCAAGTAGGAGTCCATAGATCTGAAAGTAATCAATTCAGATTACTAAAAATGAAGAAGTAAAATTTTAAATTAAGACTAGAAATACCACCTATAGGTCCTTTCCATATTGCTATTGAAATCTTGAGAAGTACTGGGACAGGCTGGTGAAAATACAACAGACAGTAAAGGAAGCGCCTAATTCTGCAGTTAATTTTGATAAAATTTCAGAATAATTGAACTTTTCTCTTTGGATATCATAGAAAAGGTCCATTTGATTGAATGAAAACCCAATTGTCATAACATCAGTGAGGAATCCTGATAACTCCTAAGTTCCTCTGTTCCCACCTGATCTTTGGTATTGTGCATCTTGCTTCACTTCGAGTTAACTGATTTAAATTTAATTTTTCTCTCCTCTTCCATTGCCAGGCTGGGACCTTTGGCCTACAATCAGCAAGGGGCTGTGTTCCCTGCAACTGCAATTCTTTTGGGTCTAAGTCATTCGACTGTGAAGAGAGTGGACAATGTTGGTGCCAACCTGGAGTCACAGGGAAGAAATGTGACCGCTGTGCCCACGGCTATTTCAACTTCCAAGAAGGAGGCTGCACAGGTCTGTAAATATGACTTAAGTCCTACATATTCACTCTGATAGTTTTAGGGTCTGACTTCTGTAACAGTTTGTTCTTTTAAAGGAAGCACAGATTGATACAACGTATTTAACATAATGAGTAATGTCTACTTATTTTTACGTTACTTAAAAAATGAAATACATGTCAGTTTGAAACACTGCCTTAATAACTGTGTGCAAGTACTCAGTAAAAATCAGCAGATGCTCGTTTGGTTGTGTCCCTCCCTGTCTGTGACTTTGATTCAGCCAGTCACTCAAACACTGCTACGGCTTGAAAGTTAAATGTTCGATTTTTCTGGTACCAGTCTTATCTTAGTTTAAGCTCAAACCCCACGCCAATGCATTTCAACTTTCCCTTTTTCCTATTGCAAAATTGGTATCCGGATCAAGAAAAGTCAAGGTGTTTTTTTTTTCCTGGTACCCCAAAAACATCTTTTCATCTACTTTTGGCTGCCTTGAAAACTATGATGTTCTAAGAGAGAAATAGGTTGGCTCTAGATATTTAGTTCATCAAAAAATGCAGGCAGAGGTTTCTAACCATGATTCCCTCAAGCAGTATTCTTATACATCCAGCCACAGCCTTCACCCAAATCATGAGCTAAGAAAATATCACTTAGCATTCTGCAGATGAAAGTAAAGAGTGAACATTAGCCTTGATTTATATGCTGCTAATTTCGAACTGACCCTTATTCCAACAATCACTAGTTTGAATATTACCTTTGTTTACTAATGTCATGGATTCAACCTGGATAATGCTCACATACTCTCAGCACCATGGTAAGATTTTAAAACATTGTTATTCACTGTTGTGGCAAATTTAAGTAGGAAGCAGTAGGAATAATATTTAAAACTATTTAAAGAACCAATATCTTTCAGACATTCTCCAGCACTTTAGATATGTGGATTTTACCATAAATTAAGCCATGATAAGTTATTCTAATTGATAAGTTATTCTAATTGATAAGTTATTCTAAATGATAAGTTTATAATTGTAGATCCTCTAAGAATCTGTATATCTCTAAGCCAATATCTGTATAACTTAAAAATTATAAAGCTGTATTTTAAAATATACTCTGTTCTTTAAATCCAAAGCTCACTGACATTTTTACTTAATATGAATTAATGAGGTAGTATTATACATTTAAATACATATAGTAACAAATTATAAATGAGACCAAGAATATTATTTTAAATTATAGAAAGATGACAGCATTTAATAAATGCAGACCTACTAGCATTCTGGCCCAAAGAAACACCATAGAAAAAAAAAAGCACAAAACAGGAAGAATAGTAATATGACTGAGGACATGACTTGCACAAAATAGCCTGGATTTGTCTAAATGGCTCCTTCAGTAACTAGTTCTGGGACCTTGACTGAGTAATTTTGTTTCATTTTCCATCTGCAAAATTCATCTATTAAATTAAGATAATAATAGTATCTACCACACATGGTTTTTGTTACAATTAGTTGAGTTAGCGGCTATAAAATATTTAGAGTAATGCCTAGCATGTAAGTGCTATGGAAGCATTTATCATTATTATTATTATCTTTATTAGTTTTATTAATTGTGTTATACATTGTGCTTTGGCACAGGAAAACTAGCTAATTACTCAGGTTTTCTTTCTATTTAGTGTTATGATTCCGCTGAAGAACTACTTAAGATAATTTCTATTTGCAAGTAATGATTTGCACTGTCCCATGACATTTTTTAGCATATAAATTTAAACATAATGGTAACTATTTTTCTTCTTAATGAAGGACACATCTAAAATAAATCATTTGGCTTAAAATTAGCAACAACAGTAATAACCAAAACAGCAATGACTAACATTTATTTAGTGTTTACTCGGTGTAAAGTATTTTTCTAAACACCTTCCACAGCTGGTGTGTAATGCTGTGAGCAATGAATATTGTCATTTCATAAAAAGTGAATTTAGTCAAATATTCTAAATATATTCAGTGAAAATGATTTAGTCATCATATAACCAATTAAAAGTTTACTCATAACATTAGTCTTCCATTTGAATTCAAGTATTTGGGTTTCTTCCCTCACTTACATTTCTTTGACATGAAACGCTGCACTAGAAATATTCTTAGTAGCTGGGTCAACTGCCGCTATGTGGCATGCATTCCTTGTCTTGGATGGCTTTGAAGATATTCTCAAACATTATTTTTGCAATCTTTGAAAAAGTACAAAAGGTAGATAACTTTGTACCCTTTGAATATTGCATGATAGCAACAAAAATGAAAAATCTATAGAAAAAAGTCAGGTGGTAAATAAAAATCGAAAGTATCTTTATATATAAACAGTGTCCATAATTCAACCATTTTAAAGTATTTGCAAAATTGGATTATTCTGTTGTGTGCGTTTCTAACTATATACATGATGTACCGAATTTAAGAAGCTTATTAAGCTTATTGGTTTTTACTGCAGATCGGGCTCATCAAGGAAAAACTAATCCGTACAGCATAAACAAATTAGAAATGAACTTAAAATAAATATACAAACAAAATAGTAAACTTTGTAGTACCCGAATATAAGGTGTTACAGTTAACATGGAATCTGATAACACCAATTCTTTCCTTTCTTAAACTTCATAGGAAAGCTAAAAATACTTTAACTTTTGAAATTAATAAATGAAATACATCTTATATTTATTGAACAGCTCCTTTCTGAAATACATTGTACTATAATATAAAAGATGAATGAAGTAAGTTTTTATTTCCAAATATCCTTAAGTGTAGAACTGAAAAGAAAATAAGACAAACCAACACAATATAAAACTCAACACTTTGTGTCAAATTTTTACTATTTTTCCCCTTCTTTGTTTTCCCTCTTATACCGGTGAAGCTTGTGAATGTTCTCATCTGGGTAATAATTGTGACCCAAAGACTGGGCGATGCATTTGCCCTCCCAATACCATTGGAGAGAAATGTTCTAAATGTGCACCCAATACCTGGGGCCACAGCATTACCACTGGTTGTAAGGTGAGTGAACCACTTTTTTGCTCTGATAATTTTTTGGAGAGATTTTTGTTTTGTAGAGCTCTGTAATTGGGCATTTCAAAATTCAATATTACATCACAAAATAATGTAGAAGTATTACTATAATGTGATTACAGATATTAATCAATATCTTACAGTTTACTTGTAGGAAAGATGATGAAGTAAATATACATTTATGCAGCTGAACACTTGAAATCTACAAGAGGGGTAAAAAGAACAAAAATTCTGTAATAATACCAGAAAAGAGCTATAACCTCATACCTAGGCACAAGGACATACATGTGCAAAGTATGAGGATATGAGGAACTAATTAATTTTCCAAAAATCTATAGAAATTGCCCCTGAATTATGACTAGGTTTTAGGTTTCAGGAAGTAGTTGAGATCATTCTGAAGAGTCATTTTAACAACATTTAGCTTGGAAAATAATCATTTTTTCCCATTGGTAGACCATAGAAATTGACATGGCCAGAGTCATGTTCAGAGAGATCTATCTAGCATCAGCAGGGATGGTAACAATTTATAAGGCTGTTGAAGAAATATTAATAAGAGATGCCAAAAGCCTGGACCCAGTCAATGAGCGTCAGTGAAGATATATAGGGCGCGAGTTACATTTTAGAACTCAGGCTGATACAGCCTGGTGAATTCATTGATTTGGGGAATAAGAAAGAGAAGACTTAGGATGACTCCTAGGTTTTGCTTTGCAATGGAGTAGATGATAATAAGTACCATGTGCAGCTATAGGAATTATAGGAGGAGGAGCAAGTTCAGGAAGGAAAGATAATCACTTTGCATTTTTATCAGCTTTTTGTGAGGTATTAATAAAATAAAATTCACCCATTTATAGTAATGAATTTTAACCAATGATTACAGTGGTGTAATCATCCCTTGTGCCCCATTGCAGTGAAGTCCCCATCACCCCCCATGTGCCTACTGTTTTGCCTTCTAGCATTATAATTTTCCAATTTCTACAACTTCTGAAAAATAGAATCGTAGTCTGTTTTTTTGAGGGGGGGTTTGTTTGTTTCTTTGTTTGGCTTCCTTCACTTGGTGTTACGTTTTTGTAATTCATCCATATTGTTGCATGTATCAGCAGTTTGTTCTAAAAATTGCTTAATAATATTCCATTTGTGTAATGTACAGTGACTTGCTTACCTGTTTACCATTTAATGGGTGTTTGGGTCATTTCTAGTTTGGGGTTACAATTTTGCTGTGAACATTAGCATACAAGTCAAAAGCATATTTATGGACAAATGTTTTCTCTTTTTTTTCTTAAGAACACTCCACATCTTTGCCAACTCTTGGACTTTTAACCCTTTTTTAATTTTAAGAATTCTGATGCATGTGTATTTCTCTTGTTTGCATTTATTTAATGCCCAGTAATGTTGGGAATCCTTTCATTTATTTATTTGTCATTTATACATCTTTTTTGAAGTGTTTACAAAGCTTATGCCCATTTCTATTTTGAGTTGTTTGTTTCCTTAGTAATGCATTGCAAGGATTATTTATATATTCTGGATACATGTTCTTTAACGTATGTTAAAGCTTGCTTTTCATATAGATTGCTTTTTACCTAGTTTCATCATCTAATCTTTATAAACACTAGCTTATTATCTTTTTCTTCTATAGTCCATACTTTTTATGTTCTACCCAAGAAAGACAAGGTCCAAAGATTTCTCTCCCATGTTTTCTTCAAGAAGTTTTAGAGTTTTAGCTCTTAAATGTAGGTTTGGATTCCATTTTGAATATTAATTTTTCTATATATCAGGTAATGGTCAGAGCTCACTTTTTATGGATACCCAATTTTTCAAACATTATTTGTTGAAAAGACTATCCTTTTTCCCATTGAATTACTTTGACTCCTTTGTCAAAATCTATCAACTATATATATGTTTATGCATTTCTGGACTCTTTTCTGCTTCACCGATCTATTCTTATGTTAATACTAGTTAATATGTTAATTATTGTAGCTTTCCAGCAAGTCATAAAATCAGGTATTGTAAATTCCTCAACCTCATTCATCGTTTCCAATACCTTTTGAGTACTTTAGCTCCTTTACATTTCCACATAACTTTTAAATTTAGCATGTCAATTCTTTACCAAAAAGCCTGCTAGGATTTGGCTGAAATTATATTGAATTGATAGATCAATTTGGGAAGAATTGACAGCTTAAAAGTATTAGATATCCCAGTGTATGAACATGGCATAACTCTGCATTTTTTTAGGTTGTTATAATTTTTTCTCAGAAATGTTTGTAGTTTTTGATGTGCAAGCTTTGCATATATATTGTTAAATGTATCCGTTTCATATTTTTTATCAAAAGCAAATGCTGTGTTCCATTTCAGTTTTAAATTGCTTGTTACTAGAATAGAAAAATACAATTATTTTTATACCTTATCCTTCTATACTGTAATCTTGCTAAACTTATTAGTTCTAGTTTCTTTTTGGTCCATTTAGTGAGATTTTCTTGTAGATAATCATGTCATCTGCAAAGAGAGATTTACTTCCTTTCTAATCTGTGTAACTTCTGTGGCATTTTCTTGTCCTATTGTAGTAAACTATTGACTAGAAGTGGTGGAAGCAAATATCCTTGCCTTGTTCCTTAGTTTAAGTGGAAAGCATTGTCTTTTATAATTGAAAATGATGTTGGCTATATTTTACCTGTAGGTGCTTTTTATTGTTTTGAGGATGCCCCCTCGTGTTTTTAGTTTGCTAAGAGCTTTTATCAAGAATATGTGTTCAATTTTGTTAAATGACTTTTCTGCATCTATTGAGATGACCATATGATATTTCTTTTTAAGCTGTTAATATGACAGATTATACTGATTGATTTTCAACATATCAATCCAGTCTTACAATCCTCAGATTAATCCTGCTTGGCCATGGGGATTATCCTTTTAAAATTATGTTGAATCCTGTTTGCTAGCATTTTCTTAATGATTTTGGATCTACGTTTATAAGAAATATTGGTATGAACTTATTTTTCTTGTAGCGTTGTCGTCGGGATGAGGTACTGCAAGCTTCATGAAATGGATTCAGAAGTATTCCCTCCTCATAATTTATAAAAGCGTTTTCACAATCAATGAGGTAGAAAACAGAAATACTTTAGAGGAACCCAAAAGCTCACTATTTGAAAAGATCAGTAAAGTTGGTAATATTCTAGAAAGGTTAATCAAGAAAAAAGAGAGAAGAAACAAGCAATCAAAATCACAAATAAAAGGGGGACATCACTATAGATCCTATAGACATTAAGATAATAATATGGTAGTAATAGGAACAAGTTTTGCCTAATAAATGTGATAACTTGCATGAAAAGAACATTCCTTCTTTTGCTTACTTTGAGTTTAATTTTCTCTTGTGTTCCAAGTTTTTTTGTTTTTTGTTTTTTGTTTTTGAGACGGAGTCTTGCTCTGACCCCCAGGCTCGAGTGCAGTGGCAGATCTTGGCTCACTGCCAGCTCCGCCTCCCGGGTTCACGCCATTCTCCTGCCTCAGCCTCCTGAGTAGCTGGGACTACAGGTGCCCGCCACTACGCCCGGCTAATTTTTTGTATTTTTAGTAGAGACGGGGTTTCACCGCGTTAGCCAGGATGGTCTCGATCTCCTGACCTCGTGATCCGCCAGCCTCAGCCTCCCAAAATGCTAGGATTACAGGCGTGAGCCACCGTGCCCGGCCAATTGTGTTCCAAGTTTCTTAAGGTGAAACCTTAGATCATTGATTTGTAATCCTTTTTCTCTAATATGGGCATTTGATACATTTTTTTCCAGAAACTACTTTGTTTGCACTCCACATATTTTGATATGCTGTGTTTTAATTTTCACTTGGTTTAATATAATCTTTAATTTATTTTGGGGATAATGTTTAGTTTCTAAATATTTGGGGAATTTTCAAGGTATCGTTACTGTTACTAGTATCTAGTTTAATTCTAAATTGTTCTGAGAACATAATCTGCATTATTTCAGACCTTTTGAAAATTATTGAGATTTGTTTTATGGCCCGGAATAGTGTTCAGTTTGTTTATTATAACATGTGCACTTGAAAATAATGTGTATTCTGGAGTTGTTGGATGAAAACTTCTATATAGGTCAATTATCCTTAACGGTTTTTAGATCTACATGTTCTCTCAGTTACTGAGAGTGTTGGACTATAACTTTGTCCGTTTCTTCTTTCACTTCTCTCAGGTTTTATTCACATGTATTTTTGAGCAGTGATACTAGGTGCATGAACATTTAGGATTGCTATGTCTTTTTGAAAAGTTGGTGCCTTTTGACATTGTGAAATGTCTCTCTTTATTCCTAGTAACATTCCTTGTTCAGAAGTGTACTTTTTCTGATATTTATATAGCTATTGCAACTTTCTTTTTAATGGTGTTTGTGTGGTATATATTTTTCACACCATCATCTATTTCATCTCCCTTTTTAGTATTTTAATGTGTGCCTTTTTTTTTTTTATTCTGAGACAGGGTCTTACTCCATTGCCCAGGCTAGAGTGCAGTGGTGTGATCTCAGCTCACTGCACCCTCCACCTTCTGGGCTCAAGAAATCCTCTCACCTCAGCCTCCAGAGTAGCTGGGACTACAGGCGCATGCCACCATGCTTGGCTAATTTTTAAGTTTTTTGTAGAAATGAGATCTCACTATATTGCCCATGCTTGTCTCAAAGTCCTGTGCTCAAGTGATCCTGCAAAATTCTGGGATTACAGGTGTATACCACCATGCCTAGCTTAATGTGTGTGTGTGTGAGAGAGAGACAGAGAGAGAGAGTGTGTGTGTGTGTAAATAACATATATTCAGATCTTTATTTTTCAACGAATCTTAATAATTTGGCCTTTTAATTTGAGGAGTTAAATCATTTCCACTTAATGTAAATATTGGTATGATTGGATTAAGCCTGCACTTTGCTATTTGCTTTTGCTTGCCTTATCTGCTCTTGCCTTTTTTTTTTCCTTATTGTCCTGCCTTCTTTTGCATTAATTTGTATAACATCTTCTCTTGACTTTTGGATTATTAAATATACCTATTCATTTTATTTCTTTGGTTTTGTCTAGGAATATACATCTTTAACTTTCCAGAATGTACATTAAAATAATATTATACCACTTTACATTTAGCGTAAGAACCTTACAACAGGAAACCTCCAGTCCCCTTTCCTATCCTTTGTACTATATTGTCATATATTTTTACTTCTATATATTATACATCTGACAATATAAGCTTACGATTTTGATTTCAATAGTCAATTATCTTTTTAAACAAGAAAATTTCTCCTATAACTCTTTTTCCTTGTGTATATCAATTTTAATGCTTTAAATTCCTTTGTGTACATTAAAATTTTCATTTCATATCATTTTTCTTCTTCCATTAACTACTTCCTAATCTTTATCATTTTATTCCTGTTGTTTCAGGTCTGCTGACAATAATTTTTTCCTTTTTTTTTTTTTTTTTTTTGTTCCAGAAAGGTGTTTTTTTTTTTTCCGAAGATGTTTTTGCAGAGTATGTAATCCTAAATACTGGTTTGCAGCAATTTAATTATGCTTTTTGTTTTCTTTTTGTGTGTTTAATAATTATTTTTTCATGGGATTAGTTAGATCTGTTGGCCCTGTAGGATTATAGTTTTCATCAAATTTGGAAATGAAAGTTGTCAGCCATTATATCTTTAAATATTTTTTTGTTCTTCATTCTTATTGTCTCTTTCTGGAAATCATTTTTTGTATGTTGGGCCAATTGATATTTTCCCCCATCTCACTGAGGTTCTTATTTTTTTAATTATTTTTGTATCTGTATTTTTTATTTCTGATAGTTTCTATTGTTAAGTGTCCAAAGTCACTGATTTTTTAATGCAGCCTAACCTGTTTTTAATCCAATTGAGTCTATTTTTTATTTTAAACATTGTATTTTTTTATCTTTTAAATTTCCTTTTGGACATTGTATATCTTTTATTTCTCTACTATACTCACATTTTTTCATTTATTCTTGAAAATATAATGTTTATAAACATTAGCATTTTTAAAATGGTCATCTGCAAATTCCATCTTTTTTATTGCAGGACTATTCCTACTGACTGACTTTTCTCCTGTTTCTGAGTCATATTTTCTTGATTCTTTACATGCCTGATAATTTTTATTTGGATGCCAGACATTATATACTTTTCATTGTTGTGTATTGGATTTTATTGTATTTCTTTAAAGAATGTTGAACTTTATGCTGGCAAACAGTTTAGGTAGTCACGGGTCACTTGGATTCTTTTGAAGCTTGCTTTTGAGTTTTGTTAGGGAAGGTGCAGCAGAACAGTCTGAAAGCCCTTCTACTAAGCTGTGAAACTTCTGAGAATACTACCTAGTTGGTTACTATGTCTCTTTACTCTGGCTGTTGAAAATATGGCTTATTCCAAGCTTTCTCTGGGCTGTAAGAATTTTTGCAGCCTAGGGTTTTCCAATGCCATTTTCCTTCATCCCATGCATGCACCTATCAGCATTCAGTCAATGACTCAAGAGAACGCTTCTGCACATCTCTGGAATTACCTTTCTATCTAACTTCTTTCTTTTTGAACACGTATTCTATTTGCCATCATAAGTTTCAGCAGCCTCGGCTTCCTCAAACTCCACTCTTTGTCTCTCAACTCAGCTATAATGCGGGCTTTGGGTTTACCCTCTCTGTGTTGCAGCCTAGAAATTGCCTCTGTACACTGCTTCATGTTTTTTTCCTTCTCTCAGAAATCACAGTCCTGTGCTTCCTATAATTCAATATCTAAAAACAATTGTTTCTTGGTTTGTATTTTTATTTTAGTTGGTTGTGTACTTTAACAGCTTAACAAAGAAGAATAAATACTGTAAAAACTAAGAAGAGGCTGTTCAAAAGAAGAATATTCTTCAGTGCCTAATGCAACACAAAGGTCAAGTAGGATTAGTGCTGAAGTTGTTCATTAAATTGAAGAGCAATAATAAGGGCATTTTTTTATGTTAGTGGGAGTCGTTCCAATTGATTCCACTGGGTTGTGAAATATTGGAACGTGATGACCAAGTGTGGTCCTGTTTGACCCTATAGCAGTACCCTATAGAGATGTAAACTTTTTTTCCTGCTGAGTTAGCACAGATGAAATAATAGACTCTAACCACCTTCACATGTATGATAAAACATTTGAACCTGGTCTAGAATATGCTGACCTAGAGGAAAACAAGCATATTGATGATTCTTCAAGGAAGTTCAGATGTCTGACTTCAATTAGACATGTGATTAGAAAAAATAAAAACTGGACAGGACATTCATTTTTCTATTGTCAATAGCATTATTAAGTTTAAAATGCAAGAGAGCTACATTTTTAGAAAGAAATCAAAAACTCCTCAGAATTTCAAAGTGTTCTTATGAATATGAACAATGCTATAAGTGTCTATGACTGACTTTTGCATTTTCAGCTTCAAATCCAAGCATCCACCATATCACTTGGACTCAGGAGTAAGCCCTAGGGAAACTTACAAGAGTTCCGTTTTATCCACAGAATGCTATGATATAGCCAAACTCTAATTAAACTCTTGAAATTGAAGTTGATACCTCATGTTCAAGATATAAATCAGGATAAAATACATTCCAAGTTTCTATGAAAACGTAGTTATATGTTTAGTACTATCATTTTTACTGATCATTAGATAATTACTCTGTTGACTAAAGTTGACTGAATTTTTTGATTACTTTAAAATCACCATCAAAAGTCTAGACTTCTGAATCGAGAAATACTTCACCATTATGAAGAATTACAAAAAAAAACAAAACTCATAGAGCCTGTATCAGACAATTCTTGCATTGCTATAAAGAAATACCTGAGACTGATTATAAGAAAACTGGTTTAATGGGCTCACAGTTCTGGAGGGTGTACAGGAAGCATAGCGGCATCTGTTTCTGGTGAAGGCCTCAGGAAGCTTCCAGTCATGATGGAAGGCCAAGCAAGGACAGACTTCCACATGGCAGGATCAGGAGAAAAGCAGGGATGCCATGCATTTAAACAACCAGATCTTGCCGGTAGGAACTCATGGTCACAAGGACAGCACCAAGCCCTGAGGGATCAGCCCCCATGATCCAAACACCTCCCACCAGGCTCCACCTCCAACACTGGGGATTATATTTTAACACGAGAATTAGTGGGGACATATCCAACTGTATCAGAGACCTCTCAAGTAATTTATTTATGAGCATGTGTTTTACTGTTTTTAAAACTGGGATGACTTTAATTTAAATGAACAGTGATTTGAGATTTATAGCTTCCCTTTCTTTGTGTCATGGATAATTTCTCTGTGCTAAGGTGTGAGCATACACATCATTTGGGCTGTTATTGAAGTAGAATACGAAGCCTGCCTTCTTTCACTAGCAGGGGAATAGTGAGTAAATTCTCTATTGCTAAACAAATATTACCTCTATTTATGATTTAAATTTGATGATGGCCATAGTGCTATCTAAACACATGGTTAATGGTCTGGTTTATTCTCCACTATAACTTCCTGAATAAACTTCCTGATTTGGAAAGGTCCCAATGTCTATTTGTACTGTCAACAATTTTGTAAAAATTCATGCTTTGGTTTTATACAATTATTTGGATAACTTCATATTTTAGTTAAAGATAAAGATGCCTCACAGGATAATTTAAATTTATTATTTGATTATAGTTTTGATAACATGATTTTCTATTAATACCCGATTATGGCCTATTTTGTTTAAGTGAGTTAATACATACTCAAAGCAGTTGGCAAAGAAAAACTATGTAAGTGAATATGTAAGACATCCTAATTTTGAAATTTGATTCTACATCTGATGTTCTTTAAGTTACTTGGCGGTGAGGTTAGTGGGTTATTCTATGCCTTGGAAGCTTTGTCCATATTTATAATATACAAATAATCACATTTTAGATCTTTGGGTTTAAAATATCTTCTAGAAGCCGCCCTTATTGCAGCCTTTCTACTGATTAGCAATAATTAGATAGAAAAATACTTACCTATAAAGACAAGAAATAAAGCTAATCCTGATAATCATTTTTTTTTTTTTTTGAGACGGAGTCTCGCTCTGTCACCCAGGCTGGAGTGCAGTGGCGCGATCTCGGCTCACTGCAAGCTCCGCCTCCCGGGTTCACGCCATTCTCCTGCCTCAGCCTCCCGAGTAGCTGGGACTACAGGCGCCCGCTACCACGCCCGGCTAATTTTTTGTATTTTTAGTAGAGACGGGGTTTCACCGTGTTAGCCAGGATGGTCTCGATCTCCTGACCTCGTGATCCGCCCGCCTCGGCCTCCCAAAGTGCTGGGATTACAGGCGTGAGCCACCGCGCCCGGCCGATAATCATTTTAATAACAGAATCTGGGAAGATTTTTAACCAAATATTTGGGCATGAAAGACAATAGAGGAGGAACTGGTGATCTTGGAAATGATAATCTCATAAGCAAACTACTGTTAGCAGGAACAGAAACATAATACTCCTGGTAATGGTGGATATAAGAATTAAGCTGAGGAGGGAAAGTGTGAGATACACAGTGAGATGCAGCCAGACTTGGATCTAGGAGTTTGGCCAGGTGCTATGCATATGACTTTACCACTGGGCTGTAGATCTGAGAAGGATAATAGAACAGCACCAAAAAGAGTTAAGTCACAAAGTGCATACACCATATGGTGGCAAACTCAGACAGAGAGAGGTGATACCCTTTGTAATGCCAAGTCATGCTCTGCTTGGGAGACAGAAACTACACTGGTTTTTTAAACAGTGAAATGGAATTGTTAACTGGTAAAAGGTGGTTGGTTACTAAAAAAGGATAAAAGAAAGCTATAAGGTGTCCCGAGTACAGGTACAGAAGAGCAGCTACTCCCTCTAGGCTGAGGGAGGAAAGACAGTGAAGGAGTTAAGGGCTAAGAGAGGGCATGCTCCTTCTCCCCACTTGCAGCAAAGCTGAGGTTCAGAAATCTTTCAAGAGGGCGTTGCTGTCATAGGAATGTACAGCCTATGGATGGTCAAACAAAACCAAAAACAAACACGTCGGAGTTTGTAGGCAAATGCATGTCTGTAGAAGCTGCCCACCGTTCTTGGAGGATAGGAGCACGCTGGGCTACTGAGAAGCCGACTTCAAGGTCAGAGCGTGTGTGCAGACCAAAGCTAGTCAGAAGGGTGCCTATGGAGAGACAATGTGCCCTCCCAACTAAAGGCACACCTGGGATTCTTTCTGGGCCACTGGGCTCCCGTGCTAAATAATACAAAAATAATGATGAAGATTCTTTTTTTTTTTTTAGACAGAGCCTTGCTCTGTCGCCTAGGCTGGAGTGCAGTGGCGCGATCTCGGCTCACTGCAAGCTGCACCTCCTGGGTTCACGCCATTCTCCTGCCTCAGCCTCAGGAGTAGCTGGGACTACAGGCGTCCGCCACCACGCCCGGCTAATTTTTTGTGTTTTTAATAGAGACAGGGTTTCACCATGTTAGCCAGGACGGTCTCAATCTCCTGACCTTGTGATCCGCCCTCCTCGGCCTCCCAAAGTGCTGGGATTACAGGCATGAGCCACCGCGCCCGGCCTAATGAAGAACCAGAACTCAGCTTGGAAGTGTGGTGGGCCGCCATTATGGACTTATTGGGTCCTTCCAAGGCCTCTATTGACTAAGCCTATCATTCTGCCACCGGATACGGAGAAATGTCTACGGGGTCTACCTACTGTATCACAAAGCAGGGTGAATTTGGAGCTCAGAAACAGTAGATGTATAATTGGCACAGCTGGTCCCTGAAATGACTTATTCCAAGATCCTAAATGACATTTTAGAAATTCACTTGGCATTTTTATTAAATTGCAAGAAGATATGAGCTCTGTAAATCAAGAGCAGAAACCTTTAAAAGGATAATGTAAGACAAAAAGACAAATGGATAAGCAGAAATTAAAGATGAGAGAAATAAAATTATTCAAAAGAAGTTAAGATTGCAATAGGGTAATGAAAATAAGCATTGGTGGTATGTGTATACAATAAAACTTTTCCTGTAAAACAGGAGCTGTGAAAGTAGGATACCAATTTGAGAGGTAAATACAGCAAGAAATGTAAAACAAAGGAAAATGATTGCAGAAGACATTAGGATATTATAGATTTGGCAGAGAGAACAGAGTGATGTACTTTAAGAATTATAGATGATCCTGAAAAAGAAAATTGATTAATTAGAACAGATGTAAAAATCAAAAACAAATCTGAAGAAGAAACAGTACTGAATCAAAACACAATTATGTTCCCAAACTGAAAGAACTATGTTCCAGTAAGTTGATGGAAAAAAAAAAAACAAACCCAAGCTTCAGAAAATTCTAGCAAAAATATGAATTATGTAAATAAAGAGAAAATCGTGTATACATCTTGGGCGAAGAAAAACGTTACTAACAGAGACCTCAAATCAGAATTGTATGCAAGAATAAATGCCAAAAAACAATATACTAGATGTTACTTCTCTTCAAGCTCTCCTTGGATTCCCCAAGTCTAGTCTGATGCCCTTTGTATGTTCACATAGCATTTTGGACTTCTCCTATTATATAATGCTTATTCTATCATGTTATGCTAACATATTTACTTGTCTCCCTCTACTAGACCGTAAGGTATGTCTCCAAATAAATGTTTAAATGCTACAATTATGAGATAATAAGGTAAAATAACTTTGTCTAAAATTTAATCTTTGAGACAAAGCAGTTGGAAAAAACCCATACCCAGCCCCTCTCTACCTCAGAAAGAGAGAAGACACATTTTCTTTCTAATTCACATAGCATTATGGTTTCTGGACGATCATATATTTCCATAAATGCAGGAAGCAATTTTAATGTTTATGTTCACTGATGTTTCCCAAGTGACTAAACTAGAATAGTACAAAGCCTATAACAGATACATGATTAATATGTGTTTAATGGAAGCATAGAAACATTAGAATTAAAATTTTAAGATATTTCCCATAAAGTTGTGTTAATGGTTGCTGTTTTTATCTCCTCTATAGGCTTGTAACTGCAGCACAGTGGGATCCTTGGATTTCCAATGCAATGTAAATACAGGCCAATGCAACTGTCATCCAAAATTCTCTGGTGCAAAATGTACAGAGTGCAGTCGAGGTCACTGGAACTACCCTCGCTGCAATCTCTGTGACTGCTTCCTCCCTGGGACAGATGCCACAACCTGTGATTCAGAGACTAAAAAATGCTCCTGTAGTGATCAAACTGGGCAGTGCACTTGTAAGGTATGTGCTGCTGACATGCAGCTAGGGAAAACCTCCCTCAATTCTGTTTCCATTGCTCAGTTTTAACTTCATTCAGTGTTTGTTATACCTGCTTCATTAAGCTAAACAAACAGATGGACAAAATCTCATTGCCAGACATGGAGTTTTCATTGATATGCATTTGTTGGCATACCGATAAACACTGCTTTTCTAGAGCTTATTTTCAACCCAAACCCACCTTTTTTTCTAGTTGGTGGAGATGATCTATTTTCAATGGTATAGTGATTTTTTAAAAAATATATTAGATTTGCTTCGATAAGGACAATCTGGGAGGGGTGGCAGGGAAGACAGTTCTTTTAAGCATCATCAGAGAAAATCACAGCTAAATAATAAGGCTTATAAAAACCATTTCTCCAAAAATTAATCTGCAATCGCTGTATACTAGAAAATATATTTACTGCTGTGGAAGTTTAGTAAAATTTCAACACATATAAACGCTGTCATTACAAACAGTGACTATGTGCAAATTTCAGCCCTCATTAATATGGTTAAATGATGTAGAAAAAGAGCCAATTAAAAAGGTAAAAAGGATTTTTCCCCTCAGATAGTTCTGAAAAATCAATTCCAGGATAAATGCAGTTTAAACTGTGTCAGAGGTATCTTTTCAAGATAAAATCTATGCAAAAAGGGACAGAGGAAACAGGAAGATAAAATCTGGGTAGTGGTTGTTAAAATGGCCTTGAGAATTGAGGAAAATGGCAGTTTCTACCATCAAGGGCTTCGGCCAATACCGAGTACAATGCTGCATTCTTATATCTCGCAATTATGATCATATATTTAATACATGTTATGTGTGTATATATATTACAATAATTATATAAATTGATATTTTAACCTGCTGCCTATTTCTTACAGCTTACAATAGCACCACTGTTTAAGACTCAATGTTTTTATGTTGCTTTTGAAATTTTCATGAGTCTTTCATATTGCTCAGAGCAGAACTGTAGAAAATGTACCACTTACATTTAAGAAACAATGTACAGGCCGGGCGTGGTGGCTCACGCCTGTAATCCCACCACTTTGGGAGGCCGAGGCGGGCGGATCACGAGGTCAGGAGATCGAGACAATCCTGGCTAACACGGTGAAACCCCGTCTCTACTAAAAATACAAAAATTAGCTGGGCGCGGTGGCGGGCGCCTGTAGTCCCATCTACTCGGAAGGCTGAGGCCGGAGAATGGTGTGAACCTGGGAGGCGGAGCTTGCAGTGAGCAGAGATAGCGCCACTGCACTCTGGCCTGGGCGAAAGAGCGAGACTCCGTCTCAAAAAAAAAAAAAAAAAAAAAGTACAATACCTTTAGTCTTATATCTATTTAAAAATAAAGCATTTTTAAAAGATCCATGAACTCCTAACAATGAGGTTAACTACATGTGCCATTTGAGATGTGAGTCTAATACTCAGTGTTCTTCTGTTTTGTTTTAAATTTTTTAAAAAGAGTATGCTCCCGTTATGCATTCTCAGGGTGATTTCTCCCCTAACTTTGCCGTTATAAACTCTGAGGGTCTCTTGTCTTTCCTCAGGTGAATGTGGAAGGCATCCACTGTGACAGATGCCGGCCTGGCAAATTCGGACTCGATGCCAAGAATCCACTTGGCTGCAGCAGCTGCTATTGCTTCGGCACTACTACCCAGTGCTCTGAAGCAAAAGGACTGATCCGGACGTGGGTGAGTAGGGAACTGCTGAGCCATGTAATGGTATAATGTTAGTTCCTGCTGGTGTCTTTTAGTCAGGCACTGAGGGGTAGTAGAAAATGGCAAAACATTTAAGTAACCTTTTCCTCTGTGAACATTTAGGAACAGCAAAGGGGTCACGTGCCATTAGAGAGTTGGAGTAAATGCCTTTCTTATTTGTTCTTAAAAGTAGTTCACTTATTGATAAGGAAATAGATGCCAAGTGAAAAAGAGGAACCTTGTCCGGGAAGCATTATGTTTTGAGATGGGAAGAGTGAGGGCACCAGAGCATGAATGTTGATATGAGCTAACACACCAATGAGAACCAGGACTTGTCACACATTCATTCCAACCAACCTTAGGCAATCATGATTTTTGGAGTGAAAACATGTTCATTTTTCATTTTCCTTTAACTCTTTCTACATTTAGATTCAATTTGTGTTAGTGTGAAAGGCTCCAGTGTCCACAGATATTGTGGCTTTCACTATGTGAATTAGTCAAAAAGATTTACGTCCTGCCATGCTTGCCCACTGCGTGTGAGTTCTGTTGCTTGTGAGAACATCATCAGAATGGGTATAGGAACTGCAGATAGACATGCAGTTCGTAACTTAGTTTTAAAGAAATGTCCAAAGCGTAAATTCAGCCTTCTGCTGTATTTTGACCCCTTGCAGGTGACTCTGAAGGCTGAGCAGACCATTCTACCCCTGGTAGATGAGGCTCTGCAGCACACGACCACCAAGGGCATTGTTTTTCAACATCCAGAGATTGTTGCCCACATGGACCTGATGAGAGAAGATCTCCATTTGGAACCTTTTTATTGGAAACTTCCAGAACAATTTGAAGGAAAGAAGGTAAGCACAAGAACTTTAATGTCAAGTGAGAACAAGATAAAATCTTTTTAGAATCACACCATTTGGAGATTTATCCAATTCCTCATTCTTCTTTTTATTTTGTCAGTTGATGGCCTATGGGGGCAAACTCAAGTATGCAATCTATTTCGAGGCTCGGGAAGAAACAGGTTTCTCTACATATAATCCTCAAGTGATCATTCGAGGTGGGACACCTACTCATGCTAGAATTATCGTCAGGCATATGGCTGCTCCTCTGATTGGCCAATTGACAAGGCATGAAATTGAAATGACAGAGGTAAAGTTAGTCATTGTTTGGTGCAAAGATACCAATCAATGGTTTTGCATTCAGTTTTGTCATAGTGATTTCTCTTCTTGTTAACAGAAAGAATGGAAATATTATGGGGATGATCCTCGAGTCCATAGAACTGTGACCCGAGAAGACTTCTTGGATATACTATATGATATTCATTACATTCTTATCAAAGCTACTTATGGAAATTTCATGCGACAAAGCAGGTAAACTCTAATAGAAAATATTCAAGCTCTTATTTTAGAGTCTGTAAGGAAGGTTATTGACCTACAGATATCAGATAAGAAAGATTGGAAAGTGATTGGTTTTGCAGTATAATGATAGAAGATAAACCATGGAGGCTTCCCTGTGACCTGGAAGAAGCTACTACCATTCATCAGAAAAGAAAAATAGCATGAGAAACACGTTAAAGGGAAAAAAAAATATGGAATTCACTGCAGACATAGTGAGTTTAAGATGCCAGTCATAAATTCAAGAGATCATATACTGTAGATCAGGTAAAATTAACTGTTGTGGTATAAATGGATTATAAAAGTGCTGAGAAAGTGACCTCTTCACCCATCAGGGGAACCAGGCAGGGCCAAGTTGGTCCAGTCTCCTCCAACTGTGAGCATTCTAATCTGTTCACCCCAGTGTGCCATACAATGTTGTCATTTTCCCTATGCATCATGTTGAGAAATGATTCTGAATCACTTTGAAAAAAATCACACAGAACAGCAAGAATGAATGCAATGTTGTCGAACCTACATGATGGGAATACTTCAAGGGAGTATTCCGTGTTTTCTTATGACCAAAATTGGCCAACTGAAATGAGGCTTGTTGGGTCTGACACTTAGGACCACACTGGTAACATTCATGATACCGGTCTCAGTGTCCTGGGGCAGAATTAATCTCAAGCTTTTAAAGAAAGAATGTGACACATGAGCCCAATATTATGAGTGTAAACTATTATTTTCCATGAATATAATTGTAAAAAGAAGGAATAACATATTGTCAAAAGTAAAAAGATGATTGTTTAATTTGAAAGAGTATGTTTACAGAACATGGGAATGGATTAGTAATGAGGAAAATATTGAAATATAAAATAAAGAGAGAATAACTAATAGAGGAACCAGGAGACTTCCACATCATGGACCCTCATGGTCATATTCTTTGAGTAGACGGTTCACCTTATCCAATGGGATAAAATGAGAAATCATACAGATTTAGGTAAGTTTCATACCATGGAGGCAGAAAGTTGAACTGAGTTCATATAGGAGACCTCAATTTCTCTTTCATGTCAGTCTCTGTTACATTCTATGAGAATATAGAATCGATATATGTTTGTAAATAGTCTTATATAATAAATTATTAGACCTGCCTAGGAAAGCAAAACAGAAAAATTATGAAGTCTCTCAATGGCCAACTAATGAATATAAAAATACTATTTTTCAAATGTTTATACTGGAATAAGCACACAAGACAGCAGAAAACCTTTTATTTCATGCAGAAGATCCATAATGCTTTTCTGATTGATGTAGAGACTTTTAGTAAAAGAGTAAATTAAGGACCAAAATTCACTTTTATATATGTATTCCTTGGGTTTCCTTTTGATATTTCTCACTATAACAGGAGATTATTTTTATATGAAATAATAAAAAAAATATACTTAAAAAACGCTGTTATCTATACTGTTAATTATTTTAGAATATCACATGTAAATTAGGTGGCAGAAGCCATAGCAGATTTGCATGTCTTAGAAAATAGCAGGTAATTTCGTGAGTTTGCAAATAGATTATTTTGCAAATGGTTCTGTACTGCAGTAAAAGAGTTTGGTAGTAAACAGAACATCTTGTTAGTGGAACTGATAGAAACAATATTGTCATTCATCTTTAATTATACTTTCTTTGCTTCTCTCACACCAATTTCACCTTCCTACACTGTGACACTTTGTCTTTTTTTTTTTTCCCGCCCTATGTCTTTTTCTTTTGTCACACTGTTTTACATACCTCACCAAATGAGATCTTTTGGTTTAAGTGACCGTTTTTTTGAAACTTTAGAATACATTTTTCCTAATCTCAGTAAAAACTGGGGTCATAGTCTCACAATGCTAAGAACAAATAAAGCTGTCATCAGCATTTGATTTTGTAAGGCAGTGGAATTGTGGCAAAGGTTTTTAAAAGGTTTGAATAGTCCCCCTAAAGTAATTAAAATAACCTTGTATCTTTATTTATTCAATTATAAATTTAAATCTCAAAAGCAGAGAGTTTAAGAGTTTATATTCTGTTTGAGGTTTGAACTTTGTACATTGTATCAGTGCTGGCATTATCTTTTTTCTTTGCTTTTGTTTCCTTTTATAAAGTTTAATTTAAGGAAATAGCAACTTTTGCATTTCAGTAGTTATTTAAATGGAAGCTGGAGTTTGGCCAAATCCCTGATGCAATCAAAGCCATTGCTCTCTAATCCCCTGAAAAAAAAAATGGTGTATTGCAGAAATATTTGTTGTTGCTGCCATTCAAGCTTCACTTGATTTGTAAACACTTGCGGGTCTGTTATGTGCATTCATGTGCAAGAGAAAGGAGAATGAAGCCAGTAGCTCCTCGGGCTATAAAATTCCATGGAGATGCCAATGCAAAGTTACCTTCTTACTCCCACAGAGAGCCCAGAGAACATAAGGGAGAAGTTTTTCTTGCAGAAGGGGAGTGGTTTGCTTACAGCTCACCACCACTGTGTGTACTTACAGGGAGCAGAGAGTGAAACCTGAATTTTAATTGAATGTGTGTTTCATCAAGACCAATCTTCAGAGTGCAGATTACAATGCTAGCAAAGAACATGCATTCATAATTCAGTTTCAATAAAACCTACCTATGCTTGTTATAAAGTTTATGACTCAAACTCCTTAAACTCCTGGAGGTAACTTTTATTTGAAGCAAAACTATTCATTGTCACATTTTAAAGTTTATTTCCCAAACATGTTTGTGTTACCAGTTAGTCCATCATAAAATAGTCCCAGTTTATGGACTACATTTATTTTTTAATGAAAAGGGTATTAATATGTTATTTTCAATTATGATTTTCTTTTCAATTATAATGACTATTTCACCATCAGAAAAGGTGAGTTAAGTTACTTGAAGGAATTATTTAATAAAGTTAAGAAAATATTATTTTGAAACATTATCCTCAGAAAGAAATCAATATTATTAGATTATGCGTGATCATTATTTTCTAGGTGGTTTTCTAAAGTTCCTGAAAGGTCATTCAGAGCATTGGGAAGAAGAAATTTGGGATAGTAGTAAATTCAAAGCAATTTCACCAGTGCCTGTACGAAATAATTGAATGGGGAATGACCTTGGGTTGTCTGTTTGCAAGAATATAAATGTCTAATTAATTGGCCGTGTCTACCTGAAGCCACTCACATTTTAAAAAGTGGGGGGAATATCTTTATAATAACTTTTCAACAGGATATCAGACATCCAATATACTAAACTTCTTATGATTTATGTGAATATTTTGCTAATATGTACTCTTAACATTTGAGGAAGCAAAAATGCAATATTAGGATTTGGTACATGAGCCCCAGAAATTTAAACAGCTTCAAAACAATGTTAATTATCTTGATTTAATCATCCCACAACTTATCTATGTATCAAAATATCACATTGTTTAAATAAATATAGTTGACCCTTGAACAACATGGTGGTTAGGAGCATCAACCCCACCTCATGCAGTCAGAAATCCACATATAACTTTTGATACCTTCAAAACTTAACTACTAATAGCCTCCTGTTGAACAGAAGCCATACTGATAACATAGTAGATTAACATATATTTGTGTGGGTATTATATATTGTATTCTTATAATAAAGTGAGCTAGAGAAAAGAAAATGTTATTAAGAAAGTAATAAGGGCTGGGCTCAGTGGCTCATGCCTGTAATCCCAGCACTTCGGGAGGCCAAAGCAGGCAGATCACTTGAGGTCAACAGTTCAAGACCAGCCTGGCCAACATGATGAAACCCAGTTTCTACTAAAAATACAATAATTAGCTGGGCGTGGTGTTGCACACCTGTAATCCCAGCTACTCAGGAGGCTGAGGCAGGAGAATCACTTGAACCTGGTAGGCGGAGGTTGTAGTGAGCCAAGATTATGCCACTACACTCCAGCCTGGGTGACAGAGTGAGACTCTGTCTCAAATAAATAAATAAATAAATAAATAAAAAGAAAAAAAAAAAGAAAAGAATAGGAAGAGCAAATATATTAAGTGGAAGTGGATCATTGTAAAGGTCTTCATCCTCGTTGTCTTCATTTTGAGCAGACTAAAGAGGAGGAGGAAGAAGAGGAGGGATTGGTCCTGCTATCTCTGGGTAGCAGACGTGGAAGAAAATCCCCGTACAAGTGAACCCATGCAGTTCAAGCCCATATTGTTCAAGGGTCAACTTATGTACAATTATTATTTGTCAATTAAAAACAAAAAGACAATAGAACATACTTGAGGTTGACAAAAACGTGAGAAGGATATTGCTGTAGGATTGATTGTTTACTAGGTGATCTTAACTGACTGTCATAGTAATCTAAGTACATTCTCGCTGTTTCTAGGATTTCTGAAATCTCAATGGAGGTAGCTGAACAAGGACGTGGAACAACAATGACTCCTCCAGCTGACTTGATTGAAAAATGTGATTGTCCCCTGGGCTATTCTGGCCTGTCCTGTGAGGTAAGCTACCTCCTACTAACCTGCTTAATCTCAAGTCACTTCAGGAGCTAAATGGAAATACTCCCAGAAGTACCTTTACTGCATACATATTCTTAATCTATTTTATTTAATCTTCCACTCACAGTGTGAGACACAGTGGCAAGAGGATAATGTTATTGATATTTAGTACAAATCATACCTGAAGGGAAATAGTTGATCAAAAATTTAAAGATTTGTGAAAATATTTAACAATCAGGAATTAAGAATGTTTTAATAAGCCTATTTATTATAGCTGATCTATTTTCTTGGACCACTTCTGAAGAGTTAGAGACATTTAAACTGCAATGATTAGGAGATAGGATTATACTGGGTTTTGAAAATATTTTTATATAGAACACGACAAAACTTGTACACTAAATAGCAGGCTGTTCCCTTTAACATAAGCTTCTCAGGGAAACATATCTTTGTTCCAACAGTGCTGCTATGAGTCATTACAGTTATAAAACTATCTTTTTTTTTTACATTTTAAAAGTAATTTTAAAACTGCTTTTCAATAAACTTGCTGAGATATTCTCTTGTCTGCCTTCAAGATTGTCAAATTTCTTAGGATCTAATTTCTATAATTGTGAAATATTAATAGGAACAGTACGACTTAAGGGAGGTGGAATGAATAGATGAGAAACTGGCCTGGGTTTGAATCTCGACTTCACCATACAGTAAGCCTGAGACCCTGCACTGGGTGCTACACCTCTTTAGGCTTTAGCAGGTAAACACCAAGTCCCTGAGTAACTACCACTACACTTTCACCTCTCCCGCAGACCCCACAGTCTGAAGCCTGGCATGCATGGGGCCTCCAGGACTGCTCCAGCCCTACAGCTGGGATTCTTTCTCATTAGTCAGGCTGGCTGGTGCTCACAGCATACCAGTTAGATATTATTAAATCTCCCTCACCTACAGCCTGAGTCTTATGAAGACTAAATGAGCTGTTAATGTTAAGGATTCATCACAGCACCTGGTGTGTAGATGATGTAAGTTTTGATGGTTAATATTATTATTAATGTAATCACTAGTTATATACCCATGTATTGATTCAGTTATAAATAATTTTATACATCTTATTTTGTAAATAGGATTTGAGAAGTTGTATTAAGTATGGTACATGAGACAGATGATTCCACTAGGTCAAAACTGAAGTGCAACTTAAAAATAATGAGTATACATTTCTTGAGAGGGACATGGCATCATGAAAAGAAAAAGGAATTTGGTTTCAGTGAATCCTACCTAGCTGCACTACTTGGACAGGTTACTTGCTCTGTTTTTGCTAAATCTTGGGTTTTTACCTATACATCCTAAGGATTGATTTAAATGGAAACGTATGTGTGAAAATCCCTTTACAAACTGACATGCCATTCAGCTTAGTTACCATCACATGGATTCCATATAGTTCAAGGAAAAAGTTTATAAAATAACTGCAACTGTTTTGTGACACATGCTTAAAATGATTTTCTACTCTTTCCTGTGACTTCTCTGAAGGGCAATATTTATTTACATGTGTCCATTTTGAGCTAATAAATAATCAAGTAATCCATCTCCTTATTAAATTGTATTTCCTACATCTATTTATACACACACTAGTAAACTTATACTGGTAAGCACTGCTTATACAGTAAGCACTGCTCTTTCCAATATACATATGTACACATAGTGTATGGGTGAAAACTGAGACTGTGTGGCACATATGAAATGAGTGACCTTTCCAGTGAGCATTGAAGATTTTAAAATGGAGGACAGAAAGAATGTGAGATTTTTCTAGACAAGAGATGGAATTTCCTTTATCCCAGGTAGCGTTTGGTTTTACTTTTAACTGTGTGCACTTGATCAATGCTCTTAATTGCTGTAGACCTTCGTTATTATATAGCTATCCAATCTATAAAATGACAGATTGAGTTGAAGTTCTAAAATTCTCTGATTCTGCAATATTATTTTGCTATAGAAAATATTCTGTAAGTAGTCAAGGTTGACCTTTAGATATCTTGAAGAGAAGGTTATTACAGCTATATTTTTCTGCATTTATTTGAAATAATACTGTTCACTTGTGAACAAAAATGTTAGTAGAATAGCAAATTATTTTCATGCAACCAACCTTCCATTCTGGATTTAAAATGTTAAAAACCTTTCTTCATATGATTGATAGACTTTTTGAATAGTACATTCAAATACATGCTTTCCCATTAATTTGAGTCATTTTCCATCATTATATGAAAATGTAAATGAGCACAAATAAAACAAATGATAAATGAAAATCAAGAAAAACTAAGAATATGTACAAATTGTCATCTGCATTAGTGGCTTCACCGTCCCATGACTTTCACTTAAGCATCTATTTACAGACAGTAATTGCAGTAATATCTTAGTAGAGAGATTACAGAGATAAAGACCTATCTCTCATAATAATGTACCTGAAGTGTTTTCCACAACCCATGGCCTCTAATCCATTATACCTCTTATTTATAATTCATCTTGATTCCTAAGTGTAATTACCCAGGCATAAAATCTTATCATCAAAGCAAGAGCTAAGGGCAGTTTTGAAATAATACATCCCATTCCAGTAACATATGCTTTGGGTCATGAATACACAAAGCAGTTCCTCTACAATATTTTTACAAAATGTATAGTATTCTAGAGACATCTGCATCTACAGGCTATTTTATTTCATGTTTTTATCCACAATATGGTTGCAAGTAAACAAAATTAAGTATCAGTTACTGCTAAAATATAGCCAGTTGTAAAGACTCTTAGCCTTTGCTTGTTACCTGCACTGTTATGACAGTGCAGGCCTGGTCATTAAAAATGTTAGTTTTAGAAATGCCTAATTATTATAATTTACTATTTGCAGAAGGGGCCAGATTACCTTCAGGAGTCAAACAAAGGACACCATTTCCTCACCAGATTTCTTGGTGTTGGAGCCATTGAGTTTGTTATACTTTATTTAACCTGTCTTTGAGTGACATTAAATATAGGTTATTGCCCAAACTGACCTAAACTGAGCTTTATGCAGTTGAAAGGTTATATGCAGGTACCATTCTTACTTATGACTTTCTTTCTTAAATATGGAAAATATTCAGCCTTGCGTGTGCAGCTCTCTGCAGTAATACGGAAATCAGAAATTTGTCAATGATCTCTAGGTCATGTTTTGATAGTTTCAGCTTCTATCCTGTCTTCCCATATTTTAAAAGGGCTTTAGGCTTGCAGTTGAATGGCCGGTGTCTATTGGATCGCCACTCAGAAGCTGTCCCTTGTGGCTATTAAAACTGATTTTTTTAAATCTCCAAATAATTTATACCTATCGTCAACACATAAAGCCCAAAAGGCAAAATGTGAAAATAGTCTTAGCTACTTACATATGCACACATCTATCCTTTATCACTTCTGTTGCACACCAGAGACCCAAAGTCTCTGTTTTCATGTACAGACAAGTGTTGAGGAACATGGCATGGGTAAGTTATGTTATAATTTTGTTTACAAATATAACCTAAAACAATCATGGTATCTTTATTTTTAGTTTATTTCCAGCAAACATAGAAAAAACTATTTGAGATAGAGAAACCTATTGATTTATGTATGACAATTATTAAACATGCTTTATCTCAAGTAATCCTCAGATCCACCCTATGAAAAGCAGAACCTACCATTGATTGAGTGCTTACTATCTCCTGTACACTTCCTAATACAGTTACACCAACATCATCGACTATAATTTATGATCCCCATTTTACGGGTGAGAGAATTGAGGCCCATGATCACACACCTACACAGCAATTCAAACCTCAATGAATCTGTTTCCAAAACCTAGGTAAACTTGTACTCAACTATTATATTATGCAGTCATGTGCTGCTTAACGACAGGGATACGTTCTGAGAAATGTGTCGTTAGGTGATCTCCTCATTGTGCAAACATCATAGAGTGTACATACACAAACCTAAATGGTGTAGCCTACTACACACCTAGGCTACATGGGATAGCCTGTTGCTCCTAGGCTACAGACCTGCACAGCATGTTATTGGTACTGAATACAGTAGGCAATTGTAACATAATGGTAAGTATTTGCATATCTAAACATATTTAAACATAGCAAAGGTACATTAAAAATATAGTTTTATAATCTTATGGGACCACTGTCGTACACATGGTCCTATCATTGACCAAAATGTCATTATGCAGCAGCACATGACTGTACAATATTCCTACATTCCAGGTGAGGAAACCAAGGCACACAGTATTCAGAACCTTACTACATACAAAGTGGTGAAACAGGAATTAAACTCGGGTCTGCCTGATTGCAAAATCCATGCAAAGATACAAGATAGAGTGTTTTTATGAGCTCCAGCACAAGCATCTATTTTTATTACTAAACTCTGAAGAAAGAAAGGAGCGCAGTGTGCAGCCCTGAGCCTAGGATAGGATAGGTCTCTACAGTCTGCTTCATTCTCTCCTCTCTACCCTCCCACATTTTTGTGTAAATTTAATCTAATTTTTTGATGAAACAATATATTATGAAAATAAATTAAAGATAGACGAGAGCAGAAGAAAATTGAGCCATGAATAATTTCAACAGTGGGGAAGAGAACTTTGGAAAAGTTTAAATTAGAGTAGAAATGGGTAAGAGGAGCTCAGGAAAGTATTTATTTGCTTTTCTTTAATTCCCCATTGTGTTCCAGAAAGGATTTTAGATGGGACTCAAAAAGTAACTTTTTTGCTTCCAATTCCAACATAATCATTCTCACAAACTTTTGTCTCAGTTCACCAAGAGGAAAAACATTCAATATTGACAAACACCCTAAAAATTATTTAAATTGAAAGAATAGTGCAAAATAATCAAGGAAAAGAGAGAATTTCTGTTTTTTTTTTTAAAAAAAACAGCACGTTTTAAGTTTCTAATCTTTGCGTTGTCAAATACTCTCTCTCTCTCTTTTGCTACCTCATAGAAATTTAATCCATCAGGATACGAAATAAATCAAAACTAATCTAAAATGTTAAAACTGAAAGACACTTTAGAAGTCATCTGAGTTAACCTACTCATTTGTGGGATGAGGAAACTGGGTCTCAAAGTAACTTGCCCATATCTCTCAGACAAAACTAACATAAAATCAAGGCTTCCCTATTCATTCCTTTTATAGTACCAAGGAGTGGTATGCACTTTTTATGTATTTATTTATTTTTTTGAGATGGAGTCTCGCTTTGTCACTCAGGCTGGAGTGCAGTGGCCAGATCTCAGCTTACTGCAACCTCCACTTCCCAGGTTCAAGCGATGCTCGTGCCTCAGCCTCCAGAGTAGTTGGGACTACAGACACGCATCACCACGCCTGGCTAATTTTTGTATTTTTAGTCAAGACATGGTTTCACCATGTTGGCCAGGCTGGTCTGGAACTCCTGACCTCAAGTAATCCAGCCACCTCAGCCTCCCAAAATGCTGGGATTACAGGCGTGAGCCACCATGTCTCGCCTTTTCCATGTGCCCTTTTAAATGCACACATACACAACAGAGAATAAGGAGCTTGCCAGTGACGCTGCGCTCTAATTGTCTGTTAGACTTTTCTAAGAGTTTTAAAACAAACTCGGGCCTCAACTCTCCCCCAGAGGAATTGACTCCACCTCCTCTAGGGCTGGACCGGACCACAGACTCCCACTATGGGCGCTTGTCTATTGTGTCAGGCTGCCTGTCGGGGAAAACCACAGTAATAGGAAAAATGTGTTGTGCGTTAGAGTAGACTTCACCTTAGGGCTCGCCTTCACATTTGGACCTACAACGCTAAACTGTACAATTCCTCGATGAGGAGTATTACTTCTTGTGTTTCTTTTTCTTCTAAGATTTATTTTAAACTTTTGTTTGAGCTTCAAGGAAACTTCCTCTCAATTTGTGTGATTTTTTACACAAATTTTTACAGACAGTAATTACAGTAATAACTTAGTAGAGAGATTACAGAGATAAAGTCCTATCTCTCATAGTAACACACATGCATGCACCTAGCAAGTATGTCAATAACACAACAATTTTATATATATATAATTTTATATACATATTTATATATTATATATATTTTATATATTATATATATAATTTATATATATAATATATAATTTATATATTATATATATATAATTAATATATATATTCAAGGATGAAATCCATGCACAGAAAATCCAGTTTTATTCAGTGGTCAGCTTGCTAAAGAATTGGAATAACCCACACTATGAACCACTTTTAAATAGATCTTGGTTTATTTCTTCAGTTATGCTTAAACTAATTCTTCAACCATCATTTCCAGGACTTATTCAATAATAATGGCAAAAATGAACCTTGCTTTTTAAATAATATGTATAAACTTTATTAAATTATATGATTATGTCCACCATAAGACAAATAAGACTCAAAATAGTTTGAATACTATTCTCAGTTTTATCAGCTTGCTCAAAGTTGGGACATTATTAAATCTCATTAGAATTTATTTTAGGCTGTGATAAAAGCAGAGAGTCTCTTGATTAAGTGCTTAATTGAAGTACTTTTGCATTATCCAAATCAAAATAAACAAGGAGGGTGCTAGCTATTAAGCTAGATCTTTTTAAGGAGCTTCTTTGTATATTTGTCTCTGGACTGTCTAGGCCAGAACCAAAGGGATGTGGAGGTACTAGAAAGTTCTTAATCTGATATTTTTTCTGGCTTAGTCAGCAATCACTTTTCTTTCATCAATGGGCATAAGATTTTTAAGTGAAAAAAAAAAATTCTACTTAACCAAGGTGGTAAAATAGTCCCCTTGTAATTCTCCATGGGATTTGAAAAACTGACTCCTACCTTTTATTCATAAATCAAGCAATGTCTGCAGCTATGCATGAGGAGAGGACTGAGCCTGAAACACAAGACGGTTTTCATCTTCGTGCCAGAGCTGTGGACTACCTTCCAGAAAGCCAGAGATGTTTGTTGATACATTTTCATAATAAACCCAAATGAAGATGGAAGTCTTGATTTTGCATATGTCAGCTTCACTAGAAGTTTTCTGTTTGCTTTCAGATTTTTATTGCAAAAAGAAAAAAATTATATCAGGGAAAGATAAATTTTATTGGTGGTCTAATAGTCGCAAGACATGTACAGCTTTTATTATTTTGGATTTCTTACTTTTATAGTCTTTAAATTATATCAGTATAAATAATGCATCCATAACACTTTTTATTTAGTTTTTTGCTGTGTTTCATTGGACATTTGCTAGTTATCCATCAAGCACAGTAAAAGCAGATTTTAGGTGTTAAAGACATTGGAATTATCTTTATTCCATATGACAATGTTATTTAAAAACAAACATCTTTTTCAAGAAAAATACTCTTTGGAGCTTTTTCAGGCTGAATTGTATCTACAAATAAAAGCTTTCCTTGGTTAAAATCTGATTACACATGGATGCCGCCCGAACACCTTGGAGACCAGGAAGAAATACACATTAAGTATCAAAATCGGCACTTGCGTTTGTAAGTGATGTTGCCCCTGCCGCAGGTGGGGGAAGGCCAGTCTGTCTTTGCAGCCACTGAAGAGCTCAAGCGTTGCTAATGCAGTATTTCTAACTTTGCTGTCCTAATTGGCTTCCTTTTCTTTCAGGCATGCTTGCCGGGATTTTATCGACTGCGTTCTCAACCAGGTGGCCGCACCCCTGGACCAACCCTGGGCACCTGTGTTCCATGTCAATGTAATGGACACAGCAGCCTGTGTGACCCTGAAACATCGATATGCCAGGTAGTCCTCTGAGCCTTCCTTGAACAAGGTCCATGTGCTCATTCCTCTTTACACATGCTCAGCATCTGCATGCAGAGGCCAGCTAAACTGTAAGGGAATGCAACTGTGTGTGTGAAATAAAATATGTAAGGGAAAAAGATATTCACAGATTCTGCATTTTAAAAAGTAAGGAAAAAATAACTGGGAGAACCACTGAGCATGTCAAGAAATAGAATTTTAGCAGCATCTTAGAAGAGCACCAGAAGACATACCTATTTAAAAATTATGTGTGCCTTTTTTTCTGATTATTTTCTTATAAATAAACTTTCTATAAAATTTGGAAATTACAGAAAAGAATTAAGAAGAAAAAATTCACCCAAAATGCAACATAACATTTTAATGTTTTAAGTATTTCCCACCAATTTTTACATGTGTTTATGAATAAGATTTATATAACACCATGGATGCAGTTTTATGTCTTGTCCTTTACATTTTTACCTATCATGAGGTTGTATTATGTTGTTAGATATTATTTAAAATCTTTACGATCTTTGTTTGGATGTCCCATAATTTACCCATTTCCCTTAGAATTGAGGTAGCTCTTATTTTTTTATGTTTCTGCTGGCACCCTGCACTCTCTACCACCATCTGCATTAGAACAATCAGAACAATCATGTGTTCCACCCTTTTTATCGTAGTCACTGTAAGAAATTCAGGTTGCCCCTGTCACCACTTGTCCCTCAAGCTGTAATCTGCCCACAGCTCATCTTTGTTAAGCCCATCTCCCACCTCTGCTCACCTTCTGAAACCATTCTACTGAGCCTTGTGGAACTCATGGTCAAAACAGGCAAAATACCCCGCAGAATCCTCCTCTTCCCTCAGTGTTCTCTTCATCATGCTCTGACTGAAACCCAACTCTCACTTTGCATGCTGCTACCCCGGCAGCCCTCTTAAGGAGTAGCCATCACCTTTTTGTTTTTTTTTTCCCCTGAGATGCTGACTCACTCTGTCGTGCAGGCTGGAGGGCAGTGGCGATCCTGGCTCACTGCAACCTCCGACTCCCGGGTTCAAGTGATTCTCATGCCTCAGCCTCCTGAGTAGCTGGGACTACAGGCTCACGCCACCACACCTGGATATTTTTTTTATTTTTAGTAGAGACGGGGTTTCACCATGTTGTCTAGGCTGGTCTCGAACTCCTAACCTCAGGTAATCCACCCACCTTGGCCTCCCAAAGTGCTGGGATTACAGGCATGAGCCACCATGCCCAGCTGCAGTCGCCATCACTTTCTTTCACTCCCTTCATTCCCCTGAGTCTGAAGGTGGGGGCAGGTTTTCCTGCTCCTCGCTGCCAGTTTCATATTATCCATCCTCCTCTACATCAGGGTCCACAACCCCTGGGCCACAGGAGGATATTGGTCCGTGGCCTTTTAGAAACCAGACCACACAGCAGGAGGCAAGCAGCAGGCAAAGGAGCAAGCGCAGCTTCATTAGCATTTACAGCTGCTCCTCATTCCTGGTATTACTGTACTGCCTGAGCTCCACCTCCTGTCAGATCAGAGACAGCATTAGATTCTCATAGGAGCACAAACCCTATTGTGAACTGCACATGTGAGGGATCTAGGTTGTGCGCTCCTGAGAATCTAATGCCTGATGATCAATGATCTGTCACTGTCTCCCATCACCCCAAGATGGGACTATCTAGTTGCAGGAAAACAAGCTTAGGGCTTCCACTGATTCTATGTTATGGTGAGTTGTATAATTATTTCATTATATATTACAATGTAATAATAATAGATAGTAATAATAATAATAGATAATAAAGTGCACAGTAAATATAACATGCTTGCATCATCACAAAACCATCCCCCAATCCTAGTCCATGGAAAAATTGCCTTCCATGAAACCAGTCCCTGGTGCCAAAAACATTGGAGACGCTGCTCTACAGCACCCAGCTTTGACTCTCATGCTTCCCTCTATGTGCCCCCTCTCCATCTGCTTGTCGAAGTCACCTACTAACCTTTAAATACCCCACATCATTCCTTGCTGATTTTCCCTGTCTAATTGTCATTTTCCCTAGCACTACTCCTGTCATCATTCTTAGTGATTTTAATGTCCATGAACTTAACTCTTCCATACTCTTCACTTTCAGTTTCTTGTGCCTCTCTGGTCTCCATTTGAAGCGTTTTTTTGTTGTTGTTTGGTTTTTGTTTTTTTTTTTTTTTTTCCCACTGTGTCGTTTCTCTCTAGTTCACTTCTTCTAAATACTTCCACTTCAATGTGTGTAATCTCACAATTGATGCACACACTTTTTTCTTGTTCCTTATCTCATGCTTTCACTGTAGTAACCAGCTTAATAGTCATGATCTTTCATTGGTATTACTGCTTTGCAACGCTCATTTCCCTGGCTACTCCTTTACTTATTTTTTACTCAAGTGAACTCCAACACTGTGAGAATCCTACCATCTCCTCCATACCTGCACCTTCTTTTTTTTTTTGAGACGGAGTCTTGCTCTGTCACCCAGGCTGGAGTGCAGTGACGCGATCTCAGCTCACTGCAAGCTCCGCCTCTCAGGTTCAAGCCATTCTCCTGCCTCAGCCTCCTGAGTAGCTGGAACTACAGGTGCCCACCACCATGCCCGGCTTCTTTTTTTGTATTTTTAATAGAGACGGGGTTTCACTGTGTTAGCCAGGATGGACTCGATCTCCTGACCTCATGATCCATGATTCGCCTCCTTCGGCCTCCCAAAGTGCTGGGACTACAGGCGTAAGCCACTGCGCCCGGCCACCTGCACCTTCTAAGCTGAACGTGGCTGTAGAAAAAGACAATTGTGCCATCTAATCTCACCTTAAATTCATGATCCCTCTCTTCAAATGGACCCTTTGTGCTGCTCTGCAATCATGCCACTTTTCTCTCATCCTTTTTCTTTTCCACATTCCTAGGTGATTATTTCATACCTCCCCCTCCATCCTCAAGCCTAAACCTCTCCTCTCACCCCCTCCCATCCTTACCCTCAGTTGATGGTGTTGCCTCTTATTTCATTGAGAATTTAGAAGCTGTCAGAAGAGAGGTAACAAGCTCCCACTACTGCATGCACCCACTTTTCTGCATCTGTGCCCAATTATTATGACTCTTTTCTATTACTTTGGATGAATTATTCTTGTTTCCAGAAAAGATCACATCTTCCCCCTATGTTCTCAATTCTACCCCTCTCCCGCTTGATGACATCACTCTGGCTAATCTCTCCTCCTTCTTATATTGTCACTTTTTTTTTCCATCTTAAAAGCAAAAACAAACTCTCCTGACTCATTTCCTTTCTAAGTAACCACTTCATTCTTCTCCTTCCATACAATGGAGAGCTGTCTATCCCGTCTATAATTTCTCTTCATCCATTCTCCTTTGAATTACTAAAAACAGGCTATCACCTCCTCTTCTATACTGGATTCAATGGCTAATCTACAGCCACCAGTGTTCACCTTACTATATCTAACAGCCATGTTTGCCACTGTGAATCACCCCATTCTTCTTGAAACCCTTTGCTCAATTTGCTTTCCAGCCCATGGCATTCTGGAGATGTTCAAATTCCATAGTGGCTCCTTCTCAGCTTTCTTCATTACTCTGAAATCTACATAGTGGTATTCCTGGGACTCAATCCTTGGAGCAATTTGTTTCTCTAACTACATTCATTCAGATGGTGATCTTACCCAGGCATGTGGCTTTCTGTACTGAGATATTTTGATATTGACATCCCACAGTATTTACTATTAAGTTTATGATTTAATTTTATATCCACTCATTACTATGGTGTGGGGAGGTAATTTTTCTGCAGATATGTATTACCACTGTAAAGAAACATTTACTGATTAATATTTCCTTTTCCCCTTGATACATTATTGTATCTGAACATACACAAATTTATTTCATCCATATTAAGATATGTTTCAGTATAATCCATTTTGTTTTACTTACCTTTTAGCTCTTATTACAATGTTCTGCTTACCTTCATTTTATGTTAACATATCTGTAAAGCAAGGTCCTTTATTTCTCTTCTCTTCTAATTAACTAGATGCTCTTACATATTCTTCCAGCTGACACTTTTATGCACTATTTTAATCTCTTCCACAAATTTTAATTACAATCAAAATTACTGGAATTTTGATTGTAATTAAATTAGCCTATTTGTAAAGAATTGCTATATTTACACTAGTCACTCTTCTCTCTTCAGATATTTTATGTCTTACAGTAAACTGTTTTAAGGTTGTCTATATCAAGCACGCATTTCTCATATAAAAATTCTTTCTATGTATCTTACATTTTCATTTTAATGGTAGTAAACATTACCTGTTTTGTTTCAACATAGTAAATGTACTAACTGGTCATTATTGGTAAACCTTAACTATTAGAATAGGTGTTTTTACATGTATTTGATATCCAATAACTTTTATTTTAGTTCTAGAAGTTTATCAGTTGATTCAGTTATTGTTAAGTTTACCATTTTTTTTTTTTTTTTTTTTTTTTTTTGAGAGGGAGTCTTGCTCTGTCACCCAGGCTAGAGGGCAGTGGTGCTATCATGGCTCACTGCAACCTCCACCTCCCAGGTTCAAGCGATTTTCCTGCCTCAGCCTCCTGAGTAGCTGGGATTACAGGCACCTGCCACCATAACTGGCTAATTTTTGCATTTTAGTAGAGATGGGGTTTCACCATTTTAGCCAGGCTGATTTCAAACTCCTGACCTCAAGTGATCTGCCTGCCTCGGCCTCCCAAAGTTCAGGGATTACAGGCATGAACCACCAAACCTGGCCTATAATACTATTATTTGCAAATATTATAATTGTGCTTTCACTTGTCAAAAGCTATATCTGTTATAATAATAATTTCATGTTTTTAAATTGTCTCCCAAAATAATAAGCTTTCTATTTTATTACTGATTTTAATATGATTGCCTTAAGTCTTTCACCATTAAGTATGATGCTGATGGTTAGTATAAGAAAAACATTTCTTGTCATGTTACGAAAACTGCTTTCTATTCCTAGCTTCTTAAAGATATCCTCTTTCAATCAGGATAAGATATTTAAATTACTCATATGCTTAATTGTGGAGAGTGGAGTGGGAATGTAGATGCATTTAAGAGGTGATCATATATAGGTTTTTCACCTTAAACAGAACCATAAATGATATTATTGACTAAATAAATAACTTAATATTAGCCATCCATGAATTCCAGAAATAATTACTATCTTGCTTTAGTATGCTATTTTTTCATCAACTGCTTGCCTGACAAATTCAATAGGCAATTTGAGAGGAAGGGGTTAATCTATACACATTCTTAAGCAAGAATTAAATGTATATGTCTTATGCAATCTTCACTGGCATTTTTAGCACAGTTATATTTGCTTTATATGATTAATTTAGAAGCATTTATAAATAATGCAGTTTAATTTCAATTTTGTTAGGATTAAAATTACCGTCTTTATACTGTCCTCTTTTGACCAATTGACTATTATGACTATTTTTGTTCTCTAAGAATTCTAAAAGCATGTCTATTTTCTGAGGAATCCCTAGATGAAGTAAAAAATAAATACTTCCATTAAACAAACACAGCTGGTATAAACCGTTATGCTCCAAATTTTTATATTTTCTTTCATGGAACTCACAACTTTTGAATTTAGGCAACTCTGTTCATCTTTGAAATGGCCTCATGAGGCAAATAAGAAATAGCTGTTATTACTCCCACACAGTAAGTGAGGAAACTGAAGCATACTGATTTCTCTTTTATGTGCAATATGGCTCTCAGTTTCATATCATATCCATTATACAGTGCAATGCCCTCTACCTTGGTATAGTGGCAAGCATGAACTCTGCAGTCAGAGTGCCTTGATTCAAATCCTGGCTTCACCCCTTACTGGTAGTGTGAGCCTACTCAATTTATTTAACCTGAATGAGGTCTTAGTTTCTTCATTTATATAATGAAAACAATAATAGTGGCTACTCACAGAGTTTTTGTAAGGATTTGATGAAATACTCAATAAAAGGCTTAGAACATTACTTAGTGCATGGTACGCTTCATAAAAGCAATTATGATAATGATGATCATAAAGATGATAATTACCATACACATTATCTACCATTTATAGTCGAAGAACCAATCAGTTGATAATTAATCAAAAAATAAGTAAAAAAAATTCATGTCTAGCGCTATGCTAGATTTTCTTACTGTCTCAGTCCATTTCGGATGTTGTAACAAAATATCATAAACTGGGTAGCTTATAAATAACAGAAACTTATTTCCCACAGTTCTGAAGGCTGGGAAGTCCAAGATCAAGTCTCCAGCAAAGTCAGTGTCTGGGGAAGGCTTCTTTCCTGGTCATAGCTGACCCCTTCTTTCTTTGTCTTCACGTGTTGGAAGGCACTAGATAGCTCTCTGGGGTCTCTTTTGTAAAGGCCCTAATCCCACTCATGAGGCTCCAGCCTCATGATGTAATCACCTCCCAAAGGCCCCATCTCCTATTACTATCACACTGGGAGACAGGATTTCAACATACAAATTTTTGGAGAACACAGTTGTTCAGGCCATAGCAAGCCTTAACCCCCAACATGATGATATTTGGAGATGGGCACTCACTTATCTTGTTTTTCTTTATCTTCACACCTTTCCCTGAAAATATAAAGTGCATAGGAAAGAAAACTGTAGAAAGCTTTATAGACTAAATATTTTAAAGAAACCCAGATCACCTTGTAACTATGCTCTTCATCATACCTAATGATACTTGCAAGATAATTGTTGCTTCATCCTAGGCATTAATAAATCCTGTACATAGGCATGTTATTATGAATAGCTCAGTGACATTGCTCCTTAAGAAAAAAAATTTTTTTGAAGACTAAAACCTATGTAATACTGAGTCCAAGGGGATAGCGGGAGGTAAGTGAACTAACAGTAACTAGTACACACACATAGGTAGTAAGTAGGTAGATAGATAGATAGATAGATAGATAGATAGATAGATAGATACAGAAGGAAGATATTTTCATTTAATCATTGCTACACCCTGTAGTCAGATTATTTCTCCTATTTTTTTTTTCACATGGGAATATTGAAGACTTAGCTAGCTCAAACAACTTTTTAAAGATAAAATAATTTGTGGAAATATTATTTTCACTCTATCATAATTCTTATTTTAAAAAGAAAATAATAAAAATAAATCTCTATAACTGATCATTGCTGTTGCCTGAAACATTTAACCAATTACCTCTATCTTCAGTAAATAGACAGATTTGTAACTAGAATTCACTATTTTTTGTTTTGTAAACCTTATTTAATCTACCTAACAACCTTGCCAGAATAGAGATTGTTAGCATTATACTAAGTTCTGGAAATTAATGCTAAGAAAATGTAAGCAACCTATAAAGCCTTGAACAAAAAGTATTAGAAGCAGGTTTCAAATCCACCACAAACTGCGTTCTCCAGACGGCAAGAGAGTGTAAACACTCTCTGCTGATTAAATGAGTTTGATTTTACAAGCTCAAGTGAATTATATCTTAGAGTCGGGACAGAATCTGCAAAAGTGACTAGGGGTCATGTATGGAAAACACTTGAGAAATTGTGAGAACATAAAATTTGTCGCAGGATAGTAAGCAATAAAACATCTTTCCAGGTTTTATAAAGGAAAATAAAATGTAGGAAACTGATTGTCATCTCCAGTGAAACTTAAGTATTGCTTACTTAACAAATATCTGTCAACTGTGGAAAAAATAAACAGTGCTCATTAGGAATCAGAATAGGTTCACTTTGTCAGAGGCAATGGCTCATGCCTGTAATCCTAGCACTTTTGGAGGCCAAGAGCGGAGGATCCAGGAGTTCGAGACCAGCATGGTCAACAAAGGCCCTGTGTCTACAAAAAATTAAAAATTAAAAAAAAGAATAGGTTCATTCAAAATAACACATATCAAACTAAGTGCTAGGTTTACTGTATATATAATATCTGAAAACCTAGTTTTCTAAATCCCAGTAAAATATCAAGTTTATCAGACAATGTGATACATCATATCTCAAATTCAGCAAAAAATAATAACTGCTATTATGTGTCCAAAACTGTGTATGTACCAGGACCAAAACAGGTCACTGTACAGAGATTTTCTCATTTATTGTTACAATAAACTTATGAGATAGACAAGATTATTTCTTCTTTTATTGTTGATGAACTGATGCTAGAGAAATTAAATAACTTGCTTAAGTCATAAAACAGCAGAGGCCATATCCATGTTTCAAATGCTGGTTTGTTTAAATAGATGTTTGATGAGCTATTTCATAGTATCCTTGTGCACAAGATTGAAAATATGAGCCAGATGTTAGCCAGCTGATAGGTTGATGGGCATATACGTTGCTAAAAAAATGTGACCCAGAGTACACTCTAGTGATATCTCCAATGATGAGGCGTAAGCTTTGTATTTGACCTTGTTGTGTTCAAAATATCTGTAAATGCTTTGGATGATATCTATCAAATATTCAGATAATATAAAGCTGAAAGTATTATCTAATGTGTTGGATGGTGGGAAAATATCCTGACAGATGATACTATGAATTACAGTTAACAAGATGAGATTAATAGAAAAGATTTGAACTCAGGTAAGCTCACTTGTTTGTTCATTCCTGTGGCATCTGTTAATTATGTTTCCAACATGCAGGTCTATGGCCTATGGTAGATAGTAAGAATATGAAGACTGCATGGGTCTTGCCCTCTAGGAGCTTATTCTCTAGTTTAGGGGAAAGAACAGAGGAAATGACACATATTAGCAATTCATGTGAAGTAAGAGTCCTTACTTGATTGCAGATTCACTAGGTGCCAACACAGGGCATTGCTATTTGTATAAGATCCAAATCAAGGGAGGAAGTACATTTAATATATTTGCAAGTCACAGCTAGAGACTTATAATCTACTATATTTTGAAAGAAACCCTGAGTAAGATTGCTAAATGTTTAGCTTGAAACAAAGATTTAGGAAGTAATAGTATTCTTAGATATTTGAGGACCTTCCCTAGGAAAAGGGAATTAGACTTAATTTTCATAGCTTCAGAAGGCAGAACTTGGATCACTCACTGAAAATTAGAATGCATCAAATTTTTATTCACCGTAAGGAAAAACTTCACAGCTTATGCAAGACGAAAAAAGCTGTCTTATAAGAATTCATGCATTTAATGATATCTCAAGGAAAGTATAGAAGGCATTCCTGTATGGCAAGAAGGTTAGATTAAGTAATTTCTCACCTTAGGCCTGAGATACTATAATATTAATGTTATAGTCATTTGATTTTGTAGAAGGAATATATACCAACAGTTTTCCAGTGTGCAAAAAAAAACTTAACAAATCTAATATATTCTGATGTATTATTGAAGAGATACTAGCACATACCACTCTTGAGAATATAATTAAACTTCTCATTAGGCATCCAAAATATAGGAATTTCCCCTAATGGCTAATTTTTATATAAGAAAAAATACTATGTACACTATTTCAAAGCAGACAGAAAAGTCATATGAAAAGGGTATGTCAAAAAAGTTTCAAAAAGAGGCTCCTGATTTATGTGTTGTGTGTTTGTGGACCTAACCAGGACATTTGATTCAATTAACCAAGTTTAGTATGTCAGCAACCCTCTGAAAGATTGAGAAGATTGACTGTCCAGAGAATATTACAATATTTGCTTTCTCTGTTGAAGAAATTATGTAGACTTACAGGTATAAGAGAAACAAAATCATATTTTTGAATCTCTTATTTTTAGTAATGATTATTGGCTTTAAGGATTTTAATTCAGTTACTAATGTTATATTTAGGTTACATAAAATAATTCATTATGCAATTATTTTACTGCAAAAGCAAAAGGCTGAAAATTATTGTTGAAGATCCCATGTATTTTTGGCACATTCATCTCTATAAAATAAGTTCTTAAAACACTCCCCAGTTAACACTTATTCATCAGCATGACACCTTGCTGAATGACTTGAAATTATAATTCATAGATAATTATTTTATCTTGGAGCCATTATCTCTCATAATGCTACTGTTAAATATGGAATGGCTCTTTTATTGCTTAAAAATGGTGGTTCCTTTGGATGGTTGAATAAAAGAGGATTATGGCACTTAAATCAATGGCAAAATATGACAAATCATTTTGCCCTGCTAACCACTTTTCTGCAATGACACTTGAAATTTGGGCTTTTTCATCTGAAAAAGCCTGACCAGTTTCATCTATACTTCCTGGAACATGCATTCATTCATTCAGTCATTCAAAATAGTCATCGAATGCCTCCCATGTTTGATGAACTAAAAGGAGCATTTAAGCCAGTTTTAGGTCATCGGGGAATGTTTCTCAGAGAAAGTGACATTTAAAATGAGAGCTGAAATGAATAAGTGCTAGCCTGATATACACTGTAGAGCTAAGGATTTGCAAATGAAAAGTCCCAGCAGTGATAAAGAGTATCCGCATAATTTGAGAATTTCAGATGGCCCCATGTGGCTACGGCATTATATGCAAAGAAAGCAGTGGCTACAGCTACATATGGAGGGGTAAGCACAGTGGTGGTGAAGGCGGGGGTGGGGGTGGCAGGTAATGAAGCTCTTCCTTGCCATGCTAATGATTTGTTATTCATCCTGACTGCATTTGGGAGCTAGTGTAGGCTTTCAAGCAAGAGAAGGTCATGGTTTGATATGTTCATAGGATGATCACTCTGCAGTGTGGAGAAATCACCAGATAAGAAAATATGGAGACAGGATCTTTAGCTAAAAGGCTATTCTAATAATCCAAATAAAATATGACAGTGGCCAGATGAAAATAGTAGCAACAAGAAAGTCAAGAAACAGAGAGTAATAGACTCATGGAACTGATGATCTAATGGATACCTCGGATAAGAGAGGCCTCTAGGTTGCTGACCTTGGCAATTGAGTGAATGACAGTGACCTCAGATGAAACGAGAAATACAGGAGTATTACAAGGTTTAGCAAGAGATGAACTTCATTGTTGTCATTTCAAATTTAAGACGCTTCTGTGTTATACAATATTTATTCAAGAAGCAATTAGAAGCAGAAGTCTGGAACCCATTAGAGATATCCAGGCTGAATACATAAAATACAGAGTTTTGGGCACACCATTAACTGAAGTCATAGTAATGGATGAAATCACCAAGGTAAATGTGGAGGAGAAAAAAGAGATGAGGACCAAAGTTAGAATTAAGGGCGTCAATTATATTGAACAGAAAGGGAAGGAAGAGTCGATAAAGGAGAATTCGAGTAGCCGCAGAAGTAGGAGAAACATCAACTGGCTTACTCTTAAAGAAGCCATGGGGGCTGGGCACGGCAGCTCCCGCCTGTAATCCCAACACTTTGGGAGGCCAGGGCAGGCAGATCACGGGGTCAAGAGATGGAGACGATCCTGGCCAGCATGGTGAAACCCCGTCTTTACTGAAAATACGAAAATTAACTGGGCATGGTTACGCATGCCTGTAATCTCAGCTACTCAGGAGGCTGAGGCAGGAGAATCGCTTGAACCTGGGAGGCAGAGGTTGCAGTGAGCTGAGATGGTGCCACTGCACTCCAGCCTGACTACAGAGCGAGACTGTCTCAAAAAAAAAAAAAAGAAAGAAAGAAAAAGAAAGAAAGAAACCATGGGAAGAGAGTATCCAGAAATATCTATCAATGGCTACAGAAAACCTACATATGAGGCCTGATGATTGTAAGTTTTGCTTTAGCAACAAAGATCTTATGGGTCATCCTGGTATTATGTTTAATGGTGAAACCAGAAGCCTGTTTAAAGGGAGAATGGGAGATGAAGAAGTAGAGACCAGGAATGTAAACAATGTCTTTTTAAAAGCTTATCGAAAATAGGATAGAAATTGTCAAGCAATTTGAGACCTCACAGATTTTTTTTTTAAGACAGGAAAGGCTTGACCAATTTCAAATATTAATGAGAATGAGCCTGCAAAGGAGGGAATAAAGATGGTGGAGAAAATGGGGAGGCAGGAGGAAAGGAAACCAATTTAGGAGTGGAGTAGCTTCAGACAAAGGACGGAAACAAATGTCAAAGGGATGGAAAATAATGTGGCAATATACTGAATTGTTTGCCAGGAAACCAAGGGAGCATCCAAATTAGAGCTTTCTTATCTCTTAAAGTAGGGTAAGGTGTAGAAGTAGAAGATTTGAGATTGGCTGGGCACGTTGGGAGGCTGAGGTGGGTGGATCACCTGAGGTCAGGAGTTCAAGACCAGCCTGGCCAACATGGTGAAACCCCATCTCTACTAAAAATACAAAAAATTAGCCTGGCGTGGTGGTATGTGCCTGTAGTACCAGCTACTCGGGAAGGTGAGGCAGGAGAATCCCTTTATTCAGGAGGCAGAGGTTGCAGTGAGCCAAGATGGTGCCACTGCACTCCAGCCTGGGCGACAGAGCTCTGTCTCAAAAAAAAAAAAAAAAAAAAAAGAGAAAAAGAAAAGAAAAGAAAAGAAAAGACTTGTACCTTGTCATATTGGAAAACCAGATTCATTTCACATTGTTATAAAATCTGTAAATGTCACAATATAATTTCAAATATAACACCAAAAATGTAAAAAATAAATGATCTAAAATTCACTGTGGCAATGTCATAGTTTCACTGCAAGAAATAGCATAAACTCTCAAAAAGAGTTAATAGAAGTTTTAAACAAACATTAATTCCATGGCAATATCTGTGGTGGAAATGACGTCAGCTATTGTTTGTTGTGAATTGCCACACATTCCCTACCAACAATTGTCTGGCCATTAGAAGACACATGAAACATAAATACATTCTTCTTGATTGACTAAATGAAGCAGAGCCCAGTCTATGGGATATCATCCAAGTTCAAGCTGGCGGCTTCGTGGCTCCAGCTGAGATTATCAGGAAGTCAATTCACTAACATGTCCATCTAGTTTGTAACTGACTTTTTTGTTTCTCAACTTTTCTTTCGATATTGTTTATAAGATGTAAGTCACTATTTTGACCACTCCAAATCCTGTCTTATAAAATCCAGCTAAAATTCAATTCCAAATTCCCTTCTTCCTTTTTCTCAACTCTCAAATGCAAGGATCGCATTCCCACAAGATAACATTCAATGTTGCATTCTTGCTGCCATGTTTATTTTTTGTCAGGTGGTTTTTTTAAATTATTATTTTCCCAAAGTCTAAGTAAATTTCTAGAAGGTAGGATGTTCTTTCATTGCCTGTTTCAGTGCATTCCATGTAGCTCTTCCTAACTCCTTATTGCATAATTGATTATTGTGTTAAATATAATTCTGCTTCATGAAAATTTTAATTTGAAGCTATTTGCACACTATTCTGAAGCTATTCTCATTTCTTTGTGGAAAGGTGTTAAAGGGTATCACCCCAATGTCTCTTATTATGCAAGCATAAGAAAGAAGATATCGATCTGAGATTGCTAGTTTTAGATTGACTCCTCTGTATTTATGAAGAACCACCTACATCTATGCTTTCCACCTTGAGGTGGTTTCAGAAAGCCCACTAGTGGGCATGTGCCAAGGCCACAGTATTTGTAGCACCTTTTTCTAACATCTCATAGAGCTAAAACCTGGGATATGAAGAAACATAAATGCCTAGAAGAAATAATAAATTTTAGAGACTCGAAGTCTATTCCCCAATTTAGAGTAGGAGAAAAATTTACATAGAGATTGATTCAGGGAAAAGAGAATAGCAACTCTTATTGTCAGTGTAGCTACGATAGCACAGTATTAGTTTCTCAAATCAAAGAGTTCCTTTAAAAATATTTATATCAAAGACTGAGTTCTCTGTCAGTGATAAAGTGTGTGTGTGAGTGTGTGTGTGTAAGAAAGTATATGTGTTCATAGACACACATTCATAGCTAGGGACTGTATGATAAATTACATTCTAACTATCACTAAATTAAAAACAAACTTCTTCTCCCTTTTCCTTTACAGAATTGTCAACATCACACTGCTGGTGACTTCTGTGAACGATGTGCTCTTGGATACTATGGAATTGTCAAGGGATTGCCAAATGACTGTCAGCAATGTGCCTGCCCTCTGATTTCTTCCAGTAACAAGTAAGATTGAGAAATATAACCATATTTCCCAATCAGAAACGCCATCTGTCTAGCACATGGGCTGTCTATGATTTGGCTATTTTTTCCATGTAGACAAAAATCTCAATTTAAGATAGAGATATTTTTAATAATATAGAAACATGACAAAAGTGAGTATATAATGCTCTATGGTTCATTTTTCCTTTGAAACTCTGTCCCAAGTAAATAATACTTATTAATTAAAATTGAAGTACCAATATTAATGTAAGACATATTTATAAAACAAATGATATATATATACAAATATGCATGGTTTCATAAATATACCAGTCTAATGCTTGCATATAGCTCTGCCCATAATATCATCTATGAAGGATTGTTCGGGTGCATATTATATAATTTTTGTGGCTGTTTCCATTTATTTTATGTGTTTAATTCAAGATTGGGAAATAATTATCAAGAAAACATTGAAAAATTGTACAATTAAAGCAGGTGACTTATTGTTATGCTCCAAAAAATGTCATCTCCCGGAATCACAGCCTCCTTTTTCTTAAGATGGTCTGAGCTTGGTACCATGGAAACACAGCCCTAAGAAGAAACAAAAGCTGGAATATCTTATTTCAGTGCTGTCTGAACATTCTGCACTGGTTTATACATTGATGAAAACCCTAGGTGTTTTCATTTACCTTTTTGCCCACACTACCTGCACTTTCTGTTAAGTGATTTATAGACTTCAGTAAGGCAGGGTAGTTTTACTCTAAGAATTTGCTTTTGAAAATAATGTATGGCAGTTTGTTCAGAATTAGAATTCTGGACACTTTATCTTGAGTGTTAAACAGCCACAGAGCAATTTGGACAATGTGATCTTTGCACCTGTGCCTACTCACTTTCTTCTTAATCTTCGGCTTTGTGTGCATTCTGAAAACATTTCCTGTAAATCATCTCCTTTTCCTCTGAAAGCTCCTCTTTTTTGTTGGCTGGAATCACAAGCCTTTTACAGGGTGTCAAATGTCAATTTTTAGGTAAGCTGGATATTGAAGAGGATAATATACATGGTCTTATTGTTCATCCAGGGACCAAGTAGTATGTGTATGAAAAATAACATTATTTTTGTCTCTCTTTCCCTAATTTCTCCTTGATGCCCCGATTTATTTAATTGTTTTAAAAAGTAAGCCATTTGGATTAGAAAAATTTAATAATTAATTGATAATTCCCTGGTGAGTACACTATAATAAAAGCTACAGGAGATATACAAGAGAAGCATGCCATTTTTTGGAGGAGCTCACTGTAAAACCTGTGTGTTAAGGGGTATCAACTTAAATGTAAAGAAAATTCAAAGGCACAAAACACCACACTTAATACTGGAAGCTTCAAGAACATATGAAAAGAAATAGTAGCATGTATAATGGGTCTTAAACAATTAATTTCAGGATTTTCACTGGTGGGAATAGTAGGAAATTATATGGGCAAATGCTTACAAAATACAAGGCATGTGCAAAACCTAATAAGTAACAGAATTTGGAACATGGCGTTCAGACACAATTTCATGATCACAGATGAAAATGAATGGGAGAATAAAGACCATATTGTAGAAATCCTTAAATACCAGTCTAAGAAATAGTTATTTAATTTTCTATGTAATAAGGAAACACTACAAGTTTTTATTTTGAAAAAAAGGTTAATATGATTATGGCCACATTTTAGGAAAACTATTATCATAGAATTGAGTATAATGAATTGAAACAGGCAAATGAGAAAAGCATAGAGACCAATTAAAAGGCTAGTATACTAGCATGGGCAAAAGATAATTAGAACCAGAAGTAGGTAATAGTAATAAGAATGGAGACAAAGGAATGAATGTGAGAAAATGGTTTAATACAGCTTTACAGATTCGGAAACTAATTAGATGTGAGGGGTGAGGGTCCGGGCAGAAGTTGAAGACAGGTTTTTAGGCAGGTTACCCCCAAAAATGGTGGTGCTATTAACTGAAATGGAGAAACCAGGAGAGAGCCGTTAGAGAAGAAAGATAATTTATGTTTCAAATAGGTTCAGATTGATAGAACATATCTGTCTGAATGGAAATATGCAAATAGCTGCAGGAAATGGAAATCTGAAAATTGCAGGAGCAGATGAAGGAAGAGATATGTTAATAAGTGAATTAAAGTTGGATAAGATTTCCCAGGCTAATGTTATCCAAGGCGAGTATATAGAAAGAATGAAAGACAGGACTTTATGTTGGGAAAGGAGAAAAAGAAGAGCCAAGGCAGGAGCAGTCAGAAGAGAGGGAACCCAGGCGGCACTGCCATTGACACCAAGGGAGAGAAGAGCAGTGAACAGCATCAGTTGCTGCTCTCACAAGGGAGACCCAATGAATATGGTGGCAATTGACTATTGTAATTGAGCAAATAAATGGGCTTGCCGCCTGAAGCACATAGAAGCCAATAACGTTGGCACTGGCTTCGGAGAAAAGAAAGGCTTTACTGCAAAATTGTTCAGCAAGGAGACAAGAGTCAGGTTCAAATCTGTCTCCCTAATTTGGGATATGGGGAAGGTTGCAAGGGGTCAGAAGGCAAGGCAAAGGATTTAGAAATGCTGGCTTGGCAGAGTCTGATTGGAGGGCTTCAAATTTGATCACTTACAGTAAGGTATATTGAGGCAGATTTTAGCCCTGGATCTTCTGGGCCAATGGACCCCTCATTTCTGAAGGAGTTCCAATGTCCAGGTTTTGATTTTGTCCCTGTCTTGTTGGTTCAAGGGGAGGAATAGTTGGTTCCTGGTGTTGTTAGAGGTCAAAATTTTTCTATTGAACATGCCTGGGCTACATGACTTGCAGCTTTTGGCTCTGTTATACCTAAAAGGTAACTTGACATTTTGTTATCAACAGGGTAGGCCCGGTTTTGGTTGGTCCTGTAGTTACACTCTCAGAGTCATTGATGAATTTTGACCATCAATAATGAAAGCAGAATTTGAATTTACAGTTTTAAGAAATTTCAAGAATAAAATGATAGAATACTACCCTGATTGGTTAGCAGGATCAATAACAGGGTGTGTTTTCATTTTTGTTTCATTGTTGTTTTATATGATTTGTATAATTTGAGTAAATTTTTATGCAAAAGACCCTGAAAGAATCAAAATATCAAATTAAAATGGCAAGTTCAGTGGCTTTCAAACTTTATTGATTGCATCCACTGTAAGATACACTTTTTTATATCATAAGCCAGAAACACACAAAAACTTGTGTGTGTAGATATCTAAATATATGTATTATACACCATGCCATTTATTTAATTTTGTTATTTTACATTTTTAGAAAAAAAATTTTAGCCAAAACCTACTCAATGGATTTCATGAGTCACTTATATCACCATCTAAAGCTTGGGACGTATTAGGCTAATTAACAAAGTGAAGACCTATAAATTGTGAGAAGAGAAGAATTAAAATGTGAAGCAAAGAAACCAGCCAGGGCAAAGAAAAGAGGCACTTCTCCCCAAGACATAAAAACAGATTCTGAGGAATAGATGGAGGAGGCTGAGATATCTCAATTTATGACTTCAATCTGTGCAGTCAGTGAGAAATATGGAGGCATGATGAGTGATTACTGACTCATTTCCACGGCATTAGTTCAAGTCCTCATTATCTCTTACCAAAACAAATATGGTAGAAATTTAACTCTTATGACGGAGTGGCAGTGCTCACACACCCTTAGAAGTTTCCAGTGCCTTCCCAAGGAAAGATCAGACTCTTTGAGCATTAGAAACCCTCTGTAATCTGACTACCTTTCCAGGCTCCAAGCCCTCAACTCCATTCTATATAATGCCAAGTTTGGCATTTCTTGCACTTATCTAGACATCATTAGCAGTCTGCTCTTGCTATTCCCTCAGACAATCCCTGTGAAATCTAATTTATTTTTAAAGGCATTTTTCAAACCCTACCTCTGCCACAAAACCTATCCATAGCACAGAATGTATTTTGTACATTTTATATACAACGAACACATTTTACTATACAGAATTATTTCAATCATTCTTTCAGGAGATGAACATTTACTAAGCATATACTTCATCCCAACACTATGAATAAAAGATAAAAGATATGTGTCCTGTCCTGTATGTGTACATATCTGTGTCTCACACAGAATTGTAAATTCTTTGAAGGTAAACATAATGTCTTATTTCTTTCTTTATTCAAGAAAAAGTTAATGAGGGCCCAACTCAATGCTAGGCATGGCTCTTCGTACTGGGAATATATAAGTGAACAAAACGGCCTGTGTTTCCTAGCCTTCTGGAGCTTGTATTTTTTATAAGAGAGTAAGATAAAGAAATAGATATATAATGTAATATCAGGTAATGACAAGTACTACCAGGAGAAATAAAGGAGACTCAAGGAACTTAGAGTGATGAAGGTATGATTTTAGATGAGGTGGTCCATGATCTTCACAAACAGATGAGACTTGTGCAGAAATGTGAATGGTGTGAGCCATGTGAATACCTGCAGGAAGAACAGTCCCCTCAGAGAAAAAAGTCACTGCACTGGCCCTGAGACAGACCCATGCTTGGCAGATAACAGGAGGCCAGGGTGGTTGGAACAGAGTGAATGAGAAGAGGGGGCTAGGAGATGAAGTCAGCAAAGCTCTAATGAATATCTAACTCTCCTGAGGGCTAAAAATCTTCCAGTGGCAAGAGGTGGCTTGGTACAGGATAATCCAGTGGTGTTATTGATGGAAGCACCAGCAGCATTTGCAGATAGGAGATAAGTGGAGTGTGAGAGAGGAGACACGGTTGACACCATGGTTTTTGGCAGAGCAAATGGAAACATGGAGTGGCTGTTGACTGGGATGGGGAAAATTAGGGAAAGGTCTGGTGTATTTTTGGAGGGGGAGAAACTTACTTTTAGATCTGCGAAGGTAGGCACAATATTTAAATCCCTTAGGACTAAGTGAGATCATTCAGAGGAGAGAGGAGAAGGGAACAGAAATCAGAAAACTGAATTGTGAAGCACGTTAAGAGATCAAGGACATGCCATAGATCCAACAAAGGAAACTGAAAAGGAACAACCAATGAACTGGGATAAAAACCAGAAGGAAATGGTTTCCAGGAAGCCCATTTATCTCTGCAGTGTCCATAGGAGATGACACAGAGAGCAAGCTCTGTAAATTTTAAAAATTCTGTTGAGGGGAGTTTGGAATTAGCAGCCATAGGGAAATGTAAAAGATGGTCACCATGAGAAAAGCACAAGGATTTCTGAGTAGCCCTGCAGACAAAATGATAATTGAGAGAAGATTAGGGAGTTGTGAACAGAAAGAATAAACTCAAGCTTCAAGTGAGATGGAATCCCTACTCCCTCCAGAAGACCTTTTATGTGATATAAGGAAACAGTGCAATCCACCATAATATCATAATTTGAAAAAAATTGTATCAACTATTCAAGAATTACTACATTCCTATACAGTAAACACTTTATTATTTTTTTATTGACATTTCATTATTTTACTATAACGAAATGTAATTTAATCATACTGGCTCTTTAGAGTTTCTCTTGAAATGTCTAAAATCTGTTTCTTAGAGCCCATATATGTATAAGAGTGTGTGTGTGTGTTCGCGTATGCGTGCATGTGCGTGAGTGTGCATGCACAGATGCAGTCAGTATCAGGCTTTAAATGAATGAGCTAAAAATTTGGCAGAGTGTGTCAGTTATAAGTTTATTTTTTGTGAAGGCAAAAATAAATTTGTTGGATAATGCGTTTGTGAGTAGTAGATCAATTTGTTCACATATTTTGCAAAAGTTAGAGCTTATTACTCATTCATGTACTATTGATGTAACGCATTAGAAGACAGTTAACATTAGGTCCTAATGGCACCTGACCAAAAGGAGCTGTGGGCCTGGCCTATACACCTTATTGCCTGTTTTCAGCATCAACTGATTTAGTGAAGCAGCAAAAAGAAAAATGGTGTGTGCAGCATTATCTTTCTGCCACAGATACATGTTTTTAATTTCCAAGTTTCCAATGCATCATTCAGTTTTATCTAACGGGAATGCAGCTGAGAGAAGTTTGTAACAACCCAAAACTACATGCTAATATAGTTTAGTTTTCAAGTCTTGTGGAGTCTTTTTTTTTTTAATGGAATAAGATCATCAGAAATCCAGGAGCAAGACAGACTGGCTGTGGTCTACCAGCATTGTAGTAAAAACATTGGGGAAGTTTTATAAGACCTAATTATTAGAAAATACCATAAAATAGTCATTTTCATAGAAAAAGCTTTCCCTTTCCTCACACTGAATCACATTACTTTGTGTTCAAGGTAAAATGTAGTTTGAAATCTGGATGTAAATTAGAAAAGATATTATTTTATTCCAAGTGAAACATGTATTCACACTTCACGTCTTGAAGCACCAGTGGCCATTTGGGCTGAGTTTTCAAGAAAAAAAATTTATATAGATTTTATGCCCTTTTTTTAACCTAAGAGATATTAAGTAATAGCTATTCCACTATCAGACAATGTGCATAAATTCTAGTCAGATTTTTCTTTTGATTAGTGAACAATAGGACAATTTTGCTGGATGTTTAGTATATTCATGGCTGTCACATCATTATTAAATTCCAGAATATTAACATGCTTTGTGTGATGCATTTTTAATCCATCATAAACCAAACAATATATATTTGTTTACTGTTATTAATGGTTTTTCATTGTGACGTCCTAGCCTTAAATAAGAACTTCAGCAATAATTATAAAGATGGCATTTATTACTACCTAAAAGTATGTCCCAATAACCTTGATCATGGATAGGAATACTATTTTATAAAATAAATGGATTAAACTTTTTTTGCAATCCTTTTCTTTCTGATTCAGTTTCAGCCCCTCTTGTGTCGCAGAAGGACTTGACGACTACCGCTGCACGGCTTGTCCACGGGGATATGAAGGCCAGTACTGTGAAAGGTACCAACAGCCATGAAACGTACAGAGTAATGATATGTAGGGACTATATGGTAAAGGGTCACAATAGGAAAACATTCATTATTTGAAGAACTTCAATATTTGCATATCCTTTAGAAGTTTAAATTACAATGCTTTCAAAACCACTTGTGTATCTTAGAATTTGTCCAAAGAAAGTTGTTTATTTCCACCGTATGTTTAGACTTTATCAAAGATTCCAAACTATTTACAATTATCTAACTTATGCTTTAGTATATATATATATATAATTTTATATGTAAATATAACATTTCATAAGAATAAATCAATTTTCAAAAGCTTAGCAGTAGTTACTACTAATAAGAAACTGGCTACACTTTTCTTATTTTAATGCACTGGAAAATATTGTCTGGAAGTAACTGAATTCACGTCATTGTTCTGAACACTATGACTACACCAGCAAGTGTATACATAACTCAAAATATAAATAGTATCAAGAATTTTTAATTAGTACCCAGACAATAAAGTATTTGTTATTCAGTTTTCCTTTTCAATAGGCAAACAATATTATTTAAATGTTTTCTCTTACCATATTGCTTATGAAATCTCATAATGCATGTATACAGCTGTTAAATTGAATTCTCAGTGTAATCCAAATGGTAAATTAAGGAGTACAGTTCCAAACTGATTGTCTAGAAAAGTTGCAATTAATATCTTCCAGATATATATTTTCTGTAAGATCAGTATCCTGGATATTCAAACTTGTCACCACCACTTTTGGTATATTTTAGATATTATCTTTAATGTAACAGAGAGTTACTAATGTTAACTACTAACATTATACACACATGATAGTTTTAGCATAATTGATAGCAGTATAAAAGTTTTAGAAAGATCCATAGACTTCGCTCAATTCCAACAGTTCAGCTACATTCCATTTTCCTCATCTATAATCTCAGGAATCATTGATAGGCCACCTACTTTACACTAATATTGTGACAATAAGTGTGTAAAGGACACTGTTGGTGCCCTGCCTAGGCACCTACACTGAAGCCTTCTCTCCAACAGAAGAGGCAGAAAGGCCTGAATGTTTACCCGCCCTTCCTGCAGTGGCCCATGACTAACCAGCGTGAGAGTACAAAAGTCCAGCTCTTTGGCCCCTAAGTGGAACAAGTTTTGAGATCTTATTTTATGCTCCAGAGCACTCCATGGAATCAGGCTAAGACTGGGACATCACCTGAAATCATACCCTTGATTAGAGCTTTTCTTTTCCATGTCCTGCTTCACCCACTCCTTTGCTAGATTCTCCTAGGAACACTTAAATGGTAAGCTTCTTTGTAAATATAAACTAATACTAATTATCAGCATCCACTTAAGAGTCTTGTTTTATATAACCAGCAACAGCTGTATTAATCATGGCAATAAGTAACTAAATAATTAGGGTTAAGCTTTATAAATCCCAATGCAATTTTTATACATTTGTAAAATATATTTCTAAATAAATCCGTATGTGGTAACTCTAAACACAGTATCCAATATTTGCATATATATAAAACAGTGGATTCACAATTTCCATACCAACAGAAATTAGCAGCAATTAAATAACTCATAGCAACACCAAATCTAAAAATATTTCCATTTGTTCTGAAGATATATACATCTTTTGGATATAGATATAGGTGATACAAGTACATACTTGTTAATACCCACCAGTGAGCTTTGGTATTCATGGTTAGACTAATATTTATTTCCTGTACCTTTAAACACCAGTAGGATGGTGACTAAAAGCATCGCTGGACACCAAAAAGATTATCTACAGTAATTCATGAAAAAAAAATTATGATATAGCTACATTTATACACTGTAGTTACCATTTTCTACAAAAGCATGTGTATAGAATAGGCTAGAAGGGTACACTAAAATAACAATTATTGTGTTAAAGCAGAATGATTACAGAAAATTTATTTGTTAATATCCAGTAGTATTTAATCGATAAAAGCTGTCAGTTTGTGTAGCATAGAGATGAGCAGGGCCATACAGTATCAAATGTGAGTGACTTAAAGTGTTTTTCCAGTCCTCAAACATTGTTATAGCTTTGCATTCATCATCTCTAACATATAAATGATCAGGTTATATTTCTCTGAAAAATTGCTTTATTCAGCTATATTAAACCAAAGTTCTTGGTTAAATTTTTATTGTAACCTTCCAAATAAATTTGTTCCAGTGCTGAGAGCTTCTTAAATCATTTAAATCATCTTTCGACCTGCTCAGACTGATCAGGTTAGGTCTAAAACTGCTTAAATTTCTTGAGTATCCCTGTAATATAGAAACCTCTCCTCATACTTTATTTTCAATACTCTTGTAATAAACTCTTTGAACATTTAATCAATCTGAATCTGCTTAGAATACAATTATTTTACCTATAAATGTTAAGAAGCCATTTAAGTGGACTTACTTAAATGCTACTTTCAGTATTTGTACTCTTTCATTGAAAAAAATAATCAAAAACATGAATGTATAAAAGCCTAATGTCACAAATCGTTTTCTTCATGTTTTGCCTTTTCTAACCAGCACAGGGTGAATTAACTTTCACAGTCAGCCATGCAGATTTCACAGTCTCAGGCAGCTAAAGATGGTCTATGATTATCTTGCCAGTATTTATAGCTTTTGGCTCCAATCCCCTACTGTCTCTCAACTTCCTCACATACTTGCCTGTTGAACAAAAATTCTAACTGTTTGTTATATTTACACTGACCATATATAAAACTTGTTGTCCAATCTGGGACACTATATTAAAAACAGGCAGTGTTTTTAGCAATTAAGCCAAAACAACAGGTAATAGGAAATTGTCCTGGGCAAACCAGAATGTATGGCCCTGCTAGCATTGTGTAAAGTTACCAAACTTCCAGTGTCATAACACGGAGTGAAATACACTTAGGTGAATGGATGCATAGATACGTGGAAGAGTCAATTAATGGACTGCATTTAGGGTTCATCCAGTTGGATTCTCTTTCTACTTTTCCAAATCAGTGTTATATATTTTGTTTGCATATCATTAACCCACTTCCACAGATACACATGAAAAATCCATCTTGAGGAAGATATGGCAAAAAGAAAAGATGAATAAAAGTAAACAGAAAATCTGAGTAGCCTATTGCCACTTAACTTGCCTCTTTTGCCTCATTGGTAAAATTAATGGGTTGTATTATTTGGTTATTTTGAGATCTGAAATTCATGAGTATAGGGAAGCCCAGAAGTCAATATAGAATTGCACTCATCTCTAATTATACAAGAGGACTTAACAAAAAAGTTTATGATCTAGAGCAGTCACAGACAAACTATGACCCACAGGCCAAATTTGGCCCATTTCTGATTCTGTATGGCACTCAATTAAGAACTGTTGTTACAGGTCAGCATTTACAATCAATTTGATGACAGGAGGCACTAAGTTATAACCCAAATGAAGGATAATTTCAAACCTCAGGAAGAATCCAATTCTTCTCATTAGTAGCCTGATATTACAAAGTAATTTAACATTATTATTATTATTATTATTAATGTTTTCAATTCCATCAACAACAGCAGAATGCTTTAGAATTTTATTTCTTTTTCACGGCATAATCTTGATTTTTCCTATGTCCTGCAAAGCCTACTGTTTACTATCTGACCCTTTACAGGAAAAGTTAACTAATGTATGGACTCTTGCTATCAGTTTTGTTGCATCAAAACAAAAGACCACACACAACAATGTGGAGACATGACTTGCTATTAACCTCTTTTGCTTTGTCACTGTTTCAATTCAGGTGTGCCCCTGGCTATACTGGCAGTCCAGGCAACCCTGGAGGCTCCTGCCAAGAATGTGAGTGTGATCCCTATGGCTCACTGCCTGTGCCCTGTGACCCTGTCACAGGATTCTGCACGTGCCGACCTGGAGCCACGGGAAGGAAGTGTGACGGCTGCAAGCACTGGCATGCACGCGAGGGCTGGGAGTGTGTTTGTACGTATACTAACTTTGCTGTTAGTTTTGGAGGCCTTGATTCCAGTTCTGTCTCATTTCCAATGAGAAAGAGTGACTCTCCCCGCCCGCCTTTTTTTTTTTTTTTGCAATAGTTATACTCTTCATTCTTTCTGACACTATCTATCCACCTTCTGCTGTTCACCTGCTGATTGCGTGTCCATCCTGCTGAGCCAAGAACAGCTGAGAAAATCCTCAGTGTGCTTTAGTCAGTTCATTGAAAGACCTACAATGAAGCTCCTGGAGGCATTTTATTTGATTTGTCCATCTCAGGGTTTACAGTTTTGCCTCAAGTTGGCATTGCCTTTGTGACAGATTAAAGATGTGAGTGTATTAAAAAATTTAGAATCCTCCTGAATTTGTAATCGACTGGACAGATACTTTAAGCCTTGAATGACAACTGATGTTTCTTTTCCCAGCTTTTATGAAAATCCATGGGCATACTGCTTCATAATTTTCTCTTGAACTACAAAACCCGTAAGCAGTAACAATGAAGTCAAGTATTTTTACTCACGTACAGTAAGTGGAGAGCAGTTTGCTCTCTTGCTGTCTCTCTTTTTTCTTACTGATTCTGGATTCGCTAGTGCCATATTGAAAGTACATTGAAATCAGTAGCTAAATATAATTCTTGGATCTTGCATACATTCAAATCCAAAATAGGTTATTTATAAATTTAAGGAAGGAGTGCTCTTCTATAGTATTCTTTTCCTCAAGGAAATTTATTTTAGCACCTTTTATTTCAACATTTACCTATTGTAATAGTATTTGTGCATGTCAACATTTCTTGTTTTAGCATATTGTTTGAGTCTAAATCTTAATAGTATCTTAAATAGAAGAATTTTTGTTTATGTTCTAGTTTTATAAGAGTTAACCTCAGAAGCTAAAGCTGGATTAAAAAATACACCAAAAAGTTAAGACTGGGTGTTATTTGGGAAAATAGATTTTAAAATCATTTTTTCTTTGTATTTTAACCATCTTTAATGAAAATGTATTACACTGAAAATAAATGTGAAGGTAGGTGAGAGGGGAGAGATTAAATGTACTGTCAAATACATTTATATTGTCATATTTAGTTGATAGTATATACACACTAATTCTTCCCAAGTATAATGATATATTTTAATGATAATTAAAGAAGTAGACTATCAAAGTATTTTATAATATTGCTTTCAAGTCAAATAAATTATTAACATGCACATAATTAACTAGATAATATATAGATATTCTTAATGTAAACAGTCCTTGAATTATTAATCATCACTTTTATTAACTATCCAGAAGCAAACTTGAAATAAAAAGATCATATTAATGTTAAGCACAAAAATTAAACAATAGTACATTAAAATCTGGGGTAGATAATATAATGGGATTATTTGGGGAACATTTCTTTTAAAGAGAATTGGCATTCTGCCCATCAACAACAATGGCTTTTTCATTTATTGTTGATGATCAATACTTTTTTAACATTTTGAATACATTTATCATTAGAAATCGTAATTCATCTTTTCCCTATCACATATGTGGGTTTCTAATCTCCACTTGTCCCATGTGATATTAAGAAAAGGGCCAATCCTCCAGTTACAAAGCTACACCAGTTTTATAATTCTTATTTGCTTTATTCTTGCCCCACAAGGAAATGTATTTACAGGGGTTATACATGGTATTTAGTTCAGTTGCTGGACTGGAAGTGTTTATATTCTTTTTAAAAGAATAGCAGTTTTTATTCCAGAAAAAAATATTAAATTATAGGATTGTTTTTGATATCTAGACTCTTTTGCTAAAGCACAGTTAATTATCTTATAATTATGCTGTATAGATTTTCCATATACTGCTCTTAAGCATTAGTGATTTCCACTTACTTCTAGGAATGTTTTCTCTTCACCTTTCACTAAACTAACTCTAAGAATTGTTACACAGAGTATCTTTAGACTTTTCATCTTTTCTCTTCTTCTAAAATTTCTCCCGTTATGGAAAAATATGCCATGATTCTATGATCTTGGCCTTTCCCAGGATTCGGTTTCTACTTCTACTCCTAGTTTTGAAATCAGATAAAATAAGACACAAGTGAGGATGTAATTCTGACTTATTCTCAATTTTCCTTTTAATATATTTCTGTATCCTTAAGCTAAATTAGTGCAAGAGACCAAAAAATGGATTCACCTGGGGTGTTTGATCTGCAGGACCTGTTTTAGCACATGTAATCATGGTGGAATTGCATAAGGCCTGGGGGTGAGAGTAAGGGAGGTAGCTTGGCTCTAGCAAGAGAATTTAGATGTAGTAAGAGAAATGTCTGCAGTGCTTGTTGTTAGTATAGTACTGACTACAGGAAATAAACTTTCTCCTATTGCTTAGAATAAGTAAACACTCAGTTTAGTAGCATGTATTGTACAAGAGTTAATTTTGCTTCCTTTAGTTACTTCCCTGGGAAATATAATTTAGACTGATCCACATCATGGATTTGTGTATTTCAAAAACAGAAAAGAAAAGAAAGAGAGACAGAAATGCATGATAAATGACCTAAGCCTGATCATTGTGTGATCTCAGGTAATTTGCATATTGGTGAAAGGAATCTATACACTCACTGTAAATTTAGTTTAGGCTCTTATTTCTCAAAGTATATAAAATTCTGCTGAAGAGATCAGGCAAAACAAAGCCAATGCAGGAACTGTGAAAGGACTTCCCTTGGACACCTTGGTCCCTAAAAGATACTTATAGCTTCCAGGGACAGTTGCCAGTGACCCCTGGATTTTACTGGATCCAAAATGGAATTTTTTGCAGCACACAGGCCTTTTATATGTGGATTTTCACTACTATCATGAAGAATGTATACAAATAATCTGTGTCCACGTTAGGAACCTATTTAGACATCACAGTCTCTCATAGTTAGTGACCTAAATTCAGCCCCACCATGCAGAGTCAGTTCCTGAGCATAACTAAGCAATTTATTCACCTTCAAATTCCAGGCATTCTCTAAAGTCCCTTTTACCACACAGGGTTCATCATAATAGTAATTTTATTTAAAGGCTCACCTTGACTGAGAACTTACCATTTGCCAGGCACTATATTAAGCATTTTACACGTGGTTCTTTCATTCTTGTAACATTCCCATTCCTTATCATCCCCACTGTGTGATAAGAGAACTGAATTTAGGTAGGTTAAGTCATTTTCTCAGTGACTTTTCAGTAGATCCGTGATTTGAGCATGGGTCAGTCTTACAAATCTTATTTTCTTAACCTCTATGCTGGCTACTGATAAACAGAGAAAGCAAACGTGGTTTAGCCAGTATATTCAACATTAATGAATTCAGCCCTTTATTCATTTACTGCTTCCATGTTTAGAGCCCATTCTACCTCGATTAAAAATAAATATAAAACGAGCTAAAATTACAAAATGAGAAATTTTAAGTGTATGTAATCTCAGTAATGACATTTATTTTCTGCTAATCATTGAGACTCCTCTAAGATTTAAAACATTATGGCATTTATGGTAGATTCCTTTTCATCAGAGATTGTCAAGTAGAGACTGTCTTCTATGCAGAAGAAAAGATACTAGCTGGGTGCCCAGATTAACTTCACAGCCTCTTTTTTTCTAAAAGGAATTATTTGGGACAGCTTTACAATGTTATGTAAGTTGGTGAGTTCTGAAGAGATATTTTATTAATTTCCCAAATTAAGATTTCTTCTTGATAAGTTAATACAAATCCATCCTCCTCTTTCAACTGTCATTCATAGTTCACATGTCATTTTATAAAATGAGAACAACTAACCTGCCTTCAAGAAACTTAAAAATGAACAAAGAAGCCATTATTTGCTTAACAGTAAAGTTTAGTATTTTGAAACACAAAACTTGGATTTGTTCATATCCTATTTTCTGTAAACTCATATCATTAACACAGAATAACCCATGTGATGTTTAAAATAGATTATGAGTGGCATAGTAAAATGTATTACTCTCCTAGAGAACAGAAATTAAAATTAGTATCTGTTGGCAAGATATTACTTCATAAAAATTGCCTGAAATAGCATTTTATAAATATCAAATTGGTGTTGCCTATTTTTAATCACTGCATAGTGGGGTTTTTGGGATATATCAGCTTTTATTATTTATAGTCACAATTTACTTAAATTCTAACATATATTTATTTAAAATAAAACATACACTTTGCTTGCCAATTTGCAAAAGTGATCATGAACTATGTTTTCTACTTGCAACCTGAGATAAGCCTAGCTAAATGTGGTAATTTTCCTTAACTCTGTAAAATTGGCAACTTCCAACCACTTGGTGAAACCGGAAGTCTGAAGTTTTATCCTATCTTGATCTACAGAGATATAATCAACATTGTCGTTTTTAATAGCCAGTTGCCACCAAAGATCTGATCACAATAATGCAGAGACCTTTATATATTATCACTAGAACACTGTTGTACATTTATAATCAAAAATGATTAATAATGGCAGTGATTGCCCCCTATATATGGGAGCAGAAACAAAATAGAATGTGGTTATCACTGTAATGAAAACAGGACTTACTATTCTGAAAAATGATGATAAACATCAGTTGATCTCCAGATGCTGATTACTGATCTAACACTTTGCTTGTTGTACCCCCTAAATGTCATCCTCTCTCTGCTCGTACTCACTGCTCAAGTAAGTTCTTATTTGAAAGGACAGTAAGTATGTCATAGTTTTCTGTAGTCTAAGCTGTGTCATGTTGTTCACATCCAGGTGTTAGGCAATCTATAAAACATCTTCTGTTCACCTTGTTTGCACCTTCTACTCATTTGTTTTGTTAGTAAAAGATATTTGAGTTTCTTGTTGTCAACCTTAGCATTGGTCCAGGCTAACAATGTGTGGAATGGCAACTATCACCGTGATTCTAGATGATTTTCCTAGTTGTTAGAGATCAGTCTCAGTGGTTTGTATATTATTGAGGAAGCTGTTCTGCTAGCTGATTAAGGAGTTGCACAGTTGAATTATCGTATAGAGACAGCTGATCACTGTTGCCTTTGTTTTCAGCAAGTTTTATTTGAAGAGTAAACTAAACTCTACTTTGATTGCAATTTCTACTCTGGCAAGGCTCAGGAGGTTTTATTGACCTTGAAAGACAAACTAAAATCACATAATCTTAAAGTTGGAAGAAATAAGTAAACTAGCCTAGCCTTCTCTTTTTCTGTGACATCCACAAAACAGACAGCATCCTAATGCAAGGAAGCATGGTGTTATGAAGTGGCTACAGAAGGTTTGAAACCTAGCTTGCAATTTGTGTGACATTATTTAATTTCCTAAACCTCATTTTCATCCTCTGTAAAATGGATGTAAAATGCTACATACATGTATGTGAAGTATCTAAGCATAATAGGTGCTCAATAAATTCTAGGCATTGTTATCATCATTGTTATTATGTGACCATTTTTTTCCCCAAAGACCTGATGTTTTGTGCAACGCATCAGTTTCTGATGAAATATTTTCTTTAGTTTAGGCTGACTTTCAGTTTCCTGTTACTATCTCTAATTCTAGGTTCTTCAAGTCACTGAAAACCACTTTTATGGCCACCTTACATTTCTCCTGTCTTTAAGCCCTTCACATGCATTATTTATAGATTCATAAACACTCTGGTTGTGACTATTTTTCTCATCTGTAAAATGAGGATATGAATGGTACTTACCTCATAGAATTGCTTTAAATATTAAGTGAGATAATGATGGCAAAGTATAATACATTGCCAGTCATGTAGTGACTGTTGTGTAGATAAAAACTATTATCCCATTATTATTTATAGTACTTTCAAAGTTTCCATTAGTGTTTTGAAGAGTTACACCATCTTTGAACCACATTGAACTTGTTTTCCCATGTATTATATATAGAATTTTATTTAATATATATAAAACACATATATCAATATTTAATATATAAAAATATATAAAATATATACATATAAAACACATATCATAAAACATATATATAAAACATAAATATCGTTACTTGGTATGTCGACAAATTCATCAGTCTCAGCTGAGGTCTACAGCTTTCCTCTCTATTCAAAGAAATGACAGGTTAAAAGGTCTTCTTAATGACTCTGGAATCAAATTTTTATTTGAGAAGATATTTATTTTAAAATAGAATGACTAAATACATCTTAATAAGCCCTAAATATATGCTAATGTAAAAGTTTCTTTTTGAAGGGGAAAAAGGGAAGTGAGAAATAGAAAATTCAGATCCAGGGAACCGTCAATGGCATTCATCTAGGAGAGTTAATTTAACATACACACATTAACACATAATTTTATCTTTTGTTAAAAATGTGTATTTACTCATTTTATTCCTATTTGATTAGAGCAGAGAATTTATGTATCGCTACCTAAAATTGGTTAATAGCTTTCGCCCTTTCAAAAATACTCAGTGTCCTCATTTTAGCTTCAGCTTCTTTGGTTTGGATGCAGTGTGTGATTTTTTTTGTGACAGTAAGCCAGTAGTTATTATGCATGGGGAATCCTGGTAGAAATGCAGTATTTTGTGCTAATTGCTAACAGAAAGATCTGTAATACTGGCTGCATGATTTGCCCCTTACATGTGCCCAGCCATAACAATCTGAATTTAGTACTGTGTTTGTTAATATTAGACACAAATTTATCCTGACACTTTTATAGGCAAAGCCTCGGAAACATTTAGTCATGTAAAATATAATCATGGTCTTGAAATATTTGCTTTTGCTCCTGTGCATTTTAGGCAGGATTTCACTTTGTAACCTTATTAGTATTGCTGAATTTGGAGAATGGTTTGGAAAGGTTCTTTGAGGTCCTGATTGTAAGATAGGTGTTCATTTACACTGAGCCATTACTGCACTTTATCAAAGAACAGTTGTTTACAGAATGTGAATATTCCATGTCTCTACACACTCTTCAGATTTTCCCTATGATAGTAAATTACATTTGGTTTTAATTTGCATTCCATTTCCAATGTTTGTTGCCAGACACTTTGGACTTTTTGAGGGCAAATAAAAGTAGCTTCTGGTGTAAGTGAAATATTTTGTGTCAGAATAAAATAGCAAACCATTATGTAAAGGGCACTTTCCCCATGTGTTTACCTTATAACTTCATGAGCTAGACTTGTACAGAAGCTTTGAAAAAATCCCCATGGCTGTCATATTCATAAGTCTCTCTGACCCATTCAGACAGATGTTAGTATATTGCTTGGAGCGTACTATAAAACTTACCTTTCACTTATGGAAATGTGCTTGTACTTTGTTCCCCAAAAAGCAAATACAGATACCATAAGACATGGGATAATAATAAACCTTTGGACACAGAAACATAAAATGGAATGTATGAGCCCTTGAAAGAGCAATTAAATACATTTTCATTTCAACAGCTGAAGATGAGGAACCAAAACAGATGGGCAGGGGATAGAATAAATGAGAGAAAAATCAGTATTCATCATGCCTCTTGGCATTCTAGTACACCGTAGCATATTACAGTACATCAGCTCTAGTTCTGCATTCTGGTCCCTGATTTATTCTTGTATGAAGTAAAAACTGAGAAAACGATAGGTACTTTCCTTGGAAATTTCTGGAACCATCTAGTAAGGAGTATCTAGCCATCCTGTTATCAACAAACTGATTCAATTCCTTCTTGGAAATAGGTAGGTTATATATTATTAAATAAATTAAAGAATAATTTAATGTTTGCTATCAAAGGCACACACTGCCCTAAAAAGCATGGTGAAACATCCTATTATCATTACCAAGTATCTTTAAAGATCTTGGAGGTGAAAAAAGAGCAAATTGCTTGCTTGCATCCTAGGAACATCTGCCCAAAATACATCTTCACTAGAGGTCAAATGGAACTTTTAAAACAATGATGAACTTGGGCTCAGTGAGAGAAGAACCTTCCTATTCTTCATAATTCCTAATAAAATTATAATTGTTACTACTGCTGTTTTTAACCTATGAATTGCAGCTTGAAAGTCTCTGATCTGAATCACATGTGCAAAACTTGAAAAAGTGTGTCAGTTATCGATTGTATCAGTTATACATTCCAAAGTTTAGTAGCTTAAAACAACAAGTGCATACACTCTCATGATTCTGTAGGTTGGCAATTTGGGCTGAGCTCAGTTGGACAGATCTTCCACTGTCACGCCTAGGGGCTCCCAGATGGCCTCAAGCCCAAATTGGGGCCTCAACTGCCCTTTCCTCTCTCACGTTGCCTCCCTTCCTCAAGGAGGCTAACCTGGGATTGTTCTGAAGGCAGCAGGGGTCCAAGAGTGTGAAAGCAGAAAGTGCAAATTTCAATATGTTGCTCTGCCACATTCTGTTGGTCAGAGTATGTTGCAAAGCTAACCCAGATTCAAGGGGAAGGGAAGTAGACTTCACATCTTAATGTGAGGTGTGGCAAAGAAGTATTAACAGTAACCTTTTTTTTTTTTTTTTTTTGAGATGGAGTCTCACTCTGTTTCCCAGGCTGAAGTGCAGTGGCATGATCTAGGCTCACTGCAGCCTCTACCTCCTGGGTTCAAGTGATACTCCTCCCTCAGCCTCCCGAGTAGCGGGACTAGAGGCACATGCCACCACACCTGGCTAATTTTTGTATTTTTAGTAGAGATGGGGTTTCACCATGTTGGCCAGGCTGGTCTCAAACTTCTCACCTCAAGTGATCTGCCCATCTCAAGCCTCCCATACTGCTTGGATTACAGGCCTGAGCCACCACACCCAGCCAGTAGTAACCATTTTTAATTGTCCCCAGAAATGATCATCGCTTTGATCTGTCAGTCATGGTGTTCTTTCCTCCTAAAGTTTTGTGCTGATTTTCTTCCCGTCCATCTCTCCCTTTCCTGAGTCAAAACTGAAATCCTTCAGGCAGGTATCTGAATAGTCATTCTTGTTGATCGGACAGTCTCTGCCTCTGCAATCACAAGATAGTTCTCTTTCTGTCTCTAAACCATTGTTTTTAATGTATTCTCCTGTTCCTCACACATCTGTGAGGTTTTCTATCTTGTTCTCACATTCAGAAGTTTTCTTCCGGCCAACCCCAACCTCTTCCCTCTTCCCCTCTTCCCCTCTCTCTTCTCTCCTAACATTCTACCTCCCTGATCTTCTCACTATTTCATGTACTTGGGCACATGCCATGCTCAAACATTAACCCTTGCCATTCTCTTTGTCCAAAGTGTTTTGATACCCTTCTCTCACAAAAATATTAGCCCACAAATATTTACTGAATATTAACTGTGTACAAGACCCTTTCCTAGGCACCATAACCAAGGTGTTTAAGGTCCCTTCTTTAACGAGGAAGAAAGAATATATAAATAAATTAAGTAATAATGTAGCCCAAACAGGCATAAGTGTTAAGAAAGCAAAGGAAATGCAGTAGTGACTGGCGCAGGGTATAGGGCTGGGGGTGGTGGGGAGTTTCAGGTAACAGTAATTTTAGAATCATCAGGGACTTGCTCTCTGAAAAAGTGACACTTGAGCACTTGACCTGAACACCTAGGAACCAGGTGGGAGAAGACCAAGGGAGAAGAATTCTAGGTAGAGAAGACAGCAAGCAAAAGGACCTCTTCCAAATCCTTGCTCCCTTGAAGATTGAGCATCCCTATAATTTATCACCTGGTCCAGTGGTTTTATCCTTTGGCTACATGGTTTTTCAATTACTGGAATATTTTTAAAATACAGTGGTTCACGCCTATGATCCCAGCACTTGGGGAAGCTGAGGTGGGAGGATCACTTGAGGCCAGGAGTCTGACATCAGCCAGGGCAACACAGCAAGACCCCATCTCTATGTTAAAAAACTAGCTGGATGTGGTGGCATGTGCCTGTAGTCTCAACCACTCGGGAGGCTGAGGCAGGAGGATCACTTTAGCCCAGGAGTTTGAGGCCGCAGTGAGTCATGATCACACCACTGTACTCCAGCATGGGTGGCAGAGCAAGACCCTGTCTCAGAAAAAAATAAAAATAGAAATACTGATGGTTAGACCTTACCACAGACCCATCAAAAATCATATTCTGTGGTGGTGAGGAGGGAAAGAGCCCAGGCATCTGTATTTTATAAATGTTCATGTGATTCCAATGGGCAGCCAAAGGTGAGAACCACTGATCCACACCAATGTTGTCACATTCTAATGTGCAGAGATAATGTGGGACGCAGATTCTGATTTCCTAGATCTGGGGTAGAGCCCGATTATACATTTCTAATAAGCTTCCAGGTGGTGCCAAAACTGTTGGTCTGATTGCTACTCAAAGTGTGGTGCACAGACCAACAGTAGCAATATCACCTGGGAGCTTGTTAGAAAAGCACATTCTCAGTCAGAGACTAAGAGAAACCAGGTGATCAAATCACCTCCTGATTCAGAAATACTAGGGGGTGTGGACCAGCCCTCTAGGATTTCCGAAAGTCCTACTGGTGGTTCTGAGGCCCACTAAAGCTTGAGAACCAGACTGTGGATCTTGGTGTTTAGACACAGTCAATTTGGCACTTAACTGAGTTCTATGTTGTGTTTTCTCTAATTGTTTAATGTGGACAAGTCTGTTGAAGTTTGCATTGAACGGGGCTATGAAGCCAAAATAATCTTTTACTTGGTTTCCATGCAGTGCAAATTTGGTTTCATTCTGGCTAGGAGAAGAGTAAGAGATATAGCCCTAGTTCCAGACTTCTGCTCTGGCCTCCAAAGCCTCTTTGTTCATTCAGCTTGTGAAGCATCAGGAGCTTGCAAAGCCCCTGCAGGTGACGCTCTACAGTTGTCACCTGCAAGAAGCTGCAGGTGTCACCTGCAAGAAGCTGATTTATTAAAAGCCCTGCCAGGGCAGTTTAATCCCTGTGAAGTGATATTGTAACTCACCTCTAGCTGCTGTCCTATCAAAAAATCACTCTCCGTCCTCCTTCTCTTTGTTTACAAGCACCAGTTAATGGTTTTCTCTCCATTAAGCAGCTCAGGGGACTGCTGTTTAGAGACCTAATTGAATTCTTGCCAAGTTTGGGCATGATCCAGAGCTGCTCCAATTCTCGGTATTTTCCATGCTATGTATTTTCCCCTATTCTAACATGTATATAGCATTGATACCTCTATCTGCAGAATGTAAGAAATTGTAACTGTATACATGAGAGTATATTATAAATGCAGTAGTTCCTGCTCCTTGGCGTGCAGATACACCTCATTACTCTGCAATGCAAAACTAAAAATATACATGTTTTTTAAATCTGCTAAAAGATTCAATATATGTTAATTTTGGAAATTATACGACTATTTATGAGATCTATTCCATAATGAAGAGTCAACAATCCATTTGTCTCTCTACCAATTCTACCACCTATCCTGGCCCCTACCACCAAATTTGAATAGCACCTCTTTGATGGCCAAAAATATTATGGTGAGTGTATTAGTCCATTTTCGTATTGCTATAAAGAAATGCCTGAAGCTCGGCAATTTGTAAAGAAAAGAGGTATAATTGGCTCATGGTTCCATCAGGCTGTACAGGAAGCATGGCTGGGGTGGCCTCAGGGAACTTTCACTCATGGCAGAAGGCAAAGCTGGAGCAGGCATCTTCACACAGGCAGAGCAGGAGGAAGTGGGGGCTGGAGGTGGCACACACTTTTAAATAACCAGGTCTTATGAGAACTCTGTCATGAGAACATCACTAGGGCGGTGGTGCTAAGCCATTAAAACCACTCCAGTGATTCAATACCTCCCACGAGGCCCCATATCCAGTATTGGGGATGACATTTCAATATGAGATTTGGATGGGGACACAGATCCAAACCATATCTGGTAGAATATTAGCATTCTTGGCTACTTAAAGAATATAGTTTTTCTAGCCTTTAGCAATTATTTATCTATAAGACTGAAAGAGGTTAATCATCAAAGTAGGGATTTGTGAGACTGCATCTAATCATGGGTGGTAATAGACTGAAGGGATAAAGAGGAACAGTTGGCAAATAAATAAGTCAATAAATATTATCATAAGAAAACACTATAGAAAGAAAAGTTATTTTTATTTTGACTTTTTATTTTATTTTTTGGGGGGTGGAGTCTCAGTCTGTCGCCCAGGCTGGAGTGCAGTGGTGCAATCTTGGCTCACTGCAACCTCCGCCTCCCAGTTTCAAGTGATTCTCCTGCCTCAGCCTTCTGGGTAGCTGAGACTACAGGGGCCCGCCACCACGCCTGGCTAATTTTTGTATTTTTAGTAGAGACAGGGTTTCACCATGTTGGTCAGGCTGGTCTTGAACTCCTGACCTCAGGTGATCCACCCACCTCGGCCTCTCAAAGTGTTGGGATTACAGGCATGAGCCACCACACCCGGCCTTCTTTAGACTTTTTTTTTTTTTAATTATTCTACTCAATAGATACCAAGCTAAAAATTTATATACTTTTTGAATGTGTAATACATAAAGCATGTGGAGGTCAAATTACTATGACTTTCTCCAGTGCAATCTAATGGAGCACCACACATTTAGACTCTGGAGCATGTTTTATTCCCTGTGGACAGGTTCCTTTCGATTGCTCATGTAGGGATTTAGGGGGTACTTTTAATGTTATATTCTATGCCTTAAAGGAAATCTTCAATACTTGTGCAATACACTTTTTCTCCCCAAATCTATTTGCTCCTCCTCTTTGGTCCCTCAGTTTATATTATCGCCTCTATTTCAGGTTCTGGGCGACATGCATATCTGTTCTTTTGTTGTTGTTCTTATCTTTCCTCAACCATCATCCATTTGATAGCATTAATATTCTGAGATGAGTAGTTTCATCTTCCATGGAATTATTCTTGGACCATAAAATATTTCATAGCTGAATTCTTTGAACATCTGCCTGGGATGTTTAGCAGAAGTAACTACTCTTTGTCACTTCTCTTTCACAGTTTGTGGAGATGAGTGCACTGGCCTTCTTCTCGGTGACTTGGCTCGCCTGGAGCAGATGGTCATGAGCATCAACCTCACTGGTCCGCTGCCTGCGCCATATAAAATGCTGTATGGTCTTGAAAATATGACTCAGGAGCTAAAGGTAGGTTGGTGCAGTCACAAGCAAGGGCCAGGGACAAGGTGACAGAAGCTTCACAAGCGGTATTGGCTGTAATTGGTAAATGTTCTTCCCACAGCCCCAAATCAAGGGACACAACTGTTAGGGAAATTCAGAGACTTTCTTAACCAGTGTTTTTCAAACTCAAGAACTATAATATACAGATTTCTATTAAGGGAAAAGAGTCTCATGTACCCCCCAGTGTCTGGCCTAAATCAGTTTTATTATGTCACTTAAATATGTGCAAACATAAAATCAGGTATAAACTCTTTATACTTATAGCTCTATAAAATTAAAACAAATTAATCCTTACAAAACCAATAAAATTCAAATTAAAAACATTAATATAAAGTAACATGATTTTGGCTGAATGGAAATTGCTGCTTGCAACAAGAATAGGATATTGACTATTTTCACACAGTTCTTCCACCAGAGATGATGTGGTAACTCATTTCTCCTACCTTACCACATTTGAACCAGAGAGCCCCCTACAAAGGGTCCTGAAATGAATGTGAGCATCACTTGACAAGTTTATGTGACTAACGTGCTCAGTCTGCCATAGGCTCAAACACACAGGCAAATGTAGGCACTGAGATCAGGTGGCCATATTCATCTCTCAGGTGCCTAGCCTGGGATCCAGAAATGCTTACATTAATATTTAAGGTTATCATCAAAATGAAAACACATGATTAGAATCTTGTACTAAAGAGCTAGAACTAGTAGACCTTTAAAAGTTCTTCAACAAGCACCAGTTTGATAAACACTGTTCTAAATTGTGGTTAAAGCTTTTGGTAGTTAACGAGGTAGGAGAAAACATTAAAGAAATTGGGGTTGTTTCACCTGATGGAAAAAGATGAAAGGTGTCAACTTACTATCAGTCAATTATCAGATATTTATTAAGAAATTATAGAATACCTCAGCATTGCACTTGGTTCCCTGGGGATTTCATGACTCTTTTAATATCTTCACTACCCTTAGGAAATGTAGATTCTATGTGCTTTAAAAATAATCATTAAACAATAATCAAGCAATTAGCAAGAATACATAATGACCATGTGTTTTACAAACATTCAAAGTACATTAGCGCACAGAGACTGGAGAAATCAGTAAGATTCAGGGTAACCAGAGAATGTACCATTACTGAGAGTATAATTTCTGTTGGAATTTGAAGTGTAGACACAATTTTAGTAGAGAAGTATTTGTTGCTTTAGAGGAAGGCATCTAAGATTTATTCACTACACATTGGTAGATATTCTTTTAGGAAATATATTCTTTAATTCTGACCATAACCTTTAAGGTAAGTATTATTATCCCTATTTTCCAGAAGAAGAAACCAATAATGATGATAACAAGAATAACTAACATTTATTGAAAAGCTAGGCAATTGACTGAAGTCTTAAATGGATTACCATACATAGCTTTTACAGAAACTCCAAGAAATAGGAAAGAAGTTGTCATGGTCTGAATATTTACATCTCCCCAAATTTATATGTTGAAAGTCTGTCACAGTCCATTGGAGCTGCTGTGACAAATACCATAAACTGATTAGCTTATAAACAATAGAAATATATCTCTCACAGTTCTGAGGCTGGGAAGCCCAAGATCAAGGTACCAGCAATGTTCAATGTCTAGTGAAGGCCTGTTCCTCACAGAGGGTGACTTCTTGCTATGACCCCACATTTAATTCATTTAATATCTGGATACTGAGGAAAAGGATAGCTAGCTCTCTGGGGTCTCTTTAATAAGGGCACTAATCCCAATCATGAAGGCTACATTCTCATGACTCAATCACTTCCCAAAGGCTCCACCTCCTAATATCATCACATTGGGAACTAGGATGTCAACACATGGATATTAGAAGGACACAAACATTCTGCCTTCTGCCGTGTGAGGACACAGGGAGAAGGCAGCTGTGCTTAACAGAGCCATGTGAGCAGAGGCAGTGGTGTGAATTAGATCTGTCTGGCAGATATTAAAAGTCAGACCTGCTAGTGAAAGATAAGGCTGGAGACTTCAGTGAGGCAGGGTGATATGATGGACAACCTTGAAAGCCAGGCAGAGGAACCTGAGTTTACCTTGTGGTCCTGGTATTCAGGGAAGTGAAGAGTTTTAATGAAAAGAATGCCGATCAGTTATTTTCCTTGTATATGGAGAGAATACAGAAAAATAAATTAAACTAGAAAAGCAAACATTTTAGTTGAACATGAAACATTTTAAAACTAATACTTAAGCAATGGATGATGAAGTAAAGAGGATCCTATAGAAGAGGCTCCAATTTGTGAACATCTTCTAAGCCAAGGGATTCAGTGACCCATCCACTTCTGGCTGGATATTGATCCAGATGACCTGGATTATCCTTAAATTCTAGTCTTTCTTGATTTTTTATTTTGTTCTTCTTCCATCATTCACTTGACATTTGTATACTGAGGATCACCTTCTGGTATTATAAAAACTTAAGTTATTTCACCTCTTTGCTCAATTTCTTTAACTATGTCAGTGCTCCCCAAGCTTCAGCCAAAGACCATCAAGGACACACATGTGATGGAACAAAGTGGGATTTATTAACTTGTTGCAACAAGGGGCACTGAACACCATGGGGGAATTGTGGGCTGTCTCAATAAGAAGGTGTTAGGAATAACTTCTAGTATTTGAGGCTGTGCTAGATAACTTAAGGTTAGCACTCAACTGGGTGCTATTCAGAAGTGGGAGTAATTCTGTGAGTATTTTGTGAATCCTATCTAGAGGGAAGGAAGAACAGAGGGAGGATAAAGCTATGATTAATAAGGAGGCAGTGTTCATTCATATTAGCCAGGAAATGGGAGGTTGGGGTAGTTTTGTGGTCTACACAAAACCCGCTATGGTTTTGTCTGCGCTTAGACATTACAGGGTAGTCTCTTTTTTTCTGTTTCATTCATCACTGGTTCAGAGTGACCTTGTCTAATTTAGTGTCCTATGAGATTATTTATGTTCCATAGGAAAAAAATATGGCCCTGCTGTTAGGCCAGTTCCTAGCAACACCGAGGACAGGCCAGTTAGTTAGCGCCTAGCCAGGTCTCTATGTTAAGGCCTGCCGTTCTCTTTTTTACCTGTGATCTGTGTCTCTGTTAATTGGAATGGGAGCCTTAAATGGGCCAGGCAAGGAGTTTATCTTAACTCTACCCCTTACTGACTGTGTGATCTCGTGCACATTTTTAACTGTCTTCAAGACAGTTTGCTCTTTCATGAAATGGAATAATGCTTACCCCCCATAGAGCTGTTGTGAAAATTAAATGAAAAAACAAAACATAAAAAGCCTGGCACATAGTAATTTCTCAATAAGTCACTGCAATTTTTATTATTTGCCTGAATATTTGGCATGACACTCAATGTGTAAGTGCCCAGTTGAAATAGTTTCCTTATCTTTTCTTTGAAGGTGAGAAGGCTAAGTTCCTTTTATATACAAAAATGTGTTCTGTCGAACACTATCACTGCAAGGCCATTTACTAAAAATGTTTATGGGATGGAATCTTTTTCAGCACTTGCTGTCACCTCAGCGGGCCCCAGAGAGGCTTATTCAGCTGGCAGAGGGCAATCTGAATACACTCGTGACCGAAATGAACGAGCTGCTGACCAGGGTAAGGTGGCAAAATTATGAATCTTCTGAAAGCAGATAGATTATGTCAATGAAGGAAAATTACTTCAAAGTTCTGAAATGCAAATCACCTTCTTCCTAATTCCCAATTTGGTATATAAAATAGATGTATTCTGACTTGCTAATTCTGCTTCAAATCAAATCATAGAAATCAGTAGCACGCAGAAAAATTGGGGATACCTGGAAATTGTCAATGGCTAAAAAGTCCAGAATGACAGTGTATTTTGAGAACTTTATTCAGTAGCCTCCGTGGTAAAGTTTGTATCTGTTCTGATTTCCAAAAGCACTATCTTTGATTGTGTAAAGAGAAAGAAAAACAAATGAAAATGCTTGTGGTCTCTTTCATCTCATCGTGGGATTTTTGCATTAGTATAGAAATACAGTGTAAATCAGTCTTTCCACACAAAAGAGGAAATCTTCTCTATTGTGAGACTCCAAAGTGCTTAAGACACTTTTTAAAGTCAGAATGTAAAGTCCATGTTGCATTTATCAGGCTTTTTAAAGAATTGGAAATTTTAAATTTTCAAAACTGCGATGGTATTAAAAACTTTTTGCAGTTAGAGAATGAAGAAAACAACATAAAGCCCGCCATCTTGTGGCCAGAAATATGCATGAAGCTAGAAACGGGGCTGCAAAGTACGGATTTAATTTGATTATCTAAGAGCTTTAAATGATAAAGAGTATTGGAGCTAGAAGGTTCCTGGGGATTATCGAGTCCACTTTGTATTTTAAAGAAGAGCTGCCTCGGGCCATGACAGTGAAACGAATTAACAATGGCCATACAATTTGCTAAACTCAGGGACTTAAGCTGGACCCAGTCTCAAGATTCCCACTGGCCCAGTACTTTTTCTACATAGCCTGCTGTCGGTTTAGGAAAATATCCACAGGAAAATCAAATAGGCTTCTGAGCACATAATGCTAAACAACGGCCCTGATGTTACAATAGCATACTAAACACTTTTTCAGAATCTCATAGCAACAATATAGAATGTACAGATACAACACGGAGTTTCTTGCCAAATGTATGTAGACATTAGATTAAATTGAGTGCATTTATCTCATATTAATTTAATATGAAATAATTCATATTTGTTATAAATAAGAATTTTCTAACAGGTCATGGTAGAATAAATCAATTTAACAAGCACACATAAATGTTCATAACATACAAAGCCTAAGTTACGTGTTGGCAGATGAAAAATATGAATGAGGCTCAATCTGTCTTCAAAGAACTTTGAGATGTGTGTGTGTGTGTGTGTGTGTGTGTGTGTGTACATCAGCATTTAAGTGTATGGAGGACCATATTAGACAACTGCATGCAGGTATATAATAAAACATGAAATAAAATAAAGTCGGAAGAAATTCTGGAGAAATATTTAATAATAGAATAATTTCATCTGCTTAGGGGTAATTAGAAAAAATTTCATGTAATAAATGGCATTTCATTCATTCATTCACTTAACTAATACTTTTTGGGAGTCTCTCATGTTCTAGGAATTATGACACTGGGGATAGAAGTGTGAGCAAAACTGCGCAGTCCTTGCCCTCATTGGCTTAGTATAGTCTAATGATCTGACGTTAGAGACACAAAAAGTATTTCTTTTTTTTTTTTTTTTTGAGACAGAGTCTTGCTCTGTCGCCGAGGCTGGAGTGCAGTGGTGCGATCTTGGCTCACTGCAACCTCCGCCTCCCGGGTTCAAGTGATTTTCCTGCCTCAGCCTCCCAAGTAGCTGGGATTACAGGTGTGTGCCACCACACCTGGCTAATTTTTTTTGTATTTTTAGTAGAGACGGGTTTCACCATGTTCGTCAGGCTGGTCTTGAACTCCTGACCTTGTGATTCGCCTGCCTTGGCCTCCCAAAATGCTGGGATTACAGGCATGAGCCACCGCACCTGGCCACAAGAAGTATTTCATTAAGAGTGTCAGATCTTTATTATGTCTCAACCTATACTCTTTACCCTTTCCAGCAGATTGTCTCATGCTATGTTTTTTAAACAGACTTTATTTTTTAGAACAGCTTAAAGTTCAAAGAAAAATTGAGTGTAAAGTTCAGAGTGTTCTCATATCTACTCCCTGCCCCCACAACCTTCCCCACCAGAATGGTACATTTATTATAGTCGATAAACCTAAGTTGACACCTCCTCATCACCCAAAGTCCATAGTTTACATTAGGGTTCCCTCTTGGTATTGTACATTCTATGGGTTTGGAAAAATGCATTATGACATGTGTCCACCGTTGTTGTAAAATATAGAAAAGTTTTACTGCCCGAAAACTCCTCTATGCTTCACCTATTCATACCTCCCTCTTCCTTGACCCCTGGCAACCACTCATATTTTTACTACATCCATAGTTTTGCCTTTTTTGGAATATATAGCTGGAATCATACAGTGTGGTACTTTTTCATATTAGCTTCTTTCCCTTGGTAATATACACTTAAGGTTTCTCCATATTTTTTCATGACTTTATAGCTCATTTCTTTGTAGTGTTGAATAATATTTCATTGTTTAGACATATCACTGTTTACTTATTCATTCCCCTACTGAAGGACATCTTGGTTGCTTCCAAATTTTGGCAGCATGAATCAAGTTGCTGTAAACATCTTTGTGCAGACTTTTGTGTGGACTTAAGTTTTCAACCTATTTGGGTGAATATAAAGGAGCATGATTGCTGGATGGTATGGTAAGAGTATATTTAGTTTTGAAAGAAATTACCAAAATGTATTCCAAATGGTCTTTTCTATTTTGCATTCCCACCGGCAATAAATGAGAGTTTCTGTTGCTCCACATCCTCAATAGCATTTGGTGTTTTTAGTGTTTGGATTTTGTCATTCTAATAAGTGTGTATGGTATCTCATTCTTGTTTTAGTTTGCAATTCCTTAATGACATATGATGTCGAGCATCTTTTCATATGCTTATTTGCCATCTGTATATCTTCTTTGGTAAGGTGTCTATTTAGGTCTTTTTCCATTTTTTCATTGGGTTGTTTTCTTGTCGAATTCAGAGTTTTTTGTATATTTTGGGTAATAGTCCTTTATCAGATATGTCTTTTGCCATTATTTGCTTCCCCTCTGTGGCTTGTCTTGTTCTCTTGAGAAGTGTCTTTCACAGAGCAGAAGTTTTTAATTGTAACGAAGCCCAGCTTATCAATTAGGTTTCTCCTTGTTGAGCCTTTGGTGTTGTATCTAAAGACTCATTGCCATATCCACGGTCATCTAGATTTTCTCCTATGCTATCTTCTAGGAGCGTTACAGTTTTGCATTTTACACTTAGGTCTATAATCCATTTTTAGTTAATTCCAATACTATTTTAAAATAAACTTTTTACTTTACAGTAGTTTTAGATTTCAAAAAACTTGCAAAGAGAGTACCAAGAGCCTTCACATACTCCATTCCCAGTCTCCCCATTGTTAACATCTTACATTAGCATGGTACATGTGTCATATACATGTTATATACATGTGTCATATACATATTAGCTCATATACATGAGCTAATAATATTGAAATATTACCATTAACCCAAGACTGTATTCATATTTTTTCAGTGTTTACTGAATGTTTTTTTACTGTTTCAGGATCCCATGCAGGATACTACATTACATTTAGCCATTGTGTCTTCTTAGGGTTCCTCTAGACTGTGACGACACTGTCAAAAATACTGTAACAGTGTTTCTGATGACTTTGAGAGTTTGGACAGGTTCATGTGTTTGGTAAGCTGTCCCTCAATTGGGGTTTGCCTCATATCTTTCTCATGATTAGAATGGAATTATGAGTTTTTGTGGGAAAAACTTCAGAGGTAAAGTACCATTTTCATCACATCAAGAACCCATGTGACCAATATGACTTATTACTGTGGATATTGACCCTGATCACCTGACTAACATAGTGTTTGCCAGATTTTTCCACTGTAAAGTTACTCTTTTATGCCCTTTTCATACTCTAATACTATTTTTATCTGCCCATTCTTCAGATTCAGTAACATAAAAGGCGCAGAAATAGGACTACTGAAAGCAAAGATCACTTTGATGGGTTGAGAAGGGGGAGGAAATGTAAATACTCATTAATTACTTTTTTCCTACCATATTTATAATTACAAATATATCTTCCATGCAGACCATAAATACTCAAGTCAACATGACCAATTCTCTCTTTCCCTGTGGTCAAGCTGCATGACAATCAAAAGGTGAATTAATACAGATGGAATTATAATTAGAGAGTTAGATGGTTTCATTATCCAAAATCAGGCTAAGCACGCTAATGCCTCTATCTCAGAGTCATGAATGATCCTGCAGTTGTGACCAGGGTATGAGAAATGCAGTGGCCACAACTTCCAATTACCCATGACTACATTAGAGGAGACAGTGCTCTAGACTAGGACTGCACATTGGAATTACCAGGAGCCCTATCTCACACCCATAGGTTGTGATGCAGTTGGTCTGGGGTAGAGTCAGACCACTGGGATATTCAAGAACTCCCCAGATTATACTGATAAAGAATTACTGTGATCCTGTAGTTACCTAATAGCTAAGACTCTCTTCCCTCTGGAAAATGCCTTAATTGGTACTGCCAATCTTTTTTTTTTTTTTTTAAACAGAGTTTCACCCTTGTTGTCCAGGCTGGAGTACAATGGTGTGAACTCAGCTCACTGCAACCTCCACCTCCTAGGTTCAAGCAATTCTCCTGCTTCAGCCTCCCAAGTAGCTGGGATTGCAGGCACCTGCTACCATGCCCAGCTAATTTTTTTTTTTTTTTTTTTAAGTAGAGACAGGGTTTCATCATGTTGGCCAGGCTGGTCTCGAACCCCTGACCTCGGGTGATCCACCCGCCTCAGCCTCCCAAAGTGCTGGGATTACAGGCGTGAGCCACCATGCCCAGCACTACTGCCAATCTTTGTTATGCTCCTTTTTCTCTGCTTGGTTGGCTCACCAGTCACTTGATACAGTCTTTAGATTTAAGAGCACATGTCAAGGTTGATCCTGCATGACTGCTGTAGGAGCTACCCTCTCTTCTTTAAGGGCTTTTATATTTTATACTCATTGTTTTTAAATGGAGAAATCTAATTCCCTAATATCCCTGGGTAAAGAAGACATTATTCCACCCAAGAACTCATATTTAAAATGTATTTTGATATATTTTAATTCATGTATAAATATAAAGTAAAAAAATTACATAATCATATATCTCTTTCAATGCATTTTGATTTGTTGCCATTTTATTTTACTCACTGGAAGAACCCAAGTTCCTCACATATGAGAATCATGTTTAACATATTCAAACTGCCCTACAGTATGTGTGAAATATTAAGATGCTTTTTGATGATGACTCTACTTACCTCTATAGCTATTGTCCTTAGCTCCTTTCTTTTTTCAGAGCCAAAATTTTTTAAAGACTTGGAGACAAGTCTGTATTTATTTCTCACTCCACTGCTGCCTGGATTTTCACTCCCAGCCCACTACTGAAACTGTTTTTATAAGATAACCAATGACAATCTGGTAACTAAATCCACTGGATACTTATTAATTTTACTTGAAATCTCTGCAGCTTTGATCTTTCCTTCCTTCTTAACATACTGTCCTCTCTCTGTTTTTCTCTTAATTCTCCAACCTTTCATTCTAAGGCTCTTCCTCTCATCATCCCTTCAAAGTCGGTGTTCCTTGGGGACTAGGCCTCAGTCCATGTTTTCCCTCACTGTATAACACTTTCTTTGGTCTTCAATTGCCATGTACAAGCTGTTAATTCATAAATCTATATTTTCAAGGCTGACTTCATTCTCATGCTTTGGTCCTATGTGCCTTACTATGGATTGGACATCTCAAACTAAACTCATCATTTCCTCTTAAAGCCCATTATTTCTCCTGTGTAGAACATCTCAGTGTTTTATCCGCCAGTATATGCCCAGTCTCCCAAAGAGAAATTAGCAGGTTGCCCTTCACTCTACTCCCTCTTTCATCCTTCATCAAATTCAGTTTCCTTCTATGGTGACTCTTTGTAAGCCTTATCCAACTCTAACCTGTTGTTATTTATATGGCAGAGTGAACATTCTAAATTGCAGATCCTATCATGTCATTCTCTTCCTTAAATTGTACTATGGCTTTCCACTTTTTTCAGGATGACATACAGTGCTCTCCCACCATGATCTAATCTCTGCTTCTCTCTCATCTCTCCCCACTACTCATGGTCTGGTCATCTGGACCCCTACGGATTGAGGGTATAAGCCAGAAACCTACAAATTTTCTTTGGTGCCTCTTTCTTCCTCATGATGCTCCTGCTTATCCAATTCATTACCACACACTGGGCTTCCACTTGTGTGTATGGCATTCATCTCTACTACCCCACTCTCATCCAATCTCATATTGTGTAGTTTGGGATTACCACATTTGTTTTTTAGCTGGTCTCTCTGCTTTTACTCTTGTTCTCCTCCAAATCTGTTCTCCGTAACGTAGCCAGAATGAATGTTTGCTATTCCAAATGTGAATACGTCATCGCAGTGCTTACAAACTCTTCCCCTGACTTCCCTTAGGCTCGTAGGATAAAGACCAAAATTCTCCCCTTGGCCACATCTCCCATCACTTGTGCCCCTGGCCATCTGCACTCCAGCCATACTGTCCCCCAGCCACTTTGTCCCACCACAAAGCATTGCCACACATTTCTTTATTTTGCCTTAAAGGTAATCTACCTCTCCCTACATTTTGTTAATTTCTGTTAACTCCAATTTACCTTTCAAATCTCAGCTCGTGAAAGCCCTCTGTGCCATCGCAGGGGTTCCAAGATTCCTCCTGTGCTTATCTTATACCACTATTTTTCCTCTAGTTTGTAGTTATAAATTTATCTACATGATCATTTGACAAATAACTATATAGTCCACCAGACTATAGACTCCAAATGGGCAAGAAACCTTTTTGTTTCTTACCACAGTATCACCAATATTGTACACATAATAGGTGTTAAGTCAATATTTGTTTAATTAATTGTGAATGATTTTAAAAGCATTTGAACAACAAGATGGAAATGTAGACAAACCCAAAATAAACATTTATTTTGCACTCTTTAAAATGTGTTAAAATCAGGCATATATTTATAATTATATTGTTGAATATTTTGTTTTCATTGATAAACACCTCTTAACTATTTATATTCTGTAAGGGGAGAATGCTATGTAGTAGATTGAACTGTATAAAATATTAAAATTTTGTTTCACTTATATTGTATTTTATTGCCTATTGAATATCAAATTTAATGAAAATGAAACATTTCCAAAAGGATGAAACTAGTTTTTAAACGATTTAAGTGCCAATATTATAAGTTTACAAGATTTTATTTATAGTTTTTAAAAGATTTCAACTGCTAACAGTGTTTTTTATTTCTCCTTTTATATTTTTAAAAGATATATATATAATATAAAACAAGTCATATCTTTTTGGTTTGGAACTTTTAAAATTGGCACGTGAAATATTTAGGAAGAAATTCCACATGGAACTGGCTCATTGTCATTCCACGGGGTCAGCTGGTTGCTCCTTCTTTCCTTGTGTGTTGTTGGTCCTTATGGCTTGCCTGATGAGTGCTTCACTACCACTTAGACATATGGAGCTGGTAATATTGGAAGATGACCCTTGAGAGTATCATATAAATGATTTGATCTGAAATCTAATTTTAGCAGGAAACCATATGAGTCCACAAATGCAAAGGTAGACAGTATCTAAGCAATGTTATCTATTCAGTAGTTAGGTTTGCTCCATTAGATTCTAGTTTTAACATAAAGAAGGCAGAAAATGAAACACACTGGTCATATCCAACCAAGAAAATTATGTGCAGATTTTAAGAGGCACAGTAGAACTGCTTGAGCTAAAGCAGGAAAGTAACAGCTACATTGTTCAGAAGTAAATTAACGTGTGCCTAATGGTAATGCATGCTGCCTAGACATAAATACTCTAAAAAACAAAACAAGAAAAAATAGAAAAAGAAATGGGAAAAAAAAAACCTAGTTGAGTGAATGTCAACATAAAAGAAAAGGTAATCAAAGGCAAGAGAGATACAAGATACTGTGTAAGGCATCATTTACAAAGGAACACTGTAAAGATTGCAGAATAGAGGTAAGAGAATGTTAAAATAAGAAAATCCAAGATAGAGAATGAAAGGAAGATTGTACAACATATTAGGATAAATGAGAAGTTATTTGTCAAATACTCAAAGGACAAGATAATAGTGAATAAGAAGAAGGATGACTAAGAGATGGAGATGGTAATTTAATAAAACACAGAAAGAGCCAAACTGAATCAGACAGATAGTTCCTATCATGTAGTATTTAGCATTCATTCATAACATTATCAATAGCCTGTCCTGGGTGAGATTGATTTTTGTGAATTTTGCTTTGGCAGTGATACCACTATCTATCACCACTACCCATAGGTGATAGTGCATTTGTCATAGGCTTCTTTATGAAGTCTCTCGTGGGTATTTTTGACCAGGGTGAATCTTCAACTTAATTACTGTGTAATGAGACATGATTTTTAAAAATATATCTAGATGATGTTCTGATATGATTTTGAAATGTGTTAATTGACTGAAAGTCAAAACTTATATACTTAAAGTATACATTAACTGGAGCAGTGTCCTCCACTCACCTAGAATACTCCAGTTTTTCATGTATTTTACTACTCTTTCTGGATGTTAGCCAAACACAAAATAGTGTTGGGTACAAACAAAATATAAGTCTGTGAGACAAAAAAAAAGTGTATTTCATCTCCAATTCCCTGTACATGTAAGTTCAGATAAGTTACTTAACCTCCTCATACCTTCCTTTTCACCTGTGTAAAAAGAGGGATGATGCCTTCTATATATCTCTAAATTCAGGAAGAGTAAGTGAGACACACGAGAGTGCTGTAAGCCTTTGCAAACATGTATATAAATTTGGCATAACTATTCACAATAGCAAAGACATGGAATCAACCTAAGTGCCCATCAATAATAGACTGGCTAAAGAAAATGTGGTACATACACACCATGGAATACTATGCAGCCATAAAAAAGAATGAGTTCATGTCCTTTGCAGGGACATGGATGGAGCTGGAGGACATTACCCTTAGCAAACTAACACAGGAACAGAAAATCAAATACTGTATGTCCCACTTATAAATGGGAGTTAAATGATGAGAACACATAGACATGTAGAAGGGAACAATGTTCACTGGGGCCTACCAGAGGGCGGAGGATGGGAAGGATGAGAGGATGGAGAGGATTAGGAAGAATAACTTATGGGCACTGGGCTTAATACCTGGGTGATGAAATAATCTGTGCAACAAACCCCATTATGCATGGGTTTTTTTTTTTTAACCTGTGTAACAAATCTGCACATCCTGCACATGTATCCCTGAACTTAAAAGTTAAAAAAATATAAAAAATACAAGTAATTCTGAGGTACAGATGAGCCTGACTGTGTAACTCATCCTTTAGCATGCTAACCCGCATTAAGTTGATGCTTTTGGTGCCGGGAACCTCACGTCTCCTCCTCTTCTGGAATAGCCTAGAGAGGAAGCTCTTCTTCTGTGTTTAGAGGGAAGGTATCTCCTTCAGTAAGCACTGTGCTGGCCCTGAAGAGTCTTCCTACCCTCTTCCTGCCCCCTACTGCCACTCCCACCCCACCAGCGTGGAACTTCGTGTGTATTCAAAGGTCCAGTTTGAATTACTGTGAGGCCAGTGGCTAGAAAGCAGTGTAGTTGGGACTGGAGATTCACATGCCTGGCTCTTCTCCCAAGCTTCAACTGTAGCTCTTGAGCAGCAGCTTCCTCTGAGCTTCTAAAAAATGCCCAGAAAATTGCCCAGCCAACCACATTTCCTGGCAAGCATAGCACCAGGCATATGGTCAGTTTGAGTGCTATTAGATAGGCTTTAGAACTTCCAAGGGATCATTGGTTTGATTGTCATTGTATCCACCAATCACCCAACATCTATGACCCACGACAATTTGCCAGACACTATGCTTGGCACTCTGAGGAATAAAAAGAGTAAGACAGATCCCTAGCCTTTTCTAATCTATCTATCTAATGGAGATATGGCAAAGCACCTAACAAAGTCACTACCCATTAGAGTTGTGAATAGTGGTAATAATAATTATTTTTGAAAATCTAAGAAAAGAGAGCATGTGCTAGAATAGGTAAGGAGGGCTTCACTGAGAAGATGGAGTTGGAATTGAATCTCGAAAGCTGGATTTGTTTTGGATAAGTAGAGAAGAGTTAAGAAGCAAAAGTATGAACAAAATCTTTTTTTGAGAATGTTCCAAAAGGAAGTAGGCAAGAAGAATGGTAATAAGGTTGGCAAGATTGGTTAGGAAAATTGTTTTTTAGTCCTGTATATAACAACTTTAGAGAATATTTACTATAAGTTAGGCATCATACTAGGAGCTGGATATATGATAAACAAAACAGACCAAGTTCTCACCCCCTTAGAGCTTACCTTACAGTTGGAGAGGTTGTCAATAAATAGGTGAGCCAATTACTAAGTAATTCTCAAATCCATGGTGCTATGAAGGAAACGTCCTGCTGCAGGAAGTGTGGAAACCTAGGTAGCACCCTGGGAATGGCCACGCTAAGGAGAAGCACTTAAACTGAAAGCTGATGGGTAACAAGGACCCAGTCTTTACAGGTGTTGAGGAGAAGCTCATTCTAGGTAAAGACAATGGGATACAAGAAGGTGCTAAGAAGGGATGAGTTTTGCATATTTAATATACTAAAACTATGCCAGGGAGGTTGATTGCATAGGGTCTTAGTGCTAATTGTTTTAACTTCTTTCTTATCATGGAGTTTGTAGGATTCTTGACAATTTAGTATTGAAGTAATCATATAATCAATACTAAGAATAAAATGCATGTGAATGATGACTCTTACACATTACTACGTAAATGAAATAACCTGTACAACAGATCATAAGCCAGAGGAAGTTAAGACAATGAATATGATCTTGATCATCCAGAATTTAAAAGAGACAGTGTATGATATACATTTACTTTTTAAAATTTAGACACTTTGAGTTATAAATAAGAATTGGTCCACTTGGTGTGAAATTATGATCTTTTGGTAATACAGAAAATATATTGATGAAGAAAAAGAATATATTTTAAGTTTAAATTATAATGTACATTTTCTGTACCATAAGAGACACTAGTGGTATTGATACATTAATCCGTAAGGTAAGATATTGGAAGATGACCAAAATATAGATCAAGTTCCTTATTATGGTGTTCAGTAATATGTGAAAGTAAGAGTGGTACCATAAAGTTCAGTCAAGTCTAGACTAGAAAAATATCCAAAGCAGTTTAGACTACGAACATCTTTTTTTTTCTTTTCTTTTCTTTTTTTTTGAGACAGAGGCTCGCTCTGTCGCCAGGCTGGAGTGCAGTGGCGTGATCTCGGCTCACTGCCAAGCTGTTGACCTTAGTTAGTGATTCAGAAGTAACATTTAAATAATTGGGTATGAGTATGTGTGTGTGTATGTGAATGTGTTTATGTATATGTGTCTGTGTGTAAAAAGTTATTTGACCCATCAGACCTTTGAGTGCAAACACGTGCAGGAAGCCAAGTTTAAGGAAATTAATGGAACATAATTACAACACTCACCAGAAAAGCAAGGATTTGAGTAACCTAGGGACTGGATGCACAGTTTATCCCAAAAAAATTTTTAAATCCAAAAGTGAAAATAATTCCATTATTAATGTTTTAGAAGAATAAATCCAGAGCATTATAATACTTTGGTTAATACTCTCCAAATTATTGTGTATATGTACTGCAAATTATACAGAAAAAAATTTTAATTTTCCAATGGATTCTTATCCTTTCATCCTTTCATTTGTGATGTTAACACTTGCAGGATGAGAAGTTAGATGATAATAGTTGGACTTTATATTCCTTCATTTGTGCAAAACCTTGAAAACTTTCATAAATTAAACCTCTTGCTGCCCTTGGAAAATCACAAAATGCAGTACAATTCCTCTAGCGTCTTTTACCATGTTCTGTGCTGGCCAGACATTTAGTTCTATTTAAAATCCACTTACGTATATTTTAAATATTAATTCTCTGGCCATGCCTAGTATGCAAGCACTCTGGTACAAGATTCTAGAGTGTTAATATGCTGCCAACTTGGACCTTATTCAAAACTATATTGAGACAGTTTGTGATTCTCTAATTCATTATCTGTAGTTAGACTATCCATATCTTTTTAGTAAAAGAGAAGAAGGCTTATATATTAGCATATGCAACACATAGAAAAATGAAGTATAAACCTTTCAGGGTACTCTAAACCTTGTAATTTTTAAAGAAACAATGTTATACACACACCATTTTTGTTTGACTAAATATGGTATATTTTAACCGTGAACACGTTGAATGCATTCCAGTGTGTCAAATGATATTTTAAATGTAAATAGAGGTGAATGTGCCTGAGAATACTCTTTGGGAGGTGGGGCTGTTTTGGGGTTCTGTTTTACTTTGCTGACACTGCTGCATGATTCTGTGATTAACAAGCATATTTCTGGTGCTATCATATGGAAAAGTTAGCATTTATTCTCCCTTAACATTTTATTGGCATCTTTGATGTGTTATAAAACAGGCATTTACTACTGAGTAGCTAAGCATTTCTCCCTCTTTGTTTCTTTAATTAACGTATTGATCTAAAACAAATCTATAGGATCAAGCTTATTGAGGCAGACAGCCTGTTTGTCTCTCAAGAGATCATTGCTGCACTCCACACACTTTTTCAGTAAATAAAATATGGACAAAACTGCAACATGTGGAGGCTGAAGATTCCATTAAGGACTTTTGGCATCTGTACCTTAAAGATATTTCAAAAATAATTGTGCTTTATTGCTTCTTCTCTGCCATAGCATATAACAAGCGTTTTTTAAAAGACCAAATACAGCTCTCTGATTTCCATTTAATGGAAGAAGTAATAAAGTTTAATTGTATACGTGAGCATGGGGCATCATTTGCAATACATCTGATCAATAATTCATCGATTGCCGTTGGCTCAAAGTAATATTTGAAAGAAAATGCAGCCAGTGGGAGCTTATCTAGCTGTAGCTTCATCATCTCTATTAATTATGTGTTTCCCGAATTTGGATCATTAGGCTACCAAAGTGACAGCAGATGGCGAGCAGACCGGACAGGATGCTGAGAGGACCAACACAAGAGCAAAGTCCCTGGGAGAATTCATTAAGGAGCTTGCCCGGGATGCAGAAGGTATTAGAAAGAATCACATTTTAATCATCATTTCTCCCAACAGAAAAACACAGAAAGGGATGACACAGGACTGGAATTTCTCTTGTTATAAGTGACATCTGTAAAATCAAAGGTAGAGTTTCAAAAAGTAGTGTGGTTAAGATATTCAAGGGTATTATCTGCTGAGAACCTGTGACCTGCAGTGTTAAATTAGCGACAATAGTGAATTAGCGACAATGAGGGCAGAATAGCAGTAAATTCTTGTAACATGGCTATTATAATTACATAAGAATAGGCAACTTTTGTTTTGTTATTGTTTTTATTTGAAAGTATTTAAAGTATTTTTCATTTTCAAGCAAGCTAATGTCATCATTCCACTTGATACATTAAAGCAGCACTTTAGTTTCTCCAAATGGCTTTTCAAATACTGGGGACTGGTTTTTAATGAACATCTGTTGCTTGGGATTTGGATGTGCTACTTTATGAGAAGCTCTGGTGCATTTAGCTCACAATTCTCTAGGAGTTAGTTCTTGCCATCTACTAACATGAATGAGAAAGTGGAAGCCATTTTTTGGCAAAAGCCCAAATTAAGAAACTTAAAGAATACAGATAATGCCCCATCCGCACTCGCCCCCCAAAAAAACCTAGTCCTTAAATATCTGTTAAAATATAATAAACGTGCATGCATGTTTAGAAATTGGGAAAAATGCTTTTTGTTGTTTTTTGCTTGAAGCAGTAAAACATTTTTCTTGCTCTGCAATATTATGCATTTTAGATACTTTGCTTCATAATGTAGCCAAATAAATAAGGATGTGAGATCAACTTCAAGGCAGATTCTGACTGATAATTCTTAGGCATCACTGGCCAAGAAGAGACAAACTCCCAAATGTTCACCACTGCAAGAAGCAACAGGGTTTTAATTTGAGAGCTAATTTGAGGCAAAGGTGTGAGGTTCTGAAACAGAAATTATTTCTGCCAGAAAAATCTCAGTTAATTCATTGTGGTTTATCCTCTGCTAGATGAAGCTGTTGTACTTTCCCTAGTATTATTTTCCATTAATGCTACTTGAAGTGTCCCCCTCCAACCCAAAACAACAACAACAACAAATCCCACTGCAGGTAGAGCACCTTCACTCTGAGCGGATCCCCAAAGGCCCTAGTCAATGCTCCAGGAACTTTCCTTTTCTTTCCATTGACATTTCAAACACCCAACACCTAGCAGCCCATCCTGGGGACTCATTTTCAATTTGTTTCAATCAAACACTGGTATGAGAATAAATGCTAGCATATGTTTTAGTAGATCCTATTATCAACACTGCTTACTTTGTTCTCTGCAATGAACCTTCCATCTCCCACCAAAGAGAGATGCATATTCATGGTTACCTCTTTGGTCAATATGAATATTTGCTTCTTCTGGGTGCCTAGGGCCTCTAGGTACTATTTGTACAATTTGTGGACCAACAGGGGTAGACTGGAGATGGAGATTTATCCCAGGCTTGCTCACCACCCCAAATCCCACGTCTATACACCAGAGAAAGGATTACCCATCACCAAAGGTGTCTCTCGTTCCCTAAATTATGCATAGATCAGGTGGTCTGATTGTGTCTGTCCAGATAGGGCACCCTTTTCTAATTTATGTGAAGTGCCATGTGGGATAGCTATACTTTAGGGAAATAAGAACACCACTCACTTTTGCCTGCAGGCACTATTTGGTAGAATTAATCCAACTGTTAAAATTGAATGAAAGGTCAAATTTAAATTGTACCAGAGCAACACTAAATGTTCATTGAGATGTAATACAAAGCTTGGCAGTTTAATGGAGAAAAAAAGAGAAAGTGGGGGAAGGAAGGGAGGGGAGGGAAGGAAGAGAGGGGAGGGAGGAAAAAGGAAGGAAGGGAGGGAGGGAGGAGAGGGAAGGAAGGGAGGGGAGGGAGGGGAGGGAGGGAGGAAGGAACAGAGGGAGGAAAGGGGAAGGGAGAGAGGAAAGAAGGAAGGGAAAGGAGGGAGGAAGGAAGAAAGGAAATGGAAAGAAGGAAGGAAAGAGGAAGGGGGGGAAAGAAGGAAGGGAAAGGAGGGAGGGAGGAAGAAAAGAAGAAAAGGGAAGGAAGGAAGGAAGGAAGGAAGGGGAAATAAGAAAGGGAGGGACGGAAGGAAGGACTCACCAAAGGCTTTAAAGTAGGTTATACTGTATATCCACACCTCTTTTTCTCTCTCTCTAAACTATAATAATGAGGGATAACCATCAGTACTTTTACATTTTTGTTTGTCAGTTGTAATAAATTGCTGTGGGAAAAGTAAATGCTTCAGACTGACATTTATCTATTTCAGCTTTATGTTTGGATAGATGTACTATTCATCCTATCTTTCATTATGAGTCATGACCTCGTTATAGATAATCACCTTCTATTCATCTAAGGCATTCTTATCTCACTATAATTTTATAATATCTACCGTGCTATGACTCCTGATTAGTTCATAAATAAACTGTTTTATTCCACGCATTATTAGAATTAATGAGTGGACATAGGTAAACCCATTAGTGTTTATTTCCTGACATACAATAGGACTTAATCAATGATAGACACCTTTCCTTCCTGTTTCTCAGATCAGAGTATTACTTTCTATTCTTAATAAATTTACCCATCAGAGGATTTTGTTTTCAGTCTTAGTATGAAAACAGTTTTGCTTCTCCTGAGGAATTTTTACTTACCTTTATAGATACTGTATGCCTCTTAAGAATCCTATTTGTATTCCCTGCTACGCGTAGTCTACTAAGATGCTTAGTAGTGGACTTAGGATGCACTGCATTGAACGTTATGGCATGGTTTTCTGTCTACTAATTCTTTCCCTAATTTATACAACTTTTTTTTTTACCTGTAGTGCTATTTCCTTTTATTTTAATTTTATCTGATATTAGGATTTTTAAAAAATTACCTAAATCCTCCTTTGAATTAAGTTGGAAATAAATAAGTAAATTCCAAAGATACATCTTTTACAATCATTTTCAATACTGTGGGAAAGAAAATATATTGAAGTGATAGTGCATACTTTTGAATAAGAGATGAAAAACACATTCATCTTTAAGAATGCTCAGAGAAGTTCCAGATCCTATTTATACATAGGATCTGGAACTATATATATGTATATAAACATAAAACTGTATGTTTATATATGTCTATAAAGAGTGAAACAGACTTCTATTAAAATGATGCTTCCTTTCCTTTTTTGGTGGGGGAGATTTCTAAGAAAATCATATTGCCTAGCAAGTGATAGATGCCTATGAGAGAAATGGAAAATGACAGCATTTTAAAATTTAACTTTCAGTAGAAAAATAATGGAAATAAAAATTAAACTAGACAGTTCACCATACAAAAATAATGTTAAATGAGGGTAAGTAAAGCGCAGTGAAATAATCTGGAAAATAACTATAAAACTTTAAAACACTAATAATAAATAAATGTTATCCAAATTAAACTGGCAAGTTTTAATGGGCCATGTGTAATTTATCTGTGTCCCGATGAGGCCATATTTTTCTCCAAAACCCATATCTAAAATTTGTTTTTCATAATGAAGATAAAGTAGCACACATACCAAAAACCCATTTGAAAGATGCTCTCATTTAATCCAAAAAGATACTGAAGGCCCATGTCCATTTTGGGGAGCTTGTATTTTTTTTACATAACATGGGTTGCAACAAAAAGCTGGCCATGGAATAGCAGTTTATTCCATAAGCAGCCAATATATTTGCTAAAATGTTTGTTCTTTTGGTCCTAACCACATTGAAATCTTCTGGGACTATTTCAATAACAGTAATTGCAACAATTGATAATATCCAACTGGAAAAAAAAAAACAACCTCATGACTGAGCTGCACAGTGATGTCCTATAGAAACTTTATGGGGTATGTGTTATATGTTTTGATGTTTTTCTTTTTTTTATTCTCATGTTTTTATTTTCCTTTTTACTTTAAGTTCTGGGATGCATGCACAGAATGTTCAGGTTTGTTGCATAGGTATACCTGTGCCATGGTGGTTTGCTGCACCTATCAACCCATCAAAAGAAGACATTTATGCAGCCAACAAACATATGAAAAAAGCTCATCACCACTGATCATTAGAGAAATGCAAGTCAAAACCACAATGAGATAACATATGACACCAGTCAGATTGGTAATTATTAAAAAGTCAGGAAACAATAGATGCTGGCAAGGCTGTGGAGAAGTAGAAACACTTTTACACTGTTGGTGGGAATGTAAATTAGTTTAACCATTGTGGAAGACAGTGTGGCGATTCCTCAAGGATCCAGAACCAGAAATACCATTTGACCCAGCAACCCCATAACTGGGTATATACCCAAAGGAATATAAATCATTCTACTCTAAAGACACATATACAGTATGTTTATTGCAACACTATTTATGCAAAGAGATGGAACCAACCCAAATGCCCATCAATGATAGATTAGGTAAAGAAAATGTGGTACATATACACCATGGAATACTATGCAGCCATAAAAAAGAATGATATCATGTCCTTTGCAGGGATATGGATGAAGCTGAAAGCTTCAGCATCCTCAGCAAACTAATCCAGGAATGGAAAACCAAACACCACATGTTCTCGCTCATAAGTGGGAGTTGAACAGTGAGAACACATGGACAAGGAGGGGAACAACACACACTGGAGTCTATTGGGGGTTGTGGGGAGAGGAAAAGGAAAGCATTAGGACAAATAGTTAATGCATGAGGGGCTTTAAAACCTAGATGATGGGCTGGGCGTGGTGGCTCACTCCTGTAATCCCAGTACTTTGAGAGGCCAAGGCAGGCAGATCACCTGAGGTCAGGCGTTCAAGACCAGCCTGGCCAACATGGCAAAACCCCATCTCTACTAAAAATACAAAAATCAGCTGGGCACGGTGGCATGCGCTATAATTCCAGCTACTCGGGAGGCTGAGACAGTAGAATCGCTTGAACCCAGGAGGTGCGGTCGCAGTGAGCAGAAATTGTGCCACTGCACTCCAGCCTGGGCAACAGAGCAAGACTCCATCTCAAAAAAAAAAAAACAAAAACAAACAAACAAAAAACTGGTTGACGGGTTGATAGGTGCAGCAAACCACCATGGCATATGTATTCCTATGTAACAAAGCTTGCTTTCTTAATACATGATCATTTTGCTAAAGTCATTTTTGTGCACCTTAATGATTGCTTCTTGTTTACAAATGGTTTTAATTTAAAGAAATTATGTATGCCATCCAAAAGATACAGCCATATTTGCCTTTTCCCTTTCTCTATCTGTTGTCATTCTTTTTCCACCAGATTCTTCTCTGCAGAAGTTTAGCTTTGAGACCAGAGCACAAGAGAAATAGTGAGACTCTGTCTCTCATTTTTCCCTTCCTCTATACTGCCTAGGCCCAGAATCTAAATTAGATCAAATTTCAAAAGATATTTCTTATGAAAGCTGATTTATACACGCACACACACACACGCGCGCACACACACATATTCATTTAACAAAGAAAAAACATACAGCTTTAGCAGGTTGGGAAGTGGCATTTATTAATATCATCTTCATTTTAAAAAGTGAGTACAAATTATATCAGTAGTTACTTACATGCTACAATTGGTTAAAGTCAGCTATACAGATAGCATGCACTCAGACTAAAGGATGAGATAGTACCATAGGTAGAGCCAAATCTGCTACTGCTTTCTTGAAATCTAAGAAGCAGAAAGCTTCTTACATTTAATCATTGGTACTCTGGAAGGCTTCCCACCTAGTTTGCTGGACCAGGGAGCTTTCAAACTAATCAGCCTATGGTTACTGTGATTCTGTAACAAAATTGAGACACAGCCTAGGTGATGTATCTTACTGACAATAGTGGTGAAATATTGGGAGGATTCTTTGGCATATGTCAAGGTATAACTGTTAGGCAGTGGGTCAAGAAAGAGCCACCCTCACTAACTTCTAGGAATACAGCACCTGACAATAACTTCTACCACAGGGCTAGGAATGGCCATATTTGTTCTTTAAGACATGTGATTCAAATATTTCTGCTAATTAAACCATGGCTGTCTTAGCCCATTTGGGCTGCTATAATGAAAATATCATAGATTTTGTGCCTTATAACTGAAATGCATTTCTCATTTGTGAAGGCTGAGAGGTCCAAGATCAAGGTGCTGGCTGGTTTGGTGCCTGGTAAGGAGCTGCTTCCTGGTTCAGAGATGGCTGTCTCCTTGTTATAGTTTCATGTGGTAGAAAGGGCAAGGGGGTTATCTGGCATCCCTTTTATAAGAGCACTAATTTCATTCTTGCCCTTATGACCTAATCTCCTCTCAAAGGCTCTGTATTAATCTCTTCTCACGCTGCTATAAAGAACTACCTGAGACTGGGTAACTTATGAAGAAAAGACGTATAAATTGACCACAGTTCTGCAGGCTTAACAAGAAGCATGACTAGGAGGCCTCAGGAAATTTACGATCATGGCAGAAGGCAAAGGGAAAGCAAGGACCTTCTTCACATAGTGGCAGGAAAGAGAGAGAATGAAAGGGGAAGTGCCACATACCTTCGAACAACCTGATCTTGTGAGAATTTATTCACTATCACAAGAACAGCAAGGGGGGAGGTTTGCTCCCATGATTCAGTCACCACCCACCAGGCCCCTCCCTCAACATGTGGGTATTACAACTTGAGATGAGATTTGAGGTGGTCGGTGGGGGGACACAGAGAAAAACCATATCAGGCTCTGCCTCCAAATACCATCACATTGGGAATTAGGTTTCAACATATGAATTTGAGGAGAACATAAACATTCAATCTACAGCATTGGCTATCAGGGTTAAAGTACTGACTACAGGAACTTTTAAACCAAAGACATATATAACGAAAAAAGAATTATAAAGATGCATTGTGGAAAGGGTATATTAGACATTGAAACTCAATTCTTTCTACTATCCCAGTGTTTCTCAAGCTCTAGGGTACATCAGAAGCTCTGAGAAGGCTTGTTAAAGCCCAGATTGCTGGTCCTCACCCCCAGAATTTCTGAGTCTGTAGGTTTGTGGCAGGGCCTGAGAATCTGCATTTCTAATGGGCTCCAAGGTGGTGATGCTGCTGCTGCTTATAGGGGACCACATTTTAGAACCACTGTACTGACCCACCTTCTCACATACCCCTCTGCCTGCTCTGCTTGTCCTGACTATGTACACCTGTTTCAGGAGCTCTGCCCAGTGCAAAACTCTCTCCAAGAATAGAAATTAATTTTCAGGAATCTCTATGTCATAAGGAGATCTTCGGATACACCCTTGAATGGTAGAAAATGCCTCTTGGCCAACCGAGACCCCTCATTCTAGGAGTTTTCAAAGGTAATATTATAGAAATAAGTATTCAGCTGACAAAAGAGTTTGAGAAAACATCTCTCTTAAATTCACCAAAAAAATGTCCTATAGAACACACTCCAGGAAACTTTAGTCTAAAACTAATAATATAACTGTGTAAATGTTTCAATTCACCATTTTAAACTTTTATTTGACGTAGAATTCTTTTCTCAAATGAAATCCTGCCCAGAACATCAGCCTATAAAGCAGACTCTTGGCAGAATAGACATCATTTGTAGAAAACCTGAAGCACCTGGAGAATCCTACGATTCCAAGGAGTACAGTTTGAAACCCCATTTAATGCATAATAAACACAGACCCTTGTGAAGGATGCTATTGCTGGAAAGTGTCCTTGAAGCCTAATTTATAACCCTTCTCCTAGAAGGGTTATAAGTCTAGACCAGTGCTTCTTTCTTCACTCCTTTAAAAAATGAACACAGGAGAACTATGTGGAAATACAAGGGCAGGTTCATTTTCAGAGATCTCATCACTGAGTGTATTTCCACACTCAGTATTTTTAAACTGACTGATAGCCACTGCTATGACTATCTTATCAGCAATGCAGAGCTTGCGTTTCCAGCCTCCAAGTGTTATGCTACAGGTCACTGTTTTTTTTAAACTCTTACCTGAGTATGCTTCGACCTACTTCTTTATTTTAATTCTTTCTTTCTTTTGAGGTTAGAAACACCATGCTTTAATTGCTGTAACCCCCAAAAGAAATATAATATTGAGAAACATATTACATTTCCCTGTTTGTTACTGATTGTTGTCTTAACTGCCTCTGTGGTTCCCAGCAGGAACACTCACGGCAAAATACTCTTCATTTGGAGATGGTGGTGCCCAGCAGATGCTGAATACCATGTTTTCATGTGGCATGTTTGTTTACTAATTTACAAAATTTGTTTTACCCCCTGCAGCTGTAAATGAAAAAGCTATAAAACTAAATGAAACTCTAGGAACTCGAGACGAGGCCTTTGAGAGAAATTTGGAAGGGCTTCAGAAAGAGATTGACCAGATGATTAAAGAACTGAGGAGGAAAAATCTAGAGACACAAAAGGAAATTGCTGAAGATGAGTTGGTGTGAGTAGATGAGTTATTATTTTTTCTTTTGACAAACTGAGATTTCCAGATAATTTACAGTTTTCTAAATTTTTATCACACGTATAAGTAAAAGATGCTTTGTTTTTCCAACCTGGAGATATTTGCTATGTTATCTATCATCTATCTATCTATCTATCTATCTATTTATCTATCTACCATCTATTATTTATTCATTTACTTATTTAATTGTACTTTACCATTGTTCCAAAATGAATCAAAAGCATGTTCTTGCCTACATATAATCAAGTAAATGATCTTTTCTGGTGCTGCTCCTTCTGTAATTAGGCTAATGAGTTTGTTTTGTTAATCATCTGCATTAGGGACTTTTGGACTATCAGTTGATTTTTGTTTTAATAAAAATACCTTTGGATAAACAAAGTTATGACTTTACCATTCATATATTGGCCAACCTATACATTTTATCATCTTAAGAAATGCTGAAAAGAAAAGTCATCAAATAATAAACACCTAATACTTTCAAATAAGAGTTGCGAATATGAGGGTTGGGAAAAGTGATAGTGATTTTACCCATGCTAAAGAACTTTTATGATAACGCACTCAATAAAATAGATACATCTCTACATTCATAGTCAGCTAACTTCAAAGTGGTAGTATTACTAATACTTAAATAATTTATACTAAACCAGCAATATCAGCACACCAGAGAACTTGTTAAAAATACAGATTGTCAGACCCCCTCCCAGACCTCCTGAATCAGAAACTTTGGGGATGGGACCCAGCAAACCATGTATTAACAAGCCCTTCAGGGGATTATGAGGCATGTTAGTTTGAGAATTACTGTCTTTCAAGTATTTAGAGTTTCTTAATGACTCGAAAATTATCACTTTAGAAAAACTAGGTAAGTTAAATCCAAAAACTTCCAGATCAATCAGTTGGAAGAAAAAGAAACATAGATTAAAATTATGCTAGTCTACTAGCATGACAATGACCTAGAATTCTGTTCACAGTTTCTGAGCAAACATAACAATATTCATCATTACATTCAAAGTAATAGAGAAAAGGTCTCAGTACAATGAAACAAGTGGATTGTTTGATTTTGGTATGTGAAGTGAATCTTAAAACTCATTTCATCAATCAGATTCCTAGAATGACATGATTCAAAATGTTATTTTACTTACAAATTTAAAAGGTTTCTTAAAAATCTGTTTCGCTTTTATTTTAATTAATTATAAATGGTCTCAGGTACCAGTTTTCAACTTGATTTAGCACACAGTGAATCTATTTTACATGTTTTCTTATTTTCTCATTCTTTTCATGTTAGCATCTCTTTGTAACATGGTTTAATACCAATAAACCCTAAGGCAGTGACATGAGCTCATTGTCTATTATTGGGCTGGGGGTGGTTACAGAGCTGCAGAAGCCCTTCTGAAAAAAGTGAAGAAGCTGTTTGGAGAGTCCCGGGGGGAAAATGAAGAAATGGAGAAGGATCTCCGGGAAAAACTGGCTGACTACAAAAACAAAGTTGATGATGCTTGGGACCTTTTGAGAGAAGCCACAGATAAAATCAGAGAAGCTAATCGCCTATTTGCAGTAAATCAGAAAAACATGACTGCATTGGAGGTGAGTCTTAGGGGCACTTTTATCTTAATCTCAGAAGGTTGGGGACTGCGGGGGCAGTGTTGAACATGGCTGGACTATTCAAGTTGATGCACATTTACAAAAGTCAAGAGTGACAACTCTGAAAGGGGGCTTCTAAGAAACAGAACAAGAAATGACTTTTTTTTGTTTTTGTTTTGTTTTTAATGACCAGTTACCATCGCCCAAAGAATCAAATAAAATTTTGATAAATTAAACTGTTGAAGATATTTAAGAACACTGTGATACAGTGGAAGAAGTTCTTTACAGGGAGTCAGGCGACCTTGGTCTCAATGACAACTGTGCCACTATCTAGACATACAAATTGGGCAAGTCAATTAATCTGTAAGCATCAGTTCCCCAAATCTACAATAAGTGCATTATACTATAGCATACATATAGGGTATCTTCAAATATTCATATCATATTATTTTGCAGCTTTCCCAAACTAATTCACAAATCTTGTTCAGAGATCTTGCTGCCAAAAATCATAGAAGTTCCCTACACTTTCAAATTCAATCTGAGCACATGACAAATAGCTCAATGAATTGAGACCAGAGCTTGGAAAAATTTTGGTTCCTCTTTTTCTATGCGCTGTGTTCTATGCAAATGATCTTTTAGAAGGAACTAACATGAATAGATCAGGTCTGCGTTATTTTCTCCTCCTTTTCCACACAGATAACAGTTACTTCTCAACTCAAGAAATTATGGGCAGCCTCTATCTTTTTAAGAGTTCTGATGGAACTAGAACTAAAACAGATTCCTCCATTATTTTTTCTTCTTTTTTTTCCAATTTCTTTCTTAATCTTAACATAGTAAATTATCACTTTTCCTAAGAGTAAACTCAGCACATATAACAGCAGCACCCTGTATGTGATATTAATATTTAAACAACAACAACTTTCTCCCCAGAGACAAATTTACCTTTGCTGTTTTCAAAGTATCTGACTCCAACAGGTCAGAAAACAGCAGCAGACCTATACATCTTCTAACACATAATTTCACCGTCAACAGTAACTCAGCACCCTCTGGCATATAGTATGTATGTAGAAATGTTTGTTGAATGACAGTAACAATTGAATACAATCAACCAGGATTTTTTAAATCTATTCATTTCTATTTTCCTTTAGATTAAGTAGTAAGAGGAAGAATTACATTTTTTTAATATATTTTATTTCCGTGTCCCTCTTCTGGGACTTAGCCTTGTCATTCTGGTAGAATATTGAAGAGGCTTACTTTTTTTCTTCACTGATGCACCTAACCAATTTGGAGTCTACTGACATGCTAGCAGTATTCCAGAAATACTGCTGTGAGGCAGGATGCTGGGCCACTGTCCTGTCACAGGCTCCAGCATGATTCACCCTGCTCGGTGACACACCAGCCGTGTGACTTACCCGAAGGTGCACCTGTCTATTTTATGGCAACCGTTTGATAAATGAAAATTACCTGTGTGGAAAGCATAGTAAGTATTTGAGAAATATTTCAAGAAGAGTTATATGGCACAGTCAATAGTACCTTTAGCTATTCGTTTCTTTTAGTGATGTTTAAAACCAGAAGTCATCATTCTTGGGCACCCCTACAAATACCTGGAGCTTATGTATAGTCGGTATTGAAATTCTGAGTGGTCCTGTTTGGATTTTCCTTGTATGTGCCACGTTTAACTAAAGACTTGTTTAAAAGTTACTGGATAAAATAGATAAACTAACTGAATCAATATGAATAAGGCATAGATTATTTATGGTTGCTTAAACCAAATAAATAATTTGGTTGCTGCCAAAATGGCTGAAAATCACATGGGGTGTTTGTTAAGCCAACAGGTTTCATGGGCTCCCACCTAGAGAGTCTGTGTAGGCTGCTCTGGGGTTTGGCCCCATGTGTACATTCTAACACTCTCCCTGGGCTAATCTGATGCCTATACAGGTTCGAGGAAAACTGACACATTGCATCTATTTGATTGAATAATAAGCTGCATTTTAAATAAATAACTCCCTTATAACTGTGTCCACAATGAAGGTAACACAATTAATACCCAACTCAAAAACTTTTTATTTATTTTAAGGTGGCATGTAATTTTCTTTTTAAAAATTTTATCAAGCCTCTAATTCATTCAGGAAACGTGCTAGACACCAAAATTGATTGTGTCAGTGATGAGCCCCCTTAGAGCAGCAGCCTCAGCGTAACCTAGCAACTTGTCAAAAAGACAAATTCTTGGACCCCATCCCTAAATGACCAACTCAGAAACTCTGAGAATGGGGCCCAGAAATCCGTGTTTTAAAAATTCCTCCAGTGATTAAGATGCAGCTTCAAGGTTGAGAACCACGGGTATAAACACTAAAACACCATCTCTGATTACTTCAAGTAACTTGTATTTAGTGGGAGGTACACATAAGCAAACCACTCCATACGCTACCATAATTATCACAGGCGTAAGCAAAGGAGGGAGTCTAAGTCACCCCTGAGTTTAGGAAGAGCTTTGTAGAGGCCCTGACACTTGTGCTAGATCCTAAAGGATAAGCACTGGGTCACAGAAGAATAAAGAGAAGAACATTTCAGAAACTGGGAAAAACATATACAAAGGCATGGAGGAAAGAAAATGACATTTTGGGGGAAAGTTCAGTGGTTTGATAGGCTTGGAAAGAAGACTGCATGTGAACGACTGAAGGGATAGAAAGAAAGAGAAGATAGGCAGAGTGCAGACCTTCAGTTATAAGAGAATCGCATTGTGAGACTAAGCTAAGGAATTGGTTTTTATCCTGAGAGCCATAGGAAGCAATTGAAATATTGCAGTCATGGGTTAAAATAAAATGTTGCAGAATTTGAGTGGCTCACTTAAACTGAATAAATGGTTTTTTATCGGAAAATAGTGTGATATTAGGCTAGAAAAGTAGGCTGGGATAATATTTATCTACATATCTGTCAGGTACCTACCATATCAAGGTACTGTTGGTAACCAGGGTATTTGAGGTTGAATAGAAATGATTCCTGGCCTCAAAGAATTTACAACCTCCTGAAAAATTCAGACATGTCAACCTTTCACTCTACATAATACTATGATAATATTGACTGGGAGATTCAGCAAAAGTTTCACAAAAATAACAGCATCATAGCAGAAGTGGAGAGGAATTGGAAGAAAGACAGAGCAACAGGAACCCCAGCCAGAGCTTTGGAAGTGTAAGGTGATCTTAGGAAGTGTCCAGTACAGCAGAAAAACTTTCAAAAGCTACGTAAAAATCTGTAGCAGAGAAGGCTCTGGAATTTGGAGCCAGATCATAGAAGGCTTTGGATGCAGCCAACTAGATGGTGATGGAGTTGGAAAGGCATTTCCAGCAGTGGAGAGAGGGCTAAGGGAACTGGGGACGTCATGGGAAGAAAAGAGAAGACAAATATTTCAGTGAAGCAAAATAATATGTATTGAGCAGTCTATCCCCAAATCTACCATTATATCCTTGCCAAAGAAGGCAGTGCGGATCAAGTAAAGAGTAAGTTGCTACATAAAGAATACACAGGCCAGCCTGAGCAACATGGTGACACCCTATCTCTATAGAAAAATACAAAAATTAGTCGGGCATGGTGGTGCATGCCTGTGGTCCCAGCTACTTGGAGGCTGAGGTGGGAGGATTGCTTGAGCCCAGAAGTTTGAGCCTGCAGTGAGCTGTGATCATGCCACAGCACTCCAGCCTGGATGACAGTGAGACAATGAGACAGTGAGACAGTGTCTCAAAAAAAAAAAAAAAGAAAAAGAAAATAAAAGAAAACAATAATAGACAGGAAGATAGCTTTTGCAGGTTCCTGAAGAATCTACCACACCAACACACCAAAAAAAAAGAAAGAAAGAAAAAGAAAGTGTCCAATTTGCAAAGCTCTGGAATAAATAAAGATCTAATTAATTACAAGTTAAAAGTAGAAATATAATCAACCTTCATATCCAAACAATAATTGAGCAATTATACTTATGCCATACTTTTTGTAGAATAATTCTCCCTATACATAGGCCTTCTTTCTGTTTCTTAAATACTCTAAGTTTCCTATCTTAGGTATTTTATATGCTACATCATTTTCTATCTGTGCCTCTCTTTGTTTTTATTGTACTCATCTAATCTTTCTTTAAGAATATATTATACATTAATTTACTCATTCATTTTATCTCTCCTCCACACAAGCCATGAGGAACATGTGTTCTTCCTCACATCCCCCAATCCTAGAACAGTATCTAGCAAAGGCAAAACAGATTGTTTTCCGTGAATAAATAAAGTGCCATAGAACAAACCCAGATACTCTATACTTTTGTCAATATTTGTGAGCTCCAAATTTCCATCTTTTCTCGGTTCAAAGCTAGAACCCATCAGTATCTAATCTGAAAACAAGACACCTCTAAAATTTATTTAACCTCATCCCAGCACTCTGGGAGGCTGAGGCAGGAGGATCATGAGGTCAGGAGATCGAGACCATCCTGGCTAACATGGTGAAACCCCATCTCTACTGAAAATGAAAATTAAAAAAAAATACAAAAATAAAAAAAATTAGCCAGGCGTGGTGGCAGGCACCTGCAGTCCCTACTCGGGAGGCTGAGGCAGGAGAATGGTGTGAACCTGGGAGGCAGAGCTTGCAGTGAGCCAAGATTGCTCCACTGCACTCCAGCCTGGGCGACAGAGTGAGACTCCGTCTCAGAAAAAAAAAAAAAAAAAAAAAAAAATTATTTAACCTCTTGATCATCATTTCTGATTGAGTATGCTAAGAAGCACATTTTGATCTTTGCTTTTACAAAAGATTCTAACTCACTACTTTATTGAAATCAAAATATATATAGCTCTTCAATTAACACACGTGTGGAAATATCTTCCCTGTTTCCAGTGGCACAGCATTTTAAATTACCTTGATCCATTAATTCAAACAAGCCATGTTGTAAAAGATTCTTGTGTTTCTGTACATGCTATACTTTAAGTCAGCTCATACAAAAGCTAAGGGCTAAAATTGGCAGTTGTGTAAAAGAATGTTAGACCCTTGGAAGATAAGATATGACTTGTAATCAGGGAGATTGTAATCAGGGACATTGGGACTCTTCCCACATTTGTTGTCTGTGAAGAGTGAATGACATATCAAAACTTCCCCTGAATTAGTGATGGGAGTAGCTGAATGAGCCAAGTGTCAGCAGCACAAGTCCCAGGAATGGACTTCATTTTCTTTTTTCTTTCTTTTCTTTTCTTTTTTTTTTTTTTTTTTTTGAGACAGAGTTTCGCTCTTGTCACCCAGGCTGGATTGCAATGGTGCAATCTTGGCTCACTTTAACCTCCACCTCTCAGGTCAAGTGATTCTCCTGCCTCAGCCTCCCAAGTAGCTGAGATTACAGGCATGCACCACCACACCCAGCTAATTTTGTATTTTTAGTAGAGACGAGGTTTCACCATGTTGGCCAGGCTGGTCTCGGACTCCTGACCTCAGGTGATCCACCTGCCTTGGCCTCCCAAAGTGCTGGGATAACAGGCATGAGCCACCGTGCCTGACCCATTTTTATTTATTTATTAAAAAATATTTATTGAGGAAACTCATCTACATACTAGAGATAGTGATATATAAAACTGTCTTTATGGAATTTGTGTTACAGTGCAGGAGACAGTCACTAAGTCAATAAATAAGCATAAGCTACGACCATAAAGTCTGGATGCACGGGCTGATAAACATAAGTTGTTTACTGATATGTAATAAATGGTATGTTGCATGATATTGCATAATAGATTCAATGTGTTGTCCTTCATTAACAATGTGTAGTTCAACAGGCTGTGCCTTTCTGCTAGTCCCTGTACATGTATCTGTGATGCATTGGTATTTCTGATTTTTATTACCTAATCTTTGTTTTTAGCAACTCCCGGCAAAAGTAATCAAGACGAATCAATCTATATAAAAAAGAAAATAATATTGTCTATGTTTCTACCACTCTGTAGAATATAATTCAGATAAATGGGTTCTAAGAAGAACAAAATAAGGTAATTATAATAGTTAAAATTACAGTGTTACTGGGTGCCAGGCAGTGTTCTAAGCTAATTCTTCTCCAATTTTACAATGTCTATCAATCATGTGGGGTTCTTGTTAAAGTGCAGATTCTGAGTCAGTAGTTCCCAGGAATGGATTGAGATTATGCATTTCTAATGAGCTTCCAGGTGACGCTGATGCTGCTGGTGAATGGGCTGCACATTGAGTAGGGAGGGACTAAACATTTTGTATGAAGGTAAATTACTTCCTTAAGGTTTCATAGCTTGGGAGTGAGCAGAGCTGTGATCCCAAACCAGAAGGGCTGTCACTTGGATGTAGCTTTTAATCACTGTGCCCTAGTACATAGAGAATGATTGAGACAAGGATAGGTGCTATTTTAGATAGGTAATCAGAGGAGTGGCTATTACCAGAATGGAGGGAGGACACAAGCCAAAGAGTAGGAAGAGCACATAGTGGGAATATCTGCAAGTGCAAAGGCTTAGAGGCAGGAACTAGTTGTATGTACCTGGCAACATACTGAATTGGTCGGTGAAGGGAAGGAAAGAAGGGTATGAAATTAGCACTAGCTCAGTGCAAATTTTAAAACTGTGATTTCTATAATAGAAGAGATAGTATTTTCGTAGTCAAGGACCCAGGATCTATCATTAAGTAGACAGGGGTTTAAATCTTAATCACACTGTACTATGTGACCTTAAAGGAATCATTTAATATCTTAGTTCATCTGAGCTGCTATAGCAAGAGACCAAAAACTGAGTGGCTTATATGCAATCAAAACTTATTTCTTATGGTTCTGGAGGCTGGGAAATCCATGATCAAAGTATTGGCAGATTTGGTGTCTGATGAGGGACCACTTTCTGGTTCATAGACACCGTTTTCACTGTGTCCTCACATGGTAAAAGGATGAACAAGCTCCTTCAGGTCTTTTTTATAAGGGCAGTAATCCCGTTTATGAAGTCTCTGCTTCATGACCTGGTCACCTCCAAAGGCCCCACTTCCTAATCCTATCACCTTGAGGATTAGGATTTCAACATATGAATTTTCAGGGGACACAGACATTCAGGCCACTGCCCTTTACTTATTCAATTTCCCACTTATGTAAAAAGTGATCAACATGGGATCCAAAGATTGGAATAACAAAATGCTTACAAACTGTCTGGCACATATTGAGATCTAAATGAATTAGCATTATTGTCTATAGAAAAAAACTATAAGTGGTCAAAGCTTAAAATTATAATTGATGCAGTTAAATCTGTAGGTAGAATGGTGATTTCAGGAATAGGAATGAATCAGAAGTATAAAGAATAAAATAAGTAAAAAATAGACCCCAAATGGAGAAATAGCAATATTTGTCTCTCACTGATTTTACTCTTCTAGGCCAGGATTGAGTTTCATGTACTTTTGAGACAAGCTATATGTTCCAAAGAAAAATTATAATCTATTCTCTCATGAAACAGTCCATTAGGTTGATTCTTCCATGTGATGGTTTCTCTATTTCTTAAAAAGTATTTTCCCTAAGTTTCCTTAAAAATCTCACTTCAAATTTCACAGAACTCCCATTGAATACATCTGCTTATGTTTATGCTCACAAAGTACTCATTTGTATATAGATTCTAGAATTCAATATGTAGTACCAATATAACTATTCAGCACTTATATTTTAGTTAGAAATGGATGCTCCATCTTTCTTTAAAAGTAGTTTTAATTCCTTAACTAGTATCGCATAACTTTTCTTCGCTTGGATGACTTTCTCACAATGAGAAGAAGAAATAACCTGTACAAGCCTCTACATAGAAGAACTCTTCAAGGACTGGCTAAGTAGTTTATATTTTTCTCATCTAGCCACATTTCAACATGATGTACCTTTTTTGCTAAGCTTTTATTCAAACAGCTCAGGAAAGTCAGGAATACAAGGGGTAGGATTTTATGAAAATGCAATTTTGATGTCTTGTTCATAATGGTCTACAGAAAAAGAAGGAGGCTGTTGAAAGCGGCAAACGACAAATTGAGAACACTTTAAAAGAGGGCAATGACATACTCGATGAAGCCAACCGTCTTGCAGATGAAATCAACTCCATCATAGACGTGAGTATTGGGTAAAACTCAAAAGAGAGATGATAATGAATAAATGGGAGCCGATGAGAAAGCTCAGTAATAGAAGCAAATACTAGTACTTGTTTTCTTGTGGAGATAAAATTATTTTTGCATTATTCTACTGTGACCATGCCTATCTATTGGTGACAACTGGAATATCACTTTGTTCTCCCAATGGACATGAGTGTTTGTGTAAGTGTACTCACACATTCACACATATCTGTTTTTGTCCACAGCGATGAAGGACATTTCTTGTTCCTAGAGCAGCACTTACAATCTGCTTCAATATTTATATAACATTAGTTAAAAGACAAATGTAAATTTACAAACAGGCTTTTAACATGTAATGTCTAATGCATTACATAGAGTGATATGTGGTCATAGAAATGCAAATGGCCTAAGAGATCCTAATGACATGTATACCTATGAAGTGGCATTGTTTAAATAGATAGGCTTTTCTTGGTCTAAGTTGGTTTCTTAAATTTCCTAGTCTATTCCATTAAATAATGACTTTAATTCTCTATTCTTTTTGCTATGTTAGTAAGTTTGAAGTTTCATTTTAAAACTAAACATGTGGGCCAGGCACGGTGGCTCATGCCTGTAATCCCAGCACTTTGGGAGGCCGAGGTGGGCAGACTGCCTGAGCTCGGGAGTTCAAAACCAGCCTGGGCAACATGGCGAAACCCCGTCTCTATTAAATATTCAAAAAATTAGCTGGGTGTGGTGGTGGGCACCTGTAATCCCAGCTACTCAGGAGGCTGAGGCAGGAGAATTGCTTGAACCAGGGAGGCAGAGGTTGCAGTGAGCTGAGATCGCACCACTGCATTCCAGCCTGGGTGACAGAGCAAGACTCTGTCTCAAAAAAAAAAAAAAAAAAACTAAACTAAACGTGTAGTTATGTCTCATAGAGAAATTAGTAAAAGAGAGGAGGCTTGAATTCACTTGCTTAAAATGCCCTCTTCTCTACATATCAGTATGTTGAAGACATCCAAACTAAATTGCCACCTATGTCTGAGGAGCTTAATGATAAAATAGATGACCTCTCCCAAGAAATAAAGGACAGGAAGCTTGCTGAGAAGGTGTCCCAGGCTGAGAGCCACGCAGCTCAGTTGAATGACTCATCTGCTGTCCTTGATGGGTATGTCATTTGTTTTTGGAAATGTTTGTGTATTTTGATGCTTGTCCAAAGGTTTTGACTAGCATAAATAGTAGAGAATCATTTTCAAATCCTGATTTCTGTTAATTATGAACACACTAGCTATATGGCCTTTCTGTGGATAGGCTTAATTAGGAGGGTCTGGGCAAAGCTTTGCTACAGCAGCATCAAAAGTCTGATTTACAAGTAGACTCAAATATGGCTTAGTAGGAAGTGAACATAGCCCTAGGCTACACTTAGAAAAAATTATTTTCTGTTCTTTATTAAAAAGCACAGTGGTTGCCTTATTAGCATTTTAAATAACATATATGAAAATACATTCTGTTTCAAATTTCAGTTTCATGTTTCTAATGGAATCAAAACAATTTATTGTTAAAAGGATGGCTTTTGAAAATTTGGCCCCATACGTAGTCTTTAAGTCTTTTTTATTTTTCCTCTTTTAAGCTCCAGGGAGACATTACATTTTCTCCTGTAAAATAGCAGCTTATTCTAGCTGGGATTATTACAAAGGTCATAGGAGGGAGAGTAAAGAGGGAAGTATACATTTGACTTACAAACAGCCTTCTGTGTATAACTGATATGCTTTTCCTACAATTTTGGGATTGTCGTAATTTAATAGCGGTGCTATTAGCCCCAAGAATAATTTGCCCAGATAAATCTACATCACATGCAAAGCTTTGTTCTCATACTTAATACTTACTGTTATAAAGAAAAAATGCTAATGTTTGAAGACCTTGGACAATATATGAACTATCATTTTATTTTATGTCAAACTTTTGCCACTTTATAATGAAGGGTGGGTGGCAGATGAAACACAAAGCTAGGTATCATCAGATCCAGGCTCTAAGTCCTTACTTGGGGACATATTGGTCATTTGGCCTGAAACAGGCCATTTAACCTTCTGAAATTCACTTGGTCTCTTCTGGGAAGTGCACCTACCCCAGAAAGATTTTGTGAAATTAATTCCAGTAATGTAGTACAAGTGCTCTGAATCTCACAGCATGCTTCACAAATAAGGTGAAGAATTGTCTCATATCACACACCTGCTAGAGCACCTGGTTGCAGAGACTTTTGGAGGATGCTATGGGTATTTAAGATATGTTGGTAGTATTTCATAGCTGAATTATTAGAAATATAAGTTTAGGTTATAGAAAACTATAGGACAATATAATAAGTAGATACTTCACTATTATTTGGAATTGTCATAGATATATTGGCCATGATCATTTGGAAGCCAGATTTCATATAATTAGGACGTTCTTCATTTGAGTACCATTGAGTGCCCTGACATTCCTTTTTTGAATCATCCCACCAGAATCCTTGATGAGGCTAAAAACATCTCCTTCAATGCCACTGCAGCCTTCAAAGCTTACAGCAATATTAAGGACTATATTGATGAAGCTGAGAAAGTTGCCAAAGAAGCCAAAGATCTTGCACATGAAGCTACAAAACTGGTAAGAAACAAATGGCACATGTGCTGGGAATGGAAGTCAACCTTTTTGAATTTTTCAAATGTAAGTCAGTCTGGAAAATCCCAGTAAATTGGTATATTTGTTTTGGGTTATTTTTGAAGACCTCTTTTAAAATTTGCCTAAAATAAATTCTCGGTATGCTATAATTATAGCAGAACTCTTTTCTCAGTCACCCACTACCACTGTTAGGGTCTTAAAATTATCTCAGAAACCAAGCAAGTTTGTGCTACCAACTCACAAAATAAAACAGGCAAAGACAACACTCTGGATAGGGAATTTTATCACCATTATCTCAAATGGCATTAGTAAAAAAGAAAAAAAAGTAACCATTGTATATAATCACACACAAATTGGTTACATATGAAGTTTGGCTATAAAATTCACTTTTTAATAAAAACATACTGGATCATATGCTTCTAAACAATTTATACCATGTTTATGAATTAATGAATTTTTATGAATTTTTGAATTAAAAAGCTCTTAACCTTTGGCTACAATCATTGTTCGTAATACATTTGGAACAAGTATTTTAGAGTTTGGGCATTCCAAGTTCTATCACATTATTTGAATGCCTTCAATGGTGACAAATCTTTATGCTTTAGATGTAAAGCAACATTTTGTACATGAGTTGTGTGATAGTAAGTTGGTAGTACTATTTCAGGTTAAAAAAATCTCATAGGAATCATCCTGAATAAAATGTTCAGAACCATCATTTATTTATTTTGTTTCACATAGAACCTACCAAACACATGAGAATTTTTTGGGGGAGAAATCTGATTGGACATTTGACTGTGAGTGAAATACACATAAGCAGTGGTGTTAAAGAAACTGATCAATATTTTCTTTGCTTCAGTGTTGGGCAAAAATACTTTCTAGGATTTAGGGGATATTAGAGATATCCCCTAAATGAACCAGTCTTAGCAGGTTCATTTTGTGATCATAATGAAACATCATATTCTATGAGCAATTTGTACTGTTTTTGGTTTCTCTTGAGTGAGCCCTACTAATGCCATATGTTCTGTTGACTTCTTATTCAAAATAGTGGCATGATCATTGCAGAAGCATTTCTATGTTCAGTTATCCTTTCAGAATGAATCTACTTTTCAAATCTAAACTAAATTTTAATCCATCTTCTGTTAGATAATTTTCTATTTTAAAGACCCTAATTTCAAGTTCACCATTTTCATTTCACCTGTTTTATTGTATGATTATTTTCAGCACCTAAAATGGTGCCTGGCAAATAGTAGGCACTTATAAATGAATGAGTGTATTTTTTCATTATAATTGACACCTTTTATGCCTGTTCATAATCTTTTATACCAATAAAAATTTGCTGTAGTAATTGCTTCATCCTTATAAATTTCTTGTAACATTTTATGATAAGGAGGTGTTTAATTTTACCCTAATTTAATACCTTTAGGAAAAATCATTTTTTGCCAACATGAAGTGTGCACTTACTTCTTACCACCCATGCTTATACATGGTAGGCTAACCAACCTCAAACAGAGAGTGATGGTGAGTTGTAATGCATTACACCATGTCTGCTGTTATCATTATTCCTTCTCTCTTTCCACAATCATTTAAAAATAATTAAATGTCTGAAAAATTACAAAATAAGTGCTATAGAGAATCAGTGATTTATTAAATGACTATTGGATAAGAAAAAGAAGACAATCTGTCCCAGAAATTTTGTTGGAATGTTTTTCATGAACAGAATGAATAAAATTTTAGTTTAATAGATCAGTATAATATAGTTCTACTTTGCTGGAAAAGAAATATATTTGAAAAGCATTACGTTGAGTAATTATCTAGATAGGACTAACATCCCATAAATATAAGATCTGATATAAAAGCTATAGCTCAACAGAGAAGAATGAGATTAAATGTATTATTAAGTATAGAAGAGTTCAAAGCTTAACAATACAGAAGAGTCCTCTACTCCTTTGAGTCTAGCCCTATAAAGAAGGAAGAATGTTTTCAATAACTTAAAAGGAAAAACAAAGAAACAATTTATACATTTGCAGGAGAAAAGGAAAAGGTCAAGTAGTAGAGCAACCAACGACCACTATGAAGAAAGTGGAGGTCAGACAATTTGAGAAGAAAAAAAGCATTGAAAATACCATAAGAAAAGAAACAAAGAAATGATAGAAATAACCTCCAAGCATAATTAAGACAATGTTTAAAATCAACTTTGATTTTTTAAAAATTTACTTGTCTTCCTATATATAAACACACATAGACAATCAAGAATCACACTGAAAGGAAAATATGAGTGAGAAGGAAGTGGATCCTTTATAAGCAGGAGAAAGCTAATACGATTTGTTTGTACTGCAGTATTATTTTGTAAAGAGTAATAGCTACTTGTCTTGCATAACTAATTTCTTTAAATATCAGAATGAAATGTTATTTTAAGAATTTAGACATCATGAAATAACAAATGCTATTTTTCTATTGGTGTCGGGTGAGGAAAGTACTATAAAGCATTTGTTTTCCTACATATAATCACCAAGAAAATATCTCATTTAGTACTTCTCTAGAGGGTGCAAGGAAAACAGAAAGGAGATATGTCACTCATAAAATGGAATAAAAATGGAATATGGACATCAGTAATTTTTTCTCATCTTAGTTGCTTTGATCCTATAAGAGACTCTAAAATAACAGAGAATTAGATGTTTTTAAAACATTTCCAGGTCATAGTAAACTCAAAGCCTACATTATCTATCAGATCAGATTTTTAAAATTGATGAATGTATTAATGTTCTCTAGAAGGACAGAACTAATAGGATAGATGTATACAAGAAGGGGGGTTTACTAAGGAATATTGACCCACGCCATCACAAGATGAAGTCCCACAATAGGCCATCTGCAAGCTGAGGAGCAGGGAAGCCAGCCCGAGTCCCAAAACCTCAAAAGTAGGGAAGCTGACAGTGCAGCCTTCAGTCTGTGGTTAAAGGCCTGACAGCCCCTGGCAAACCCCTGGTGTAAGTCCAGGAATCCAAAAGCTGAAGAACTTGGAGTGTGATGTTCAAGGGCAGGAAGTATCCAGCATGGGTGAAAGATGAAGGCTGGAAGAGTCAGAAGATCTACTCTTTCCACTTTCTTCTGCCTGCTTTTATTCTAGCCACACTGGCAGCTTATTAGATGGTGCCCACCCACATTGAGGGTGGGTCTGCCTCTTCCAGTCCAGTGACTCAAATTTTAATCTCCTTTGGCAACACCCTCACAGAGACACCCAGGAACAATACTTTGCATCGTTCAATCCAATCAAGCTGATACTCAATATTAGTCATCACAAGTCCACCCCTTGTCAACTTGAACCCATACACATCTCCTGAAATCATACATAATCTCCAAATAAAGACAATAATAACATCATAATTATACCTAACATAATACAGCTATCCCTTGTACAATCAGAAGCACACTAATCCTTAACCTAAATGCTATTACATAAAGTTAACAACACTTAAATGCTGATATGAAGTCAATAAATTTTATGTCACATGATAAAGGAAAAAGAAAGCAAATGAAGATATTTTCCTAGTACAAGTGTATACATGCACAAACATATTCTTAACAGAATAAGGAGGAAATATATGACAATTACAGTCTTCATTTCTGCAACTGGCCACGTGGTTGTAGCTGGTATTGATGACTACCTTCTTCTACTAACCATTATGTATTCCCTTTGCCTTCTGCAAGCACCTCAGCGGGTCATGGCTTTTTACCTGGTGGGGTGACCCAAACCTTTATTCTGGAAGGACCTGTGCCATTTGTAGTCCTGTCTGGATTGGGTTGGATTGGGTTGTTGTAGTTTCCCATTGACCTTAAACACAGAGGATGGTAATATTAAGAGATGCCCTATGGGATCTCCTGTATTCCATGCATGCTCTTCCTTGCCTTCATTGTGGAATAGTAGACTGATTTCACCTTGATATTCTGGGTCAATTACCCAGCCAACACTGAAACCCCCTTCTTAGCCTGTTGACTTGGAGGTAGGAGGGCCCCAATTGGCCAGGTGGTAATCTTAACTTCCAGTTTAATGGAATCATTGTTGTATCCCTTGGTGACAGCATTCTTCCCTCTGGAACTAAGATGTCTAGGCCAGCAGAACATAATGTTGTGGGAACAGGAAGCAAAATTTTGCTAGTGGGTCACTAGTGGTGATGGTGAGTGGTGCCACTTCCGCTTCCACCCCTTGATTCTGGGACACGTGAACACTGGCTATGGGAGAAACAGTACCATATTTTGGACACTGATTCAAGGCATACACAGCCTTCTGGAGAACTTTGCCCCAGTCCGGCAAAGTATTGTCACCTAGTTGGCATTGTAATTATGACTTCAAAAGGGCATTCCACAATTCTATCAATCCACCTGCTTCAGGATGATGGGAAACATGATAAGACCAGTGAATTCCATGAGCATGAGCCCAGTGCTGCACTTCTTTAGCTGTAAAGTGAGTGCCTTGTTCAGAGGCAATGCTGTGTGGAATACCATGACAGCGAATAAGGCATTCTGGGAGTTCACGGATGGTACTCTTGGCAGAAACATTGGGCGTAGGATGGGCAAATCCATATCCAGAATAAGTGCCTATTCCATTGAGGACAAACCTCTGCCTTTGCATGATGGAAGAGGTCTGATATAATCAACCTGCCACCAAGAAGCTGGCTGATCACCCTGAGGAAGGATGCCAGACGGAGGGCTCAGTGTTGGTTTCTGCTGCTGGCAAATTGGGCACTCAGCGGTGGCTATAGTCAGGTCAGTCCATGTTGCTGAGCCTATGCATAACCTCCATTCCTGCCACCATGGCCACTTTGTTCATGAGCCCATTGAGCGATGACAGGGTGGCTGGGGAAAGAGGCTGAGTGGTGTACACAGAATGAGTCATCCTATCCACTTGATTATTAAAATCCTCCTCAGCTGAGGTCACCCGTTGGTGAGCACTCACATAGGATACAAATATCTTCACAGTTTTTGACCACTCAGAGAGGTCCATCCACATACCTCTTCCCCAGATTACTTTGCCACCAATTTTTTAATCATGCTTCTTCCAAGTCCCTGACCATCCAGCCAAACCATTGGCTACAGCACATTAATTAGTATATAATTACACATCTGGCCATTTCTTCTTCCAAGCAAGTGCACAACCAGGTGCCCTGCTCAAAATTCTGCCCCCTGGGAAGACTTCCCTTTGCTACTGTCCTTCAGGGATGTCCTAGAAAGGGGCTGTAGTGCTGCAGCTGTCCACTTTTGGGTGCTACCTGCATATCTTGCAGAATCATCTGTGAACCAGGCCCTAGTCTTCTCTGCCTCTGTCAACTGATCATGGGGAACTCCCTGTGAGGCCATCAGTGCAGGCTTGGGGAGAGAAGGCAGGGTGGCAGGAGTGGAGGCCATGGGCGTTTGAGCCACTTCCTCATGCAACTGACTTGTGCCTTTAGGACTGGCTCGAGCCTGATCATGTATATACCACTTACAGTTGATGATGGAAGGCTGCTGTGTATGCCCAACTTTATGGCTAGATGGGTCAGAAAGCATCCAGTTCATGAAAGGCAGTTTAGGTTGCATGGTGACTTGATGACCTACAGTCAAACATTCAGTTTCTACCAAAGCCCAGTAACAGGCCAAGAGTTGTCTCTCAAATGGAGAGTAGTGATCTGCAGAAGATGGCAGGGCCTTGCTCCAAAATCCTAGAGGCTTCCACCTCTAGGAGTCACCTATGGGAGCCTGCCAAAGGCTTCAAACAGGATCCCTGTCTGCCATTGACACCTCAAGGACTATTGGATCTGCTAGGTCATACGGCCCAATCGGCAGAGCAGTTTGCACAGCAGTCTGGACTTGTTGCAGAGCCCACTTAAAATTGGCAGCCTTTCAGGTCACTCAATAAATGGGCCCATTTTAACACACCCAGGAACAATGCTTTGCATCCTTCAATACAATCAAGTTGGCACTCAGTATTAACCATCACAGTGAATGAATAGATTTTCTATGACGTTGACTCCTTGGAATGACCACCAGAGGCAATAAGCACACTCTCAGTGACACGAGGATATGAGGCCCTCCTCTGCCCATTTACACTGGAAATGTCTTAGATGTCTTAGTGCTTTTCAATCAGGTATATCCAAACAACAAACAAACAAATAAAATAAGACTAATGCAGAATGAATTCCATAGTTCAGATTCTTCAAGATAATGGAAAATTATCACATAATCTCCACCTGTTTTGAAACATTATCTTCTTTCCTTCCTTTCCTCCCTTTCTCCCTTTCTCTAAGTCAGTGGAATAGTCTAGTTTAACTTTGATGTAGAAAATTTAGGCAGTCCTCAACCTCTCTAGGTATGCTGAATTAAAAAAAAAAAAGAATGACATTTTTAATTCCCATGGCAAATGGAGTTCTCCTCTTTCTTCTGTTCCTCTTCTTCACCTTGCAATGACTGTCATTTTGTAAAACTTTCTCTCTGTCTCTGTCTCTCTTACTCACACATACACTCACAATGTTCCTTAATATCTTCTAATCCTGAATTTCCTTTCTCAATTTGTTTAGTTAGATCTTCACTAGAAATAAGTATTAGAAATTGGGAAAAGTTTATACTGGTTGTATTAGGGTTCTCCAAATAAACAGAACTATTAGGAGATGGATAGATAGATAGATACATTGATTGATAGATGACAGATAGATGAATGGATGGATAGGTGGATAATAGGCTGGTAGATGATAGATGGATGATAGACAGATTAGATAGATAGATAGATAGATAGATAGATAGATAGATAGATAATAGATTAGATGATAGACAGAAAGAATAAGAGATTTATTATGAAGAATTGGCTTACGTGATTATGGAGGCTGCAAAGTCCCAGTATCTGTGAGCTGCAGATCCATGATATAGTTCACTTTGAGTCCAAAGGCCAGAGAATCACGGGAGCTGATGGTACAAACCACAGTTCAAGAACTAGAGAGAAAATGAGATGAGATGTCCCAGCTCAATCTGTAAGGCAGAAAAGAAGGGAAGGAATTCCTCCTTTCTTTGCTTTTTGTTCTATTCAGCCCTCAAGAGATTGGGTGATGCACAGCAATATTGAGGAGGGCAATCTCTTTTACTGTCATCCAGAAACACCCTCACAGACACACCCGGAAATAATGTTTAATTTAGGTGCCCATGGCCAGTCAAGTTGACACATACAATTTACAATGACACTGGCCTTCAACTCCAGTGCACAATGTGGTCTTCCTCTTTATTCTCCAAATTCAAGTTCTCTTACTTGCTACAGTTGTCCATATTTCTTGGGAACCATCATTCTAAAAAATGTTGACCAGGCCTTTCTTAGGCATTTCTAGGAAAAATAATATAAAATACAGAATAAAGTGAGGGGAGTTCAGATATAATGCATTTCTCATAGAAAAAATGATAGTGGGATGGTTAGTAAAGAACTGTGCTGTGTAAGCAAGATGTAAGCTTTAAACAAAGTGAAGAAAAGGGGAGAAGCCTAGAAAAAATAACATTATACAGAAAGAGAATATTCTTAAATATGTCAACTTCTCTTATAGCAAATTTCCCAGTGTTCATTCCTAATACAAGGAGAGTAAAAACTCCATAGAAACCTCAAAAAGAGCTTTTTCTTGCAATGGGGTTAGGTGTCTAAGGAATAAACAGGACTTTTGAAACTTTACTCTTATGTGACAGATCAGTGAGGAGGAAACACGCTGATAAGAAGCACTGAACTACTACAAATACGCTTCATTTGCTATAAATACACTTCATTCACTGAACTATAATAAAATTCACTTCAAAAGGAATGTGAACAAAATGAAAGAACTTGGATATAAAGGGGCAAAAGTGAACAAAAAGATAGAAAATGTGTACAAATCTAAGTAAGCATTATGGAAAGCATAATGATAATAATTATTAAATATGTGGAATTAAAAACAAAGTGGAACTAAAACACAAGAGACTAATAAAATGGAAAATGGGGCAGGTAGTCAGTTATTTAATAAAAGTTTTTAATATTCTTGAATTCTGGGGAGGAAAGCAAAAAGCTAATTAACTTTAGTTTTCACTAAGAATATGTATTAAACATTGAAAAAAAATCTGGAAAAATAAAATTGACAATATTCGAGTTCTCCAGAGAAACAGAACAAATTGGAAGTGTATATATACACAGATATATTATATATTTTAAAGAATTGACTCATGAGATTGTGGGGTCTGGCTGCAGGGAATAGGTGAATATTGCCGTCTTGAATCCAAAGGCAGTTTGGAGGCAGAATTTCTTCTTCTTCAGGGGACCTCAGTAATTCTTCTTAAGGCCTCTGACTGTTGGATGAGGTTCCCCAACATCATGGAGGGTGACCTGCTTTACTCAAAGTCTACTGACTGAAACGTTAATCACATCTAAAAAATACATTCACAGCAACATCTAGACTGCTGTTTTACCAAAAACCAAGTACCATAGCCTAGCCAAGTGGATATAAATTAACGATCACAAACAGCTAAACATTCCAAACAAGCAGACAGAGAGAGAAAAAAATAAAGAAATGTGAAGGGGAGGAGAATTTTCAATCAATTCTGGAAAAGACAAAAAAAGAGAAAAAGAGAAACAAATCATAAATATAAAATATAATGGAATTAAATCCATATACAACAATCAGGGTAATTATCACCAGCTGCCTCAAGAAATAACCCCTGAAATCTCACATGATGGACATAATTCAAGTTTATGTCTCACATCACAACACAATGTGAGTTATACCACCTTTTGCATCTTGTAGTGACACCATACAGTGTAGCCTCCAAGGCAGGGAAGAGAAAAAATGAAGAGACATGTAGGCCCCTACCATACTGGCTCATGAAGCCTGGACCACGTCTGGTCTGAGTCATTGACCAGAAGTAGCCGTGTGCCCCAAGCTAACTGTAAGGGAGGTCTGGAAAAGTAGGAGGCACATAGGATATTTGATGAGCACTAACTATCTCTGCTTCAGGTTGTCTTCATAATAAATGCAAACATTAAAATTGACAGGTTACTATGATTTTCATATTGGATTAAAATGTCTAAAACAAAGGGATTCGTCTATGTATGACTTACACAAATACTGCAAATCTTAGGGGAACAGAAAGACTGAAAATGAGAGATAAGATACACTATGCAAACTCTAACCAGAAGAAAGCTGGTATGCTACCATTAATAGCAATCAAAAAGACTTTAATTTTTTTAAAAGAATTATTAAGGACAAAGAAAGTGATCATGATAGAATAAAAGGAACAAGGAAAACTAAAAAATTATGAGCCTGCAAGGTCATAATAACAAAGCCTATGGATAAATAAAGATAAATATATCAGAATGAGAACATTTTCATATATATAATAGGGAATGATTTTACCATATCTCTCTTAAAAAGTGATAGATCAAGCAAAGAGACACAGATTTTAAAAGTACCTTACACAAGATAACTTAATGGCCTTATAGAACTCTATGTCAACTAGATAATTAATTCTACATGCCCCATTCGATGAAGTAACTCATGAAACAAACAAAGGACCACAACCTAGATCATAAAGCAAGTATCAGCAAATCCTAATGATCCAATAGCATCTAGACTACATCCTCTTATCATAATGCAATACAATTAGAAATTGGTACAAAACAATTGACAAAAAGTTTTAAAATAAAAAACATACTTCAAAGTAATCCATGGCTTGAGAAAAAAACACAGTTTAAATTTACGAAGTATTTAATAACAGAATGGAAATAAAATTTCACCTCAAAATTTGTGTGTGCAAATAAAGTGGTACCAACAGGAAAATGTACAGTTTGGAATGCAGATATTAGGCAAGGGTAAGAACTGATACTAATTATCTAAGGTTTCTGCTCAAGATGTTTAAAAAAGTACACAGAAAGAAATAAAAATAAAAGCAGAAATTAATGACCTAAGGAAAGGCATTAGACAGGGTTGACAAAACAGCAAGTTGATTCTTAGAATAAACTAGCAAATAAACAGAAGACAAGAACAATTAAGCAAAGAGAGACAACACAAATGAATAGGATCAAGAATGAAAAGGGGATCATAACTGTAGATACATTATAGATTGAAAAATAAAAATGGATATATTGGAGGATATGCGCAATTTTATTCAAACACATTTGAATACTTAGGTGAAGTAAACAGTAAGTTTAGAGCAAAATTTACTCAAAAAGAAATAGTACACCTGAGAACTATAACCGTTAAATAAATTGCATCAGTAGTTAATACAACAAAATAACAATATGTACAAAAATGTAAAGGACCCATTATGCAATTTGTTCCCAAGAATGGAAAAAGAAGAAAAATTTCCTCAGCTTATTTTATGAGGCTGATACAATCTTGATGGCAAGCCCTACAGAGGACAGTACTACAAAGAAAAACTATAGGCCAGTTATTTAAATAGAGAAGCTACAAATGAAATATTATAAAACCCAGTTCAAATGTACATATTTTAAAGATCTGTAAATATACAGTAAAACATTAACATTTGCCAGATACAGATGATGGGAATAGAGGTGTCTGTATTAATTTCTAATCGTATCTATCTTATTTCCTACTTAAATAGTTTAATTAAAATGAACCTCAGAGGAGATAGAAAATCTGTCCTGCAATAAAATCTGTTCTAAAATAATAAAGAAAATAGGTCTAAAATGGGTCTGGAAATGAAACAACAACCCTCATCCTTTACACCAGCAAGAAGTTCTAAATTTCTTTCTTTTTCTAAATTCATGATGCATACATGTTTTAATTTCTTTTAAATGATCAGAGGCTGATAATTGCAAGCAACAATCCCCTAACCTAACTTTTCTCTCAACTAAGCTCACAGCTCCAGGATCAACAATTCCAAATCTTTCAAATATTCTTCTTTTACTACATCTCTTAGTAATATTATTGTGCCATCACGTATTTCATTAAGTGGGGCATTATCTATTTAATTACTGCTATGATGAAGGAGATGTAGTTCACTTACAGAATATCACATCACATTTTCCCACCCTTCAGTTTCCCAATATAGGTACATTACTGTGCTTAGATTCTTCATTTTTAACCTAATATACTGAGAGCATTATTTCCTGTATAAATGATAGACTCTGCACTCTTTAAGATGAAGCTATTTATGTCCTCATTCTTCCCTTTAGCTTCCTTTTTTCCTCGTCCTCTCAGCTTCTACCTCTTTAACTTTGATATTGTGATGGTCAATAACATTTACATTTTATCTATAACCATAATTGTGCCATGGCAGAATACAGAAGTCCCTTCTCTGAAGACATTTTATTCCTTAAAGGACTCCCTTTGATTTTTTTTCAGTGGGCCATTTGATGCTTGATTGCCAGTTGCTCTGTGCAGAAGAGAAGGGGTATTTTATTCCATAAAATAACTTGCAGTGAATTATTCCTTTTTATTTTCACAACTGACTCTCATTCTCTACCTTACCTGTTCTTTCTGAGGCCTGGCCTTCTCCAAATTTTTTCTATCTCCTTGCTGGCATATACCCTATAGTGCAAGTTGTGGGTACAATAACTGCAAAAGATTGAGGAGCAGGAACTATCTAAATAACCATGGTGGCTGGGTGCAGTGACTCATGCCGGTAATCCCAGCACTTTGGGAGGCTGAGGTGGGAAGATTGCTTGAGCCCAGGAGTTTGAGACCAGCCTGGACAACATGGCGAAACCCCATCTCTACTAAAAATACAAAAATTAGCCAGGCATGGTGACACATGCCTGTAATCCAGGCTACTCAGGAGGCTGAGGTGGGAGGATCCCCTGAGCCTGGGAAGTCAAGGCTGCAGTGAGCCAAGATCATGCCACTGCACTCCAGCCTGCGTGACAGAGCAAGACCTTATCTCACAAAAAAGAAAATAAAAGGCCCATGGTGGTGTGGCTAGGAAAGAGTGCCAACCCTGTCCAAAGGGAAGCTTTCTTTGCTGAAATTATACACTTTCTTTCTTTTTTTTTTTTTTTTTTTTTGAGACGGAGTCTCGCTCTGTCGCCCAGGCTGGAGTGCAGTGGCGGGATCTCGGCTCACTGCAAGCTCCGCCTCCCGGGTTCACGCCATTCTCCTGCCTCAGCCTCCCAAGTAGCTGGGACTACAGGCGCCCGCCACTACGCCCGGCTAATTTTTTTGTATTTTTAGTAGAGACGGGGTTTCACCGTTTTAGCCGGGATGGTCTCGATCTCCTGACCTCGTGATCCGCCCGCCCAAAGTGCTGGGATTACAGGCGTGAGCCACCGCGCCCGGCCGAAATTATACACTTTCTTTGATCAACTTCTTTTTACTCCGTCATAGTTTTATTCCCCACCAATCTCCCCCGGACAGTCACTCCATTTTACTTAGTCTCTTGGTACTATTCTCAGAATTCAAATTTTAAATTAATTAATCTGTATTTCTGAAGAGCTGTTTGTTTTCTTACTGTATATTTTGCTTTCTCCATGGGAAAGATATGCTTGGGAGCCTCATGCAGTCTTGGTGGGAGTTATGTAACCACTGGGCCAGATATGTCAGGGCACACAGCATGGTGAGCCATTCCCTGGCCAGTTCCATCGCCCAGAGCCAGACCCTTTGGGCCCTACACAGACTGCACAGCCCCAGCATGTGGGGGCTTGTATAAGGGAAGTTCTGATGTCACAGGATCCTTGGGGTGTTTCTTCACCAGCTGGAAACCTCTGTGGCCAGTGGCACCTTTGCCTGAGTTTTGCTGAGGTCCACTGGGCACATTCCGCCCACTCAGCCTGGCAGGCTACACTTGGCTCACACTACCACTACTGGGCTGGATCCCACACCTGCCAAGGGTGATTCAGGGCAGAGTGGCGAGGGGTGTGTGAGTGAGCGTGGGCTCCAGCCACTGTGCACAGCTAAGCGTGCCAGCTGCAGTGGGCTGGGCAGCTCCAGGTCCTGGCTCTATGTGAGGCTGTGGCTGAACCAGACATACTACAATTGGCTTCCACCACTGGTACCAGGGAATGCGGTGGCACCCAGGAGCTTGGAGATGCCAGGAACCACAGAGTCTGAAAGAGGGTCTCACAGCCCTGGCTCAGGGAGTCCATAGGTCTCAGCTCCCCAAAAGGCCACAGCCCTTCTCTCCTGCTCATTGCTGTCAACATGGTGAGCTGGGGAAGGGGGTGTGTTTCAACCCTGTTTGTGTTGTAGCTCTCTCATTTCCACCATTTGCGGGGGGGTCCCAAGTTCTTGTCCCACATCCTGGAAGAATGAGGTTTGCAGACAACTGGAGGGTTAGCAAGGTGAAGAGGTGCTTTATTGAGTGACAGTGCAACTCTCAGGAGGCCTGAAATGGGTAGCTCCGTTCCACAGGCAGGTAATTCCAGCATCTGTGCAGCACCCTCAACAGAGGTGAGACACACAGTGGGTAGCTCCTATCCACAGGTAGATCATCCTGTTGTCTGCCCACGTCTGGCTGAGTCCGGGGTTTTTTATGGGCCTCAGAGGGGAGGAAGTGTATGCTGATTGGTCCATGGGTGGCCATGAGCTGGCCCAAAAAAAGCACCATAAGTTCTCACTCCAGTTTGTGGAACCGACAGTCCAGCCCCCTTCCTTCAGGCAGTCCCTGGCTTGAAGGTGGAGCTTCACTGAGGGCCCACCCCTTTCCACCCAGGAACCTGTATGCCTCCTGCCACCACCAACCTGCCATCCACGGCGCCCACTGGCACCCAGGCTGTTCATGCCTAGGGTCACCTTCAGGCCCATGCAGAGCCACCCTCAACTCCCCCTTGGCCTCCCTAATGTGCTCCTTGGCACCCAAAATCCAGAAGGGGCCAAGATAGTAGGGGGCTAGAGTGTCAGTGCTGCCCCGAGCATATGCACACCTGGCTGGGTTGCAACAGCCTCAGCTTTGCTCTGAAATCAGCCTGGGTGCCGGGAACAGTGAGAGACCAGGAAGAAGGAGCGGGCACTTCTGAGCCTGTAGGGGAAGAGAGGTGGCTGAGGGCACAGGGATGCCTGGGTCCACAGCTGGCTGGGTGGCTGCAGCTGCACCCAGTAGGGCAGGGTTCCCCCACCTTCAACTCGGAAGGGGACATGGCTCCCACTTGTTCCTGGCTCCCACCAGCTCTGTGGAGCACAAAGCCAGACAGGCTGACACTGCCATTACTGAGACCCTCTTGCTCTCAGAAGAGTTTTCATCGCCTGCTCCCTCTGTTTTCACTGCTTGGTGACTGTGGTGTTTTGTTTTGTTCCTATTTCCTTTTCTCAGAAAAGAAAGTCTTTAGAATTAAAATTTAAGCTGACAATAGATCCCCTCTCCCCAGGGAGCAGAAATATGGATATCCCTAAAGGTCTTGAGTGTTTCGGTCTTTCACTATTTTATACTCAATATTCCATGATTTTTATCTAGATATGCCTGGTGGACAACAGGTGATCGCCAAATATAGGTTGTCCCTCCCATCTCCAAATTCTGATGCTAGAAATCAGGAATGGCTATGATAGTCCAGATTTTCAGAATTGATAAGATATTTATATTACCCTAAGAGATACGGAAGTTGAACAGAATAAAAAAATTCAAAATAAAAGTAAATAAAATTACTTTCTTTCCCTGTTTAGTTTGAGATCATGTGTAAATATCAGTGAACGTGATGTCATATAGGATTTTTTTTTATTGATCAGAATTAGGTTCAAGTTGTGTTCTGGAAACTTCTAATTAAATTGAGGGAAGATGCTAGCAGGCCAGAATTTGGGAATTAGATGATCTGGCTCCAAATTCAATACATATTGTCTATGTAATTAGCTGTGTCACCTAATGTACCAATAATGCCTTTTCAAGAAACACTGTGCAGTCTGTTCTGATTCCTCCATTGGCTTAATTCCTATAATAAATATAGTTTCCAAAGTTTATAACTTAATTTTCAGAATTTATTTATTTTAATTGACAGATAAAAGTGGTATATATTTATCATGTACAACATGATGCTTTGAAATAAGTATACATTGTGGAATGGCTAAATCGAGGTATTTAAAAATATGCACTACCTCACATACTGGTCATTTTTCTGTGTTGAGAACACTTAAAATCTACTCTCTTAGCAAAGCCATGCTGGCTTTAGTGATTTTTTTTTTTGTACATGATACTCTCATTTGGGTCAATAATTTTTTTAAAAGTCTATTGGAAGCAGAGAAATAAATTTTTTGACCCAGCCTTAGATGTATTTAAAAGTTCAGGGCATAAAATGATAGATGTCTCAGGGTTTGTGTCATCAGTCGGAAACACAGAACTCTTTTGAACAATGCCACAATGCAATCTAAGTTTGATCTAATTTTCTTCAAGACAATAATGCTCTTGGTGCCATCCTACCTGCTCTTTATGATTTCTACCCGTAGGTAGAATAATCAAGAGGTGAGATTGATGTTGTTTTTGATTCTGGACATTAACTAGAGGGAAAATTCGAAGCCCTCTAAGAATGGTATCTAACTTAATAGACACCTCTCCATTACCTTTACTCAAAACTAAGACTCTTTGTGGTATGGGCCCACCCCACCTCTAGTAGCCAGCTGCTAGTCCAGTGTCTGTCTCACTGAAGCAGTCTAGTGGTACACATAGGTACTGAGCAATTATGTCTGTCATGCTGTAATTGAGGAAAACCATCCTTACTTCATTTTATATTTTTGAATGCTCCCTTGATTGTCCTTCTTGGTGTTCCCATAAAGCTAAAAATTCACACTCACGAATTTTAAATTATCATGAGCAATTTGGGGGATTTCCTATTTTATCACTGAGTCTCCTTTGAGTGCTCAGCTGCTTTCAATCTTGACAGATACTCATCTGACCCATCTACCACCCTTAGGGTATGCTATGCGATGCCAGGGACCTACAGCCTTTTAAGAGATTTTTGACCAAAGCCGTCTCTTTGGGGTGTTTCTTGACTCATTTTTTACTCATTATTTAATTTTAATAACCTATAGTACTTAAAAATGTACAGTACTATATAAAGCACCTTAAAAATTGATGCATGGTGATTTTCTTATTTTAAAATTGTGTATGATTTTTTAAATTATTATAAAAGCAGCTTATGTCTATTATAGAAAATAGGAAATACAGAAAAGCAAGAAGAAGAAAATATAAAATGTGCATACGAGTAATTACTTTTGTAATATCATTGTATATCTACTCATATCTTTTCCTATGCAAATAGTTTTTCTACAAATGGGTGATATTTATATAACTGTTTCATAACTTACTATGGGAATGAACATCACATACGTATTTTAAAAAATATTCTCAAAAATATATTTTTAAAATGTATATTGAACTAGATTCTGAGAATTTACATCATTATTATAGTAAGAACATTATCCTTGATTTTGATTCATAGTCTAACATACCAAACTCTAAATTTCTTCTGTTACTCACTTTACATAAACACATTGCAGCCAGTCACCAACCCTTACATATATCCCTGCACAGTTTGAGCAGTTTTCTTTATTGAAAATATTTTTAATTTAAAATCATTTTAAGTTTTATATTATCTTGGCACATTAACCCCTGTGGAAATGTGTAAGACTTCTCTTCTAAAATAAATTATTTCATAAAGAGAGAGAGTAATAGAATAAGTCATAAACCATGCTGATGAATTTTTAGTTACTACTGTCTTTAAAAAGTAAACAAAAAAACAGAAAATAAATATTTTACATCTTTTACAGCCAACTCTTTCAATGAGTTCAAAAATTTCATCTCTAATAAAAAAGTAATTTGGGGAACATTTAGGAAAAAAGCAAAATATATAAAGCAATGTAAACAATAACTTTTAAACTTGCTTGTTTAGAAAATCACTGGGGTACAGGTTAGTCAGCCTGATAAACTCTAACTTGCCTTCACACCTCCCTCCTCCAGCAGAGCCTCCTCTGACAGCCAAACATCTAGGCATTTCTGTGTTCCATTATGGTAATGATTGTCTTTTTTTATAAGTGACTATATTTGTTTGTCTTTCCTCTTCCCTCCACTCCAGTTCCATTAGGGAAGGCATAGTCTTTCCATTTTGAATATTTGGTGCTTGAGATAAATAAAAAGTTTTGTTGGGTAAATAAATCAATTCACTTATCTATTAATCAATGGCAGTATGCTTTAGCAAGAGTAATTATGAATATCTAATAAGTAGTAGGAAGAGGAAAACTAACATGTATTAAAATGCAATTACATGCCAAGTCATCTGTTGAATCCTAACAGACTTTATAATTTCATTTTTTCCTGCTATAATGACGTTTTAAATTATCTCACATTTTCTTAAACAATTATTAACTAATAAAAACATACAGCAACTTACATAAAAATAGACTCTGTTTTGCATGATATAGTTGAAATTTTTATATAACTTGTATATCCATATGTATGAATATATATATATGTACACAGACTCAGAAAGAGAATACCAAGAATTTATTGTTTAAAAAAAAAAACCTCTAAAAAGCAAGAAACAAAATATCTTGCAACTCAAAGAATCTCATTTATATTTCACATATGCTGTAGACACAGCTCAGGAACTCAGATGTGATGCTTATGAATATGTATAAAGTATAATTAGCTTAGAAAATGCTGCTTCATCACCTGTCCTGATATTGTTGATGTGCTTCAATAACTTACCAAGCAATGCTGGAAAAGGTTCTCTCCAAATTCCAGTGAGTTGAAACGGTGCTTTTCACCCATAACATGTTAGTGTTTTCCATTCCCTTATCATGTGAAAAGCCTGTCCTTTAAACCCAGATTGCTGGCAGACTGCTTGTAACTGACAGTTGTATGCCATAAGCTCTTTACTTTAATATTTTAGAGAGCTTCTTGAAACATTGAGGCATGTCTTTTCCTCCAAATCTCTTGATTTTTAACCTCTCAATTCCACGGTGCTTGCATGAGGTGACTATTCTCTTTTCTCTGGCCTATACTATTACAATAACCAATTGATGGCTCCTTTTTTCCCACACAGCTGCCCAATTCATCTTCTTGGACTACAGCTCTGATCACACTCTCCTACTCAGAAACTTTCAAGGCCTCCAAATTGCTCATTGCCCAGTTTCCTTACTCGCACATTCAAACCTTCCAGAAATTGACTCTGACCTGTCTAATAGCCTTACTTCTCCACATTGCCCTTGACGAACCCTACAAACTTAGGGAGCTGAAATACTCGCTCTCACATCCACACATCAAAAGTCCCTGCCTGCCTCCCTGCCTTTCCTTATACTATTTCTACTATATCTTCTACATTCCTGTATATACTACCTGTCTCCTTTCATCTGAGCAAGGAATGGTTGACTAAGGATCCAGGAAGAAATCACTGACTTCCTAAAAAGCAGGGAAAAAAAAATTGCCTGGAAGCAAAGAGCAGGTGATATTCAGAAATGCAAGAAGATAGAAAATTAGCAACACGGAGGTCTGTATCAGTACATAGCCTTCAGTCAGGGCTGTCATGTTTCTGGATGAAGGTGCAAGAGCCAGTGGAAAATCAATACATTGATAATCATCCAGCCAGACTAATCAGAAAAAAATCAGAAAAGTCACCAACTACCAATATCAGGAATACAAGAGGTGAAATCACTACAACTTCTGCAGATAGTAAAGGATGTTAAGAGGATATTATGAACAATTTTATGGCAATAATTCAACAATTTGGATAAAAAGGGCAAATTCTTTGAAAATCACAAACTACCAAAACTCACAGATAAATAATCTGAATAGTTCTATATTCATTAGAGAATTTAATTTGTAGTTCAAAACCTTCACACACACAAATTCAGTTCCAGATGACTTTACTTGTGAATTCCACCAAATATTTAATGAAGAAATAATAAACTCTTTCAGAAAATTGAAGAGGAGAAAATACATCCAACCTCATTCTACGAGGCCAGTATTACTCTGATACCAATGGCAGACAAAGATAGTTTTTAAAAAAGAAAATTATATTATATAACAATATCCCTCCATGAACATAGATGTAAAAGTTCATGGCAAAGTTATAACAAATCAAATCTAATGATTTACTCAAAGGATTATACATGATCACTAAATGATATTAATGCCAGGATGTAAGATTGGTTTAATATTTGAAATTAGTCAGTGTAATTTACCATATAGCAAACTAAAAAGCAAACTATATAATCACCTCAATTGATACAGCAAAGGCATTTGACAAAATGCGTCTATTTTTTTTTAAAAACTGCCTACTAAGAGTAGGGGAACTTCACTACCTGATCACTATAAAAACCTATTTTTTAAAAAAACCTAACAGCTAAAATCATACTTAGCACAAGACTAAGATTAGGAAGAAGGCAAGGATATCTGCTTCCATTACTTCCATTTAACATTGTACTAGAGAGACTAACCAGTACAAGGGGCAAGAAAAAGGAAATAAATGGCATCCAGATTGAAAAATAAGTACAAATGTTTTTATTCACAGATACTATAGAAGTCTAAGCATAAAATCCTGGTGGTTCATGCCTGTAACCCTAGTGCTTTAGGAGGCTGAGGCAGGTGGATTGCTTGAGGCCAAGAGTTTGAGACTAGCTGGGCAACATAGCAAGACCTCATCTCTACAACCAAAAAAAAAGTTTAAAAAGCATAAAATAAAATGCTATCTATTAAAAAAAAGTTACTAGAACTAATAAGTGAGCTTACCAATGTTATAAGGTACAACATCTATATGTGAAAATCAGTCATTTCAAAGACTGGCAAGGATACGTTGGAAGTTGAAATTAAAAGGTTACAGTTTACAATAGCATTAAAAATGTAAAAGACCCCCTACACTGAATACTCTGGAGATAAATAAAAGAAAATCTAAATAAATCAAGAGATATACCATGTTCATAGATCAGAAGATTCAATATTCCTATAATCCTAGTTTATACATATTGACCTACACATTCAATGCAATCCCAGTAAAAATCCTAGCAAGGTTTTTTCCTAAAAATTTACAGATATGTTTTACAATTCATATGGAATTGGAAAGGAGAAAAATGTTGGAAAGGTTATACTACCTGACTTCAATACTTACTACCAAGCTATGGTAATCAGAGAATGTGGTGTTGGTATCAATATTGACAAATAGATTATTAGAATAGATTAAAGAGTCCAGATATAGATCCAGACATGTATGGTCAAATGATTTATGACAAAAATACAAAAGCAATACAAGGTATATTTAACAAATTCTACTAGAGGAATTGAATATCCATGAACAACAACAAAAAAAATGAACTTCAGTCTGTATCTTGCACCATATTCCAAAATTAACTCAAAAGAGATGCTAGACCTAACTGTAAAACATAAAAATATAAAACATCTAAAAATATATAAGAAAAATCTTTGTGATCTTGGGTAAAGCAAAGATTCTTAGATACACCACCAAAAGCATATCCTCAAAAGGAAAACAAAATTAACAACTTAAATTTCATCAAAATTGAGAACTTCTTCCCTTCAAAAAAAAAAAAGCACTTTTAAGAAAATGAAAAGATAACTACAAACTAGTAGAATATATTTCCAAATTACATATCTGATAAAGGACCCATATCCAGATTATTCATATGTATCATTCAAAACTCAAAAATAAGAGCAAATAACCCAAGAAAATTTGAACAAAAGATTTAAACAGGTCACCAAAGAAGGTGGAAAATAAGCATGTGAAAAGATGCTCAATGTTATTAGTCATAAGGAAAACACAAAGCAAAACCAAAATGATGACCAGTTAGAATGTCTAAAATTTTAAAAGACAGGTTATACCAAGTATCAACAAAGATGTAGGCACATGCAGCTCTCATACACTGGTGATGGGAATATAAATAGTTCAGATACTTTAGAAAACAGGTTGATAATTTCTTAAAAACGTAAACATAAATTACCATATGATCCAGCCATTCTGCTTCTGTGTATTTACTCCAAGATAAATGATGGCATATGTTCACCCAAAAATTTGTACACAGATGTGTACATATCCCTATGATGAAATAATTACCAATAAAAAGGATCAAATATGGATACACACACAACATAGATAAATGTTGAAACTATGTTGAGTGAAAGAAGCCAGACAAAAAGAGAGTACATGCAGAATGTTTCCATTTGTATAAAATTCTATGAAATGCAAACCTACAGTGATGGAAAGCAGATCAGTATTTGTCTGGGGACAGAGGGAAGAGAAGGAAGGATAGAAGAAAGAGATTCAAAAGAAATGATGGATATATTCTCTACCATGGTTGTGGTAATGGTCTCATGGGTGTACATATTCAAAACTTATCCAATTGTAAATTGGTTTGCATGGTTTATTTATGCCAGTTTTAACTCAATAAAAGTATTAAACAGTATTAGTCATCTCTGGTCATAGTCCCTCCACAATTTCCACAACTTAGATTTTAGCCTCTTTCACTGTTGTTTGGGCCATCTTCCTCTTTTCTCTCTTACCAATTCCATTTATTTTCTTTTTTAAATTCTTTTTACTTTTTTTTAATTTTTGAAACTTGTATTTTAGGTTCAAAGGTACATGTGCAGGTTTTTTATATAGGTAAACTCTTGTCATGGAGGTTTGTTGTATAGATTTCATCACGCAGGAACTAAGTCTACTACCCAATAGTTATTTTTCTCTGTTTCTCTCCCTCCTCCCACTAGCTACCCTCAAGTAGGCCTCGGTGTATGTTGTTCTCCCCTTTGTGTCCATATGTTCTCATCATTTAGCTCCCACTTATAAATGAGAACATGCTGTATTTGATTTTCTGTTCCTGCATTAGTTTGCTAAGAATAATGGCCTCCAACTCCATCCATGTTCCTGCAAAGGACATGATTGCATTCGTTTTATGACTGCATAGTATTCCATGGTGTATATGTACCACATTTTATTTATCCAGTCTGCCGCTGATGCTATTCCTTATTTTCTTATGCTCAGCAAATCAACCTTTTCTCTCCACTTTAATCCTGTGCCTCACTTTGCACACCTGAAGTTAGCTTTAAAATTATGACTTTTAAATGCTTGTCAGATTACATTCTTACAAAAAGGTATTCACACTCCAAGGCACTGGGGAAAGCTGTTTTCTTTTTTTGTCTAGTTTCATCTAGTACTATAAATGGCCTATATTATCTTGACAATTCAGGATTGTATTATCATCCTTGGTTATTTTACCACAATAAGGTTGGCATCTACTGAGACCTACTTTACCTCTATACATTTTATCCCTTTCCAAATTGACTCAGACTCCTGAGCTTCAAAAATTCCTCTCTCCACTTTTTAGAGTTTTCTCTTCTCTTTGCTCATTGTCGGACAGATTGTCAGCTGTCACTTCTGCTGTTTTCATGTGTTTGTTTAGAGAATCTTCACACATTCTTTCATTGTAATTTCCTGTCTCTAAATTGTTTTGATTCAGAAAACCTATAACCAAGGGAGTAAAAATGACGTGTAAATTTGGAACAAATATAGAATCTGAGTGGGTAACCTGAGGCTTACTTCGTGAGTTAAAGTACATTGCATCTGTGTCATTAATTTTGACACTCTTTTTTTTTTTTCCAAGATGAATGACACTTATGTGATGTTACTGTATCTAATTCCCAAGAGAACTGTAGCAATGAGAATTCCTGTTTTTCCCAGCAGAAAACATCATCAGTTTTCTGGAGAATAATTTGCCAAGGTTGTCTTTTGCAAGAACTATGTTCAGTGTTCTTTTTTATTTATGTAGATGTTTCCAATATATCTTTTTGTAGATATGATAGCATTGTACAATCAATCTGTTCTATGAGCAATCAATTATTTACCTGAAAGCTGTTAGAATAATACATTAAAATAAATTTGACCACAGCCATACCAAGTTCTGTAATCTTTTCTAGTTTAATGTTCAAATAATGTGACTGATAAAAATAATGTAACTAAGGCAGTCCAGATGCCTTTAACGAGTGTTATGTCTGTGATAATCTGAGTTCAGATTTATATCTTCAACAGTAAGTATTTAGCACTCTCCAACCCTTCTTGCACTTGCAATACTTTTCCAATTTAAAATTTACACATAAGATCCTGTTTGATTTATCTCTTGGTATATATGAATTATGTAATGATTGCTGAGGAGCAAACACTATTAAAATGGGTAACTAGACATTCAAGTTAAACATTCCTTTTCCCATATCATTCTATTAACTTTGTGTCACCTTTTTTAATCTGAGTCTAAACAAATATATCTTTGCTTGGAGATAATTGTGGCTCAGAGATTGTCATTTAGAAGATTGTGTTTTGCCATACCGCTTTAAGATGCATTTTTTAAAAGAAGCAGTGTTCTTTCTCATTTCAGCACTTGGGAGATACAGGAAATGCTCCCCTCTCAGTCCACAACTAGAGTGAAATTTGCTTAAGGATAAAGTCAGGGGATGTGTTTAGTTCTTAATTTGCTTGACTTCTGTAGCACGTCATAATGCTGCTCAGTTATGTCCTTACAACACCGCCAGTTATCATGCATCGAGTCACTTCTGCATCTCTTAATTTCCATAGTGTTATGCTCTCCTAATTTCTCCTTTTCCTCTGTGGAATGCCAGTCACCTTGCCAGCTCCACTTTCTCTGCCTACTCCCTAAACATTGAAGTTCCTAAGAACTCTGTTCTAGATCTTCTTCTCATACCGTAATAAACAGTCTCCTAACTTTAACTACCGAATATGTGCTAATAATTTACAATTCTATATCTGCAGCCCAGAGCTCTTTCCTAAAGGCAAACTCTGTGTACCAACTGCCTTCTGGATCCCTCCACTCCATTATTCTATGGTTTTAGATGTATGACATTTGTTTTTCTGTCCACAGGCAACAGGTCCTCGGGGTTTATTAAAGGAAGATGCCAAAGGCTGTCTTCAGAAAAGCTTCAGGATTCTTAACGAAGCCAAGAAGTTAGCAAATGATGTAAAAGGTCAGTGTGGCCATAGTTTTTATTATATTCCAGTTAATCGGGTTGTTACTGATAAGATATTCTATCACACTATTGGAGAATGTAATTTCTTTAGCATGATTTTTGTGATGATTCTATAATCTATTTAATGCAAGTAAACTTTCTCACTAGTTTTACAAAATGTTGTCTACCTATCTCACTTCAAGTAGGGTAATATCTCATAATTTGTAAGTCTTATTTCTATAGCATCACTTCACCTATATCTAATGTATAGTAACTTTTAGTGTAATAAGTTTTTAAGAGTATCAAACCCAGGCCAGCCATAGTGGCTCACACCTGTGATTCTAGTGCTTAGGGAGGCCGAGGCAGGAGGATCCCTTGGTGCCAAGAATTTGAGACCAGCCGGGGAAACATAGCAAGATCCTGTCTCTACAAAACATTTTTTAAAAATTTAGTCAGGTGTAGCAGCGTGAGCACATAGGCATAGCTACTTGGAAGGCTGAGCCAGGAGGATCGCTTTAGCCCAGGGGCGTGAAGTTACCGTGAGTTGTGATCACACTACTGTACACCAGCCTGGGTAACAGAGTAAGATCCTGTCTCTAAAAAGAAAAACAAAATTAAATACATTTTTCTTTTTCTGAGATGAAGTCTCGCTCTGTCAACCAGGCTGGAGTGCAGTGGTGCGATCTTGGCTCACTGCAGCCTCTGTCTCCCAGGTTCAAGTGATTGTCCTGCCTCATATCTGGGATTACAGGTGCATGCCACCACACCTGGCTAATCTTTGCATTTTGAGTAGAGACAGGGTTTCACCATGTTGACCAGGCTGGTCTTGAACTCCTGACCTCAAGTGATCCTCCCGCCTCGGCCTCCCAAAGTGCTGAGATTACAGATGTGAGCCACCGTGCCCGGCCCTAAATACATTTTTCTTGTATTTTATTTCTGATTCAGGAATCAAAATGCACAAAATATCTACTGCCATATTATGGGTTTTATGTTAAGAATATATCATTAAACATGGCTGCTCTCTATATGAGCCATTACAATTATTATTTTATGCACTTATCTCTTGTCTCCCATTTGAATTGCCACCTGTTTCTCTCTTCAGTTTCATTCCCTACCATTTTCTGTCTCATATCTGTCTCCCTACCCTTACCTAAGTATTCATAATTCCTCCCAAACATGCTACTATTCCAAGCCTTCATGTTTTCAGTATTATTTCTTCCCCTTGGAATGCCCCATCCTTCACCTCTCTTCTTTGCCTAACTGCTTTCTTCCAGACCTTCAGGATTTAGTTCAAATGCCATCATTTCCAGGAAACCTAACACCTCATCTGATTTACATGCCCCCTCTCTGGTATAGTTTTCTCATAGGCTTGTCAAACCACCACAATCATGGACTAATTAATATTCCATCTTCTTTTACAATTTTTAAAACTTTTTTATTGATGCATAACAGATGTATAAATTTTTGGCATTCCATCTTCTTGAGGAAAGACATGGGGTTTTGCTAACTGTGTATTTCTAGTATGCATAATAGTGACTAGCTCAAATGAGGAAATACTTATTTTTTACAATAAATGGTGTTGGCTTATCTTACTTATCTTAGAAAGAGAAGAGGTTTTAAAATCATTTATATTTGGCATGTTTTGGTCTCAGTAGAAGCTGATATGAAATTACAAGTTCTATCTCGATTATAAGTAAAATTTTAATAGTACAATTCTTCAGGCTGTGTATTACAGGTGAAATAAAACTCCCTACACACATAATTCTGCTCAGCAGGTACCTCTTATTACAATCTGAAGAATGACTGTAAGAAGCCAAAACCTGTGTTCCTATTGGACAAATGGACTCAATCCCGTGACTTTGCGGTCACTCCTTCCTATCTCATACCCTTGCCCAGGGCTGGGAATAGGGAGGAAGGGAGCGAGGTGATTCATGCAAGTGCAAGAACCAATCCTGTCTTTAAGATTTTAATAATACCAGGGCCGTGCCCTCGCCTCTATTTCCCCACAAACACTGGTATTATAAAAATGAAGAAAGAATTTTATTTTCAGCCATTTTTTTTCCAAGAGAAAAAGAAATCTAAAGACAAGCATTGTAGGAAGGGTTAGGAGACAGAAATGTTCATTAGTTTAAATTTATTTTTTTTGTAGTTCAGGTAGTACATTATTTAAAGTAATGAAAACCCACAAACTACTCAAGTAATAATTCCTCTAGAAAACCAAGCCAAGGCTATGACGGAGATGGGAATGTTTTCTTGCTACATTATGACATTTCTCTGATTTGTGGCCAATTACGGAGGTTATAAAATGGCTGTTAATCAGGGAAATGCCATATATTACTACCAGGAACTGCTGAAATAGGCCCTACAGAGCAAAACTCTTGACAGCAGCTATTAAAATAGAGATTTAGTCATTTCTCTCTCTATGGTGCCTGGAGTTAGAAGGAATAAAAATGGTGAGGCCAGTATACCCTCCATATTTCTAATTTGTTGCTTGGTTCAATTCAGTACAGTTCAGTTAGTTTGTGAGCTTCAGTCATGAATGACTTAGTACTGCTCCCTGCCATTTTTATGCTGTCCTTGCCTTGAGGGAATCTGAACTTGCCGGGAGCAATTTGTTTTGCTTTTTAATTTTTGAATATACATCTGTTAAAAGTAAATTTGCCCTTGTGTGAGTTTGAGATTTGAAGCCTGTCTACATTGCACTGATCGAATGTTTGTGGAGATAAAAAGTATTTTGTTGATGGATATGAGGCTTGGTACAAATTGATGACTGAAAGAGTGAAAAGATGAATTAGTACCACCAGGTGAATGAACACTGCTTTGCAGATAGACAAGAAATTTTTTAAGGCCGGGCGCAGTGGCTCATGCCCTGTAATTCCAGCATTTTGGGAGGCCGAGGCAGGCAGAGAAGTGGGAGAATAACTTGAGCCCAGGAGGCAGAGGTTGCAGTGAGCCAAGATCGCTCCATTGCACTCTAGCCTGGGTGACAGAGTGAGAGCCTGTCTCAAATAATAATTAATTAATTAATAATAAAAATTTAAAATAATTTTTTTCAGTAAAATGCCAACTTCATTTTCTCATGGAATGTGTACGAGGCAAGGAAGAAGTAGACCTTGGTTTATTAAAAGTTTGAGAATATTAAGATTTTAAAATTATACATCTTACCTTATATTGACTAACTTTTCAGTTTTATTTCCTTCTTAATTTATCCCCAATTTTTGTCTTTGCCCAAGATAAATGAAATTATTTAATTACTTAGAAAAATAATAGGTAACATGTTGGCCAGGTGCGGTGGCTCGCACCTGTAATCCTAACACTTCGGGAGACCGAGGTGGGCAGATCACCTGAGGTAAGGAGTTTGAGACCAGCATGGCCAGCGTGGTGAAACCCTGTCTCTACTAAAAACGCAAAAATTAGCTGGGCATGGTGGTGGGTGCCTGTAATCCCAGCTACTCAGGAGGCTGAGGTAGGAGAATTGCTGGAACCCAGGATACGGAGGTTACAGTGAGCTGAGATTGCGCCACTGCACTTCAGCCTGGGCAACAGAGTGAGACTCTATCTAAAAAAAAAAAAAAAAAACTAGGTAACATACCTATAAAATAGATAACACAGGAAATAAAAAGACCTATTCCCTGGAGATCTATGACAGCTCATTTTAAAGGAGGCGGTTTGTCTCATAGCACTGTAGCCTGTGGTATATAATTACAGTTAACCCTTGACCAATGCAGGGGTTGGAGAGCATGGACCCCTGCACAGTTGAAAATCCATGTATAACATTAGACTCTTCATAAACTTCATAACTAAACTTCATAACATAAACTTTATAAACTAAAAAAAGAATCTATTCCCAAGCCCAAATAATGAATCAGTGCATTGCTTGACATATGGTGCTGTCCCACACAGAGAACAGTATGAAACATTATTCCAATCATTAAGTTTTATCAAACCAGTTGAAGCCTTCCTTCTATACAGTGGTCCTCCAAACACTCAGTCATTCCGTTCAGACAAGTGGGTCTTGAAGATTCTGAGATCATGGATGTAATACACTTGCAAACGCTAACCTGTTGAGATTCTGTGTTATTATTTTATATTTTAAAAATAAGAGAATAAACTGGAATACTGCAGTGCTGCTAAACCAAAGTATGATATAGGAGTGCAATTGTGACTAAGGGATCCTTTTATTATTAAAGATATACTCCTTTTGAATTTGCATATTACCCTTTGCCTGAATCAGCCTTTCCATAGCAGGCATGCAAAAGACAAGCAAAATCTGCTCTATTGACCACAATTTTAGACTAAAAGGATGAAATTAAGCCTGGGTCCCCTGGCCTACTGTGGTCTGGAGAACAAAGCAGTCTTTTCCAGGTGAAATTGCTGATCCCTCATACAAAGTTTTGATTCCTCCTTTAGAGTGTGAATGGTGGAAATAAAAAAATAAAACCAGGGTGGACTTCCATTAGAGAAAAAACAATAAGTGGCAAAATAGTGGCAAATATAGAGGGGCAGGTTCTATTGGAAAGATTATCCCTAAGAGCGAGACGTAGCTTGTCATATCCAACCCCACCATGTGAGTAGAGGACAAGAAACAAACATTCAGAACACTCCTGTATATCATCTCAGCAAGAGACAAAGGCCTGTGCAATAAAAATGGGGCTTAGAGCTAAAAACTTATCTGGGCTTTGTTGTGTGTTCAGAATCAGAGTCTGAGATTCTATGGCGTTTTTTGCAAGTAAGTTAATTTAGACCAGAAATAAACAGAAATGCCTTCAAGAGACTTACAGATAACATAAAGGGATGGTGGGGCCTGTGTTAAACCAAAGACTATTTGTCTTATTTAAAGGTATTCAAACTCAATTTTCTTGCTGGGCAAAAGAAAACAAGCCTGCAAGCCCACAGTCACCATGTCCTAGAGGAGCCAAATGCAGGTGTTGATGTCTGGTGGTTTTAGTTTTTCATTCCACTGGCTGCAGAGGGGACTCCCTTTTATCCCAATATCCTGAATCTTTGCAGAACCTGCTACCAGACAAGTACACCTTCCCTCCTTTCCTGAAGCTCCTACTATGACCCCCTAGTGGGAGGAAGAGCATATGCAAGCATGGTGCTTATTGCGAACAAGATCTAATTTCTTACTTTCAGATCAGAAGAGGGTTTCTCCATAACCTGACTCCCTGTGAAACAGTCATCTCTGAGGTTCCCATATGTGGTCACTCTAGTATGTATGTCTGTCTGTGCAGAATAAGTAATCAGATATACAGCACATCCCAAACTTGTGACAGCTACTAGGGAAAGGGAAGCACAGGAGTAACAATCATGAAAGAAGGCTAGAAATATAAAGGTTCAGGAAATGATACCGTTCCGAATCATTGTCACCAAATTCAATGATTGCCTGCATAATGCAGAAAATTGGAGGGATTTTTTCTAAGAAGTACAAAGATTGGGTGTAGCAACCTTATCAAATCAATTTGCTGGAGACCTAGGAGAGAAATACAGTTGTAGATTTCAACTTCTATTCTTCCTCACTCGGGTGCTCTTCTTTCCTACCCAGGTCTCAAGATCCTGCACTGGGTATTTAGGTTGACTTAGGGGACAGGGTCTTTAGAAATCTCAAGAAGCCAAAATCTGAACACAGTCACTTATGCCTGTAATCCCAGGTCCTTTCAAAAGTAATCACATTTCCATGAATTTCACCCTTGTGAATGGGGCATTCTTTCAGGGCATTTATTTGTGCCCTATTCATATTAATAAAAAATAAAAATTCCATTTGAGAAACTCAACTGGATGGAATTTGAATAGTCAAATTAAACATTTCCATTAAAATTTATAAAAATCGTCCCGATATTTAGTTGAAAAGTGAGGAATATATACATAGGTATACATATGTTTAGGAAATATAAAAACGAAATAAACTTAGGTTCTGGACCAAGTAATTTAAATAAAAAAGGAATAAAGTCATAAATAGCATTATTATAATAAAAACTGGTAAAACACACCAGGACAATTTTCAAACCAATGTCAGTGTGTTACCTTTTACTTACTGCCTATGGTAAATCCAGCACTTTCTCATACATCTCCCAGTTTATTTCTCATATCAGTCACATGAAGGAAGATGTTTTCTTTATTTGCCATATGTAAAAAGGGACAGAAATGACATTTGAACCCACATCTTCCAACTCTGTGTCCTATAGTGATTTCATTGTACCAGACTAGATTTCAGAGAAATACTGTGTAGCAGTTTTATTTTGAGATCGTACATAGTTAGTTCTAATATAACTAAGCCCTAATTTATATTTAGCATCATGTCAGAAACATGATAAACAAGAGTAACTGCTCATTATTAATGCAAGTGACTTGCAACTCTGCCCTGCGATTTTTATTCTGGATATATCTATCTTGTGCCATTTCAATGGGCATGTGACAAAGGAAAATTACACTGTCATTGTGTTCCCAGTCGACCCTTGCTACTCTGCTGCTTCCATTCCCTCATTGTGAGTCCTGCTTTTGCCAAACTAATTCTAGCACATTTTTCTTCTACTCTATGAGGAGGAGATGAGAAAGGGAGAGCCAGACTTAAAGACGTATGTGTGTGTAGCCTTTGAGTTTTGGTGGATGTGATCTTTAGAGAGAAAGTAGAATGACTAGGCTTCTGTTATTGGGTTTGAGAGCTGAAGGAATAAGGAGAGGGAATCTAGAAAATAAAACTATGGATTATAAATTAAATCTTCTTCTTATTCTCCAGAAATCACAAGTAAAAAAATTCAGTTGGATTTTCTTTTAACTATCGATAATTCTATGTCTTCACCCTTGTTACAATTCAAACTGAATCACAAGAGTTCTTTCTTACTTTTAGTTATGGATACACTATGCCTCCTCTGTCTTTTATTTAAAATCAGCCCAGGAGTGCTTATTTTTCTAGGTTTTCCTCGCTATTATTTTGTAAGTTCCATTTTGAAATCTGCAATTCTTCTCTGAATAGCTTCTACTCATCTAATTCTATCACCAAAGCTACAAAATGTTTAGATGTAGTTCAAGAAATTCCAGAAACTACTTTAGAAAAAGGTGATCAGCGTAAGAAAGGGCAAATTAATAAGGATCAGAGTCAAGCAGCTGAAACATTAAAAAAAAATCAGAACAGGGTTGGAATATACACATTGTAACTTGCTAGTACAAAAAAAAAATGCAGAGAATCAAAATTAGCGCTTTGGAACTTGAGAGGCAGCAGTAAAAATATTCTTCAGGTCAGTCTTCTGAATAATTGGCCCAGTTGTTCAGCCAGCATTTTGCTATCAGAATGCAGAAAGTGGTATAAACCCAGGGATACCCTTCAAATTAATGATCTTTCTCACCATACATGAATATCTTGCTTGCCAGAACATTTGAATGCTCCATTATTTTAAAAACTAAATCCAATCAAGAAGCTAAGAAATGAAATTTCTACAGTTCCATTTTCTTAAGTGTTGAAGACTTTCAAGCTAATATCAAAAGAGCAGCCCTTTATTCTCAAAGAATTTGTATAGATATCACAGTCATAATCAGACTGGCTTTATTTCAGAGAGTATGCTTTTGGTAGCCTATCCAAAGATTTTATTTTAGTATAAACAGTAAAAATAACAGAAGTATTATAAGAAAGATGAATTGTGATTGACAGAGGAGAAAATCCAATTACTTGGAAAGTATATTTTGTGGGCTTAGAATTGAAAATAATAATATATTAGTGACTGAACTAGACATATTGATGTTTTAGAGCCGTGCTTTGCTGGAATATTTTATGCTTTGTTTTTCAGTGATGTCAGGTCTTTGGCTTGGAATTTAACAACAGACACTTTAAACAATGTTATGTGCTTATATTAGTATAATCTGTAGTATAACAGAAGTTTAAGGTGTCTGCCTATAAAACCCTTTATATGAAGTGGAGTGAATCATTAATTAATATGTCCCGTACTCTTCTTCACATCCAGACACCGATAGTTCAGAATCCTCCATCTATCCACCTTTCCCTTTGCTATTCTTCACAGATGCAGGCCAACAAAGATGAGGATAGTTCTCCAGCTGCCCATGGCCTGCACAGTTCCTCTAATGAGCCACATGCACAACCTCTGAGAGGGGTGTGCACACAGTCAAATCAAGACTGCTGTAGCTCTATTCTTTGGGGCGTATTCTCTCCCACCTGCCTTCTCTGGGTACCAGGAAAGTGATGAAAATCAGTCTTGGTGTTGACAAATAACATGAAGATAGCAAATAACATTCTTCCCCAGTTAGGTGGTTTAAGTTTTTTAAAACATTGAAAAACAGAAATATATGCACACAGAAAGCAATTTAGCCAGCACAACCGGGTATAAAATGAGAAGTTTTAGTACATTGTCCCTCACGGCACTATTAACTGCCTCATTCATTCCCAGTTTCTACCCACTATTAATTACTGTAAAGGTTTTTGGCATGTTCTTCTCTACCCAGCTCCCACCAGCCCCTACCATGCCAAATGCTTGTATATGTGTCAGCATATATATGGTGCATCTTGCTTATTTTCATGGAAAGGTCTTAAGGTTTATTTCACATCCATATCCGCTCATCTACTTCTTTTTATAGATTGCACCTGTACCATTGTATGAACATGCTGTGTGGATATAAACAGCACTTTAATCTTATTAGGGTATTTTTATTCCCCCCTCCTTTTTTTTATTACAAATGAAGAGCTAATGAGTATCCCCAAAGATAAATCTTTTACAGGTATATTGAAGGGTAAATTTCTATCAGTAGAATTGCCAAACCAAATACATGTCTATTTAAAATTCTAATAAACTTATTAACTTGCTCTTCAAACAATGGAATCAATCTGCACGTCCACTAGCACTCTTGTGAACACTTGGCATTATCATACATTTAATTTTCCCCAATCTCAAAAATAAGAAATGACATCTTACTGTTGCTTAGTTTTACAGTTCTTTATGATAATCTTGAGTGCTTTTTACGAATTTCATAAATGATTATGTATGTTTATTTTATTGTGAACTACGTATTCTTATATTTTCCTCATTATCCTTAAAAATATGGAACACTTTGCATATTTGCCTGCCAGTTTTGCACATAGACAATGCTATTCTACTCTGAATAATTACAACTTGGTTATATATGTTGCTTAGGTGAGGCTTCTCTGATTTCTGTAACTGTGACCAATTTCTTTAAGACAACAAAGGAGAAAATGAGAGGAAGACAAAGGAAAGGAGGAGGACAGGAAGAAAAGGTTGAGGGTGATGGTGGGAGGAGCATTGCTACCCAAAATGCTCTACTAATCCCTAGTTTTGACTATCAATCCTTGGTAGAATGCAGTAGTTAGCATTGTTTATGGAATGGGACTATGTGGATTTGAATACCACCACTGCCATTTATTAACCATGCAAGCTTAGGAAATTTACTCAACTTCTCTAAGTCTCAATTTCCTCATTTGTAAATTGGAGATAATAGTAGTATATACATCATCATATACATCATACATCAATGTTATTGTAAGGATTAAGTAAAACAACCCACTGAAACTGAAGAACACTAAATGCGTGTAACATACACATTCAATGCTTGTCAGGCATTACTCTTACTAAATACTTGTCCATCCTATCCAGGAGGGACTAGAACAACTTCTCTTTCTTGGTCCTTTCTCAGTGGTCCTCCTCACTTGGGGACTCTGTCTTGTATTTACATGTTGCATTTCTGTGGAGCTAATTTAAACAATTAGTACGCATGTCCCAAAACAATTTTTATGGCATAAGAAACTATTAAAAATTTACCTAAAAAATGAGCTGTTGTATCCAGTCAAGAGAGGTAAATAATATTGTGGGAAGTATAGGATTTTTCATATTTTGTTTTTTCAATTTGAATTTTCACTAATAAATGATGTAAGAAAAAGAAGACAGATGAACTCCATTTCAGTCTTAAGATATATTTGCAGTTTAATGCATACCTGAGTAAGATTTCTAAACTTATATCAACAGATTGGATCTTTATTTTCTTTCCCCTTAATGATTTCAAATTTTACTCTTTATATTGTTGTACTCGAATTTAAACTGCTTAGTTACTATTACAATATAAATTAATCTAAAGTTTAGAGAATATTAAAAACTAGTGGAAAGCAGCTAGAAAACTTATATATGTAATATTAAATTATCTCTAGCAAATGGCATTTTTGAATATTAAAGATAACATTGCTAAAGTATCAAGAGAAAAAAACTATATAAAATTTATTGGACCCAATTTGTAAAAATATTGTTTTCTTTATGAGAAAAATGACTATTATCAGATATGTGCTAAATGTTGTTTTTCCATTTCTTTAATGTGTATTTTTGTCCAAATAAATATTAACAAATATTATTATACTGAAGTTGGAGGATTCTGCTAAACAATCATATCTGAGATTTTGAAAATCTAATCCAATGATTCATTTTGGTAATAAAAGTTTTTAAATAAGTGGAATCAATGGGAGTGATAACAAGAGGGCATAATTACAAATGGAATAAAAGACTAATTCTTTGGAGGTTTCTTCTCTATAGGAAGATATCAAATTAAGTCAGATAAAGATCAGATACCAAGAAGAAAATGTCATTGTTCAACATGTAGAAGCATCCAATAATTCAATGATAATAAAAACACATATTTTTAAAATATGATTGGAAATATATTTATGTATAGATGCCAATAAATTAAATACATTTTCTTGCTTTTAATTAATTTTATATTAAAATAACCTGAAATTGCACATCCAAGTATAAGCTCAGGGATGATAAAACTTATTTAATCCTTTTTTTTGTTTTTTATTCGCAGAAAATGAAGACCATCTAAATGGCTTAAAAACCAGGATAGAAAATGCTGATGCTAGAAATGGGGATCTCTTGAGAACTTTGAATGACACTTTGGGAAAGTTATCAGCTATTCCAAATGGTAAGCATTCAGGACACTACCAACTGTGTCAGTTGACCTGAAGTTTTGAAGACTGTTGTTAACTTTTACCATTTTTTTCTAAGATTATTCTGGTACTATTATCTGGAAATTAGATACTGTTTTTCTTACTCATGAATTCTTCTTTGTGAGAATGAGAAACTAAACCATACTTTGCATTATGGTATTTTTTATCTTTTATTGCCTTTAGCCAGTATCCTTAGGAATGTGTTACAGAAAGGAAGATATAGACATCTTATTATTATAAAACTCATCCTTCAGTATTGGCAGGGGATTGGTTCCAGGACCCCCCCCCACAGATATCAAAATTCTTGAATACTCAAGTCCCTTTTATAAAATGGCATAGTATTTGCATATAACCTATGCATAGCCTCCCATATACTTTAATCCCTAGATCATTTATAATACCTAATATAATGTAAATGCTATGTAAATTCTTACAGTGTATTGTTTATGAAATAATGACAAGAAAAAAGTTTGTCCATGTTCAGTACAGACACAACCATTTTTTCCCCTAAATATCCAAATATCCAACTCTCCAAGGTTGGTTGAATTTACAGATACAGAGCCCACTGACACAGAGGGACAACTGTATTGTCTTCTGTGTTTCAGCCCAAGAAATCGTGTATTAGTGAAATAGAATAAATCACATAGACACTAATCTCTAAAATACTGATGTACCACCACAAAGACACAGTTTATTAAAGTACCTGCAGTAATAGGTGATAGCCCACTGCATTCTCTCTTGATAAAATTCAATTTCTTTAACTATTCCAACTTTCAAAAACATTAGTGGTCAAACCATGTCTGTAATATCTTTCTACCTATTAGAACTGCTGGAAATTTTTGCATGGTATTAGTTCCTGAAAGCACACGTTATTTTAAAGATACTACTTTTACTATTTTTATATTGTTAAAGCATGATATAATAACAACAAAGATTATAAACACTTATTGAGTACTTAATATACTTATGTTAAGTGTATGTAATCCTCATACCAATTGGAGCAAAAACATTTGCTTCATTTGCTTGCATCAATTGGTCATATATATATATATATATATATATCTATCTCAATTGGTTATATAGATAACATAAGTATAGATAACATAGGTAACATTCAGAATAGTCACTTCACTACTTTAAGAGCTAATTAGGTATTCATACAGATACAGAACCTACTGACACAGAAGGACAACTTGTCTTCTGTGTATAACATAAGTTAGCACTAACACTTAACATCAGTTAAGATACTGTTATTATCCCCACTTTACAGGTGAGAAACAGACAGAGGATACTGAAGGCCATTGTTAAAAGTGGCACAGAGGAAACTTAAACCCCACAGTTTGATTTCAGAGCCTATGATCTTAACCACTAACCTATACACACTAGTAGTCATCTATAGGTACAATATACAAATTAGGATCAGGAGACAAATGCACATATTTATACAACACAGTTAATATTAAAATCTCGGTGGTTTTTACTTTTTTAACGTTTAAAAACCTGAGTAACTTTTCAGATTTTCATGTCCCTTTTTCAGTAGTAAGTATATAGAAAATTTCCAATGCTGAAAACAAGTATAAATGCATGGCCTAACATACCTGAAAATGTTTCTCTATCCTAAAATGAAAATACGTTAGTTTCCCTCCAACCCCCACCCCAACCCCTGCCCTGCTTTGGAAATGCAGATTAAATCTTAAGCCTCGTTTTCATGAAGCTCATGTGGATAAATTTATCTCGTGAATAAGTTCAGCAGCAAATCACAATATGATCTTATACAATGAACATTTAGAATAGTCACGTCACTACTTTAAGAGCTAATCAGGTATTCATAGCAAAAGTCCCTGAGAAAATTTAATTTACCTAAAAAAATTTGCTTCATTTGCTACACCTGAATGAGACAAAGTTCAGCCTTTTCCCTTTGTAAATGTGTCCGAGGTCAGCCAGCCACAGCCTCGCTTTGTCAAGCATGGATTAAGCCACTAACTCCACACCCTTTGTTTTGTTTTTCATACCCTCATCTGCTGACAGATACAGCTGCTAAACTGCAAGCTGTTAAGGACAAAGCCAGACAAGCCAACGACACAGCTAAAGATGTACTGGCACAGATTACAGAGCTCCACCAGAACCTCGATGGCCTGAAGAAGAATTACAATAAACTAGCAGACAGCGTCGCCAAAACGAATGCTGTGGTTAAAGATCCTTCCAAGAACAGTAAGATCTCCTTTTTCATTGTGATGATGTCATTTATTTCCTCTCACTGTAAAAGTATCCCAGACCTGTAAATGCTCGAGTTGGAAAGACCCTCATGGTGGTGTAGTCTGCCTTCCTTCTTTCATAGATTGGCCTCAGAAATTGAGTGTCATGCAGTTCCAAAGCTGGAATCCAAGTCTTCTAGCTCTGCCCCGGTGCTTTTTTCCTCTGAAATTTTTCCAGTTGAGAAGAGATTAGGAATTCTCAAGGTGTGCCTAACATTCAGCAGAGAGATGCAAAACACTTTTTAATCCGTGTGTGTAATTAAAAACACAGTTGTACTTGGGTAATTATATCCTCAGAACTGGCGAAGTGTCATGGAACATAGAGGTTAAGGGGCACGTTCATGAACAGACTTGTTAGAACAGGATATGAAAATGATATCAACTTGAAATGCATTAAAATTTGAAAATCTTGATATTTTATTATTTAGATTCCAGTTACATCACATTTCTGGGAAATAAAAATAAAGCATTTATCTAGTTTCTAAAGACTATTCACATCTCTTATATATTATATAAAATTATATTGACTTAAGGATTTACTGAGAAAACCTGAGAGAAAATATCATAACTTATATTATTAGTTAAATATAGTCAAAATATTAAGATTTTAAAATGCATTTTTCCTTTTCCGTCAAATGATACAAGGCTATATTGGGCCAGGTACAGTGGTTAACACCTGTAATCTTTGCACTTTGGGAGCCTGAGGCGAGAGGATCACTTGAGCCTAGGAATTCGAGACCAGCCTGGGCACCATAGCAAGACCCCATCTTTACAAAAAATTTAAAAAATAGCCAGGCATGGTAGTGACATTGCACCTGTGTTCCCAGCCACTTGGGAGTCTGAGGCTGGAGGATCCCTTGAACCCAGAAGGGTGAGGCTGCAGTGAGCTGTGATCACGCCACTGCACTCCAGCCTGGGTGGCAGATTGAGATGCTGTCTCAAAAAAAAAAAAGGGGGTTATCTTGGTATCCTTGTTACATGGTTTCACCAAAGGAGATGCTTGGGTAATCTGTGCTTTTCACTTTCAAGAGACTAGCCCTCTTTATATGCCAACATTTTTGGGGGGGTATCAAAATATTTGGAGTATAAAAACAAAAGCACTGTAATTGGTATTATATGCCATAAAATTCAAATGCTGTTTGAGTGGGGAATGGAGCCTGATTTCAGCATCCTAGCCTCAAATCAAATCCTATGGATGCTATGATATAATAGACATTATTAATACGACTCCTTCATGAGCAAGGAAGAGTACAAACACATATAACATAAACTTCAGAGCCAGGGTGAAAAAGGGGAGATAAAAACATTTTTTAAAATTTTTTAATGTAAGCCCAGAAATGGCTTCTCTTGTAGCTCAAAGTTTACATAATAACTTCTTATGATTTATGCCAAATCACAATATTCCCACTAAAAATGAATGAAAACAAAATTTTAATCAAATATTACTATCTCTGCTGCTTACTTCATAATTTAAGATATATTTTTAACTTTTATTTTAAGTTCAGGCGTATAAGTGCAGGTTTGTTACATAGGTAAACCTGTGTCATGGGGGTTTGTTTTATGAATTATTTATTTCATCACGCATGTATTAAGCCTAGTACCCATTAGTTATTTTTCCTGACCCTCTCCCTCCTCCTGCTCTCCACCCTCCAAAAGAATTCCATTCTATTTTAGATTGATTCTCAACTGGTAGTGGCCTTTTGTCATATCTCTGTTTTAATCCTATCCTCTATTATGAGAAATAGTTAATTATCTATAAATATTAATTAAATTGGGTCTGTTTTCTATCTTACTAAAACATAGAAATAATTTTTAAAATACAAATAGTGGCCACTAAATTATATATTTTGTGTACTTTTATTTGATAACAATTGCTTCAGTTAAAATGGGGTGCATTTATAATTAGTACCTGTTATGAAAAATACCATTTTTAGTCACTACTTTATAATATTTATAGAAAATACTTCCTCATGAATTTATAATTTTTTTTTGTTTTGCTTCCATGTGAAATTGCCTGCAGAAATCAGTACGTATATGTTTACTTATATACCTTTTAGTAACGCTCATGCTTCATTGCCTATTGCAAAAAGTTTCAGCTTTGCATGTACTATATTTTGGTTTTGCTTTAAACATTGCGTAGCTATTCTTTCCACTGTTACAGTATTAATGGTAGATGCGTAAAAGGAATCTTCCTTTATAAAAAGGTCATATGTGGATAAAGGTGATATAAAATGTTTTTAATAGTGTTATAAAAAGTTTGGTCAGGCGAAGTGGCTCATACTCTAACCCCAGAAATTTGGGAGGTCAAGGTGGGAGGATCACTTGAGGCCAGAAGTTTGAGATCAGCCTGGGAAACATAGCAAGACTCTATCTCTACAAAAAGGAAAAATGAGTGAAATATCTGTATGATAGCCACATAAAAGTGGAAAACTGAATTTCTCTATAGAATTAACTAGATTATGCTGTTTCTGATAACACAAATTCACCCCAACACACGAATGACTTAATTGCAAGAGGATTAAAATAGATAAGGTCTACACTGTTGTTGTTTTTACCCACTGAAGCTCACTTTTTCCTCTCCTTGTAATTATTCTCAACTTCTGTAGAATTATATTTGGAGAAACACATAATAAAACTAGGTCTTAACAAATGAACAACTACTGGGATATCAAAATGTTCTCTCTTAAACATCCCACAGTTTAAATTGAAAGTCAAGAAAAACTAAAAAAATAGCTACAAAAAATAATAACAAGAATAACAAAATTTAATATATCACTATTTGAAAAATATGACCAAGAGTGTCCTCAGCGGAAAATGAGAGCAACTACATTACTAAACCATCATTGAAATAACAATTCTAAACAATCAACTTTGCTGACTTTAGAAAAAGCAGAGTTAACTTAAAGAATGAAAAAGATGGAAAAATTAATGAATTTGAAGACAGAAAATATTAGACCTGATAAATCAAAAAGGTGACTCCTTAGGAATATAGATTAAAAATTAAGTGATTGTCAAGTTTCATCAAGAAAAATAAAGGACAAATAGGCAAAGCTCTAAAAGAGGTATCACTAGACAAGGGAGGAAATTTAACACATAAGAGATCACTTGGAAAAACTTCAACTGCTCCGGAGAATAGAGGAAAAAGAGGGGAGAAGAGGAACTTCCAAGTTCCATTTTGAAACATTTGGCAAAAACTTCTGAGAACTTGTGAATAAAAGGGTCTGTAATTTGCCTAAGTCTAAGTAGTCTTTAACTACTTTTGCTCTTTCTCATTAATCTAAATCTAAATCATTTTGCCTCAGTTTTAGAATAATTTGTAGAATGTCAGAATAACAATGGAGAATTAAAGGAAGGGAAAAATGAACAAACGGTTTATTAAAAGCATACAAAATAAAGGGATCACTGTGTTTATGCTATCTGTATGATGATATAACAAACATTTCTATCCAGATAACATGCATTTCAGGAAGAAAATACTGCACTCAGTTCTTGATATAGCAAATCTATTAGTTAAATTTAATAATAGACCTATGTTCTTTTTAAATGCCGCTAACAGCATAAGTCATACTTATGAGTTCAAAATACCTACTTTAAAACCTAATTTTAAAAAAATGATAATTTACTTCCCTTTGAGCACATGTGATTCGTTCCTGAGGGTTAGTTCTCAGTGGTTGTATGTCAGCCGCAAAGCAGATCATTCAGAGTCTAACACAGCATGTAGCCTTGAACCTTAAGCAGTTTAACTTTTTCATCAGAGTCACAGTGACAGAAAGTTGAACAATACACACTTAATCAGATAATAAATGACATAGTGTGGATGAGACTGCCAGCATCCCAGCAATAGAATAAGTGGTTTACCACGTGGCATAGGCCCTCCCTTGAAAAGCACATACTGAAAGTCTATGGATCAGTGATGACCTTCAACTATTTTAGGGTTGAAACTTTGAAATTGCCAATATGTAACCCTTTATTTTTTTTAACCTACAAAAACAGCTGTTTAATATAGGTCAACCTAATATGTAACACAGGGTAATCAACTATTCTTCAAAATGAAATTGAACTGCACCATGAAAGATTTAATTAAATGTAGGCCTTTAGTCTAAGGGTTTTTCAACATCAAAATGTTCTTCAAAAGACATTTTGATAGCTTCTCTCTTTAAGATGTGCAAAAAAAGACGGTGAGAAAAAGAAAGAAAACCAATTTTGTGTAAAAACCCTGATTTAAATACAGTTCTGGCTTGGACAGACTAGGTGACATTTTAAAGATGCTTTCATTTCCTTGCTTCTGTGACTAAAGTTCTATTCTGTAAAGGTTAACTTTTTGGCTGAAGTTAGAAATTAAGCATTGAATTAAGTTCTTCATATTCTCTACCTTCAATGCTAATTTTTACCTTAATCAAAAAGAAAAAGTGGTGGCCCTCTGTCCTAACATCTACTCCCCTGGCCTGCTTGAGTCTCAACTAAAATATTGACATTTGCCATCACACATTTTGCTTTAGCTGTTATGGCCATGCTTTGTCACATTAATAAGATGAAATTGTTTGGTTAAGCATACTGCTATTCTAATTCTGTGTGTGCACGTGTGTGCATGCATATACATGCACACTAATTTTGTTCTATGCAGTTGCCGATGCAGATGCCACTGTCAAAAATTTAGAACAGGAAGCTGACCGGCTAATAGATAAACTCAAACCCATCAAGGAACTTGAGGATAACCTAAAGAAAAACATCTCTGAGATAAAGGAATTGATAAACCAAGCTCGGAAACAAGCCAATTCTGTAAGTTCTTTTTATCGTCAGTATCAGTAACTGATTGTAATTGTTGGATTATTCATAGAGGGAATGTCTTTCCCCAGGATTCCCCGTTGAATGATCTTGGGTCCTTTTCCTTTAACTCGAAGCGATTTGGGGTAGGAGGGGTTGGAGTGGGGGAGAGGTTAGTTTTGTTTTGTTTGTAAATTTCAAAAGACATTTCATGAGAATGATAATCACCACTTATTGTTTTAAAACTGGGAATTCTGGTATATTCTATTACTATTTGCATAGAATAATACAAATAGCAAGAAAGAAAACCTTATTATTGTATACTAAAAAGCCATGGATGAGAGTACCTTCCTCTTGCTAAAAACAAACCAAAAAAAAAGGCCAACTAATGGGGTTATGGCAGGAATGAAGGAACAATATACAGAATAAGAGCAAAGAGAAACAAACATTTTACATATATATTCTTTTGTCTGGTATAAACAACAATAAAAATGGCTTTGGTTATACTTTTTACATTTATTTTTTGTTTTGGAGTAGATAGGAAATAGCTGATTTGTCTCAAAATTTTGCTCTTTACTTACCCAATTAGAAGTTTACTAGGATAGAAACAGAGCTTTCTAGAAGGTAGCATGCTAATGAGCCAGGGCAGAGTTGCTAAGTGGCAACGTGAAACTTTAGTCAAAGGAAGGAAGTAAGGGAAGGGGAGGAGAGGGGAGGGGAGGGGAGGGGAGGCGAGGGGAGGGGAGGGGAGGGGAGGGGAGGGGAGGGGAGGGGTGGTAGAAAGAAAGAAGGAAGGGCAGTTTTCTTGTTTGAACAAGAAAGGCTTGAACTCAAACCTTTTTAGATACCTCAGTTTTCCATGTCAAAAATTCTGTTTTTTGAACAACTTTGGAACTAGGATGATCAGAAAAGCCCTTTCTTAGTTCATCAGTTTATATTTTTAGTAGTATTTAAGAATACGATGCTCCAGTAACAGCATATTCTTTTTCCTCCTTATTCACATCTAACACTTCTAAACAACTCCAAGACAGTAAGTTCAAGGTGAACATTGAAAAGGAATTCACGACTGACTGAAAAAAAACCTAGAAAACAACAAAAAGATTAGTGAAGATGATGTTACATAAGATCAGAGTAGTAAATCAGTGAAAAGATCTGAGAAAACATATATTCAGCTAGAATATGAAAGCCAGGCAGTATCGTTGACATGTGATCATTATGTATGTAAAGCACAAGATTAAAAGAAACCAGATGTTACTTCAAGGTTTGAAGTTTTATGTAAGATTTAGCCAACATGGAAAAAGCCTCTACTATGTTCAGTGTTACTTTCCGTAAGGTACACAAAGACGAATAAAGGAGTTCTTTCACTCACAAAGTTTATAAAATAGTAGGGAAAATAAAATATGTACACGTACCTTGTCACACAATGCAGAATGTTATGCCACATTATAGAAGCCGTGAGAAGTGACATAAAAGTTCTAGAAAGAACAATCACCTCTAGTAGGGCCTGAAGATTTCCTGAAGGGAAGGATTTGAGCCAGGCATTGAGGTGGGATAGTGCTGGGGAGTTGGGGGTGGAGTCAGGTAACAGGGAGAGTATTCTGAGAAGAGGGAATGACTTAAACCAAGGCAGTGGGAGAAGGAAGTTTTAGGGTCCATTTAGGAAAAAGAAGTCCAGTTTGCCCAGAGTAATTGATAAAGGAAACACATAACCAGAAAGATCAACAGAGGCCAGGTCTCGTCAGGCCTTCAATAATCAGTTAAGCAATTTCATTTAACAACACTGGTACTTGGGATAAGCCTCACTGGTTAGGATAAGCTGAAAGCTTTGAGCATGGAACACAGTATAATCAGAGCTGTGCTTTTTAAATATAAATCCAGAAGCAGTGTATGGGGTAGATGAAAGAAAGAAGAATGAAGGACCCAACTATAGCTGTGGCAAGAGAAAAGAAGAACGTGATGTACCACTCCTATATTTTGCAATGTTAACTTGGAAGAAGCAATAAGAGTAAATATTATTTTGTGAATCTCACATTTAGCCACATTTTCTGACTTAGTCATCAAGTGGAGAAATCTAGACATTTTTATTATTTCTTCATTGTAAAGATTTCTGAGTGCTTTTCCCCTCCTCACAAAACGGTGAAATTCAGACATGTAAGCATATAAAACCTGTCTTAAAGTACAAAATAAAAGAAAAGTATAGGCTGGGCATGGTGGCTCAAGCCTGTCATCCCAACACTTTGGGAGGCTGAGGCAGGCAGATTGCATGAACTCAGGAGTTTGAGACCAGCCTGGGCCATGTCACAAAACCACATCTCTACAAAAAATTGAAAAATTACCTGGGCATGGTACATGCCTATAGTCCCAGCTACTTGGGGAGATGAGGTGGGAGGATCACTTGCTCTGGAGGATGAGGCTGCAGTGAGCCATGTTTGCACCATGGCACTCCAGCCTGGGTGGCAAATAGAAACCCTGTCCCCCCCCAAAAAAAAAGAGAAGAAAAAAAGAAAGGTACAAAAGTAACGTTAAGAAAAAGTAATCATTGTCCATGCATTTCAAAGAAATTCCCAATCAGTTTTGGAAATGGAATTACAACACAATGCCTTATTTTTTGTAAGACGTTAGAAATATGCAAGTAGCCAATTTTTTTCCAAATGAGTTTTGTACTAAATGAATATTACATTTTCTGATTTGTAAATATGGATATCTGGATATGACCTTAACACATACTTGACATGACCAAAACATTAAAGACATTTATTTTAAAGTAGCTTTCTCTGGGTTTGTTGATTCTGAAATTGAGTGGCTGATACTCCTTTAAATGAATGACCTACTTACTGGATGAAAAATGCAGTGAAAATCCAATAGATATAATAATGGGATACTCAATAATGTTTGAGTTCATCATGATTAACTGGTAAATAATGTTGCAGTATTGAAATGCCTTAAAGATACTTAATGCTTAGTGATTTTTCTTTAGATGTCTTACTAAGGATCTGCATTAGAAATAACAATAATTGATAGAGCCAAACATTCTAAAAGGATGTTTGAATTTCAGAAATTTCTTTCCTCTTACAAGAGTGACATATCCTAAAGATTTCTTCTAGAGATACAGTATTTTGATTTACCTGATTTCTTCTAGAGATATAGTATTTTGATTTACCTGATTTCTTCTAGAGATACAGTATTTTGATTTACCTGTTTTAAGTTGTTTAAAAGAAATACCTATAACTGAAAATCAAAACAGAAAGTATTCAAAAGGAAAAGACTACTGATTATGTACTGGCTGTCAACAGTTTGGGCTAAGTGAATGTTTCAGTTTCTGAGAGTATATTCAAAACCAGAAAACAGAAAGCAGGTAATCCAAGAGTATTTTCTATATGAATGTGTGAGAGCTGGGCAATAGATTACTGTCTAGTCCACTTCATGCTGCTGTGACAGAGTATTACAGACTGGGTAATTTATAAAGAAAATAAATTTATTCTCACAGTTCTGGAGACTGGGAAGTCCAAGATCAAGATGCTGGCAGGTTAGGGACCTGTTTTTATGCTTCCAAGATGGCACTTTGAATGCTCAGGAGAGGAGGAACATTGTGCCCTCACATGGCAGAAGAGCAAGAGAGAGAGAGCTCTCACCCCTGTAAGCCTTTTTAATAGTGGCATCAATTCATTCATGAGGACAGAGCCCTCATGACCGAAACACTTCCCAAAAGGCCCCCCTCCCAACACTGTTGCACTGAGGATTAAATTTCAAGCAAATGAATTTTGTTGGACACATTCAAGCCATAGCAGTTACTCTGTAGGATTAATTGCCGGCATATTGGGTATAACAACATCATTTTGCTTCAAGAATCATATTTGTTAGATATGTATTCTATACAATAGATTGGTTGTAACCTCTAGTGACATTAGATACTCAGTTTTAAAATGGCTTCTCTCTTAGACTTGGAGTTCTCAGAGCAGTTAGATTTTAGTGCTGCTGCTCTGTCTGCTACACTTTTTTTTTTTTTTTTTTTTTTGAGATGGAATCTCACTCTGTGGCCAGGCTGGAGTGCAGTGGAGCAATCTCAGCTCACTGCAGCCTCCGCCTCCCAGGTTCAAGCAATTCTCCTGCCTCAGCCTCCTGAGTAGCTGGGACTACAGGCACATGTCACCACGCCCAGCTAATTGTTTTTGTATTTTTAGTTGATACAGGGCTTCACCATGTTGGCCAGGATTGTCTCAATCTCTTGACCTCGTGATCCGCCTGCCTTGGCCTCCCAAAGTTCTGGGATTACAGGCGTGAGCCACTGCACCCGGCTCTGTCTGTTACACTTTGGCAACCCCCTTTTCAACACACTAATCATGGAATCCCGTTTTTTTTTTTTTACCAGGCTTACCTAAGCAATGACTGAAATTCATTCTGTGACCAAATGATCACATATTACATTTATATTGAGTCATCTCTTCTCTAAATAATAACTGAGGGATATTATTCAATTGTGTTGTTTGTTTTGTTTTGTTTTGTTTTGTTTTGTTTTGTTTTGTTTTGTTTTGACATGGAGTCTCACTTTGTCACCCAGGCTGGAGTACAGTGGCACGATCTCAGCTCACTGCAACCTCTGCCTCTTGGGTTCAAGCAATTCTCCTGACTCAGCCTCCTGAGTAGCTGGGACTACAGGCACATGCCACCACCATGGCCGGCTAATTTTTGTATTTTTAGTAGAGACAGGGTTTCACCATGTTGGCCAGGATGGTCTGGATCTCCTGACCTCATGATCCGCCCATCTCAGCCTCCCAAAGTGCTGGGATTACAGATGTGAGCCATCACACCCAGCCTCAACTGTGTTTTTTAAACAAAACTGATTTATTAGGAATTAAACTAGCCATAATACAGCCATAGGGCCAAGCTATAAAGCATTTATTAAATAAAAATGAAGTAAACTACATACAGTCGCTTTGACTACTAATTCAGCCCCATTCAGAATTGGATATGATTGTCTGCCAGGGATAACGCACTATGCTATTCAGTTCTACTCATGAATTCCAGTCAGATCTTGATTTCTTGTTCACTTTGATCCTCTTATGATGTCAATGGTACGTATAGCCTGCCTCAGATATTAAATTTTCTCAATGCCAAGGTCTTCTCTGATAATGATTTTGGTTCACTTTCAGCAGCTTGCTAAAAAATCACTATATCTGACACCCTTTCCTGAACATTAAAAATATCTGAAGACCATATTTTTCCCACCTGCCCTCTACTGTGCTGTCTTTCTCTTGCTTCTCTCTTTTTATCTCTAATCCCTTGGATGACCCTTGGTATAGCTGCCATTGTATCACAGAACACCCTTTGCCAAGTCCCATTGCTCATCTGCTTTGCCATATTAACATCCAAGTAAAAATTGTACATTTCCTACCTCCATTGTTTTGCAATTCATTTTCACTCACCTACTCTCAACACTGTATGTAGAAGGGAAATTCCATGATTTGTGAAGCAGGAACTAACTTCCCAACTGAAAACCACCCTATCCAGAAGACTGTCTCCCTAGGACACAGAACAAACACTCTGAGGACCATAGTTGGCCCTGAGTCCTGCACCCAGCAGTTGGCAGGCTGGCCCCACCTTTTTGGGGAAGGCAAGAATAAGAAAGTGGTTTAAGCAGTAGGCTTCCTGGAATGTCCAGCCCCAGGCCACCACACTCAGGCCTCCAGCAGTCACCCTCCTCTGGGTGGTGGAGGAAACAGCCCCTGTTTCTCTCCAGAACACAGTGTCCTCTTCATGGAGATACAATTTGATTAGCAGATCAGGTGAGGCAACAACAATAAACAAATAAATGACTTATGCGGTCTGTGGGAGACGTAACAGATCTTCTGTATCCCCAGAAGGTCTCAAATCTATATGAATTTACCTATTGCAAAAATCCCTCTTTAGCCTTCTCTTTTGAATCCAACCAATTTGGCACCCAACCTTTGCAGTATACTTGCATGACCCTTGGAGAAGGGCCACAGTTCTGCCCATACTCAAACACAAATGAGGCTCTTGGAGACACCTCCTGGTGTCATGATCATATGGAGGCTGTTTTGGTTTCTAGGCTATCTTGTTGGGAGTCTGCACAGCCCTTTCATGGAGGTAATGATGATGCTAGTTGGTTTTCTTCCAAATGTGCAAATTACATGAGTAGCACAAAATGCTAGAAGAAATGAAAAAATGGAAATTCACTGCTAGTGAAGGCCAAGAGGGCATTTGAACAAATGGCAAAGAGAGATTTTACATCTTCCCCTCTCTCTGCCTCCTTCTGGAGCGCTATCAATGAACAAAGTTACAGATTCTCTCTGAGTCCAAGCAACTATTTTGCTATCCTGAAAGTAACCCTTTGATGGTGATTTTCCATCTGACCCTACAGAAATTAAATCAAATAATCAACTAGTGTTATTTATGATTGAAGGAAGGCTCTCTAAATATAAGTAAAAATTGGTATGAACAGTATTACTCTATTCATATAGGCATTCCTTTTTTAGCAATTTATAGTAATTTTTAAGGTATTATTCAAAAGAAAAGGGAGCTGTTAAATACATTAATAGTGATAGCCATTGGAAATTATTTCCATTTCATTTCCTGACAACTTCATGAAAAGGTACAATTTATTCTGAAATGTATGTTCTGAGTAGAATGATTAATATTCTTCTTATTGTTAGAACATCTAGAACAAAATCTATTTGTCCTCTTTCAACTGTAAGAGTATAGGAGGGTTGGTAATTTCCTCTTGAAAACTAAAAGAAAAATAGTTTCTTAGTTTAAGTGATACCAAAACCGCTGAAATTTCAATTGTAAAATTTCATTAAACAACCTTAATGAAGGTCATTCTCATTAGCTCCATGTAAAATCACCTGCCTAAAACGTTCCCATATTGATAATGGAGAAATGTATGACGTTAGAAGTTTGTTAGTTGCATGCTTCAAAAAATAGTATGCTAACAAGACATGGAACTGTGAACAGCTCATAGTCAAAATTCTAGTGGAAAACTGCTCTTCTGTGCCCTCATTAATGAGTATAATGGTGTCTGCATATGGGTGTTTAATGATAGTATTTGATGATAGAAAATAACTTCAAAGAAGAAACGATGATGGCTTTGTGGTTGTATGGAAGCTACTTCAAACTTTCTGAGAGATTTACTCTTGGTTCTTTGTATCTTGTTTTTTTTAAAGATCAAAGTATCTGTGTCTTCAGGAGGTGACTGCATTCGAACATACAAACCAGAAATCAAGAAAGGAAGTTACAATAATATTGTTGTCAACGTAAAGACAGCTGTTGCTGATAACCTCCTCTTTTATCTTGGAAGTGCCAAATTTGTAAGTCTAATATTCAACTTTTCATTAGGCTGCTGTATGTGTATAGCTAGAGGTTAATCTGAAAATGTATAGAATCCCCAAATGTATATGGTCCCCAAATGGTCTAACGTAGGCTTTCAGATTTGAAAACCTCAACGTCTTACCTTACAAAATTCTGAAGAGTCAAATTAAGTTAGAAGGCAAATGAAAGGAAGAAAACTACAGTGTTTAGTCACATTTACTTTCATTTGTCAGTATACCATCATTTCTGTTAAATTATACTTTCAGATCCAGTGATTTAAGAATGCTAATGAGAATAAAGCTATTTTATTTACTTCTTATTTATTTATCTTATTTACTGTTCAAACTAAATTACAATAAACTCTTCCGTTAATGAAATGAAAATAGCAAAGTGTGTACTATTTTTTTTACCAATGGAAACTCTTCTAACTTGTGTTGAATTTATGACCTGAACTGAAATAACACAGATTATATCTACAAAAGCCCACCCATAAAGTTCTAATTTCTTCCATTTGAACTATTTGACTTTGCATGCATGGGGATTTTCCAAAATGAATATGACTTCTTAACAAATCATTCATGGCATAAGTCAATATTTGCCATTTGGGTAAGGAATTCTGGGTCAATTTGGGAAATAAAATCATAGCTGCCCCCTCAAAAATGTCAGTGTCCTTGGTGAAAATAATAATGGATTCTGAATTTAAATATTTGTTTTTATCTTTACCACAAGTATCAGAGTGAGAAAGGCTTTGGTCTCAAAATTAGACTTAATTTGAATTGGTAAAATTAACAAACATGCCTGAGCATTATGGACTTTTTTTTTTTTTGCTTTAAGGATATAAAAATAAAATATTATTTTAATAATGTATAATAATAAATAATATTATTTGACAAGTATTATCATGAAGCTCCTAATCATTTCACATGTCTGCAAATGGCGCTTATTGAAAAACACTCTGCTGGTCTCCTCTTTAAAGGTGCTTTATATCTGATATCTCTTGTTTTTGTATTTCTCTGAACTAGATTGACTTTCTGGCTATAGAAATGCGTAAAGGCAAAGTCAGCTTCCTCTGGGATGTTGGATCTGGAGTTGGACGTGTAGAGTACCCAGATTTGACTATTGATGACTCATATTGGTACCGTATCGTAGCATCAAGGTAACCAACTTAATAAAGATTAAGATAATTAAATGATAGAATTTTGAAGTAGTTTCCCAGTTTATAAGAAAACTCCTATTTCCATTTCAATAAGGTAACTGTGTATGCATGTAAACACATGTGTATGAATTTTATACATGTCTGGGAGTGGGTATGTTTGTCATACTTCTTAGGAACTGACAAACCTTCCAGGTATTGACCAGAGGAACAACTCCATTTCTGACCCCTTCATCTTGTGTCTGGTAGGAATTTGGGGGTGTCGCTGTTTCAGGCTTCCTATTTTGCCTGAAGAAAGTACTGCCACTTATTCTTATGCAATACAAGCCAAAGCATAAGAGCACCATTATTGCTTGTCTTTGTTGTACACAGCTCCTCCTTTAGTCTACATAGCCACCATAGAAAAATGCAGTTTCAAAACACTGAAATTCTTATGTAACATACCAGGTCCACCCTACTTAAAATGGGAAGTAACTGAGAACTGATTCAGTTATTCTATCTTTGGAGCTTTAATGCAATTATCAACATCTAGTACCATATAGATTACTTATAGAACTATCCCTGTCTTCAGCACTTCCCTCCCATTTTCTCTTCTTGTTTTCCCAATTCTCAACTCCCTGTTAAACCCAAAGCAGCTAACAGTTGAAAGGTATGGTTAAGGGCCTAGGGCTAGACATGAAGCTGATCAGAGACAGAGAAGACTTAAAGAACTGGTTAATTGTTGACTCTGGGTGATACATAGAGTTTCATGCTGTTTGTAGATACTTAATTTTTTCCATAATAAAAAGTTTAAAAGAAAGAGCCATGTGCAATGGCATGTGCTGTAGTCCCAGCTACTTGGGAGGCTGAGGCAGGAGGATCACTTCAGCCCAGGAATTCAAGGCTGTGGTCCATGATGATCATGCCTGTGAATAACCACTGCAGTCCAGCCTGGGCAACATAGCAAGACTTCATCTCTTAAAAAAAAAAGTTATAAAAAAAAATGAGAAGCAATATTTTTAGTTCTTTTTAAGGAAGTTTTTCAGCAAAAGTGTGTGTGCATGTGTGAGAGAGAGTGACAGAGTGCTTGCGTGTTTGGTGGTGTTGAGGGAATTAAGTACTTAACCGGGTTTAAGGACATTTATACTCATAAAGTGCAGTTCTTCTTTCAGAAAAGATACATTCTGTTAAAGAAGGTGAACCTTATTTGATAAATTCATTCTTTTGTTACCATGTATTTCACTTAACATTGCATCCTCAAAGAAAAAAGATTACCAAAGTGAGACAGCAGTCAGGGAAATATGACATCGAAGTTTTGTTATGACTGCTTGTCTCAAAAGAGAGACCAGATTTTCATATTTAACAGCTCATGGAAATCAATCACTTAAAAAAGAAAATGAAATAAAATGATAATAGCTTTCAAAATTCTGTTAATTGAATTTAAAAATGAACTTCTATGCAATTTGTACACTGAAATCTGAAGGGTGGATATTGTACTGTATACATTAGTATGCTGTGCCAAACAATAAAAGATATACCATTCTAGGAAGACTACTTCAACAAACTGGGATCCAAGATATTATAAAGAATTTTAGGAGAAATCATGCAGCTTATGATATGAAAGGGTGGCTCATTTGGGGTCCACTAGCTGAATTAAATTAGACAAAATGCTGAATAAAGTAATATAAACTTGCATAAATTGTATGTGTTGGTAAATAGTAAATTATTATGTAAGCCATAGGAAAAAGGCTTTCCACTTAACCAATAGCAATTCCATCAGTTAACTGCTGCTGTGTCATTTCATGTCAATGAACACACACAGAATCAGGACCTGGTGCTCACTGGTTCTGGTTGAAACTGATGTAAGTGTTGAGCCAAGATCAGACTCTGAGTATTGATTCGAGATCTAATGAATTTGGAATGTTAGAAACTAAACAGCCAGTTTTCTCTTAAATTCTTAAAAACAAGTCTCCGCATTTTATATCTTTTAAATCTGGAATTACCAGAAATGTGATGCATATTTCATTTTCTGTATGTTCCTCCCCTTCACTTCAACACGTACCCTTGAAGAACTGGGAGAAATGGAACTATTTCTGTGAGAGCCCTGGATGGACCCAAAGCCAGCATTGTGCCCAGCACACACCATTCGACGTCTCCTCCAGGGTACACGATTCTAGATGTGGATGCAAATGCAATGCTGTTTGTTGGTGGCCTGACTGGGAAATTAAAGGTAATGTGTTCATCCTCCTCCTGTTTATTTCATCTTTGTTGACATCTCCTGACATAATTACTTCAGGAGAAGGTATGATAAAGCTCTGTAAAACTTGATCACGTTTTACTTAACTTGCATTTATGAAAACATGAATTTACTTTGAGTAAGAATTTTCTTCTTTGACGATTCAACCTGGAAACACAATATTTTTAAGCCTATGTGTATTTATTTAAACAGCTGTTGTTTTGTCTTTATCTGTGGCATCAGTTTTTTGTATATTCTTGTTTTAGTTGCCTCAAGAGCAAAGTGTTTTTTAAGTATACCTCATCTTCTGAATCGATTTATGATTTATAGATATGAAGTGCTATAAAGTTCATACTCACATCTAATTAAAAGATTTATGAATACTTTGGGAAATATCACAGGAGCTATAAGCTTTCAAAACATGATCTGGTTTTTAAAGTTCTCAAGTTGCTCTTATTCTTATAGGATGATGCACTTAATATTCATAATTGCTTCATGACAGTCCTTGCGCATTTCAAATTGCAGAATGCCTGCCTTTTAAAGAAGCTTGTGTTGATTAAATGGAATTAGGTGTTGGGAAACCACTATGGGTGAGATGCAGGAGCACAACCAAATATAATGGATAATCCTGGGCTTGTCAGAATCATCCTGAGTTGAGATTAGTCAGAAAATGTGAAAAGCCAGGGTGACCCCAAATTTATGAGGACTCAACCTTCATATAGAATGAGGTTATTTTATTTACTTTGAGTACGAGATGTGACTCTAAAGTATGAGAATTTATTCCAAAACCACACGCTGAAGTTATCCTCGTTTCTTAGAACTTCATATAAATGTATATGGTACATAGTAATATATAGTCATATTATCAACTTTCTCTCCTTCACAGATAGATAAATATAGGGATAGCACACAGTAGTACAAAAGCCATGAATTTTGAAATCAAATCCAGGTTGGATTTCCTCCTCTTCCACTTGCTAAAATATAACCTTAGACAAGTCACTTAACCCCTTGGGCTTTGGTTATCTCAACTAGAAAAGAATGATAAAAATATCTACCTTGCTTGCATATTGTAGGATACAATAATACATTTTTTAATATTCTTATAACTCTTCCTATATGCTAAGTAATGTTCTCAGTAATTTACATGAATTAACTTGTTTAATTTTTACAACAACCCCAAAAAGTATGTCTTAGTCCATTAGGGCTGCTATAAGAAAAATACCATGAAACTGGGTAGTTTATAAATAAACAAACATTTATTTCTCACAATTCTTGAAGCTAAGAAGTCTGAGATCAAGGTACTGGCAGATTTGGTGTTTAGTGAGAGCCAGTTTTTCATAGAAGGAGGCTTCTTGCTGTTCTCACATAGTAGAAAGAGTGAACAAGCTCCTTTGGACCTATTTTATAAGGGCACTAATTTCATTCATGAAGGCCCTGCCCCTCACCATCTAAAACTCACCTCTCAAATGCCCTGCCTGCTAATACCATCACTTTGGCGGGTAGGATTTTAACATAAGAATTTTGAGAGGGACACAGACATTCACACTATAGCAAGGCAGATACTAATATTCTCATTCTGTAGTTAAGGAATCTGAAGAAGAGAGATGTTAAATGTCTTGACCATGGTCACACAGTAATTAGCAGAGCTGGGATTTGAACATAGGTTAATAGGCACAGTGGTCTTCACTCTCAACATCTTGCTTCACTGCCACAATGAATAGTGAGACACACACTACCATAGAGTGTGTGTATAAAATATATGGCAAATAGCTGAGATGTGGTAGTCACACCTTAAATTGTACCTTAATAATTATTATGCAAATGTAATTGGCACAAAAACAGTATTCTATCAGTCTCAGAAAAAGAAAGAAAACATGAACAAATGAAATCTATAGCAAACCTTAGGAAATCATTTTGGCCAAGAATTTCAAGACTACTGCCACACCAGAATATGAACCAAAAGCTGAAAACAACTAAATGAACTTGCTCATGAGAATTCAAATGAGCAGGAAAATCTCTCAAATATAGCTTTTCAGGATGCAAGAAGAAGCAAAAAGCAAGCAGAATTCACAAGTAGGATAATCAATCTCTAGAAAATTAAGAGGTTCAGAGTGATGACAGAGCATTGCAAGGACGACTCCAATGTGCAAGTCAGGGGCTCCGATCAACAATCTTTCTATGCGGCTGTGCAATACATGGTCACAGCAGTGGGAAATGTACATGTTGATGGGTTTAACCTAAAACCATAGCAGTAGGCTATACCATAGAGCCTAGGTGTGTAGTAGGCTATACCATCTAGATTTGTGCAAGTACTGTACAGTCTATGCTTTTAACTATTCAGTAACTGATTTTACTATTTAAAATTTTAACTATTCAGTAACTGTTTTCTTATGTGTGTTCTAAAAACCAAATGAGTCAATGCATGTTTTTCCCAGATAATCTGAGTAAATATGGGTTCACTTTGGCACAGAGTTTTTAAAGTTGTAGGCACCAGAATATAATACAGTCATGTGTCACTCAATGACAAGAATACATTCTGAGAAAGTTGGAATTAGGCAATTTCCTCAATGTGCAAACATCATAAAGTGTACAGTACTTGCACAAATCTAGATGGTACAGCCTACTACACACCTAGGCTTTATGGTATAGCCTACTGCTCCAAGGCTAGAGCCTGTACAGCATGTTCCTCCACTGAATGCTGTAGGCAGTTGTAACTCAATGGTAAGTATTTGTGTACCTAAACATAAACAAGGTACAGTAAAAATACAGTATTATAATTTTATGGAAGCACCATCATATATGTGATCTGTCATTTACCAAAACATTTGTAATGTGTCAATGCCAAAACAGTTGTTTCAATTTACAACAAACTTCTCTAGGAGGGACCAGGTCATTCTCTTTCTTCATGATTGTGTATCAAGCCTAAGACTTTTCCTGTGAAAATGACACCAGGATTGAATTTGATCAGATTATTTGTCGATTCTCTATTTGACTCCAGGCCCTGTGCTGTGTATACAAGCAAACGACACCAATGTGGTCTCATTTCCTACAAAGTTGCTTACTTTTTCTTTATTCCCTTGAACTCGAAATCTTCTTGGCTGTGAACAGAAATTTAAAAATTTACAGCAGCACTACCATAGAGTGATTTATACAAGTGCTTTTAAAAAATCTCTTCTATGTCATCAGCATGTCCCCTTTCTTCTGATCTCAGGGGAAAAAGCTTTGTGTATGCATGGCCCAAATTTGCCCAAAGAAAATTATGTAGGAGCACTAGCATTTATTGAACACCTTCTGTATATCAGGCACTGAGATTGGTGTCATAAATAAATTATCTAACTTTATTCTCACAAAAATTCCACATTACAGACAAAAGAATAGAATTGTGGAGAAGGTCAGCAGCTCACCTAAAGTTAGAAGCTAGGAAGTGTTTATTTACTGATGATGAAAACTGGTATAGCAAAAAGTAATCAGCATTCGTGGATTAAATAGTTGAGCTTTTCCCCTGTTGTTGACTCATCCTGTAGTAGCTCTAAGGATACGGACAGACTATGATGAAAAGATGAATATGTACATATGCCAAAATATCAGAAAGAATGGATAATGATAACTTTAGTTTCTGCTGATAATAACTCTCATGGATAAACCAAGATTATTTGTGAAATTCCAAATTCTAGCAAATAACGGTATTTCTTTCTGCAGAAGGCTGATGCTGTACGTGTGATTACATTCACTGGCTGCATGGGAGAAACATACTTTGACAACAAACCTATAGGTTTGTGGAATTTCCGAGAAAAAGAAGGTGACTGCAAAGGATGCACTGTCAGGTTAGTTGAGATGAGAACTCTCCCAGGGTCTGTCCTGTGCATAATAAAAGCTTCGATTTTATTGCATAATATTCTATTATCATGTGGATGATGTGGAGCAGGTTTGAAAGGATTATACTCAGAGGTGGAATTACCACAAAACTAATGAATCTTCAAGTCCCTGCCTGCATTTGCACAGGCATTTTTCAAGGCCCTGGGAGGTATACTAGCAGTACATTTGCATAGTCATATGTTTTTATAAAATTTGCAAAGGTAAGAGATTTTGGCTACAATCAGTTAAGTTTCCACTCCAATGTTCTTTCATGTCGAGGGGTTTTTTTGTGTCTGTGAGTACCTCATTGTTATAATTTTTTTTTCCTAAAGAGAGCTTTCCCCAAACTGATTAAGTTTCAGGTCTTGCTGAGCATGAATTCACTATATTTATGTTTATAACAAAATTAGAACCCCAGCCTAGGTTTTATCTCTTACAGGATTTTTTTTTAATTGACACATAGGATCCTACAAGTGCTTCAACTGGAAACCTATGGGATTTAATGATTCTGCTTCAAGAGAGAAGGAGAACAAGGGGCCGAGATAGTCCAGGAGGAAAGTTCCTAATACATGACCTCAATTATAAGATAGAGGGTAGAATGAATAGGAATTTGAAAATATTTAACATCCTATCATACTAAGCATGTGTAGAGAATAAACACTTTTATATAAAAATGAATACAGGATATAAAATATTTAGCTATAAGTAGAGGATTTCTCAGCATAAAAATCTTAGAGCCCACTTATCACCCAAGCCTAAAGCAATTTTGTTAAATTAAAACTATAAAACATACTTTAAATACCTGCAAAGTTAACATGTCATAACAGCAACTCAAAAACCATTAAGTGCTAAGGAGTTTGTGTTATTTTCCATTTAAAGGATATACATACGTTTCTAGGACCCAAATCCTAGCAAAGTACACTTCACATTTCTTTCTCTACATCTCTAGAGTTTCATAGAAGAAAGTAGCCCCAAAATGTTATCCCTCTAAAAGTCTTAACTTCCAACTCTTTGTTTCTTTTTGACATCATGGACTTGTCAACATGAAATTGAGGATAGTTTGAAAGCGTGACCCATTCATTGTTTAAAATGGTTTTGTCAATAATCTTAAACAAAATTTAACATGGAAGGTTGTCTGTAAAATTCTTTCAATACATGAAAGACAGTGAAGCCCACATTAATATTCTGCTACTCACAAACCAACACCAACTTTTCCCTAAGCGTTTCTTTGGTAAACTTCTAAGTAGGATTTTCAAAAGCCTATTATCAACAACAAAACATCTAAGGCATTTAAATATCCATTCAGCAGTGCATGTCATGTGAAACTGTAACATCACTAATTATCAATTCTGCAAAGATTTTGCACTTCAACACATAAAGTATTATGCTAATTTATGATTATAAGAGTATTCCTATGTATACGTAGGGTGTTTTGTAGGTTGCAGAGATTCACGTTTACAACTTCTCCTGATGCTAGAATGAATACAGCCTAGTCCTAGCCATGAAAAGACATCACCAGGAAGGGAGGAAAAAACAAATACTAAAATAGTTCAAATATCAGGCATAATAAAAGTCCCTTTAAAAAGGCACATTTGGAGTATACTACAATTACCCACATCAGATTAAGGGCATCATGATCTGCTTCACAGAGGAGGTGACATTTGAAATGGTCTTGACCTGAGGTAAGAGTCCAAAAAGAGGAGATAGCAGAAGAAATGTGAAGAACATTCTAATTCCTGAAACCAGTAAGAGCAAAGGGAGGAAGAGTGGGAAGCCGGAGTGTTTTTAGAAAAGAACAAGTGTGAATTCACTCATACAAGATTGGCAAATGGGAGAATGATTCGGGTAAGATGCAGTGGCCACATAGGTTCATACACACTTCTTCCCAGCATAATCATGTTTTTTTTTCTACCCTATAACGGTAGCTGAATCCAAAGTAAACCAACATAGCTGAAGACACCAACCTCAAAGTACTGTGCCACAACACAGCCTGTACACAGTGTGCATTCACCCATATGCCTGCCTTCAGCTTGATTTAGCCAAGCACTCTATCTCGGAAATGTTCGTGGCCCACGTCTTTTCCGTCATTGTGCATTTTTGCCCCATCGCTAACACTTGGCAGTGTCAGCCCTTTCTTATACCCCTTGTCATCAAACTATATTCACATTTTCCTTTTAAGGTGAAGTGATATGTATACTGAAATAATCCTATATTTTTTAATGTTTTAGTGTATCTTTTTGAGCTGTGCTAATACTTTGATCAGGATTGTTATTGTTTTGTGAGTTCTCTAATTACACACTTGTGTAAGTTTTTAGCAGGTCAGCCCCAACCCTATTTTCCCATAAGCCCTGTTATTTGTAAGAATAATTTTTATAGAACTCCTGGTGTTTGTTTGTTTGTTTGTTTGTTTATTTGTTGCTTTCAGGAAAACACTTATCACATTTGAACATAAAGAGCAATCATTCCTACTAAAGAGCAGGAGTGATTTCATGGAGAAGATGTAAAAGTGAGGCTAAAAGAGGTAGACTAAGAAAATGTCATAAAGACCTTAGAATGTCAGTTTTAGAAATTTGCATTTATTCAATAGTCAGTAGAAGAGATAAAATTGTTGTTATGCTTTAGAAAGAGTAATCTGTCAAAGATATTTTTAAAAGTGTATCTTATTTTTCTCATGCTTCTAAAATTCACATTAAGATTAAAGTAAGGGGAAAAATCTGCTGCAAGTAAAATTTAGTTAGCTGAGCATTGAAATGGTGATATTTTAATAGACTTAGCCCCAATATTCACCTAGAACGTAGCTGCTCCAAAATAGCATAATTAATCTATACTAACTTTACCAGACATCAAGGTTCAAAAGAGAAACAAAAGGCAAATTAAGAAGCCTAGCATTTATTAATTATGAAAGAATAGGGGCTTTTTTAGTAAATGCATTCAGAATGAATAGGATAACTCTATTCTATTCTATGTCGAAATATTATAGAGTGTACCTGGAAGGACTCATATTATTTCTCATCCCATAGTCACCAATTCAAAGCCAGACTTACCTTGTTTCTCCTAGTGTTTTCTAATGAATTAAATGAACTGGGGGGATCTACAGCTCTGTGTTTAGCCACTCCCAGTCCACAACTCTTTCCCGCAGGTATCTCCACAATCGCAGTAACATCAGACAGATAGGTAGGTAGATAGACAGATACATAAAAATAGCCTCATGTTTGGAAAAAATATTTTAAATGTATTCACAAGACTTATCTTAGATATTCATTAATTATGCATCCAATATTGATTAAACATATATTCTCTGTGAGGCAATTTGCTATACTAAAATCTTTGTCATCCTACAAACATCAACTGGATTCTAGGATCCAAGTACTGTATTGTATGTACTAGATGTTTTGAGTTTGTGCCTGACATAGGACCTAGCCCATAATCTCTTAGATGGTCTCATGAAATTTACATTCTAGTGAAGGAGACAGAAGAAACCATAAAAATAAATACAGGCCTCCTTAATCGTCTGAATCTAATTTGTTCCAGAAAAATTTGTTGGAAGGCAAATATTCAGAGTAGGATCCTATATATAAGAAATGTAATAATGTATTCTCAGCCCATCCAGAAACCCCGCCCCTTTGCCCAAATACCACTAAGACACCCTTAAGCATCAATATAACTATCTACTACCAAGTGCTTTTACAAAACATAAAGCACTTAAAAAAACTAATGACTTAGTTATTGCACACCTCATGAAAGGTGAGAGGTGGTTTTTACTTATTCTAGCACGGTGGCAGTAGAGATGGAGATAAGTGGAAGGAATGAAGATGTATTTAGGGTATTTCCTGCCCTACAACAGCCTATAGTCTCATTGCTATTCAGTGATGCATTGAATAATGACAGACTGAATAGATATGATCTGATTCATGTGAAATGTCTCTCTTCTCAGTCCTCAGGTGGAAGATAGTGAGGGGACTATTCAATTTGATGGAGAAGGTTATGCATTGGTCAGCCGTCCCATTCGCTGGTACCCCAACATCTCCACTGTCATGTTCAAGTTCAGAACATTTTCTTCGAGTGCTCTTCTGATGTATCTTGCCACACGAGACCTGGTAAAGATCATATGCATAGCAGAGTTTCCGTGACTAAAATGCGTTTGCTTCTTTTATCAGTTATTGGTAAAATCATCAGTTATTGGTAAAATTATCAGTTATTTTCTAAAAAGCCTGGGATGATTGTCTGGCAGCCAAGAATGGGTGATACAGATAGTGCTTATATATTTTCAATAATAACTTTAATCACAGATACAATTTAATTACTATTTATTTTCAATACAACTCCCCACATAATCCTTTAAGCAATACATCCGGTAATAATTTTTCCCAGCATGGAGCCATACAGCAGCAAAATGCTTCCTTAATCTTCTTTCAGAGACCTGAGTTGAAAAGGTGATTATAAGTATTCTTTGGCCTCATTTTTTTCTGGTCAGTATTTCTTACTGAATTCTTTCTGGGAACATACCTTTTGGTTCACTTAATATGTTTTCAAATGAACTCACATTTTACGACTGTAATAAAAGGATATGTCTTAGAAATTTTGTTGTGACCATGTGCATCATAATATCACAGCCACAAAAATTCAGAAAATAGTAACACCAATTCTATTTTCAAAATGGATTTCTGCAACAGAGTGACATATTCAGCAATTTAGCCACAAGACCCTAACATAAACCACACAAGAAAAGTGAACACTCATATACTTCTCTGTGTATCTAACCACTGGGGTATGTTTACTCTATTAATAGAGAGATTTCATGAGTGTGGAGCTCACTGATGGGCACATAAAAGTCAGTTACGATCTGGGCTCAGGAATGGCTTCCGTTGTCAGCAATCAAAACCATAATGATGGGAAATGGAAATCATTCACTCTGTCAAGAATTCAAAAACAAGGTGAGTTTTTACAGTAATAATGCAATATAGGCCTTAATCATGAAATCCAAAGTGCACATGTACCTGATCAAGAGGAAGGCTCCGTCTATAATTTTAGCTACTCACGAGTTCAGTGAAAAATTTATACAGTCATTTTTTTGGCTTAGATTATAGGTGATTTGGGTTAGACATGACTGATTGAAGAGCCAAATGCTTCTCTATCATTTTCTTTTGAAACTGAGAGCTTAATTTGAAAGCATAAAACTGTCTTACAACTTGCAAAATTATATCCTGTAATATGTTTGAAAAATGTTGGGTGCTTTTCTTTTCTCCCTATTTTGTCAAGATGTTTCCTTTAAAGTGGCCCACAGTGGAATCTATAGGAGTGGTAGGGCATAGTTATCAGTTCTTTGCTCATTTAAATTGCCAAACATTTGTATGCCTGCAAGTAAATAATTGATCAATAGTAACATGACATGTTTATGATTCGGGGACATTTTAAAACACTTTCACAAACATTGTTTTATCTGATCACATAAGCAGGTATTTTGTTCCAGTGTTAGAGAAAGTAAAATATACACTCAAACTTTTATGTGGTCACAGACATATATATAAAAGATCTCACAACCAAGACAGAAATCCAAGTCTATTAATTCTGAGTGTAGTGCTATTGCTTTTTAAGTATATAATTGCTCTAATTCTGTGTAGTATGGCATTACCAATATCTGCAAATGAGACTTTGTTACTTCTGCTAATATAAATAGACTCAATTAATGTTGCCAATGCCAGTGTGACATTTCATGAAAATTTACGTTTAAATTTAAATTTGTACCGTCTTTCATTTCTGCATTTAATACATATCTGCCAGGCACCTTCTAAGTACCATGTAAGAACTAAATGAAGTTCTAAGTTCTTGCCTTCAAGGAACTTGCATCGAACTGGGGAGATAGACAAGTATCAATGGTTAGAGGATAGAGAGCTAATTGCTGTGATAGAGATGTATGTAGCCAGCGAGCAATCTCAGAAGAGAGACACTTGAGTCAAACAGAGAGGTCAGTTTCCACTGGAGTGACCCTGAGGCACAAGCTGGATGAGGAGTTAGCTGGATGAAAAGCATGTATGGACATTTCAGAGTAGTGAAAGTTGTGTGAAAGCCTGGAGTCATCAGAGAGAATAACACATCCTTTTCCAGCTGCATTTCCAACAGGAAACTCTAGAGAAACCTCTCATATGGGACAAAAACTGGCTTTGCAATTCTTTATTTTGGAGTGCTGCTGCATACATTGTTCCTGTGTAAGAGAGGCACAATGCACATTTGCATGTCAGAAGCTCTGTGTAGTTAGTTGTTCAGTAAGAAGAATGTTTAGCTGTTTAACCCAGCATTTCCCAAATTTCTTTAATCAGAGAAATCCTTCCATTCCTGTAATACTAGCATTCTGCTGAACACACTTTGGGGAATGCTTTAGTAACTACAAGTGAATCCATAGCCTACACGAATGAATGTTGGCAGGAAATTATCAGTAGGGGCCAAGAGATAACAGAACCAGTGCATAAGGGGACATATGAGCTAAGTGAGTGAGTTTCAGCTTTATCCTGAAAGCCATAGGGATACCGAGAACTCTAAGAGTTTTAAGAAAGGGTGTGATATCATAAGACTTGTGCTTTAGTAAAGTTTCTTTAGCAGCAGTTTGGAGATATGTAACAATTTAGGATGCTACGGAGTCTGGTGAGCCTAGTGTCTCCCCACCAACTTCTCTTCTATAGTAGTAGAATAACAGATTTGAAGAAAGAAGGAGAAGATGGATATGCATTATAAAAGAAAAAAAGACAACCTAAATGTCCATCAACAGATGACTGAGAAAAGAAAATGTGGTATATATACACCACAGAATACTATGCAGCCATAAAAAAAGAAGGAAATCATGTCTTTTGCAGCAACAGGAATGGACCTGGAGGTCATTATCCTAAGTGACATAACCCAGAAACAGAAAATCCAATACCATATGTTCTCACTTACAAGGCGAGAAGCTAAACAATGGATACACGAAGACGTGAAGATGGAAACAATAGACACTGGGGACTCCAAAAGGGGGGAGGGAGGAGAAGGGGTGAAGATTTAAAAATCGCCTGTTGGGTACAGTGTTCACTGTGTGGGTGATGGGTCCACTAGAAGCCCAAACTTCACTCTTATGCAATATATCCATGAAACAAACCTTCATATGCACCACCTGGATCTAAAATTGTGAAATAATAAAAATAAAAATAAAGACATTCGGAACACTAAGCTGAATTGGCTAATGCTATAAACTCTAAAGATAGTAATATGCTTGGTAGATGTACGGTATAACAAACAGGGATAAAATGATTCAACAACTTAGGAGAACAATTTTTATAAATGGTCATCTTGGAAACGCTAATTTCCATAATCAGTCTGCTATCTCAACTTTTATTCTATCCATTAAAACAAATAAACAAAAGATCTGTGCTCTGAATCAATATTAGTCAAAGGTCAAGTTACAGAATCATATAAATGTGAAAGTAGTTAAAAATATGTTTTAGGTTTACTGTAACTACAGCATTCCATCAATTCAGAAAGTTCTTCCCCCAATAGGTCTAATTTTTCCAGATTTTACTAGAGCTACTAACTGTTACTGTTACTACTCTGTGGTCCAGAAATCAGAAAGAATTTTCCTTTATCCCAGCCTACTCAGTATCTTCTGTGACATTTCTGGTTTCTAGTTCAATCCCTTTGACACAGTTGGCTGATACCTTCTCATTTATAAGTCTTCTCCTTGGCTTTCAAATTGACTCTAGACTCACATTGCTTTTTGCCTTTCTGAATACTCCTGTCAAATGCACCAAGCAGTCATTCTCACTTTTATTTTGGGTATTAATGACATGAATCATTCTCCTTACTTCTCTATTGTATCTCTATGGTATCACCGTTAAAAAGAAATTAAGCCCTATGAGGTTTAGTTGTTCAGAATTTTGATTCTTAAATTAGACTGGGAACTTCTACCTTCTGCCCATGGTTGTTACCCATTCTCTATTATCTCTGGTGTCTCACCACAAATTTCTCAAGTTAAACAGGTGAAATTTTTTATTATAATAAAACTATAGCTGTTCTGTTTTTCCACATGTCTTCTCATATATCCAATATATTTTCTCTAATACTTTTAAAGTATTTTATTACTATAGCAGGTCAGTTAATATGTATTAATTTTTCCTTATAAAAAGAAAAGCATCGAAGCTGCAATGGAAAAAGCAAATGTTATAAACAAATAATTCACAAAAGAAAAATGCAAACTTCTTACATAAAGTTGAAAAATGCAATCTCAATAGATGACAAGCATATGGTCATTGACTTGCAGTAGCAATATCCAAAGATCACACTTAAAGCAGTAAAATCTAAATTTAAAAGGAAAAGAAGAAAGGCTTGGCAAAATAACCTTACTACCTGCTTTGATAAGATTAGCTCTTACAGGACACATTTATTAAATACCAACTATGCATCAGATGCTGTGCTGCATCAGTGAAGATGCATACGGTTCCTACCCTTGAGTAACTTACCTGCTGCACAAGTAGCAAATTACTGTATCTGTTTAGGATACAGTAAACACCAAGGGAGACATATGGAGGGAGAGAAATAAGGCACTAACTGAGCCCTAAGTCCTTTTTTAGTTGAGGGGGTAGGAGGGGTGGAAGCAGTTGCAGGCGATCCAGGCCAAAAAGCATCATATGAAAAGATAAACATGTATAAAAACATGAATTATTTGGGCAGCTGTTGTAATCAGTTTGAATTATTGGAGTTTAAATTTCAAAAGAGTGATAGAAGATAACGCTGGGCATGTTGGCAAGGGCCAGATCACAGGAAGCTGTTTAAACTGTGTTGAGGAGTTTGCATTTCATCTTGATGAACTTGATTTTAAGTAGAGATGTGACAGGGTAATTTCAATTTAAGTATATTACTCGAGGTGTCAGTGTGGAAGACATATTGTCAGAAGACCAAACTGAAGACAAAGCGAACAATTGGATTCAATAATAGTCTAGGCAGGAGGTAAATTATGCTTGAAGTAAGAGATGCAGTGGGAATTGACATCAAAGAAATGCAGAATAAATCCACCATGTGATACCATTACACAGCTATTAGAATGACTAAAATTAAAAAGACTGACCATACTCAGTACTGGCAGAAGGTGGAGACACTGGAACTCATACACTGCTGCTGAGGATATAAAGTGGCATAACATTGGAAGAGGTTGGCCATTTCTTAAAAGACTAAATATACATCTACCATACAAACCAATCATTTCACTCCTAATTATTCACCCAGGACACAAGAAAGCATATTTTTTATAGAAAGACTTGTACCAAAATGCTCACATTACTTTTATCTGTGTTACTCAAAAACTGAAAACAAATCACATATCCATCGACAGGTAAATAGATATACATAAATTGTGGTATACTCATACAATGGAATACTAGCAATAAAATACTCAGCAATAAAAAATAAAGTATTAATATAGATACAAAATGGATGAATATCCAAATAGGCAGACAAAAAAGGCAAATTTAGGCAGACACAAAAAAATACATTTGTATAAAATTACATAGAAAATGTAAACTAATCTATAGTCACAGAAAGCAGACGGATGCTACTTGTGAATGGTATATGTACGAAAAGGCAAAAAGGAGGGATTACAAATGAGCATAAAGAAACTTCTGGGGTGATGGATGTGTTCATTGAGTGTGGTGGTGGTTCTGCAGGTGTATACAATTACATGTTACAAACATGGTTTAAATTATAGCATGTTAATTATTCCTCAGTAAAACTGTTTTAAAAATAGGACAGATATTAGAGGTATTTAGGAGAAGAAATTAGTGAAGCTGTTGATTGATTAGATGTGGTGAGGAGAAAGTCAGGATGACTCTCTAGTTTAGTAGATTGGGTGGGGGGGTCATAAGACCAACAAAAAAAAGTAAGTTAAGTAATACAGATTTGGGAGTTAGATGATAATTATTTTGATTTGGAATGTTTAGCTTAAAGTACGCAAGGAAAATATAGATGATGGTGTCTCACCTGTTGAATGTGGACTTTTAGGCAAAAATCAGGTCCAAGCATACATACATTTAAGTCATCAATACATTGTAAGTAGATATAAACTTGAGTTTGCCCAGATGGCTAAAACCTGAGATGTGGGCAAAGGAAGGGATATTATAAAACATCAACATTTTAGAAGTGTTCAAAAATAGACCCCAGGGTAGGAGATTGAGAATGAAAGGTAAAAGAAGCCAGAGAGCTTGACATTATGGAAGCCAGAAGAAATTTCCTATAGGGAAGGAAATGCTAACAGCATTAAATATTGCACAAACATGAATTCAGATAAAGTTTAAAAGAACTCCACTGAGTTTGGGTATAGGCAGGTCCCTGAGGACTTTAGCAAGACCAGAGATGACAGAGTAGTGGGAGAGGAATTGAAATAAGGCTCCAGCAATGTGGATGATTGCTCCTTTTCAGTGACCAGATTATTTGTTTTATATGAATTATTCTCAACTAGTTGGCAAGAGCACTGTCTCTTGAAATTCAAGTACAGTCCTTCAGGAGTGTTCCCCATCTTTCTTGAGTCAGTTACAGAACCACAGTCCCTGACAGAAGTGTGCCCTATCCCCTAAATGCATCAAGTAGGATGCAAAGTTGAGAACACTCAATTAGATTTTCAGTGGATCAAGAAAGAGAACAAAAGAATAATAGCCAAAGTAAAAACACTTAGCTTATAACAACTCAGCATTGATTATAAAATATTTCTTAAGTCCCTACTCTGTGTCTATTATTTAATAAAATCCTTATTTCCCTACCTACTTATAAATCACATCTGAACTCATCAACTGTGAAATTTTGTGTCAATAGCCTACTTTTCTATTTTGTAAAGAAAAGAAATAGGGTAAGAAATAAAAGCAAGCATTAGCATTTACTAGCATTTCCTGGTAGAACCCACTTCATCGCTATCACTCATGAAGGATAGAGTAAAGCACTCCCTTTAAGTCAGTAAAAATATGCCATCCTGTCTCTCTGCCAGTTACCTTTTGGGCCAGTGAATTTCAATTCAATTGTGTTGCTGCTCTTTAATCATGTTTTCTTAGAATGATTTCTAAAAATGCATATATTCATTCATGGATAAGGAGGAAAACCACCTCCAGTCACTGGCTTGCCTGTGATAGAGAGGCAGAATCTCATTTTCAGACACCATTAAAATACCCACCAAGTCTGTAGAAAGAGACTATTTTCATCTTCCAGTCAACAGCCCCATATGAAAATACCTTTGCCGATCTAGATAAAAAGGAATGTATATGAAAAAGTCTTGAAAACAGTTTTATAAATCTATTTTCTTTTAGCCCCCAGTCCAGTCAAGGAGATATATGTGTATGAAACTAATTATGTATATAAAAATAATAAAATAGGTGTGTGAAAGTAATTCAATTTTAAAATCTTAACTTGCTAGCTATATTTAATAGGACAATTATTCTTTTAGGTATTTTTCTTGTTTGTTTTTACAAAAGTCTGGTTTGAGGTGTCCATTGGTATGTGTATTTTAGTCCTTTTTTAATAAGGCAATTGTGTTTGATTTTATTGAAGACACATCTTTTTGAAATGATAGGGCTATAAACTTCAAGGGAATTTTGGAATTTGATGTTTCTCTCTGTTTTCCAAAGAACACTGATTCTGAAAGATGATGAGTTGAGTGAAAATAATAGTATTTCGTGGTCAAATAAATTTGGGAAATACTTTTTGCTCTATGTCCTTCTCTAGGAACATTGCATTGCATATTAGCATGCTGAAAGATCTGGGCAGCTATAAAATTAAGAAGATACATGTTTAACTTTGTATAACCCAGTATTTGTCATATTTATTTGAGCCAGGAACATCCAAGAAACTAGCATCCTAAAGAATAAACATTTAGAAATTCCCTTATAACCCACTGGTTCAAATGCCCATTTTCAAACCCTTGCTTATTCAGATCCTACATCAGACAAAGGTTTAGAGGCCAAATCTATCATCTTACGGGACTGATGTCAATACGCATCAAGGATGCATATGAAGTAGTTAAAGGCTAGATCTAAGGACATGTGGTAGAAAAGCATGTAATTCAGAAAAAGCCTAGCTTGACCCCTAAGAAGGGGGCGGTAGTGAGAGGGATCAATGAGATAAGGAGTTCCTGTCTGCTTTCTAAACAATGCAGTTTGAACAGAGAAGTGCCTCATCTTTCCTTTTTTCCATCTATTTCTGAATTCTTATCTTCATCACATTAAAAATACCTTGAGAGACCCAAAAGAAAAGCAAGAAGGCATGAGGACTGTACCTCTGTCACAACACTTAGCATCCTGGTCTAAAATGTAATTTACAGTGTACCTGGATCTCACCACTTCCTTGTACAACATCCCCTTCCACTTCCATGTACAATCATATTTTACAACAGTGACACTTTGCAGATGAGTCTAAATCCCAGTAGTTCCTGTGGATAGTAAAACTTACAGAAAGAGCCATAGATTAGGCATATTTCTAATTAATTATCTGATTCCTAATTAGATATCTTTGTTATTTAGCATTTTTAACCTTGCTTTATTTTCTAACTACTTATCTAGATTATAGAAAACTACATCAAATGGATCTTTGATGTTCAGTTATAGTTATCTCTTTTATCTTCATTGGTTTGCCTTCACTGGTGTTCAAGCTATTATTTTCATGCTCTTTGGGGGATAGTTTAATAATGTATTTTATTGATGTTATTTCTGTAATTATTAAATTGCTAAATATAGTGCAAGTGCTTGAGAAAGTCAATGTTAATTCTCGAATTAAACCAAATTTGTCTTGAAGTATTAATGATGATATAGATGTGGTTGATATTGCTCAAATAAAATGTTAAACTTTCTTTCTCCTTTACAGCCAATATATCAATTGTAGATATAGATACTAATCAGGAGGAGAATATAGCAACTTCGTCTTCTGGAAACAACTTTGGTCTTGACTTGAAAGCAGATGACAAAATATATTTTGGTGGCCTGCCAACGCTGAGAAACTTGAGGTAATTTAGTTTATATGTAAAGCTAAGGATTAAGTTTTAATTAAATGACCACTATGCTCACTAGAGTTCTGAAGTTTAATTACAATAAGAATGTCATATAACCCTTGGTTGCAGAAAGGCCTAATCAAAAACATCATGTTGCATGTTAGAACAACACCAGGATTTAGAAACCAAAGGACTAATTTGACATCTTTGTTGAAGAGATGGATTGGAGTCGCTGTTTCCTTTATATGCACCTGCTGAAAAGAATTATGAAAGTAATTAAAGGTAGAAGCCAGAGTTGAATGTGGATCTTGTAATTGCTGTTCTCCTTCTACATTCACTGGAGATAATGGCACTCTGACATTGCTTAGTGTTCCGAAAATTAGTCAGTGTTCCAGGATGCTATGAGTATAACCTATTTTATTGCTAAGCATTAGCATCATAATGGCGTGTTGGAGCTTTCCCATATGCCTAATACAAGAACTATATTAGTTGTTCTCATGCCCATGCCAACATTTTTTTTTAATTTCACATATGCTTTTTAGCTAGCAGTATGGGGAGACACATTTGCTTCCTAATTTAGTTAGTTCAAAAAATAAAGTAACTAAAAAATGTCAGAAAATACTCACGTGCTGTGTAGTTAATTTACTGCTCATTATAAAACATAACATAGTCTATAAGGATGGTACTTGGTGCTCAATAAATGTTAATTACACTCTAATTAGAATGGGATTAATTGATTTGGTTAAACCGTAAGAGTTTATTACAGACTACCATGTTTTTAATTTTTTGTTTTGTTTAATTAGTTTGGTATTTTTTAAAGGGTATAAAAGTTCTGTCCAGGTGTTTCTACTCCAAAAAGACAGATTATGTTTGGAAAAATCCCAGAATAGCTGAAAAGTGTGATGGTCAGTTATTTTCACATTTCTAAACGAGCAGTGAAAGTTCAGTCTCATTCTATGACAGCTAGTGTGCAGGCTGAAATTTCTTCTCCCCAAATCTAAACTCATAGATGAAGCAACTGTCTAATTATCTGATGAGCTTCATGGTGCAAATAAATTGGCTCTGCATTCATTGTAATGTATTTGTGTTAGAAAAATAAATTTAAAGTGTCAAGTCAGAAAAACATTACAAATCAAATTTAAATAGTACCACAGTTATTACCTAGAAATTCATTTGCCAGTCATTCACCAAAAGTTTGTTGAGTATCTACTATGTGACAGGCTCCATACCAAATACTAGGAATCCAGTGGTTGTTCAAATCTAAGATTTGCTTTACAAGATCATTAACCATATATTATTGAGTGAATTAAATACAGCCAAACCTAAGGTTATTCAAATCTAGCTTCATTTATTCTAGTGATGATTTTAATTATCATAAAATAATTTTTAGGAATTATCTATAAAGGTGTGCCTGTTAAATTCTATAAAATCTGTTAAAATCTGAATCTGTTAAATGAATCTTTATCACTAAAATGTTTTTACTTTCATGATACAGCATTGCATAATTACAGTATACTATTTCCATGGTGTGGCACATTATTTCAAAACAGCCATTAGAGGTATATTTGTGATTGATAAAGGAACCAAACATTCATAGTTACCTGTTATTTTGCCTGCAGACAGGTTCTCAGTATGACAAAGTGCAAAAGATGTGGTAAACATAAATTATTTTTACATGCATTGTTAAGCTCAAGCTGTTTGAGAGGCAATATTTATAAGCCATTCATGAACACTACAGAATAGTGACATTGTACATTTTCCCATTTATTAGATTGATAAGAACAAGTACTTTAAATTCATATTTCAAAGTAAAAATTTTCCAAGCTGATATTGTGAGCTACGGTCATATTTTGATTCTAATTTCACTGCCGTCAAGGGTATAAGTCTATTTTTAGTTCTATTGGGGCTTTTGCATTTCTTTCCTTTGTAGATCCCTGTGAAATGATTTTTTAAAGATTTATGATTAAAGTTTATTGTTTTACTAAATGAAAATGTAATTATAAGTAAATTGTTTTTATTTTTGTTTTTTTTTTCCTCTTTCCCGTTATCTAGTATGAAAGCAAGGTAAAATTTAAATTTATGCATGCCTTCTTCGAGTGCATGGGTTGGGTAAATGTGGCTTCTTAGATAAAGCAGCCGTGCAGAAGCAGAGCAACACCAGTACAGCTTTGTTCATAGTATGTTTCACGAGCAAGCCGTGCATTCTGTGAGAGTTCTCCTGCTGCCCCTTGCTGGCCGACATTCTGCTGCTTACCCACCATCAGTTGGGCTGCAATTTGAGTTGTCTCACCAGCAGTGATGAGATTTGCTCTGCTCACTTGTTCAACCATCTGCACACAGTGCCCCTGGTGACCAGCAGCACACACTCAAAAGGCAGCTGGTCAATTTCTGGTACACAGTCTAGTTCTGGGAAACACGGTAAAGTGGTCTCTTGAGTTGAACCCCGGGCCCTGGCCTCCCTAGTGCCATGCTGTCTGCTGAAGAATCAAACTGTGCTCTCACATGCTTACCACTGCCTTCTTGCTTTTTGCAGGCCTGCAGATATGCAAACATTTACACAGCCTTTGCACCTCTTGTCAAAGCTGTTTATCTATTGACATGTTTATTTAAAACTAGCTATGGTGCCAGATGAAGGAATCTCTGGAAATACTATATTTAAAATAAGTATTTGCGTTAATAGTAAAGAAGTGTGAGATAGTTCTCCTAGCTTCTCAGGAGCATTTTAATTCTTACTAGCATTAGCATAAAAGCTGTGAGCAATGGGCCTCCATAAATGGCTGAACAAACCTCAGAGATGTGCAGGGCTGGTATCCTCTGGCTAGAGCTAAAAGCCTGGTGTTTTGGCATTTCAGAGCCCAGCTGTGCCAGATTTCTGGAAAGAAGATAATAAAGCCGAACTGATCCAAGAAATTTTTAAAACCGAGGCTAGATTTTTAATAAGAGAAATAGAATATACAGAAATGAAAGTAGGGAAAAATAAACCATGCGTTTTATCATGATACAGTTGTAAGACCACTAGTTGTGCTACATTTGCTGAGATGGCTAAAAAGCGAAGGCTGGCTTTCATGGAAATATATGTTAATAAAATTCTGGGATGGCACTGTGTAGGTTTGTAATTTTGCCTTTGAGTGGTGACCCTCAAGAAACAGGGACCCGTGGTTACCATTGAGTCCAGTCACCTTATGTGACTATTTATCCCCTGTAATTGTCCTAATATTGAGGTTGCTAAATCATATTTTGGAATGGTTCTTTGTGTTTCCATGAAACAATAAACTATATAACTTGTAGGAGTGATTTACTTTAGTAACAAGACCTCTGAAAAAAATGGTGATAAGTCAGTCTTTCCATAAAGGAAAATATGGAAGCAAGTGAACACTGTTAATGAAATTCACCTTCTCTGTGCATTATGCAAGAAAAATATAAGCAGAATTCTCACCCTACAGTTGGGCATGTTCTTTATAACAACCAGCTGACTGACTGAACGAAAAGAAAACCTTGGGAACAAGGAAAAATTATCAATGAAAATAAAGAAGTTCCAGAAAGGAGTGCGGGGGTGGAAACAGACAGACACCTGACATGAAATAAATCACCTGATATACACTGCCAAGGTCTAATTTGTTTTTCCACCTGTTTTTCCTCATGCCATGTGTTTTTCATTAAGATAAAAAAAGGAACTTGGCATCATGGGACAATGAGGAGAGAATTAATCATCACCCTATCAACTACAATATATTGATGCCGACTGGACAGTTTTTACCGATGCTGATTACCACCACATAAAGAATTATCTTTTTCACTTCTATATACCTTCACTATTCAAAATAGTAGCCACAAGTCACAGTAGCTATTTAATTGTAAATTAAATCAAATTAAATAACAATAAATATTCAGTTTCTCATTGAGACAAGCTACATTTCAAGTCCTAATAGCCACATGTGGCTAGTAACTACTGATTTGGACAGTGCAGAAAACAGACAATATCCATCATCACAGGAAGTTCTGTGGAATAGCACTGTTATAATTAAAGAAGTATCATCATCACTGACATTCTGATAGCCTTTGTTTGTTGAGCACTTACTGTGTGCAGTGCTATTCCTTAATTTATTAAACCTTTGCAATTTGATTATGTAGGTACTATGATTATTATTATCATGCCCATTTCACATATAAGAACACTGAGTCTTGGAGAACTTAGATCACTTGCAACATCTGGACTCAAGGGCAAGGACTTCATTTCCTAATCTGCTGGCACACTTGCCCCATTTTATGAAGTAGTATGCAAAAGTAAACATTCAAGTGTAGTTTGAGTATAAAAGTCATTTTTCAATTTTATTGAAAAAATAAAATGTATGGGTTTTTGCATTTGGTTGCTTTATTTTGTTATTGTTCTAATGTAGAATACAGACTTTGGGGTCAATCTGTAAACTAAATTAATCTGTTAAAAAAAAACATTTTTTTATTTTGAGACAGGGATCTCACTCTGTAGCCCAGGCTGGAGTGCAGTGGCACAACCATAATTCACTGCAGCCTTGGCCTCCTGGGCTCAAAAGATCCTCTCTCCTCAGCATCTCCAAGTAACTGGGACTCCAGGCACACACCAACATGCCCAGCTACTTTTTTTGGAGGGGAGGGCAAAGACAGGGTCTCACTCTGTTGCCTCAGGCTGGTCTTGTCTTGAACTCGTGGCCTCAAGCGATCCTCCCTCTTCGGCCTCCCAAAATGCAGGGATTACAGGAATGAGCCACTACACTCGGCCAGTAAACCTAATTTTTAAACATCTGTTTTTTAGACTATATAATCCAAAAGAATGTTTCTTGGACTTTGTTTTACTTAAAAGCCTTAAAGAGATATGTAATATTATCTTATTTTTTAGCTATCTCCCAAGAAAAAGCCTCAAATAAAAAAAAATCTTTTTCAAAATAAATAAACGTTTTCAGATTTTTTTTTCTAACTTTTGAGCAAGGTTTTTAAAAACTTTTTGGTATATAGTTTGTTTATGCTGCCTATGCAATTATCTTCTCTTTGGTGAAAAAAATAAAACTTATTTCATTACACATATAAAGCATCAATAAGAAGTCAGTTAATTCCTGTACCTCATGTTTAAATGCTGTGGGTGAGATTATTGCTAAAGGGGAGAAGGACTACAAAAAGACTCCTTCTGCAGGATAACATGAACATCCATTTAGACCAACCAGTAGACAATGGAAACCAGAGTTTGCTGGGTACACGTGTGCACAGTTTGATAGACATGTGCCTGCATGTGTCTGCTCCACAAGGCTTCCTTCCCATAGTCAGAGACTACACTACCATCACCCTAATGATATTGCTTTTGCTTTTCATTTGACTATTCAATAGGCCAGAAGTAAATCTGAAGAAATATTCCGGCTGCCTCAAAGATATTGAAATTTCAAGAACTCCGTACAATATACTCAGTAGTCCCGATTATGTTGGTGTTACCAAAGGATGTTCCCTGGAGGTTGGTCTGTTTTTGATAGTTCTCTAAACACATTTATATCAGATTTCACTTACTTAGTGTGGCTGCTCCTACAAGGATCAGTCTTTTGTTAATATATTTTACTTTTCTACTGATCCTACTCTTAAACGATAAAGCAAGATTAAAGCATTCTCTAAATTACCATGATAAAAAATGGTATTATGAAGTCCTAGAATTGTGATCCAATTTTCCAAATGTATAGCTCTTTATAGCACATATCATTAATACTAATCTCTTTTCTGTTTTTCTCTTTTTTTCCAACACTACTTTTCCCTTTTCCTTATTTTTGTCATCCATTTTAAATTTATTTTACTTTTATGTGTTGTATATAGCTTTATTAGCAACCTTACATTTTTTCTGGAACCATTGAAGTTTACACAAGTAGCAAGTAGTAATTTACACCGTAGCCATTAGTGCATAGTCTGTTGTCTACAAACTTGAAGTCTAGCCCCCTTGTCTTTGAAATAACATAGACTGGGACCTGTGGCAATCAACTCTGCAAAGACTTGTGTTTGACATGCCTGCAAAGTCCTTTGTTAGCTGATATCCTCAGTAACTCTTCTTTGATGCTAAAGCATCCTAGCATTCCCCTATTTTCGTTTAACTATTTTGCACTGTTTCTTCAGTTGACACTGACCCATATGTGAGAAAGACCCCGGCCATAGCTCTACTCTCTTAAAATATCCATAAGCAAGAGTCAATAGTCAACAGCAAATATTAGCAAGAATTTTATAGAAACTCAATAGTGATCAGCTTGTTTTTAAAATGAAAACGTTAAATATGTCATTCTCATACATTTTTAATTATCCTATCATAATACAATTATTCATTTTGTCTGCTGCTTCTAATCAAAATTATCTTAAACCACTCCAATAGAATTAGGGAAATGAAGGGAAAATGTGGGTAAAGAAAAAAGTAAATCCACCACTTGAATGATGAGGTTTAAAGACTGGAACAGAACTTTCAGGATCTTCATTGTTCATAGCTACAGGCTCCAATTTGGAATTGGCCATAGACACCCACTCTGAGAAGTTTGGGAATAAGAAAAGAGAAAACACATTAAGAACTAAAACTGTAAGGACCCATACTGGCTTCTTAAAGGAAGTTTTACTGAGAATTTTAATCTTCAAAGCCTAACTCTCATTCACATTCAAAAGATATATACATGAGGATGGAAACTGTCCGGAAAATGAATAGCCTCTGCACGTGGAAATTATGATTCCCTAAAGGCACTTTGCAGTAACCAGGAATTATTTTGCAACTAAAATATGAGGCAGAAATTTGATGTGGATAAATATTGAAAAGTCTGCACAGTAGTTTTATCTGAACTATCTAAAACTCCATGATTTGAAAATTGGAATAGAAAACAGATTATACATTTTACCAGCTCTTGTGTCATTTAACTGGTCTTGAAACACTGTGGGAGGAAAATAGCCTACATTAAAGGATTCTTTGCTTTTACTCCTACAAAATCTAGGACTTTAAAAATGAATATTTTAAGCACTTTAAATTCCTAACTACATGGGCTTGCTTAAATAAATACTAGCAAATTCATAAAGTAGAAAGTCCTCCTGCCATTAAAAGTGACTATCTACATTTACTGAGAGAGTGATATCTTCCACATATGTAAGAAAAAAAAGTCATTAGGAATGAACATGTCTATCAAGATTCATTTTAAATACAGGGAGGAGGAGAGAGGAAGATGGCAAGGTTGTGAAAGAGTGAATGAATGAATGAATGAATGAATTATAGAAAGCTATATGCTTCTGCACAGCTTTGAGATTGAGATGGGGAGCTGATTTTCTCCCTTTTGCACCTTATTTACATTTCTACTTGAAATGTAACTGTTTTAATTTTATACTGAGCAAGGACAATGGTATTACTTTAATATTGAGAAAAAACTAGACTATGCGATGTTTGTTTTATTTATTTTTAAGGTTTGGTCTTATCACTGGGGAAAAATGCAGACACAGATAATGGTCATACCCATCTGTAAAACATAAACAATTAAGTGATAGAGTTTATTCAAGAGATATTCGTTACAGTGTTTTCAAAGGAAACTTAGGGACAATCTCCCTAGACATGTACCTGCTTGTGTGTCAGTTTGACTTAAATCTTTGGTTTAAACAACAACAACAAAAAAAGGTACCTAACAGTGATAATCTTCTATATTTAAAATCAAAAGCTCTAGAATAAAAGTAGAGGCTATAATTCTGATTTTAACAAAAACTGCTCAGAAGATTTGAAGTTATCATATAACTAGAAATAATATTTCTTCAACTGCTCTTAAACTTTCCATGTTTTCCTGCTTTCTAAACCTATGATGTATTTCATAATCACATTAATTGCATCGAGGAGGGTGAGTGAGATGGAGAACTTATTTAAATTTTCATTTCTAATGGTTTCTACTCTTCTTTTCCTTTACTCACAGAATGTTTACACAGTTAGCTTTCCTAAGCCTGGTTTTGTGGAGCTCTCCCCTGTGCCAATTGATGTAGGAACAGAAATCAACCTGTCATTCAGCACCAAGAATGAGTCCGGCATCATTCTTTTGGGAAGTGGAGGGACACCAGCACCACCTAGGAGAAAACGAAGGCAGACTGGACAGGTACCCTCACACCTAGCTGATAATGCATTTTCCCTAATGCTTATATAAAGCAGTTAACTTACTTTTGTATTTTTAGTTTCGTATCATTTATTTCTGCTCTCATCTTGGCTAGCAAGGACTGAACATTCCATATTTCCATGCTGGCCTCCTATTTCACTCACATCATCTCCCCAGGACAATTGTCTTCTCTAGGATGTTCCTGTTGATCAATTGTAGGTGCAAAGTCACCCTCATATTTGCACCTATATTTCCTATGGGTTTAACATATGCATATGTAAAGAGGACAGCTTAAAATATATTCACATTATCTTAATTTCTACTGTCTCCAAGTCCGACTCCTTACCAAATCTGTAGACAGTCAGCTTCGGTCCCTTAAATTTAAATGTAAATTCCTCTAAGATCATTTTCCCAGTTGCACAAGCTGAAGTAATAGTCTTTTGGGCCTGACTCATCCCATCCTCTCTGGACACAAAGAAGGGCAGAAAATGGATCTGGGAGAAAGCAAGTAGAACACAACCAACACAGACAGGGACAATTTTATCCCAATAGCATTCAAGGATGTTAAAGCCTAAAGAATGTCAACCAGCCGGGTGTAGTGGCCCATGTCTGTAATCCCAGCACTTTGGCAGGTCAAAGCAGGAGGATCGTTTGAGCCCAGGAGTTTGAAACTAGGCTAGGCAGCATGATAAGACCCTTTCTCTACAAAAAATGTTTAAAAATTAAATGGGCATGGTCGTGCACAACTGTGATTCCAGCTATTCAGGACTGCTATTCAGCTGTTCACGCCACCACACTCTAGCCTGGATGACAGAGTGAGACTCTGTCTCAAAACTTTTTTTAAAAAAGAGTATCAATTTTGCAAGGACATAAACTTTAGTATCTATATCCCCTGTCCATTTGATTCTGTTAAAAGCAATCCCTCAACTGCCCAGATTTAAGCATCATACCTCTTATTGCCTTGGTATTCTTTAATATCTTCAATCACATTTTTTAAAACGTAATTTTCCATTTAATCTAGTTTTTCTCAATGAAAGGGTTCATAGGAATTATTTTGTCTGCCATGACCAAAAGAACACAATGCTTTACAAATATATCCTTAAGTATGCACATACCCTTGTAAACCAGATCATGTTATTTGTGATTACGTGTTTTAAAAATCAATTTTAGTATGTAACATTTAGTGATCAATCATATTATGTAACAAATCTTATTTATTTTTCTAAAAAATACAAAGCCCACACAAAATATTCACAAAGAGAACCCAAAGATGTATAACCACGAGTAACTTGGATTATTTCAGGAATGCAGAAGTGGTTTAATGTTAGAAAATCAAAATATCAGCCAGGCACAGTGGCTCACGCCTGTAATCCCAGCACTTTGGGAGGCCAAGGTGGGTAGATCACAAGGTCAGGATTTCGAGACCAGCCTGGCCAACATAGTGAAATCCTGTCTAATTTGTATACTAAAAATACAAAAAATTAGCCAGGCATGGTAGCAGGTGCCTATAATCCCAGTTACTTGGGAGGCTGAGGCAGGAGAATTGCTTGAACCTGGGAGGCCGAGGTTGCAGTGAGCCGAGATTGTGCCATTGCACTCCAGCCTGCGCGACAATGTGAGACTCCGACTCGAAAAAAAAAAAAAAAGAAAAAGAAAAAAAAGAAAATCTAAAAATAATATAATCTTGTCAATAGATAGTAAAAACATTTGGTAAAATTTAACAGTCATTCATGATTTTTAAAAAATACTTAAGTAAACTAAGAGGAAGGAACTTCCTTAGCCATCTATAAAAAAAAAACTATAACAAGTATTCCTGATTTAAAAAAAAGACATTATAAACATTTGCTATAAAATCAAGCCCAAGAAACAGATGACTATTTTGACTGCACTGATCTTAGCTAGCATAGTAAGAAAAGAACAAGTAAATATAGCACAAGAACAAGAATAAGAACAAATATATAATTTAAGAATCATTATAACAAAATAGACATAAAGCCCATATGGAGAAAATTATAAAATTTCATTGAATGATACCAAAGTATTTCTCAATGATTATAGTCAATAAATTGGTATAGTCAACATGTTAATGAAGATATTAAAGACTCAATATTAAAAATATGTCATTTCTCCCCAAAATGATATGTAGATTCAATTATAATAAAAATATCACCTTATTTTTCTGTGAATCATGACAGCTTATTCTAAAATTTATATCAAAGATGAAATTCCTAGAATAGAAGAATAGCGTAGTTGGGGCTGTTCCACCAGATATCAGCACATTAGAAGGTAAAGTTTTGTATTGTGGAGCTATCATGTTAATTCATGTATAACTGTGCAAATAGGAAAGAATTGAGAACCCTGAAAATACACAAGCATAGATGGAAACAGCATTTGACAATAAGTGGCATTGCATTTCATTTAAAAAAGACAACAGTGAACTGTTCAGTGAATGATTTCAGGGCAATTGGTTATTCATATGGAAAAGATGAAACTAAATTTCTTTTTCATATCAAACCAAAAAATAAATTCACAATAAATTAAAGTCTTAAATATGGAAGGACAAAAATCTTTAAAATTCTTAGAAGAAAATATACCAGGATTAAATTTTGACCTTCGGGAAAAGAACACTTGATTGAACAAAACAAGATTATGAGTGGAACTGCATTAAAATTAAACTCTTTGGTCATCAAACAACACAAAACACAAGCCTCAGTCTGGAAATGTACAGTATATATAATCTACAGGGAATACAGTCCTTGTCCCCAAAAGGGGAAAAGCTCACTGCAGTTTATAATGGGATATCGAAACCATACTGGTTGTTATAGTATTAGAAAGAACAGTATTGGAAAGATGTGAATCAAAGAGTGCCCTTGATCACTGCTGGTAGAAAAAGTAAATTTCTAAAGTCACTTTGGAAAACAATTTGGCACTATCTCCTGAAGTTGAACATGTGCATACTCTCTACAAGCCAGCAATTCCACTCCTGGGTACAGACCCAGATTTTTGCACATGGGCATAATAAGACATGTACAAGAATGTTTATAGAAGTATTCTTTATAATAGCAGAGAAACTAGAAACAACCCAAGTGTTCATCAGCTGGAGAACAGAGAGGCAAACTGTGGCACTTTTGCATAATGGGATATCAAGGAATAAGAAAAAGGAATAAATTATAACTAAATATAACAACATAATAAATAGAAAATAAATAAAAATGAAAAATGTGCTATATGGTACCATTTTTGTAGATTTCTCATACAAGTAGCACTAAACAACATATTGTTTACAGACACATGTGAATTTCAAAAATATTTTTTAAAAGTAAGGTAATGATAAACATAAAATCCACATTTGTGGTTACCTCTGAGATGGAGAAGCAAGGAGATGGTATTAGAAAGAAACTCATAAGAGATGCAATGGTATTGTTTCTGAAATTTGGTGGTAGATTTACAGGTATTCATGTTATTATACAGTGTTAACGCAGCTTCATCGTTTACATGTATATCACTCATATTGTGAAGAATATATCAAATAGTCGTAATAAAAATATTTTTGAAGAGTAGAGGGAGAAAAGTGTTATTTTATTTCATTTCTTACTACACATAATAAGCACTAAATAAATATAAAATACAAATGCCCTCGTCAATTTTTTTGTTTATCTTGAAAAATAAACTTTTTTCTCATATTGCAAATGATAAGCTAGTTATAATAAGAATACCAGATCAAATATTCTGAAATAGATTTCCACTAAAGGATACTTGATTCCTTCATCATTGCCAGATATTTAAACACTACCTACTGGCTCCAAATTTCTCCTCTTCAAGATAAAAGAAATGAATGTGAATCACCAGCTTTCAGGATAGTGCTTAAAATAAAACAGATTCCTATTAAAACAATTACAATAAGAAAACACTATGTAGTATAGTATAAAGTAAGTTAAAATGACATTTTAATGTTTTAACATTTTAATAACTCATATCTACTTTATAAAATATCATAGTATATGCTATCTGAAGGAGGAACCAATGTTAAATAGTATAAGTCTGTTAGACATAATTAGATTTAGATTCAGTGCTGGTTAAATTGACAAGTTTTATATTTCAAAGCTAACGGTTTTGATACCCATAGAGTTATTTGTGATTCCTTTCTGCTAAATGGGTTTGATATGGCAAACCATCCATGAGCTAAGGAATTTTTAATTGAGTAGTTTGTGTTTTCCCTTTGACAGATGGTGAGCACTTATCCAGATCCTCAAAATGTTCTGTGGTGGACACGTAACTACATACATGATTTAGTAAATTATTGGAACATGATGATGTTTGATGGAATCTGTCTCTACCACCATAGATGACTCATGGAGAACTGAGCCATCACTGTGTGGCAGGTGCCCCCATACTCCACAAGAAAGGGAGAGCACGTGGCATCAGCTCTAGGGACAAGGACTGCATTCAGGCTCCCTGGGGTTCATGATGGGATATCAAAACCACACTGGTTGCTATAGTAACAGTAGCAAGAAGAAAGCAGGCATGCTTGTGGATGAAAAATTATCTTCCTTCTTTCTAAATGTGGGAGGCAGGTTACATGTTTGTGATAGCGATCTATTCTACCAGCTCAGAGAACAAATTGAAGTCTAAATACTCAGAATGCCACAAGGTTGGGAGTCAGGCCTGATTCTCAGAAGCTAGCTGTCCACTTGTGAATATAAGGGAGAGGGATTTTGTTGACACCCTTTGTCTCCTGATGGGTTTTATAAGTTAGAGGACCAACGCAAGCACAGCTGTTACTTTCAGCATCACAAATCTGCTTTGCAGAGAACTGCTATATTAATATATCCACTTTCCAGATCATCTCACAAGCAAAAATGGTAAATGATTAGAAAGATATTTCCAGCTGTTTTCAAAACCGTTTGAGAAAATAAAGTCTTAATTTCTCAGGTAAGATCTCAGAGCAGACGAACCTGTGGTTCTGCCAGGGAATCTCTAAAGCTAAGCCATAAATGAGACTTCTGTTTAATCTTCAATAACCACTTGCTGTTGCAGGCCTATTATGCAATACTCCTCAACAGGGGCCGTCTGGAAGTGCATCTCTCCACAGGGGCACGAACAATGAGGAAAATTGTGATCAGACCAGAGCCGAATCTGTTTCATGATGGAAGAGAACATTCCGTTCATGTAGAGCGAACTAGAGGGTAACAATAGCACTAAAATATTTATTATTGTAACTCAGGTGAACTTCCTTTGCTAGCATCGGTATCTATCAGTATCTGCCTGAACCTCTGTGTGTGTGGACCTACTATGCATTGCAAAAGGATACCGTAGCTTAATTCCCTCTTCTTTACTTTTCATACTTCGGGAACCTCATTTGCCTCAGCCCTTAGGAGTTCTACCCTTAACATTTTTATTCGTGCAGTTATCTCCACCTTTGGAAAAACCAAATGCATTTTCTGAAGCTATAAATAAGAAAAATCCCTCCCTCTGCCCCTCTTAAATATTACCTCCTCAAATAAGGTATGCACACAGCAAAACTCACAAATCAGCTCCACTGGAGCCAGCAGGCTTTGGCGGTTTCTATCTCATTCAGGTTCCAAAGCAGTTATGGCAGCTGCTTAGCTGTCACAGATACAGAGTGTGGCAGCAGCTGCAGGACCTATTGAGCCTATTAAGTGCATATCTTGTCCCTGTCCCCCTTCCCAAGGTTTGCAGGGTCCCTGCAGAGTGGCTTTCTGAGGGAACAGAATCAAGGGAGGGGAGGAAAATGACTGCTGCCCTGAGCCTGGCCACCTTTTTACAAATCTACCAGAGTGCTTGCCCCAGCCCTGGGCCAGGGAATTGGCTTTACTCATGCACAAACTGATGACTTTCTTTAGAATGCTGCAATACTTTATACTTACTTTATTAGGAAAGTCATCTGTATTTTTCATCAAAATATTGTATGACAACTCAGAGAGATAATTAGTTTAGAAGGACAATTAGAGAAAAAAGAAACAGAAGCCCAGAGACTTCAGGGGTTCAGACCTCCAAGCCAGCAATCCATTTATCAGACTGAAGACATAGAAAAGAACTGGAAATCCAATTTGATGAGGCCTCAAAACACAGAGGATACTTTTAAATGCAACGAGTATGAATATGTAGCAGTAGTTCAGCCAAGCCAATACTATCCTGCAGTGAAAGACCTACATTTACTAATTATCCTCTTGGGGAAAACATTTAGATAAGCAATAAAGATTTCTTACCTTCTAAGTAAACAACAAAGCTTTCCTCAGTTTTTATTATTATTATTATTAGGTAGAGGATTAGGCTGTAGGATGAATTGATACAAAGCGTTCATGCAGAATGGCTACTGAGACGTTTAGAAACCATGATCGAGACAAATGAGGGATCATTTATTTGGACAAACTGAGAACTTTTACTAATCTAACAGCCAGATATTGTAGTCATGGTCTCTGAGGAGAAATGCAAACTGAATGCTCTCATTTGAATCTTAGAATGCTTTAGAATCCTGGTTTCACATGTCTTCTAGATTAGATGTTAGGCCCTTTGACAAACTTTAATCCTTTTCATTGCGGAAAGGACTTTTTAAAAGATTTAAACTTTAGCCGGGCGTGGTGGCTCACACCTGTAATCCCAGCACTTTGGGAGGCCAAGGCAGGTGGATCATGAGGTCAGGAGTTCGAGACCAGCCTGGCCAATATGGTGAAACCCCGTCTCTACTAAAAATGCAAAAACATTAGCCAGACATGGTGGTAGGCGCCTGTAATCACAGCTACTCTGGAGGCTGAGGCAGGAGAAATGCTTAAACCAGGGGGACAGAGGTTTCAGTGAGCCGAGATCGCACCACTGCACTCCAGCCTGGGCAACAGAGCAAGACTCCAACTCGGAAAAAACAAAACAAAACAAAAACATTTAAACTTTAAGGAATTTCAATAAGTAACTGCAGATTTGAGAAATTAGTTTACCGAAATCACTCAAAATGTGTTATTTTGTTGAGAAAGAATTCTGGAATTCCCAAATGCATTACACTATTGTACCACTATGCCACTATGTCCTTTTAACAGGTGCTTCTTCAAGAAGGGCATTTTATTATGCCAACTTCACAGCTGTTGACCATCAATCCAACCTTTATTTGATTAAGCTCAGTATATAGTACATCACTGGAAACCAGTCATTTAGTTAATTGGCCATATAAACGAACAGTTTTGCCATTCATTGTTAATTACAGGATAATATATGACATATTAGTGTGTAGTCACTGAACTCTGTGCCAAAACAGTAATACATTTGCTACCATAATGGCTCATTCGGCACTCTAAGGTTAAAATGCAATCTACTCTATAAGCAAGTGCCACATTAAACTGATTGACCAGAGATCGCAAGTGACCATGAGAACTTCACCCAGAAAAAATTTTTAATGCTTTATATGCCTATTCTATGGCATGATTTGTGTCACATACTAGACAAAGATGATTTGTTTTCATTGTTCTGAATGTATGTGAGATCTGTAATAACATCCTTTCATCACAGATGAGAAAATATTAACTAACCTGCCCAAAATCATGTACTACAAATAACAGGACCAGGTATTAAATGAGATGATATATTTGACTTAAATACCTCCATCTATGCACAGCCAATAGATTATTCTTACATTTTTGTGTGACCATAAAGGTTTATATTACTAAATGTTGATTATGATGTATGATTATTAATTTGGAGATATTTGCATTATCCCAACACTTTTCAGATTTTCAGACTATGCATGTCAGTCATCATTTCTTTTCCTAAAATCCTGGACAAAATGATAGCTTTAATACCGCCTCACAAAATAATTGGATTTTCACCAAACTGGGGGCCAAGCTTCTCAAGAAGCTCCTTCTCCCTTGTCCTCTGCCTCTCTTTACTCCTCCTCCCTCATTCTCTCTCCCTTCCACCCCTTCATCTGGAAAAATCTCCCTTTAGTCACTTTGGTATCTAATTTCTTGGCACTCCAGTGACCTCTGCCTCCTATATCTGCTTTGTCCTCTGATCCTTCTCCTGGCATCCGCCTTGGTGGCCAGCAGTTCTTACTGGACAAAAACATCAAACCCTAAGAGCCTGAAGTAGTTACTTAAGCAAATAGGACAAGCAACTGAACTGAGTTTTTCTTCTGGGAAAGCTTTCTTCACACAGGTACAGAAATAGGCTAAAGGTCAGGAAGTAGGGTGAGATATTTTAGGAGTCATTTGGGGTTTCCAGAATGAGATAAAGATTTTAACACTGAACCCTAAATATTTTCTTTCTTAACATCCAAAGTATGTTCAAACAGAAAAAAGATTAGATTCTATTTATTATGTAAATTACAAACATTAGGACACATTTCTCTTAATATCTTCTTCCACGTATGCAATCCAACTGATATGGTTTTAAAAAAAATCTTAAACCCACATTCCAAACAAATAAGAAATAGGGTATAAGTAATCAAGTAATTATGAAACTCTAAGAATCAGCCACTGAAACTGTAAAAAAAAAAAATAAAGCTGACCTATTACAATACTAAAGTAATACAAAGTTTAATGTACCTTTTTGCACATAGCAGGCCTCAGTAAAAAGCTGTTAAATAAATACTTTTTAAAAATGGAAAACACACCAGAATCATAATGGACATATTGGCAATGTCCTTCTCAATAAAAACTAAAGAAATGATCTAGATTTGATGTTCCTAAAAGGTAAAATAGGAGCAGGATTTAGCTGTAGTTTTCTAGCAATGCCCTTTTTAAGTAATACAGCCTCAGGGCAATCCCTTAATTAATATTTTCCGCTGTTTGAAGTAGGTATTTTTATCTCCATCTTATAAATGAATGAAATGGACCTGAGCATGATTAAATAACTTGCCCAAGGTCACACAGCTAGTAAGCTTCCACACTAGTACTTAATTCCAGTATGTTCCTCCTGAAAGCCCACACTCATTCTCCATCACCACCCTGTGAATTGGTTTAAAAAAAATAAGGGTCACTATGATGGTCCTTGTGGCAGAACCACACTACAGAGAGAGGCTACACCAGAAAGAGGAAGGCCTCTAGCTTTTTAAAATTCTAATCAAGAACAGAGATTTACTCTCCTTGGACAATCTTTAACAGAGGCTTATATCCTTCATTAAAACCTTAGAAGCCCTGTGATATCATGTTGCTAAGAAGAGGCTGCTTTCAGCTAAAGGGGAAAAAGAGTGTAGGGGAGGGGCTTCTCAGTGAGTCACACATACCCGGAAGTGAGTGGTTTTCTGAAATTCTCGTCTCAGGAAACCACCGACACTCTTAGCAAGGAAGCTGAACCTCCTGGGTTTTGCCAACACATTTTTCCATAGTTTGGTAAAGAAAGAAACCTCAAAAGTATGTCATTTCCCCCTATTTTCTCTTTGAAACTAAATTTTACCGGTCCCTTCTTCACCCCCTTAACAGTGACGTTTTTGAGCCACAGCGAAATCCATTTTTTGTCCCTTTCTCTTACTTTTGAATTATCTTACTTGTAAAGTGCCAATTCAGAGCATCTTTACCCTGGCTTATTGTTTTTTCCAGTTCTACATGTGGTTTTACTTCTTTATAAAGTCAAGTAAGAGGGTACTTTAGGACTGAGGTTTCCATCCAAGTACTCCGGTTTTCTCTCCAGATATGAAGTAAGTTTTCAGTAATCCATTCATGATCCCCAGGCTAGTGACTAATGCTTATGACTAATAGCACCATGATGACTGTTAAGACCGAAACTCAAAACTTGCTTCCGGAACAAAAGAGAAAATGCCTTTGGTCATTTTCATCAGAACTCTTTGTCTCCTTCTGATTCTTGGCCCAGGGATCCAAGGATTGTTGTAAATAAGTAGCATGAGGTTCTCAATTAGCAGTGTGTGAGTTCTCTCTCATAAGCAAATTAGGAAAATTAATGAAACAGCCACTAAGGAAAATCATTGCAAGGAACAATTAGCAGGGTGTCCTTGCCTGCCTCTTCTATTCAAAAGCCATCAGCTACATTCTTTATAAAAGGTGCTTTAAGTGTTTGCTGTTGATTCCTGCAATCTAAGCTCTCAGGAGCATGGTTTGTTCCCTAGCAAGAAGATAATAGCCAGCACAACCCAAGGAAGACCCCATGCTTTGCTAAACCTGCCAACCCTTATACGGTTAGACATTACTGCACACTGCAGAAGCCTCAGTTCTCACAGGCTCATGTGTTGGGCTGCACAGCGCTGTTGTCAGCTCTACAAGAGGCTAATGTTGCAGTGCGCCATGACCTGGTTTCAGTAAACTTTCAGGAAGAGTGAACGAGGGAGTCATGGAACGAGATCCTGAGAACAGCGTTTGCTTAGTGTAGAATTCCTAAGCATCCAATTTTGGCTCCCTTAAAAGCTATGGTTGAGAGGGGTGAAGGGTGGCAGGAAAGAATTTGATTTCCAACTGTATTGAATCAGATGTGACTTATACTTGTTTATTTTTAATATTTTATCAGCATCTTTACAGTTCAAGTGGATGAAAACAGAAGATACATGCAAAACCTGACAGTTGAACAGCCTATCGAAGTTAAAAAGCTTTTCGTTGGGGGTGCTCCACCTGAATTTCAACCTTCCCCACTCAGAAATATTCCTCCTTTTGAAGGCTGCATATGGAATCTTGTTATTAACTCTGTGTAAGTGGATCTCCTCATTACTACTACTAATTTTTTATTTTTATTTCTTGCTATTAGGGGTCCCAATGCATCTACATTGTCTACAGCTATGCAGGGGAGGAGGGAAACAATGAGGATCTTCAACTTAGACTGAGAAAAGCACACTAATGGACTTAAAAAGGCATGCGGGGATTGGGCTTAATTGTAAGGAAGCAAAAAAACGAAAATAAAAAAATCTTATTTATTACATTCTATTAGCCCCATGGACTTTGCAAGGCCTGTGTCCTTCAAAAATGCTGACATTGGTCGCTGTGCCCATCAGAAACTCCGTGAAGATGAAGATGGAGCAGCTCCAGCTGAAATAGTTATCCAGCCTGAGCCAGTTCCCACCCCAGCCTTTCCTACGCCCACCCCAGTTCTGACACATGTAAGTGTTTATATTATCCCCATTGCTTTCTAATTTTTACCCAGTATTCTGAGTCATTTCAGAAGGAAGATTATTCAGGATATCTAGTACACTCTGATATTAGAATTGAAAGAAATATAACCTATCTAAACCTATTCTTACATCTTCATTGAATGACTTACCTATATTTCCATCTTCAATTTTGTTTACAAAACAGTACATTTTCAGTTGAAATGTTGGAAAACACAGAAATATCCAGAATCATGAATAAAAGACACTTATAATACCATGACAGAGGCAACCATGTTGGTTTCCAGGCCCTTTTATCTGCATAGTAGATGTCCTACCTTGTATACAATTTGGTGTCCTGTTTTTAGAAACTAGTAATACACCACTAAAACTGTTTCTAGGCCAGGCGCGGTGGCTCACGCCTGTAATCCTAGCACTTTGGGAGGCCAAGGCAGGCAGATTGCCTGAGCTCAGGAGTTCGAGACCAGCCTGGGCAACCACGGTGAAACCCCGTCTCTTCTAAAATACAAAAAAATAGCCTGGCATGGCGGTGTGCACCTGTAGTCCCAGCTACTCAGTAGGCTGAGGCAGGAGAATCGCTTGAACCCAGGAGGCGGAGGTTGCAGTGAGCCGAGATCACGCCACTGTACTCCAGCCTGGGCAACAGAGCGAGACTCCATCTCCAAAAAATAAAAATAAATAAATAAATAAAAACTGTATCTAAACATCATATAAATGTGTATGTCTAATATGATTTTATGTTAAGTATATATACACACAGAGACACACAACTATTTTATAGTATTGGAGGTCATATAGCCTTGATTAGAGCATGGGCTCAAGTCAGACTGCTGGTATTCAAATCCCAGCACTGTAACCGACCATCTGTGTGAATTTGGGAAAGCTACCTGTCCAATCTATTTCTCAGTTTCCCATCCAAGTACTAACCGGGCCCAACCCTGCTTAGCTTTTGAGATCAGAAAAGATCGGATGCTTTCAGGGTGATTTGGCCATAGACTATTTCTGTTTCCTCATCTGTCAAATGAGGATATTAACAGCACAGACATCAAAGACTTTGTATCAGAGTTTTAAAAGATAATGTTTGTTCAATGACTCACATATACTGAACGTTTAATAAATGGCATAAGTACTATGTAGTAATGATAATAATGAGTACTTTCACCAGCCCAGGGCTAAACAATTTTCATTCAATATTATATGTAATTCTCATAACGGCTCTGTAAAATATAGTCTTTCTACTTTTAGTCGAGTTAATAAGAATTAGCTATCTTAAGCAACCAACCCACTCACACCACTAGTAAAAGGCAGAGTAAGAATTTTATTCTAGCGAGTCAGACTCCAAAGTCTGACTCCTTATCTCTGGAACACTCTGCCTTTCCAATTTATTCTACTTTTAATAGACCATGGTAGGCTATTGAGAGTGTTTCCAGTTTTTCACTATTAGAAACTATACTCTGATGAGCTCCTCTATGCATCAAGCTTTTTCATTATTTCCAGTTATTCTTAAAATAGATAAGTAGTTAGGAAATTATAAGGCCAAAAGATGAATATGTCTAAGGTTTTCAATACACATACCTGAATTGTTTCTTCCACAGGCTATGCCAATTTACATTCTTATCACCAATACAACAAAGATGGTCACAGTCACTACACTCTTTACAGCTCATGTGTTGTGGTTATATTCCATACCAGTAATGGGTGGGCAATGTTGTCTTGAGTGCAGATCTTGAAAACTCTTGAATATCTCATTCTCTTCCTTAGTGTCCACGATGGAATTGGTTGAGCAATGTGCTCCTTGCACTAGAAATAGTTATTCAATGAGAGGCCAGATAACCATCATTCAAGAAAACTGGTTATTTACTCCAAGCATCCTTTCATCCTTTGTAAAATAGAGATATTTCATCTATCTTGCCTACAACATAGAGTTATGAAAAATCAAATGGGATAATGTATGCGGAAGTTATCTGAAAACTGGAAAAAGCATACCCACATAGACACTCTGAGGAATCCCTGCATTTAGTGAATAACTACTATGTGTCCAGTACTCTGCCAGGCATTTCATATCTGTTATTTCATTTTATTCCCACCCTATTGTTTTATTTACATTTATTTATATTGCCAGAAGTATTATATTTCACAAAGGAAAATACCTAAGATCACACAGCTAGCAAGTGGAAAGCTGTCAGTCATGGGGGGTTAGTTCCAGGAGTTGATTTCATCCTAAAGCATTCCTGAGATCTGCCACATGGATTTCAGAATGTTTCCTCAGCTCTTTCATAATTCAGCCACAGGTTAGATCTTTGCTTAGCAAAGGTAAGGTTAATGATCCTCCTCTTCACCCTCATATACCTGAAAATCATGTGTTTCTCAGACTCATAAACATGTTTTCAGTTGAAGAATTAGAAAACATCATGAGTTGAATAAACTTTTTTGACCTTGGATCCTAATGTCCACTTATAAAAATGTTTCTAGGAGAAAACAGCCTAATTTCTAAATGACTAACTTAAAATTATAAACTAAAATTGGCAAGAGCCCTAAAGATCATCTGGTCCAATCACCATCTTAATGCATGGGTTCCTTTTACATGATACTTACAGCCTTTGCTTGAACATTTCATTGACAAGATTTTCCAGTGTTATGACAAGGCAGGCTCGAGTTGTTAGAAAGCCATCGGTTACATTAAGTTAAAACTGAGTCCCTAAAACTTCTATGTAATGATTGTATTTCTATAGGCAAACACATTACATTTATGTGTCCTCTGTCTAACATCCCTTCAATAATTTGAAAATAGCTAAGTCTTCTCCTTCCCTAGGCTAACCATTTCCCTAGCTTAGGTATTCTTTGTATTATCTCATTTCTAATTACTATCCCCTCCATGATCAGTATTCTTAAATTTGAAATATTCCCTTCATAATATGGCACCTACTGCTCAAAAGGAAGTCACCAGCTCAGGGGACAGTGTGACCCCTCCCTCCCTTAATTGTTACCATATTTCTATTAATGCACCTAAGAATGTTTTAATGTTTTTAATAGATATATCATGCTACTAATTCCAAATCGGGTACCATATTCAATCAAGCAGAACCTCATGGACCTTCTTCTCTACCACTAGAACATCCTCCAGGCAGGTCTCTCAGCCTGTGCTGGTTTGGATTTTTAGGGATAACCCTGCCAGCCTCCATGGATCACCTTACTTTTCTAAGTACTTACACAAACTGCATTTTATAGGGCCTCTCAAGCACATTTTTCTGTGGTATTTAGAGATCACACTTTTTCCTTTTTTCTCAAAATAAAGATACTTGCCCATCTGGGAATGGAGATTTTTACTCATTTAAGGTTCTTTTTTTTTTTTATAACCTTCTGTTCTAATTTCGATTTCCATTTCCTCTCAGCAGTGTATGTTTTAACTTTTCCGAAAACAGAGCATTCCACTTAGTAGATGAGACAGAAGCAAAAAGTTGAGTAGCATGCCAAATTGGTTGGTTTAGAAAGAATCACAGAACATTAGAGCTAGAAGACACCCTAAAGATTCCAACTCTTAACTTGCACATGAGGAAAGAAAGCCCTCAAACTTACAGCATGGCCCAGGGGGTTACACACATGAGCGATAGTTGGCACTAAAACCCAGATATCTAAATTCCAACTGCTATTTCACCTTCTTTTTGTTTGTTTGTTTGTTTGTCTGTTTTTTGAGATGGAGTTTCACTCTTGCTACCCAGGCTGGAGTGTAATGTCACAATCTCGTCTCACTGCAACCTCCACCTCCTGGGTTCAAGCAATTCTCCTGCTTCAGCCTCCCGAGTAGCTGGGATTACGGGCATGCACCACCACTCTTGGCTAATTTTGTATTTTTAGTAGAGACGGGATTTCTCCATGTTGGTCAGGCTGGTCTCGAACTGCCAACTTCAGGTGGTCTGCCCACCTCAGCCTCCCAAAGTGCTGGGATTACAGGCATGAGACACTGCGCCCGGCCTATTTCCCCTTCTTTTGCACATTATAATTAGTTATGACTGTGTGGTCAGAATTAGATTTTTTAGAACTTTCCATCTCTATTAATTGTATTATATTTTAGAAATCAGATCATGAAGCCACACATATCTTCTGTTTTAATTTGTTTCCTTTCTTATGTTCTTTTTGTGTGTGTAGGGGGAAAAGGGTGTCTTCTTTTTAAAGGTTACTAAAAGTTAAAAGTTTTACAGTTTATTTTGTAACAAATATTTATTAAGCACCTACTAAGTGCAAAGATGAATACGATATTATCATTGCTAGTCAGAGAAAAAGAGGGAGAGTTGCTTTTTCTGCCATAGCCCTCCCACTTTTATTCCATGAATTCTGGCAGGTTACTTGTCCCTTCTAAATGTAAAATAATTAATGGACAAATAAGGATAATAATATCTTCCTTCTAGGATTACTATTATGAGGGAATAAGTTATACATTTTATGCAAAGCACCTAGCACCATGCTTGGCTCAAAGTAACATTCCATCTCTCTATTTATTCTTTTGTTAGTTTAACTTTAACTTCTGTGTTTCTTTAACTTAATTATTCTAGTTAGTTTAACTTTTCACATTTTTAGGGTGGGTGGCAGGTGCTGGAAAAAAAGGGATGTGGTGAGTATTCAATTTTTAAGCAATTCCAAACCCTTTTATTGGTTTGATATGTAATGATGATATATACATTGTAATGATGTGGTTATTAAATAAGTCCTCTATAATTTTCACTTCTCACCATTTTCCATTTTTGTATCAGAATTTAGATTCTTTATTTTTTTTTTCTTGCTCTGTCACCCAGGCTGGTGTGCAGTGGCGCAATCATGGCTTACTGCAGCCTTAACCTCCCAGGCTCAGGCGATCCTCATGCCTCAGCCTCCTGAGTAGCTGGGACTGCAGGTGCATTCCACCATGCCCGGCTAATTTTTGTATTTTTAATAGAGATGGGATTTCACCATGTTGGCCAGGCTGGTCTCGAACTCTTGGGAAGTGATCCACCTGCCTCAGCCTGCCAAAGTGTTGAGATTACAGGCATAAGCCACCACGCCTGGCCCAGAATTTAGCTTTTTAAGAGTTGTTATTTAAGAACTAAGACTTAAAAGTTAACTCCTGAAGTGAGAACTGCCTATTTATGAGCTCCATATTTGTGCTAGCACAGTTGACAGAAAAGATCTATTCTCAGTGCCCTTCTTTTTCTTCTTTACACCCATCACACCCAATCCTGCCAGCAACTTACAGCATGAGGACAACATTCACTATACTACAGGGCAATGTAAGGGTGTCTTGAGAAAGCCCTGCCTTGTGAAATGGATTATGTCAATCTTATGATTAATTCATGTTGAACACGCTAGATTAAAGAGCATTTCATGCATATTATCTCATTTGATATTATGGTAGCTTGTCTTCTCTTTATACTTCTCTCTTATTCTTTAGCCCATCGAGAGCTAGAGAAAACATTTCTACATGTTCTATTTGTGGATATTTTTCATGGAGGATGGCAGGAGGTAGAGGTAGATAAGAGGCTGAACTTCAAGTATTACAGAAATTTGTTGACATGTGGAAACGTGACAAGTTCTCTGCAAGTATGTGCACTGTTTAGACCAAGTCTTTTTAACAAGGATAGCCTGTGTGGATTTGTAGATAATGAGCTGGCTGCATTCTTTTACTTGAATTTTATTGAAGAGTTCAGCCGTAAACCTCACAGTTTAAAATGTGAAAACTAAGAAAAACAATACAAGTAGCCATGGAGAATTCCTGTACTGATGAGCTCTCTTTGGGATTTGGGGAAAAGAAGTGAGCACAGAAGGAAAGAATAGAGGAAAGGAAAGCGATTTCCCTAGCAGCTTTAGTGCTACACCTTTAAGACCTAAGTACAGTCAAGGCCAAAGGATAAACTGATTGGATACTGATATGTATTTAAAGAGAAAACATACATTTTCCACTTATCAAGGAATCCTTGTTTAGACATTAATGTATAAATATTACTGTAAATGCCCAAGACCCACCAAAAGAGCTTAAGTGCAGTGTTAACAATAATTCAGTTTCTCAATAAACATCTTGAGTAGGGCTTTTATATTTTAGAAGAAGATTAAAGTCAGTGCTATAAAAAGTATCTTCCACTTATTCATCCATAAAGAAAATCATGACAAATAAGCACCAGATGTGATTTTAGCCCACATTTATTAGAGAAATTAATTATTGACTCATGAAAGAAGAAAATTATGCAATTTCTATGATGATTCATTGTTTGGTGCTTTCAAGAACAAAGATGCCAGTTTTGATAAATGTAATATAAATCTCTGCTCAGGACCCAGGAAATTCAAGAGATGCTTATCAACGAATCATACGCACTCCTGAATCTAAGAACTCATTTCCAAATGTCAGCCACCAATCTGCAGTTAGTTAGAAAAGACCATTGCTTTATTCTGACCTGAAGTTAAATGAGTGACAGTGTGGGGGTGAAAACGTTTTGGCCCCGTTACCAATTTGGTGCACTATCTACTTCCCTAAACAAGGCTTTGGGAGCATGGCTTCCTCCATAATTATTCCCAACCACATCACTGCTCTAATCAACAGGTGCACCACCACGCGAGACTCCCCACCCAAGTCCTGTCTGCCTACAACTTGTAACCTGCCAAGCAAAGGCAAATGAAAAACAAGCGTATCTGTCCTCCTTTCATATCCCATTTTCCCCATTATCTATTTCTAGTACTTTAAAAAGTCCCCACAAGGTGGCAGAATTGTAACACGTTGAGATTGATGAGCCTCTACTGAGACTGTGAATTTTTTTTTTTATTATTATTGTTGTTTTAACACATTTGAGAGATTAGTGCGTCCAAAACAACACAGGTAAAGCATCACATCCATAGAGATGAGGACGCCTTCAAGTATACACTAGCTTAGAAAAGGATGATTCATCTTGCAATGACCATTCTTTAAAAGTTCCTTAAAATTACCTCATTAGATCTTTTCTCTTACCCTTTTTTCTTAGCTTAGATTTCAGTGGCAAGCAGAGTTGAAAACATCATCCTTAGTGACAAGATCATTTTATTTCTGAGCAAAGCACAGGGCAGTTTCTATTCCATCTCACTTGTTCCCCCTTTAAAATGCTAGAAGGAAAAAAGAAGCTTGAGCAGCTGGATGAGCAGCTCCACCCACTGTGGGACATGAGGCAGAAGGAAGAGAAGAGGAAGCAACACCGGGCAAAGCAATAAACTGGTGCTGCCCTGAACACATCATGTTTTTTTTCTTTTTGAGACAGGTTCTTGCTCTACTGTCCAGGTTGGAGTGCAGTGATGCAATCATAGCTCACTCTAACCTTGAACTCCTAGGCTCAAGTGATTCTCCTGCCTTGGCCTCCCGAGTAGCTGGGGCTTTCAGCATGCAACAACATGCCCAGCTAATTTTTTATTTTTTTAATTTTTTTGTTGTTGTTGTTCTTTTGGAGAGACAGAGGGGGGCAGGGGTCCTCACTTTGTTGCCCAGGCTGGTCTCAAACTACTAGCCTCAAGCGATCTTCCTGCCTCGGCTTTCCAAATGCTGGGATTAAAAACATGAGCCACCACGCCCATCCCTTACACCCATCAGACTTGGTTTCAGTTTACCCAAGGAAAAGTGATGCAAGGAAGACACCCTTTAACCAAGCAAGGGGGAGGTCGAGATTTGTACAAAACACTACCAAATTAGAGGGTGGGGAATTTTTGTCCCATTTAAATCCTAAGGTACATATTTTTAAAAACCCTCTTACACCAGCACTTCTCAGTCCTTTTCCAACTGCCAGTTTAATAAAGGAAGGTGATAGAAGTTTTATTAAAACAGTATCCATCCTGTTGCAAATCAATGATTGATAGTAAACATCACCTTGGATGTCCTTAAAAACAAAGGACTATACACCATAATGGCTTTAAACTTTGAGGTTACATGTTAGAGTGATCAGTTTGGTACAACTCTTTTCCATAACATTGGCTCATCTGAGAATACCGTTTTATTAAGCACTGCTTCTGCCTGCTTCTTGAGGGCTGCCCGTTGCAGAAACGGAGGATCTAATCCAGGAGGTGTTCTTCTTCCTAAATTTCAAGTGGATGTAACCTGTAATGATTCTTAAAAGAACTTTGACAAAGTCCCTGTCCTTTTCTGGTCAAAGGTTTTTTTCTAAAATGGCTTGACCAGTGCCTTGTCCATCTAGAAAATCTCATAGTATACAACGAAACAACAACAAAATAAAAACAAACCAAAAAACTGCTGCTTAGCTCAGGACCAGTTTTGGATACACCTGTCCAGTCTACCAGCAATCCAAAAGTTCCCCATAACATACAGCTGCTACCGGGAGTGTACAACTGCCACCTTGAAAATTTTTTAAATTTTAATAGAGAAGTTATATTGACATTTACATATAGTAATTAGACGAGTGACTGTAACCGCAATAATATGGACATAACCCACTGGTGGTTCTCTTTTAAGCTACATGTAATTGTTTCCTAATTCCTCAGCATCCATCCACCTTTCTTAATCCCTCAATTTTCAGAGCTGAGGGTGTAAAGATGTTTCAGTGAAATTCTGCCCCCAGTGGACTCACAGCAGATAGGATTATCTTAGTGATTTCTGAGGAAGACTGCAAGCTGCGTGTGTTTATCGAGACGGTCCTCTGTCCGGGAAATATCGTGAGAGGCTGATAAAAGATCCCAATTCTATTAATAGAAGTATTCATGACTGAGATCTTAAGCTACAGAGGCCTTTCCATTCGGGCTCTTTTTGCAGGCAGCGTAATAAGAAAGGTGCCACATGCTGCCTCTAAAAGAGGCCATTCAGCTGTGCGAATGAATAGCATTTTCCTGTCCTACCCACGGGGTTTTGCATAGCTGTGTGAATTTCGGCCACAGTCTGCTCTTTATAACTGACCATCTCCTGGGAAGCAAGAAGGGAAATACTTCCATGAAGACCAATTTTACGGCATTTCAAAACACTTTAAGCCTTTTACCTGCTGTGGCAGAGTGCTTCGTTTGACTAAGATCAAGAGAAAAGAGAACAAGGCTTTTCCTCATCAAGTAAAAATTTCCTGTGTGCTGATGAGTCATCTCTGAGGTACACTCTTTGGGAAGAACACTGTGCATCAAAAGCCTGCCTTGGGCTGCTTGAGAACCTCTGCTGAGTCAGCACTCACTGGGGCAGCGGCCCAGCCAGAGCTATTAAGTGCAGATCTTAAAAACAGATGTGTTGGTGAGAGTGTGCAGGTTATTTTCTCATGTACTGCATGTTCTAAGAGATGTCATAAGCAGCCTGTATATCGACCTATCTTGTGAAAATAGAGAACAGGGAAAGGAATTGTGGCTTTGGTAATTTAAGGAGCCTTGATTATTTATGGAGCTGTGTGTTATGGTAGCCAAATGTGATCTACTCAGCCAGGACTGCTGTATGCTTTGCAAGGCCCAGTGCAAAATGGAAAATGCAGGGCCCCTCACTGAAAAATTATTAAGAATTTCAAGATGGTGACAGCAGAGCATTAAACCATGTGACTGCACAGCCCCGCACCTAGCTCTCCCCCTCAGCACCCTAGGAAGCTGATCTTTGAACAGTGGCAGTTGAAATGGTGTATGGTGGGTTACATTTTTAAAATGTGCTGGGTTGCCTAGCAACTGGCAAGGGCCTGAATGGGCTGACGTGCAGGTTTAGATACACCATCTTGAAAGTCTACATTCATGGAAACCTTCTAGTGGACTGATAATTTTCAAGAAAAAGTAATATAGTGGGAGATGGAAATGGGGAGGGCAAGAAAAAACACATTTTGCTACTCTTATAACCCAAGTGGCTAGCTTGTCATTTTCCCTGTTCGATCTTCTAAGAATAGAGCTCTTCATATGTGAAGGAAAAATGAAAGGGAAATTCCAGTTTTCTCAGAAATATACATAAATTTTTAGAGGATAATGAAACTATGAGTTAATCAATAAATATGTCTGAGCACATTCCTTTAGCCATTCCAGGGTGTGATATGAGAAAACTGATTCACACGCACTGAGCACTCAATAATAAGTACTTACTATGCAGTAGACTACAGAGATGAATAATGTAGTTTTTATTCTTAAAGAATTACGCTAATATGTAAGAAACAATTAGACAGCATCATTACCTTTTTAAAGAACAGTCCATAATCTCCTGTTTTTCTCTCCTGGGTATTTTACAGGGTCCTTGTGCTGCAGAATCAGAACCAGCTCTTTTGATAGGGAGCAAGCAGTTCGGGCTTTCAAGAAACAGTCACATTGCAATTGCATTTGATGACACCAAAGTTAAAAACCGGTATGTATCATCCTGAGACACTGGGAAAGAACCGATAAATGAAGAACTGAGTATTTGTGTTTAATCAAGTTGAATCTACTACACTTATTAATTAATGAAGTTAGCTTTTCTTTTATTCACTGAGTACAATAGAGAATAGAATTTTATTTGTCTGAGCCTGAGGAGCCCAATTTAGGAAATCAGTAGCCTGATAAAGTCCTCATCTCTGAGAAGGTTTTACTCTCCTTTATGAAAATGCAGCCACGATCTGATACCGCTCTATTTTAGCATGAGAATGCTGTTATTTTTCTGTTTGACTTTGCATGCTTTTGTTTCACAGTCTCACAATTGAGTTGGAAGTAAGAACCGAAGCTGAATCCGGCTTGCTTTTTTACATGGCTCGCATCAATCATGCTGATTTTGCAACAGTTCAGCTGAGAAATGGATTGCCCTACTTCAGCTATGACTTGGGGAGTGGGGACACCCACACCATGATCCCCACCAAAATCAATGATGGCCAGTGGCACAAGGTAATAGTCCCCTGGATATTGGCAGTACCCTAAGGGAATTACTGAGTGGCAGCCATCAGCATTCTCCTGGTGCCAGTATATTTTGCCAGGGCAGACACTGACTCTGGCAGAAGCTAAAAATAAAATAAGTGCCATATACAACTACCACAATCTTGGAAAATGTGCTCAGACCTGTGTAGGTTTGCATTTGACCACTGGCATGCCTCATCATGGTTCCATCACTGCTATATGGCTGTGGTTTTCAAACATCTACCCATAAACTGAGGCCAGGTGGCTGAAGACATTTCCACTGCTCTAAGTGAGAAACGTAGAACAGAGTGTGTTCACCATCAAGCTCGATGTATTCAATTTTAAGGAATAATATTTATTCTGAGATTATATTATAGCATTTTTATGGTGGCTAAAAGGCCTTTCTATTATGAAATAGTATTTGCCAAAAGCAAAAGTTGGCAACACTAAAATGGGTCCCAAGACTCCCCACCTAACCACACAGTGGTCTGTGAAAACCAGGAATCCAGGAATCTCTGGTTGATCGTGTTTAAAGGGCTCTAAGGTATCATTTCTACTGACAGTTATTTGGAACAACTTTAAAAACGTTGGCCTTACACCCAGAAACTGGTACTATTATGGGCACAGAAGGCTCATTTGCCAGCTTACTGTCCTCTTTGGCATGACTGCAAATAGATAATATACTGCCTGATTAAAACAAAATCTCAACATTTGTCTCTGCACCTGCGATAGCCTATTAAAGCAAAGCTTCCCTAGGTAGACCAATAAAATTTTTAATTTTCAGAGTACGATATTATTAGATGTTAGATTTGGTTAATGTTAACATACTTTGACTTGTCATATTCTAGAAAGCCAAAGAACCTTAAAAAACGCGAAGCCAACCAATTTGTTATCATGGAAATAAGAAAAGGAATCTTCATTTTTGCTGGGAGCTTATGACTAGCAAATACAGATCCAAATGAAGGAGCTCTCATTAAGAGTTCTTCCATCTCTAGCTAATAGAATAATAAATATGACATTTGAGAAAAAGACATATTGTTGAACCACAATGAGGCTGGGATTAAGAAAGGGAACTTAAATACTATAATTAGTCAAATTAATAACGGATTTTATTTTTGATGGTTTTTAAAAATTACTTCCCAAACCAGAATAGATATGTGTAAAATGAAGTGTGAAATTACTCTAATCCTGACCCAGACTCATTTTTAAACCATCATGGTACTTTAGCATTTCACAGGCTTTCATGCTCCTTTACCTAAATTCAGACTCAAGGTTTTTATACTCCAGCCAGTCTTTACACCCCTTATTTCATTCTGTCTCAGAAGATAATTCACTCCACCGCCCTAAATTTCAGCCTCAGTCACTTCTCTATCTTACTCCCCCACTTTGTACTCATCAGGTTCTGCAGAAAGTAGTGCAGCTTATTTGTGCCACTCTTTCTTTAATTCTGCACAAGAAGGGCCTGTTAGGCAAAGGGATGTAGCGTATCTGAAATTGTGTTGGGAGCCCAGGCTCTTTGCTCAATCAAACTAATGCACTTTTAAAACTGTGCATGAATTTTGCTACCCACTTAATTTATGAAAGTGCTATTAGTCTGCAGGGTTCCTTACAACATTCCTCCCTCTCCACACATATCCACATTTGGCAATCTACCGAGGAGACTTCGACCTAAAACTGACCCAGGAAAATTTGGTATTCTTTTGGTGATAGTAGTCATGGAAAAGACAGAATTTGAGATATTCTGTAAAATGGGTTTAACTTTCCCATATATAATGGGCTTAGCGCATACTAAGCACTGTGTACATTGTTTCAATTTTTCTTGGTAACATCGTTAGAGTCCTTATGTCTTATACTCTGCATATGTGAAATTTGTTCAGGATTGGCATTAATGACTCCTTTCTTTTTTGTAGATTAAGATAATGAGAAGTAAGCAAGAAGGAATTCTTTATGTAGATGGGGCTTCCAACAGAACCATCAGTCCCAAAAAAGCCGACATCCTGGATGTCGTGGGAATGCTGTATGTTGGTGGGTTACCCATCAACTACACTACCCGAAGAATTGGTCCAGTAAATATCTGATTTCTTCTTTATTACTTAAATATATGGCTGATTCATTTATTGATATATTTTGACTTATTAGGTCACATGGGCCCATGAAAACTGATAGGTGAATAGGAAGTCATCTTTTCTGATAAGGGACAGAAGGGTTTGTTGTTTATTTGTTTGTTTGTTTGTTTTGAGACAGAGTCTCGCTCTGTCGCCCAGGCTGGAGTGCAGTGGTGCGATCTTGGCTCACTGCAAGCTCTCCCTCCCGGGTTCACGCCATTCTCCTGCCTCAGCCTCCCTAGTAGCTGGGACTACAGGTGCCTACCACCACGCCTGGCTAATTTTTTGTACTTTTAATAGAGACGGGGTGTACTTTTAATAGAGACGGGGGGTTTCACTGTGTTAGCCAGGATGGTCTCAATCTCCTGACCTCATGATCCGCCTGCCTCGGCCTCCCAAAGTGCTGGGATTACAGGCCTGAGCCACCTCGCCCAGCTGACAGAAGGTTTTTTAGATAGATTAGATTATGAGAGACAATGCCACGGAACACTGAGTGGGGAACCTGGAGCCAAACTGTCTTGGTTTGAATACCTATTTAACTATTGACTAGCTGTGTGTTTTGGAGCAAGTTAATCTTTTTTAACAAAGATTTCTCTTTTGCAAAACAGGGTAATGATAATACTAAACAAAAAGGATTGCATAAAGATTAAATGAGGTAATTTATTTAAAGTGATTGGGTTGGGCATGGTGGCTCACACCTGTAATCCCAGCACTTTGGGAGGCCAAGGCAGGCAGATCACTTGAGACCAGGAGTTCAAGATGAGCCTGGCCATCATAGCAAAACCCTGTCTCTACAAAAATACAAAAAGTTAGCCAGGTGTGGTGGTGTGTGTCTGTAGTCCCAGCTACTTTGGAGGCTGAGGCAAGAGAATCACTTGAACCCGAGGGTCAGAGGTTGCAGTGAGCTGTAATAGCACCACTGCATTCCAGCCTGGGCAACAGAGCGAGACCCTGTCTCAAAAAAATAAATAAATAAATAAATAAAAATAAAAATAAAGTGATTGGAAGAGTAGCAGGCATATAAAAAGCACTGAAAGATGAAAATGATGGTATGTATTCATGGTGTTTCAGGCATAGAGATTTAGCAAATATTGAGAGGTGCAGTAGTTACAGTACAGTTATCCAATTTTGGATTCAGAATTTAAAGCCCTCACAGTTTTGTAAATCAATATTCACAAAATAATTTTTTATTAGACCGTGTATCCTAGTTTGCTTTGGAAAGTGTTACTCTGAGAGAAGCACGGGGGATTGATTGGTGCTTTTAGAGAACACACTAGATACAAATGTGATACATTTCTATACTCAAATTAGAACACATGATAATGTAGATTTGTTCATTCATCAAAGACAATCACCCATTATAGTTGTAATTCTCAGTATTTGGCTTCTCTTGTGGATGATCAGTATTACTTTTCTTTCATAGGTATTGGATATGCTTTTTAGGTCTATCAAAAACTAAAGTCTCTGAAGTGACACTGGTACAAGCAATTCACTTGAATTTCTAAAAACAGATAAAATATAATGGACCAGAGTGTGATTGAGTTACTTCTAAATTCCTTGAACCCCCAATGTTTCATGCAAACTTTCAAGTTTTATGCATATTTGCATTTTCTTAGGGGAGGGTCTGCTGCTTTCATTAGATATTCAAAAGGAAGAAGCACTGAACCAAACCTAATTACCTTTTCAAATAGAAATTGAACATAGGCTATGACAAAATGGGTATATAGTAAGGTTAATAAACTATTAATAGAAACATAAAATCAGGAACGTAAGAGACCAATTAAAACTTATGATACCAACATGGGGCCCATAGCTCTGTCAAACCAATGGAGACATAGTGTGCAGTATTTAGACTATGAGAACAGTCATATTCCAGGATAGACACATCCAAGTTGAGAAGCACAACACAGGATTTTCTGCATCCATGCCAGGAGGCCTGGTGGTAACAGAGAACCCAGGCAGCTTTGGGGGATATCCCATCCTAAGACAACTGGATAACTACACACATAGAGCACCCTGCAAATGACTGTATTCTACATAAAGGCAAAGTTCTGCTAAAACCTGACATTTGTTTCTTCTGATCTGAATGTTTAGGTGACCTATAGCATTGATGGCTGCGTCAGGAATCTCCACATGGCAGAGGCCCCTGCCGATCTGGAACAACCCACCTCCAGCTTCCATGTTGGGACATGTTTTGCAAATGCTCAGAGGGGAACATATTTTGACGGAACCGGTTTTGCCAAAGCAGGTAAGGCTCTTTCATTTCCTTCCTGTTGATTATTAACTAGATACAAATACTAACTTCTTGCTAGTACCAAATAATAAAAGTTCCTAGAGTCCTAAACTAGTATCCTTTATTTAAGCCAAAAAGAAACTTATGGAAGTAATTTCAAAAATGCCTCTTAAAAATTCATGTATCTGATCCTGATAAGAATTAATAGAAGAAATAAAGTAAAAGGTCTATTTAGAGAATTTATTCCATCTCCTTCACTGGAGGTTAAGAACAGCAAAATAAATAATTTTGCAAGAACACTCATATGTTTATACTATGTTGTTTTTCTACCTTCCAGTTTCTGGAGATGAGATATGATTTTTTTCTTCAATTCCCTGCAAGGCTGTATTTCATAATCTCCTCCCCATCAACACACACCCATACACACAATGCACACCCATGTCTGTTTCTTGTTGATAGTGACAATGACTGGCATCTTTCCTGGCTTTCTCCACTCCGTTTCTAATGAACATTTCCAGTATGGTTTTATATCACTGGTCATGAAGGTACAGTTAGGAAAAAGAAATAGGAAATAACCTCTACATAATAATTTTTTAATCCTTTAATTTTTAATTTTTGTGGGTACACAGTGGGTGTATATATTTATGGGTGACCTGAGATATTTTGATGTAGGCATGCAATGCATAATAATCATATCAGGGTAAATGGGGTATCCATCACCTCAAACATGTATCCTTTATGTTTCAAACAATCTGATTATACTCTTTTAGTTATTTTTAAATGTACAATTATTTTTTTTTTTTTACTGTAGTTACCCTTGTGCTAGCAAATACTAAATCTTATTCAAACTATTTTTGTATCATTAACCATCCCTACTCCTCCCTGCCACTAACCTTCCCAACCTCTGGTAACTATCCTTCTACTTTCTATCTATCTCCATGAGTTGAATTGCTTTAATTTTTAGCTCCCACAGATAAGTGAGAACATGTGATGTTTGCCTTTGTGTGCCTGGCTTATTTCACTTAACATAATGACCTCAAGAACCACCCATGTTGTTGCAGATGATAGGATCTCATTCTTTTTTATGGCTTATTCATATCCAGTATGTATATGTACCACACTTTCTTTATCCGTTCATCTGCTGATGGACACTTAGGTGGCTTCCAAATCTATTGTAACTAGTGCTGCAATAAACGTGGGAGTGCAGATATCTCTTCAATATTCTTTTGGGTATATATCTAAGAGTGGAATTGATGGATCATATGGTAGCTCTATTTTTGGTGTTTTGAGGAACCTCCAAACTGTTCTGCATAGCAGTTGCACTAGTTTACGTTCCCACCAACAGTGTACAAGGGTTCTCTTTTCTCCACATCCTCGTCAGCATTTGTTATTGCCTGTCTTTTGGATAAAAGCCATTTTAACTTGGGTGAGATGATAGCTCATTGTAGTTTTGATTTGCATTTCTCTGATGATCAGTGATGTTGAGCCCCTTTTGATATACCTGTTTTTCATCTGAATATCTTCTTTTGAGAAATGTCTATCCAAATCTTGTACCCATTTTTAAATAGGATTATTAGATTTTTTTCCTATAGAATTGTTTGAATTCCTTTTATATTCTGGTTATTAATCCCTTCTCAGATGGGTAGTTTGCAAATATTTTATCCCATTCTGTGGGTTGTCACTTCACTTTGTTGATTGTTTACTTTGCTGTGCAGAAGCTTTTTAACTTGATGTGATCCCATTTGTCTATTTTTACTTTGGTTGCCTGTGCTTGTGGGTATTACTCAGGAAGTCTTTGCCCATTTCAATGTCCTGGAGAATTTCCCCAATGTTTTATTGTAATAGTTTCATAGTTGGATCTCTTAGATTCAAGTCTCTAATCCACTTTGATTTGATTTTTGTATATGGCGAGAGATAGGGATCTAGTTTCATTCTTCCGCATATGAATATCCAGTTTTCCCTGCACCATTTATTGAAGAGACTGTCCTTTCCCTAATGTATGTTCTTAGAACCTTTATGGAAAATGAGTTCACTGTAGATGTATGGATTTATTTCTGGCTTCTCTATCCTGTTCCACTGGTCTATGTGCCTATTTTTATGCCAGTACTATGCCGTTTGGCTTACTATAGTTCTGTGGTATAATTTGAAGTCCGGTAATGTAATTCTTCCAATTTTGTTCCTTTTGCATAGGATAGCTGTGGCTATTCTGGGTTTCATATGAATTTTAGGAATTTTTTCTATTTCTGTGAAGAATCTCATTGGTATTTTAATAGGGATTATATTAAATCTGCAGATTGCTCTGGGTAGTATGGACATTTTAACAATATTGATTCTTCCAATCCATTAACATGGAATATCTTATTTTTGTGCCCTCTTGAATTTCTTGCATCATTGTTTTATAGTTTTTATTGTACTTTCCTCTAAGATCTGGAACACGACAAGGATGCCCACTCTCACCACTGTTATTCAACATAGTATTGGAAGTCCTAGCTAGAGCAGTCAGACAAGAGAAAAAAGTAAACGGCATCCAAGGAAGAAGTCAAATTATCCTTGTTTGCAAATGATATGATTTTGTATTTGGAAAAGCCTAAAGACCCCACCAAAAAACCATTAGAACTGATAAATTCAGTAAAGCTGCAGGATACAAAGTCAACATACAAAAATCAGTAACATTTCTATATGCCAACAGCAAACAATCAGAAAAAGAAATCAAGAAAGTAATTCCATTTACAGTAGCTACAAATAAAATAAAATACTAAGGAATTAACCAAATAAGTGAAAGGTCTCTACAATGAAAACTGCATAATAATTTTTAAAATCTGCAATTAATGTACTTTAAGATAGAATATTCAGTCCCGTGGTATCATAGAAATACGTGTATGTTCATTAGAAATAAACTAATAAGCACATAATATGTGGAGATTATGATGGGAAACAGAAATAAGTAACATAGTTCTTTCTATCAAGAATATATTATCAACTGGTAAGAAATTGAAAGAAGGCAAGTAAAAATGATTAAAGACAAAAAAAGCACAGTTCTGTAGATACTTAGAAAAAAAGATTAATTTTGTTTGGGGGATATCAGGAAACGTTTCATGGAGGAATCAGCATTTGAGCAAGGCTTCAGGTGATTTTAACACTCCCATACAAAGTAGTGGGTGATAGAAGAGTAGGACCCTCCACCAAAATATAGGTAGGAAACCCCACCTACAGGGAAGCAGAAAACAGAAAAACACAGGATATGTTAAATATTGAAACGTTACAGGTTATGCTGAACCCCGAATTCCATGTGCTATGAAAGTCTAAAAGCTTCCCCCAAGATTTCTGCAAATTCACAGATGGCTGGCATTCTCTTAGTCAAATTTTATGACAAGTTTCAGCTTCAGCTTTTGCACTTAATGGATTGACTTGCCATCCTGCCTGGGCTCTTATAATTCTGGATCAAACAAAACCAGAAAATTACTCACTTCCTCTGTTTCTAATGTCCCTTGCCATCCCCTGAACACACAGTGTAATACAATTTACATAAGACTTGGGTGGTCAGAAGAGATCACTTCACTGGAAAACATACAATTCATCTTAACCTTTGACATCTTTGTTCTTAAAAGTTTTCCAGCGACCCAATCACTGGGGCTTTTTTTTGGCCTCTTCATTCCTTCTGTCCTCAGCCGAACTTCCTCATGTCATTCCTCTCTTCTCCTTACTTCTCCCTTTCTGTTTTATTTTGCAGAGCAATTCAGCTTCTTCTACCCTTTACTTTATTTTTTCGTTTATTTCCAGAAGGGGTGTCACTATGTTGCCCAGGCGCAACTGGCTAGCTTTTATTCATAAAATCTGCTATAAACCCACCTTTGCCAATCCAAACCCATCAAGGTTCTCAGTAGAACAAAAGTCTTTCATGTAACAGCTACCATCCTTCATTGCAGACAGCCGTGGCTACACATAGCATTTATTTCTTGCCTAATAAATAGAAGACTTGGAGAAAATTCCCCTGAGTATTTCTCTGATACTCAGTTCAGTTGGTGTGGTCTAGACAGATCTTAACATATCACTTTGTTCCTAAGTGATGTATCTATCTTAAATACTTGCTCAAAGATTAAAAAAAAAATCAAAGAGTCAAATATGGAAAATCATAGAGGAAAGAATTAACTGGATGAACAAGATAAGTCTATTTATGTCCCAGAAGCTTCCCATCAACATTGTACTTACAGTTTCTCTCTTTATTAATAAAATGTGTGGCAACTTTTGAAACCTTTCAGATGATTGTGGCACCATTTAGTGTGCCCCACTAAAACTTTACTGAAAAATAACTGAAATGTTTTTCTTTACCCAACAGAGAGACTTCTAAGATAATAATACCTGACAGTGAGATTCTTTAAGTCAATCTCAGTGTGTATCCATTTATTCAAATAATACATAGTAAACCCTCATGTTGTGCCAGATACTTTGGTAAGCACAGGGATAAAATGGTGAAAAATATAGACAATGCCCCTGATCTCATAGCACATACATTCTAAAAGGGAAGGTAGCCCAGAAAATAAGCAATAACTAACTATGGAGTGTGTTACATGATGCAGTGGTGGAAGATAGGCCAGGCAGGATCTGAAACTTATAGCCCTCATTAGAATTAGCTAGCATTTGAATTGAAATATAATAAAAAGTCATGCATTGTACACGTTTGAATTAACAATCCCCATCCTCTAATCCAAAATATTTTAAAATCTTCATTTTACAGTTGGTGGATTCAAAGTGGGATTGGACCTTCTTGTAGAATTTGAATTCCGCACAACTACAACGACTGGAGTTCTTCTGGGGATCAGTAGTCAAAAAATGGATGGAATGGGTATTGAAATGATTGATGAAAAGGTGAGTGTCAGCAATGCAAACATTTCTGATTTCTTCATGATATTGTTGATGTGTAGATATCATCCATGTGTGGGAAACTCGAATATTTTGAAGCCCGGCTGTATTCTTTGTTGGGAGAAAGCTAAATTGTATGTTTTCATCCTTCTGGATTACTTCAATTTGTGTATGTTTTCAGCATGTTGTAGGCCAGTATAAATTTTAAATGCATTAATTGTACAGCAAGCCAATCGTGTTGACTAATAATGAACCAAATAGTTTGAGATCTCGAGTTCTTACTGTGTTGCTATAAACACACTCTTATTCTCCTCTTAAGGAACACACAGTCTATGAGACTATGGACTCCAGTGGGAGAAAAGGCAGAGAGGTGGATCATCTAAAATTAGTCTGCCTCTTTTAACAGGCTAGGCATCTCTTAGAAGCCAAGGTAGCCAACTGACGCATCAGTTTCTCAATTTGTTTAAAAAAGCATCCAGCTACCATTTCAAAAAACAGCAAATTTATAAAAGTAGTGTGTCAGTTTGATAATAATTGATAATCAAATTCTAAACACCTCTTTCAGCCCTGCATTAAGACAACTTTGCACTATAGGCAGCAGGTAAACAGAGAAGGGAAAACAAGAAATTTCACAAGTTTTCTATTTGGTTATTAAATAGGAATCGTACTTCAACTCAGTTCACGTTTCCACCCTTAGTGTTGCCTCCCAAGAAGAAAAATCACACAGTGACCTAAAATAGTTTTTTCTTGCTTTCTTCCTCTTTCTGCTCAATTTTCAAACTGTCCTCCAACAAAGGTAATATAGGAAAAAAGATCCACCAGCTTAGAGGTAAAAAGGAGTGAACAAATAAGTAACACTCAATAGTTTTACCAAATTTTCAAACATACTTTTACTACATCTTTTTCAAGTAACATGCTCTTAAGGGCAGTTACCATCGATATGTCACTATCATGTGCGTTTCTCACCAAGCTCCTTTTACATGCAAAAGCCTGTTATGCAAACTCCACCCAATATAGTAAACATTTCATTAATAATTACATCAATAGAGTTTACAAACTTTTCACCTATTTACTTGCATTTTTAATCTTTCTTCTTAAGACTTCATTTCTTTTCTTTTACCTTGTCGAATGTCTTGCCAAACTGACTAATGTTTTTAGTGTTTCAATATGTTTCGTTTCTTCACCAGCTTCAAAAGAATTCTGTCATCTCAAATTTCAGGGGCTTTTCCACATTACTAAAAACAGATTTTTCTCATTTAGACCAGAACTTCTAGTCTAAGTTCTTCATTGTTAGGAATTTAACTGGCCTTCTGGCTCAGGTCTTTGGCACCTGTGACATGAAACGGGCTCCAAAATGTAATTTATGTAACTCTCAATCTTGTATATAAAATGAAATCCATGAAGGAAAAAAATATAATTAAAACATCAAAAGTTTAAAATTTAAAAAATCCTTTACTTTGAATTTGTAAACCAAATTAATGAGTCACTTTAAACAATATCTTTTAAGAAAATTTTATAAGGTTCAGTCAGAACTCTCACATTCTAAAAAGACGTGAGGTAGAATTTTTCCCTGTGTACACTAGGTCCTTTTCTTGTCACCTGGCCTCAAATTTTTCTGAAAGCAGAATTATTACCAGCTTTACGTATCTTGCCTATTAACTCCCAACAATGCCCCAAAGCAAAGAGCATAATTTGTGGCTCCTGGTGATTAGATTTATACTTTAATTTGTCAAGTTTTAAAATTTTTTTCAATATGCCCAGTTACATCCATTTCAAATGATTCTGGCTGATGTCTTTCCTAGAGACCTGATCATTTGTATGTGTGAACCATCATGATACTTCTTTAATGAAACCATCTGTGACTGTTCTATTTCCTACTTTCCAGTTGATGTTTCATGTGGACAATGGTGCGGGCAGATTCACTGCTGTCTATGATGCTGGGGTTCCAGGGCATTTGTGTGATGGACAATGGCATAAAGTCACTGCCAACAAGATCAAACACCGCATTGAGCTCACAGTCGATGGGAACCAGGTGGAAGCCCAAAGCCCAAACCCAGCATCTACATCAGCTGACACAAATGACCCTGTGTTTGTTGGAGGCTTCCCAGGTGAGTGTTGGCTACCCCAGCAACAATTTCTTTGCTCTCTTATGTTACTGGTTTTGAAAACATTTATATTTACGTGTGTCTAAGAATGTGTGCTTATGTGTACTTGCTTCCTAGCTTTAGAATCTGCTTAGAATCTGCACCTTACCTAAAATTTCCAGTGTGTAAAATGAACATATTACTTATATAAACCACATGGGACTGAACTTTTCATGAGAGCCCCCAAAGTTTCCTTCGTGGAGAGATTGAAGCTGGAGGAAATGAATTTGGCTTATAAAAGATATGAGGCATTTAACAGCAATTGGAGCCAAACTTGGTGTTCTTTCTGATTTTTTTAAAATTAATATACCAGAGGAATCAATCATAAAATGTTATGGAACTTATTTCCTCAAGTTCTGGAAATCATTGGGTTAAACATAGCTAATTTCCCCCTTATGTTATTATAGAGTTTATATTTATATTACAAAGAAACGCAAGCAATAAATCCTCATTCAGAATCCTTCTCTAGCACATTAAATATAGCATGTGAACTGTAGAGATTTACCTAAAGTGCCCATAAACAAGAGTGGCCAACTTGATGAGAAGTAAGCCAAGTGCCTCTTAATAAGTACTGTAATAACATAGCCTCCTGGAATGGTCTTTCATCATTTTGTCAAGAGGAACTTTTATCCCTGTTTATATAAAGCTCCTTTGCTAAATGAAACAAGCAAAATGTATATTCAGCAATTGTTGACAGAGCAATGTTGATAGAAATGCAATGGGGGCCCAACGACAGCTCCTCTTTCCAAAGTGGCTTCTGTGTTTTAAAAAGATCTTTTGCTTCAATCAGGATAAATTCCAAGATATTATGAAGGAGGTAATGTACTTCTCCATTCAGTCTATGATAATGGGATCCTAATTAACACCTAGTAGGCCTACTGAAACAAGCACCTCTATAATAAGAGGAAGATTCTACATGAATATCCAACCTACTTAACCTTTAGGGATTTATTTTTACAATGTAAGAAAGTGATAAAGTCACCTTCAAAAAGTTCTAAGTAAGTCAGTACTTAAAAGTATTTGATCAATTGCTTTGTTTCATGAAGTAACATTTTACAATTTTAAGTCACAACTATAAATTTGTTCATCCCAAACCAAGTTATTTCATGTCTTAAGATGTATAATTCTAGATGTTTTCATATGTTATAACTATTAAAAAGTTGAGGCTGGACATGGTGGCTCATGCCTGTAATCCCAACACTTTGGAATTACACTTTGGGCATAGATGGGGAGATCTCTTGAGCCCAGGAGTTGGAGAGCAGCCTGGGCAACACGGCGAAGGGAGGATCGCTTGAGCCCAGGAGGTTGAGGCTGCAGTAAGCCTTGATTGCGCCATTGCACTCCAGCCTGGGCAACAGAGCAAGAACCTGTCTCAAAAAATTTTAAGTTGATCTTTCTTTCTCTACAATTCTATTAGTAAGGCTAAAAACAAAACCACTAACTTTGCATAAAACAGCATTCCAATTTAATCTCAAGCTAACAGTTGACTTTGAAACATGCTCTTAATATTTGGTGCAGGACATTTCAAAGCTGAGCCCTCTTGCATTGCCTTTTTCAGATGACCTCAAGCAGTTTGGCCTAACAACCAGTATTCCGTTCCGAGGTTGCATCAGATCCCTGAAGCTCACCAAAGGCACAGGCAAGCCACTGGAGGTTAATTTTGCCAAGGCCCTGGAACTGAGGGGCGTTCAACCTGTATCATGCCCAGCCAACTAATAAAAATAAGTGTAACCCCAGGAAGAGTCTGTCAAAACAAGTATATCAAGTAAAACAAACAAATATATTTTACCTATATATGTTAATTAAACTAATTTGTGCATGTACATAGAATTCTTTCTGTATTCAGATGGTGCTAATTCAGACTCCAGACTGAATTTTAATTCAAGTTCTTTCTCAAGTCTATAAATAATATTAAACTGATTATTTCATTCTAAATAATTGCCTGTTTTGTGTGATTTTAAGGATAAAAGGTAACTGGCCATAAATTGTTGAGTTTGCAACATGCCCTCCAGTCATCTCAAGGAAAGAGTTCAGATGTAATTTATGGAGGCAATTTTTTTTAACTTATTCCTATCAATACTTCTTCTTTCTTTTATCATCCTTTACCATGTATGACAGCTTTGGCCTTCTGTCCAAGCCACTGACAGCAAGTGAATTTGGCATGTGTGATTGGGAGGAAATCAGTTCCCTTACTCTATTTATGAAAGAATTATTAGCAAATCATTGTCCTGACCCAAGTTCATTATTAGAGAGTTTAACTAGCCGTATGAGTGAATAGCTTTTTATGCTGAAGGTAGAGGGTATAGACCAGATTCAGGCCAGAAAGCTTAATTACTTGATTTTCTTATTTGATAATGATTTATGGGCTTTGGGGAGATGCCAAAACCAAGCTTATGAATGACAACCAAGCACACATTTGATACTACAGTACTAAGAAAGATTTGGGGCTCTCTAAGCCTACAGTGAATATCACAATTTACACCTAGGTGGAGAGGAATAATGCTGAAATGCATTTGTACTTATCAGGAAACAATAAACCAGAAACTTAAAAGGCATACTTCATTGAGTCTTTTGGAGCTGTAATTTGACCTAACAAATTCATTTTCTATAAACGTTCTGTGTTTTGTTCTCCTTTAACCCATGATTTCAGTCATCTTCAAAGAGCTCTGTGAGAAGACTGGCCTTGATTTTATTCACCAGCTTAAAAAGGAAACGTTTCATTTGCCATCTTTAGTAGACAATGGTTGCAGTCTAATAATTCAGAACATGTAAAAGAACAGGAAACTCCTTTCTCCTATGGAAATTTTAGCAACAAAGAATAATCCTCTCTGACAATGTTGTTATCCACTAGGGGAAGGAAGGTGCTGTTTCCAATTGAGGTGATGGCTGACATACTCACTATTTCACCACCGTCCTGTTGCTTAATACAATTTGTACACACAACTTTATTCTACAGAAGCAATTCTCAAGCTTAGCTCAGTGTTTTTAAAAAACTGCCTATGCTTTAGAAAAGTGCCTAGGGAGTTTTTAAAAATCTAGTACCTGGTCCAGTGATTCTGATTTTGTCTAGGACATAGCCAGAGCATAATGATTTTTTTTTTTTTTGAGACAGGGTCTCATGTTGTCACCCAGGCAGGAGTGCAATGGCACCATCTTGGCTCACTGCAGCCTCAACCTCCCCAGTTCAAGTGATCCTCCTGCCTCACTCCCCAAGTAGCTGGGACTACAGGTGGGCACCACCACACCCAGCTAATTTTTATATTTTTAGTAGAGATGGGTTTCACCATGTTGCCCAGGCTGGTCTCGAACTCCTGAGCTCAAGAAATCTGCCTGCCTCAGCCTCCCAAAGTGCTAGGATTACTGGCATGAACCACTGTGCCCAGTCAAGCATGAGGATTCTTAAAAACATTCCCAGGCAATTCTAATGTGTTGTCAAGGATGAACCTAAGAAAAATAAGCAATAGGGAAAGGATTCCCTATTTAATAAATGGTGCTGGGAAAACTGGCAAGCCATAAGTAGAAAGCTGAAACTGGATCCCTTCCTTACACCTTATACAAAAATTAATTCAAGATGGATTAAAGACTTAAACGTTAGACCTAAAACCATACAAACCCTAGAAGAAAACCTAGGCATTACCATTCAGGACATAGGCATGGGCAAGGACTTCATGTCTAAAACACCAAAAGCAATGGCAACAAAAGCCAAAATTGACAAATGGGATCTAATTAAACTAAAGAGCTTCTGCACAGCAAAAGAAACTACCAGCAGAGCGAACAGGCAACCTACAGAATGGGAGAAAATTTTCGCAACCTACTCATCTGACAAAGGGCTAATATCCAGAATCTACAATGAACTCAAACAAATTTACAAGAAAAAAACAACCCCATCAAAAAGTGGGCAAAGGATATGAACAGACACTTCTCAGAAGGAGACATTTATGCAGCCAAAAGACACATGAAAAAATGCTCATCATCACTGGCCATCAGAGAAATGCAAATCAAAACCACAATGAGATACCATCTCACACCAGTTAGAATGGCAATCATTAAAAAGTCAGGAAACAACAGGTGCTGGAGAGGATGTGGAGAAATAGGAACACTTTTACACTGTTGGTGGGACTGTAAACTAGTTCAACCATTGTGGAAGTCAGTGTGGCCATTCCTCAGGGATCTAGAACTAGAAATACCATTTGACCCAGCCATCCCATTACTGGGTATATACCCAAAGGACTATAAATCATGCTGCTATAAAGACACATGCACATGTATGTTTATTGCGGCACTATTCACAATAGCAAAGACTTGGAACCAACCCAAATGTCCAACAATGATAGACTGGATTAAGCAAATGTGGCACATATACACCATGGAATAGTATGCATAAAAAATGAAGAGTTCATGTCCTTTGTAGGGACATGGATGAAACTGGAAATCATCATTCTCAGTAAACTATCACAAGGACAAAAAACCAAACAACGCATGTTCTCACTCATAGATGGGAATTGAACAATGAGAACACATGGACACAGGAAGGGGAACATCACACTCTGGGGACTGTTTTGGGGTGGGGGGAGGGGGGAGGGATAGCATTAGGAGATAGATATACCTAATGTTAAATGATGAGTTAATGGGTGCAGCACACCAGCATGGCACATGTATACATATGTAACTAACCGGCACATTGTGCACATGTACCCTTAAACTTAAAGTATAATAATAATAAAAAAAAGAAAAAAAAAGGATGAGAAGCACTATTCTAAAAAGAAACATTATCCTCCATGCCAACAAAGAGTTTTATAGTCATTTGAGAATTCTACTATTAGCTTTGTCTTGGCAATTTCCACACCCATTAAAAATAATAATATTATAGGCCAGGTGCAGTAGTTCACACCTGTAATCCCAGCACTTTGGTCGCTCAGGCAGGAGGATCAGTGGAACCCAGGAGTTTGAGACCAGCCTGGGCAACATAGGGAGACCCTGTCTCTACCAAAAATTTAAAAATTAGCCAGGCATAGTGGCATGCACCTATAGTCCTAGCTACTCCAGGAGGTTGATGCAGGAAGATTGCTTGAGCCTGGGAGGTCAAAGCTCCAGTGAGCTGATGATTATACCACTGCACTCCAGCCTGGGCAACAGAGCAAGACCCTGTCTCAAATGAAAGAAATATCTTTTTATATCAAATATTGAATCTAGTGAATTTAATATATAAAACATTGAATCTAGTGAATATCTTTTAACCAAACTTTAAGAAATAAAACTTTTTGAAAACCAATGTGTTTTAAAAGTGGAAACATACATCTGCACTAAACGCTGACATGACTTTTTGGGCTTAATCTGGACACTGAGTGGGATAAACAGGAATAAAGATGTTGGGTTCCTTAGATTAAAAGCTAAAGCCTTTCTTTCTTGAGTCCTGCACAGAAAGATATGTAACAAAACGGAAAGCAAAGGCAGTTAAATTGGCACTCCTATCAGAATAAAGTCCTGCCTCAGTCAATTTGTAGGTAGATGCCTTAGAATGATAGAATGATAGAACTGGAAGTGAATTGAGATCAGCGAATACAGTGATTCTCAAGTCTAGCTAGATGTTTAAAGTGCTTTGGGTGCTTAAAAAATCTACATTTGGGCTGGGCACAGCAGCTCACGCCTGTAATCCCAACACTCTGGGAGGCCAAGGCAGGAGGATCACTTAAGCCCAGGAGTTTGAGACCAGCCTGAGCCACACAGTGAGACCTTAGCTCTAAAAAAAAAAAAAAAAAAAAAAAAAAAAAAAAAAAAAAAAAAAAATTAGCCTGGTGTGTTGGTGGTGCATGCCTGTGTGGTCCCGACTATTTGGGAAGCTGAGGTGGGAGGTTCACTTGAGCAGGGTAGGTTAAGGCTGCAGTGAGCCAGTGATCGTGACACTATGCTACAGCCTGGGCAACAAAGCAATATCCTGTCTCAAAAAAGAAAAAAAAAATTGACATCTGGGTGTCACCCCAGCCCAATTAAACTATAATCTCTGGGTAGGGCCCAGGCATTGGCATTTTTTAAAAATCCCCACTTGATTCAAATGTGAAACCAAGACTGAAAACCCCTGGGCTCCTGTCACCTCCACATTTTATGGGGAGGAACTAGAAGGAACTCAAGGATATTTTGATAACTGTGCTCAAAGTCCCACCTTAGTAAAGTTTCCCAATGTAGTCCAGACAGTTGCATCTGGATCCAAGCAGAATTCACTGAATTAGGTTTGGACAAAACTTGTCCCATGCAAAATTCATACTCCAGAGTGACCCATGAATTTGGATAACCAAAAATTGTCCACATTTTAAGGTCAGAAATAAGGACATTTTGGTTGGGCACGGTGGCTCACGCCTGTAATCCCAGCACTTTGGGAGGCTGAAGCAGGTGGACCACCTGAGGTCAGGAGTTCAAGACCAGCCTGGCCAACATGGTGAAACCCCATCTCTACTAACAATACAAAAATTAACCAGGTGTGGTGGCAGGCACCTGTAATCTCAGCTACTCGGGAGGCTGAGGCAGGAGAATCGCTTGAACCCAAGAGGCGGAGGTTGCAGTGAGCCAAGATCGTGCCACTGCACTCCAGCCTGGGCGACAGAGTGACAATCTGTCTCAAAAATAAATAAATAAATAATAAATAAGGACGTTTTATGAAAGGGAAAAGTTTCTTCTCTAGTATTTTTTAATTAATTTCTGACCTCAAAAATCAAATTAGTTCTTATCCCAAAACAAGATAAAATATTTCCTCTACCCAACCTTGTCCCCTCAATGATTTCCTCACCTCCTGCCACCCACAGCAATTATGAAGAAAGCAGAAGACTTTTCACTTATTTTCCAAACACCCACTCCTACCAGGTTGTCAGCCTTCTTCTTTAAAAAGGTGCTTTGCACTTTAGAAGAAAAACATTTGTGAGGGGACTTTTATTGAAGTTACCATGGTGAACACCACTGACTAAAGAACAGAGCAGATTTCAGCCCCAAAGCACCAGAACACTGGCAGACACTTAAGGCTTCAATTAGCGCTTTAAAAAAAGTCATCACTATTTTCTCCCACTTTGATTTAACCTATTGTCCCCAACTACAGAACTCTTCTAGGTTTCCTACTTAATGACAGAGGAAAAGAGGACTTTGACAAATTGAAAATCTCTTGATGTTATATGAATTATTTGCTGAATTATTTTGTGTATAATATAATCTATGATTAACATGAAAACAAAACACAATATCGTAATCCATTTTTGCAAACCCTGAGTAGTCTTTTTTACTACCACTTGCAAAGGGTATGACTTAACTGCTAATGCCAGTTTTTAATCTCATTTTTAAAGTCTTTTAATCTCAGTTAAATTAAGAGAGATATAAAAACATATGCACTTTTTTCCTTTGCTCAACTGAGATTAATACATACCTCACACCCAAAGTGAACCTGGAGGGAAGCAATGCCCCAGGCTGGACCCTAAGTTCCAACATGATTTAGGAATCTTGTCATGCAGGGTGGTGGCTCAGACTCATTCTTTTGGCCTTTGTGCCAGTTACCTAACTGAGCATGATGTTTGTGCCATTATTGATATGAGGGTGTTATGGGCTGAACTGTGTCCCCACAAAACTCATGTGTCAGAGTTCGAAACCGCAGTACTTCAAAAAGTGACTCTATTTGGAGACAGGACCTTTAAAGAGGTAATTAAGGTGAAATGAGGTCACATGGATGGGCTCTGATTCAATATGACTGATGTAAGAATTTGAGAAGAGATTAGGACACAGATAGGCATAGAGAGAAAACCACGTGAAGGTGAAGAGAGATGACGGCCATCCACAAGCCAAAGAGAGAAGCCTCCAGAAGAAACTGACCTTTCCAACACCTTGATCTCAAACTTCTAGCCTCCGGAATTGTGAAAAAATAAATCTCCATTGTTTATGCCACCCAGTCTGTGTTGCTTCATAACGATGGCTCCAGAAAACTAATATGGAGTGTTTCTTCACTAAAAAAATACAAATAATAATATTTTAAAATTTTAAAGTATCAGCACATTTCAGGTTCTCTAAAGAGTGACATATAGATCATAGAAATCCATTATTTTGAACAGTGACCATTATCACTTATATAATGATTAGAAAAATTTTGAGAATAAAAAAATAAAGGCACATTCATAACATGCTTAAGAAAGTTGTTTTATATATTCTTGGGGATATTAGAAATAGCTACATTCAGTTACAAATCAGAGAATTAATACCATCACTTTTTGAATGTTTTGGTAGAATGGGCTCTCTTGAGAGCTAGTTTTGTATCTTCAGGTTTGAAGAACGGCTCATTCACCCTTGGACAAATTAAGGCCCTGTTTTATTTAGAAAAGTTATCTCCCTGAAGCACTACACTTCTGCAGGAATGCACCTAGAGATAGAAAAGGTGGTAGCAGTAGAAGAAGTGAGAAATGGTTAGACACTGATTTATTTTGAAGGTTGAGTTAGGCTATTTTTGCATCACTATAAGTAAATATATGAGGCTGGGTAATTTATAAAGGAAAGAGGTTTAATTGGCTCACAGTTCTGCAGGCTGTACAAGAAGCATGGTGCCAACATCTGCTCGGCTTCTGCTGAGGGCTTCGGGAAGCTTACAATCACGATGTAAGGCGACAGGAAGCCAACCCATCACATGGCGAGAATGGGGAGCAAGAGAGAGAGAAGACGGAGGTCTCAGACTCTTAAACAACCAGATCTCCATGAACTAACTGAGCAAGAGCTCACGTATCACCAACGGGGTGGTACTAAAGCATGCGTGATGGATCTGCCCCCATGATCCAATCACCTCCCATGAGGCCCCACCTTCAACATTGCAAATCACATTTCAACATGAGATTTGAAGGGGACAAACGTCCAAAGCATATCAAAGGTGGACTAGTGCTTCCTGTAGGATCGCCTATGGAGTGCGACAAAATAAGGTACTGATAACTTGTGATCATCTGGAAGGATAGAGTAGGTATTACTGGGGGATGTGAGTGGAGTAGGCTTTTTATGGAAAACATAACACAGAATTTAGTTTTAGACATGTTTAATTTAAACTCCCCAGTAGGTATCTAAGTGCATCATGCCACAGGCAGTTGAACATAAGGGTCTTCAAGAAAAAGATCCAAACTACAGATATAAACATGGGAATTATGAGAATATTGATGTTATTTATAACCACAAGACTGAGCGAGATCACTAAGGGAGTGAGTGTAGAGGGAGGACTATGGATACACTACCACATTAAGAGTATTAAGAGTATGGGTATAAGAAACATTATTCAGAACTTAGAAATAGGCAAAATAAATGTCTGGATATTCTTTCAGTGCAGTACTTACCAGGCTTCTCTTTCTATCAACTGGTCTGTTTTACAACTCCATACGGGCAAAGGTTAACTTGTAGGTTTTTGTCTAGCAGGGATGCAAACAAGTTCTTTCTGGCGGAGAGATAACCCCAAAGGTAACAGTTTTGTATCGAGAAATCTTATCCTAATATTCTTTTATGAAATGTGTGAGAGTGTGTGTGTGTGCATGTGTGTGTATGTGTGTGTGTGTAGCTTCTCAAATTCTTATACAAGTTTTAACATTTTATGGGTTCCCTCATGGATTAAGTTAAATAAAATCTTTGACATGAGTTCACACTATCTTTGCCTGAGAGTCATAAATTTTTTAACTTTGAAAACTGGGAAAAAGGGAAAAGGAGTAACCAGCTGAATTTGCCCAGGTTAATTCAAAACTAAAAACCAGTTCACACAATGTTTTTATTTATGATTGAATTTTCTAAACATGCCAACCTTATGTTTCCACTGCTACATTTCTTATGAAGTAATGCTAAGGAGGGAAAAAGCTTAAGCTTAAGAGAAGAATTTTGGCTTTTTATTTCACTTTTATGGGCAATTACCCTCTCCTGTTAGCCTCAGCTTCTAGACACACACACACACACACACACACACACACACACACACACACATCCAGTCATCTGTTTAGTAATGTTGGAGCCAAGAACAGATTACCTGTAGCCAAATACACCACTGATTTTTATATTTCTTTACAGAAGTGTAGACTGACTTTGACACTCAAACTCTTGAATAATAATAAAGGATTGAAAAAACAGAATTTTTAAATCATTTTGTTACTTTTGAATTACATAGGACAAAACAAGAGTTTTAAGTAAAAAAAATTATGTCAGCATATTATTTAAGATCATTTTATGTAATTAATTTATATAATACCTAAAGTCTATTATCTTACAGGTAACTTAAATAAAATTATTGACTTCAACATCATAAAAGAAATATCTGAACAGACTTTCACCGAATTTGGAGAACGTGTTTTGGATTAGCTGAATTAAAATGCAAACTATACAACACTATGGGATTCATTGGGGCACCCTAATGGGCACCTCAGGGAGATGGGCAATCATCCCTGAAACTGAAGTATCCACATTAGAAACTGTTAACTGCTTATGGAGGAAAATACACCACACATATTAACACATGGTGAACAGAAAAGAAACACAATATCAAGTACGAGTTTCAAATCAAAATTCACCAAGCAGATGCTACAAATTTTAGGTGCTGATGAGTCATTGTGCTATATTTTGCACTGGCAACTCTGTAGAATATGTTCCAGGGTTAGAACTACCAAGGACTCATTTAAATAAACAAATGATGGTTCATACATCTTTCAAGAGGTGTAGAATAGGCCAGTTAACTTCTTTGTACATAAACAGATGGAGATGGAGGACAGAAGGGTAGAAGGATGGGAGGAAGAGGCAGAAAGAAAGAGATATTTAGGCTTTTCCCATTTTAAAGGTGATAGTCCCTTTCATTTAAATATGTAAATAAAAGAAAATGTATTTATAAATTACTTTTGTTTGGTCTTATACCAAATGAATATTAATATTTTCATTGACATTTTAACAATGTGTTGTGGAATCAAAAATGGACCAAAACTAACTTCATGATCTGATGTTTGTAATTCTTATATTTTTATTCCTTAAAATATCAATTGGATTATTTAGATACTCTTCATTTTTTGATTCTTAATGATAATTAAAATAAATGTTTACACTACTATGTATAGACACTTCTCAAAAATAACACATTGTTGCTATGAAGTGTTTAGTCCCAGTAAATAAAATATAAACTGAATACAATTTAAAATTTTATTTTCTTTTATAAGTTGGTTTTTAATGTATTAGTGGTAATCATGATGCCTCATATAATGAGATGAATGTAAATTATGGATCTGGTGAGGGAGCTGAATGTAAATTATGGATCTGGTGAGGCAGATGTGCAGAAATTACTTCATAACAGTCAAAACAATCAAGGTGTTCATCATCACTGTGTTGGGTAGTTAACAAAATGAGTAACTGAATCATATAATTTATCTGGTTTTCATTAATTGGCATGCATACTCACTTGATGTGCTTCCAGTGGGCTCTAAACAGTGCAGCTATTAAGTGGAAACTCTTAATAATTTTATTTTGTATAATGCTCTTTTAGATGGAAATAGACATATTTGCCATTTTTGCCTTACAAAGACAAGAATTCTCTTGAACACAATCATAAACCCTGGATGTACAATATCACTAGTGAGAAAGTACAGTTTAGCAATAATTTTCAAATGGTATGTTGAGACATGTCAGTGGGTCATAAGATCAAATTACAGATTTGTAAAAGAGCAACTTTTATAACATAGTAGGATGGAAGAAAATGAATAGAATAGAACACAATAACAACACCAAAGTGCACTGTACAGAGGAAGTATTGTTTCGTGAAACTTGTTTTCTATATGAATATGTTTCTGTGAGTATACACACTGGGTCATAATGTAAAATGTATTTCTTTCTATGGTTATAATTTTTTAAAGTTGAAGTAGAGGATATCACAAAATATGGGAAAATAAAATGGGGGAAAAAGAAAGGGATCAATAAGGAAATTATTTCTTCGGGGAGATTAGAATAACAAATTTGTAAAACGTATAGACTAACCCAATAAAATCGGCTTAGTAATGTAATATAGACCATAAAGCTGTACTCTCAAACCTCACTAGGATGTTCCATTAAAAAGTGTAGCTTAATGAAGACCCCCCAATTGTGATGACTCTGACTCTAGCAGATAGCAAGGGCTTCAGTTGAATCCAAAAACTCATCTCTGAAAAGAACAGAAAAAATGTGGTAACAATAAAGAAGAGTCATGGGAGAACAAAGTTATTGAAGGAATAATGGAACAGGAATATAATGGAAACTAAAGACAACCAGATCCAGCACAGTAAAACTAGGAGTTCTTTTTTTGAATTAAAACATTGCCAAAATCTCATTTCCTTAGCAGACTCTGAAGAGTAGAGCCCCCATAAAAGAATTTTTTAAAGGCAAATAAAATACAAAGAAAGATTTGTTCAGATCGACCTTTGGGTTAAGAATAAGACATTTCTTAAGATCCAATTGTAAAAATCACATTCAGACATAAACTCACAAAAATGTATGCAGCAATTGTAGTAGCTCATGCATAATTATAATACTGGATAAAATAATATACTATTTTGTATGGGTTCTTAAAAAAATCTTTTTAAGGTGAAAGAAAGGTACATTTCTTGAATGTTTTGCACTGTAGAAGACAACTGCCTCAAATCTATTCTCTTTACTTCTGGAAAGAGTTCCTTATATTTTCTTCTCTTTTTTTTTTTTTTTTTTTTTTTTTGAGATGTAGTTTCTCTCTTGTTGCCCAGGCTGGAGTGAAATGGCACAATCTCGGCTCACCGCAACCTCCACCTCCTGGGTTCAAGTGATTCTCCTGTCTCAGCCTCCCTAGCAGCTGGGATTACAGGCATGTGCCACCATGCCTGACTAATTTTTGTACTTTTAGTAGAGACGGGGTTTCTCCATGTTGGTCAGGCTGGTCTCGAACTCCCGACCTCAGGTGATCTGCCTGCCTCAGCCTCCCAAAATGCTGGGATTACAGGCATGAGCCACCCTTAGGGACCTATTCCTTTCACCATCCCTATGCCAGAACTGGATGCTAGTAATCCAATAAGTGAATTCCATTCCGCCTCCTGCCTACAATGCTTGAGGTGATAAGGAATCTAATCAGAGCCAGTGAAGTTTTTGGTAAGGCTAGTTTGAAATGATGCACCCCTCTCCTGAGCTAAAGCATAGTGTGCATAAGGATGTGACAGTTGGAACTGTTGTATCTGATTTGCTACTAAGTAGGGAGAGCCCAGATCTGCCAAAAGACCATGGGATGCATCCTGAGGATGAAGATGACATTGCAAAAGGCAGAATGGAGAAACTACATCTCCGGTAAAACCTCATCTGAAGCCTGTCATAACTCCGCCCTTTTCACCTACGTGCACCAGGATAGTTATTGTGTTGTTAAAGCCAATATTGGAGTTTCCTCTCACTTGCAATATTCGGTTCTAACTGATAGATCTGCGAGCCATGTGCCAGGCCCTGTACTGTGCCTAGCAGACACAATTTTCTAGTAAATGCCCTCAACAGTCCTTTGTGACAGCACTGTTATCAACCCCATTTTAGATATGAAAAAACAGAGGCTTAAAACAATTAAGTGACTTGTCCAAAGTCACCAAGCCAGGAGGTCCTGAAAACATACATTTTAAATTTAAAACATTCTCATTAGGTTCAATACTTTCCAAAAGTAAAATCCTATATTACTTTTCTAACTTTTCAATTATTTTAAAAACTAGAACTTGCAGGATAAAGGTTAAGTAGTGATTGGGAGCCCAGTGCTGTTCTCATCGAGAAGAGAGGTAAAACCAACGTTCCTGACCTTTCTTTCCATGTACACGCAGTTAAATCCTAAAATATACAGGCCCTCTTGAGACAAGAAGTGTATCTTGTCCACAGTTCTTTAGTTTGTAAGCAAAATCTTCAAGCCAGGCAAAGCAACCCAAGGGTGTTTATTACCAAAATATCGGGGTTTTTCATGGAACCCAAAGGAAAAACAGAGAAGCCTGAGATCCTAAGGACATGCAGTCAAGGCCTGAAACTATCAGGGCTCGTGGCAGCTATTCTACCTCCATCTTTGCTTCCTTCCCATTGTGTTTCTGCTTCAGTCTTCTCTCTCTCCAGATGGGATGCCTGGCTTTGGCTGCATGGAAATAGACAATCTCTGATTACAACAGTTATTTTCAAGGGGTCTATGGAGAAGAACCAGCTGCTCTTTATTCAAATTTTAAATTCCCTAAGAAGGAAGCATGATTGGCTGGACATGAATCAAGTGTTGACCTCTTGTGATCCGTGCACTACTGCAGGATCAGGTGGCACGAATAACCACTCTCAAGTGGCTGAGAGGTGAGGTGATCCTGGAGAGGAGGAGATCGGCTACACAGAAATCCAAAAAGCTGTTTGACTATAGGATTAGCATTAAAACAAACCAAGACAAAGTCGGAGCTAAATTCAGGATGCACAGAAGTTCAGGGGAGAAGGAATTCTGTGGGGCTGTCAGGTAAGGGTTTGAGTCCCCAGGGAAACTTGAACTTGGTCATAAGAGATTTGGGAAGAAGAAGGGAAGGTAATCCAAATAGGGAAATCTGACACCTGAACAACAGAACGTGATCTGATGAATGAATGAAAGAATCATTTTTTAAATAAAATATGTAACAACAGAAGGAGACATTGAAAAAAACAATGAATTGACATGTTAAAAGTGGAGCTTTTTTTATATCCCTAAAGAGGTAGTAAGAATTATGTGGTGTCTCTTCGAATTCTTCCAAAAAGACAAGACGATAAATGAATTTCTTGACTAAGTGCTGGTTTTGAAGTGAAAGCTTTATCACCACAACTAAAAAATATTAGTCATTGATTAAATAATAATGAGTTTTTTAAATCTTTCTTCTTTCTCCCCCCGGCTTCTAAACAACCCCATCTGCCTGATAGATCGATATAAATTTAAAGGCCTAGTGTTTACTCAGAATGTTTGGTTTGTGTGTCTATTGCAGTACACGTAGTGCAAATATGAAAAAAATATCTAATTTTCTTAATAGAAAGTCTATAATTGATTCAATCTAATGTATTTCTGAAAGATTAATAAAGCTGCTTTTCCTCAAGACAATAAGACAAACATTAAACAAAAACTTCTCTCAGGAGTGAATGGTAACCCCAGTGACCTCCTTCTCATGATCTGCAAGCACTTTATAAATAAACACATCCAAGTGGGATGTGATGGTTGGATCCACAGTCATTTCTCCTGAACTAAACTAGATTGCTTTCCCACTCGAGTGTAATAAAAATGTAAAATTCAAATAATGACCTTTATTTATGCTTTCTAGATCAAACATTATGATTCTCAGAAATGATTTTTCAATTAATTCTAAAACAAGGTTATTAATATTAGTAGCTTGATAAATTATAAAATGCCTCTTTCTTTTCCTCTGTCTTCTCCCTTTTTCTTTGCCTCTCCATTATGTCACTCTCTTGTTTAAAAAAAAAATCTAATCTTGGTGAACGCCTGATTGAGATCAATAGACATGGCTATGAAAAATGAGAACAAGAAAAGTTATCACTCATCTTTCATCTGGCACCTAAGCTTGAGAGCCTCTTATATGTAATGCACTGATTAGGTGCTGGAGACACAATGTTGAATAATTAAGACAGAATCCCTTGTCTCTTCTCTTCCTCTGGGATAGGCAGGTAAGTAGAGCAGTGAATAAAATAGAACTTTGTTGGGAGTGCTGTAAAGGAAACAAGGGACTAAAACAGAGAGAAATGGGAAAACCAACTTTAGAATGTGTGCTCAGGAAAGCCTTGTCTCATTTTAGGTGATATCTGAATGGTATCTCATTTTAGACATCATTTGGGTGATACCTAAAATGAGAAGAAGCCAATTATCTGAAAAGTATGTTCATGTTTGTGGGCAAGGCAGGGTGTCATCCCTCAGAAGGCAGTTTGAGCAGAACTAGAACATGCAGACTCTGAGCTGGGACAGGATAGATGTCTTCTAGGAAGCAGAAGAAGATCAGTGTGGCCAGAGGTTAACAAGCCAGTGGAAGGATGGCATGAACTCAGCTGGACAGAGGTTCAGGGCCACATCATGCAGGGTTTTATGCGTTATGGGGATGAATTTGGGTATGGGTTTTAAGAGCAATGAGAAGCCACTGAAAAGATGTAATCACAGGGCCTGATTCAGTTTCTGTTGCTGCTACCTGAATACAGGATTGGAAGGGCACGAGAGCAAAAGCAGAAAGACCCCTCAAGTAATTGTGGCAAAAAGGTGATAGTGGCCTGGACTACAGTGTGTTTGCAGAAATATAGAGAAGAGGATACATTAAAGAATATTTTGAAGACGGAGCTAGACCTAAGATGGATTGGGTGCAGGGGAGGTATCTGAGGAATAGGCAAGGAAGGAGATTTCAAGGACAACTTTTAGATTCGGGACTCGAATGATCATGTAGATGATGAAGATGTTATTTATAAGACTAACGAAAACTAGGGAGGTGAGAGGAGAGTAACAACTAGGATGCTTTGGGCTACAGAAAGTCCAGGCTTAATGTGCTTTAAATCTTATGAAAATATGTCATTTAACATAACTAAGAGGTACATAGCAGTGCAGGATCCAAGTGCTGGACTTTAGGGCTCTGAGTCCACTGTTCTGTGGTTCTCTTAACTCTGCCCTGTTCAGTAGGGGTCTATCCTCAGGCACAACAGCTGCGACACTTTCACGTATCAATACATTTTTAGACAGAAGTGGCCATCTTGACCACTGTCTCCTTCCTATAAGTGAAGAAAGATTTTCTAAAAGTTTTGCAGAAGTCTTTACTCAGTTCTTATTTGCAGAATATAACTATCCCCAACCAACTGTATGCAGGAAAAAAAGAGATCTTCATATTTTCTTGTATCAATAAGGATATTTTTCCCAAACTGAAGATAGAATTCTCTTCCCAAAATATGTTAGGAAATTGCAAATAATAAAATAAAATCAGGATTTAGGTATTTACCCAAATGTATTAAAAATGTATGTCCACTGAAAAACCTGCACACGGATGTTTATAGCAGCATTATTAATAATTGCCAAATTGAGAGCATCCAAGATGTCCTTCAATAGGTGAATGAACAAACAGTGGTATATCCATATAATGGAATATTATTCAGTGATAAAAAGAAATAAGCTATCATGCAATGAGAAGACATGGAGGAAACCTAAACGTACATTTCTCCTTTTTTTAACCATCTAGCTTAAAATGTGATACATGCATGTTTCTAAGTGAAAGAAGCCACTCTGAAAAGACAACATACTGACATTCTGAAAAAGGGCAAAGCTATAAAGACATTAAAAGGAATACTGGTCTCCAAGGGACCAGTGGGGAAGAAGGGGAGAAATGAGTAAGCAGAGCACGGAGGATTTTTAGGGCAGTGCAACTATTCTGCATGATACTGCCATGGTGGATACATGACATTATGCATTGGTCAAAATCCACTCTGTACAACACAAACAGTGAAACTTAATGTAAACTATGGACTTTAGTTAATCATAATTTATCAATATTGGTTCATCAGTTGTTACAAATGTACCGCACTAATGTAAGTTAATGCTGAAATAGAGGAAACTCTGTAGGGGTTGGCAGTGGAGAGGAGTTTATGGTTTCTGCTCAATTTGTCTGTAAACCTACAATTTGTTTTGAGACAGAGTCTCACTCCATCACCCATGCTGGAGTGCAGTGATGCAATCTTGGCTCACTGCAATCTCTGCCTCCCGGGTTCAAGTGCTTCTTGTGCCTCAGCCTTCCTAGTGGTTGGAACTACAGGTGTGTCCCACCACACCTGACTAATTTTTGTACTATTTGTAGAGACAGAGTTCCACCACCTTGGCCAGGCTGGTCTCAACTCTTGGCCTCAAGTGATCCACCTGCCTTGGCCTGACAAAGTGCCGGGATTACAGGTGTGAGCCACCATGCCCAGCCCCTACAATTACTTTAAAAAAAATAGTCTATTAAAATAAAATCAGGACTCTGCCAACAAGAAATACAAGATAAACAGAGTTGCATAGGTGGCTAATGATGTCTACAATGGGTGAGGGAAAGAACTAGTTTCTTTTTAAACATCTTGAATTTGAAGTGTGAAGTATCATGTCGAATGTGTCAGGTAGGCAGTCAAATGTGTGAATCTGACACTCAAATGATAGGCCTGGGCAAGAGATATAAATTTTGAAGGCGAGGGGTCAAAAATTCATGGGAATTAGTAGGACCTCTGTATTAGTCCATTCTCATGCTGCTATGAAGAAATACCTGAGACTGGGTAATTTATAAATAAAAGAGATTTGATTGACTCACAGTTTCTTATGGCTGGGGAGGCCTCAGGAAACTTATAATCATGGCTGAAGGCACCTCTTCCCAGGGCAGCAGGAGAGAGAATGAGTGCAAACAGGGGAAACATCAGACACTTATAAAACCATCAGATTCTCACGAGACTCACTCATTATCACGAAAACAGCATGGGGGAAACTGCCCCCATGATCCAATTACCTCTACCTGGTCCCGCCCATGACACGTGGGGATTATTATAATTCAAGGTGAGATTTGGGTAGGGACACAGAGCCAAACCATATTAACCTTCTAGGGAGAGAGAGAAAAACAGACGGTTCCAGGACCAGGTTTGAGAAACTGTGGCAGGAGGACAGGGTCTGGAGTCAGGGAACCCAGGCTGATTCACGCTGACTACCTAGAACTAAATGAAAAGGAAAACCCCACCTCTGCACAACCAACTAACAAAAGAATCAGAGCTTACTCCCTTTGCAACCCACCCCCGACCTTTTTTCTGCCTTGGAGATGAAAAATTAAAGTACCTCTGATTGGTCCCTTCCTGCAACCAATCAGACTGGTCATAGGCCAAGTCTTCATGTGTAACTTTGTAACTTCACTTCAGCCTCTGATTGGTCACCTTCTACAACCTATTAGACTGGTTGCAGGCCACTACTTCATTTACATAGGGTGTAAACCAAGTAACCAATGGGAAACCTCTAGAGGGTATTTAAACCCCAGAAAATTCTGTAATAGGCTTTCTTGAGCCGCTTGCTGGAGCACACTCCTGCTCTGTGGCGTGTACTTTTGTTTCAATAAATCTGGGTTGGTTTATGCATTTTGTCTAATTCTGTGTTCAAAACACCAAGAACCTGGACACCTTCTACCAGTAACAGAACTACCACATTCAGAGGTTGAACTTGAAGGTGATGTCAATGAAGGAGAATGAGAAGGAGCAGGCAATGAGATTTTAGGAAAATGTGATGTCAAGAAAGCTAAGAGAGGAGAGTGCTTCAGGACACAGGGAGTGTCAAATCTTATATTACTTCTGTTTAGTGTTTTAGTTCTATTAAACTAACCATAATTGGTTGTTGATGGGGTTTTTTTAGTTTTTGGGTTTTTGTTTGTTTGCTTGCTTGTTTTTGTGGACAATACTTATTTTGGTTTAATTCCTTTTTTTGCTTACTGTCCTTTCTTGAATTCCACGCCTTCCATCTGGCTTATTTTGTTTGTTTTTTGTTTTGTTTTGCTCAGGAATTAGATAAATAACTCATTTAGTGAGGGTGAGCTTCTTGGTTTGTAAGTGTCAGAAAATATGTTTGTTCAGCTCTTAATCTTGAGTGATTGTTTTGGGTATAAAATTCTAGGTGGACATTTTCCTTCAGCATTTGATGATACGATTACATTGTCTTTCTACATCAATTAACGCTAATAAAAAGCCTACTTTTATTTTGATTAGTATCTTTATAGGTTTTCTTTCTTTGGTAGTTTTTAAGAGTTTCTCTTTGTTTATGATAATCTGTAATTTCACTACGATGTATTTAGGTGAAGATTTTGGTTTTGCACTATTCAGAACTTAATGTACTTTTTTCAACTTAAGATTTAAGTCTTGCAATTTGAGAAAATTTTCTAACATATCTCTTTAAATATTGTCTCTTCCAAATTTTTTTATTCTCATTTGAATCTTAGTTAACTTAAATTGGAGCTTCTCATTTTATCTTCCATGCGTCAACCTGTCTTTCATACTTCCCGAGACAGATCCAGGTTTTTTGGGACCTGCAGTTTAGACAATCTGGGAGTCTTTATGGACTCCCAGAAAAGATCTGGGAAAGGATACAAAAGTATGAGTAGAAAATTAGATATGAAGTACATATTTCTTTAGAATGAGAAAAGTAAATCACACAAATTGTAAATTGAAACAAAACAAACAAATTCTACAAACATAATAAACTCCAGAAAAATATTGTAATATGTATATTAACTACTGGAATACCTCCATAATAGTTTTATTCTTCTTCGTCTTTGGGTGCATATTTTCCTGTGACAATAATTATGTAATATATTTTTCAATTGAGGGAATGAAAAATATTTAATCTCTCCTCTAGCTTGGTTATTACTGACAGTTTTTTTTAGTGCCACAAGTCATCATTGGTCAAAAAATGTGCATGGACTCTTCAGTGCTATCTAACATAAGAAAAGTATGACAGAAGCCAAGTGGAATGAAAAAATTCTGCAGTCTTCATCAATTGCAGTTAAAAATCTCACTTTGCAAATTCTTTTAGCAACATATAACAATATAAACACACTGCTAAGGAGGAGCATATGCTGAAGGGTCTATGCAATTGAGAGGCCTAGAGCTTAAGCATCATTACTTCATTATAAATCTGGTAAATCAGTCTCTGTATATTTCCTGTTTCTTTATTTCTTTCTGCTGTATTCTTATTTCTTCAATTCTATTTTGCATTTCATTAATTCTCTTTTCGATGAAGTTAGTCTACCATTTAGCCCATCTATTGACTTTTTCACTTCAATGACTTTTTTTAAATCTCTGAAATTGTTTTTTCTTTTTCATGCCTTCCTATCATTTTCAAAAAATAATATCTATTATTCAGTTTATTCTTCCTATATTCTAAACATTTTAAAGATACTGATATTTTAATTTATCCTAAGTTGCTCTATTATCTGTAATTCCAGTCATTGGAATGCTTCCAATCATTATAGGGGCAAACAATCACAGGGTAGTAGACTGCCTTGGTGTTTTGTAGTTTTGATTGTGTGCTAATTATGATGACAGTCTTACATGTGCCCTGGCTTATGAAGGCATCTCCATGGAGCACTCTTCTGTTTATCTTTATGAATACAGCCCAGATCTGACACTTTATCATACACAGGGCCTGCAGTTTTGACACCATCTTTGCACTAGTATTAAAATCCCATCCCCTTATTGAAAACAGATGTAAGATAATTTGCTCATTCAGGAAATAGCAGATTTAGGAGGATAAATATTGTTATTTTTCCATGGATAGAGGTAGAAGTTGATACCACTCACCAACACAAACACACATAGAACTGGAAAGATGGTCACTAGCAGCTCCCAGTATCAATTTCCAACAGCTTTATGACTGGAGAGAGAAATAAACTTCTATCTTCCAGTTTCGGTTTGCAAATTCCAGTGTACAATGCTCCTCTTGAATGTGGTATTCAGAACCAAATGGCCTGATGTGAGCCAAACATCATTAAAAAAATAATAACTCTTATTCCATTGAGATCAACATTCTAATTCTGTTTACATGATTGCAGAGTTTTCTTGCAGCTACTGGCTGATGTTTTTAATCACCTGTTATTTTTCACATGTGGACACAAGTACTCAACATAGGAATCCTCCATTCTGTAATTGTATGATTAATTTTTTACACCCAAATTTAGGGATTATATGTATCCCTTTTACATTTAATCTTACAACTTTCCCCACATAATATCCAAGGTTTTTTTTAGAATATTTATTCTACCATCTGGGTGAACAGATGGATGGATGGATAAAACATCTAACATTACTCCACTCAGTAGAGCTGACTGTTTTACAGTCAGCAGTGCTGTTCTAAAACTATTTCAAGCTCTGGATCCTGCTTCTATTATTTCCCTATCATTGCCCCACTTTCTCACTTTTTTTTGGATATTGCAAGCAGCCACCACTAGCAGCCAAGGAAATTGCAACTGAAGAGAAAAGCTTATCATGAAGAAATAGTAATTTGTGAAGTGGTACCCCAGTGGCCTGGATTATTAAAGGCTCCCAATGAGCCCAACTCCCTTTGGAGGAGCAGTTTATGCAGTAGGAGAAGCTGATTTAACACATTTGTGATTCTGTAACCCCTCCTGGTACTGGGTATGCTATCACCAACTCTGCTAAGTGATCAAGTTTCATGGCACATGTAATGATAGCACAGCGGGACTTCAGTAAACAACAAAAATTAAGAGGTAGCTAGAGAAAGCAAACAATTATGGAAGAGAAGACTTAAGGATGGGGAGAGTTGGCTGCTAAAGGCAGAAAATTCTTCCTGTTTCAGGCTTAAGTTTAGGGAAACATAAATACGGTAGTCTATTGTACAACTGTCCAATCAGAATGGGTTTTGGCCACTATCAGCCTGGGAATGTTTGTAACAAGCAATTTTAAGAGTTATTTGGCTGATTATTAGTCCCTGAAACCATTCTGTCATTCTGTGCTAAATAATAATAGTAATAATCATAATAATAATTTCAAATTCTTTCACACAATGATCTTTTAAAAACTCAGCACACTCTGATTCCTAGCAAAATATTATTTGATAAGGGATATGGCATCGTATTACTAATCTCTCAAAAGCTCTTGAGGGATATCATGTTATCCCATTGGATATCTCTGACTATAGTCTTGGTTAAATGAATGATCTCCCTAGAGATGATGAGTCTAACAGGTATAAAAGACTTGATTCTTTTATTAAGTGATTATTTTTCTCAAAATTGTAAAGTCCTCTGTGTGTATATTTAAACCCTAGAATTGATTGTATTTCCCCTTATATAACTCCCCTAAAGAAAAAATGTCTATAAACCTATCAGAGTTCTCTTTTGGGAGATCTTCACTCGTGTTAATGTTTCTGCCATGCCTCCAAAAGCTCCCTTCCACATTCCAAATTTTCCCTTCATTGTATCTTCATTTTTTATTGACGTATTCATAGAAGGAAAATCTGTTTCTTGGTTTTCTGGTGGTGTGCTTAACCCATATTTTCTTTCAATAAAGTGAATATGTATAATGAGACATTATTATAGATTTTAAAATGCTGACAGCACCACAAATATCATAAAATCCAGAAAATAACAAAATAATTAACTGCTTGGCAATCACCATAATCCTTTTGCTGTTGTCGTTGTTGTTGTTACCTACACTTTTTTTTGTTGTTTTTTGTTTGTAAAATACATGTAGCAGAAAATGTATCATACTTTAAAATGCTAAAGATTAGCATTTGTGATTCACTATATGCTGATTGTTTTGAAAAGCTCCTTCATGGGTCCTATTTCATGTTTGAAAGATGCTAGCCAAAATCCCTCCTAAGCAAAGAGGAAATTGCTTCTTCTTCCTTGATTCTGGATTGTCTTCTTCATCCTCTTCAGGAATAGAGAAAGCAAGGAGGCTGGGCAAGTCAGTGAATCCCAATTCCCATGTAGCTGTCGGCTGCAGCCCTGACAAAGCCTCTGCAATGTCTCTCCTAGGGGACTTAGCTGAGCAGTGCCTGAGCTGTGCAGCCCCACCTTGGTAGCAAACATCTTCATGTGCTGATTTCTTGTCAGGGTAATGATTGCCCAGGATGGTGATTTCTTGTACAGGGTCACTGTTGTGTTTCGTGAATATGTGAGTATGTTGGAGCGGGGTGTTGGAGGAAAGATCTTTAGCTCAGCAAACAACAAATCAGCAAATCTACCAAAGTCTCAGTCTCTGCCCCAAGATAACGAAAAAGTATAAATTCTGGTTTGATTTTAATTGACTAGAATTAGATTTAAAAAGACAGATTTCAGTTTTTCTGTGTTAAGACTAAGTGCCTTTTCATTTATGTTGTTTGTTAAGTAATATACACAGAAAATAAACACAGATGAAAACTACGCTGACCTAAATAACTATTTGCCTTGTCTTCTTCAGATGTAATTTGAAAGCCTGGATAAAGAAAATAAAGTTCCTTAGGGTTTCATGTGATTACAAAGGAAACACTCCAGAAAACTAAAATGGCAAATATATTTAAGGTAATTCTCAGTGAATAGACTTGGGTTGCCACGATCCATTTTATTATTGCTTTTCTAAATTGCTTTCTTACCGTTCTCTGCCAGAGCCTCAGATCAATCTCTAGGAACTGTTGCGAGAACTTGTCCAATGTAATGACACCTGGCACAGAGCTGTAATTATTTTACGTGCAGGGCATGTTATGCTGTGCACTAGGTCTTTCGCTTCATTAAAAGACTTTGAGTCTCATAGTAGGCTTTAAGCACAAAAGAGGGCATCATACAGCAAATGTTTTAGTTTAAGTAGAATTTCTCCAGAAAGCAAGGAGCACAAGGTCATGGGCATTTGGGAAATGAGAGGTGGTGGGGAGGCATGTAGAGCACAGCATGTGTTATTGATTTATTGCCTCTCAGCTCCAAATCCTCCTTTCTTTCCATGGAGCTGAATTCTGTAAATACCTTCCCATCACCAGCTGGCCCAATGTTCAGCTCTGTGAGTGGAGGAGCACTGGAGGAAAGAGTATTTTCTCTTGCTCTGCTGTACTCACCTTGCTGGGCTCCTGCAGATGGTGCAGTTGTTTCAACAGTGCCTAGGGTCCAGCAGCAAGTGCTCCCACCTGTGGCAGCTTCCCCAGCATACCCTTGGGATCTGAAGTGCCTCACTGCGGCCAGCTTTCCAGCACTCTCGTTTTGGGCAGCTTCCTAGGGGAAGGTCCACTCCAGTTCTCTGCACACTTCCCTGAGGAAGCTTCATAATAGAGTATTAGTGAGCATGGTTTCTCCCCCAAAACAGTTTCCCCAGCTTCCCACAGTCTGTAGAGTTCTGAGGCACAGCACCTTCATGAGGACAGCTTCCCTCGAACTCCAGGGGGAGGATTTCCAGCAAGTCCCACCAGAGCGGTGCCACAGTGAACTGCTCCATGCCCCTCCACAGTTGGTATCTCAGCCCCTGGAGGAGTGGCCTTTTTCTTGGGTGCTCTATCCCAGCCCCAGGGTTGTGGCTCTCCCTATGTCTACTGTTCTTTACTTGTTTGCATTCTCCATGCCTCTATTAGCCGATTCCTCATTACTGAAATCCCCTATTAGTTATTTATGTTAAACTTTCTCTATTTTTATGTGATTTCTGTCTCCTGTTGGACTCTGACTGATAGAACCCCTCAGTGACAAAGAAGAGAGAAAGGTTCTCAGTGCTTCACAGAAAGAAATGCTGCTTTTCCCCTGAGCATTTCTGTTCCATTTACCCATCTTCCTAACAACACCCTCCCTGCTCTCTGTGCTTGGTCATCAATGGCTTAACCCCATTGAATATTCTTCCCATAAAGGTCTCCTACTTCCCTCACTCCCAATTTCCCCAAATCTGTGCCTGTCTTAGACAAAATCTTCGGGGGATGAGTAAGAAAAATCACTTTAATTTCTTCATGAAATGTACCAAAGTAAAACCTGCACCTTGACCTTTAAGAAAATTCCCAACTTTATATTCTGTAACAGATACTTGAATAAGACTCTGACTTGATCAATATTGCAAACTGCCAAGTTTGTGAAAGTTCCTGAAAATCATGCTGAGAAACAGCAGAAATTTGTTCATAATATGAAGGTCAGTTGAGAATTTCTGAATTGCATTGGACAGGATCAGAGCCACGATGGCCTGGTTTGACACTATAATCTGTCTCAACCATGGCACACAGAAAATCGGTGTTCATTATATAATTTTCCAGTGCATGACCAGAGTAGTGACAAATTTACTTCCCATGATGATTATAAATAAAAGGAATGCACTGTAAGTGCAAGTTAGAGATGCTGAAATATACATTACACTTACTTCTTTGATCTGATTCCTCTACTGGCCTTTATCCTCTTGGCCCAAATAGACATGTGCTCCAATTATTTCTCTAGGTGTAGGTAAATTTAATCTCACCTACAAAAACAAAGATTCATTTGAAAAATTAGCATCTGAGCATAAAATATGAAACAAACAATGGACTTTTGTCCAATAACAGAAATACATGACCAGATTCCATTTCACAAGCATGCTGCAAAGTACAGAGCTATTCATTTTATATCTGAAACCCATTCATTTAAGAATACAACGTAAAACCCAGTTCCCAAAACCTGCATAAATATTGTACTGAGGCTCAGCCTAGGTAGTGCTTGGCCTTGCAACTTTCATTTTGATATACATTATGGTCTGTTCACCTCTTCAATTAGTCTCAGAGGTGAAAGACATAGAGGATTTTTCTCTTGAAGCACTATGAATCTCAGAGGGTATAGTAGCGGAAGGGTTTTAGGGGGTGGAACAGGGTGAGAGCTGAATGGGGCCCATATAGGGTATGTGCAGAGTGTCGTGTGGATTCGAGTGCTAAAGATGAGGATGGCCTTGGGGTCTGGGGCCTCTGGAGGTAATCAGCATATATAGAGATGAATGACACCATGATATTAATCCTGGCCGACCCTAGTCAGATAGCAGAAACAAGACTTTGGGTGCTGAGGAGTAGAGAAGTCAAAATATAGAAAATGCTAGAAAAAGAACTTAACAAAGATAAATGTGGAGAGTGGGATGAGTGGTGCAGAGGACTGCTATTTTTTTTAAGCCATTAATTTGTTAAAAAGTAAAATGGTCTGAAAGGCATCATTTTGATAATAATTTTAAAAACTAATTTTGAGCCACAGATAAAGATCCAATGAAGCCTCTCAAACCCCGCCAACATCTCTGAAAGCCTAAGGCCCTGAAACTATGAGTTACAGTCCTTGTTACATTCCAAATGTTTATCTAAAACCCAGACCTGCCTCTCAGTCTCCTATCCCACATATCCAAATGCCTTTTCAACATATCTACTTGTATGTCTAATAGGAACTTCAAATTTTATATGTCCAGAACCCAAATCCTGATCTTTTTCTCCCTATTATCACCAAAACTAAAACTAAAACAAACTCCTCCATAGAAGTTATACATAACCAAATTGCTCAGATCATTTCATTGCATAATTCCCTCCAAATCATTTGCCTCCTCTCGCTTTGTTTGTGGTCTTATGTTTTTTATGCTTTTTAAATTTTTTTGACAAAATACATGTAACATAAAATTTATGATTAACATTTTTAAGTGTATACTTCAGTAGTATTAACTACATTCACATTGTTGTGCAACCATAACCATTATCCATCTCCAGAACTCTTTTCATCTTGCAAATCTGAAACTCTGTACCCCTTAAACAACAAATACCTGGCAACCACCACCTAATTTCTGTCTCTATGAATTTAAATACTCTAGGTATCTCATATAAGTGGAACCATACAGAATGCATCCTTTTGTGACTGGCTTATTTCACTTAACATATTGTCCTCAAGGTTCATCCATGTATCAGAATTTCCTTCCTTTTTAAGGCTGAATAATATTGCATTGTATGTATACACCACATTTTGTTTATCCATTCATCTGTCAAAGGACACTTGTAATGCCTCCATCTTTGGCTATTTGAATAATGCTCTTCTAAACACAAGTGTACAAATATCTGTCTGAGACTCTTCTTTTAATTCTTTTGGATATATACCCAGAAGTGAAATGGTTGGATCAAATTGTTTGGTGTATTCTTTGGCAAAACTAGAACCCTGGTCAAATTCTCTCTCTCTCTCTCTCTTTCCCCGCCCCTACCTGCCCCCGTCTCTCACTCTCTCTCTCTCTCTCTCTGTGCCTAATTTAACCCTGCACTCCTACAGCTGTTCATGGCAGCAGAAGAAACAAAAACATTAAATTCTCTCAATTCACAACTAAAAACTAGTATGACCAACCACCCTGGTTTGCCCAGGACTATTCCATTTTTAGCACTGAAAGTCTAAATCCCAGAAAACCCATGAATTCCAAGCAAACTGGGACAGTGTGTCACCCTACCAGAAACGTGAAACAGGCCTTGATCGCACCTTGCAATCAATTGTACTTTCCTAGGCCTTTTATCCTCCTACTCCCTCCATCTCCCCAATCCTTTCCCTGATAACCACCATTCCACCCTCTGCTACTATGAGTTAAACACTTTAACTTTTTGAATTTCTACATATATGTGAGATCATGTTGTATTTGTCATTTCATTCACACCTTCTACTCACTCCTTAAGCCTCCAGCACATCTCCTCTCCTCACAACTGATTATCTTGATTCCTATTCCAATGATTAAACAGAAGCATCCAGAAATTAACTTTCTGATTCCTACCACCATCTACCCACTTGCCATGGTCTATACCCACAATCTTTGACTTCCCTTCTAGTACCTATCTGTAAATCATCCATTTACCTAGAGAGGAACTCTCCGTGTTCCTCTCTAAAGCCACTTCCTTGTTTTGTGAACTACATCCCATTCCTTCTCATCTACTGAAGAAACTCTCTGTAGCAATTATCCCCTCATTTTAAACATCAATTTCTCCTTTACTGGGTTATTTCCAAAAACAATAAAATATTCCGTTATTACTCCTATGATTAAAAAAAAAAAAAGAAAAACAACCCCACTTCCCGTCAGCTGTTAGACCATATCTCTAATCTTCTTTACAAGCAAAACTCTCTGAAAGCATTTTCACATATTTTCTCCAATTCTTCTCCTTTCAGTCTCTCTTAAACCCTCTTGAACCTAGGTTTTTGTTCCCTACCATGATATTAAATCTGCTCTTGTCAAAATCACCAATGATCTTTATGTTGCTAAATTCAATGATTGATTTTCAGCCCTCTTGTTACTTGTTAATAACATTTGGTAAGTTAGATGAGTTACATCTGATAGGTTGATATACTTGGTCAGTCCTTGTTATCTAATACATTGCTGGGTCTTCATCCTGTCTCCTCATTTCCTTTTCTTCTCTTTCTTGACTTCTGAAAATCTGGTGTGCTCTATATCTGTTTTTGGCCCTTATCTCTTTTAGATTCATACTTTTCAAGAAAAAGTTTTTAATTTTAAAAAATTGAAAAAAGAGTAGATATTTATGGTGTACATGATGTTTGAAAACATACATATGTATATGTAGTGGAATGGCTAAATCAACCTAATTAACATATGTATTATCTCACATATTTGTGATGATAAAATCTTTTTCATCAATTTTCAAGCATATAATACATTGTTATTTTTGTACAATAGATTTCTTGAACTTGTTCCTCCTGTCTAACCAAAATTTTGTAAGCTTTGATGAACATCTCCCCAATCCCTTCCCAGCCAACCCCTGGTAACCACTATTCGACCCTCTGCTACTACGAGTTAAACATTTTAACTTTTTGAATTTCTACATATATGTGAGATCATGTTGTATTTGTCATTTCATTCTTGGCTCATTTCACTTAAATAGTGTTCTTTAGGTTCATCCATGTTGTCACAAATAGCAGAATTTTCTGTTTGTAAGGCTGTATAGTATTCCACTGTGTATATATCCCACATTTTCTTTATCCACTCATCCACTGATGGACACTTGGGGTGATTCCATATCTTTATCTTGGCTATAGTGAATTGTGCTACAATGAACATGTGAGTGCTGGTGTCTCTTCAACATACTGATCTCATTTCCTTTGGATATATGCCCAGTAATGGGATTGCTGGATCACATGGTAGTTCTATTTTTAATTTTTTGAGAAACCTCAATACCAGTTTCCATAATGACTTTGTGACTCCCACCAACAGCGTGCAAGGGTTCCCTCTCCTCCACATCCTCACCCACACTCGTTACCTTTTGTCTTTTTGATAACAGTCATTCTAACAGCTGTAAGGTGATAGTTCACTGTGGTTTTAATTTGTATCTCTCTGATGATTAGTCATGTTGAAGATTTCTTCTATATCTGCTGGCCATTTGTATGTCTTCTTTTGAAAGATGTCTATTGATGGGGTTCAGGACATAATACCTCAAAATATGACACGTTGGCATTTTGAAACCACCCTTACAAGGCTGATGAGAATTATAAGCCAAGATTTCAGCAGAATTATAGTTAGGCATTAACCAGGGTGCATTGGTGAACCTAGATCCACTTTCTTACAGCTGCTGACTAAGAATCTACGTAGAGCATGCTGACCCGGCTCCTGCATTGTTCCCATAGATAAGATTTGTGATATAAAATTATAAAACCTTTTGTACTCAATAATTGCTTAAGGTATTTTTCGTTTTTATTTTATTTTTTATTTTTTATTGAGACGGAGTCTCGCTCTGCTCTCCAAGCTGTTCAAGCCATTCTCTTGTATCAGCCTTCTGGGTAGCAGGGATTACAGATGCGCGCCACCCATGGCTGGCTAATTTTTGTATTTTTTAGTAGAGACGGGGTTTTGCCACCTTAGCCAGGTTGGTCTCGAACTCCTGACCTCAAGTGATCTTGCCTCGACCTCCTAGAGGGCTGGATTACAGGCGTGAGCCACCACACTCAGCCAAGAATTGCGTAAGGTATTTTTAAATCCTTAATTCCAGCAGAATGGCTGATGCTAACCAGTCTGAAGACTCCCCTTACAAGGGAACTGACAGCACAAGAATGCGGTTTCTATATCACCCTGTCCGATGATTTCACATCTCACTTCTTGACCAACTGGCAATCCCCACACTTCAGCCTATTACCCATCCAGACCCCTTAAAACCCCTACCCTCAAACCTCTTGGGAAGGTAGATTTGAGGTTTCTTCTTGTCAAGCTGCCCTACAATTATTAAACTTTTTTTCTGTTGCAACCCCTGGTGTCTCGGTATATTTACTCACTGTGCATTAAGCAATGAACCTATTACAGTTACAATTTGAGAAAACAGCAGAAGCAGGAAGGTCTCTCTGACTGTCTCCCACCCTCCTGCCCTGAATAAGGCCTTCATTCCAGAGGCACCCATCCTATACACAGAGAAAAGGAATGTTCTTATCTCTGAAGACATACAGAAACAGAGAAGAATCTGAACAAACAGGCCTTGTTAAGTTTCTCCTAGTTTATTACCATTAGATCATACCCCTTTTATCCAATTATACTTCTCTGTAGCTATCTGCTTTTTCATCAAATTTAGCATAAAAATACACATTCTCTGTTTCTTTGGGAGTTTATTTCCAAAGGCTCCCAAGTCACATAAAACTTATTTTAAATAAATTTGTAATTTTTAAATTAATCTGTCTTTTGTTATAGGAGCCACAATCATGTACCTTGTGATGAGTAAGGAAAATATATTTCTTTTCCTTTACTGTTCAGGGTTTTTGCCCATTTTTAAGTGGAGTTATTTATTTTCTTGCTATTGTGTTGTCTGAGTTCTTTATATATTTAGTATATTAATCCCATTTCAGACATATCATTTGCAGATATTTTCTCCCATTCCAAAGGTTGTCTTTTCACTCTGTTGATTGTTTCCTTTGCTGTGCAGAAGAATTTTTAATTTGATCTGATCCCATTTGTCTATTTTTGCTTTTGTTACCTAACCTTTTGTTAGGCATTATTTGATCCACACTCATTCTTTTGGTGATCACACCCAGCTTCCTGCCTTTAAAGATGCTGACTGCCCTCAAATTTATATCTCCAACCCAAACCTCTCTCCTGAACTTCAGCTTCACACACTTTAGTTGCCTAACTAGTATCTCCACTTGGAAGTTAGACATCTTAAATATATCCCAAAACTGAAATTTACAATCTTTATTATCTCATTCCAAGCTTTTTCTCCCTAAAGGCTTCCCTATCATAAATGATGGTAAATGTATATTTTCAGTCTCTCAAGCCAAAATATTTGGAACCATCCTTGAGTCTTATATATTTCTTTCACAGTTTATATCCAAATTATCAGAAAATGCTATTTGGTCTACCTTCAAAATACACCATGTTGCAGTTGGTGTTTTGCTGGTGTTTCTGCTGTTCAGTAAGGGGTGGCTGTGACATTTTCCTGGCAGTTTTTCTGCTTCCACTTGGGTAATTTCAAAATAACAGAAAAACAGAGCAAGCTAATGAATCAAAGGGTATAGCATGGGTGTGATACTCTAATTGCTTCTAAGAATTTCCTTTTCTTCCAAGAAGTTTTGCTTAGAAACACATACACGTAGCTGAAAAAAGATGAAAAGTAAAGTAAGACTATAGCTCTGGTACAATGGTTTAATATGTTCTGTACAGGGTCTATCACATTCAGTGCTTAATGACTACTCACTGACACAAATAATACTATATTACATCTATATAGTGGCTTTCTATGCGCCCAGTGTTGTTATATGCATCTCATTCAACACACTTACTCTTTACAACAATCCTACCAAACACTGAAGTCCTTGAGGGCAGAGAGTGCTTTGCATCCCCAGACACTAGCAAAGGGCCTGGCGCTCAGTGACTGTCCAGGAAATGTTTGTTGAAGGGGTTGACTCACTGACATAGGCTTATTATCCTCGTTTTACAGCTGATAAAATAAGACTCAAAGAGATAGAATGACTTGTTCAATATCACCATGCTAATAACTGGGAGTCAGCCATCTTCTAATTCCCAAGTAAGTGTTCTCCACAATAATCACAAGCTATAATTACTTCGGAATGAGTTATGGCATCTCTGTAAAGCAGGATATAACACATTAGAGTAATAATCTAACACAGTATGATTGCTAAAGTTTTAGTGCAGATCTCTGCTACAAAAGCAAAGCTAAACGTTGGGGCAATATTTTGCCAGAGATCTTAGTTATTTGCTTTTGCAACAAAGAGTCCACACAATGAGAGAATGCTATGGGGCTTCCAGAAAGATGGTCATCTCACCTCTATTTGAATACTGCTCCCGGACAGCCCACTCAATATTGGAATTCTTTACTGTTAGAAAGATATTTCTTATTTAATATAACAAATATCTACTGAATTTCTACTGTCACTGAATCAAAGCTAGGTCTACTCACTCAGTGCAATACAGTGCACTGAAGCCAAACATCCACAGAGAGGTTTTACAGCAAGAGAAAGGAGGGTGTTTACTTGCAGGACACCAAAAAAGGAGAATCAGGAAGCTCATGCTTAAGACTCAACCTCCCTGGTGATTTACAAGCAAGGGTTTTGAAAGGCAGGGGTATATTTAAGGAAAGCAGAAGTTAAAGGCAAAATCATGAATCAATACATGGAGGTTATACACTGATTTGGCCTAAAAAGGCTGGATATCTTGAAGTGGAGGCTTACAGATCATAGGGAGATTCAAAGATTCTCTGAATCGCTGTTGGTTAAAGAAGAGAAACTTTGTCTAAAAACTTGGGGTCAGCAGAAATGAATGTTAGTGTCTGGCCTGTGGGAATGACTTTCTCCAGGCCTCTCAGGAAGAAATTTAGGACATAGAACCGCCATCGGAGTTCAGTCCTCAGTTCCCCCTTATCTGAGGTCTATGTGCCGGCAGATGGCATTGTCTATTTGGTGGGGTCTAGGTTTCTGAAAAACAACTCAAGGACATATGTTAAGATGTTATCTTTAGTTTCTACAGAAAAACAAACATCTTGTGACTCTAACTTCCTTGGCTATTTTCTTAAGTTATTATTACTTGCTTGCTTATCAGGTTGCCTATTTCCTTCTCAAGGATGGGCAGGTGCTGAAACTTTCCTTGAAGGAACTCAAGATTGTCCTTTATTTCTGTGCTTGGCGGTTGAGGGAGCAGCAGGCCCCCAAGAGTGGTGGCTGCTCTAACTACTATCAGTCGTTTGGAGTTTTCTACTCCATATGTTTAATATTTGTCTGCCTCCCTACCCTACTCCACCTACCTTTTTAAATCTCTGAAGACTACTATCATACCTACTCTAAGTAGCCCCATTCCTTCCTTCTGGGTTATTTGCAACCATGTTTCATGTGACATCATGTCCATATTTCTCATCATCCTGGTCCTCATGCTCTGAATAAAAATTAGATTATCACGAGTCCTCTTAAAATGTACTTAGCATAACTTAATATAATTCCTCAGGATAATTTGAAAATGCAGGATTTAGAGGCTAGGTCTTCTCTTGCTTGACTCTCCCTAACTTTAGTTGACAGAATTTCAAATAATTGCCTTTTTTTCCCAAATGTATTGCTTCATGTAGAGTATACTAAATGTATGTTCAGCTAAAGAACAATTTTTTCAATTCACAGAAACTTTTGCCCAGAGAGCTGCACCAAGCCTGTGTACTCACAATTTTTTAAAGATTCTAATAAACAACTTCATAATTTTCTTGAAGTTCATCTTCATTGTTTCTGTATAGCTTTTGACATTGAAGGCTAAACACACCGAGTTTGCAGGCCAATTTTACCTAAACAGTAATTCTTCCTCAACCACAGGTAAAGTCCTGGGCTTGGGCTATTCTTACCTTAGCAGCTCTTGGTAAACTATGCATTTCTCAGCCCATCCTTGAAATCTCATGTCCCACAGGATTTGCTGTAGTCCCCTAAGTAGGACCCATTGGACAGAAGCACTTTCCCCACAAGCCCTCCTGAAATCAGCATTTGCATTACTGGGTTTGACCTTAGTTTTCTGATTGCTAGCCACCTCTGGATAAGTGCTTGACCTGATTTTCTTTATGTTTAGCTATTGGCCAGGGTCATGTTCTAACTGGGTAGAACACTTGGCATCTCAACTTCATTCTGTCACCTTCTATATGAAAATTTCACTGGCTCTGTTCTGCCCACCAGATTGGACTACCGTAGATATTGATAGCTGCTCAATCAAGCTGAGGTTCACAGTATCCTTTTGGACAGGTATCTGGACTGCATGTCTTCCTTTTCTAAGAGTGGCCTTACAGCTGGATCAAGTCCCCTAAGTCCTGGCTTCATCCCAAGTTCTAGCCTCCATCTCTCCTAATCTGCCTGTGTACATCTATGATTTCAGCAAGCTTCAGTCCAAAACCAAGCCTGCTAAAACTCCTGTAATAATCTTTCACTTGAACTTGTCTCTCATAAACAGTTGTCCACACTTTGTTGATTTGATAAGCTTATTTTTTTCTCCACTCAACTTGTGAACAACACAACAAAAAATGTTGTTCAGTCTTTTCCAGTACAAGAAGAAAGAAAAAAAAAAAAGGTTGACTTGAGCTATGTCAGCCTGTGTGAGGCTTCTCTCTAGTTTTTAAAACAATCACCAATCAAAACTGTTTGGGTAAGGTTGCTTAAGCATACTATAATTGAATTCACATTTTACAATCTTATAGTGGAAACAAGAAAGATGTAGTCAAATATTTGCCTAATTTAATGCTATTTCAAGGACAGTCTCTTAATCCACTAATCCTAGTTTAAAAAGAGAAGAAAGTTGAGATTTATTTGGCCTGTGTTCTTCCTAGTGAACCTATTTTAGTCCCTCATACACATGCTTACCGATTTATAGTTATTGCAACTACAAACAGATGGAAACAGCCTGGGATTAGTTAAATAGTGGCAAGAGATGACTCCTACAGGTAACAGGTTCCCTTGACAGAGAATCACAGCACCTTTTTTAAGACCGTTTTGAAGTATGTTCCTTAAGTAGTTTAATAAATAAACAACAAGGGTAATGTAGAATTTTTAAACAGAGTTTTACATCTTCTCTCAGAATGAAAAGAAAGACGAATTTTGGCATTTGTCAGACCTGGTTTCAACCTACAACTAGACAGCTACATGACCTGAAGGTCTTTAATTTTGAATTTCCCTGTGTGTCAATGAGAGCATAGTATCTTACAGCTTGATTGCCAGGATTAAACTAAAATGTAAAGCAACTAATATGTAAGAATTTAATAAAGGTAAAATCCCTTTCTCTTCATTCTCTTCTAAATGTTAATCTAAAGTTTCTTATACAATTAATTTTCCTCTTTAAGATTTAGTTTCCTGTTCTATATAACAGAACAAAACTTTTATAAAACATATTGTCACCATTATCTCCTTTCAATATCTTCCAACTTACCCTAAGTGAATACTAGTTTCCAACTTTCTTCAGCCATATAGAAACATGGGAAAAATTAGTAAAATAGGTATATTCTCCCCAGTTACTAAAAGGGTAATGAAGTGCTCATACTAATGCTTTTGAGAATATCCTATTTTATTTAGATTGGGTATATGTGATTATATTAAATAAACAGTATTCTTTTAAAACACGTAGACCTTGCACATAACTCTCCATATTTGGGGGTGGAAGGTGGGCTTTCCGAATGTTCCCCTCTCCACCAGCCCATTTCTCCCAGGCTGCTCTCTTTAATGGGTTATTCCTGTCACACATGACTAAACTACCTGACATCGCCATTTTTTTCACATGGAAGCATCTAGTTAAATCTGCTACTCCTGCTGCCATTTAGGGGATATTGTTTCATCTCCACCTATATGTGTACCTTATTTAAAAAAACATTGTTTTCGTTTTCCAACTACTGTCTGCAGTCATCCTCTGATGCCTTCCACATAGTGGGGACTCAGCAATCAGGACCAGCTTATTCTCTCCTGGACCTTTTGCTCCCCAAAATCTCCCCTATTTTTTCAGTGCTCTCAGGTGGTCCCACACTTGATGCTTCTAAAGCCAAAGTCTCATTCGTGGCAACAAATAACCAAGCAAACCCCATGCCGTGTCAGCCAGCCAGGGCACCCAAATTGTCTTCTTCAATGGCCATGGCATGACTTTCCAGGTTCAACCAATCTCAAGGCAGCTTTGGAACAATCAAGAAACACTTATGCCCTAGGTTCCAACTAATATGTGGGAGGCAAGCACACAAGAAATTAGAAAGAAATTGCCAAAGAGTATACTATTTACAATTATTTTCTTTATGTTACATTTTATACAACCTTACAGAGCTTTGTAACGGCTAGAATGTCTAACAAGCCCAGAAAATATCCTCTACCTCCTCTCTTACCTTGAGCTGACATTTTTTAAAAACAAGTAATCAATTGAAAGACTCTCGAGTACCTAAAAGAAGCAGGGAAAGAACTGGAAGCCCTGTGTTTGAGTCAAATTCAAAATTTGCTTAATGACCTTGGGTAAATTGCTTTGCCTCTTTGAGTCTGTTTCCTCATCTATAAATGAGAATGACATTATCTTCTTCCTAAGACTATTGTGAGGGATAAATGAGAGTATATTTGAAAGGATTTCAGAAAATATAAAGTGCCAAACATATGGTAAGTGCTATCATCCAATTGCAGCCAAATAACAGAGTAGAACCACTCATCAGATGAGGGGGAAGCTACAAAATGTGCAATTTGGATCAGCGCATGAATTTCATTCCCCAAACCACAAAATTATCATCCCTGCTTCAAGTCACCATACTGGTCTCTCACATCTTATAGAATGTGTATTTTCAAAAACAATGGGTAGAGATTTCCAGGGCTCTGGAAAATGGAACTGTTAGCCCTGGGAGTTTCAGAAGAGAAATACAAATATTGATCTTAAAATAAGCTCATTATGTGGCATTTTGTTAGTGTTGACTAGAGAAATAACAAAAAGATTTGATGTAAATGTGATTTAATCTCTCATGGAGAATTAATGTCTTCTCATATGTAGACATAGATAATTTTCTAAGGTAAACTATATTTTTCCTACTTACTTTGCAATCATTTCTACCATATTTCCTAATCGCCCCTCACCTCCTCCACTCTAATCCTATGGGAAAGCCTTTGCCCATCCCTGTCTGTTCGTTTGCCTTATCAGTTTGCCATCTACTTGTTGTCAACCCCCAAATACATATCTCCAGCACAGACCCCTCTCTTGATGGACAGACTTTGATTTCTGACTGCCACTCAATGCCTCTACTTAAATGTCAAACACATCTCAAATTGAACTCCTGATCTGTGCTCTCTCTCTCTGTACCCATAGTTTTCTCCGTCTTAGTTAATGGGTACTCATTTTCCAGTTGGTTAGACCAAACACTTTAGAGTCACATTTCCACACTCATTCTATCAGGAAACCTTATTAGCCCTACTCTTCAAAACAAATACCAGTCTAACCACTTCTCACTGATGCTACAGCTACCATTTTCGTCATAGCCACCAACATCTATTGCATAGGATACACAATAGCCTTTTGAAACTTACATCAGTATATGCCATGGCTCTGCTCAAACCCCTCCAGTGGTAACCCACAGTACTCCAGGGAGAGCCTGACAAGAGCTGGTTCTACTGGTACCTCTATGACCTCATTATCCTATTCTTCTACCCCAACTCACGCTGCCTCAGCCACACTGGCCTTTTTACTGTTCTGTGAATATCCAGGCACATTCCCTTCTTATGACCTCTGTACTAGTTTTTTTATCTGCCTGGTGAATGCCCTAAGAGATCCATATAGCTAACTCCTTCACATTGCTCACTTTCTGAAGGAGGCCTGCACTGACCATCCTATTTAAAATTGCAATTCCCCTCCCTGGCACTACAGATCCATCGTATCTTCTTCTTATTCTTTTTTTAATCTTCTCTAAATGTATAGTACTAATAACTCCAATATGGTCTTTATTTTTTTTTCTGTCTTTCTGTATACAAAAATAAAACCACAAGGACAATGTCTCAGATAGAGTACCTGGCACTCAGAAGATATTTGTTAAATAAATGACTTCAGTCTCTCGGTTTTCTAGAATCTTGAAAGTTGGGTCATGGCATGTATTTGTTTCCTATTGCTATTCTAACAAGTGACAAGTAATTTTGTGTCATAAAACAAGATAAATTTATCCTCCTACAATTCTAAAGATTGGAAGTCTAAAATAAGGTTTTCAGCAGGATGTCCTCCTTCTGGGGACTTCAGATCTCTGTTTCTTTGCCTTTTTCAGTGCTAGAGATTCCCTGTACTCCTTGGCTCATAGTCCCTTCTTATCACTCCACCTTCTTGCTTCTGTTGCCATATTTCCTACTACTCTTACTCTGATCTCCTGCCTCCCTCTTAAAGTATCTTAAAGAAGCAGTAAATGGTTGAGGTGATTAGGGCCATTAGTAGGGCCATTATTAGAGCCATTAGACTTGTGATTACATCAGGCCCACACAGATAATCCAGGATAACTTTCCCATCTCAAGATCCTTAATTTATTCACACCTGCAAAATCCCTTTTGCCATATAAAATAACATTCACAAGTCCCAGGACTTAGGACTTGAACATCTTTTGGGTGGAAGGATAATATTCAACCTACCAGGTTGAATATGAGAAACAGCTAAAACTACAACAGCTGAACAGATGTGAATGAAACTACTACAAAACTATATTTGCCAGTGGAGCAGGCACAATAAGGAATAGCCAAATTGGGGTTCAAGCTTTATTCAAATAACTTGGGAGACAAATAATATAATTTATATTTAGGCACCTACTGGAGATAGAAAGAAAACCAGTAGATTTGGGTTACAGAAGTTTTGATCAAAGAGCTAAGAGACAAGAGTGAGAACTTGGTCCAGGGTGAAACACGGCAATTCTCCTAAGCCACATAAAGGATTTTGGACTTGGTTCTAAGGGAAATTGGAAACCACTGACAGGGCTTACATAGGAAAGTGGCCTAATAAGACATACATTTTGAAACATATCACTCTTGCAATAATGTGGGAAAAGAGTGAAGAGCAAGAGAATATGTGAAAAGACCACTTGGGAGAATGATGCAGTAGTCAAGGTGATAGAAGCTTGCTATTGTATTGAGTCTTAGTTTCCTCTCTGTCAAATGAAGATCACATTATTATCAGCCTCACCTAGCTTTTGCAATGATTCAGTAAGAATACACATAAATCACCATGTTGGGTACATAAACAGTGCTGGCTACTGGCATTGTAACTCTGTGTTATCTATTCCTAATACAAAATTACAGAGCTACTGCTTAAAAGGAAATAAGGTATTGATTATATCTAAAACAAGGTATTTAAAAACCGATAAAACATTGACCTAAGCACAACAGGATAAGAAGCTACCCTCTGCACTGTCTGATTAGGTTGAGAAAATAGGTCTTTCCACACCTCTTGCTAAATTAGTAAGAGACGACAGCGAGCTCAGAGGGAACTTTGGGCCCTGGATGTTAGTAACAGGGAAACAGGGAGAAACAAAATCACCACAGTGACATTTGGTTGCCAAAGATGCAATATTATGAAAATGAACAATGTTGAGGGTCTCAGAAGTGCTTTTTCTTGTGTCTCCAAGCAATGAGGTCGAATAGTATTGAGTATAGGAATAGACTTGGGCATGGCAAGTGAGCTCAAGTTGTGGCTCTATCATTTACTAGGCTTACCATTGGGAAAGTAATGTAAACTCTCTGAGCTTCAGTTACCACTTCTGAAATTAAGATAACAACAGAAATATATTACATAATGACTTTTCATCAGAATTTAATGAGAAAATGCTTGCAAAGTGCTAACACAGTGCATGACACAAAGTACTCAAATAGTTGTTATTATATTATTTATGCTGTAGCCTTTTTTTCTTATATGTTGTTCAGTCCACTATCTTTCAAGAAATTGTGAAATAGCATCCTGAAAGTTAAGGGAGGCAGAAAAGAGACCAGAAAGGAAGCAGCAGAGAGAATACTAGGGTCAATATCAAGTCATCTTTACCAAGCAGAGAACACACTCGCCTATGATTCAAGCAAGGATGGGGAATTGTGTTGCAGTCGAAGTGTGTCAGCAAAGAGCAGACTAAGAGCCAGCAAGGGAAGATATAGGTCAGAGCCAAGGGGAAGACAGAATGACAGTATCGACAAGAAGAGGTCATCTCCTGGAGTGTCCGGCTTACTGTCGCCAGGAATCCAACAGCCCACAGGAGGAGGAGGAGGATAAACGAGAACACCGGGCATACTCTTGAACTGCAGCTGCCTTCTCTGAAAATACAGGCACATTAACTCTCCTTAGATGAAAAGGGGAAAGAAACTCTGTTTGCAGTCTTTTCCAGAGAGGATTGAGTGCCTCCTATTGGAGTGCGAAAAAGAACCACTTAAAACAAGACGCTGTTGTCAACAAATAAAATTAGGAAGACAAATCTCATCAGATACTATCAAGACTAAGAGAGACTAGTACTTCTGAGCTTTCCAATAGATTTGGACTGCCAAGGTTTATAAGTTGCATATGGCTAGGAAAATAAAATAGGTAATCTAATTTTCCAAAAGCCAAGGGAGTGTGAGTCAAAGATAAGAAAAGAAGGCTTACATAAATAAGCCTCCTCAGGAGGAGAATGGGAGAGTTGCCTAATCCACATTCTTCCCTTTTGATGTCCCATGAACTCAGGCTGAGAAGAACACATTTAATGCTATGGGAAGGAAGAACTTGGATTTTTGTCTCAGCAAAGTACGTAGAACAGGCACTTTGAATAGCTGCCATAAGATGAATTTAGAAATTTTCAGAACTATAAAGTATAAGATGTCTTCAGCAAACTAGATATGATTGGTTACAGGTTATGCCCATACAAAAAAACATTTCAATGGCTCCCCATTGCCTAATGATTACAAGATCCTCCCCCTGGTTTTGAAAAAATCTTCCCTTTCTCTGTTCAGTCCCTATGGTGGGATAAGGAAACCCTGAGTGTCCCAAGTGCCATTTCACCTGTGTGTGAAGACTGACAAGAGGATGCCCAGTCCAAATTCTAAATTCCCAAGAAAAAAGGACCGTCCATCTCAAGGCAAGCATCCACTCTTGGTCCAATTACACATAGTGAGCCCCACACCACAAACATGGCTCCCAGAACATGTGCAATGGGGAAAGGAAACTGTGGATTTGTTAGAGATCCTAAAGTGTGTCCAGATTACTTTTCCCTCTCTTTATCTCCTGATTGCTACACTCGATCACATTAGACCTGTTGGAAAAATAAATGACACAGGACTTCAAGGCCAAGGTTTGGAAAATGGTCAGTATATGTGCTTAGGCTCATAAATCTTAACTTATATTGTACCTTCCTAAGCTTAAAGGGCATGGCTCTTAGTAAAAGTGACAAAATCACACCAAGGTGGGGATGTTCAGGGTGCAGGTTCTCTGGTATGTGCTGGCTCCTTACCAGGGAACAGGTGTAGATGCCAGTGCACATGTCATGGAAGCCTGGCACTGGGGTATTTCGAGTCTCTTTTAAATCTATGTCACTTTGAAATGATAGTGTTATTACCTTAAAAAGATCATCAGTGCCATATGGTTGAATTAGTCTCAGTTGATTTTTGCCTAAGTCTCACGCCTGTAGCTACAGAATAGCACCTAGTTCTCATAGATGAGTGATCATTCGTCTGCAGAGCCACAGGGCCCAGGAGGTACTGAGCATGACAGACTTGGCCATGGCCTGTCACACAGGTCCCACTCAGTGCCCCCACAGAAAGAAGCCTCTTCCTTATCCTTCCAAGTGGTGCAGTATCTCCCTTCTTCCCATCACTAGAACACTGGGGTTTTGTCTCCCGGATTAGGTTGTAAACATTACGGCACTGCTTTGCTGTCAGTTTGAATCCTGGCTCAGCCACTTAACCATGTGACCTGGGAGAGAGAGTTGCCAACTGAGAAAAAGGAAATAAAAATATCACCCTCTTAGGTGTGCTGTGAAAATTAAAAGGCAATGTATATAAAGCACATAACATGCTGCCTGGTACAAAGGAACTGCCCAATAAAGGCAAATAACATCAATATTATTTTTTGAGAGAAGAGTCAGTATCTTACTGCTATTTGCATGCAATGCCTGTACCTAAGTACAAAAACAATTAATTAAATAGAAAAATGGCCACTCCAGGACAATGCCTCCAGCCACCTGACACAGAGACTTGCCAAATGCCTAACGTGAAGACACAGCATTGGCAGGTTGCTAGACTTGCCTATCTTCTTTGAATCCCTCTTTGGTTGCTAGACTTGCCTGAGTTTTTCAAATCCCTTTAGAATCCTACCTATCTGTGGATGCTAGACTTGCCTCTGTGGTTGCTAGATTTGCTTGTCTTCTTTGAATCCCTTTAGAATCCTATCTATCACATGTGGGTAAGTTCTAGGAGTGTATTAGCCACAAATATCCACTGAGCACCTATTATGTGCGAATTACTGGCTTTTAAACATTGGAGACACCTGATGAGAAAAAAAAAGACCCTGTTCTCAAGGTGCCAACCATCTCATTCCTGAATGCATTATCTACTTTAACTCTTAATGTTCACCTCGTGTTCACTAATTCAAAAATTTACACAATTCCATGGTTTGCAATGATTTCAGATTTTCCAGCTGAAGCAGCAGCATCTTTTCCAGTTGACAGCATCCCTCAGGCCACCACTGTCAGCCCTACTCTTGCTCTGGTTCTATTACAACAGCATCAGGGCCACTGCTGTCATCATAACTAACATTCACAAATGATGGGTACAATTTACAAAGTATTTTGTGTAAATTATCTCATTTATTGTATCCAGATGGGATACGTATGGGTTGCTTTACCATAGCTCTATACAGCACAGTCTCTGCTCGTTTTTAGCATCTTTTTAAATAAGCCTAGATGCTCAGTTTTCTTTTTGTCCACAACAGGTCACTGAGTCTTTGTCTTTATGTAACAATTTATATGTTATCCACCAAGCTTCTCTTCTAGGTTCAGACTCAGGGTAACACATTTTGTGTTTGAAATTTTGTGTTTCTCCCAAATCGATGGCTTTGTACTTACCATCCTTTGAAGGTCATCTGCTACCTTTGCACCCATTCAGAGTTTGTCATTCTTACAGTCCGAAGTCAGATCCCAAAGCATCTTCATTCTGAAATGATCTTATGCTGCCCTAGGAAGGAAAGTTTCTTATTTTTATTAATTTTTATCAACTAAACATGTATCTTAGTCATAACATTTAAAATCTTAGTCATTACATTTCTCTACCTACAGAATTCGTTTTCCTTATTTTCTTCTGTGGGTAGTTTCCTATTAAATGAGTCTGACAGAGCCATAGAAGTTGCACATGTACCAGGATATATTTTGGTGTAAAAGTTTGAGAAATAATTTTAAAATCTCAAACACATCTATCAGTTTCCCTCTACCTCAATTCTTCTTCACTCTCACTCAGGATGATGCAATACTGCTCCATGGTGAATTACCATGGCCATTCTGGTGGGTCAGTGCTCATGCCACATTAGTGATTGAAATTTGACTATCACTCATGTGTCCATAAGTTTATGTGTATACAATCACTTCAAAGAGAATAAAATACCTAGGAATCCAACTTACAAGGGATGTGAAGGACCTCTTGAAGGAGAACTACAAACCACTGCTCAATGAAATAAAAGAGGATACAAACAAATGGAAGAACATTCCATGCCCAGGGGTAGGAAGAATCAATATCGTGAAAATGGCCATACTGCCCAAGGTAATTTATAGATTCAACGCCACCCCCATCAAGCTACCAATGACTTTCTTCACAGAATTGGAAAAAACTACTTTAAAGTTCATATGAAACCAAAAAAGAGCCCACATCGCCAAGTCAATCCTAAGCCAAAAGAACAAAGCTGGAGGCATCATGCTACCTGACTTCAAACTATACTACAAGGCTACAGTAACCAAAACAGCATGGTACTGGTACCAAAACAGAGATATAGATCAATGGAACAGAACAGAGCTCTCAGAAATAATGCCACATATCTACAACCATCTGATCTTTGACAAACCTGACAAAAACAAGAGATGGGGAAAGGATTCCCTATTTAATAAATGGTGCTGGGAAAACTGGCTGGCCATATGTAGAAAGCTGAAACTGGATCCCTTCCTTACACCTTATACAAAAATTAATTCAAGATGGTTAAAGACTTAAATCTTAGACCTAAAACCATAAAAACCCTAGAAGAAAACCTAGGCAATACCATTCAGGACATAGGCATGGGCAAGGACTTCATGTCTAAAACACCAAAAGCAATGGCAACAAAAGCCAAAATTGACAAATGGGATCTAATTAAACTAAAGAGCTTCTGCACAGCAAAGGAAACTATCAGCAGAGTGAACAGGCAACCTACAAAATGGGAGAAAGTATTTGCAACCTACTCATCTGACAAAGGGCTAATATCCAGAATCTACAATGAACTCAAACAAATTTACAAGAAAAAAACAAACAACCCTATCAAAAAGTGGGCAAAGCATATGAACAGACACTTCTCAAAAGAAGATATTTATGCAGCCCAAAAATAGATGAAAAAATGCTCATTATCACTGGCCATCAGCGAAATGCAAATCAAAACCACAATGAGATACCATCTCACACCAGTTAGAATGGCGATCATTAAAAAGTCAGGAAACAACAGGTGCTGGAGAGGATGTGGAGAAATAGGAACACTTTTACACTGTTGGCGGGACTGTAAACTAGTTCAACCATTGTGGAAGTCAGTGTGGCCATTCCTCAGGGATCTAGAACTAGAAATACCATTTGACCCAGCCATCCCATTACTGGGTATATACCCAAAGGATTATAAATCATGCTGCTATAAAGACACATGCACACATATGTTTATTGCGGCACTATTCACAATAGCAAAGACTTGGAACCAACCCAAATGTCCAACAATGATAGACTGGATTAAGTAAATGTGGCACATATACACCATGGAATACTATGCAGCCATAAAAAATGAAGAGTTCATGTCCTTTGTAGGGACATGGATGAAACTGGAAACCATCATTCTCAGCAAACTATCGCAAGGACAAAAAACCATACACCGCATGTTCTCACTCACTGGTGGGAATTGAACAATGAGAACACATGGACACAGGAAGGGGAACATCACACTCTGGGGACTGTTGTGGGGTCGGGGGATGGGGGAGGGATAGCATTAGGAGATATACCTAATGCTAAATGACGAGTTAATGGGTGCAGCACAACAACATGGCACATGTATACATATGTAACAAACCTGCACATTGTGCACATGTACCCTAAAACTTAAAGTATAATAATAATAAAATTAAATTAAAAAAAAAACAAAACAAAAAAACAGAAACAAAAAAATAAATAAAACAAACTTGAATGGAAAAAAAGGTTTATGTGTATATATTTTGACATAAATAGACCATTTTTAAATATCATTTAACTTCTTAGGGAAAAAAAACTGATATGAAATCTCAAGTTAAAAATGGCTAAAAGAAAATTCTATTTGCCTAGTAATTCCTATGCATAAATCAACATGTTCAAGGAGAGGATGAGGATCAACATTATTTGTAACTATACCAACTTTCCAAGGACAAATAGTTCATAATTTCTAAGGAAGCCTTCTATAGTAATCATCTCAGGCTACCATAACAGAATGCCAAATGGATGATTTAAACAACAGAAATTGATCCTCACAGTTGTGGAGACTAGGAAGCATGAGATAAAGGTGCTGGATAATTCAGTTCCTGGTGAGGACTCTTTCCCTGGCTTGCAGACAGCTGCCTTCTTACTTTACCTTTCCTCCTTGATGCATACACATTAAGAAGAAGGGAGATCTCTCTTTCTTCCCATCATAAGGCCACTAATTCATGATGAAATCTTGCATATTAAAAAGAAAAGCCACTAGTCCTAAGAGACCCACCCTTATAACCTCACCTAACCCTAATTATCTCCCAAAGCCCTCATTTCCAAATTAACAAATGAATATTGGGGAAATAAAAACAGTTCATAACACCTTCTTTATTGAATAATAATCTCTCAGCTCAGAAGAACTCTGGAACACCAAGGCAAAAAAAAAAGGCAGCATTATGTTAAAATAAAAACATTTAAAGTCAAATTGGAAGAAATATTTATCATTGTAATAACAATGCTGCTGAGTTTGGTTGACTTATACATTATTTACTGCGGGCCAGGTGCTCTTCTATAACATTTCTATTCTCTATTATACATACTCATTCAATGTGCAAATATGATAAATCTAAGGGTCCTAAATATACAGTTTATATATTTGTTATAGAGTATATATAACTAGTACTGTAACAGAGAAACAAATAATATAAAAAGATATCTCCCCTGGTTTTATGAATTCACTAACAAACATATGAGACATTATTAGCCTCATTAGTTATCCATGAAATGCAAATTAAAACAGCAAAATGTCATTTCTTCACCCATGAAATTAATGAATATTAAAGAAAATGATGGTGAGAAGACATTGAGATTATCACTCAACTGTCATTGATGGAAGTATAAATTAGTATGACTTTCCTAAAAAGCAATTTGACAATATATGCAACAAGAGCTTTACAGATTTTTCTCCTCATCAAGCCAGTAATCATTTTCTGGCATACTTCTCAGAAATTAAAAAATGAATGATTGTAACAGCTGGGTAATAAATCCTTATATAAGTCAGATTGTTTCAAAAAATACAAAGAAGGACCTAATAATTTTGAGACAGAGATCTATGTTTTTTTTTTTTGGCATATAATGAACTTTTTAAAAATTCAAAAAACTGAGTATCTCTGAGTATCACTAAAATAATTGCAATTTACATTTGATTGTGAAAAAGTTTCTTGGTGTCTACACACATATAATTGAGAAAGAGGACTAAATTGATGCTGAATTTATTAGGAATAACATCTATCCAGTGATAACTAAATTTTTTAAAAACTGAAACCCTTTCTCAGAACCTAATTTTCAATAAAACTTAAATGTTTTATTAGCTTTATCAAAATATGTGATATATTTTTGTTTCATCAACAATAACTTCAACATATATACTTATTTTGCTGTAGAGAAACACAATTGCTTTGTATCATTGAATACATTACTTTAGGATAAACTTCTAAGGAAGAAAGTCTAATAAAAATAGGAGTTCAAGGGGAAAAAACGTAGAAGTTCTTGCTATTAATGATGAGCTTCCATGCATTTTTAAAAACAGACAACAGGGTATCAAATCACTATGGTATTGATGTTATTCTTGAAATAATTTAAAGTATTAGAATGTCCTTTGCAATTATTTAAACTTAGGATGAAAAATGTTAGATTTTAATGAAAAAAATATTCAAGATAATACATCCTTGTAATAATCACTTTAGGGGACATGTAAGTGGAAAACTTTGAAGAACATTATTATAGTGTACTTGGTGTATTGTTTGCCATCCAATAATTAGGATTTGGAATCAAAGCCTTCTGTAACACTTGTCCTAAGTCTTGTTTTACAGGGCGTCATATTTTTCAATGCATCTAGTATATGTTCCTTGGGTTTTGCTATATAAATTATAGTAGGCAGAGCAAAACTCTTATTATATGTGGAGTGAGAATCAGGGTAGCAGCTCCCAACCAAGGATATTTTCAAAAAAGCTGCTAATATGGAACAAGCTTTAGTGTCTCAGAGTTATCAGCCCTTCTTTAACACCAGCTCCCAAACACGCTTAATTTAAAATCATTTGATTTAAATGTGGAAAAGTTTCTTCAAGGTAAAAATCATAAAAAGAAAATTTAAATTACTGGTCTTCCTTAAGGACTGGCAAAATTCTTGGAGAAGGAGGCTTTTTCACCTTTAACCCAATTTTCTTCAGAAGTTACTCTGAGTGATCTTTTAGATACTTTAGCACAGTCAGTTTTCTTCAAAAGTTAATCATTGTAATATTTTAGATAAGAGGAACCAAGAAGCTCTTGAATTAACTAAAAATAGAAATACAGATAGTTCAGATATTAGAAATTAGATGTGAAAACTATTTTATGATCAAGTTTCCCTCTGCAAAATATCCAACTGGGGAAAAAAAGCCTTGAGAAACCTTATTCCTCTGCCTTTTCCCCCAACAATCCCAACTAAATTCATAGTTCCCAATTCCTATTTACATGTTGGCTTATGGCAATAGGCATCTGTTCCCATCACTCCAAAATACTCTAGACCTGCTCTCTAGGTCAGCCCTGAACTTATAGACTTCAGCTCCAGTGGTTTCTACTTAACTTTCATCTGGTTCACTTCTCTCAATTATTTGACATAGTTGATCATTTCCTTTTTGTTAAACCTGCTGTCAACCCTGACATCTGTGATTTTTACTCTTCTGACACTACTACTATGGTTTGAACTGTTCCTTCTAAGGTATCTCTCCCTTTATGCATCCTGTAAGTGGAGAAAGGCATTCCTCAAAGTTGTTCTTAGCCCTCTCTTGGCCCTTCGCTCTCAATGGACCATTTGTTTTGCTTCTATGGCTTTAAATATCACCACCCTGCAAAGTATTTTCTAAATATACATTTTCAAAGAAATCTTACCTAAAAGATGTCTCAGTTCTAACTGTTCAGCTTCTTCAACACTGTAAGCTCAACATATCCTCATCTTCTCTCCTTTCACACCCATAATACTTACCCCTCTCTTGCCCCAATCCCTTCATTTCAAATCAGTACTTCTCCCAGTTCTGGGAGTCAGTGAAAAGCACCATCATCTTCTAAACGTCTTTAAACTCCGCTCCCTCACTTCTCTCCATCCAATGGAATCATCAAATCCTTTTGACCTCATTCTGCAACATCTGTCTGCCCCGTTCTCACTTTTCACTGCCACAACCCTAATTCTGAGCCTCATCATTTCTGACCTGATCTAGTCTTCAATATTCTAACTGCACTTCCAGCTTAAGTACCACTATCTCCATTAACAATTACCCAACTAACAGTGTCCTTTCTCTATCTTCCCATTACATTTTACCCATACAATCAGTTGTACCCATATTCTGCTTCCCTCAAATCAAAGCCCATTTGCTAGGGATACATTCCCCATTAATCCTATTCACAAATCTAAATCCAATCTCCTTGTGGAAATGCACATACAATTGATTTTTACATCATCGCAACCTAACTTGTGGTATAGCACATAGCAGGCACTAAAATGCTAAGAAAAACAAATGGATAGCCATTTTTCTTTCAGAAAATTTAGAGTATTCCTTATCAAAATAACATTGTCTAATGAACTCGGTATACTTTGATGTATTATCTAGTTACACCTAACAGTTTCTTAAGAATAAAGAATCTTAATTCCTTTTTTTTTTGTATTTTTAATTTTTTTTGAGACTAAGTTTCACTCTTGTCGCCCAGACTGGAGTGCAATGGTGCAGTCTCGGCTCACTGCAACTTCCGCCTCCCAGGTTCAAGCAATTCTCCTGCCTCAGCCTCCCAAGTAGCTGGGATTACAGGTGCACACCACTATGCCCAGCTAATTTTTGTATTTTTAGTAGAGATGGGGTTTCACCATATTGGCCAGGTTGGTCTTGAACTCCTGACCTCCAGCGATCTACCCACCTCAGCCTTCCAAAGTGCTGAGATTACAGGCATGAGCCACCATGCCCGGCTCCTTCCCTCTTCTTAATATCATAATTAGCATGAGGATGAATGAAGCACGTCCTAGAACATGTTTCAGGATTCTTCGACAAGTGGAGATGCACAATCTCTTATTTAATTCTTCATGTTCTCAGTAAAACTCCTTTTGTTTTTTCCAAATATTTGACAAAAAAGTAACAAATATAAGAAGTCATGTTTACTTGCCAACATAATTTTAGTCTCCCTGATTCTGTTACTAAGTATGGATCTCCAAAATAATGCCTTAAAGACATAAACAAGATAGGGCACACAGCTCCCCACATCTCTTGCCTAAGACATTACATTCCTTAAAAAATAAATGAACTTGGTCCTTACCTGTTCTTACACATAAAATCATGCCTGCCAAAATCAACAATTATGCCCCCGCAAACTATAACCAAATATACTCTTAGGCCCAAATTTTAATATAATTTTATACATGCTGGATCTTCACTCCCTACATAAAAACTATAATTTAAGCTGCATTAAAAAAGTCTAACAAAACGTATCTCTAGACAATTTTTCCAAAATATAATCCTCAATAAGACTCTAAATAAATTTTAATTCTTTAAACATCTAGTATTTGTTTAGTCAACAATACAAACTGGGTGATACAAGCAACCAAAGCTAAGACACCCCAAGATTTTCCCCATTGAAATGAGAGTTGTGAAGGCACAAGTAATGATTAAATCACTCCCTTTTTGTGATTGTAACAAAGCTACACTCAGGTGAAAGAAAAATGTAACTGATTGACTGCTCAGAATTGGGCCACTGTCTGTGACTCTCCTTACGAACTTCCCTCCAGGGGAAATTCCTTGTTCACTTTGGCCCTTGCTGGAGGGGAAGGTGACTTGCAGCAGAGATTACACGAAAGCTGTTATTTTGTAAAGGTTACAGGAGATGCAACAAGAGGCAGCGCTGAGCTACCCAGGTGCAGCGAGAGGAGAACATCAAAAGAGGAGTAAAGATAGCACAGAGTGGAGCTGCTTTCTCTGTAGCTTATCTGAGCTCCTTCAGTTGAGAAATCAAGACTTGCAATCTCAAGATAAAAAGCTTGCTTGTGACAAAGCCAGTGTTTCTTGACTAAGTTGGAAGTACCATAGAAGCAGTTTTTCTTGCAACCAATCTATTTCTCTATACAGTATGCAGCTACATGTGAAAATAACTCATGAAACTCTTCCAAGAAACCTTAAGGACTTGAAGAAATGCTTGTATGGAAGGAGGGGGTTCTAATGTTTCATCTGGAATCCTTTCTACCAGAGCCAACCGACTGCATACACAACTTTAGGACACAAGTGAAAAAGAGAAGCTGGATGCCAAGTCCAGATTCCAAGATATGAGGCCAAGTGAAATGGGAGGGAAATTATTATTGCCACTTAATATGTATTAAATACAACATTTGAGAGATCACAGACCCAGAAACACCAGGGCAAGGAATTGGAACTTCTGCCAGCAGGAGCAGCTAACGCCAACTGAAAGAGCCCAGGATTGTCCCAAGAGTGAACAATGTATCAAGACAGAAAATGAACTGGATAAGAGTTTTACTTCCTAGACCTTCTGGTCTGAAATGCAGGGAGAGAACTCTGTCTTTATGCCAGTTTATTTAACTTAAATGAAACAAATAATATTCAAAGTTGAGCTGAGCTCACAGAAGTAGAAAAAAGATGTTCTCACAAAATTATTTCTATGCCCTACAGTGGCACCGATACTCCAAGGAAGAGTTACTAGCACTGATTTCCAGGTGAGATAGTGTGGCACTGGAACCAGAACTCCAAATGAGATCAAGAGGGACATTCCATAAATATCCAGTAAATGACTCCTAACTTGGGGAAAGGAATGTTCATGGGGGATGCTATCAGAATTACCCTTCAAGGGAGGGCTGGTTATTTCTAAATATAGGTGCTGCCCACTCTTCCACCATTCTCTCATCTGTTTATTAGGATCTATTACTGATAGGTCTGTTACATCTTTTCTCTGTATTGATGAGAAAAATAGAATATGGCAGAATTTTATATATATATGTATATATATATATATATATATATTTTTTTAGACGGAGTCTCACTCTGTTGCCAGGCTAGACTGCACTGGTGCCATCTCAGCTCACTGCAACCTCCAACTCCCTGGTTCAAGCAATTCTCCTGCCTCAGCCCCCTGAGTGGCTGGGATTACAGGCACACACCACCACGCTCAGCTACTTTTTGTATTTTTAGTAGAGACGGGGTTTCACCATGTTGGCCAGGATGGTCTTGATCTCCTGACCTTGTGATCCGCCCACGTTGGCCTCCCAAAGTGCTGGGATTAAAGGCGTGAGCCACTGCGCCGGGCCTAGAATAATATGTTTTAAAATTATTAAGGTACAGCTCTGATAATATTGAGCATAATAACAAGTAATAAAAATACATTTATCAAATCCCATCAGGCAAGTATGCTGCTGAGCCCTTTGTATGGTTGTTTAATTCTAGTAAGCTGCTAAGAATATTCCTATTATTATCTTTATCCAAAGTATAAAATGAGGCCCAGGTAAGTAACTTGTCCAAGATCACATTCGTTAATCCAGGTAGTCTGGCTCCAGTATCCATATCATCTCTTCTCAAAATATTACTTAAATTTGAAAAAAAAAATGCTTAAAATTAAAAAAACTCTTTTGCCCAGCATCAAAGGCCCTATGTAAAGCACTTCCAACTCTTTCTTCTGCTAGTGCCTTATTTGCTCCCTTGTGTGTAGGAGAGCTCCTTATAAGTGCTGTCCATACTCACAGTCCCCAATTCTCATTCTCTTAACCCCGCTATAAGCATCCTTATCACTTTACCAAAACTGGTAAGTCTACTAAGGTCTACTAAGACCTCCACATAGGTAAAGCCAGTGGTTAACTTCTGCCCTTTAACTCATTTGAACTATAAGTAGTATCTGATACTACAATCACGCCCCCTGCAGTTGGCTTCTGGGACACCACTGTCTCTCAGTTATCTATAAGGTTACTTATTTTCAACGTCTTTGCTAGTTCTTTCTTTTCTAACCACTAATGTTGGGTAGCTCCAGGACCGAGTTCTCGGTAACTTTATTTATTATACCCAGACTCACTCCCTTGGTGATCTCATGCAAGGTCATGGTTTAAAAGTCCATATGCATGCTGATGAATCCAGCCCAGACTTCTCTCCTTAATGCCTGCTCATGTAACTGCCTACAAAATATTGCCACTTGGATATCTAACAGGCACTTCAAATCCCATACATCCATGACTGAACTCCTGAATCCCTGCTAACAGTACCTGATTTACCTCCACTTCCCTATTTCTCTTGTTGGAAAATCCATCCTTGCAATGGCTCAAGTCAAAAGTCTTATGGTTATCCTTGATTAAAAATCCTCTCGTATCAGAAAAAATCCTACAGGCTCTACCTTCAAAAATATATCTAGAATCTGGGTACTTATCACTCCACAGTTACTGCCCTCACCAACAGTGCCCTGTTTCACTCTCAGAAATGTCCTGATTTGAACAATAATCGCCCTAACACAAAGCCCTCCATGATCTCACTCCCCATGATTGTGTTACTTCTCTGCCCTGCCCTGTTACTATCACCGGCCCTGAGTCCACTCCAGCCACACAACCTTTGGTAACAGGCACATATCTGCTTTGCACCTTTGTTCTAGTTGTTTTCTTTGCATAGAATATTCTTCCAGGTATCTACATGGCAAGTTCCTTGAAGACTTGCTTCCAGTCTTTGCTTAGTTGTTAATTATTCAACGAGACTTCTTGTGGAATGCTGCAATGACCCTATCCCTCCACATCTTGTCCTATTTGCTCTGCTCATCTTTTTTGTCTCCATTGTACTTACCACCTTTCAATATGCTATAGAATTTTATTTGCTCATTAATATTTCATTATCAGTCTCCCTCCACTAGAATGTAAGGGCTTTTTGTTACTTTGTTCACTGATGCATCTCAAGGGTAGAACATGTCTGGCATATATGTAGGTGCCCAATAAATATTTGTTGAATGAACACATATACACTAAAAAGTCACAGTTCACAGTGGCTGGCAAGGTGGCCAAATAGGAACAGCTCCTGTCTGCAGCTCCCAGCAAGATCGGCATAGAAGGCAGGTGATTTCTGCATTTTCAACTGAGGTACCCTACTCATCTCATTGGGACTGGTTAGACAGTGGTACAGCCCATGGAGGCTGAGCTGAAGCAGGGTGAGGCGTTGCCTCACCCAGGAAGTGTAAGGGGTCAGGGAACTCCCTCCCCTAGCCAAGGTAAGCTGTGAGGGACTGTGCCGTGAGGAACAGTGCATTCCGGCCCAGATACTATGCTTTTCCCAGGGTCTCCACAACCCACAGACCAGGAGATTCCCTCAGGTGCCTACACCACCAGGGACCTGGGTTTCAAGCACAAAACCGGGCGGCTATTTGGGCAGACACCGAGCTAGCTGCAGTTTTTTTTTTTTCCGTACCCCAGTGATGCCTGGAACGCCAGTAAGACAGAACCGTTCATTCACCTGGAAAGGGGGCTGAAGCCAGGGAGCCAAGTGTTCTAGCTCAGTGGATTTCACCCCCACAAAGCCCAGCAAGCTAAGATTCAGTGGCTTGAAATTCTTGCTGCCAGAACAGCAGTCTGAAGTCGACCTGGGAGGCTCGAGCTTGGTGGGAGGAGGGGAGTCTGCCATTTCTGAGGCTTGAGTAGGCTGTTTTCCCCTTACAGTGTATACAAAGCTGCTGGGAAGTTCTAACTGGGTGAAGCCCACCACAGCTCGGCAAAGCCACCGTAGCCAGCCTACCTCTCTAGATTCCTCCTCTCTGGGCTGGGCATCTCTGACAGAAAGGCAGTAGCCCTATAAAACTCCCACCCCCATGGGACAGAGCACCTGGGGGAAGGGGCAGCTGTGGGCGCAGCTTCAGCAGACTTAAACATTCCTGCCTGCCAGCTCTGGAGAGAGCAGTGGATCTCCCAGCACAGCACTCTAGCTCTGCTAAGGGACAGACTGCCTCCTCAAGTGGGTCCCTGACTCCTGTGCCTCTTGACTGGGAGACACCTCCCAGCAGGGGTTGACAGACACCTCATACAAGAGAGCTCTGGCTGGCATCTGGTGGGTGCCCCTCTGGGATGAAGCTTCCAGAAGAAGGAACAGGCAGCAATCTCTGCTGTTCTGTAGCCTCTTCTGGTGACACCCAGGCAAACAGGGTCTGGAATGGACCTCCAGAAAACAGCAGCAGACCTGCAGCAGAGGGGCCTGACTGCTGGAAGGAAAACTAACAAACAGAAAGGAACAGCTTCATCAACATCAACAAAAAGGACGTTCACACAAAAACCCCATCCGAAGGCCACCAACATCAAAGACAAAAGGTAGATAAATCCACAAGGATGAGAAAAAAACAGCACAAAAGGGCTGAAAATTCCAAAAACCAGAACACCTCTTTTCCTCCAAAGGATCACAACTCCTCACAAACAAGGGAACAAAACTGGATGGAGAATGAGTTTGATGAATTGACAGAAGTAGGCTTCAGAAGGTGGGTAATCACAAACTCCTCCAATCTAAAGGAGCATGTCTTAACCCCACGCAAGGAAGCGAGAACCTTGAAAAAAAGTTAGAGGAATTGCTAACTAGAATAACGAACTTAAAGAAGAACATAAATGACCTGACGGAGCTGAAAAACACAGCACAAGAACTTCATGAAGCATACACAAGTATCAATAGCAGAATCGATCAAGTGGAAGAAAGGATATCAGAGATTGAAGATCAACTTAATGAAATAAAGAGTGAAGACAAGATTAGAGAAAAAAAGGATGAAAAGGAACAAACAAAGCCTCTAAGAAATATGGGACTATGTGAAAAGACCAAAAAGAAAACCTACATTTGACTGGTATACCTGAAAGGGACAGGGAGAATGGAACCAAGTTGGAAAACACAGTTCAAGATATTATCCAGCAGAACTTCCCCAGCCTAGCAAGGCAGGCCAACATTCAAATTCAGAAAATACAGAGAACGCCATGAAGATACTCCTCAAGAAGAGCAACCCAGAACACATAATTGTCAGACTCACCAGGGTTGAAATGAAGGAAAAATCTTAAGGGCAGCCAGAGAGAAAGGTCGGGTTACCCTCAAAGGGAAGCCCATCAGACTAACAGCAGATCTCTCTGCAGAAAACATACAAGCCAGAAGAGAGTGGGTGCCAATATTCAACATTATTAAAGGAAAGAATTTTCAACCCAGAATTTCATATCCAGCCAAACTAAGCTTCATAAGCGAAGGAGAAATAAAACCCTTTACAGACGAATAAATGCTGAGAGAGTTTGTCACCACCAGGCCTGCCTTACAAGAGCTCCTGAATATGGAAAGGAAAAACTGGTACCAGCCACTGCAAAACATACCAAATTTTAATGACCATTGACACTATGAAGAAACTGCATCAATGAATGGGCAGAATAATCAGCTATCATCATAATGGCAGGATCAAATTCATACATAACAATATTAACCTTAAATGTAAATGGGCTAAATTCCCCAATTAAAAGACACAGACTGGCAAATTGGATAAAGAGTCAAAACCCATCAGTGTGCTGTATTCAGGAGACCCATCGCACATGCAAAGACACACACAGGCTCAAAATAAAGGGATGGAGGAATATTTACCAAGCAAATAGAAAGCAAAAAAAAAAAAAAAAAAAAAAGCAGGGGTTGCAATCCTAGTCTCTGACAAAACGAACCAACGAGGATTTAAATAAATGCAAAGAAGGGCATTACATAACAGTAAAGGGATCAATTCAACAAGAAGAGCTAACCATCCTAAATATATATGTACACAATACAGGACCACCCAGATTCATAAAGCAAGTTCTTAGATACCTACCAATAGACTTAGACTCTAACACAATAATAGTGGGATACTTTAACACCCCACTGTCAATATTAGATCAATGAGACAGAAAATTAACAAGGATATTCAGGACTTGAACTCAGCTCTGGACCAAGTGGACCTAATAGACATCTACAGAGCTCTCCACCCTAAATCAACAGAATATACATTCTTCTCAGCACATTGCACTTATTCTAAAATTGACCACATAATTGGAAGTAAGACCCTTCTCAGCAAATGCAAAATAACTGAAATCATAACCAATAGTCTCTCAGACTACAGTGCAATCAAATTAGAACTCAGGATTAAGAAACTCACTCAAAACCACACAACTACATGGAAACTGAACAATCTGCTCCTGAATGACTACTGGGCAAATAACGAAATTAAAGCAGAAATAAGTAAGTTATTTGAAATCAATGAGAACAATGACACAACACACCAGAATCTCTGGGACACAGCTAAAGCAGTGTTTAGAGGGAAATTTATAGCACTAAATGCCCACTGGAGAAAACAGGAGAAATCTAAAATCGACACCCTACCATCACAATTAAAAGAACTAGAGAAGCAAGAGCAAACAAAATTCAAAAGCTAGCAGAAGACAAGAAATAACTAAGATCAGAGCAGAACTGAAAGAGATAGAGACATGAAAAACCCTTCAAAAATCAATGAATCCAGGAGCTGTTTTTTTTTTTGAAAAGATTAACAAAATAGATAGACCACTAGCCAGACTACTAAAGAAAAAAGAAGAATCAAATAGACACAATAAAAAATGATGAAGGGGATATCACCACTGATTCCACAGAAATACAAACTACCATCAGAGAATACTGTAAACACCTCCACACAAATAAACTAGAAAATCTAGAAGAAATGGATAAATTCCTGGACACATGCACCCTCCCAAGACTAAACCAGGAAGAAGTCGAATCCCTGAATAGACCAATAACAAGTTCTGAAATTGACACAGTAATTAATAGGCTACCAACCAAAAAAAGCTCAGTACCAGATGGATTCACAGCCAAATTCTACAAGAGCTAAAAAGAGGAGCTGGTACTATTCCTTCTGAAACTATTCCAAACAATAGAAAAAGAGGGACTCCTCCCTAACTCATTTTATGAGGCTAGCATCATCCTAATACCAAAACCTGGCAGAGACACAACAACAAAATAAAATTTCAGGCCAATACCCTGATGAACATCGATGTGAAAGTCCTCAATAAAATACTGGCAAACTGAATCCAGCAGCACATCAAAAAGCTTATCCACCACGATCAAGTTGGCTTCATCCCTGGGATGCAAGTCTGCTTCAACATCCACAAATCAATAAACATAATCCATCACATAAACAGAACCAATGACAAAATCCACATGATTATCACAATAGATTCAGAAAAGGCCTTTGATAAAATTCAGCACACCTTCATGCTAAAAACTCTCAATAAACTAGGTATTGATGGAACATATCTCAAAATAATAAGAGCCATTTATGAGAAACCCACAGCCAATATCATATTGAATAGGCAAAAGCTGGAAGCATTCCCTTTGAAAACCAGCATAAGACAAGGATGTCCTCTCTCATCACCCTATTCAACATAATATTGGAAGTTCTGGCCAGGGCAATCAGGCAAGAGAAAGAAATAAAGCGTATTTAAATAGGAAGAGAGGAAGTCAAATTGTCTCTGTTTGCAGATGACATGATTGTATATTTAGAAAACCCCATCATCTCAGCCCAAAATATCCTTAAGCTGATAAGCAACTTCAACAAAGTCTCAGGATACAAAATCAGTGTGCAAAAATCACAAGCATTCCTATACACCAATAATAGACAAACAGAGAGCCAAATCATGAGTGAACTCCCATTCACAATTGCTATAAACAGAATAAAATACCTAGGAATACAACTTACAAGGGATATGAAGGACCTCATCAAGGACAACTACAAACCACTGCTCACAGAAATAAGAGAGGACACAAACAAATGGAAAAACATCCCATGCTCACGGATAGGAAGAATCAATATCGTGAAAATGGCCATACTGCCCAAAGTAATTTATAGATTCAATGCTATCCCCATCAAGCTATCATTGACTTTCTTCACAGAATTGGAAAAAAATAATTTAAATTTCATATGAAACCAACAAAGAGCGCGTATAGCCAAGACAATCCTAAGCAAAAAGAACAAAGCTGGAGACGTCATGCTACCTGACTTCAAACTGTACTACAAGTCTACAGTAACCAAAACAGCATGGTACTGGTACCAAAACAGATATATAGACCAATGAAACAGAACAGAGGCATCAGAAATAACGCCACACATCTACAACCATCTGATCTTTGACAAACCTGACAAAAACAAGCAATGGGGAAAGGGTTCCTTATTTAATAGCGTTGGGAAAACTGGCTAGCCATATGCAGAAAACTGAAACTGGACGCCTACCTTACACCTTATACAAAAATTAACTCGATGGATTAAAGACTTAAATATAAGATCTAAAACCATAAAAACTGTAGAGGAAAGCCTAGGAAATACCATTTAGGACATAGGCATGGGTGAAGACTTCATGACTAAAACACCAAAAGCAATGGCAATAAAAGCCAAAATGGACAAATGGGATCTAATTAAACTAAAGAGCTTCTGCACAGCAAAAGAAACTACCATCAGAGTAAACAGACAACCTACAGAATGGGAGAAAATTTTTGCAGTCTATCCATCTGACAAAGGGCTAACATCCAGAATCTTCAAGGAACTTAAACAAATTTACAAGAAAAAATCAACCCCATCAAAAAGTGGGTGAAGGATATGAACAGACACTTCTCAAAAGAAGACATTTATGCAGCCAACAAACATGAAAAAAAGCTCATCATCACTGGTCATTAGAGAATTGCAAATCAAAACCACAATGAGATACCATCTCATGCCAGTTAGAATGGTGATCGTTAAGAAGTCAGGGAACAACAGATGCTAGAGAGGATGTGGAGAAATAGGAACACTTTACACTGTTGGTGGGAGTGTAAATTAGTTCAACCATTGTGGAAGACGGTGTGGTGATTCCTCAAGGATCTGGAAGCAGAAATACCATTTGACCCAGCAATCCCGTTACTGGCTATATGCCCAAAGGATTATAAACCATTCTACTATAAAGACACATGCACACGTGTGTTTACTGCAGCACTGTTCACAATAGCAAAGACTTGGAACCAACACAAATGCCCATCAATGATAGACTGGATAAAGAAAATGTGGCACATATACACCATGGAATACTATGCAGCCATAAAAAAGGATGAGTTCATGTCCTTTGCAGGGACATGGATAAAGCTGAAAACCATCATTCTCAGCAAACTAACACAGGAACAGAAAACCAAACACCGCATGTTCTCACTCGTAAGTGGGAATTGAATAACGAGAACACATGGAGACAGGGAGTGGAACATCACACACCAGCGCCTGTCAGAGGTTGGGGGGCTAGGGAAGGGATAGCATTAGGAGAAATACCTAATGTATATGACAGGTTGATGGGTGCAGCAAAACACCATGGCACATATATACCTGTGTAACAAACCTGCACGTTCTGCACATGTATCCCAGAACTTAAACTATATTAAAAAAAAAAAAAGTTAATTATGCCTTCTTATCTTAGACATCCCTTCACTTACTTTCCCGGTTCACTGCCTTCCTTCTTGTCATAATCGTTCTGCTTGAAATGGACGTTGTGAAAAGCCTAATTTCAGCTTAGAAAAATGTCCTCTTCTACCGCCCTTCCCATTCAATGGATTAAGGATAAAAGCAGACAAACAGATTGAACATAGAAACTCTGAAATTATTTACAATTTCAGAATCGGTAATCAAAGCAAGAGCTCCACAGTGTTCTTACCTAGCTGCCTTGCAGATGCCTGGCACTGAGTCTTAGCAACTTCCCTATGAACTCGGGTTCATTTTAAAAACTTCCCGTAGTTTCGATTCAAAGGAATGCCTGACCAATACTGCCACCTACTGATGAGTAGGTGAGAAATCAGGACAATCAGATGGAGAGTCCAAACCAGTTTAATGAAAACGAAGACAGACAATAATGAAAAATTCCTTGAAGTCGGTAAAATAATCTGCCTTTCCCAGAGAGTACTAGTAAGGAATTTACATCGAATCCTACAGCAGCATTAAGCAAAGATTGTGTAAGTGCAAAGAATTACAATGACCTCTGATACAGTCTGGCTCTGTGTCTCCACCCGAATCTTATCTTGAATTGTAATCTGAATTGTAATCCCCATATGTTGGGGGAAGGATCTTGTGGGAAGTGACTGAATCATGGGGGCAGTTCCCCGTGCTGTTCTTGTGATTGTGAGTTCTCACAAGATCTAATGGTTTTGTGAGGGGCTTTTCCCCGCTTCACCCTGTGCTTCTCATCCTTCTCCTTCCTGGCACCATGTGAAGGACATGTTTGCTTACCCTTCTGCCATGACTGTAAGTTTCCTGAGGCCTCCCCAGCCATGTAAGTCAATTAAACCTCTTTATAACTCACCCAGTCTCAGGTATTTCTTCCTAGCAGTGTGAGAACAGATTAATGAAGCCTCTTTCAGAAAAGAGCATCACCAACGTTACCAGGACAACCAGTCCTCCTTTAAGAATTCAAATGTTTTAAACTCAAGGCAAATATATTTATTTTTATTTTGTCTCATACACACACAGAAAAACAAATAAAAATCTAGCCTGAGATTTAAAACTCACTAAGGAAAAAAAATCACAGCAAAAGCAGTAGGTTAACATCAGGATATTTATATTCAAGGCTCTATGGTATCAAGTTTTTTTTCTCTTTAGAGCCAGGCATGGTGGCATGCACCTGTGGTCCTAGCTACTCACGAGGCTGAGGCAGGAGGTTTGCTTGAGCCCCAGTGCTTGAGGCTGCAGTTAGCCGCGAATGCACTGCTGTACTCCAATCTGGAAAACAGAGCAAGACCCTGTCTCTAAAAAATTTGAGATTTTTTAAAGTCCATATTTTTTTGTTATTTAAACGTGATATTATTCAACATTGATGAACTTGGGTCGTGAGTTCTAAAAGGGATTCAAAATAAAATGGCATTTTCACTTTTTTAAAATTAAGATACTTTTTCATGATCAAAAATATGTTGTGTCTCCCTCCTGACCCTCCTTTTCAGGTAGGTAGCAAACGTTGCGAAATTTAGTTGGCATATGCTTCAGACAACCTTTTACTTAAATCATTATCCTCACTGCTATCTTTTTTTTTGAAGTTGTATACTCCTAAAATGTTTTAAGCACTTAATTTTTCTTTTATATTATTAATTGTTTTCAACCCACTAATAAGTACCATTTTGCTAATTGGGAAATTAATACATATTGTCAAAGAAACAGACTAAACTGTATTTTGAAAATCCTGAAGAATAAAAATTTGTAAAAGGAAAAAAACTAAAGACGAAAACATATTTACATCTCTGACATCTTCCTACTTTAAAAATTACAAAGAAAATAGAAAATAGAGGTGACTTTTAATAACAAAAAAGTCCATTTCTCAATATTAATAAAAAAAAAGCAAAAATACTCATAAACACATAGGATTAAAAGTAATGATTCCAAGAGAAGATAATTTAGAAAAAGGCATTTAATTACAAAATTTTCTTTTAAATAAAAAAGCAATGGCACGAATCACCACAAAATCATTTAAGTGATCATATCCACAGGCTGTTCTTGTAATTATATGCTAAAAATTTATGACTGTTCTCATTAACAGCATTCCCCCCCTTCATTAGAGACATCAAGAGCTTCTGAGAATGTGTAGTTTTTCCTAAAGTACTACTAAAAGTATCATGAACACCGTTTGTGCAGCATTCATTTACATCACCTTTTATTTACTATATTCTAAACTCATAAAATATTTAACATTTCTCTACTTCATTTCTTATTTACAGTACAGAGGCTCATCTCTTGTCACAATATGGTTTGTGCATTAAAATCCCTGGGAATAGTACTTTCAAGAACATTTTAATAAATTGACTCCGATTATTTAAAATAAGAACACAAACAAAAGCTTTTTCACCCAGAAGAATAATTCTTCCAGTAGACTTATTCAGGACTTAAAAAAAAAAATCCCTCTTTAAGTAAAATACATTCTTCAACCATTACTGGATTATACTATCATGCATATTTATAATGCTAATAATGACAACACGTAAAGCCAGCTATGACTTTTAAAATTCCATTTAGAAGAGTACAGTAGACAGAAAGTGCTTTGGCTTTCACTCTCTTGTTATCCATAATCCAATTATTATTTCACATGGGTATATTTTATTTATTCTTAGTATATAAGTATTTAATGGTTCAGTAATAACTGGCAGCTTCTGACAGTCCTATTTTCTTGGTCGCTGATACGGTTCTGTGAACATAAGTCAGATGAACTGAAAAAAAATGCAAATCACTTCCTGTGATACAGCAGGAAAAGGTGGAATGTTATTATTTGAGCAAATGATTCAAAGAGATGAATACTAACATTCTGTCGTGACAGGAATACTGTGAAATTAGGTATGTTTTAATGTGCTGTCTTCACAACTTGCCATACCTGGTATTTGTTATCTTTTTGGTCAAAAAGCAAACCTAACTGGGAAAGGGTAGATGTGAGGAGGTAATAGAGGTGAGAGAGCATATATTACAGTATATATGATTTTAGGAGAAAAGAATGGGAAGAGAAGACATTTCCACATATTAAAAAAAAAAACTATGTCACATCTGGACACATTTCACAGAGCATATGAAAACTGCCCACAAACTAATTAAGCCTCTTTACTCTCACTCCAGAAATTTTTTTTCTAATAATAACATTAATAATAATTAATATAATTCTGGCAGCAGCACAAATCTATGACTTTTTAAGGCTTAAGAGAGTCATTTTTAAATACTTGGGTACAACTGAATAATATGAGTCCTGCCATTTCTTTTATTTACACTCTTGACTCAGCAAGAATTATGACAGAAGTCCACATGGTTATCTGCAGCTTGTTAAGTCTTCTACAATGGCTTTGACTTTATAACCCACTCAGCATTTGGGTTAAGCTGATATAAATCCTTCATGTAAGTGTCATCATCAAGGCAGCGTTCCCCTGTTAAAATAGATGTTGTGTCAGTTTAATACAGCAGGTAGATTGGTATGCAATTTTAAACTTAAGCTTAATTATTTAACTCTTAAGTCTTGGACTTCAAAATACTTATTCTACTTTGGGAGGCCGAGGTGGGCAGATTGGTTGAGATCAGGAGTTTGAGGCCAGCCTGGGCAACATAATGAAACCCCATCTCTACAAAAAATACAAAAATTAGCTAGGCATGGTGGCTTGCACCTGTAGTCCCAGCTACTCAGGGGGCTGAGGTGGGAGGATGGCTTGAGCTCAGGAGGTGGAGGTTGCAGTGAGCTGAGATTGCGCCACTGCACTTCAGCCTGGGTGACAGAGGCAGACACTGTCTCCAAAACAAAACAAATAATAATAATAAAAAAAAAACTTCTCATTCTTTCCTGTTTCTCAAAATATTGTAAGAATTGGCCAACAATTGGAAAAATAAATTTGGTAGTCTTTCTCCAAATGAATAGGTTTCAAATTAATTTAGGAAGCTGAAAATACTTTGTATGATAGGCTTTTAAATAGTTCCTTAAAAGCTTAATCATCTTATTAGGAGGGGCAATGGTTTTGAATCCACCTAAGAAACTACACTTAATTCCCAAGATCTAAAAGGAAAATAAGAAATCAAATCTATTAATATTTAAATAACCTTTACTAATAGAGTTAACAATTCCAGGTTTCTAGTGTCATGGCCTATTTAAGAATAAACCTTCACATTCCTATATTTAACTTTTAATATTTACTAACATTTTTAATTCCCACAAAAACACCCTACAAAATTTATTGCAAAATTATTTTTAATTACTATTTTGAACTTAACATGATTTCATTTATTTCTTAATAATTTTACCCTTACCATTTCCAAGAGTCAAAAAAGAAAAAAAGATTATTTTAAATTTTTAAAAAGAGATGGTTAAGACTCACTGATAATTACAAAAGGGTAAAATATAAAACATGGTCAAAGTTAATTCATTCCATTTTTTAAATTACTAATGTGAATTTGAGTGTGTGTGCATGTGTATAAAATTTAGCAGGAAATCAACTATGGCAAAAGTAAATCTGCTTTTACTAAAAATATCTAATACTGTACTATAATAAAGTGTTATCTTAGCCTTATATAAGCTCAACTACTTCCTTTACTATGTGACATGAGTATATTACAAAGAAGAGAGTTTTGAAAAACTTGCATCATTAACCATTCCAGGAGTTATTCTTACTGTATAGGGAACTTGCCTTTGCTGAAATTGAACATAGATGGGCATTTGTACAGGCGCTCAAACAGAGCCTGAAGAGAAAGGTCAAACCATTAAAGAAATCCACAATATTCAGCAACTTATCTAAAGCATGGTATATTTTACTTCTAATTTCCTGTTCTTCCTCCAAAGACATAAATAATAACCACTGGCAATATCAAAACAGCATATAAAATGTAAAGAGAAAAAAAAGTGCTTACCAATATTTCCTCCAATTTCATACAAAAAAACTTCTCCTTTCTTGAGAGTCTGGGCAACCCCACTATGAGGGACAAAACAAACCGATTAGTTGTATCATCAAACAGCTTGCAAGTAAATCACTTTAACGTGCTTGGGGAATTCTGGCTGGTATGGAAAATTCATAACTTAGACACACTGTAATTATCTACACGTTTGTATTTTCCCATCTGTTAAATGTACCCAATAGGTAATAAAAGTATCACACCTGTAAATTAAAATAAACAAATGGAATTATACATCTGAAGGCAAAGTAGTAAACCAGTATCTAAATTTGTAAAATTCAAAAGAAAAGTTAATGTAACATTTCCGCTGCCAATCAAATTATTAATATGATTATCCACTTTGTATACAAGCCAAAATGGTCCTCATAAAACTATTAAATGTTTCCACTTTAGTTTTCACATTACTCTTATTCAATAAGTATTTATCATGGGTTTGCTGTGCTGACAACTCCAGTAGTGTGCAAGATGCATGTGAAGAATAAGACATGCTTCTGACTGGGTGTGAAGGCTCATGCCTGTAATCCCAGCACTTTGGGAGGCCAAAGCAGGTAGATCGCTTGAGCCCAGTCTGGGCAACATGGCAAAACCCCATTTCTACCCAAAATACAAAAAATTTAGCCGTGCATGGTGGTGAGTGTCTGTGATCCTAGCTACTCGGGAGGCTGAGGTGGGAGGACTGCTTGAGCCCAGGAGATGGATGTTGCAGTGAGCTGAGATTGTGCCACTGCACTCCAGCCTGGGTGACAGAATGAGATCCTGTCTCCAAAAAGAAAAAAAAAAGAATAAGCCATTCTCTTCTGTCAGTTGTGCAAATGAGGGCAGCACAGACCCTCAGAGTGGAAGCAAATTATGTCATTATCTTTCTGTAAAAGAATTACCTGAGAAACCTGCTAAAAATTCAGATGGAGAGCTCTAGAAACTCAGATTTAACTGGTCTAGGATAAAGCCCAAGAAACTGCTTTTCAAATGCTCTATAGTGGATTCTGAAGCATGGCAAGGTTAGTGGACCACTAAGATAAGGCCCTGAAGACACACTCTCTGGAACTGAGAAGAGAAAATCAGGTCTGACTTGTATTCAAGCCATTAGGAAGAGCATGGTACAGCAGCAGCGCTCCTCACCACCCATGGAATGGCTCATCTGGTTCTCCTCCTTTCTCTCCCTGCCCTGTGTCCCTGGCACACTGGACAGTCAGGGCTCTCTGGGCCCTCACGCTATGTTCCACCTGCTGCACTGCATCTGATCCACTTTGTTTCCAACTACAGTGTAGGTTTATCTTTTAAATTAAATAATTTAATCATTATTATTTTTGTTTTTAATCTAGTACATAACACAATCAACTACTATAGGTCTAAAGAGAGTCCCTATTTCTGTGAAAACCAAATTGAATGTTTCAGGAGACTTGATTTAAAGAAAAACATCTAGTTAGATATTGCTGTCAGACTGATTCTCAAGTACCTGTGTTCTACTTTAAAGAAACAGGAACTAGATTTCCTGGTATATTCAGATTTTTGCGTAATGCTAATCAACAAATTCATCGTTAAAGGCAACAATCCTTTACCAAAGAATGAATGAACGTGCGATTTATTATACATATATTGTATATCATTCATATGTCCATTGGCTTCAGTTGACGAGGTGGGGGAGAAAAAGAATGGAAGGATATAGAGTTTCTACCTGCCCCAGCACAGGTGGAATACAAATGGAAGAAGCACAGGAATGTGGTGGAAGAAATATATAAACATTTACTCAGAATTTCACTTACTATGCGGCCCAGACAGACAGTGCTATATGCTGCATGGTCATTTTCCTAGTTAATTACAATAATAGATGCTATTCTGGTCCATTCTTACAAATGAGGAACTTGATACTTAAAGAGATGATAAAAACTAACTGAAGGTGAAACAGAAATAGTTAGCTTTGAAATCCAGATTACATCCCCAAGCATAAGGAAAGGGGCTGAGGACTGGGGGCGGAAGTGAGGTAAATGGAGAAGTTTACCAGACTTCCATCTAGGTGGAGAAGGAATAGGAGGAAGAGCGGGATGAAGATACCCTGCTCTGGGGGTAGCAAATGCTTATTTAATACAAACACCACAAGCAGAAAATCCAAATTTGTCAGACGATAGTTGTCACAAGTTGGTGCTTTCTATAACAATATGACTATGATTGTTTTCATGCTATACCTTAAATATTAAAGTCACAGTTGAATGTGGGGTACAGCTTCATAGTCTCATATTATTAGCAAGTAGAGGAACAAAAGTACAGACTAAATTGAGCACTTGGGTCCTGAAAGTAAATGTAAATTAACTGTGTCTGGCTGGAAAGAGCTGCTTATATCTGAAGTCTGGCCAGGTCTTCAGGTACACGTTCTGGGAGAGAATGAGAGCATGGCTGGTGGGAAGAATGGCAAAAGTTAGTATCTACTAAGTCAAGGTAGGGAGCAGAGAGGATGTGGATTGACTTTGCAGAAACTGCAAGACACTATAGGGAGCAAAGACATCTGAGATCTTCCAAGTGCCCTCAGGACATAATCTCCAAAAACACATCTACTCTCAGTCTCTGCACTAGTGGTTCCCAGATCTATGATGCTCTGTAGATCCTCCAGCCAGTGTGGAGAATGGTTAAGGGACTACCTTTGGAGGGAAACCACAGATTTAGAATTCCAGCTCTACCACCTATGAAAAATGTGTGACCTTGTAAATCTCTGTTTTCTTATCAGTGAAGCAGACGTAATAATAGCACTTACTTCAGAGTGCTGTTCTGAGGGAAGTTTACACTGGCTTATTGAAGCCTAGATATTACCAATAAGCCTCTCTCTCATTTCATCACCATCTGTTAGCTGCACAGATTCATCCTTTCTCCCAATTTATAAACCCTATGGGAAGGTACTTTAAAATATATGTTTATACCTCCCCTTCCAATTATGGTACTAGAAGTATTTAACATGTTTCTGTTCTGTTTAAGGCCTTGTGCTTTAGCAGAAAGCTTGATTGAAGCCCCCAAATGTTAGAATGAGGAGATTAAATTCAATGAAAGACCAAGACAGAGTATTCGTAAACTGAGATGCCAATGCCCTGGATGTCCCTCTGTTTTTAAACATTTAGTTTATTTCAGTGACTGAAAATGAGGCTGGAGGAGGCATGAAAACATGACTTCAGCTAAAAGAAAGAATTCAAAGGGCAAAACCTGAAAATACAATATACTTGTTAGGATCTCTAAAATATAAGAAGACACTGCAAAGTGTTCTGGAAAGGGCATACTCTAATATAGTGAGAGGGATGCTAGCAGCTTTCAAATGACTCTCCCTGCCCCATCAACCCCAAAATATAGATGAAGGACCTGTTGTCCTTAATGAGGATGGTATGTTCTCCCCTTGAGACTTCAGCGCTCAAAGGCCTGGTTTTCCTCTTTCAATTCTTTATGGTTTGTTTTTAAATTTGACCATTTTGAAATCCATTATATTTCATAGAAAAAGTTGTGTCTTTTCTTTATTTTAATGCCACTGCATCCTAATTAGTAATTTTCCTTACAGCCTACAAACAGTAATTAACCTCCAATCAACATATCCTGGAAAGAATACTGAGTGGTCTCGCTTGGCAAGCCCATCACAGGCCCAGTGAAGGAACACTCAGAAATCCTGCTTGAATCAGGCTCAATCTGAACACAAGCCACATCAAATGAACTAAACTCATTCCAACAGTCTAATGGTTAAGTCTGCTGTTCTCTTCTGCTGGGAAGACAATATTTTTAAGCATTTCATACTACCCCACAATTAAAACAAAAAAAAAAAAAAGGAAGAAGAAGCAGCAGCGAAGGCGAGAGAGAGAGAGCAAGTGACTTATGCCATGGCATAATTAACACAAAACAGGCCTCTACCTTTCTTGGCTGAGAAACCTGGCAAGTACATCACTGGCTTTTAGTTCTTCAGTTAGCTGTATTGCCATGGAAACTTTCGAAAGATGGGGAGCTTGCACTCGAATCACTCCCTGAGGAACGTCAGCCTGCAAAGCAATAATGACACTGGAACAAAGCTGGCAGCAGCTGGAACGTGTAACTCTACAATGCATTATATAGTAAGTGTGCTTAACTACTACGCATTTTACTTCACTACATAAAAACCTTAACTACTGTATAATGTAATTTGCAAAATTACATCAAACCTCAAATATCCTCTTAATGGTGATAGGGGAACTTTATAATGCCTGTGCAGTAATGCTTAATTATTTTTAAAGATGTAAAGAATGACAGCAATAACCATTACTGCCATATTAAGTGCTGATTTCTGAGTATTATCTACTAGAGGGTGCTTCTTCATGTAGCAATTTATGAAATTGAATCAGAAAGAAGTTACTCTGTGTGCTACTGCAGTATGTACATTTGAAAAATCTTCCTGGACATTCACAAAATTTCACAAAATTTTTTTGTCTCTGAATGTTTTATAAAAAAGAAACATACTTTTCTATTTTTATTGTCTGTTCCCCATTTGGTTAATGAGCTCATGCTTTTTGGCTATACACTTTGAACTTACGATGACCCCTTTCTAAATCTTTTGCCCATGGATGTGAAAAACATTTTATGGATTCGAGGATACCAGTGAAAGTTTATGAGGTTTGTAATACCAAAATGTCAGCTATAGCGTTAGAAATATTAGTCTTAATTAATTCCTAAAGGGTTTTGCTAAAATAAATACTATTATTTATAACCATTATGACTTAGACCTTAGAATAAACAGCACGCACAAATCATGTTCAAAAGATAATGCTTTAAATAATACAAATACCCTGTTCAATTGAACCAAAATTTATTAAGCATCTACTGAGTACCAGATATTGTACTAGGTTTACTTACCCAGTAATAAATAAGAAATAAGTCCTTTACTGCATAACTTTGTGCCCACAATATCATGTCCTTTTTTTTTTTTTTTTAATGTACATGGTCTTGAATTGTTTTTTTAAAAAATAAACATCTCAGGAGTTTGAGACTAGCCTGGCCAACATGGCGAAACCCTGTTTGTACTAAAAATACAAAAATTAGCTGGGTGTGGTGGTGCCCCACCTGTAATCCCAGCTACTCGGGAGGCTGAGGTAGGAGAATTGCTTGAACCCAGGAGGCAGAGGTTGCAGTGAGCTGAGACGCACTCCAGCCTGGGAGACAGAGTGAGACTCCATCTCAAAAATAAATAAATAAATAAAAATAAAATAAAATAAACATTGAGCAGAGATATACAACAGATGCCACTAATTTGATTTCTTTCAAAGTTCAACACAAATAATATACCTTTAGAATCAGGCTCTATAAAAATGTAGGTACCCTAAAAGATTTAATATTGCTTCTCAGTAATATCAGAGATTTAGTGTGGGAATAACAAGGAAAAGAAGCAACACGATATAAGACTGTACAGTGAGTATGGGATTGTGGAAGACCACAGACTGCAAACAACAGCTAGACCTGCAAAGGTATCACAAAGGACCTGACCATCAACCTCAGAAATCCTGCTGCAGAGTGGGTGGTGCCCCACCTGCCTCCTTCCTCTGACCAGTCAGTGAAGGGCCACAGAACACATTACTCCAAACCTGAACAAAAATGGACAAAGCCTTCCAGGGCCTTACACTCATGACTTTGCTGGGCTAACCTTGGTCATAGCATCCTCCTCTACCTTCTGTTGCAGGACATATTATGCTCAATTCAATCTGTGAAGGACAACCTAATTCCAACCTCCCAATTCCAAGCCCCCAATTCCAACCTGTGCCCACACCCCTCAATTCCTGCTTCATCTTTCCATCCAGCCTGAATCCTTGGCTTGGTTTTTTGACTTATTGATACTTCAGTCTATGACCTTGACCTCATCCCTAAGATACAAGTATAATTTCCCTTTGTCCTTGATTCTGTGACAGGCTTTATTTTCACTTAGAACACTTTGGAACACATGCTGCTTCTTGCAATGGATGGGGCATTTCATGTGGTACAAAGCAGTTATTAAATCAATGGTGTAACATACAACTCAGTGACTCCATGAACTTCTCCCTTGGGTTTGAACTCTAGGTTATTTCCCACTATGGCCATTTAAGCTGTTCACATGGCCTCACCTATTTGTTGCCTCATAGGAGGTGGAAAATAATCAGTAGCATGAACACCTTTAACATTAGACTGAAAATTGTAATAGCAACATCTGAAGCACTGAGACTGTGCTCATAAAACCCTAATCCACCTTGTCTACTCAGTAAGCACAACAATATTGGTATTTTGGATTCTGTTAGTTTATCACTATTATTATGACTATTGTTTTACTTATAAAACAATAGTAAATAAATATTATTTACTATTGTGGAGGGACTTGAACGGCAGGCTAGAGTTTACAGATAGCCATGCACTTTATATTGAGGTTAAAAGTTAGGAAATCCTGGTTAAGTCATAGTGTCAAATATCCTTATATACAGGTTTATCAGGGACAGAAATTGTTCCCAGAATCACATCTTACCCAGCCCTAGAAGAAGGCAGCCAAATCTGCACTGACATTTAAAGTGAAGATGACTGGATTAAGTTTTTATATACAGAAAGTCCATAATAAATGAGTTGCAAAACCAAAATGATTGAGAAAATAATATATTACCATAAAGAGTTCAGGGATATGGCAATCTTAGTCAGCTCCTGGCCTTTTCCCCCACTATTTCTTGTAGAACCTTCTACTGTTTGGATAAAAAGGCCCAGCAGCACTCCAAGCTTTCCTATCTTTGTGTACGTTCTACTCCCCCTCCCAAATATCTCTCTGCTAACCATTTTCAAGGCTCAGCTCAAATACCTCAAACTCCATGGAACCTTCCATGCTCCACAGAGTCAAAAGGAATCTCTTCATTCCGCTGACTCTCCTTCATAAGGGTCCTACTATATGACCTGTATTCTGGTTGTATGCCACATATCTGACTCATATCTGTAGCCACCCATCAATGTTTATTGATTAAATGAATCATTCAAAATTACTTATTTTTTGTTCATTTTTACTAACAATGATAACATAAACAAAGTAAAATGTCTCTAGAATAAAAGAAAGTATGCCAAGGGGTATTTCCTTAATGGCAAAAACTCATCTTAGGAACAATGTCTAAAAGAAACAAGTTAAGGTGCCTCTATCCACCATATGGTATTCCCTCCACTACCAAGAAAAGACAGGAAGGGAAAGAAAGCAGAGAAAAGGAATTAAGTGTGTTACAAGAGATAATTCAGTCACTTACTTCTGTAGAGAGCCAAAGAGAAAAGCCAGAGTTACTAACATTAGCATGTATCTACTTGGGGATGTAGTCTCTTTTCCCCTCCAACACATCTCATGAAGAGCTGAATGTATTAGTCTCTTCTCGTGCTGCTATGAAGAAATACCCAAGACTAGGTAATTTATAAAGAAAAGAGGTTTAATTGATTCATAGCTCCTCATGGCTAGGGAGGCCTCAGGAAACTTACAATCATGGCAGAAGGCACCTCTTCACAGGACAGCAGGAGAGAGAAATGTCAAGCAAAGGGGGAAAAGCCCCTTATAAAACCATCAGATCTCATGAGAACTCACTCACTATCACAAGAACAGCAGCATAAGGGTTACCACCCCCATGATTCAATTACCTCCTACCAGGTGCCTCCCACAACACATGGGGATTATGGGAACTAGAATTCAAGATGAGATTTGGGTGGGGACACAGCCAAACCATATCATTCCATCCCCAGCCTTCCAAAATCTCATGTCCTCACATTTCAAAACATAATCATGCCTTTCCAACAGTCCCCCAAAGTCTTAACTCATTCCAGCATTTACCCAAAAGTCCAAGTCCAAGGCCTCATCTGAGACAAGGCAAGTCTCTTCCACCTATGAGCCTGCAAAATCAAAATCAAGTTAGTTACTTCCCAGATACAATGGGGGTACAGGCATTGAGCAAATGCACCCATTCCAAATGGGAGAAACTTGCCAAAACAAGGGGGCTACAGGCCCCACACAAGTCCGAAATCCAACAGGGAAGTCACCAAATCTTTTTTTTTTTTTTGCAATGGAGTCTTGCTTTTTCACCCAGGCTGGAGTGTAGTGGTGTGATCTCAGCTCACTACAACCTCTGCCTCCTGGGTTCAAGCGATTCTCCTGCCTCATCCTCCCGAGTAGCTGAGATTATAGGTGTGTGCCACCATGCCCAGTTAATTTTTGTATTTTAAATAGAGATGGGGTTTCACCATGTTGGCTGCTGGTCTTGAACCCCTGACCTCAAGTGATCCACCCGCCTTGGCCTCCCAGAGTGCTGGGATAACAGGCATGAGCCACCATGCCCAGCCTAACCAAATATTAAAGTTCTAAAATGATCTTCTTTGACTCCATGTCTCACATTCAGGTCATGCTGATACAAGAGGTAGGCTCTAACAGCCTTGGGCAGCTCTGCCCCTGTGGCTTTGCAGGGTACAGACCCCCTCCCGGCTGCTTTCACAGGCTGATGTTGAGTGTCTGCAGCCTTTCCAGGCACATAGCAACAGCTGTCAGCAGATCTACCATCCTGGGGTCTGAAGGACAATGGCCCTCCTCTTATAGCTCCACTAGGCAGTGTCCCAGTGGGGACTCTGTGTGGGGGCTCCAACCCCACATCTCCCTTCTGCACTGCCTTAGCAGCAGTTCTCCATGAGGGTTCTGCCCCTGCAGCAAATTTTGCCTGGACATCCAGGCATTTCTATACATCCTCTAAAATCTAGGCGGAGGTTCCCAAACCTCAATTCTTGACTTCTGTGTACCTACAGACTAAACACCACATGTAAACTTGCCAGGCTTGGGGTTTGCACCCTCTGAAGTAATGGCCCGAGCTGTACCTTGGCCCCTTTTAGCCATGGCTGGAGCTGAAGCAGCTGGGATTCAGGGCACCATGTCCTGAGGCTGTGTAGAGCAGGGGAGCCCTGGGCCTGGCACAGCAAACCAGTTCTCCCTCCTAGCCCTCCCTCTGTGATGGGAAGGGCTGCCTTGAAGGTCTCTGACATGCCTTGTAGACATTTTTCCCATTGTCTTGGTGATTAACATTTAGCTCCTTGTTACTTCTGCAAATTTCTGCAGTGGGATTGAACTTCTTCCCAGAAAATGGGTTTTTCTTTTCTATCACATTGTCAGGCTGCAAATTTTCCAAACTTTTATGTTCTGCTTCCCCTTCAATGCTTTGCCGCTTAGAAATTTCTTCCACCAGATACCCTAAATCATCTCTCTCAAGTTCAAAGTTCCACAGATCTCTAGGGCAGAGTCAAATTGCCACCAGTTTCTTTGCTAAAGTATAGCAAGAATCACCCTTATTCCAGTTGCCAACAAGTTCCTCATCTCCATCTGTGACCACCTCAGCATGGACTTTTTTGTCCACAACACTATCAGCATTTTGGTCAAAGCCATTCAATGAGTCTCTAGGAAGTTCCAAACTTTCCCACGTCTTCCTGTCTTCTGAGTCCTCCAAGTCTCTAGTTCCAAACTCTTTCACATTTTCTTATCTTCTTCTGAGCCCTCCAAACGGTTCCAACCTCTGCCTGTTACCCAGTTCCAAAATCACTTCCACATTTTCAGGTATCTTTATAGCAGCACCCCACTCTATCGGTACCAATATCTGTATTAGTCGTGGTTCTTGAAAAGGACAGAACTCATAGCATAGATGAGTTTATTAAGGAGTATTGACTCACACGATCACAAGGTGAAGTCCCACAATAGGCCATCTGCAAGCTGAGGAGCAAGGAAGCCAGTTCGAGTCCCAAAACCTCAAAAGTGGGGAAGCTGACAGTGCAGCCTTCAGTCTGTGGCTGAAGGTCAGACAGCCCCTGGTAAACCATTGGTGTAAGTCCAAGGGTCCAAACATTGAAGAACTTGGAGTCCAATGTTCCAGAGCAGGAAGCATCCAGCCAGGAAAAAGATGAAGGCCAGAGGACTCAGCAAGTCTGTTCTTTCCACTTTCTTCTGCCTGCTTTTATTCTAGCCATGCTGGCAGCTGATTAGATGGTGCCCACCAAGCCTCTCCCAGTCCATTGACCCAAATATTAATCTTCTTTGGCAACACCCTCACAGACACACCCAGGAACAATATTTTGCATCCTTTAATCCAATCAAGTTGACCCTCAATATTGAGTGACAACTTAATGCTTTCTAAATGAGCTCAGGTACCATAGCTTTGGGGAGTATGACCATGCCATGCTTCCTTATGAAATGAGGTGTTGAGTTCAGGGTGGTAAAAGGACTTGCACAGAAAGCACCACATCTGACCCAGGAATCTAGGATCTTTCTGATAGTTAAGAGTTTTAATAGAGAGTCCCAAGATACTAGCTTCTGGGGGCAATTGGGAGTTTTCACGTATATGTGTAATGTTAGGTAATTGACATATTATGGGGTACACAGGCTGGTTTTTGCCAAGATGGGAAGCAGCATGAGTACTCTCCTACAGATTCCTTCTGGCTATGAAATAAAAACATTTCCCACATCCCTTTCCCTCAATGAGCAGAGGATGAGGTTAAGCCACCTTTGAGCTCAGCAAGAACCCTTCCCAAGCTACAAACGGTAGTCATTTTGACTCATTTCACAAAGAGCTGGAATATCAATATCCTTGGAAAGCATTTCATTAAACCAACAATGGTACATGGTTTTCATTAAACCTTCCTAGGCTGACATTCTCTGACCACTAGAGAACCTGTATTCTACGGCAGGGAGAGAGAGTGTGTGTGTGGTTTGTGTGTCTATGGGATATGAACATTTCTCAGCTTGTTTATTTCTGTAGTGATTCATCCCATCCAAATTCTTACAACAATACAGAGATTGAGAGTTTGACTCAATATGGATATACAATGCTCTTTATCCCTGAAGAAGAAACGAGTTTAACCAGTATATATAATGGTAAAGCTAAAGAGTTAAAGTTGTTTCTGGGAAGTTTTTGCTGGATATCTTGACAAGGAAGGCCAAATGATATTTACAAAGATGATAAACAATAAATTATGCCAAAGCCATCATTTAAATGGTGTATGAAAACCACTATTAAGTACTAGAATCATGCTGTATCGAATACTGAAGTTATTACTATACTAATTACATTGAGTTGCCAAGCTTTGAAAAGATACAACATGCCTGATCGTTAAGCCAGTCTGTTCTTAACTTGAGCCATAATAATAACTGAATCTGTACACAGTATGATCTTTATAACCCTTCTCTTTCACATGTTTTAATCTAAAATTGTCACTCTGTCTCCTGCTTTTTTTTCCCATTGAGATAGGGGAGGAGCGTGCTTGTGAACTGCAGTTATGTGAGGTACAGCAGGACTGGAGAAGGGCAGTATTTGACTAACACTCCATCAAAGAAAAGTCACAAAGGATTTTACAACTTCAAGAGTGTTAATTTCTTATGCATGCTAAGATTATTAAAATAGAGAAAATGACCTCATATGGTCTTCACATGTTTTACATATTGAACTGAAGTTTATATTTCTAAACCTGATTTTATTATTATCTGGTTAAATAACAATTTTAGCATTTTTTCATAAGGTATCTAAAAACACTGCATTGCTCATATTTTTGCACTCTAGAGATTAGAAATTTAATGTCAGACCGGTAAAAGAGGTCTCTTTCTTTTTCATTAAAAGCTAATTTAAATGTAAAGCTGACATTTTTTATGCTACAGAAAACCCTTTTTATCTTCAAAAGGGCAAATTGGAAATACAGCTTTTTCAAAAAGAAGGCCAGATATAACACATATTTTAGAAAATTAAACAGGGACATTTTAGCAAGGTATCTTAAACTAAAATGGTATATTCATCACCCTAGTCTGAACTGACAATACTGGGAAGTGGTGATATAAAAGGAATTCGCTACTATCTTGAACTATGTGCTAATTATAATTGGATCTTTGTTATCCAAATGCCTTAAACTTTTATCCAACTCACAGATTCAGAGGATTTTAAAGAAAGGCTTAAAATAACTTCCATAGTTAATAAGAATTTAATTTCCAATGACATAAGTTCTAATATTTTTTTTTAATGTGGTATTTTTATGCAGTATTAAAAATCAGGGAATGTCATAAAAAGAAATAAGATTTTGTGCTTGATATTGTAATCTGATTTTCCACTTGGGTCCCCAAGTAAATCCAGCCACTATTTCCAGACCTAAAGCAGATGCTTGAAACAATACCTGCAACAATGCTTTGCAGCAAGAACTGTTAAATGAAATCAGAGATGCAATTCTAAACAGAGTTGTGCATAAAGGCACGCAACCCTGGCCACAAACAACTCAGCATCTACACCGCACTGCTGCCAATGCCAGGATTCTTCCAGTGGTAGCAACAGATTTCTTTTTCACATCCATAGCCCTACACTTTAAAATGTGACAACATTATTCTGGAACTTTCAGCAAGTCACGTAAGCTCTCTAAAGCTTGAGTTCCTCCCTGGTAAATTAAGGGTGTGATACTAGCATGTCCCAAGTTAACACTAACATTAACCCTATGAGAGAAAGCCTTTTGTTTCCTTGACCTATGAGGTCAGAAGTGGTGAGCAGCATGGCATTTTGGACAGAATCTCATACAGCCACTCTGTACCCTCACTCTCATAAATGAACAGCCTCCCTTTGAGAGGTGAGCTTGAATGGCAGAAGAAACATCATACAAACCTAAGTCACAATAACCCTGAGGCCTGGATGAGTCAACAAATCACAACCAATTGTTCATCAAAGCTGCCCCCTACATTCTTAGTAGGCAGAGATGCAATCTGAGGTAATTATAAGATATCCTTTAAAATTCTAAAAGGAAAAAACATGTGGGAGACAGGATGCAACAAGATCAGAAAAATGTGTTCGATTGTTGATGATAAAGGTTTTGGGGGGCTCATGTACTATTCTTTCTACTCGTATGTGTTTAAAAAGTTTCATGATAAAATTAAATATACATATGCATACACACACACAAACACACCAATAGGAAGAGGGAATTACCCTTCCAGCTTTTAGACGATACACACGCCCAAGTCCTGCCCTGGGAGAGTCTGACTCAGTGGGTCTAGCGAGTCACCCAATCACGGTTTGCTTTTTGTTTTGTTCTAAAATAATATTACCAGGCCAGGTGCAGTGGCTTACACCTGTAATCTCAGGTGTGAAAGGCTGAGGAGGGAGGATCGCTTCATGCCAGGAGTTCGAGACCAGCCTGTGTAACGTAGCAAGACCCTGTCTCTACAAAATAGTTTAAAAATTAACCAGGCATGGTGATGCATGCCTGTAGTCCCAGCTACTCATGAGGCTGAGGTGGGAGGATCCCTTGAGCCTGCAACTTTGAGGTTACAATGAGCCATGATTGCACCATTGCACTTCAGCCTGGGTGAAAAAGCAAGACCTTATCTCCAAAAATAAACAAACCTTTAAAAAATTAAATATTACAGATGCCACTATTGTGAACTTCTGGTTAAACACCATTAACCTGATCCTACCCTATCATTTTATAAAAGAAACTGAAGCCCACAGAGGTAAAATGACTTGTCACACTCACTCGTGGCAGAGCTGGGGCTATATCCTCAGGCCACATGACTTCTGAGGTGTATGTGTGGGTGTAGATGTGTGTGTTATCAATCCCGACAAGTTAAAGCCTATCAGAAAATGATTATTATTAATGGTCTACAATTTTCTTATTTTTCCTCCAACTGTTTCTTCCTACTATAATTAATGGATAAGACATACTAGTATTTAAGAACATCTACATTTGGACCAAACACTCAGTATGCTGTAGTCACTAAAAACATTTGCCTCATGAGGTAAATTGAGTACATCTTAAAACCTGGCTCAAATTATTAATTAACTAGTGTAGTCTAGCACGTCTTAATAATACAAATGCCCAATTATAAACGGTTAGTTTTAATAGCATACAAAATTATTATTTTTTTAACAGGGGTGTCACTGTTTTACCCAGGCTGGCATCTAACTCTTAGGCTCAAGTGATCCTCCTGTTCAGCCTCCCAAGTAGCTGGGACTACAGGTGCATGCCACTGCATTGAGTCAAAGCCTCTTAAAAATATTACCTTGAAGAATGTTTATGATCTATAGTCTCTTTCACTCTCCAATCCCTGGCAATCTAGCTTTTTCCATAAATTACCATTGACAATGCTTTGGGGAAAGTAATAATTAACCTTCAAATTCAAAAACCTTTGTTCAGTGTTAACCTTACTCAGTCTCTCTGCAGCATTTGGCACTACTAACCAAGCTCTTTTTACTTACTTTACTCTTCCTGCCTGGGCTTCAGAGAAAATATACATCCTTCAACTTTCTCTTACTTCCTATTATTTCCTAGCCTCCTTCACCAGCTCTTCTTGAATGGCCCATACTTAAACATTGGAATCCCCTAGAGATCTCTCTTTGTCTCTTTATTTTCTTACTCCATATATCCACCTTGTGTAATATGAACCACTCTATGACTTCAACAACAATCTCTAGGCTAATCCCAAAGGTGTGCCTCCAATGCTGGATGCTCCTTGAAATTCAGGCCCCTGTAGCCGACTCACACAGGCACGTTAACCCAAAGTGTCAAAAACTCACTTTTAAGTCTGTCCCCCTTTTGCTTGATGCTAAAGTCACCCAAGGCCAAATTTGGCAAGTCATTCTAGATTCCCTTCTTCTTCCACATTCTTCACATCCAACCAGTATCCACATGTTGCAGGGTTCCTATTGGCTCACATTCTAAACTTCTTTCGATTCTCAACTGGGCCTTGGCTCTAGCCCAGGACCATTTTAAGAACTACATATAAAACATATTTTATAACAGCAGTAATCCATGTTCATTGTATTACCACCCATAAGCCCAGAGTTTTGGTATATATCCTTCTTAGAGTCCTTCTGTGATCTATGGAGAAACAGAGAATAATGGTGAAGAGTCCATGGATTTAAAGTCATATAGATTTGGTTTCAAATTCCAGCTCCACTAATTCCTATCTAGATAACCTTAGTAACTTTAAGATTGCTAATTCTCACTTTCCTCATCTGAAAAAAATTAGACAATAATACACCCCAATTAGACTACCATAAATATTACGAGACAATATTTGTAAAATGTTTAGCATTGTGTCTGACCTCTGCAAAGCATTAAAATCATAGCTATTACCCCCTAAAAATATAGCACTACACCATTCACTGACTCGTAACTTCTTTTATCACATAGTAACATATTACGAATCTCTTCAATGTCAAGATACACATTTGTACACTTTCATGGTATTTCGCTGTATAGATATGCCATAATGTATTTAACTAGCCACCTCTGTTCTTTTGGATTATCTCTAATTTTGGTCAGTGTAAGAAAATGGCAATGAACTTAACCATAAATATTTGCATGTTCATGCTATTACTCTCTTTGGAGGAATATCTGAGTCCAGTGAAGAGCATGGCTTTCAGGACTTTGCCACATGCTGCTGTTCTCTGGAAGAACTCTACCAATTTATATACTCCCATCAACAAGGAAATTACCTACCATCTCCTACCTACCCTCCAATCTTACACTCCCTCAAATCTTTCCTTCACCTTTCAGCAGTTCCCTGTCATGCACAGAATAGAAACTTTGCTATCAATCTCTCTTAAGGCTCACTCCTGCTTTCCCTCTGCCCCTGTCTCTCTATGCACCTAAGTGGCCAGTTAGTATGACCTGATTTTCTCTCCAAACATTTCAAATATCCCCACTTAAATGTCCAATAGACATCATACTCAATATGTCCTAAATTGAAATCATGAAATTGAAAGCAATACCATCCTTCCAATTTCTCAGGCCAAAAATCAGAGTCATTTTTGACCTCTTTTGTTCTCCTACATGATTTCCATCAGGAAATCTCAATGGCTCTAACTTCAAAACAAAATCCAGAATCCAACCATTTCTCCACTTTCCGATGCTGATACCCTGGTCTGAACCACCATTATCTCTTACCTGGATTACAAGAACCTCCCAAATGATCTCCCTATTTTTCTTTGCTCCCTTTTAGTCTATTCTCAACACAACAGCCTAAGGAATCATTTTAAAACATAGTATAGATTTTCAAGCCTTTGCTTCAAACCCCCATTTCACTCAGAGTAAATCCAAATTTCTAATGATGGTCTATCTACAAGGCCCTATGCAATCTTGCCCCATTGCCCCTCTGACCTCATTTCACACTACCGTTCCCTCTGCTGGCTTCACTCCAGCTACACTCACTCCTTAAGGTAAGTTCCTGTCTTAAGGTTTTTTCACAGACTATTCTTTCTGCCTGGACTGAGTTTCCTGAGATATACACACAACTCAACTCCCTGCCCTTCTTCTTGTCTTTGCTTAAATGAATAATATCCAGACCATCTCAACTTAATAGTGCCAGGGGATCTCCTTCCCAATTCCCCTTGTTCTGTTGTTTTTATTACTTTTGGAGGATAAATCACATACTAACACATTATATGAATTACTTCCTAGATTTACTTTTATTTTTAGAATTTAAGCTCTGGAAGAGCAGTGATCTTTGTATGTTTTGTCCAATAATTTATATTTCAAGTACCCAGTAATTCCTGGCACACAGTAGGCACATATCAAGTAACTGTTTAACAAATGACAAAAGCTACCCCCAGGCAATTTCATGCCCTATAGTTTCATATTGCATATTTAAATGATTTGGAGGAGAGTCAAGAAACTACAGCAACCAGACAGAATGAAGGAGGGGGCATGGCTTACAGCAAAGTAGATGGTCCATGTTCCATGCAAAAGGAACGGCTCCTACTCAAATCCAGGGAATTGCTACCCTGATGGAAAGCAGGCCTCTTACTGCCAGAAGATGAGGGATGCCCCAACATCCATTTGTCATTAAGACGGTGGTTCAAACTTTCACATTAAATGTTTTAGCTTTAGAATTCTGGCAGTTGCCAGTTGGAAGCAACATGCAAAAAACTCTTGTTACTTAGTAACTTACCACATATCCACAGTATTTGAACTTAGCTTGCACCTCTACTTGTTCTGTAATTGCTTTGTGTGTCTATTTACTCTCCCTAATAAAATGGCATAATTTTTTTTTTAAATTTTGGCTATTGATTAGAATTTTTTTTTTTTTTTGAGATGAAGTCTCACTCTGTCACCCAAACTGGAGTGCAGTGGCGCAATCTTGGCTCACTGCCTCCCAGGTTCAAGCGATTCTCCTGCCTTAGCTTCTCAAGTAGCTGGACTACAGGTGTGTGCTACCACGTCCAGCCAATTTTTATATTTTTAGCAGAGATGAGGTTCCACTGTCTTGGCCAGGCTGGAGATGAGAATTTTTCTACCAAAATGACAGGCCAAACAGACCTCCACCATGGGCTGTGATGTCAGAAAGCTTCCACTGCAGGTTAGATGGCTCTTCTCTAGTGACACCTGAACAACACTGATTTATTTTTCACATCTCAGCTTGACTCCCCAGTGAAGCCTCTCTCATGCTTACTTCCTGTTTTGTAGATTACGGTACCCTGGTCAGGCTTCAATCACATACCTCTGAGCTACATCCCTTCTATATGCCTTCTCCTGGCTCCTCGAGGGTGAGCACCCAGCTCCCTGACTCCCTGGGAACACCTAACATAAAGTGGGGGCCTAGCACCAAGGTGGCAATAGCATTTTGTTGATGAGTAACTGAATTTCACATAAGGAAAGAAAAAAAAAAACTCAAAGAGGTAAAGTTACAGCTAATATGTGATGAAACTGATATTTAAATCCCAAGCTTTAAAATGACAATACAGTTTTTAAATAGTACAGAGATCATTCTCAGACCAGATCATGTCTAACTATGCCAAAGTGCAAACTAAAGAAGTTAATGCTTTTTTTTCCATAAATGACAAAATTACTAAAATATTCCATTTCCAAAAAGTAAACGTTTCAGTTTTTCTAAATATTATTTAAAAGGTACACCCCAAATGTTTCCTTAAGTAGATCCTGAGCTTCAGAATATCACAGCTAAATGCCCTATAAAAAGACAAGACTATAAAGTCACTTAATATGAATAAGAAGGGCTACAAAACAGACTTAATTCACATATTTACAATGGTCTTAGAGGTAACAGAACATTCTAAAGTTAACCAAATGCCAAAAAAAAAGGCTTTCTAAAAGCCTTTAGGATAATATCAAGGCCTTTCTAAAAAAATAAGCATATTTACAACTTCTCTTTATGTTTTTAAAGATATTTAAAACTTGATTTAAAATGTTTTACAATGCCAAGAAAGTATCATTTTTTAAGAGTGAGAGCTATAAATAAATCTAAGAGAAAAACTTCGTTTTTATGATTACTGGATCCATAAGCAGGCCAAAACCGAAAATTCAGACAAAGGCAGATAACTGCATTTTCACATTATTCCACAAGATGTCAGCATGTAACTGAACAACTTCAATGGTGGTGGTAGTAGGGAGGAGGTGGATTCACTTAAATAGAACAATAGAAACCCTTTCATTTCATGAACTTACGCTACAGCTTTGGTAACTTACTTCATAAATGTATATCCATGTATATTTTATTATTGTAAACCCAGTTCTTAATATACTCTTACAGTAGTTTATAAATACAGATATTTAGGTATTTCTTTTTTGAAACATCTTAATTTTTTTCTTTCCAATTTAGCTCTCAAAATTCTTCTGATCAAATTGAGAACCTTCAAATACTTATTAAAGTCCAGGAATAATCCTAGGCACAACACAAACATTAACCTATTTGTCCATCTGGATTAGTTATTTTTCCCCATTCTACAGATGAGAAAAATTTAGAAAAAAATGTCAGTGGTTCACATGATGTTATTTACTCACTATAGATTATATATTCAGTAGGCGACTAGAGTCTCCGCACGAGAGGTAGAGGTAGGGGTAGGGGTGTAGGGGTGTGTGTGTGTGTGTGTGTTCAGTCTTGTCTTGATATCTTCCTTTGTTCCCCATTAACAACTCACATGCTGAGTCACCAACACCTGACCAACTGTCAATACTGATCATTAGCAGCAGTAGTAGGAAGACAGTTACTGATGTCTTTCACTTACAAGTAGCACCACAGCCTAATAAGTGGCAGAAAGTCATACTATGAAAACATTAAATAAAAAATTTTGGTATTAAAAAAATACTTAAGATCTGAATAAATACATATCTCCACTATTTTCTTACATCATTTGTACTCTTATCTTGCTTTTCATATTTTTCTCGGTCATAAGCCATTTTCTTCAGCAATTTCTTCATGGCTCTTTTATCCTTTTTATGATTTTCCGTGTTTTGCTTCCTCACTTGGTTTACAATAAACTTGGGAATCTATAGAGAAAAGGAATTAAGCTTAGAGAGGAAAAAGAAATGCCACCATTTTAAACTACAAAAAAAAATTATATTTTTTTAAATTTCAAAAACAGTAAAGAGTTTCTCTTTTTGATAAGACTGCCATTTTACATGCACTATTCATTAAATCTGTGAAAAGAAAATACTTCATATTATTCACTTACCAGGTGTACAGGGCATCCACGTGGTATAATTTGCCACCCACTGTGGAAGGTTCCAAAAGAGGCTTTGTGAAGTTCAAGGACATAGTGGCCGTTTTCTATGCCAGACTGGAGACCCCCTGAGGTGACGAGCAGTAGAAGCCACCTCCGTAGGTCTTTCCTTTTGCAGCCTCCTACCTACAGCCCTGCTAGCTAACCTCAAGTCCCCTTCTAATAACCAGCTAGCCGCTGCTGTCATGAGAGAAAGAACTCCCCAAGAAACAAGAGCTGATAGGTAGCTAGCAAAAATCCAGAACAAATTTATCCTAAGAAATCACATTAGCAAAAACAAAATATTTTAAGGTATCAAAATGTAACCATGAAATAATTTTGACATTTCAAACATTGAGATTTAATAAATGGACATTAATTTTTTATTAAAAAAACACATTTGAAATCATCTACATCAGTTGTCTTTTTATGGATTATAAAAATAAAGACTTCAGGATCTAAATATCATCACTCTGTCTTTTTAACAAATTAATGTTTGGAAGCTCCTCAAATAAGAGATTGAAATATTCAATATTATAATTTTGCTTGGAATTCCTTTAGGTCATTTTTTCCTAAATGCTTATAAGATGCCTCCTGAAAAATTATAAATTTCATTGGAAAATGAGCACCTAATCAACGAAGCCTCTCATCCACTTCCATCCTCTGATAAGCTGTCAAAACAAGCTCAAAATAAGTGTAAAACAGAGGAAACCATTTTTGAAGATGTTCTCAGTTAATAAGGGTACAAAATGCATGCATCCCTTTCAATAAAGGGTCTATGAAAAAGAACTGAATAATCTGAAACCAAGATAGCATGGGCTTTTAAAAATACAGCAGGCCTAAACACTGAGAAATGGGAAAATAGGCAGAAGTAAATAAAAAGTACTTCTTACAAGGCATGTTTTGACATAATTTTAAAACAGAAATTCACAGGGCCCTCCTTACCTATATGAATAAAATGTTTTTAATATTTTCTGCACTCACAAATTTTAAATGTAAATTAATAAAGCTAATAACAAACATGCAATTTGTTTTTTAAACTACTAAGACCAAAGCATATGATATATACTTACTGTCCACAGAAGTTTTTGGTACTTAATCAATAAGTGCATGGTATTTGCTGTCCCAGCTGCCATTACAAATTCTCGCTGTTCACTGGACTTCAATCCCAATGCATGACACATAAAGAGATTCGGGGCCATGACCATTGCTACATTCATGACTGTCATTTTATTTTTTTCTTTATTATCTATTACTCTTTGGAGAAATTCAAGAAGGGCCTGAAACAGAAATGACTCTTTGAGATTTGTGTCATATATGAAGATAAAAGATTAAAGCACTGTAGCATATGCAATTTTTATTTCATTGAAAAAACAAGTTGTGTATAAGCACAGTCAACTAATCACATCCAGCAGGCCCTGTTACCAAAGCTTCTCCATTTGGTTGATGCTCCCTGAGATGGAAATTTGCTTCTACTAAGGACCATGGTGCTGGGGAATGAAGCAGAGATGGCACATAGCTGAACTAGGGAGCAGAGAGAGGAGTGGGGAAGTGTCAGACCTCTGGCCTATGGGAGTCATGGAGAGCTGAAAAGTAATGTAAAACATCATACAAACATTTGCTTATTTCAGGAAATGCTGTACTTTCCTATGTAGAGATTTTTAAAAATTCCCTCAAAAAGGGTCATTCAACTTCAGTCTCATTTCTTTAAGGCAATCAATATCTGGCTGATGTGGAACTTATAAAGAATGAGCCAGGCACTGGGTATGGTGGTGCATACCTGTAGTCCCAGGCACTGGGCATGGTGGTGTACACCTGTAGTCCCAGATCGGTGGGAGGATCATCTGAGCTTAGGAGTCTGAGTCCAGCCTAGGCAACAGAGAGAAACCCTCTCTCAAAAAAGGAAAAGAGAAGAGAAGAGAAGAGAGAAAAGAGAAAAGAGAAAAGAGAGAAGAGAGAAAAGAGAGAAGAAAAGAGAAAAGAAAAGAGAAAAGAAAAGAGAGGTGAGGGAATATTGTGATAGAGAAAGCGGGGAAATGAGGAAAGACCAAAGAGAATCTTTCTTTTTTTTTTTTTTGAGACCAGGTCTCACTCTGTTGCCCAGGCTGGTGTGCAGTGAGAGATCATAGCTCACTACAGCCTCAAACTCCTCGGCTCAAGTGATCCTCCTGCCTCAGTCTCCAGAGTAGCTGGGACCACAGGTGCATGCCACCATGCCTGGCTAATTTTTTTGATTTTTCATAGAGGCAAATTCTCGCAATGTTGCCCAGGCTGGTCTTGAACTCTTGAGTTCAAGAAACACTTCCACCTCATCCTTCCAAAGTGCTAGGATTACACAGGTGTAAGCCACCATACCCAGCTGAGAATTTTTTTTAAAATGAATGAAAAGAAACTTTTCATCAGAACAGGTTAGGTTATGCTCAGCTTGATGCCACGTACACCCACCCCTATTGCAGACACTCATTGTCCTCTGAAACTACCTTCTCCAAAAGGCAAATGCAGCTGAGGTCACCCTACTCTAACATGACTTAAGGCTTCAGATTTTTCTTTTGCCTTCTTCTTTTGTTCTAGAACAACAGTAACTATAACTGCACAGGTATTCAATGTTCTCTATGAATGAGGCAGTTTATGAAGCACGATAGAGATTACTTAATCCTAACTTGGAGACAGATGCTGTAATTACCTCCATTTTACAGATCAGAAAACAATGTTTGGAGAATGTAAGTAACTTCCTGGTGGTCATACAGCTAACAAATCCTGAGAAAGAATTTAATTACAGGTCTATCTGGCTTTTGTTTCTAAATTCTTAACTATTAAAAGAATCATTTTTTCAGAGTTAGCCTAAAATCCCTACCCTAAAAAGGCCAAATATACTATACTAAAATGGAAAAAGGAAAAAAAGTATCTATCTTCCAAAGAATTTCTGGAAAAAAAAATTCCTGTAAGTGCTAACAGGTTGCTTTTGAATCAAGTATAACTGCTATATAGACCTTGAAACTTTGAAACAAATTAAGGACAGAGCTTTAATATCTAACAATGAGATTTATGTATCTAATTTCTAGTACAGTGCTCAGGAAGTTAAATTGTAATCCAAGCATAAAGTTATATAAAACAACATGTTCTCAAATGAGGACAAAAGATTAATTGAAGTTTGGAAAAAATATTTAATTTTGTTCCACAGAGACCAGAATAATTGTTCAGGGACCAGTGTATCTCTTTCTTTATGAGCATAAATTACAGACATTAGGTAATAAACCGTTTTAATTGTGGTGTGCATATGTAATAACGTTACTCAAAATACTACTATCAGAATACTAGAGAATAAGAGAGAGAGTTGACATAAAATTAACGAGATGTTAGCCCAGCCCTTGCTGAAGGAACTGCAGAATTTTCTATCTGAACCTTCAGAATTTCCCCTTTATATATATATATATATAATTTCAATAGTTTTTGGGATATAGGTGGTTTTTGCTTACATGGGTAAGTTCTTTTGCGGTGATTTCTAAGATTTTGGTGTGCCTGTCACCTGGGCAGTGTATAAGCTACCCAATATGCAGTCTTTTATCTCTCACCCTTCTCCTACGCTTCCACCGAGTTCCAAAAGTCCAGTGTATCATTCTTATGCCTTTGCATCCTCATAGCTTAGCTCCTACTTATAAGTGAGAACATGCAATATTTGGTTTCTCATTCCTGCTTTACTTCACTTAGAATAATGGCTTCCGGTTCCATCCAAGTTGTTGCAGAGGCCATTATTTCATGCTGTCTTATGGCTGAGTAGTATTACATGGTGTATGTGTGTATGTGTGTGTGTCTGTGTGTATCTATCACATTTTCTTTATACACTCATGAGAACTTCTCCTGTTTCAAAAAATATTTACTTTATCACTGGCCTGGTGGTATCAATCACCGGGTTCACTCTCTGAAAAGCCAGGTTTGAGTACCAGCACAATTACTTAGTAGCTGGGTATGATGTTACATCTTTACATACCTCTGCTCTTTAAAGTTTTCTGATTTGTAAAATGGGAGTACTTATCTCTCAGCCTGGAAGGATTGAAACAATGTATATAATGAGCTTCTTAAAACTACAAAAAAGATAAATGTCAAGAATTATATTAACATGGATCCCCTCTTGCTATCTTAAAATCAGTCTTCACTATTGTTCCAAGTCAAAGGTAGGTGTGATCATTGGTCCAAATGCACCATAATTCAAAGTGAAAAGTAACTGTAGTTAAGCAGCTTGCCCAAACACACCTGTCACTTTACTACCACACCAAGATGTGGTATTTAACATGGTGCCTCCTAACCCTTAGACTTGCTGTAGCAATATTCCAAACAACCATGCACATGATTCTGTCCTTCAGATGACAACTGAAGGCGTGCTGCTAGCACTGGATAAGTCAGGGAATTTTGCGTTAGACTTCCTGAAATTATATTGCATTGGAGTTTCCCTTCCCTTTTACAGAACTAAATTTATGGCTTATTCTTTGCACATATGGCATTCTTGTTCAAATGTTCTATTATTAAAGTTCTAGTTTGAAACCTTCAGCAGAGCTGGCTAATTAAGTCACTAAAGCTTAAGTAAACATGTAAAATTACTTGTTTGCATCTTCCAGTTTTTTACCAAAAATAGTACTCCCCCCCCCCTTAATTATAAAATTATCTTTCCGATAGCCTCATACACAAAATGTAAGAACTATCCTATAATTTTAAAACTATTTTTTAACAGAATTTTTAAAAGAATATGCCTGGGACTTTGAGGGCAAAGCCCGAAGAAGAGTTCCAGCTCAGCCACACCCAAAGCAGCCATATTGAATTGAATGCTTCCTCCTACAACTACTTGAACTCATTTGAATGTAGGGGTATCTTAAGTAAATCATAAGTTTTCCAGTACCCACTGCACACTGGGCATTGATAGGGTCGTCAATGAGTAAGAAAAAGATGTTCCTCCCTATTTCTGAGTAGTTGAAGCCCTGTGTCGGGAGCACTGCTGACAAGCTGAGGACATGTTAGATCGTCAGCCCCACTTTGTCCTGGGCCATATGTCCCTGTCTCAGCCACAATCTACACACACTTACACAGTAGCCCTGGGCACACACTCTTTGAATATAACCCTTTCTGAGTTGACCTCTGTCTCAAAAGCAAATTGAAATAAAACCTAATGCTGTCTTCTGGGTTATTCATTTGACAACCAGTGAAGCAAAAGGCTTTTTTTCTGATTTAGGAAAGGGAATAACCCTTTGGAAGTTCTCCTGTAGCGGACGTAGCGTTTTACCTCCAGTAATCCCCATAAGCTGCTTCATCAAGAAAAGTTGAGTATTAATATTCATTCCATGGGCATTAAAGAACTATCACTCATGCAGTTACAATTCAAGGAGTTTTAATGAATTACAGGAAAAAAATTCCAAGATGTACCAACTAGTAAATTTGTTTTCTTAACTTGAAAGCTCTTGTCATGAGATTTCATCTTAAATAGAAAAAAATGAAGAGGGTAAAGAAGCCCTTTACCCATATAAAAAATATTTTTAAGGCAAGGGAAAAACTTAAGATAATACTTTTACTAAGTTAATTTTTTTTCCTTTTTCTAAGAGTTTATAATTAAACCTTTTACAACTACTCTATAAACTCTGCTGTTAAGGAAAATAAATCAGTGTGGCACAATCCCTGATTATAAGAGCTTCTGACAACACTTAAAGTAGATGATATTAAGTTATATAAACATTAGAGCAAATCACTTCAAAATGGTGATATAAATCAGAAACTCCGGATGAACCCTTAGAGAAATAATTAGAATTTGTTTGAGTTGGTCTATCTTTTGGCTAACAATTGTGTCAAATCACCATTATGACTCACTTCAAAATCTACCATTTCAAACTACAAACTGTCATATCTTTAGGTAGTAGTGGGTTATATTTGATAAAACTTAGGATTTTTGTTTTAAACATTTATATTTTACCTTACTGCTACCTGCTTATTAAATATAATTTGATAAATGCAAAAAAAAGAAATAAGAAGGAGAAAAAAAACAAAAAACCACCCACGTTTCCATTAACCGACGAACCTCAATCGTCTGGTTTGGAAGAAGAAATGTTACAGTGAAAATTAAAAAAAACAAAAACTTAATAACATTAGTAACATAACAACCTCATAAAGAGTTAAAGGCTTTCACCCTCTGTCCTTAAAAGTAGGCTTTTTCTTTATAGACTTTTATGACCATGTCCAAGATACACATCTTATTGTTTTGCCACAAATAATGAAAAATTACTGTGCTTACTTCTAAGGGATATTTAATGTAAATTAACCAAGCTGACCTTCAGTGTGTCCCTGTTTGCATCAGGTAGGAGGATGACAAGAAGGTTCAAAGCCTGTAGTTGCTGCTTCTTGGTTGGAAGATCTGCAGACAAATTAAATAAATCTGAACTCTTTTCTTCAGTGAACATTTTCCTTTACTTTATTTTTTCACTTTTTAAGAAAAAAGTTATTTGGCATAAACATGACTGTAAAATGTAAGACACAACGACTGAGCTGCAAGCCTTGTTGAGAGTGTGTTTGTGGGAGATCAGCAGAAGCAGCTGCTGTTAGGAGCTTCCTCTCTCTCAGAATGCTCACTTCCAACTGTGATCATATGACGTGCGGCCTTATGTTTGCAGACACACAACAGTGCTTTGGAAATAATTTTAACTTCTGCGTGATAATTATTCCCCAATGAAAAGACATAGAGGATTGGACCTTCCATGATACAGTATCAGGGTGCGTCCGTAACAGTGGTTTGTTTCTTTTAATGGCGAGTGAACAAATGCATGGTAAGAGTCCATCAGTTCCAACAGGAATATGTAAAATAGGGCCTGGAACACAATAGGTGCTTATAAATGCCTGTGGAATAAATTAGAAAACGAAGCAGCAGCTCAACAGTCTAAGAGGTGCATTATTATCATTGATGTTATCATTTTCAGCAGCCCTTACCCCATTTAAGTAATACTCATGGATATTTAGAATCATTCCAGCATTTCTTTTTCAGCAATAAATTTGGTCCTTTAATCCATATCCAGGAAATGTATGCAACGTAGCACAATTTAAACATTAAAAAATATTTCCCACAGAAGGTAATTTATTCTATTTAAAGAAGAAACATGTTAAGAAAAAAATACTTTAAACAGAAGAGATTTCAGTTCCGTCTCTCCTAGAAATTCTGAAGAAATGTCATGATACGAGATGACTCATGAAACCATCTCAATATTGTATGTGTTAAGAATAGCCTGGTACAGTTCTGGTTGAAACTGTAGCTCACCGCAATTTATTCTTTTTTTTTTTTTGAGTCAGAGTCTCACTCTGTCTCCCAGGCTGGAGTACAGTGGTGTGATTTTGGCTCACTGCAACCTCCACCTCTCAGGTTCAAGTGATTCTCTGCCTCAGCCTCCCGGATAGCAGGGATCACAGGTGCGCACCACTATGCCTGGCTAATTTTTGTATTTTTAGTAGAAATGGGATTTCACCATATTGGCCAGGTTGGTCTTGAACTCCTGACCTCAAGTGATCTGCCCGCCTCAGCCTCCCAAAGTGCTGGGAGCTCACCATAATTATTAATAGTGCCCCTTTTCATTCTTATAAGTGTCCCTGTTTAAAAGATAAAGATACAGTTACTTGAAGGCAGTGATGGCATTTTTACTTTTCTTCATGGCCTCTAGGTGTAAAATGGATAATTAGGCCAGTAGATAAACCTTATAAGATCTAGGTTCACTGGAAAAAGAATCGAGAACTATTAGAGACACTAATGTGTAGCTTGCCCAAGACGACAAAATGGCAGTACATAAGAAGCAGCTTGTGACCTTCCACCAATGAGGCAGCAAAATGCTTTGCTCCACACTTCTGCATGACAACCTCAGAATTTAATTTTTCAAGAAATGCTCAGAGACCCTACCACTTCTCCTTGTGCTTTTATGATAACTGTTCATCCACAGCTTCTCCAGTAAGTGTTGCTTTTTAACACTTGGCAAGAAAATTGTATCAGAGATCTTATGTGACTCATTCTATTATAAGAGAAACATGAAGTTTCCAGGTTTTAACACTGAAATATATTGTATTGCTTAAATGTCGTGCAATTAATCTGTACCCAAAGAGAACATTCTGTTATCTGTTTACTCAGGAATGCATATTTATAAGAAAAACAGAAAACAATGCATGGCAGCTGAGCACCCACTGACATCAGTTGAGTCAATATGTCCACCCAAATACGTCTGGTTGCGTTCTTTGTGATGCCAAATGTCATTAAAACAATTAACATAGATGGCACCAGCAGAAGGACTGCTTCAAAGAGGGATAGCACTTACTCTGGACAGCCTGAAAGGCTTTGAGATACTCCACACTGAGCAGTGGCTGGGGCAACTCCCGAATGAAGAGCTTCAGCAGGCTGGCGGCATCATGCTGTTTGACACTTTCCCAATTAAAAGTCCCTTCATAAAACTTTGCTTCTAGTTCTTGGCAAAGATTCTGATAGGCACGAAAAAAAAAAAAAAAAAAAAAAGAAGCAGCTAGAAGTGCATTTTTTTTCTTGCTGAGAGTATGACACATTTTCACTTTCAAGAGACTCTGCTCTTTAGACAAGACAAATCAGACTACCAAAAGTCAATATTTCTTTTACTCAGAAAAAAAACTACTCCTCTCCTCTAATCCAAATGTACTTTACCAACAAAAAACTGTACCTAAGGCCAAAAAACATTTTAAAATTTATACTTTTTCCTGGACATTCCACAAACTGTAAGTAATAAAGTTTTAATTAAGAGACTGGTTAAAATAATTGTTCCATTTGGGGGCTTCATCTACATATTATAAATCTTCGTTAAATTAAGAAAAAAATCATTAAAAAAGAAGTATATGTTTTAAATTTAGAAGTATATTACATAAAAAAATACATAATCAGTCTCTGGGACTAAAACAGAAGGCTACCTCTGATTAGTCACCTACGGGAAATGGAAAACCCAATTTTATAGTAAACGAGGCAAGAAAATACATCAATATACCTGTCTTTAATGCACAGCCATCCTGCTGCCAGCTGCAAAAAACAGTCTGAGTCCATGCAGAATTAGAAATATCTAGTTCACTTACCTCAGAACTCTACAAAATTTGTCAGGCAAATTATTACTAATAAATCAATTGAGTTTTGTAATTACTATTTTTTGTATACTTCTTTACTATATATAAATCCTATCACGTTAAAAACCATCACAAGTTTCTGTCACTTTCCTCTGTTACATGAAACCATTCTCCCAAAGTATGTTCTTTGTTTTCTTGTAAGGCAAATTACCACATTTTCTCTTCCTAACACAACAACCATTCTCTACCCCCAATTATTTTTGTAATTGATGAAATAGGTGAAGGGGAGTGGCAAAGACAGAAAAAGAAATAGAGAGGAGGGAAGAGGGAGTGAGAAAAGGAGGAAGAGGAAAAAAAAAAGAGGAGGGAGGAAAAGATAGAAAAAGGGAGTGGGAGATAGGGAGGGAAGGAAGAGGAGAGAGAGGGGGCATGGAGGGAAAGAATGAGGGGGGAAAGAATGAGCAGGGAAAGAATGAGGGAGGAAAGGACAACAGAGGAAGATCCAGAGAAGAGAGGCAGAAAAAATGGAGGGAGAGGGAGAGAGAATAGTACAGAGAAATTTGGTGGGGCCAGGGGGAAAAGAGACAACCAACATTTTTGCATATTATCTTTTAAATTATTTATAATGGACCAGCTGCTGCATAATTTGGCATATGACAACAGGCTGGGTTGAAGAGTTGAGCCAGCTGAATCCACTTAATTGGCCTTCTTAGAAATTACACTTAGTTAAACTTGTCCTTCTGCCAGCCTTCTCGTTGCAAAGTAAAATCTGCATTATATTCACTATTCTGTACTGAAGTAAATGTATTTTTGCCTCCTGTGAGCTGGCCATTGCAGTCTGCTAGTGAGGGCCCGAGTGCTTTGAACTCGGTGAATTGAGGACTATCTTGCCAATGTGGGTAATATGAAGTTATGTTTGTTACCTGTTTCTGAGGAATTATATCTTTGTTAGTGAATGTACTTAAAAGAACTCGTCTCAGAATCACACAATGTCCACTAGTGGCAAACGTGCTATAGGTGTTACATGAAGTGAGACAATGACAAGCTATGAAACTTACAAACACCACAGTTTCAGGGAGCTCTAAGTACCAGACACCAAACCCAGGGGACACAAGTGGAAAATTATGATCAGAATATATCAGGTTACTCGAATCCTATTAAAATGAGATCACTATGTAGTAAGAGCCAAGGAGGCCGAAACTGGTGTCCTAAATCAAGGCAACTTATCAAAAAAAGCAGGTGATGCAAACTGTGAAATGTATAAAGAGTAATTCCAATCCTGGCAACACCACAGCCCATTAGAAGCAGGCCAGGACAGTGTGCACTCCCCAAGAAACACTTAGTCCTGATCCAGCTCTAACGATTTCATAAAGAATGGGGTTATGAAAATGAAGAGAGATTCTCTCTCTTTTCTCCTATTTTCTCTTGGATTTTCAAATTCAGGAAGACAATGTATTGGATGTGGGCAGTGGTTACTTGTGCTATCTCAGTGCAGAGCTAAAGGTGAATTTGGAAGATAGGGTAAAAGTTAGTAGTTAATGGCTGCTTCCAGATACAGCTACAATTCCAAGTATGAGTCCCCTTTACATTTAAATCCCCTGAGGGGATATGCAGTATGCATCCCCTGTAGGGTAATTCCATCTTTATCATGCATTCATTGGAAGCTTTATCCCCCAGGCCAAAAAGTGAGGCACAAAGATGACAGCAGGAGGACACGTGGTACCCTGGAACAGTGGGAAGGAACTGTCATCCAGAGAGAAGAAAAGGCAAGGGAGAAGGGATGGCTCAAATTGGGAAGTCTAGGAATTATTCTTTCACCAGCCAGACTCAGGCTACCCTGGATGCAGCAAGACAGGGAACTGTGTGAATCAGGAAGGTGGTTGAGAGTGTCTCGTCTGGCCGGCTCACTAAGACTAATTATGCATAGGATGTCAAGGTCCCCCATCTGCAGGAGTCTATGATCCTGGCCTTTTTCTTTTTTTTTTCTTTTGAGACGAAGTCTCGCACTGTTGCCCGGGCTGGAGTGCAATGGTGCGATCTTGGCTCACTGCAACCTCTGCCTCCCAGGTTCAAGCGATTCTCCTGCCTCAGCCTCCTGAGTAGCTGGGATTACAGGTGCCCAACACCATGCCTGGATAATTTTTTGTATTTTTAGTAGAGACAGTGTTTCACTATTTTGGCCAGGCTGGTCTCAAACTTCTGACCTCGTGATCCGCCCACCTTGGCCTCCCAAAGTGTTTTTTCTTTTATTTTTAAGAAACAGGGTCTTATTGCTCTGTCACCCAGGCTGGAGTGCAGTGGGACAATGACAGCTCACTGCCACATGGGACTCCTGGGTTCAGGCAATCCTCTCCACTCAGCTTCCTGAGTAGCTGGAACTCCAGGTGACCACCACAATGCCTGGCTAATTTTTTAAAATTATTTTTTGTAGAGACAGGGTCTCACTTTGTTGCCCAAGGTGGTCTTGAATTCCTAACCTCAAGCAATCCTCCCGCCTTGGCCTCCCAAAGTGCTAGGATTACAGGTGTGAACCACCACGCCCGGCCCTGACTTCCGTAAACTCAATTGCTACTACTCATCCTGGCTAAATCTATCACAACTATCCCCACGCCATTAATATTTTAACTCATCACATTCTTTTGTCATAGTATTATTATAGGTAATATGGTGATTTTGAAAACAAAACAAAACAAAAAACTTAGCAAAAACCAGAAGGGACTGTAGAAAAACTAAACTGAATGGTAAAAGGTTTTATTGTTTTATTTTATCTACTTTACTAACAATGGAAAAAAGGGGTAGAGAGGACAAGTTAGCTTTTAAAATGCATAAGTGTAAATAAACAATAAAATGTTTACATTAGTAGAACCCAGAGATTACCTTGATTCTAATGGCAGCTCCAGGGATCCGTAAGAGGCCTTCTGTTTCCAAACCTCTCTCTTCAATTCGAGAAATCAGCTGTGCATAAACAGAGAAACATTCTAATTTCCGTATTTGTAACAGGTACAATTCCGAATTTAACATCTGTTTCACATATAAATAAAACTGATTACAATGACATGTAAACTGGATTTTATGAGGTTTTGAATGCTATTTTACTACCACTGTCCTTCAAAACAATAAGTCCAGAAACTTTTGTTATAATTTAGAAAAAGTTGGGCCTTATGCTACTTTATAACAGAAGTGTGTAATTTCACACAACAGCTGTGGTACTCCAAACAAACAGAATAAAGATGTTCACTGTTTAAAAGCAACTAAGAACATCTATTTATTCTGCTTTTCCAGAAACCTACATTCTGCAATCAAATAAATCTTATGAAAATCTAGCATTTGCATATTTACATCTCATTTTTAGCTTGTTCCAAGAAAGAATTATTTATGACATGCAGAAAAAAGACTGTTTGCAAATATTCATTTTTAAGTCTTTGGTGTTAAACAAAGAAAAATGTCCTTGTATATGGCCTCTAAGTCATACCTGATGCCCAATGAATACGCTGATCTAACTCCAGATTCCCACAAAAAGCATTTTTTTGTTTTTGTTTTTTAAAAAGGCAGAAACCCGCAAAAAGAAGGCAAATGGAGAAATTACAATGACTACTGGAGGCTAAGAAGACAATAAGAGTGGTCAGATTCTTGATAACGTGATCTTCTTGGAGTAGGCATTCCCTGAGCAGTACACAAAGGCCGTATAAAACATATTCTATTTTAAGAAAATCAGTTTTCCTGTCCTCAGTTTGAATATAAGGCATTTCCTAGCATCATATAGGTTTTCCTCCCTGGCACCCACTCTCATTTCACAATTGCCTTCCCTGCTTTATAAAAGACAGACCTATTCTTCACTCATCCACAGTCTTACTATAATATTCTCTGCATGCCCTAAGGCATAAAATCTTCTAGAGTATCAAAAGAATGTAAAAAAAAAAATTTTCAGGGAAGCCTCCTTTAATGATTAAACAAGGCTCTATAAACTACCTGGAGCTTACTGTTTTTCCCTTGCACATAAAAGTGTCTGTTAGGAGCAAAGCATCATAAATGAGGTATTTTGACCTTTGTCTGGATATTCTGAAGTTAGATATATTGTAGTATGTGGACACTGGAAGAGATGTCAACTTTTCTTTAAACACTTCACCTCTTCTATTCCTGGGTTATATTATGGCCAAAGATGCACTGATATTGAGGAAGTCAGTAAGAACTAAGCATAGCAGTCTCAAAATTCTCCTAAGGATTTATTATTAGGAAAAGAGAAGCATCTTTGATCAGTCAAAGCAGTACAGGATTTTTAAAAATTCATCTGGAGTAGGCCGGGCATGGTGGCTCACCCCTGTAATCCCAGCACTTTGGGAGGGCGAGGCGGGCGGATCACAAGGTCAGGAGATCGAGACCATCCTTGTTAACATGGTGAAACCCCGTCTCTACTAAAAATACAAAAAATTAGCCAGGCGTGGTGGCAGGTGCCTGTGATCCCAGCTACTTGGGAGGCTGAGGCAGGAGAATGGTGTGAACCCCAGAGGCGGAGCTTGCAGTGAGCCAAGATCGCAACAGTGCACTCCAGCCTGGGCGACAGAGCGAGACTCTGTCTCAAAAAAAAAAAAAAAAAGAAAAGAAAAAAAATTTCTGGAATATTTTCCAAGACCACATTTTTCAAGTAACACTGGATAAAATCCCATAGCAAAAATTTTAGGCGAATTATTTTAGATCAGATGGGCGTTATTCAAAATAAAGCATTTAAAACCTAATGTAACCAATATTCAATGTATAGCCAATTTTCATTTTATTTGATCTTATAAAATGTTTAAAATGTTTCTAGTCCTATTAACAAAAAGTACAATTGTATGCTAGCTGCTGGAGCAAATTAGTTTTCAGCAATATATGCCTTTCACTTTCATTAAGTACACAGGAAAAAGTGATTGTGACTTCTAAATAACTGAATGAGCGTAATTTCTGCATTTTAATATTTGAGTCCTTTTCATTATTCTCTAAGGCTAAAAACCAGCACCCAATAGAGTTACGTACATATATCGTCAGAAGGAATGCCATGTGTTTTCTTATATATCTCACTGAAAATAACATTTTTAGCTACATTATATTGCATTATTAAAATATAAATAATACTTTATAGCATTCCTTTTATTATCAGGATTAAAATAGAGATGAAAAATAACTATATTGACTCATACATTTTAATGATGCTGTTACTAATGTATCTATGTTCTGTAATTTATCAGTAATTTTCATAGCATTTCTCAAAATATATATTACATACTTATGTGAATTGAAAAATGAAATGAAAACACAGACTCTTTGACACAAAGTATGGCTGAGTTGGCTGATTCATTTGACAGTGAAAACACTAGATTTGATAATTAGGTTATAAGACAGACTTTTTTCATAGATTAAAATTAACAATATTTCTATTTCCCTCATCCTTCTGAGAACACAAGGTTTAAACAATGTACCTCTGAGTAAAATAATATAACAGGTACAGGTTCATAGATATTAGATAAGCTTTGTTAGTGTCCTTTTCGGGTATATAAGCTCAAAAATTAAATTATAGTCCTCTAAAGACTGGTAATGAATCTTCTTGCAAATCAGTCGTTTCTAATTTTTTCCATTTTACAAAATACAGATATGACCTAATTGAGTTGTCAGCTGATAAATCAAAACTTTTTTTGTGATAGATCACTGTGATTTTTTGCTTATAATTCACAAGGGATGCAAACAGATGAGTGTTATCTACAAGTAAACTTTTTATATGCTCCTTTATTTTTTATAGAAACAAAAATACTTTAGGGCCATTATCCAATCCTTCAAATAGATAAGACAGCCAGAGTCTGCAGAATGTTAAGGGACCAAAAATGTAAAATAACCAACTAAATAAATTTAAAAAAAAAACTTCAAGAGAAAATGACAAAGGAAGATTTTTCTTAATAGACTGGATGCAATCCTCAGCCGGATCACGTGGCATCACTGAACCTCCACAGAAACTGAAGCTCACTGTATTTCTGTGGTGTGATGGTGAATTTTGTGTGCCAATTTGGCTAGGCCATAGCGCCCAGGTGTTCAGTCAAACAGCAGTCTACATGTTGCAGTGACAGATTTTTTTTTTTTTTTTTTTTTGGTTGTCACAGTAGACTGTGAATAATGAAAATTATTTAATACTCTCTATAATGTAGTGGGCCTCATCCAAACAGTTGAAGGCCTAAAAGATTTTGGTTTCCCAAAGAAGCGGCAATTTTGCTTCAAGACTGCAACAAAGAAACACTGCCTAAGTTTCAGCCTGCAGAGTTTGGACTCAAGATGGTAGCATCAACTCTTGCCTGAGCTTCCAGTCTGCTAGCCTGCTCTACATATTTCAGACTTGTGAGCCCCACAATTGTGTGAGCCAATTAAAAAAAAACAAATCTCTTCCTCTCACTCTAAATATATCCTATTGCTTCTGTTTCTCTGGAGAACTTTGACTAATACCCCAGGAAAGGATGCTGCTGAGATCCCTGCTTTGTATAGGCTTTGGTGTATAGTAAATTGCAACTGCTACTGACAGAAGAATTTGAATATGTAGCCTGTATTTGTCAGCCTCCTCCTGTTAATCACAGGTACTGCTGACAGCTCTCCATAGATACATGTTCTGCATGCAGTGGCTAAAAGAGGCTGATGGGTGGGATCAACTGTATAGAACAAAGTTTGTCAGGAGAAATAATGAGATGCAGGTTTGAATGTAGTGGTAGATATGAGGGGAAAAAAGCACCAAAGGTTAGTAGGTAAGACGGAATTAATTGACTGGTTTGGAAGAGGGGAAGAATAAGTGCCAAGTAGATTGAGCCTTAGTACTGGATGAGTTTGCTGAGCCAATTAACTGCAAATCAATTTCTACTGTCCCAAGAAATTTCAGAAACGGTGATATGCCTGGGCTGCTGCAAAGAATCTACGGCTTGGGTAGTTCACAACTGAGTTGACCTGTCTTCCTCACTGTGCATTCCCTAGCTTTTCTCAAATGTAATCTGTATTTCTGAACAATGATGGCTCAGAGGTTGGACGGAAATTTTTATATTGCCACAGATAATCCCCTTATGAATAACTGAGTGTTGACTACACAAGTGACTTAACAGTTTAGCAATCATTTTCTAATTCTACTTTATGGTTTCTTTGCCTACTTTGGAAATAGGCACTGGTAAATTAAATTGGACATCCTCACTGTAAATAGAAAAGCTGAGGAAATATACACAGGCATGAAATATTCATGAGGATGCAATTCCCTAGAAATTTATAAGCAGTTCCCACTCCTATGTATTATAGAATTGAAATCTCAATTATACAAAGCCAGCTAATATAAGACAGGAAAATGACGCCAGGTAATCACAGTTACAGTAATAACACAGAAAGCATCACCATGAATATAAAACTTATGAGCCCTTGAAACCAATTTGCTTCCTGAATAGAAAATCAAAGTACAAAACATGACAGTATATGAATTGGAAAACTGTATTATAATAATATGAATACAAAAACCACTATTAGCTTAAGTATGTTCTCTCTATGCTGACCAATCCAAGCCTACCTACTTTTTGAAAGATCAAGGGTATTCGCATTCCTGGTACTTTCCTCTGATCTTGTTCTAATAGCGCTGTCAATGGAACGCAAAAAAGACCAGAATCTGCAAGAAAAAAAATGAAATTTCCTCACTTTTGTCAATCTATAAAATATTAATATAAAAATGTTAAAGCATAAGATTTCTGATACTGTCGATCAGACAACTATTTATTTAGCAACTACTAAGTGAATGACAGCATCTCAACATTATATATATGGTGGCCAATAGTAAAATCCTGGCCCTGCCTTATAGAGGAATGTAGCAAGGAAAGACAACTAAACAAATGATTGCAAATAATTACCAACATAATTAGAAAAGTGCAAACTGCTGCATAAGAGAAACAGAGGGCTGTGAGAGCATGCAAAATATCCAAATAATTTACTAAATGTAATCAAATTAAAAATTCTTACTTAAAAGCAAATATTGGCCAGGTGCAGTGGCTTATGTCTATAACCCCAGCACTTTGGGAAGCCAAGGTGGGAGGATTGCTTGAGCCCAGGAGTTCAAGACCAGCCTAAGCCTGGGCAACATAGCAAGACTTTATCTTTATGAAAAATAAAAAAAAATTAGGCAGGTATGATGGCAGGCTCCTATAGTCCCAGCTACTTGGGGGGCTGAGGTTGGAGGATAGCTTGAGCCTGGGAGGTTGAGGCTACGGTGAGCCGTCACTGCACCACTGCACTGTAGCCTCAGTGACAGAGCTGTCACCGTTTTTATCACCAAAAAAAGCAAATATCATTCATCTTTTCCATATTAAATAGACATTGAACACTTTACAATACAGCAAAATACAAATATTTGCTTTCTAAGAAATCAGACAAGATCATGATCTTGTTCTACAAATGTTTCTCTTTAGAAAATAGATACTTGCTACTCTTAAATTTAACTTTGTGATTGTATATACTTAGAAATAGCTCCAGAAAAAAATGATGGTAATAATTTACAATTTTTCTAAATTAAAATCATAGCCTTGAGTCTGGTATGAACATGGCTTCGACCAACACCTCCACCCTGCCCCCATCACTGAGTGGACGGTTAGCACCAAAGTGATAACTTTTTCCTTTATGACGTACATCAGCATGGAAATGAAAATCATCTGTGAACATGAAAAAGGGGATTATCTTGTGGTATGAGGACAGACATTGGATATTGTGACACTTAATCGAGATGCCATTCAAAAGAACGCCAGTAACCCAGTAAATAACTTTTCAGTTTGGGAATTCGGAAAAGATGCAATCTCAAGGATGCCAAGGGTCTAGGGTATAACATAAAATCAGTATCTTGGATAAGACAAACAGGTATTAAATAAAAATGGAAAGAAAGTCTATTAACAGTGATAGCCTTGATATAAACAACTTAACGTTTCTTTGCCAGGATGCAATTCTAAAACATAAGAATTAAAAAAAAAAACTCTTAGCCACTTTAAAAATCTTGGGCACTGAACCACAACTGTTTAAATTGTATTTCTATTTTACGTTTGGAGAAGGCTTTGTGTAAGCTAAAATACTCAAAGGAACTAAGCACAGAATGAGGTCTTCTGGGGCCCAGCATGACAGGACCAGAAGGGAAGGTACACTTCAGTCCTACAGAGTAATTGCCTCTAAAACCTAAATCAGGTGAATACTTGTCTTTGTGAATGTTACCACAGCAATTCAATAATCCTCATTCTTGGTTTCTCTTTAGGAGATACTTCTAAGGTTAAACAAGAGGACAAAGATTCCTAAGGTAAAGCCTTGTCAACAGAGAATTATGTGGATTTCAATACCAATAAATTACTGGAGAAACAAAAACTGAAGAGGTATCTGTTCTCTATTATATCATTAAAAATAAACTGTTTATTTAATGGGTAAAGCAAGGTACTTACAAAAAAAACAAAAAAAAAAAACCACTCCATATTTCCATGATGAGTACAATCTAGTGGTATTGTTTTGTCACAATGGTGGTATTTTCTTAATAGGGGAAAGAATGTCTTTGCAAAATAGGTAAAATTAGAATGTCCAGGAACAAAGGGGCAGACTACTAACTAGCCCATTTATTTGCTATCCAATGAATAACCAAAAGTAGTCACTTAGAATCAACTGTCTTAAAGTCATTTTTCAAGATCTGATTCTGGAAATAAATAAATATGTGTACCAAATATGTATCTTTTTAAATATATAGTTTTTAAAGGAGAAAGCAAATGAGTTAAGAGTCCTTGCTTCAGAATTTCCTTCTATGAGAATTAAATTCTTTGACTATGCCTTTATTCTCTATAGTCTAGGACACAGTGTATCTCTATCGTTATAAAACTTTTGAAGGCAACATCTTAGAATATAAACTTTAGATGTATTCAAGTGTTGGTTTATTTTGCAGGTGTTTTCCCTGTCTCCCAGAAATACTGCAAAAAAGCCAAGTCCATCCTTGCTATTTTAGAAATAAATCCAAGGGTTTATCATTTCATGATTACCTTTTGTTTTGATTTTCACAGCTTTTTGTTGTTTCAGCTCAATACCCAATACATCATAGAGGGCAGTCAGCTCAATTAGGGCTAAATGGCAAACTTTCTTCATGTCCTGGGGTGCGAGGTCACCAATCCTTGTGGTACCCGTTTTGTCTTTTGGCAATCTGAAACTCTAAAATAAACATCATTAATATAGTAAAAGCTTACAGTACCTAACCTCCATTGTAATGCAGGAAGGAAAAACCAACTACAGAAAGAAGTTATACTCAGAATAAGTGATAAGAAAAGCCACAGAATTTCTCCAGTCAGAATGAAGAGTGATCCTGTCATGATGACGACCCCTAAAGCTGTGGAGGGTTCGGGAGTCAACTTCCAAAGTCTGACAGACAACGGGAACAGACCGCAAACTCGGAGTATTAATACCAGTGGCTCAGAGGACAAGAGAGACAGTGAACCAGGAGAAAAAGACTTCTAGTTAAGTGACCTTCAGAAAAGGATGGCTAGAAGTCAAGCACAATCCATGAGGGGGAAGGGGAAGAAGAGGTGGGAAGGGAAGGGGAGAAGGAAGGGGAGAGAGAGGGGGAGGGGAGGGGGAAAAGAAAGAGGAGGGGGAAAGAAAGAAGGAGGGGGAGGGGAAAAGGGGAAGAAAAGGGGGAGGGGAGGACAGGGGGAGGGAAAAGGGGGAGGGAAAAGGGGGAGGGAAAGGGGGAGGGAAAGGGGGAGGGGAAAAGGGGGAGGTGAGGGAAAAAGAAGAGGAAAAAGGGGAGGAAAAGGGGGAGGGGAGGGAGGGGGAGGGGGAGGGGGAAACGGGGACAGTGAAGGGGAAGGGAAGGGGGAGGGAAAAGGAGATGAGAAGGGGAGAGAGAAAAGGAAGGGGAGTGGGCAAGGGGAGAGGGAAAAGGAAGGGGAGCAGGGAAGGGGAGAGGGAAAATGAAGGGGAGGGGACGGGAAGGGGATGGGGGAGGGGGAGGGGGAAACAGAGGAAGATGACATGAAGAAGACAAGTAGGGGGGAGAGAAAGAGGAATACTAGCCATGAGTGTATGCTTAGAACATGCCAGGTACCCTTCACATACACTTATGTATCTTTTAATTGTCACAAAAGCCAAGTAAGATTGGTCCAGAAAGGCTACAGCCCATTGGGGTAAGAGGGACACAGGGGAAACGAAGAGCATGGACTTCAGAGCTTACCAGTCACCTATCTACTTACTAGTTGTGTGACTTATGGCAATGGCTTAACCTTTACTTCTGTAAAATGGGAGATGGAGGGGGAGGGAAAGGAGGAGAAGGGCAACAAAAAGAAGAGGATGGGCCACTGAATTCAGAGGGCTATTGTGAGATTTAGTGCCCAGCACTGCCCAAGTGCTTTTATGTGGTTGCTACTGCAGGTTGAGTACACCTCATCCAAACTGCTTGAGACCAGAAGTGCTCTGGATTTCAGATTTTGAAATATTTGTATATACACAATGAGACATCTTGGGATGGGTCCCAAGTCTAAACACAAAATTCATTTATGTTTCATATACACATAGCCTGAAGGCAATTTTACAAAATATTTTAACTAATTTGAATGAAACTAATTTTGTGTTAAGTACTTATGTGTGGGATTTTTCACTTGTGGCATCATGCCAGTGCTCAAAAAGGTTCTGATTTTGGAACATTTAGGATTTTGGATTTTTGGATTAGGGATACTCAACTTGTATATTACTTTCACTGCTGAATAAAGTGGGACTAAGATGTTGCTTCATAATCACAAGCACATGGTGTGTTTTTCTGCCTTTCTCAAATATCATCTTTTAATATTAAACACATTAAACATCAGAAAGCAAACCACAAGATAAAAAGGCAAATTTCACTAGTGTGTACATTTAATACAAATTACAATTCCATTGTGTTTACCTATTACTAAAACTGATCATTCTCTTACAGTTTGGGTTTACCTTTGAATTTTTCATTTAATTCAATTGCTGATTAGCTGATTTTACTGCATCTATTTTATTCCCTTTGCTTTGGTACTTCTTGCGTCTTATCATTAACACTTCATCGTCTAAATGCTAGGGCAAAAGACATGTCCTAAAGCAGTAATTCTCAAAGTGTAGTCCAGGGACCATTGGGGGTATCCAATATCCTTCCAAAAAGTTCAGAACTATTTTAATAATTAGTAATGAGGCATTATTTTGCCTTTTACACTCTCATTCTCTCGTGAGTATAGTTTTCCAGATGTAAATGAGTGCTACTGCAACAGACTGAATGCAAACGTAAATATGATAATCCAGCTGACTTCAACTAAAGCCAGACATTACAGACTCACTAAAATTAAAACCATGATACACTTAATTTTCTTTAGAAAATATGGCTATTTTCCATTTTGAGAAAAAGATATTTATGTTAACTATAATATTGTTATATTAAATGGATTAATATTTTTTCAATTTCTCAATTTTATTTTCAGATATGGTAAGTGTCCATAGGTATAACCCACATAAACAGAAGGTTTTTGAGGCCCTTAATAATTTTTAAGTGTATGAAGGAGTTGTGAGATGAAAATGTTGGAGTCAGTCTCCTACAGCAACTCGTAAAACCTATGACTTTTAGTAAGTGAGAAACTAATTCCCTTTAAGCAAACTCAATTCAAAAGAGAGCCTTCAAGTCCACTGTAAGAGGAAAGGGGTCTTTCTTAACCGTTCGTAATGTGTTTTTTTTCCTAGGAGAACATCAAATAAACAGCAATGGACATCACTGAAGATGGGGCCTAAGCAAATTTCCAGCAGGGGGCAGGATGGCCTCCATGGGGCACTGCACAGGGCTCAAGAGAGTGGAGTCAGACTACAGGTGGCAAATGCTGTTTCCATCACTTACTATGTGACCTTTGGCAAACAATGTCCCCTTCTGTGCCTTAGCCTCCTCATCTGTAGAATGAGAACAACTGAACCTAACTTACAAGGTTGTGGCGAAGATCAAATGATAAATAGCACTCAAAAAGTATTACATATTATATTTTTTTCATGGAGCTTTTAAAATAATATCAACATTTCATGGTCTTCCTTTATTCTTATGTGTCATGGCAAGGTAAGAAAAAAATGATAATAATAATTATCTTATCGAAAAACAGTTCATTTAATCCTTCAAAAGTCCTAATAAGAATTATTACAGCATCTTCTAGGTGGGGAAACTGAGACTCAGTTAAGTGCCTTAAACATGGCCACAAAGCCAGTGATGTCATGAAGATGCAAATTCAGTTCTCCTAAATCGTAAGTTTTGTAACCATTCTGTTCTACTCCATTTTTCCCATCCACCAGAGTAGGCAGGGAGATATCTAGGTTGATAGGTGTTGATGTGGTACTGTGAGCCCCTCAAGGAGAGGAGCCACTTCTTAATCACTTCCGTAACGCTGTTGTACCACAGACCTGACACACTATGGGTGGTCTGTCATGGTCCACTAAATGAATGGAGACACACATCCTACAGGGAGGCGAGCATAGAATCAAACTCAATGAGGTGGAGGGCCATTGGCTTCGTGTTCCCCTGATTTTCTGTGATTTCTACTGAGTTTTCCTTTTTAAAAATCACACAAAACTGGTCACATTTTTCCCATGTTTGGTCCTATATTTCTGCTAATTGCTTCATTTTCTGAATGCTGAACCAACCATATTTACCTTTTTTTTAAGCCCTAAATGTTTCATTAAAATCAGTTGCTTTGGGTCTAATAAGTCAAACACATGTAATACAGCCGTTTAAAGCATTACCCAAGGTAAATGTTTACAGAATCCTGAAATATTATTAATTCAAACATTTGATTTACCTAGCGATATATGTCATGAGCTTATTTATTTATTTAAACATTGTGCTTAATGAAGGAGTTAGTTCTTTATCCCAATGTTTAATTCATAGCAGCAGCTTTAAATATTTATGAAGTTTCCTGTCGTTTTTTGTTTAGTTAATAGACTGAATGGTTCAGTTCATTGGCTAAGAGAAAGCAGTGAAATTTCAGCAAGAGAAAAGTTCTCTACCTCTTGAAAAATGTGTTTAAAGAAAATAAGACTGGGCATGGTGGCTCACACCTGTAATCCCAGCAATCTGGGAGACTGAGGCAGGTAGATCACCTAAGGTCAGGAGTTCGAGACCAGCCTGACCAACATGGTGAAACCCCATCTCTACTAAAAATACAAAAACTAGCCGGGCGTGGTGGCAGGTGCCTGTAATCCTAGTTACTCAGGAGGCTGAGGAAGGAGAATCACTTGAGCCCAGGAGGTGGATGTTGCAGTGAGCCGAGATCGCGCCATTGCACTCTAGCCTGGGCAACAAGAGTGAAACTCCATCTCAAAACAAAAAAAAAAAAAAAAAAAAAGGAAAAAGAAAAGAATAAAAATTTTCAAAAAAAAATGTAAGGTCATTGATTCCCTTGTGTTACCATAAATTAACTAGGTAGCTTTCCCTGGCGTGTTGCTCTTTTGTAGGATTTGCATGAGGGGCCCCTTAGGCATTTCATCACTAATAATAAACTTGACTTTTTTACTCATCAGATCACTCTAGCTTTGACTTGGAAAGCAAGAGAAAGGATTCAAAAGCTTAGTCATTAATGTCAAGCCTCAGCATGTCAAGTTACCTCTCTAACATGTTTCCATGTATGAAAAATAGGGGTGTCTACCTCCTAGAGGTCATCTAATAAATAATTACAGAGCATAATTTCTGAGATATAACATGTATACACTAAGTAGCTAAATTTTCAAACTAAAGCAAATTAAAGGTTATAAAACCTGATCTCCAAATTTAAGAGGAGAAATTTGAATCCACGATGAGAGATCATAAAGAATTGACAAAGGTTGCTCGATGCTGTGAGGAAAAGGAAGTGAATATGAAATGAGGTCAACAGAGAACAATGTATTACATAAAGCCTACTGCTTATTTACAGAAGTAGAGGAGCATGGAACAGAAATGGAACTTAAGGTTTTATCTACTTAGACACCTGCCTCAGAGTAGTGAATACAAATCTTACTTTTTCAACCATGGGAAAGACTTGTAGAAATTTAACAATGAGTCCATACCTTCTAGAAGACAAACGGACTAAAAAAGAGTTTCTATAGATGAGTATATGCATATTTGCATAAAAAAATACATGGACAGATTAACAATAATGTCTAAAGCATGCAACCTAAATCAAAGGTGATTTCATATATTTATTTGATCTAATATAAGTTCACGATCAGGAAAGACTGAACAGGAAAACTGATCTTGAGCTAGTCTCTGAAGAATAGATTAAAGTTTCCTTGGCAAATATGGAACAACAGAGGGGTAGAAATGGAGAGGTCATTTTAAACTTTGGGCACAACTTGAATATAATTAAGAAGGTAGGTGAAGGTAAATTAGTTAAACAGAGAAGAAAATGGCAGAGGGAGTTTTGTTTTGAAAGCTCTCAAGTGGAGATGAATTATATTTCATTCCACTGTTTGAGTCAACAACTTAAAAGCCAACAATGACTTCATTTTGTTTAATTAGATTCTACTGTCCTTCAATTTAAAACCTTTCCATATTTTGTGATGAAGACTGTCACTTTGAAAACATACTTATTGGCCAGGCACAGTGGCTCATACCTGTAATCCCAGCACTTTGGGAGGCTGAGGCAGGCGGATCACAAGGTCAGGAGTTCGAGACCAGCCTGGCCAACGTGGTGAAGCCCCGTCTCTACTAAAAATATAAAAAATTAGCCAGGCATGGTGGCATGTGCCTGCAATCCCTGCTACTCGGGAGGCTGAGGCAGGAGACTCACTTAAACCCAGGAGGTGGAGGTTGCAGTGAGCCAAGATGGTGCCTGGGTGACAGAGCGAGATTCCATCTCGAGAAAAACAAAAAACAAACACACACAAAAAACCATACTTTTCCTGAGGATAGTCTGGCAGAGTGGATCATCATTTTAGGCCACACTTGCATACTCTTTTACTTTTCCCATTAGGTATAAACACAGATTTTCAAAAATATACAAGAAGGCCAGGCACAGTGGCTCATGCCTGTAATCCTAGTGTTTTGGAAGGCTGAGGTGGGTGGATCACCTGAGGAGAGGAGTTCAAGACAAGCCTGGCCAAGATGGTGAAACCCCATCTCTACCAAAAATACAAAAATCAGCCGGGCGTGGTGGTGGGCACCTATAATCCCAGCTCTTTGGGAGGCTGAGGCAGGAGAATTGCTTGTATCCAGGAGGCGGAGGTTGCAGTGAGCTGAGATCACACCATTGCACTCCAGCCTGGGTGACAAGAGTGAAACTCCATTTCAAAAATATATATATATATGATATATATTTATATATAATATATATTATATATGATATATATTTATATAATATATATGATATATGATATATATTTATATAATATATATGATTGATATATATTTATATATAATATATATGATATATGATATATGATATATATTATATATTATATAGATATATATTATATATGATATATATTATATATTATATAGATATATATTATATATGATATATTATATATTATATATGATATATATTTATATGTAATATATATGATATATGATATATGATATATATTTATATGTAATATATATGATATATGATATATATTTATATGTAATATATATGATATATGATATATATTTATATGTAATATATATGATATATGATATATATTTATATGTAATATATATTATGTATATTTATATATATTATATATTATATATTTATACATATGTATTATATATTATATATAATATATATTATATATAATATATATTTTATATTATATATTATATATAATATATATTTTATATTATATATTATATATAATATATATTTTATATATCATATATATTATAACTATACATTATATATTATATATATTTATTATATATTATATATCATTATACATTATATATTATATATTTATATATTATATATTATTATATATTTATATATTATATATATTTATATTATATATTTATATATTATATATATTTATATTATATTATATATATTTATATATTATATATTTATATATTATATATTTATATATTATATATATTTATTATATATTTATATATTATATATTTATATATTATATATATTTATATATATAATATATATTTTTATATTATATATTATATATTTATATATTATATATTATACATTTATATATTATATATTATATTTATATATTATATATTATATATTTATATATTATATATTATATATTTATATATTATATATTATAGATATTTATATATTATATATTATATATTTATATATTATATATTTATATATTATATATATTTATATTATATATCAAATATATATCAAATATATATATCAAATATAGCTATCTATATATATACACACACACATATATATACACATATACACACACACACACACACACACACACACACACACACACACATATATAGAAGAAAAGCCTGGAAACAATTCAGATGTCCGCCATAGGGGGACTGACTCAATAAATTATGATACATCTGTACAATGGAGTACAATGTATCTAATAAAAAGAAGTGAGAAATATTTCTCTATACTACTATGGTATGATTTCCACAATACACCACTAAGTCAACAAAACAAAAATCAAGGTGGAAGAAACTGTGCATAGTGAGCTACCAGTTACCTAGGAGCAGAAGGATAAACCATGATATTAAAAGGAAAGAAAGTTTGCCACTAAGAGGAGGGATTGAATAGGTTGGTAGCTGAAGGATAAAAGCTAGATTTTTAATACACTTTGTTTTTCGACTTTACTATTGGACTATATAAGTATTTTACATACTTATAAGCCAAAATGAAATTTCAAGAAAAGCAATCTCTAAAAATTGAAAATAAAATAAAGCAAATTAACCAAACCAGGTATGCAGCTGATGGCTTAACGATACAAAGAGTAACAATCCTAAGCAACCTAAAACACAATAATTTTACTGTATAAAATCCCTTTTAGGATGTACCCCCAAAACACACACACATACACACACACACACACACACACACACAGACAAATAGAAAAAAAAAGAAAAACAAGTTTAAACCATTTCTAGTAATCATATTGTTGATGGTAGTATTAGCATATTCTGAGAATGCTGTGCATTAACTTAGGATGAAGCAAACATGCAATTATGTGATATTCTAAATATATCATCTGCCATTTCCTGAGAACTACAATTCACAGCATGGAAGACAGAAGATGCTCATGTACGTCTGTCCTCTGAAAAGGCTCAAAAGTAATGACCAGCTCAGAGAAATGAACACTTCTAGAGTCCTGATCATAGTCACAAAAGTCTATTTCTACTAAACGGAATCAGAGTTTCCTGCAGAAACATATCAGTCTAGGTCTGGAACAGAAAATATACCAGACAAGCCTGTAAAATCTTGTCCAGGATCACATCAAATATGTGTAAATCCATGAGTTAAGACTATTTTTACAAATATATATAATTCCGTGAGTTAAGACTATATTTTACAAAGCAAATTAAAACATTAATTGGTCACAGGTGAAAACTGTTAATAAGTCAACAATTTCTGAAAACAAATAGAAAGTAAAAATGACCACTTTCAGAAGGTTGTTCTCAAAGAAATATCCAAATTAATAAATAAAAAGAAAATATTAGATCATAATTTTGTAACCGTTAATAAATTAATGGATCCAGGTATTGATCAGCAACAGCTGCTACATTGACAAAAAAGAAAGCAAACAGATATTATGAGCTTCCCAACAGAAAACATACAATCACATATCTGACGTAGTCTTGACTCCCCCCCAAAAAAGTGAAACTGAATCTGATCAATTTAAAGTCAACTAATTAATAAGAAACAAAAGAACATATTAAACTACACCAGGGGAATAGTCAGAGGGGGAAACTCTCCACAATTTAATAACCACGTTTCTTTAATAAATTAATGAGGAGGGAGGAAGGAAAAATAGAGAGAGGAAGGGATAGAGGGAAAGGAAGAAAGAAGGAAGGAAGGAAAGAGAGAGAGGGAGAGAGAAAGAAACAGAGAAGGAGATTTAAGAATTCTTAAAAGATGTATTAACTAATTGCAATACAACACATGACCCTTATTTGGATCCTGACTCAAACTGTATAAAAAGATTATAAAATTATGTGATACAATTTGAAATTTGAACACTGCTTAGATATTTGAAATTAAAAATTCTTAGCATTTTTGGTACAATAATGGTTATATGGTTAGGAGTTTTAAAATCCCCTCTTTGTCTTTTAGAAATATAGATGATAAAATATAATTCAGAGATGTATTTCAAAATAACACAGAATAGGGAACTGGGTGGGGGTATGAATAGGTCAGGATTGGCCATGGGCTAATGAATGTTGGGGCTGAGTGCTAAGTATTTGGGGGTTCAGAATACCATTTTTTTAACTTTTGCCTGTGTGAAATTCTGCATAATAAATGTATTTTTTAGAAAATGCAAGATATTCAGTAGCAATGAGAACATTCACTACACAGAGCTTGGTTTCTAAATACAATTTGCTGCTAAAAAGTACCAGAGCTTCTTGGAGAAATGGATGCTTTCAAGTCTGCAGGGAGAAAATTACAAAGAGAGCCTGGAACATCTTGTGCTAGAAACTGAAGAAGCAATTACGGAAGACTGTGTCAGCCAGTAAGTGTAGAAGGAATAATAGAATTTTAAAATAGCCATTTCTTAAGCACCAGGTTAGTTGTTGTTTCAGGCAAAGTTACAAATGGATGGTGAAACCACTGGGCAATAGGCTTTATTGACATATAAGATATTTGCCCAGTCTCAAGGATGACAAATTATTATTAATTGCACATAGGAAAGGTATCTTTTTATAATGGGGAGATCTAGTGAACATCTCTCCTTAGACAAGTTGGTGACCAAACTTCTATCACCAATAAAGGGACCATCTGATACCATGCATCTCTTCTGATGATGCAATCGAAGGCATAAACATCCTCCATGCAGTAAATGTGGCTAAAAATGTATAACTTGAATCCAGTCCTGAGGAAACAATCAGAAAACTGATTTGGACTCTTTGATAATATTGAAGAAAAGCAGGAGACTAACCTAGATTCAAGAAAACCAAACAGACCTGACAACAAATACAGTATATGACTCTTGCTTGGAACCCAAATGGGAGTGGAAAAGAGAGAAGCTATAAAGAACAATATTGTGACAATCGGGGAAGTTTTGATATGACTGTATATTAAATATGATTATCACTTCAGCTTAAATTTCTTAAGAATTAAACTTTAAAAAAGTACATATAGATAGATATAGAAAAGAAAAAGAGGTTATAAAATATTAATAACTGTTGAATTGATCTATGAAGGCCAAATGGTGTTTGCCATACTATTCTTTCAACTTTTCCGTGGGTTCTACATTTTTAAAATAAAAAGCTGATGAAAAATATATCCTGAGCCAGGTGTGATGGCTCATCCCTGTAATCCCAAGACTTTGGGAGGCTGAGGTGGGAGGATTGCTGGAGCCCAGGAGTTTGAGATAAGCCTGGGCAACGTAGTGAGGCCTCATCTTTCTCTCTGTCTGTCTGTCTCTCTCTCTCTCTATATATATATATATGTGTGTGTGCGTGTGTGTGTATGTATATGTGTGTGTGTATATATATGTATATGTACATATATGTATATTTATAAAGAGTGTACTACGTACAGGTAATGTGGCATCATCGCCTTTGCTCTTCTGGATTTTCTCCTTGGAGCTCTCTTTCTGATTGAGTGCTTGCTCGGCAAATGATACCTCCAGGTTGATGTCTGTTTCAGGGGCAGGCGTCTCCTCAGGTGGGATCAGCTTCTCTTCACCAACAAGGTTAGATGCCTCGTCTAGGGGCCCGGGGGGAAAGAACCCAATTCATATGCTTTATTTATTTTTTAAAAAAAATTCTAATGCATTCGCTACATAAAAACATTTGGGAAGAGTACTATTTTCTCTAGGCAATACTTAGCCGTTATTTTAATACTAAAGAGTATACTCAAGAATCCTATCAATGGTGCATGGGAAGTGGGCAGGGAGACTGTGGTGACTAGCAATCCATAGTTCAATTGTGCAGTCTTTGAGACCACAATCCTCAAACTGGGTTCCAATTCCAAAACATTGCTGGAAGATAGTAAACTTTTAATAAAAAACCTCAAAAGGTTTTGAAGTATTAATTGTTGTTTTATTCTACACTGAGAAACTAAAAGCAAAAAAAGAAGGAGGTGATGAGCAGTAATCTCTTGTAAAGCTAGTAATTTACCATTTAATTAATTTCCTCTGAGTGGATCAGTTTCCTGGAATAAACTTCTTCCACACCCTGCATTTACTTTCTGGAATATTACCTACCTATCATAGTAAAAATTCCAAAACAAGAGTTAGTGCCAAAAAGTGATCACTATGCGAGTCAGGTCAGGACGTACCTGGTACAGGAATGGTTGGGTTTGCACCTGATCATGTCAAAAAGTATAAAAGTTCCTACAACTGTAAATACCAGTCAAATAATTTTCACATATTTACATCAAGATTTCAAGGATATAGTAAGTTTAACTTTGTTTTGGCTTTTTTGGCTTGTTGTTAACCCTCCAGAAAGGAATTTACATTTAAAAATCTCTTTGCTGAAAACACCAGGTTTAAGCTTTGGAGAAGATACTTCTAAATTTGATTATTTGGTAAATTTTTTGTTTTAATGCAATTAACAGAAAAAAACCTAAAGCCAAGAACCAAGATTACTGATTTTCTCACTGTTGACCTTTGAATCATAGTAAGAAGCTCTGAATTACAAAATACATCTATGCAGTGTAGACACATGCTTATAACAGGCTCACATACGAACACAACAAAGTGATGGAAGCTAAAGTTAATTTAAAAATTTAATAGATAAATGTCATAAATACATATATTAAGAGTCTGCAGTTCAGAAAAATAATGTTTATATTCATTTACATTAAAAATGAAAATGCCTGTTTTAATCAAAATCAAGTTTAGAAGTAAATATGAATCTAGTCTTATTCAGTCCCATTCAATATGCAGAGTAGACTTCCCAGGCATGAGACCTGTGCAGCCACACAGGGCTCCAGGCTCAGGAGGGTTCCACACTTGGTTTAATGCTCTGCTGTTACATCCTGAAATGTAAATAAGAGGCCCTATATGTGCAGTTTGTCCCTGACCTTGCAAATTACACAGCTGGTCCTGATGGAATCTCACAGTTAAGAAAGTAAGAATTTACCTGTGCCAATTCCAAAACTAAGAATACATTTAAAGCCCGTTGATATTATTAGTATTCATCTGCTGCCATGTATATTTATGTTTCTCAACAGCCTGTGACCATTTTTTAAATTAGAATACCTATACCTTTTGATGATTAATTTTTTAAAGTATCAACATGAATATCAAAGCACAACTTTAATTTTATTTTCCCTCTGGTTTATTCTCTTTTATGTTTTACTGTGACTATGTACACTGGTTTCCTAGGAAACTATTCTAAGAGGAAAAAAATGATTAGCCATTTTCTTAAATTAGAAGCTACCTTTCTAGCAGCTGAGTAGTTGTGGGCAAGAATTTCAAAACTACTCTTTCTTCTCACCACCTCCATGTCAGGGTTACAATAAATACCCCCACACTCACACCCACACCAACGGACTATGCCGAATGTAAAGCTGAGTAATTATAATTAAGGTAGTACACATTTAACACACACATTTCCTTCAAAAGCAATGCAAAAAAAAAATACCGCATATCAAAGTTCTAGTTAAAATAGAAAATCAAGTTGAAGCACAGCACAGAAAAAAACAGTTTCAGGGTTGAAGAGGGGTACTGCTACAAGAAATGGATGATTACTTGGCTAATAAGTGATGTTTTAATTACCTACTCTCAATAAGAACAGAATGCTGAGATCAACCTTTTGGCTCTTAAGGTCCTAAAATAAATAAAATTTCTGTCATCTAGTCTCTTTTTAAGTGCACAATAGCACTGGGTTACAAACATTTTGCAAATCTCCCTTAAGTTTTTCAGTTGTCCAAAATATCCTGAAATGCCTTAAAAAATTTTTTTTAACCACCTGACTTTAAGATTCAATTGCTTCTATTTTAAAAAAAAAAAAAGATTTTTCTTTCCTCTGTAGAAATTCAAAAGAAAATAAGAAGCTATACATATCAATATAAAAGTTTAAAAAATTATTGGGGCATTATTAATATTTCTAAATGTATTATTAAATATTGGGCCTTTAATAGAGTTTATGATTGAATGAAAAATGAACATATTACAGTGAATTAATTTGGAATGTGACAACCCTTGCAACTATAAAACTTAACAACCTTTTCATTTAGAATAAGTATCATTGGCGGAACATGTTTAAAAACTCAAGTGTGGGGAAAACATTTAAAAGAGACTATGTCACCCATGCCTTCAAATTTTAATCAGAAACAGCCCCACTTTTGAACCTGAGACAATGTTTCCATGCATTTCATCCTGAACTTTCCAATGTTTGGCTTACACTGGTTAATTCACTGGCTAGTGAAAGAGCATGGCATTGCCCAGAACAGGTGCAATAGGGAATACTCAGTGACTTGGATGGCATCACACATTCTCTTGTTATTCTGATTGGAGGATCTATGCCCACTATGTAGCATTCCAGCAAAAGCAGATGTAAATCAAGCAGCAAGTTTGTCACATTTCACTTGCCTGCTGCAAGCCAGGCAGGAAAGTGCTCACATTATGAACTTGTCTTCCAGAACTTTTGTTGATATAGCCTACATCATGATCCCTGGCAAGGGAGGAAAACACCAAGAAAAGGACAATGTTTTCCTCAGCATCCATTCACCAACTGCCAGTCACTCTTCCCCAGAGCCCAAAACATATTGACATTGGCACAAAAAACCCATCTGTCTCTCCTGATGACCCAGCTCTCTAGCAGGCAGGGTAGCTATGCCAGCTTGCTTGCCACTTCAGCATCTGCAGGTACATAGATCTGAGAAAACACCTAGTGATTTCATTCAGATATAATGCATACAACTGAAGAAACATCCACAGAATAATAAAAAGCAAGTATTTTTATAAATATATATGCATGTATATACATGTGCATGCATATTATCTTTAAGGCAGGGGTGCCAGAGAGAAGTTCTGAGGAAAGTATGGAAGGAAAAGATCCCATATGATCTTGAGTAATGTAGGATTTTTATAGGAATGTTGGGAACACTCCTCAGTCCTCCACAGTTTACCTAATACCCCTCCCACTACTACTTCCAAACCAAATGCAACACTATTAATGGCATGAACACTCCAGTTGCTAAATTTTAGGAACATAAACTTAAATCACCTTTGTTTTAGTTTGTTAAATAACAATTAAGGACTACATTTTTAAGCTTAAATCTATTAACTTCACTTAGAATATTTTCCCTTTCTGTAAACAAATGAAATAGCTATAAATTCTCTCTTAGTAAGTACTAATAAAGCCTTAATAGTAACTTTTGGCTGGGCATGGTGGCTCACACCTGTAATCCCTGCACTTTGGGAGGCCCAGGCAGGCAGATCATTTGAGGTCAGGAGTTCAAGACCAGCCTCGCCAACATGGTGAAACCCTGTCTCTACTTAAAAAAAAAAAAAAAAAAATTAGCTGGGCATGGTGGCACATGCCTGTAATCCCAGCTACTGGGAAGGCTGAGGCAGGAGGATCACTTGAATCTGGGAGGCAGAGGTTGCAGTGAGCCAAGACGACGCCACTGCACTCTAGCCTGGGAGACAGAGCAAGACTCCACCTCAAAAAAAAAAAAAAAAAAGTTACTTTCTTCCATACCTCGAGTTTCTAATTCAAATCTGAAATAACAAATGTTAGCAGAGAAACATGAAAAGTAGAATTATAATCAATTGCCCATAAAAATCTTAACTATTTTAAAAAGTTTTCCTACAATATCTAAAAAATTACCCCATATATGAATTAGGAGCTTGTGATTTAAGAACGATGCTGCAAGTTTGTTGGCTCAGGGACTAGCTGTGTTGCATTGGAAAGTGGCTTCACAGCTCTAAGCCTCAGTTCACTCATCTGTAAAATGGGTTAAGAACAATAACCATTACATGGTTTTCAAGTGTATTAAATGAGGTAAACATCTCCTGATAGCATCTGGCACATGATAAGCACTCAGGAAGATACGTATACGCATTTTGAATCAGAAAATAGGAATACACATTAAAAGAAAATTGAAGGCCAGCTATATGCTCAGCCTCACATAATGATCCACTTGAGACCTTACATTAACATTTTAATAGAATTTGCTTACTAGAATTGAAGGTAATGTTTTATAAGACTGTAACTGTTATACTAATTAAAGGGCGGAAAAAAAAAAAAACAAGAGAACAGGTTCAACATACCATCTCTTCCTTGGTATTTGTTTTCATTTGTTCTAAGTGACTGCGATTCAGTGCCACCTGGAGCCTAAACATAGAAAACAGGCCATTTAGTCATCTCCAACTCAAAACCAGAGAAAATGGTACTGTAAATAATTTTGTTATTAATCTTTAGAGTACAAGACATGTACTCAGAATTATAACAATCACAGTGAAAAAGGGGCACTAAGATAATAATCAACAAGCAATCATCCAAAAAATATTTTATTACCTACAACTTGTAAGAGACAATAGTAGGCCCAGTGGGAAATATTAAAAAAGTCACGAGTGGGTCCCTGTCATCAAGAATGCTACTATGGAGGGGAGGAGAAAGGACAAACATGTTAAAAAATTAGTAGTAGCTATTAATTGACAAATGGATAAGCAAAATGTGGTCTATCTGTACAGTGGAATATTATTTGGCTATAAACAGAAATGAAGTATTGATACATGCTGCAACATAAAGAAACCTTGAAAATACTATGCTAAGTGAAAGGAACCAGTCACAAAGAGCCACATATTCTATGATTCCATTTATAGCAACTGACCATAATATGCAAACCACAGAGACACAAAGCTGACTAATGGTCACCTAAGAGTAGGGAGGGAAAGATGGGGAAGGTCTGTTAATGGATACAGGCTTTCTTTTGGAGACAATAAAAATGTGCTAAAACTGATTGTAGTGATAGTTGCACAACTGTGAGTATGCTACAAAACACTGAATTGTGCACTTTAAGTGGGTGAATTATATGGTATGTGAATTATATCTCAATCATGCTGTTATAAAACTATAAAAGTACATGTCCCTAATAAAACAGAAATTCTTCAAGTTAAAAAAAAAAAAGCAAGAAATAAATGTGAGATAAGTAACTAAATTACCAAACCAGCAATAAGACCTAAAACATCTGAAGGAATTCCTGTTTTCAAGGGGTCGGGGCAGTGACGCCCAAGGAACGGGGCCTTCCAAAGGTTTATGGAGATGGTAAACCATGGCCGACTCTGCTCAGCAGTAAATGTGGCCAGAGAGTACTTCCTCCTTTCCAGGTAAGGCTTCAGAAGGAATTCAGAGGTCAGGAAGAAGAGTCTGGATCAACCACAGAAAGAGGTCTATTCAAATTATTTTAATAATATTGATAATTCTACTGTATTTTATCTCAGACAGAAAGTGGCCATTGTAGTCTCACCACACATTTCACCTCAAGCTGTTGTCCACGAAGGACTTCATCCTCCACCTGAAGTCTAAAAAGAGCCTAGAAAAGCACTAGGCTAGGGACGTCTAGGCTATTAATGCACCACTTAGAGATGGGGAAAACCCAGGAAAGTGTTACAGTGACTACCAAGTCACAGAAGTGGTACGTGGGTACCCAGCATCACTTTAATCCCCTGAAGCACAGAGCAGTCCCATTCTCCTTCCCTCCTCCCACAAGCCGGCAGAGGCTGGCCCTGCATGGCACAATGAGCAGAGTGATTCCAGTCTCACAAAAGAACACATATTTTGGAGCATGTGGTCGGAATTATTTTCCTTAGCAATTGAAGATGGCAGTACAGATGGTGTTCATTTCTGCATTATATTTCCTAGTGTCAGCAAGGCCTTCATGAGGAAGCATTTAACATGGAAGAGCTGAATATACACTCACTCAAAAGTAGAAGAACTGCAAGTGAAGATGGCTGGCCCAAGTTTGCTTGAGGCATGGGGGAGATAAAGCACTTTTCTAATGGGTGGCAGTGTTTCAATTAAAGGCATGCAGTGTAAGCAAGTTAACATTATTTTAATTTCCTTTTGCTAGTTCTCTCTTAATGACTCCATCAGATGATACAATCCACCAATTACCTTGGACTCAAACCATGTGGTTGTGACACTGCCAGAAACTTGCTGGAAAAATGTTGTTTCTAGCACCAAGTAGCAACATCCTCTTGGAGACTGGCAGAAATCCCACAATTTATATTTTGCTTAGGCTCAGCTCTCTATTCCCTCCCCCTTTTCACTTCCTCTTAACTCCCTTAGTGAGGGTTCTCCAATTGGGAAGAAAATGTCATAATACTAAATTTCCTTACCATTCATTTTTCTTCAGCTGGAAACCAGTCCAGTCCTTTAACACAAGTGGATATCCCAAATAACCACTGGGTGGTAAGCAAGTGCTTAACTTAAGCAAGTGCCTGGAGCAATTTAATGACCCCAAAACTCCTGTAAGATGGACTGGACTTGATTCGAAATTGGTCATGCAAAGAGAGTAGCAATCTGCAGCTAGAAGGGCTTTCTTGCAAGAATAAAATGTCTACAAAAAGCAAAAGAGTGTCTACATGACAGGAAGATACCTTAAATATAAACCCTTTCATTCCTTTTTTAACATAAATAATCGTTCAATTTTTGTTATCTTTTATAGTGTAAATAGAATCTCATATTCAGGATGCTTAATGTCAGAATCATGTACAAAATGCAAATATACCAGGATAGAGACTGGTTAAAAGCATGTACTTCAAAGTCAAACAAATTTGGGTTTACTATCTACAGGACACTGAGCAAGTTACTTAAAATCTGGCCAGGTGCGGTGGCTCACACCTGTAATCCCAGCACTTTGGGAGGCTGAGGCAAGCAGATCACCTGAGATCAGGAGTTCAAGACCAGCCTGGCCAACATGGCGAGACCTTGTCTCTACTAAAAGTACAAAAAATTAGCTGGGCATGGTGGCGTGCGCCTGTAGTCCCAGCTACTCCGAGGCTGAGGCAGGAGAATTGCTTGAACCTGGGAGGGGGAGGTTGCAGTGAGCCGAGATTGCACTCAAGCCAGAATGTAAATCAACTTTGACCTCAAGAACACCATCTAGATCCGCTGATTTTTTACCTTTTTTCTGGCAGCAAGACTTTTTTGATGAAAGAAACAAGGATCATTTATATTCTCTGTAAGCTCCTGATGCCCTTACAGGTAAGTAATAGGCAATCCACCAACTGGCTTATTTGAGTAGCACTGATCTGAGCCACACAGTTCTTGTACTGTTTTGTTGTTGTTGTTGTTGTTGTTGTTTTTTGAGATGGAGTCTCACTTTGTCACCCAGCCTGGAGTGCGGTGGCATGAACACAGCTCACTGCAGCCTCGACCTCCAGGGCTCAAGCAATCCTCTGGCCTCAGCCCCGCAAGTAGCTGGGTCTACAGGCACATGCCACCGCACCCAGCTAATTCTTGCGCTTTTTGTAGAGATTGGGTTTTGCTATGTTGCCCAGGCTGGTCTCGAACTCTCCAGTCTCAGCCTCCCAAAGTGCTGGGATAACAGCTGTGAGCCACCACACCCAGCCTCTCAAACTTTTATCATGCCTTCTCTGATACCTCCCTTCATTCATCAATCCCACAGTCTCTACCAGACCCCACAGCTTTTATTAACAAGTTAATCACCTAGACAAATATTTACTCAATCTTTTGTGTGCTGTCACTGTGCTAAGGCTAGACACCTTAAAGTTTAACCTAAAGCTGCCTCCTTACATATCTTCCGTTCATCCTAAAGGGTTTCTCTGTATATAGTGAACTCTAACCTAACTGGATGTGTAAACAGACTGTAACCTACTTGTGTCAATCACCAAATTTTGACCAATCAAAGGTGGCCAACTGTTCAAACCATATTCAAAAAAGGCAAACACAAAGCTGTAACCAATCTCGCTGTTTCTGTACCTCACTTCCATTTTCTGTAGATCACTTTCCTTTCCCTGTCCATAAATCTTCTTTGACCACACGGTAGCACTGGAGTCTCTCTGAATGTGCTGTGATTCTGGGGGCTGCCCAATTTGCAAATCATTCTTTACCCAATTAAATTCTGTTAAATTTAATTTGTCTAAGGTCTTTCTTTTAACACCACAAAGGAGAAGTTACTTCATGTCTCAAAGTTCCTGCTTTGTAATTCAGCTGCAATTAGCTCCCTCACATTCTACTTCATCCATCCCCAAACCAGTCTAGGGAAAAATCAAATATTCCTACAAGCATTAATAGATAGGGAAGAATACCCTAATCCTACTTTTCTCTAAGTAACTGTTGGTAGTCATGTTGTCTGAGAAGCTGTCCCTGTCACCCCTAGTGGAGTTAAAGTCACTTGTAATGCTCCAAGGACACCCTCTTCTCCTAATACATGGATTATCATGCTGAATTTTAACTAGCTTTGTTTTCTGCCCCATCAGTATAACTTCCAGAAAGGCAGGAAGCAAGTCTCTCTTGTTTCCTGCAAGCATAGAGCTTTGGTGCCTGGCATAGAATAGGTGATCATTACGTTTTTAATCATTTGAATTAAACCAGATTGATCCAATTAATTGTAAGCAATTATTCCTTTGCCTTAACATCAAAAAAGAAAACCTACTGTTTCTTTTGATTCTCTCTGTTGAGCAAATATGTCTCTGACGTCAGGAATCTGGTACTGTTTGTTTTTTTTCCTCAAGGTCTGGGAGACCGTCTCTACTCGCTTCTGAACTGCTGCTGCCTGGGTCCGCGTCAATGTTGATAAAAACACAATGCTTTCCTGTGGATCTCCAGCAGACTCTCCGAAGAGATTGGATAAACCGGCCTCTTTAAGCCACTCTTCTTCCAATTCTCCCTCTAAGACAGTAGAGAAAAGTGGTACTTAAATCACAAAATATAACAACCTTTACATTTTTTAAGCTGTTAAAAATTCTTACTAAAACTCTTCTATTGTAACCAAACCACAGTGCTAAGAATCATTATCTAAAACTTGGACAACTGCCATACACTCCAGCCACAATGACATCAAATTTTAGATTGATTTCATATATACTCAATTAAAATTTTTAAATGACTTCACATGTAATTAACCTCTATAACTTCCCTGCAGATTAACCCAGAGGATGATACTGTTCCCCTTCCAGAGATAAGCAAAGAATAAAAAGATAACTTACTTCCATCAAGTTACAGAAGGAAGTCAATGCTGGGGCTATATATTAAGCCCAGTTTCTTGGCTTAAATTCAGTACTACCTCAGAGTCCAACACTAATTTATGGAAAGCCTTGTTTTCTCTGTTCACTGTAGCTGACAGGAAGTGCAGCAAAGAAGTTAACAGCATCAGAACATTGGGAACTAATCAATTTCAAATTAATTTTTCTAATCTTCCAAGTCAGCACATCAGATTATGTATTTTTACAATGTTTTTTTAAAAGCACAATATATCCAGCAAAAAAAACTTATATAGGAAGATAATCAAACAACAATCAATTCAAAACACTGAAAGCAGGAAATATTCATGCAAATATTGTGTAAGATCTAATGAAAGTTATTTAAAAGCAGAAGGATAATTAGAATGGATTCTTTCCAACCATCATATTTATAGAGGAAAATAAAAGCGATGAATTGGGACACAAAAGACCTGGATCTGTACCCCATTTCTGCAACTTGATAGCCAAGTCTCTTTGGAAAAGTCACTTAGCCTCAAGTTGACTCTGTTTTCTGATCTGTAAACTAAAGCACACCTCCTTCCAGCTATGCCATAACCAAAGGTGAGAATGTTATATGGAAGGAGCTTTGAAAAGCCCTGAGATAGACTGTATCACATGGTATAGCACCTAGTCCTACCTGTCTGTCTTTCTATACTATATAAACTTCTTGACGGCAGAAATCAAGTATTAATAACTTTGACTTCAAGAGACATAAGCCAGTGCTAGGCACTGTGCACACCAGACAACAAAAACAGTTTACTAGCATAAAAAGTAAGTCAGCAAGGCCGGGCATGGTGGCTCAGGCTTGTAATCCCAGCACTTTGGGAAGCTGAGGTGGGTGGATCACTTGAGGTCAGGAGTTCGAGACCAGCCTGGCCAACATGGTGAAACCCCCTCTCTACAAAAAATACAAAAATTAGCTGGGCATGGTAGTACATGCCTGTAATCCCAGCTACTAGGGAGGCTGAGGCAAGAGAATCTCTTGAACCTGGGAGGCAGAGGTTGCAATGAACCGAGATTGTGCCACTGTACTCCAGCCTGGGCGACAGAGTGAGACTGTCTCAAAAAAAAAAAAAAAAAAAAAACAAACAAAAGTCAGCCATTATTATTTATGCTTTTAAAGTAGAACTCAGTATTGGTGTATAAAACCAGATTGCCAGAAAAAAAACCTGATATTGTTACACAACAAGGAAAATAAACAAGATTACTATGTAGAGTCATTTTTTCCATTAAAAAGTAGAAGTAAAACTTAAACAATTTAAAGTCTAAGAAAAGGTGTGGGCATGTAGAAAACATTCCCAATCTTCTTGATGATCACATAGTGCATAATAATCAATGACTCTAATTAGTGTTGGAGACTTATCAAACAGCTAATGACATACTTCTATGTATCAGGCTTAAACGCTGCTTTCTCAAACATATTCTCTCCTTATTCAGCAGACTAGTATGCTACTTCCATCTTGAAACATGGAGAAAGAAAGGGTGAGAGATACTATTAATTATCACAAATAAGCTTGACTTTATTGCTATCATATTTGGGAAACAATGAGAGAAAAATAACAAGAAGTTAAAGAATAAGTTAACCGTAGTGTTTTTAGATCTAAGAAATTAAATTAAGAAAAAACCCCAAGTCTTCTTTTTAAATTAATGTTGGTAGATTTTTCAAGCAATGTGTAGCCAAGGAAAAAAATCTTATTTATATAGATTTTGCTAGTTAATTAGATCCTAAGTCATTTAGTTAAGAAGTCATTGTGTTGAGAAGGAAGTCTCTATTAGTGGATCACAAAGCACTGATTGGGGCTCTCACATTTTGGCATTTATACATCAACTTATATAAACATACTTACAAATGTATAGATGGCACAAGGCATAGAAAGAAAGCTAATACAACAGACAAGAGAATTGGACATGAAAAACTTAGCAACTGCTTGAATTTCAGAGATTAAAAGAAACGGTACAAAAAAACTTTAAAGTTTTACATGTTTCTCCCAGAATATCAAATATTATAGCAGAGAATGGGAAATATGGCTGGAAAGTGACTCTACAGAAATTATGCACCAAATACAAGAAAGAAGTAAATATGGAAGCTAAAAACAGTAATGCCACCATCTACTGTCCAACTCTATATTTTTAGATTAGTTGGCTAAACATGAGCCGTTGCATCCAATCTGGAGAAGTATACTTTGAATGACAAAATAGCCAGGACCACAACAGGTCTTTGAAAACCACCCACAAAAATTGGTTTATGTGAATTTTCTTTCTAGAAATGTCTTGGCTAGGAACAAGATAAATATTCTCAAGTATATGAAAGGCTATCATGTAAAAATAGAAGAGCCTTCTTCTGTTCGTCCCAAAGGCATAACTACAGCAAGAGAGTCAAAGTTAGAGGACAGCAGATTATAAATCAATAAAACAAAGATCAAAAGAACTCAAGCTGACTGACCACTGGAAAAACAGTCTCACTGCAAAGCAGTGCTCTATCACCATCTGCACTCACTAGAGACCAAATGACAATGTGGCTACCACATCACAGAAGAAATTTAAAGGGAGGTTAGATGGTTTCAAAGATGAAGTCTAACTCTAAAAAGCTATGATACAGTGAGCTTAGCCAACAACATTCCAGCCATATCTATGACTAAGCTAACTTACTTATGCCACTTGTATCTGGCAGTTGCATCCATAAATCTGCCTCAAACAAGTATTTTTCAAGTTGAAAGGCAGTATCTTTTTTTGGTGGTCCTAGCTTTAATTTTTTTTTTGTTCTCTTCCTTTCTATGCATTCATTTCCTATAAATACATATACAAACAACAAAAGCTTTATTTAGTTAGTTATTACCATCAGGCTCTTTGACAACAACCACCTCTTGATCTTCTTGGCTGTTTTCACTAGATTTCTTGATGTTTTCTAGTTCTATCCAATAGTCTTCCATAGATAGTTCATCCAAAGAATCCTGGGAAATTGATCGATCAAATGGAGGCTTCTCCATAACTTTGATGGTGGTGCTTTCCTGGTTCATAGTGTACTGGCCATATCTGCGACTGTAAATTCAAAAGAACCCATGGTTTATTTTAGTACAAAAGGAAGCAGTATAATTTCTAAGACATCACAGCAACAAGCTGGAGAATTTATTAACTCCTTAAGTTATCCTTAATAAAACTAAAGGAATATATATTTTGGAACAGTTTACTATGGATTATAATATGCTTGTAGAATAAACAGTTTCATGCTCCACAGAAAAGTATGGGGAAGTACAAATAGCAACATGGTAAATTATTTTTCCATTTACATTAAATGAAGACTCATTTTTCAAATATATTTTTTAGCGACAAGGTCTTGCTCTGTTGCCAAGGTTTGAGTGCACCAATGTGACCATAGCTCACTTTAATTCCAAATTACTGGGCTCAAGTGATCTTCCCACCTCAGTCTCCTGAGGAGCTACTACTACAGGTATATACCATATTGCCCAGCTAATTTTTTTTTTTTTGGCAGACATGGGGTCTTGCTGTGTTGCCCAGGTTGGTCTGAAACTCCTGGCCTCAAATGATCCTCAACTGATCCTCCCACCTCAACCTCCCAAAGCACTGAGATTAAAGGCATGAGCCACCACACCCAGGCATAAGACTCATTTAAACCTGAAACTTTGTTTTTAAAAAGCAACACATTAAATCTTGATTACAGACTATTAATTGGGAATGAATTTTATATAATTCTTGTGTTTATCATTTATATTCATAAACCAAACTTAGTCAACTCTTATACAGCAAATATCTTCAACCGATGAAGCACTATTTGAATTTCCATTTTATTTTTGAAATCAAAATATAAATAGGATGATTTAAGTTTGCTGTTATAATCTACTGTAGAAAGAAATTTCTAATCTTTATTTATAAATGGACCCATGATTTATATGTATTAAAAATTCAAAACTGGGGTACAAACTCATTTATTAGCAATTCTGAATAGCTTGGAATTACCTCAAACATTTCTCTCTCAGATATTATCTATGAAGAATAAATTGAATAAATAAGAGTATTTGTATAACTTCAAGTAAACAATGTTTTTTGTTATAATTCATATCTTACCTACTTCTAAAATTGAATTAAAGGAGCTTATAATAAAAACCTATATATAATAAAATAATTTTTTGTTTTATTATTATTTATAGAGAAGACCATGCCCGATTCCTTAAAAGAAGAAATTTTTCAGCTTTGATGCCTTTCCTTTATATACGGTTGATATGGTTTGGCTATGTCCCCACCCAAATCTCATCTTGAATTGTAGTACCCATAAGCCCCATGAGTCCTGGGGGGACCCAACAGGAGGTAATTTAATCATGGGGGCAGTTACTTTCATGCTGTTCTCGTGATAGTGAGTGAGTTGTCATGAGATCTGATGGTTTCATAAGGGGCTTTTCCCCTTTTGGCTTGTTACTTCTCCTTGTTGCCATCATGTGAATAAGGGTGTGTTTGCCTCCCTTTCTGCCATGATTTAAGTTTCCTGAGGCTTCCCCAGCCATACTGAACTGTGAGTCAATTAAACCTCTTCCCTTTACAAATTACCCAGTCTCAGGTATGTCTTTACAAGCAGCGTGAGAATGGACTAACAATAAATTTTTTTAAAGAATACAATTTGAGTGAGGACAATAGTTGAATAACTGTTTTGCTATTCTAATTTTCAGATTGCTTCTCTCAAGAAGGACTTCCAGGAAGTAATTCTTTGTTTGCCAGATTGGTTTTACTTACTGTACATATTGAAAATAATTTTAAAATTACAACAAAATAATAGTGTGTGAACATTCACATTTAAACTAACCTTTCCCAAAATTGTTTAAAATAGTAGGATTTTAATAGTACATAAGGGAGAGGGTCACTAAACTCTGGGCGAATCTATCCAGCAGCTTAATTCCAACTGGTTAGAAAAAGGCAAGGAACTTAATTGTTTATTGCTGCAAATAAATGCAGTATAACTGAGCACTTAGCTTTAATATGCTAATAAGCCAGTTTTATTCCTTTAAAGATGATTCTTCCTGCCTTGATTACAAACTTTATTAATGCTGGTTGCATACATGAATAAACAATCACTATACTCTCTCCCCAGTAGCAACCTTGGGGTGGCGATGGGTGGGAATTAGGACAGGGGCCAACAAGCCTAAGTCTAGACATGTTTGTGAATCTCTTTCCTTAAGTCTCCATTGTTCATTGTTTGCCTTCTTCATCCCTTAATTCAAGGGGTACTTCCTCCTTCCCTGGCCTCAATCGTCCTGTTTACATCTCTGTATTCCACCTGGGTCCCCATATCCGGCCCCAATGGCCACTACATAGCCAGTATTTTTCTTGTAGAGTTTTCACTCCTGATTCTTAAATTAACATGTAAATGAGAAAGTCATCCCTCTCTTAAAAATAAAAAATATATATTTTTAAATTTCTGGTTCAGCAGCTCAACTTATCTGTATTGTTCATATTCCTTACTTCTGCCTTACCAGGATAGCTAATGTTAATTTACAGATGACTGCCAGCTTCATTTTTCGTATTGCATGTCAAATAGACAGATGCCTTATCCTTTTGTTTTCTCTCTCATAGTGTGAAATTGACCACCTTACTTCTGTCTCCTTTAACTCTTACCCCCCTGTGAGACCACAATAAGTACTGTAAACTGTGTGAAGTATAATGACTAACGCCAAATAATTGGGTTTATCTGCTCAAGGGAAAAAGGTGCAGTTGAACTAGAAGTACATTAAGCCTTTCACTCCTGAAGGAATGTGTTTATTCTGGCAAGAATTTTCCAGTAAATTTCCATTAAGATAGCATGTGCAGAAAAATGCAAGGTCATTGAGTAACACCATTGTTACATAAATACACCATCTATATCAAGCCTTGCTTTCAAAACATGCATAAAGCAAAAATTGAATAGCTTAGTGCTGATGAATTGACTCAATATTTTGACTTTAATAAGATTCAGAAGCTGAATAGGTTTGTGATAACCTAAAAATACTGAGTCATGGAAAAGAGGAATTTTCTTTTTCTTTTGTCTGTATTTTTTTTTGATCACTGGTAAATACTGCAAGAACACATTTTCATTTTTAAATAAGAGGGGATGAGGAGTGGGAAGGAGACAGCCATTCAGTAATAGACTACCCTCCTTGGTCAACCTGCCACGTATTTTTTAATTTGTCTAAAAATGTAAGTGAACATTCCTTCAGTTTACATCAATGAACATGTTGTGTTACTTCTTTTCTTTGTAGAATATATTCTACTTTTGTACTTCAGACAGGCAGTGACTAAAAGTCTGGACCTTCCTAAAACTGTTCTGCTAAGAGGCCAGTTAACTAGTTTCCTCTTTTCTGTTTTTAGGAGTATGTTATATGATATCATGTTCATTCTGCAAATGGGGTTCAAAAACATAAAGCAACATCTGCTAGATGTAATGAAGTACAGAGCAGAAATATTTTATATTTCCAAAAGATCCAAGTTGACACATGGTGTTGAAATCAAAGAAACACACAGTTTATACCACAGGCAACTACCAGTGACCCCTCCCTGACTTTCTAGCAAGCAATTATTCCAAGTTCCTTCCTCCTCCCTCTCCCTCCAGAATTCTGTGTGCTAATCGTGCCATGGATATGCTTCAGAAGCTCCCGCATTTCTCACCTTTTACAAGTATAATGACAGAACTAGACGCTGTCCTCTAAAGGAAGTTGCCAGAGTTGCTCTATAAAGAATCGCTTCCTAGCTTGCTGTACAAGTCACGCTCTTTCCAATACACCAGAGTATAATCATTTTGCCTTTTTTTACCATGAACACTCACATCACAAGCAAATATTCACTTTACAGATCCTGATGGGCCTTCCTGGAATCTTCTTTTCCATCTTGCTAGCATGTCCTCCATGCTCTGTTTACAAAAATGAGGGCTTTGTTTTGTTGTATTTTCCCAAGGTATATGCTATCCCATTTTCCCGTGATACATTTTCCACCTGGTCAGTGAATTTCAAAGGCACTGATATCATTCAGGGTATGAGTAATAATGCCTGTTATTTATTTTGTCATAGCAAATATTAAACTGGTCTGACATTTTTTCTTTACAAAGAGGTGGGGGTTGCCATTGATTATACTGAGGTCAGCTAGAAGATTGATGATTTATTCTGCTATCAATGCAGTCAGCTCAGTCAGCAAAATGAAATGGAAACATATGGAACTGGGAGTCTAAGTACCAAATGATTCCAGCTCTACTTAACTGCAATCTTTGGTAAATCACTCACTTTCTCTACTCCTCACTTTTCCTATCTAAAAAATGGGAAGAATAACAATGGCCTTGCTTGCTTTGTTTGTTGTGAAAATTCTTACTGAAGTGCCTCATAGGTAACCATGAAAAAGGTCCCCTAGGTAAATTTGTGCTGTACTAACTGCCCCTCCCACTGTTTAATAAGGTCTAGAGGAATCACATATCCTCTAGAATATTCTCAAGCTTTGTGGTCTCAGGACTCCTTTACACACTTAAGATTGTTCTAAGACCCTCAAAGAGCTTTGGCTTATGTAGGCGATATCTACTGATATTTATAATATTAAACGCAGAAACAAAATATTTTAAATGCTATTCACTTAAGAATAAACATCTTCACATAGATAACATTAAAAAGGCCATTTTTCAAATAAAAATAGTGAGATGAGTAGCACTGTTTTATATTTTTGAAACTGCCTTTAATGTCAAGCTTAATAGAAGACATCTGGATTCTTACATCTGCTTCTGCGTTCAATCTTTTACAATATTACAGTTCATGTCGTCTCTGGGAAACTCCACTGTATTCTCATGAGAGAGTGAGAGTGAAAGAGGCAAATAACATCTTAGCGTTATTATGAAAACAGTTTTACTCTCCTAGACACCTGAAAGGGTCTGGAGAGCCTCAGGTGTTCCCAGACCACGCTTTGAAAACCACTGTTTTAAGAATTCTCAAAAACAACACATAATGGGTCTGAAAATGCACGTTTCAATTCTATGGGCAAAACTCCAGAAAGCCCTCTGAGAGAAACAGACTTGCTTTCCTAGTGACTGGACTTATTTCTTTGTTTTTGTTTAGTTCTGTATCTTTTCACAAAAACTGGGACTTATTCCAATATATCCATATTTAATTTATACTATAATGACAAAGAATTAAAATGTCTTTAAAAAAAACCCCTCCCTTGCCAATACTGTTAATCATTTGCTGGTGTCCATTATGTGTAAGGGGCAGAAGTTCTCTCTGGGCATCCCCTTTTGGCCAGTATATTTGAAAATTGCCTTAATGTGCCTTTGTCATCCCTACCCTCTACCTAAAACTCCTTCAGGGCAGATTTATTTGTAAGTAGGATGTTTCTTCTGAGTTCATATATTTAACTATCTGGTCCAATTTCTACCTTGTGTTCCCTACCCTGTTTAAAGTCCTATCGTGATGCTTTCTATCCAGTCTGTCTCCTGCTTCTGACCCTTCGAGGCATTTTTGTGCCCCAAAGTCAGCTTTCTTGAAGACCTCTGATCCTAGCACCTGTTTTGTTTTGTTTTCTTATAAGATCCTTTCTAAAAACGATATACTTTCTTTCATGTTCCCTATCCCACTTTTATTTCCATGCAGGACAAGAAGTGACTGAGTTGGGATATACATACAGTATAAGACAGAAGAATAAAATTTATTTTTGTTTTGGCTTCGTTCTGTTTTAATGTGTAAAAAAAAAAAAGGCAGTGGGGTGGGGGTTCTTCCTCAGATCATGACATATAAACCATAATGACTAAGAATATTTTAGAAGAAGCCATATGTATTGAAGTGTAAACATTAGAATGCTATTGCACCTCAGAGATTTAAACCTATCCCATTATTTTCTAGATGAGATAATGAGGCCTCAAGGTTAAATCTTCCCCAATTTTACCCAGCAAAGGGGTGATAGAATCGAGATTAATGCCCTCATTTCTTCTTCAGTGGTCACTTTAATATGTCAAACAGACTAAAAAGGATAGGATTTACTTTGTTTTCCCCAGATGCATCAATCTTTCTGAGTTTGTATTGCGTATAGCCAAGGCAAAAGTAATCTTGTTGACACAGTCTATAATTTGCACTTTCAAATGACCATTACATTTATCAAGAAAAAAATACATTTAAAAATCAAACCATATTTTTTTAAAAAGGATGAGAATTCTTTTCCAATGCACTTTTTTTTTTAATTTTTCAATTTTTTTGGTTTTTTGAGATGGGGTCTCGCTGTGTCTCCCAGGCTGAAGTGCAGTCCACAATCATAGCTCACTGCAGCCTCAAGCTCCTGGGCTCAAGCGATCCTCCCAACTTAGCCTCCCTGAGTAGGTGGGACTACAGGCACACACCACTTCACCTGGCTAACTTTTTGTAGAGACAGAGTCTCCTTGTATTGCCAAGGCTGGTCTGGAACTCCTGGCCTCAGGCAATCCTCCTGTCTTAGCCTCCCAAAGTGTTGGGATTACAGGTGTAAGCCACTGTGCCTGTCCAGTGCACTTTCTAAAATATGGTTTGTGGCCAGGCACAGTGGCTTACACTTGTAATCCCACCACTTTGGGAGGCTGAGGTGGGAAGAGTGCTTGAGCCCAGAAGTTCAAGACCAGCCTGGGCAACTAATAAGACACACATCTCTATTTAAAAAAAAAAAATTGTGTCATGCTGGGCATAACTTTAAATATTCTGTTTTTTAAGAAACTTTGTTTTGTAAATTTTGAAATTTTAAAATTTAATACTGTGTCTTTACATTATCTCTATGTTAGAAAAAAAAAGCATGTTTCTCATGTGTAGATTTATCTCTTTCATTTCAGCAGCGATATTAAAGAACTACTGTAATCACTATCATGGTGAGATGGTAAAGCTATTAATACTGTGTAATGGCCTTGTCCATCAGAATATGCTGAATTTGAATGACTATGAAGAGCTGCAGCCTACAAATGACCCAAGTCATTTTTACCCCTTCGAAGAGAATGCCTACTGTTGTTTAGCTGAAAGCAGTCATTATTAGAAGTGGCTCTGACATCCAGGAAGAAAGAACACTGATAATGCCTGAAGGCAGTAAGAAGTTGATTAGAAAGCAATACCACATCACTCGCCCCACACACACCCATGCAACCATCAGAACCCAGAGAAAGAATCTAATCTCTTCTATCTGACTCAAATGCTATAGTCTTAAGGATGTACTGAATTTCACAGAAACTTACTTCTTTTCCTCTTTGCATATCTTACCCTTTTCATTTTGGGAAAAAAATGAAATTTACTTATTTCTTTCAGCTTTCCTTTTCTTTAAAAATAAAAGTCGCGGCCAGGTGCGGTGACTCACGCCTGTAATCCCAGCACTTCGGGAGGCCGAGGCGGGCAAATCACGAGGTCAGGAGATTGAGATCAGCCTGGCCAACAGGGCGAAACCTCGTCTCTATTAAAAATACAAAAATTAGCTGGGTGTAGTGGCGCACGCCTGTAGTCCCAGCTACTCTGGAGGCTGAGGCAGGAGAATTGCTGGAACCCGGGAGGCAGAGGTTGCAGTGAGCCAAGATCATGCCACTGCACTCCAGCCTGGCAACAGAGCAAGTCTCTGTCTCCAAAAAAAAAAAAAAAAAAAAAAAAAGTCACTTAACATCTTGTATAGTGCTTTATAGTTTTTCAGTGTTCACCCACTTCTTGCTTTGTTTTTTGCTACTCACTTTTGACAGTGGGTAGAAAAGAAAAAAAAAAAATCCTCAGCAGAACAATAAGCAAATGACCTGATTATCCTGTTTATGTCACATTACCTAAGCAAAACTGAGAAGACAAGCCCATTAATGACACTGTTAAGAACTAGCTTTGGAAACTTGGCTTTATCACTTCTAGAGAAATATATGACACAACCAATTCATAGGTGCTGGGTTTTTTGTTTGTTATTTATCGTTGCGGCTTTCACTCTACTTCGTCTTCTTTTTTTTTGTTTTTTTTTTTTTTGGAGACGGAGTTCCACTCTTGTTGTCCAGGCTGTAGTGCAATGGCGTGATCTCGGCTCACCACAACCTCCACCTCCCGGGTTCAAGTTATTCTCCTGCCTCAGTCTCCCGAGTAGCTGGGATTACACACATGTGCCACCACACCTGGCTAATTTTTTTTTTTTTTTTGTATTTTTAGTAGAGACAGGGTTTCTCCATGTTGGTCAGGCTGGTCTCGAACTCCCGACCTCAGGTGATCTGCCCACCTAGGCCTCCCAAAGTGCTGAGATCACAGGCGTGAGTCACTGCACCTTGCCTCACTCTACTTCTTGACATCACTAAAAGAATAGGGACATAGTAACCACCACCAGGTCTTGTAGAAAAAAGGGAGGGAAGGCCTAGAACGAAACGAATATGGGAAAGGCAGGAGACAGCCGAGGCAGGTTTCAAAAATTCACTTCCTTTTTAGATACAGACACAAGGAACATATACGGGAAAATAGTAGACTATCACTGGCCAGACATAGGTTTCTTGCTTTAGAGCTCTGGTTCTGGGTAGAAGTGAGATCTTCTTTGTTCCTGAGCTTGCCAAATCTCTCAGGAAGCAGTTTTTCCTCCTCCATTGGAGATACAACTCAACAAGTAGCCAAATGGGAACCTAGGATTTTAATGTCAAAATCATCTTCCAAGACAAGGATGAAGGTATCTGTAGTGGGACTTTGACATAAAAATCTCAGGATCTTGGAACATTAGTTCAAAGCATATCCACTTCATTCTATTATCTGTCACCATGACTTGCATCCACCTGATACCCTGGACCTGATGTTCTTTCTCCAGGACCCTCTATCTTTTTCTTGTTCTGCCCAGCTGTAGAGCCACCTGGAAATTAAACACCAGTAGCTACCTTGCACTTGGAGCATAGGCTCTCCAGTTTGATCTGTTTTCCAGCTGTCATTACTCAATTTCATATCTCAGTACCTTTCTCTGTGGGGCTGGAATAAGCTTGCTTCTGCAGCCTCCCCGCATTCCTTACCACATCCTACGCTGTGATGATCTGCTTGTGCGTGTGTCCCCACCATTAAATTATGTGTTCCTTGGGGGCAAGAATCTATGTTTCTTTTTTCTTTTTTTTCCTCTTAGTATCCCTGGCTTCGAGCAAACTGCCATAGCAGATGTTGGTGAACTGTTCAATTATTAAAGTACTACTGCCTCTAAAATAATTTCTAAGGCATTTCTTATTTAATTGCACAAAACTACAAAGAAGTAAGAGAGGGATGAAAAGCAGATAGTAAAGAAATCAGTCATTAGGAAACTCTAAAATTAATAAGGTAAATGTTCTATGTCTCCATGATGTTACTTGTGGATGTTTAGTCTACAAGTAGGTTTCCTAAAGGAAACAGAAACATACAAAAGGAAGGGCTGTGGTTGCATATGAGATTGTAACTAATATTAAATTACAAACAAGTTTCGGCTCAGAGTTTTTTTAAGCACACATTCCATAATTCCATTCATCACTTTAATCTTTAAAACAAATAAATATTTACTGAATGCCTTACTCTCTGGTTGGGTGCCTTATCACAGATGTTGCTTTAACCAAGCTCTTCAAACATTTAGTGTGAGGTAGATGACAAAAGACACCAGCACCAGTGATGGGTGGAATTTTCCAGTTCCTCACTGAACTAGTGGCCCAGACAACTCTTTCCAGCATAGGCCTCCAGGTCATGGCCTTTACTTCAGGATTGTCCCTAACACTCCTCAGGCCCTGCGGTGGTTCACCATTCCTTCTTCAGTAAGAATTTCATCTCCTCTCTGCCACTGTTATCCACTCGTTCTCCAGTCATCCCCTGCTCAATTAATTCCTGAGATTTAGACCAATAATTTGAGGTTAACATCTATAGCTCCTTGCTCTGGCCTAAATGCTACTTATTCCCCACCAAATTCATATACTGAAATCCTAACTCTCAAGGAGATGCTATTAGAAAAATGGAACCCTTAGGGAGGGGATTCATGCTCTTATAAAGGAGGCCCCAGATGGCAGCCTCGCCTCTTCCACAATGTGAAGGACATGGTGAGAAGGTGCCATCCGTGAGAAAGCCAGCCCTTCCAGACACCCAATCCACCAGCCCTTTGATCTTGAACTTTCCAGTTTCTGAAACTGTGAGAAATACATTTCTGTTGTTTATAGGCCACCTAGTTGATGGCATTTTGTTACAACAGCACAGACAGACTGAGACACCCTTCCTGGCATCCCTGCCCCTCCCCTGGTCTGTTTCTGAAGTTCTCCAGGGTTTGCCTGAAGCCCCCTCGCAGTCCATTATTAAAGTTGTTCTTTCCCAAGATGGAGGCCAGCTTCCTCAGAACAACTGTCTAGTACTCAGTTCTTGTTTCACAGCAATCATGTAGCTTCAGAGGTAGTGATCACATCTAAATTTTTGTCAACCTTTACCCATTCATTTTTATTGTTCTCGCCAAATCAAATTCTTCACCTTTTCAGTTTCAAAGCTGTGCTCCTGTTTCCTTTCTGAGAAATCTATCAAGTCCTGAAGACATTTTCAGGGATGAAATGAAGAAAGATTCACTAGTGAAGATTAAAGGTTTTTCCACCTCCCCTCATATTCTTGAACTGGTCATTCAAAATTCCCCCATCATAATTTCTATTAGTTCAGAATCTCATCACTACAGTTTGCCAACACACCTTAAACATGCAATACAGATAAATTTACGCCAAGATACAAATTCCCTCACATATAAGACTTAATATGCTTCAAGATCTGGGATCCAAGAAAAGTATTTAAATATCATCCAGGAATTTCATTCTGGCTGCTGACTCACTACAGATTTATAAATTATAATGCTCTGATATCCCTTCAGTTCATAAAAAGTTGCTATTGATTCATAATACCTGTCATGAAATAAGCACTAACAAAATACTTGTTGACATAACACAAAATTATAAACAATGTTTTGAAATTTAATGTTAGAATAGTACTGAATATAATCGTGGTTTTCCTTATTTCCTATAGCAAATATATTGCCCTTCAGTAGGACTTTCATATAACTTTCTATGCTAATAAAAACATCAACACAAGGCAATGGTGAATTTAAAAAAAAATCTGATAATAACGAAAGCTACATACACACCATATTATGAAAGAGACATGGGCATTATTATTAAACTCTTCTCAGTTCTTTGTGATTATCCACTGCAATAAGGTAGAGAAATCATCTCATATCTCAATGAGAGTAGGGGAGTATAAAACCAACATTCCACCAGCCAGCAAAAGAAAAAACACAGACAAACACTGGATGAAAATATTAAAAGTGAAAGGAGATTTGTGTTTATGTTAGAAAATATAAATGGAGAAGATATTTATAAAGTAATGTTGGTAAATAGTAATAGAACAATTAAAAACAGCAGCACTTCCGTGGTAAATACCTAGATAGGAAAAAAGAAAACTGCTTCCTTTATGCTATAACTGTAATTTTATGAGTAGCTCAAAATCAACTTCAAACATTACAATGCTCCACTGGTAAGTATAGAAGGCCGGGAAGTGTTTTTATATGCAAGGTACTAAAAGTCAGCTCTACTAGGGGGACAGAGAGGATGGAGAAATAACTTCCAGCCAAGCAAATAATTTAGCCAAGCTTAGAAACAATTCATTTATGTTTTCTACTAAATGTCTTCAGCAGTCAGTAACAAAGTAGAATATGTGAATACTACTACAAAACAATCTTTCTTAAGTGAGATTATCTAAAGCCACTTTTTTCTTAGCATGTTTGAAATGCTGAGCCCATGACAGATGTGAATGCAAGCAGCCTAAAAGATACATGAAATATAAAACAAGAACTAAAGACAATTTCCACATGCAAAAAGCTACTTGTGGGTTAGGGCAGGGAATTTAACCTTAACATTTGAAGAAAAAAAAAAAATCCGACTCACCAGCCTGGGCAACATAGTGAGACATTGTCTCTACAAAAAATAAAACAATTAGCCAGGCACAGTGGCATGTGACTGTAGTCCCAGCTACTCAGGAGGCTGAGGTGAGAGGATCCCTTGAGCCCAGAACTTCAAGGCTACAGTGAGCTATGATCATATCACAGCCCTTCAGCCTGGGTGACAGAGCGAGACCCTGTCTGGAAAAACATACACACACACACCTCACAAAAACAAGCATTTTCAGTAAAAGCCACTGAGCTTTGTTTAGAGGATAGGAACAGAGCTCATAGGGCAGTGAGGCCTAACATGAATATGAGGGACGGACAAAGGTTTTACAGGAAGGGATTGTGGGAACCTGAAAAAGGTGAGGGGAGGAGAGGTAGACGGTAGAGAAAAACACTTTTAATAAGGAAACACAGTTAATGCCATTCTTGTGCAATGCCACATCATCTAGCACAATATGGGCATACTGAGCTCCAGCAAATGCCACCCACAGACACATCAAATTCTAGGCGGATTAAACCCCAGAAGCTGGAAGTTTATGACCCTGTCCTAGCTTAATTTCTGTCCTGATCCTTAAGAAATATCTCTACTTTCCAACCCTTAGTCTCGGGCTCATTACCAGGCTTACACTAGCCTACTGCTTACCTATTTTTCACATGGAGTAGCAAAATTCCCACTTAACCAAAAGCAATATGGCATCAGGTTCCAAAATGTCATTCCCTGTGGGGATCTGAAACAGCTGAAGAAGAGCGTAAGTAGTTCATGGCCTCAAGCGTTGCCCCGCTAGCTACAGCCAACGCTGTCTTGGCACTCTATAGAAAGCTGATTCTGTATCAGTGTCCCATTCAAGGACTTCCGCCTCTAGTCTTCCATTTCCATCCCTCTGGTTCTCCTCTACTTTTCCCATCGCTACACACCTGGATCCTCCTCTCTGCCCAGTTCCTATAAAGAAATGATCCAAGTTGACTGATTTCTACTTCTCCCCAAAATGCTGTCTGCTACATCACTTTCCTGAGCCCTAAATTCTGCACCGGCCAAGGCTCCCAGGACCTCGACTGAACCTCAGCAGAGGTCTGAGCTACCCATGCCCCTGCTTGTCAGGAAAGAGAGGTGGAAGAAAGAACTGTTGTGTCAGAAATCCATCACTTCAGAAGAGATTAGTTAATGAGCTATTGAACGGAAAGGAGAGGCTCGGCCGGGTGCGGTGGCTCACGCCTGTAAGCCCAGCACTTTGGGAGGCCAAGGCGGGCAGATCACCTGAGCTCAGGAGTTCGAGACCAGCCTGACCAACATGGAGAAACCCCATCTCTACTAAAATACAAAATTAGCCAGGTGTGGTGGTGCATGCCTGTAATCCCAGCTACTCGGGAGGCTGAGGCAGGAGAATTGCTTGAACCTGGGAGATGGAGGTTGCGGTGAGCTGAGATCATGCCATTGCACTCCAGCCTGGGTGACAAGAGCAAAACTCTCTCAAAAAAAAAAAAAAAAAAAAAAAAGAAAAGAAAAGAAAAGAAAAGAAAACAGAGCCTGTAGAGACCATAAAGTTATAAAAGATGATGAAAGGATTAAGAGCATGTAATATCCTCCAGGGCAGAAGTCAGTATTTATGCTGTATCACAGCCATGGAAGCCAGTGTAGATGACAGCATCAAAAATAGAACTTCCTTTACCATCTTGCCAGAATAAGTCTACAGAAAGATCAAGGTTGTCAGATACTCTAAGGTAAAGATCAAAGACTTAGAACTTTTTCTTGTTCTTTTTTTTTTAACTCAGGTGTTTGAGGGCCAATTGTTAAAGGCTCTTACCTCATGAATGACTTCAGTTATTTGCAAAAGCCAGTTCCGTAAAGTAAAATGCAGTTTTTATAAGACAAATATTGTTAAACTCTAAACAAACTTTCATACGCCAACCAATCTAATAGAGAAATGCTAATTTCTTAATGCAATAGTTTTATGAATACAGTTTTACTGGACAATGCCTACATTTATTCATTGGTCTTCTCTCATTACAGATATTAATCAGAATTATGCACTTAGGTTTTATTATAAAAATCATTGCAGTTATGGTTTTAAAAAGAACTTCACCCACATAATATACATTTTCCATTTCAAGTAACACAGGAGACACTGAAAAAAACAGTGAAACTGGAATGAAGTCAATGATTCAATGTTTTGATGGAGTGATACTATAGAACTTGAGTTCTTGCTTGTTAATAATAAACAGATCACTAAAGCTGTGATTCACACATTCATTCAACAACTACTGACTCCCTATTAATTGCAAGGCAACTATACATGCTGATGTTTGAAGTCCAAAGAAGCACAGGGCTTTACCACTGATCTCTGAATCTACATTTTGATAGAGGAGATAAAATATGTAGGGAAACAGTAATACAGGGCAGCCTGGCTTCACACCATATGAGTGGGACAAACAACAGGTGTTGCAGTGCTCACTGCTAGTTAAACATAGGCAAGGACAAGATGCCAAAAAGTGCTTAAAAATGTCAGTAGCACAGTAGGCCAGGTGCGGTGGCTCATGCCTGTAATCCCAGCACTTTGGGAGGCCCAGGCGGTGGATCACGAGGTCAGGAGTTCAAGACCAGCTAGGCCAATATGGTGAAACCCCGTCTCTACTAAAAATACAAAAGTTAGCTGGGCATGGTGGTACGCGCCTATAATCCCAGCTACTTGGGAAGCTGAGGCAGAAGAATCGCTTGAAGAACCCGGGAGGCGGAGGTTGCAGTGAGCCGAGATCGCACCACTGCACTCCAGCCTGGGCGACAAAGCGAGATTCCGTCTCAAAAAAATAATAAAAAATAAAAAATAAAAAAAAATATCAATAGCACAGTAAGAGGAGGTGAGAAGGGAGATTCCAGTCTTTTGCTATGCCTCATTTTAATTTAATAAAGCTCTCCCAGAGCCAACAGTGTCTTGTTTGATTCAATTTTATTTCCCTCTAACTTAAGCCCATTTCCTCTGAGCAAATAAAGAAGTAATCAGTGTCCTCTTTATATTAATCCCCTCCTGGGAAAAGTTTAAGGCAGTCCTTTATCATACCTTGAGTTGGCCAATGAGTTTTACTCCTTTACTTTTTTCCCCTGTATTTTAAAAAGCAATGTCTTATAAATACAACCTGAAGTACACATTCTTATTGACATCCAAATCATGAAGTACCTACAGATAATAGCATATCATCTTTGTTCTGAAATTTTTCCATTGGGCCTTTTTCAGATTGGCTCTTACTCTGCAAATGAAAGCTCCAAGTTGACATTAATTTTATAAACAGGTACATATTTAGGCCCAGGTGGGAAGTCCTTGGCACAGATACCAAAGTTAAAAGCCTAATCATAAATGTTTTTTGCTTCCTGAGGAAATTAGCACTGTTATTAATTGCTTTCCATGGTTCTTGTTTCTTTTTAAGAAAGGCTTTGCTGATCATTTGCATTAATATTATGCTAATAAAAGGGGATAGTAACTAGTTTAGTCTCTTCAGTAGTAACTACTGATCAAAGAGAGGTAATTTGCATGTTTTCTTAATTGGAGTGAGCTGGCATTTTACACACTCATTGTCACCATTTTTGAAATTAAAAAAAAAAAAAAAACAACTTAATACATGTTGGGCCAGACTGGACAGGAGCAATTTCTCCAATGGAATCATCTAAACTCAAGTATTTCAAGAGACATTTTGCTTCTAAGCATGAATCCCAAATGACAAGGATGAGTATTCAAACACAGGGCAACCATCTGCATCGCAAAATACATTTCAGTTCCTCTCTGCAGAAGGAATTCATTTACTGTGGAAGGCCATTCACTTCCACTTCTGAGTGCTTATTCCTCAAAAAGCTTCCAAGTACTGTGAGAACAATGATTAAAAGAGGATCTTTCCATCTGTGCTGCATTAGGCTGCAACACAGACCCTCCTGCAGAAACAGTTTTTGCATAATTCATTATGCCATTTTAAACCCTAATCAGTGAATTGCAATAAGCGATGGAGTATGCATGACAGAAAAGAGACCGACATTTATTAGCTGCCTCCTAAGCATTCACCTAATCCTTACTTTGGGCTATTGCTCCATGAATCATAGTATACGGTCACTCATCTTATCTCCAATAGGTTCTTATTCCCACCTGAAGTGTTGTCATCATTTTTAGCCCATACTAATGTTTCCAGAAAAAGTGTTTCTTACACCATTATCACTGTATAGTGTGGGAAGGAACTACTACTGGAAGAGAGAAGGTGGCATATCTTCAGGTCTACTGTTCACCGTGTGAGCATGGCTGATACATCCTACAAGAAACATCCTACAAAAGGAATGACAATATCTTGTCTCTTCTCCTTCTAAAAAATCATATAGCACTAACTTGTTAGTAGTGATTTTTCACCTATAAAGCCATAATTTCACCTGCCACTTTGCCTTGGAAGTGGCAAGCAAGGACCTCTCTGGGTCCCAACTTACACCTCAACCACAGAATCTTTGTCTTGATTTTGTTATTTGGAGATCTGTTTAAGGATGCACTGGAAAAGAATTTTATGATTACAAAAAAATTAAAATAAAATTGCCTTAGGCACCTCAAATGGAAAAAAAAAAAACATAAAAGTGATAGAATCCTTAAGCTTTAAACACTGAAAAACTGATTAAGCAGAAGGTATCAATGATGGCATGCAATGTGTATAATTTTAAATCAGCAAAATTAGTGAGAAACTGTGTGGACATCAGGGTTGAGGATGCAGACAAATCTTACGCTAAAATTTTTCACTTTCCATTTCTAATCCCCTAGGTCATGGTAAAAAGAAAAACAATATATTTTGAGTTTTCTATTTATAGGTAACAGTAACATCTGACATATGATAAAGTTCTTCAGTTTGGTGATTCAGTAAGAATCAAGAGAATCATCTCAAAAACACAACTTGAACTGAGTTCACTGGTAGAGTCTTCACTGAAACAAATTTAAAGTCAGTAACTCATAAGAATTGAAAACAACTAAACATCACTTTATGGAATCTTAAAAAGCACAATTGTGGGGGTAATGGGAAACCTTCCGGAGGTGCTTCAAATATGAGAAATAAATTGATATTTTAGAACAGTGCTGGCCAATAGAAATAAAAGGTGAGGACGAAAGTTATTTAATTTTTTTTTAGTAACTACATTTACAAAAGTGAAAAGCAGATCAAATTAATGTTAATTTTAACCCACGCAATATACACCAAATATCATCACTGCAACATGTAATAAATATGGCAATTATTAATGAAATCCTTTTTATTCCATTCTATGTCTTTGAAATCCTGCACATAATTTGCACTTCCATCATAACTAAATTTGGAGCAGACAGTCCAAGTGTTCAATGACCACAGGTTGCTGATGACTACTGTCTTGACAGGGTAGCTTTAGAATGAATGAGGCAGTAGGCAGGTTCTCCTCGTAGAGCCCAGCAGAGACAATTGCTGTCATTCCTTCTCACTGCTAACATGTACAAGTTAATGCCTGTTTATCTACAAAACATTTATTTTCTCATTGACTCAGCAAATATTCAGAGAAAACCTACTTTATTCCACACTATGCCAAACTGTGGAACGCAGGTGTACTTCAGACAAGATAGGCCTAGAATTTTTTTTATTTTATTTTATTTTATTTTTTATTTTGAGGCAGAGTCTCACTGTCACCCAGGCTGGAGTGCAATGACACAATCTCGGCTTACTTCAACCTCCACCTCCTGGGTTCAAGTGATTCTCCTGCCTCAGCCTCTGTAGTAGCCAGGATTACAGGCACTCGCCACCACACCCTAGCTAATCTTTTTTGTATTTTTAGTAGAGATGGGGTTTCGGCATGTCGGCCAGGCTGGTCTTGAACTCTTGGTCTCCCAAAGTACTGGGATTATAGGTGTGAGCCACCATGCCCGGCCTGGGCCTAGAATTTAGAAGGCAACAAAGACATGTGCAACTCCATATCCTAAGTGGTAAGTGCTATGGAAGCACATATTAGGGAAGTCACAAGCTCTAGTGAAGGGATCCGTTGAAGGCTCCACAGAAGAGTGACATGAGCCGGAGGTTGAGTAGGAGTCTACCAGGTAGAACGTGATGAGAAAGGCCTTCAAGGCATGGCAACCACACAAGCAAAGACAGAGTAGCAAGCATGGACAGTGGGTTTAGAGAACCGTGAGTGCGGTGATGTAGACAGACTGCATTCATTTTCAGGGAGGTACAACCCCCTGGGGGAGGGAGAAGGCACCAGATAGGGGGTTGGGGTTGGAGGGAATAAGGCTGCCGCCAAATCCTGCAGGACCTTGCTTGTCAAATTAAGAACCCTGGAATGCAGGCAGTACGACAATGGAAAGTTTTTAAACAAGCAAATGTCACTATCAAATTCCTGTTTTAGAAAGATAATTCTGAGAAGGCACATCCTGAGACAGCCTGGGGCCAAGATGCTGTGGCGTAAACAGATCGCTGAGCGATGATAAGGTCCTGAATCCAAAGGGCATTGGTAGAAACAAAAGTGAAAGGACACATTCAAGAAGCTTTTCCCAAAGAGAATGCCTGGGTGACCAATTAGATAAAGTAGATGAAGGAAACAGAAGAAACAAAGATGATTCCACAGTTTGTTCTTGGACAGGAGGGTAGATGGCAAAGTCATTAACTGAGAAAGTGAAGATAGGAAAAAAAAGAGCAGGTTTGGCAGAGAATGTGACACCCTCAGTTTGGACCTGCTGAATCTGAGGTATGTTGGAGACCCTTGCTACCTAAATGTGCTCCACGGACCAGCGGCACCAGGCATCAAGCTTGCCAAAAAGGCAGAATCTTAGGCCCCACTCCAGATTTGTTGGATTCAAATCTGCATTTTAACAAAATCCCAAGGTGACGCCTGTGCACAGTCAAAATAGACAAGAACTGATCTAGACATCTGGAAGTCTAGGTTGTGCCCATGAAAGAGTTACTGGCTGGAGATAATTTTGGAATAATTAGCATATCCATGAGGGTTAAAATGATAGGAGTGAAAGAGCTCAACGAAAACAAATTTAGGATGAAAGAATCTGTGTGTGGTGTGAGGGAGTATGCATGTTTGGAATTGAAATAAAGAATCATCATAAAGGTCTACAATGACTTTCTTGTTAAGTACATTAAAAACGGAACCAAGAAGAAAAGGAAGAGGAGGAGGAGAAAAAGAGGACACAAAACCTTTAAAAAAAAAAAAAAAAACCAAAAGAATCACAATGGTGAATTAACATTAAAGCTATAAAGAACTTCTTTTTATGATTAAGACAAACTCGTATTAATGTTCCTTAATAGTCAGGGATGCTAGGCAACAAAAATTTGATACGAGTGGAAGCAGAAATAAATGGAAACTATAAAAAAGAAGTGGAAGCAGCCAGGTGTGGTGGCACACACCTGTAGTCCTAGCTTCTGGGGAAGCTGACGCAGGAAGATTGCATGAGCCTAGGAGTTCAAGTCCAGCCTGTGCAAGAATCTTAAAAAAAAAAAAAAAAAAAAAGTGGGATACAAAATATGGATAATTTGTTTAATAATAATTTGTAAAAAAGTTAATATATGGGATGATGAATATAAAAATATTAACAGTGGTTTGCCTTGATAATAGGATTATACTTTGTTCATTCTACTTTACTGTTTCTTTCCCCCTATTTAATAAATATCCACCCTTTTTCTCTTTAAATGAAAAAAAAAAAAAAGACACTATTTGCTGGGGTGGGGGAATCAGAAGGCCTGGATTCTTGGCTAGTTTTACCAAGCAGCTAACTGACTTCAGGCAAGTCATTTCACCTCTGCATGCCACAGTCTCCTCCGCTGTATAATGAGGGGCTTGAGAACAAGATGTTCTCTTCTAAGAAGATTTCCAGCTGTGACTTTCTATGAACCAAATTGGCAGCAAGGTGAGATTCATGTGATGTCTCTAAACTCTCCCTTGACAACACCACAAATAACGTGCAGGGTATCCGTTCGGCCCTCCACCCTCAGCCCATCCCAGTCTCTTCATCCCACCAGCTCACCCAGCGAACAATTTTCCTGGAGTTTTGTTCAGAACCCAACAGCTGTTTAGAGCTGGTTTCAAGTCCACCAAGCAGTCATCTGTGTCCTCTGTTTCCCAGGTGACACTGTTGTCACTACCTGGTGTTGCCACACACACACACACACACAGAACACAAAGCCCCTGAAACCAAGGGCCCCTCCCAAGATCCACGCAAGCTGCAGCTCTCTGAGGCATAATACTCTCTGAAGGCTCCATGCTAGATGCCAAATGATTAAAAACCATTGTGCATAATTACCATTCCATGTAAAAAGCCTTAAAATATATCTTTAATGGTTTTACTGCAGGTCACAGAAGCAAAGGCAGGAATAGCAAGCTGTGCTCTTTTATGTGGGAGGATAGCGCACATGAATACAAATATGGCAGAAGATGAAAGTACAGCAGACAAGGACAGGCTGCTCTTTCAGCAGTGACAGCAACCCAGTGTGAAGGGCCCATCAGGGCATGGTGCCTGCTTCTCAGCTCCTTGGAACAAATACTCAGTGTAAACACACTCTCTCCTTTTGAAGTGGGTGCAATTTGTCTATTGTCATCCTCTTGCCTTAAATTATGCTCCACTATGGATCTGGAGAGGTGTTTTTGTTCTTCTAGTGCAGAAGTCCTTCACATTAGCCCGTGAACACTACTAAAGCAGTTCTTCTCCTGTAATACATGCTTCCCTCTACAGCAAAGTTGTAGTCAGATGGCCTCCTTCGAGTGATACTGAATGCCCATGTGAAGCCTTCTTTCTGTTTCACTGTGCAAGGATTCACAAGCATGACCTTGTAGCCACAGGCAAAGTTAGCTGTTTGGTTAAAATCAGGGTACCTACAGCTCACATTGATACAAGATTCACTGCTCTCTATGCCTTAATTAATTGGTACTGCTTAAATATAGAGAGGCACATTAGGCTAAACTGAATGTGTAAGTGAGGAACAGTACTGATTAAGCCTGCCACCTCTTAATTCCAACACATCTCAATTCCTAATAAGAAACTTAAAAGCCTAAAATCTGCCAGAAAAAGAGAATTATCATGCATTTGAAATGTAAATGTTAATTAAAATTTTATTATTTATGCTGCCCAGTTGCTTCACTGTAAGAATTAAATTTAATAATTTGTCAGGGGCAATTATCACAATAACGAGACTACCAGGCAGTTGTCATTATAACCCCCCATTTTAAGGATGAGGAAACTGAGGCTTAGAGAAAATCAACATCGCCAGGAAGGTGAAGATGCAACCCAGGCCATGTGGCCACAAAACCCATGCTCAAGACTCTGTATGATAAATGCCTCTGAAATCTGTCCCCAGCAAGGGTAACACAAGCTGTGACAGGGTTTAGAGCTGAAACGACCCTAGAGATCACTAAGTCCAGTCATTCTCAACCTATCTAAGCTTCACAGCTGACTCATCTGAAGAAGAGCAGCAAATACACTGTGATTATCAATGTGCTCAAAGACATATGTGATAGATACGAATGATCCAGTCCCTATCTTGCTCTGACAACACAGGCTTTTTCTTTTTTTCTAGAGATGAAGATAAAAAACAAGGTTCAAGTCTGGTATAAAATCCTCTGCATCCTGTTTCCTACGCCCCAATAATTAAGTCCAGTCCTTAATTACTCAAATGTGAATATGGCAGAACAGAAAAATTGGGTGCTTTGCCCAGTAACATCCAGGTAGTTAATAGCTGCACCAAACATCTAAAAAGGTCTCCTGACTCCCAGTCAGGAAACAGCATAACCAAGTATCCTCCATTAGGACAGATTGTATCGTGACAGAGGAAACACATTACTCTTCAACTTTATCACCAGGGTAATAAAGACAGGCAATAAATACTCTTTTATTGTTAATTATTTTCACTCTGTGAACTTTGACAGTCCAACCCACTAATCTTTTGGCTAAAGAACAATTAGCCACAATGATAGCACTTCACATATTCTCCACCATATCCACACGTACTGAAATCTCCTTTGGAAAGAGCTGTTCATACTAAGATTTTAGCAATCGCAAACTGAAGTCCACCAGGGTGACCTGGCAGCCAGAAGTGTTTTGTTTGGCCAGCAGGGTGTTTCAAACATTTTTAAATTGGTTTACCATGTTTTTTTCTTGTAACATGTTTCTCTGAGCAGGCAGCAGGTGTGGTGGGGCTGGCCCCTTTGAACAGGTTATCTACCTCCCAGTTTGGCACAGCCCCCACCAATCCCATCTGAAAGCTATGCTATCTATGGGTCCCTGTGGGCCTCTGGGTTTGCAGCCTCTGCTTTACTGCGTTAATATTATGGGATTAAAATGGCATGACTCATTATCTCGAACCCATCACCAATGATTGGCATCTGAATTCTGCACCAAATAGGGCTTGCTTTATCAAGACAGCAATAAACATAGCAGGGGATGGGGAGATAGGACTGAACTGATGACCAGGTAGGTTGATTGTGGTCCTTCCTTTATCAGTAAATAGCAGTATTACTTTGATCAAGTCACCTACCCTCAATGGATCATGGTTATTTCCTCATTTGTAAAATAGGAAAGTTAGACTGGCTACTTAAGGTTTTTTTTTTTCAACTTTGAAATCCCATGAGATGTTTCTTACCCAAATTGTGTACAAATAGAGGAATTTTCCCAGGAATAGAGATGTTAGTAAAGAGTGGAACCTGAGAAATGTGGTGTCTTAGGAGTCACCTAGACTAGAATTTGCAACTTGGTTTCATCATTTTCCATGAGATCAAAGGCAAGTTATCTAAAACTCTCAGAGCCTCAGTTTCCTCACCTTCATTCATTTACTCAAGATTGAAGTAAATGAATTTGAGCATCTACTATGTATCAGATACACTCTAAATGCTGGGGATTTAGTAGTGAACAAAACAGTCCGTGGTCTGATGAAACTTACACATTCTAGTGGCAAGGAGACAAAAAGTAAACACAAAGATGTATAACCAGTCAGGTGGTGAGAAGTGCTATGAAAATAAATTAGGTGGGTTAAGAGGATGGGTGGGTAGCAGGGAGCAGTTTATTATAGATGGAAGAGAAGACCTCTCTGATGACACTTGAGCAGAGACCTGAATGAAATGGGGGAAGGGGATAGCGGGCAGGGAGTTTCAGCCATGCAGATATCCGGGTATAGACTGTTCTAGGTGAATAGTTATTATTGAAAATTTGATGATGTGAGAAGCAGAACTCTGACAGAGCCTTTAGCACTTTTTAGAAGTGTGATAAGTTCCTTTCCTCCCACCTCTTCATTCCCCACTTTCCCTCTTCTATGCCTGTTTGTCTTTAGGATCTACTCTCTGCCTTTACATCAGCCCCAAACACAATACAGCAAAGTAGAACAAGGGTTTAATTCCACATTCTAACCAATGACAATCTACATCTGTCAAATCCTATTTTTAATAATCAAGTAAAAAGGCTGGTGCAGTGGCTCACGCCTGTAATCCCAGCACTTTGGGAGCCTGAGGCGGGTAGATCGCTTTGAGCTCACAAGTTCGAGACCAGCATGGGTAACATGATGAAACCCCATCTCTACTAAAAATACAAAAAAAAATTAGCCAGGTGTGGTGGTGCATGCCTGTAGTCACAGCTACTCAGGAGGCTGAGGTGGGAGGATGGCTTGAGCCCAGGAGGCAGTGGTTGCAATGAGCCAAGATCGTGCCACTGCCCTCCAGCCTGGGCAATAGAGCCAGATCCTGTCTCCAAAAAAATAAATAAATAAATAAAAAATAATCAAGTAAGAGAGCCAAGTCTTGCCTCCACTATGTTCTGCGAAAGAACCTTTCATAATAAAATGCTCTAAAATACAAACAGGTAGTTAATAACAACATAGAGCAGAGCAGAAGAGGTTAAGATCACAGTCTCCCTATCAGAAAAGCCTGGATCATATCCCAGCTTTGTTTGCTGCCTGCATGACCTTGATTAAATTGCTTAACCTCTCTGAACCTCGGTTTTTTCACCTGTGAATGAGAGACCAATAATGTTACCTCTTTTCAGAGTTCAGGAGAAACTTGAATGAGATACGTACATAAAACACATGCAATTTTCTTGGCACAGAGGAAAGTGCTCAATGATGTGCATCTCTTTCTATCAGGACTTTTAATTACAAGCTACAGAAATCAACTCTGATATCTTTGCCTGCTGCTAGTCTACTGGCAAAATAAATACATTAAAAATATAAATTAAAATAGAAAAAAATTAACTCTGATGAAACCAAGCAGAAGAGAATTTTATTAAAAGCTTACTAGGTGGCTCCCAGAATGTCCAAAAGCCAGGAATAATGCCTCAGATCACGCCATGGACTGATCCAGGAGCACCAGGGAGCAGCAGATGATGATGCTCACACCAGCAATGCCTGTAGCAATTGACACTGCCCTCTTTTTCTGTGGAAAAGAGGGTTATTCTGCCTCCCAGCAAAGCTCCGAAAGTAGAGAACTCCCCACACCAGAATGAGCGCTCAGATGCTGGGCAGCCAAAAGAACGGCAAGTGTCTAGCCACACCACTAATGCAATACAGTCCTCCTCCCTCCATATAATGGGGATTGGCTTCAGGGCTCCCTGTGGATACCAAGCCCTGTGGATGCTCAAGTCACTGAGTTGGCCCTCTGTTTCTGTGGGTTCTTATTCACAGGGCCAATGGTATACAGTATCCTCATCAAACCACCTTTGGAGCACCTACTAGTTGCTCATGCTACTTCCGTCACCAAGAATGCCCCTGGCCCTCTCCACACCGTTCAGCCACATCCTGGAGGCCCCCACTCTGGGATGCCTTCAACCTGACTCCAGGGCCTGCCTCCACCCTTCCCCAGCTACTTCTCTTGCAAAGTATCCTATTATAAACTGATTTACATCCTGACTATACCTGCACATACAGACACCAATGCTTCTTAGAAGTAGAGATCAAAAACAAGTGTATATACAGTTGTAAATACCACATCCTGGTTTACTAAACATTTCTGTGTATATCTCATCCCACAAATAAGGTTACAAGTCTTAGTTGATTGGGAACACCATTCTTTTCTCCTGTACCTGTTAAAAGCTATTTCCTATTCTTTGTTGATGCTTAATAGCACTTCCTTTAAATCTGGGATGAAGCATAGATTTTTTATACAGAGGGTCAAATGTCTAATTCATCTACAAATACTCCTTTGTTAAAAAAAAATTCAAAGTCTTATATGGAATGAGAAAAGTAATCAGTCAATATTGTTTCACAATATTGAAGCACTTACAAATTATAATACATTTTCATTTTATAAACTCATTTTTTTTAATCTAAAGGGAGTAAAAATATCTTCCCACTCTGGGAAGTAGGGGAACCTACACTGCCCCAATTTTACTAAGAAAAAAATATATTTTTTTTTCCCATGGAATAATATCCCCATCTTGTGGGCACTGTTGTTCAATGTTTTCAAAAATCTTAGCAACATTTTTAGAACAGTGACATCTCTTAATACTTCTCAGGGATAGATAGAATTGAACTACAACCCCTATTTGGCCCATAAGCCAAAAGTTCCCTGTATCTTTAATAAATGCTTTCTGCACAAAGCATTCAAAAATTTAATATAATCAAAATCTATAATGAGTCAGGCATCAACCAGGTCTATATCAAAAGAAAAATATATATGTGTGTGTGTGTGTGTGTGTGTGTGTGTGTGTGTGTTGTGTATGTGGATATATATGCATATATATCTTTAGATTCACGGGTACCTAAAGAGAATTCCTGCCGTGAAAGGATTCTCTACTCACATGAGTAATAAACTCATTCAGGAAACATATATTGAGATCCAAAGTGTCTAGTAAGGCATTGGCTATTCCCTTCAGGTCAGGATTTGCCAAGCAGAAGGCAATACATACATGGAGGGCAAGGAGAAACTGACAAGAAATTCACTGGTTCCCAGCAGGCTCTTGGCCAAGGACAGGAGTCTGATAATATCTGCCTGGGCTCTTGGCCAAGAGGAGGAAGGTTACTGAGCATTTAGAAATATGCATGCACAAAAGAATTGAAAATCAAGAAGGGAGAGGAGGGTTATGAAACAATGAAACAATGGAAAAGCAAGGGAAGAAAGCATCAGTGGTATCTTTTTCATCAAAGGAAAGGAAAGACATGCACATCTATCAAAAGGAAGTAAAATGGAAGTGAGGAAAGAGGCTGACAATAGTTTCCAACTCTTTCTCCCTCTGTATGTCAAATGCCCCTTGGATATGCAAGTAAATCTGCAACTTCAAGATACCATAGATATGTAAAGTTCCCTAGTCAGCTACCTGCCATCCATTTGGAATTATCGTGTAACAAGCTTATCTGGTCTTGTTTATATTAATTTCCCTCATTCAAATAGTTCTTCTCTAGAGATAATGTTTCCCAAGCCAGGACATGATATAAACCCACTATTTCTGGCCATATTTATTTCAGATGACCTTTTTCATTGAAGAAGGGTATCAGTGCATGGAGCACATGTGCAATATAAATACAGCATCCTCAACCCCTAGTCCCCAAACCATCAATTTACCCAAATAATCACACACACACACACACACACACACACACACACACACAGACACACACACCATTAAAAACAGTCTATGGACTCAGTACATTTCAACATCTCCAAAATCTCTTTTAAATCTTTCTAAACCATAAGTCAGTCCCAGGGCAGCCTGGTCCATCTGGTCCCGATTCTTCAGCCTGATGTTCAAGACTCTATGAGCTCTGCCCAGCTTTTCTCCATTCCTCGTCGGGTTCCTCTCCCACTTCTCCCTTCAAGTCCCCCACTATGGCCAAACAGTACCAGCTGCCGGAGCCCACCAGGCACTTTTCCTACCCCAGAAGCCTTGCCTGTACCGTCCCCTTCTGTCTGACACCCTCCACACTTCCCTAACGCCCACACTGCAGTGAACGTCCTCCACTCGATCTCTAAACGTCTACCATGTTGTGCACTGCTCTTCTCCAACACTCACTGAATGACTCCACAATTATGATGAGACCCCTTTAGTGATAGTCTGAGGCTGCAGGGAGAATTGCAGGTTTTGAAGTCCAACAACCTTGCTGCTGACTGGACACAGAACTCTGGGTATAATATCTAACCTCTTTGAACACTTGTTTCCTTATTTGTAAAATGAAAGAACAATACCTATCATCTTGCATGGCTGTTAAGAGGACTAGAAATATTCACATAAAGGGCCAAATAGGACTGCCTCAACTCCAGAGAAATAAAACAATTACGCGGTGTCTGTAGGACAGGCTGTGTGCTCAGTGAAAACAGAGCCAGGCACTACTCTCCTCTGTGGTCTCCGTACTCCAACTGCTGTGCTTGGCATCTAACACGCACTTTTTTTTTTTTTTCTTGAGACGGAGTCTCGCTCTCTCGCCCAGGCTGGAGTGCAATGGCGAGGTCACGGCTCACTGCAAGCTCCGCCTCCCGGGTTCACGCCATTCTCCTGCCTCAGCCTCCCGAGTAGCTGGGACTACAGGCGCCCGCCACCATGCCAGGCTAATTTTTTTGTATTTTTAGTAGAGACGGGGTTTCACCATGTTAGCCAGGATGGTCTCGATCTCCTGATCTTGTAATCCGCCCACCTCGGCTTCCCAAAGTGCTGGGATTACAGGCGTGAGCCACCGCGCCCGGCCCTAACATGCACTTTTTAAAGTCAGGAAAAATAGGCCAGGCGCGGTGGCTCATGCCTGTAATCCCAGCACTTTGGGAGGACAAGGCGGGCTGATCACCTGAGGTCGGGAGTTCAAGACCAGCCTGACCAACACGGAGAAACCCCGTCTCTATTAAAAATACAAAATTAGCTGGGCATGGTGGCACATGCTTGTAATCCCAGATACTTGGGAGGCTGAGGCAGGAGAATCGCTTGAACCCAGGAGGCGAAGTTTGCAGTGAGCCGAGATCATGCCACTGCACTCCAGCCTGGGGAACAAGAGTGAAACGTCTCAAAAAAAAAAATAAATAAATTCAGGAAAAATAACTAAAATAATATAGATCAAAATGTTAATGAAGCTATATTCAAGCAATGGTTTTATAGGCAATTTATTGTTTTATTTGTACTTTTCAGTATTGCCTTAATTTTCTAGAGTGAACAAATATTATAAAAGTTATGCTAAATATATTCACTATGACACCATAATTTTGGCACACTATAATCCCTGTTACACATTGCAAGTAGAAATTACATCAACTTTGTATCTATTTATCTCTTATACTTTGTATAATTTTTCTCCTCAGGCACTTATGCTTGCATAAAGCTACTTTGCTGGACTGAAATAAAGACAGTTTTTATTAAAATTCCCCTTAAATTCAACTCCAAAACACCTCCTCAGAATTTTATTTGTGACTACAGTGTGTGCTAATTTGGTTATCAGGTTCAAGCTTTCTCTGGTCTAAATTCAACTTTTTTAAAAAAGGAAATAAACCTAAGAGAGCTTACATTATCACTTCATGGATATCTCATTATTTTGACATTCCCACTTTCTTATATGGTAGGTGTCTACAGTCACCTGGAGTTTTAGTATTTTAAATATTCTTCAATATATTGTGCAAAGTTAACGAAGTGGAAGATGGAGAAATTCTCTATTTCAGAACTGAGTGGCAACAATGTGCCCATTAAAATGAAAAGGAAGATCACATATCACAGGTAACGTTTTTCCTGCATTCTGGTAGAGAATATTCACACCGAGGATGGAGGGTGGTACCCTCTCATAATTTAAAAGCAAAACAAACTGCCTGAAGAGAAGGCTACGTTGGTGGACAGTTAAATTATTTGAAAAGTCTCTTATACCACCTACTTCGCATCAAAAGGAGACTCATTCAGATTCACCAAAAGTATGTGAAGTCGTAACTCTTTTTTTTTTTTTTTTTACTGCCTCCCCCCACCAAGACTTTCTCAGCCTACTCCCCTCCTCTAGGAGCTGCCAAATCACAATGCTCTGCTCCCCTATTCTCACCTGCTGGCATCAGCAGGAACCCAGCTCCCCGTCAAGACCCCCTCAGGTTCCTCCCCTCCACACAGATCTCTACTTCCTCAGGCCTTCCTGGAGTCCCAAGAAGTAGCTGACTTTTACCCAATTCCCAATCTGATGTCAGTTTTTAACACTTCCCAGTACTAAGCCCTTCCCAAGATAGAAAACCTACCTCTTCAAATCATAACATTTGCAGTTACAGTATCTTAGAGATGTCAGGAGTTAGAAGCCATGGACACCCTCTAGTTCAGTGGCTGTCAACCTTAACACACTTGTCTTTAACCTAATACCTATTTTATAATCTTCACCTTTATGATTCTGAAGTAAAGTTCAAGTAATTTATCTATACATAATCCTGTGTGTATGCATATGCCCTTTATGATAATATTAAGGAGAAATAAAGGAAAATAATTTAAAATAGGTTTCTCAATATGTGCCTGGACACTAACAGACATAAAATGAAGTGGTCAACTGTTTATTATATTTACCTATAGAATGAGTTCACATTTGGAAAAAAATAAGATCAGAAAACATTCTGCATGAGAAATACAAAAATTAAAAGGATAAAGGGACACGTGTGTTCATCTTCACAAATGAAGATGTGAATTAGGGCCAGGCGCAGTGGCTTATGCCTATAACCTCAGTGCTTTGGGAGGCTAAAGTGGGAAGACTGCTTGAGCCTGGGGGTTCAAGATCAGCCTGGGCAACAAAGCAAGACCTCATCTCTATAAAAAAAAATTAAAAATTACCCAGGTGCAGTGATGTGAGCCTATAGTTCTATTAATAGCTACTCGGGAGGCTGAGGTGGGAGGATTGCTTGAGCCCAGGAGCTAGAGGCTACAGTGAGCTATGATCGTTTACCTGCACTCCAGCCTGGGTAAACAGAGTAAGACTCTGTCTCTAAAAATAAAAAATAAAAAACTTGAGTTAGATTAAGCAGAGGTGAGACTGACTTGTACATGACATCTTCTCAGGAATGCCAAATAGGTCATTCTAGACACCAGACAATTCTTTGTTTGGCAAGTCTGTCCTGAAATTGTAGAATGTCTAACACAGCTGGAACCTGCCCTGCAAATGATGGGACAACATAAAACACCCCCACAAATTCTCAAAATACCCTTTAGAGGGCACTACTGAGAAGTACTGATCTAGTTCACCCCATTTTGCCTCTGAGAACACAGAAGTTCGGAGAGGTTAAGTGATTACAACACTCACAGCAGGAACAGGTCACAAACCATGACAAAGTGGGTTCCAGAAACCAGTCTCATATCACCACCCACACGTACACGCGCACACACACACGCTTCCTCTCCCCTTTCTTCTACTCCTGGCTCAGATTTTTCATCTATGTCCTCTGCAATCATCGCCATTCAAATTTAACCGTCTGTGTCCCTCTGACCCCACCCATCCCAGGTTCTTCTGAATTGTGTGTGCCAACCTTACTCTCCACGGTACATCAAGTCTCACTAATGTGGCCACAACCTTGGCCTTAACTCAGATCACAAAGATCTCTAACTTAGCACAGCCTCCTCACTGTCTCTGGGACCTTCCAGTTCCATCCCTTTATGTCAGTTCCTTCCTTCCCACTCCCAACTCAGCACCCAAGAGAACTCATTCAGCATTGCTCCCTCAACATTACCCATTATGTGTAACATGGGTCTTGGTTGACACCCACTGTTGGCTTTTTCCTTAGTCCTTACTACACAGAAGTGTGACGTATATTAAGTTCCATATCTACACAGGCTTGCAATACTTCCTACTCACCAAACACAGTACGATTCTATTCAGTGTAGTTCTAGTTGTTTAAACATTTTTTTCCAATGGCTGTCCCCAGTATGCTGAGCTAATGCCTAATTCAATCAACCTATAGGAAACAACTTTGCTTTTATAATAATTAGGCAATAAATAATGAGGATGCTCCTTCCAATAATGTCTTTGTTCATGCTCTATGGCTAAGAAGAATGCCCTCTTTCTCAAAAAACATATTTCCTTCAAAATCTGGTTCTTGTTAATATCCTCAGTAAAGCTTTCAAGACCTTAGCACATATTAATCTCTGAATTCTCAACTTATTAACAACGACAGACTTTCAGAGAAGAAAGAAATCTACAGATTACCTAGTCAAGTCATTTTATTTTACAGATGGAGAAACTGGAACTCAGAGAAGGGAGCAAGCAGTCTCCAGTGATATAACCAGTTGTCTGCAGAGAAAGCTGAAACATGGGTCTCTCCACTTCCTGCCCAGTTTCTTTTGAATACACCAATGACTCATTTCATAGCATTTACAGACCTTTCAAAAGATCAGAATTGTTTTTCTTTAAAAATATGCTTCTGCATAAATTTTAGAAAGATAAGTCTATTATGCTTCACAATGTCCTTCATCTAGTGCTTAAAAATGGAAATATTTTTGTTTGCTACGTATTTTCATACTACATGGAAATTAATACAAATATCCAGTTCCTATTTCCCTTGTTAATTTCTTTCTCATTTTTTTTTCCCCAAGTCAAAAGCCATCTGCAGCTTGCTTCCCAGGACAAAATAGTCATGCCAAAAAAAAAAAAAAAGTCTTAAATAGAGTAGCCAAATCAATGTCCCAAATGAAGGTTAAGTTGTACAGCATTTTGGTTTCAAACCAGGTTTATTTTAAAAGTGTTTTTTCTCTTTATAGGAAGGATAGAGTAAAGGAAATCACATTTCTAAGTGTGCCTGCATGCCTTAACTATTAGTCAACAATGATTCATACATTTTTAAGCTCTTATCTGTCTCAATGAAACTTCTCAGATCTCAACTATTTATATGGTAAATGCCTTGAATGATCAGAATGATCAGATTCAATTATTTCTATTCTTTTCATGCACTTATTTTTACCATTTGCTTCTTAAATTAATGTACATCAGTTAACTCTTTTTAATGGTATCTGCAGAAAAGACCACAGTCAAAAATCCAAAATAACAACTCATTTCACCAACTTTGAAAATCTGATATTTCTATTCTTTTAGGTTATTTTATAATATATTTTAAATACAACTGCAATGCAGAAAAGGAAGTAGATATATTATCTCAAATCTTCTAAACTGAGTGACAAAATAGAGAAAGTTTCAAAAGTACTGGCTCAAATTTCACTGCCTTAATCTCTAGGCCCACAGAGTAATACATACACACACACATACACACACTCCTCCTCTTTGAAAAAGATAGAAACTGATTTGTTTTAAGCTTCTTCCCAACTCTACCTCTCCCCATCACTAAGGAAATATATTTTATTATAGTATTTTATAAACTGTCTTAAAATTTCAATTAACAATTTTTATCTACATGAAAAGTATTCATTAAAATTCTCATTATTATAACCACCTGGTATTGAAGAAACAAGTGTAAGATGTTAGCAAGGAAGGAGGCACACAGGAAGATTTGTAATACATGTCCACAACTTTAAAAAAGACACCATAGGCTGCCTGCCTGGTTCCATCATTAATTGTGAAATCTTGAATGTCACTTAATCTTTCTGGCCTCCTTCCTTCCTTGAAAACCAAGGGAGAATATGAACATGGTATCCGTTTAAACTTTAAAATTCTATGGTTCTAGGACACTACAAAAAATGTACTGAATTATTTTTCTGTGACACGACTGATTAAACAGCTTATATAAACAGTCAGCTCTCCACGTCCATGAGTTCCACATCTGTGGATTCAGCCAACCATGGATCAAAAATATTCAGGAAAAATAAATATCCCACAAAGTTCCAAAGAGCAAAACTTAAATGTGCTGTGCACTGAGTATTATGTTGAATCTATGCAAGTAAAGTGATGTATGGGTAGTGTATTAGGTATTATAAATAATCTAGAGATGATCTAAACTATACAGGAGGATGTGCATATGTTATACTACACCATTTTATATTGGGAACTTGAGCATCTGTGAATTTTGGTGTCCTCAGGGGTTCCTGGAATCAATCCCCCATGGATACCAAGTGAGGACTGTTTATGTTTAGTTAGCCCCTCAGCAGAGGCCCTCCCCAAGAGTTAAATTATAAATCCCTGATGTTTGTGACATCAGTTCGCTATCACATATTAAGTGTGGCCAACTGAATCTATGATTATTTCACAAATTTCATTTTTATAAGGTGTCGCCTCCATTCTTCATTTTAAAAATTTTGACAAAATTGCTAAAGAGCAAAACAGCCATGAGGGAACACAATAATAATGAAATGATACCAGCAGCTTACACTTACTGAGCTCTTACCATCTGCCAGCGACTCTTAAACATCTGCACAGGTATTTTTGCGTTTACTCCTTACAATCTTGCCATTCCAATGTGTCAGTTGAGAAACAGAAGGACAAGTGGTGAAATAACGTGGCCAATGTCACATTGTAAGTGGGAGATCTGGACTTAGACCCCAGGCAATCCACCTTCAGTTCACTCAGGTGGCTAACCCCCTCACCTGGGAGTCTCTAATTAAGAGGTTGAGTGGCGGGAGGCTGAGGCAGGAGAATGGCGGGAACCCGGGAGGCAGAGCTTGCAGTGAACCGAGACCGCGCCACTGCACTCCAGCCTGGGCAACAGAGCGAGACTCCATCTCAAAAAAAAAAAAAAAAAAGAGGTTGAGTGGCAATAGGTGGACGTTAGTTCAATCTCACACTGATGAGCTACATAACCCTAACACCCATTTTTCACATCTGCAAGGTGTGGGCGGGTGTTGGAGGAGCCTTCACATTCCATTATCTGGCAATGTCATCTGGAAAGCCCACAAAAGCATTTACCACAGACATCTAAAAAAGATGGATACTTCTCTCTGGAACATCTCTTGCAGCACAGCCACCTGCCTTTTCCCTGCTTAGTATAAATGGACCTAAGAGCAAGGAAACAGCTGGGTTCCCAGCCCTAAGACATTATGAGAGAGTATCTCAGAGGGAATAAGAAATAGAGACTTAATTGTTTTTCCTTGTTCCTAGAGATGCAGGTAATAAATTCCCCTCCATACGTCCCTATGTCTACCTGAGCTGTCAATCAAATAGCTACCATTTTTAGACCAATTCCTACACCAAGTTTAGCCAAGAGCCACTTCACTCCACCGTACTCCACCCCACCCTCCTCCATTCTTGTCCGCAATTGGAGGAGCAATTGAATCACATGTAAGGACTGATCAATAAGGGGCCACTGGGTCATTTTAAATGGCAGCTCTTATTTCTGCTCAATGTTTAAAACAGATCCACCCAAAAAACCTGGTTGGTGCCATTGCGGCCAGGCACTTGATCCATTATATCAAGTGTCAGACTCTGATTCTTTCCTGGCTATGTTCCAGAAGAGGCTACTGAATGGTAAGAAAGGTGGGAGAGAATGAGGAGAGCTGCTAACTGGCCAAGCTTCCTCACATCTTATGCAGTTGGTCAGTATTCCTTTAATAGATGGGAAAGTAGTAATCTGTAGCAAAAGTAGTCAATGTCTTCTAACGAGGGAAAGTGGTAAGGACTGTTATTTCTGCTTTCTAACCACCCACAAAGGTTAAATTACCCTAATGAGTTGCAGAGGGGGGGCAACAGGTCCAATAACACCATTAGAACCTACATCACAGGGTCAGTCTATTCAAGGGGGTTTAAGGTATTCAGAAACTGAATCTTCACTAGTATATGAAACCATCAAACTGTCCAAAAATCAACTGTAGGTGGTTTATGAGCCCTCACACCCCTGGCATCTCCACAGTTAGAGCTCACATGGAAAACATTCCTTTCCCATCCTGAAGATGGAATGGAAAGACTCAATCTACTCATGGAGCTTAATATTATACCCCTTATAGAGCTTCACTTTTAAATGTTACAATAATACTCTTTAAAGCGCCTGCAAAGTGTGATGCATTGAGCAAGCACTCACTGCATAACACTCATCAGGGATTCTAGGTTCTGTTCCTTCCATCACCAGTTAGACACGAGCTCCCCAACTAGTCACTTTACCGCTCCAACCTGCATTTCCTTGGGTGTGGAAAAAAAAAGTTATACCAAACGAGACTCAAAGTCCCTTAAACACAAAAATCTATAACTGCAAGGTAAAAGTAATATCCTTGAAAATTATCAATCAGTGGTTTATCTGAAAACAGATGAAAAATTTTTTGTCCTCTTTTTTTTTTTTTTTTTTTTTTTTTTTTTTTTTAAGGAAGGAAAATAGAGGATTCCGGGACAGTAACACCGCTGAATTTTTGTATCACTAAGCCTAGATAAGATAAATGGCAATGCCAGATCTAAAACGTAAATTCAGGGAGACTGTCAGAGTCCTGTGCCAAAGGTCAAGTTTAAATAAAAAGTTGCTTATGTTGGCCGGGCGCGGTGGCTCACGCCTGTAATCCCAGCACTTTGGGAGGCCGAAGCAGGCGGATCACGAGGTCAGGAGGATCGAGACCACCCTGGCTAACACGGTGAAACCCCGTCTCTACTAAAATTACAAAAAATTAGCCAGGTGCGGTGGCGGACGCCTGTAGTCTCAGCTACTGAAGAGGCTGAGGCAGGAGAATGGCGTGAACCCGGGAGGCGGAGCTTGCAGTGAGCCGAGATCGCACCACTGCAGTCCGGCCCTGGCGAAAGAGCGAGACTCCGTCTCAAAAAAAAAAAAAAATTGCTTTTGTTGACTAATATACCTCCATCTACCCTTCTTTCCTTGTTCATAATAATTACACTAACTTATGGTTATGGGTAGCTAGTTTTAGCCAGTTTGGTGCACTCTCACTTTCACTGAGTATACCAATTTAAAGTTCTGACTCTAGAAGAAATGAGACACTGTTTTAAAGCATTTAGATTGTATCTCTTGGTTATATTTGTGTGTGCTATTCAACAAACTCCAGGAAATGTCCTTATTGATGTTTACAGAACATTCAATGAAAGACGTAAAATAACAATGGCTACACTATTTCTCAGAATTCTGTTATCATTAAGGTACCTTGAAAAGCTGGTTGGCTCTTTCCCACACATCCCCAACCCTCTTGTCTTTTATTATAGCAACACTGTTCACAAGTCACTTCTTCCTATCATCATTTTTCCTTGTCCTTGCACAGAAACCTTTGCTCCCAAACTTCAGCACTCCCACCACTGGCTGGTATTTAAGCTTCCCATACAGCAATAATATTACCACCAAAGCTATGAGTAATTTTAATGTGGGAAAGGGAAAGGAAATGCAAGATAGCAATACTTGAAAGGTAAAAAACAAAACTTGCCTATGAGTATCATCCATATTTTCTTTATCAGCTCTGCCTTACATTTCTACCAAAGTAGAATTGTCCTTGTTGTTGTCAGATAACAGAGAGATGATTACATGCACACAAGTTATACCAGCTCAGCCTGGGGAAGGTGCAAACTTCAAGTGTGTGTTATTTCACACCATGCCCCATTGAACCCCAGAGGTCTGTAAGGTAGGCCCTTTTGGGTCTCCGATCAATATTTACACAAAACATGAAATAAAATTCCCCCTTACATCTCTGAGCACATATCTGAACTTAAATGCATTATGGATTAGAAAGTTGCAGTTCTCTATTGATCTCTTTTCCAAATCCATGCTGATACAACATTTGTGCTCAAGAAAAGCTGTACAGGCAAAAATATTGCTCAAACATATACAACACACTCAACGGATGCCTGGCAAAGTGCAGGAGCCGCTGGCATCTGTACTTATGGAGATATAGCAACCAAATACATTGTAATTTGGAAACAAAACCATGTAAAAGGTATCTGGGGGAAAATTGTGGAAATTTTAATATGGCCTTCATATTAGACCATAATTATCTTTGGTGTGATAATGGTACAGTGCAGTGGTTCTCAAACTTGCCTGCACATTAGAATCACCTGGGAGCTTCACCAAAAACAAACAAACAAAAAATACGTATGCCTGTGACTCATGCAGGGATTGAGATTAATTTATCTGGAGTGTGATCTGAGCTTTGTAGTATTAAATTTTTCTAAATTTAAAACTTCAAATATAGACATAAGATTTACATGTATTCATTAACCCATTGTAAAAATTTCTAAGTGCTTAAATTTTTCAAAATAAAAAGTTGAGGAAACAATATTAACCATCTTGCTCATGTGATCATCTTAGACAAGATACTATCTTAGGTACAAAATTCAGCATATCACAAACAGAAAACTACTTTCAGATGATAGGAAATGTTTAGGAATTCACTAAGTAGCTTAATAAACTGTAGAATAAACTCTTTTGGCTTCAATGCTTATTTTTTAATGTTTTTAAAAGTTGAAGTCCAGTGCCTTACTTACATTATTCTGAATATCAATTGTCTCTATAGAATACTGTAGGCATAGGATCCATTTGGGTTTTATCTCTACTGACCCTAAAAACACACTTTAAAGTACATTTTAAAATAAATCCTTACTATTCATCTGATTTGTCCTAATTTGCCACTTTCTCTTAAGAGATACAACAAAAATGTTCCAATTAATATTGATTCTTCAATCAGTCTAAACTAGTGCCATCTGTCATCTGGACAGTTATTATTCATAGCAAAACTGTAGTTATTATTCATTATTTATCTATCACCAACTTGATATTTTTCCCTGGCAAGAACATAAAAAGAATAGGGAGAAACATAGCCGGAAAAGCAGATTGGAGTCCTGATTTCTAAAATGTTCATACTTAAGCATGTACTCATTTGGAAAATATTTATTGAGAACCTACTACATGCCAAGTAATGTGGATACAATTATACACAAGCCAAACACGATCCCAGATTTATAGTTATGTTGGGAATACAGACAAACACACATGACACGATTAGAGGGCTGCTTTTGGAAAGTTAATCTGACCATCAGAATTCAACTAAGCCTGGCTTGTAGTAAAAGCTGATATTACATGTAAGTAAACAACAGGGTGTTCTTTCATGAAAATTAAGTTTGGTGGTAGGGTCCTCCTGAACAAGTTGCTTTCCATTTCGTTTTTATTTCTCTTCCCTCCTGCATTGGTTTCATGTGGCTGCTATAACAAATTACCAAAATTTGGTGGCTTAAAACAAATGAAATCTATTCTCTAAAAGTCTGGAGACTAGAAATTTAAAAGCAGGATCACTGGGCTGAAATCCTGGTGTCAGCAAGGCAGCACTCCCTCCGAAGCCTCTAGGGATCCAGTCCTTGCCTCTTCCAGTGTCTATCTGGCAGTACCAGCATTTCCTTGCCGTGGCCACATGACTTCAATCTCCGCCTCCATCTTTACATGCTTCTCCTCTGCATATCAAATCTCCCTCTGCCACCTAAAAGGATACTTGTAATTGCATTTAGGACCCAACTGGATAATCCAGGATAATTTCCCATCTCAAGATCTTAACTTAATCACATCTGCAAAGACCCTTTTTCCAAATAAGTTCACATTCACAACTTCTGTGAATTAGGACCTTTTTAAAAATTTTTGGAAGCCACTATCAGACAATCATACCTACACAGAAAGCCTAAGAATGAAAAAGGGTAATAAGAAAAAAAATACAAATTTACTAAGCCAGAGCATTTACAGTTCTGCTCCAAACATATCTGAAGAGTTTTTCTGCTTCTGAATAGGTCCCCAAAAGCAAGGTTCTCTACTCCTAAGTTATTTAAGGCGTTTAAGGTGAGAATTTAATTAAATTATACTGGGAAGTACCATACAAATTAAAACTAATATTATACCTCTTTTCTCCCCCTCTCCTTCCTCCTCAATAATAACCTCAAATTTCCTTTCGAACAGCTCCTGTAACTTTTACTGACCCATTTCAGAACTCTGGCTTGACACTGCACTGTATTAATCCTGGGAGAAAGAGCCCAAGAAAGCTCAGCAAGCAGCCCCCTACACAGGGCCAGTTCTCAGGAGCCTTTAGGATCAGAGGTAAATCTGGGCAAGGCCGAAGCCTGGTCTGGTGGTACCCTGGAGCCAGATCGTTTCCAGAACTGGAAGAGTAACATGGCATTCATCCAGGGGACATGCTCCTTATAGTTGCTTTTCCTTAACTGAAAAAGGAATTCTTGGCTAGAGAGCCTAAAAGCCTAAAGGCAAAATTATATGGATAACCCAGAGAGTATGTATGGACCTCAGGGCTCCAAGGAAAACAGTGAGGAGGCATTATGACTTTGTACTTCAGCAATGACAGCAGTGGAGGATGGGCCAAATCTCTGCCTTCCCGATAAACCCTTTGAGTAGAACTGTAACACAGCCCACCATAATCCTGACTCGCCTCCTTCTCTAGTTTCCTGGACATGGAGAATTGCTGCCATTCTAGAATCCACTTGCCAAGATCCTTAATCAGAAGTTTTTTTTGCTGTTGTTGTTGTTTTTTGAGACGAAGTCTTACTCTGTTGCCCAAGCTGGAGTGCAGTAGCACAATCGCGGCTCACTGTAACCTCCACCTCCCGAGTTCAAGTGATTCTCCTGCCTCAGCCTCCTGAGTAGCTGGGACTACAGGCACGCACTGCCATGTCCAGCTAATTTTTGTATTTTTGGTAGAGACAGGGTTTTACTATGTTGGCCAGGCTCGTCTTGAACTCCTAACCTCGTGATCCGCCTGCCTCGGCCTCCCAAAGTGCTGGGATTACAGGCGTGAGCCACCGCGCCCAGCTAGAAGTATTTCTTAACATTGTTAATACTTAACAGTGTCCTCCAAAAAAGAAAACATCCTGAGGTAGAAAACCTACATATAAATCAATAATTCAATGACTGCTTGTATATAAGCCCCATCTACTTTCTTCTCTCTCCAGATCTGAATTAGTATACAAATTCAATCTTCAGCCTCTTAAGCAAGAATAAAAATACCACATCATATACTATGATGCCATTACAAATATATTCCCATTTTATTTGAGCTATTAACTTTTTTTTGCTTGTATAAACAGAATAAATAATTCATTTCATGGCTTAAAACATAGCAACATGAAGGCAAATGCAAAATAAATAGCAAATCAAAATCCGTGAAATACTAGACAAGGGTTGTCTGATGTAGGGTAAGCACTGTGAGACAGTCCAAAGACAACACATTGCATTTCACTTTGTTTTCAAAGAACATGGTGACCAAGTTCACAGGTTAGGCAATCCATTATCCCTTCTTCTTCATTTATTGGCTTGCCTTCACCTAGCAGAAGTTTCAGGCAGCTACACAAAAAGTCTATTGTTTCCTCTCTGCTGTATCTCATCAAGTAATGTCCTTTCACTCCAGTGAAAAGCCTATACTCTTACTGAGCTCATCTTAGCTTATTAAATTTATAATTTAACAACTGTGCCAACACACTGTAATTACAGAATCATTATGTGGTTTTTACATACAATTATTTTTTAAAGGAAGGCTCACTGGAGATTCAGTTTATGAAAGCAGATATTACGTCAATCCCCTTCATACATACTGAAGAAAAGCTCCTTCACCTCCTACTACCCACCCTAACCCCCGGTTTTGGCTAAACCAAGGAAAGGACAATATTGGTGTCTGTTAAGTATGAAGACATGCCAGGGTCACAGAAGAAATAACTCCAGCTTTGGAACATAAAACAACCCACGCCTTTCTCTTTGCCAAGCCAGAATCCTGACATGACCACTTCTGAAGCCCCCTTGCCTCATTTCCCCGTGTTCTGAGGCTAGCTTCCCTCTCTGGCAGACCCCCAGAACAATACATGAGGTCTTACAGGCAAGTAGTCCTACAGATCCAAGAGGAATCAAAGCATAGCTGTCACCCACACAGGATGCAAATGGCATCTCCTCATGGACAACTGGGTGCCATTATCTGTAGATGGTTACTGAAACACAGACTTCTGACATTAGTGTTAGTCGAATTCTAAAGTTTGATCTGGTAAAAATAAACTAAAACCCTAGAGACACAAAGCAACATTCTTATGTCCCAAAGCATCATCACATAATTAGCAAACATTTATTGACTGTCCACAGCCTGCCTGGCATTAACTAGATGTTGAGATTCAGGAATAAAGAAAACAACATGTTTAATGCCTTGATGAGTTTATAGTCTAAGATGGATAGAGTAACTGGACACACAGCTGAGAATAAACAAGGGACTGAACAATAAAACACAATAAGAATTTTTTTGAGAAAACTGCACACATAATGCATTTTAATCAAGGTAAACCATATAATACATTTTAATCAAAAGACATAGCTTGATAATATTACTATATTCTATTGATTGTTCTATTTCTTTCTTTCTCGTTCTGTTTCTCCTTTCTGTTTTTACCACCATGGTTATTCACAGACTTATATACTTCAGGAAAAAAAAAGTGAGAAATGTGTTTTGTTTTTTCTTTTTTTTTTTTTGTTTTTTTTTTTGTTTTTTTTGAGACGGAGTCTCGCTGTGTCACCCAGGCTGGACTGCAGTGGCGTGATCTCGGCTCACTGCAAGCTCCACCTCCCAGGTTCACACCATTCTCCTGCCTCAGCCTCCCGAGTAGCTGGGACTACAGGCACTCGCCACCACGCCCGGCTAACTTTTTGTATTTTTAGTAGAGACCGGGTTTCACCATGTTAGCCAGGATGGTCTCGATATCCTGACCTCGTGATCTGCCCAATTCAGCCTCCCAAAGTGCTGGGATTACAGGCGTGAGCCACCACGCCCGGCCTTGTTTTTTCTTTTAATTTGAGGTGGAAGGAACCAGCACAGGGTTGTTGGTTTTTTTATCTGCCAAGTACGGGCTTTTTTTCCCGTAGAAATGAAAAACTATATCTACTTGCATTAGCTTCATTTCATTAAAACATTGATCACACGTTAATAATTTGTGATCAAATTCATTTACGTATAAACAACCAATATCAGATCCTTTCATATTTTGATTAGCAGTATGAATTACAGAGCGGAATGATAACAAGTCAGAGAAGAAAAAAGCCCTGATGAGTCAAAAATGTAATGGAAAATAGAGGTTGGAGATGGCAAAATCTTTCCTTATTTCACAATTTTCTCTGGGGCCAGCCCAATTTACCTTTCACAACAATGCAATAACAAAGCAGCAAGGTGTATCTCTGCCTTGCACAAAGTGGATATGGTGAATGAGAACACCATCAAGAATCATAAAATGATGTGGGCATACCTGGAAAGTAACGTGGAGGTGTAACCACGGCGGGGGGGAGTTCTGCTAAGAAAGGAAAGGTGAGAAAACACTTGGGAGAAAATGGCTTTTGAAAATGTGAATTGAAAAGAGAAGGAGCTCAAAGCCAAGAAACTGACACTGACAGCGCGAGATGATTGAAGTGCAGATTAGGATTGAGTTGGGGCGTTGAAAAATAAAGTACAGATCTGAAAAATCTTGGAGAGAAAAAAATAACAAAGCTTAGTAAGAGCTCCTTGAGCAGGCCTGGGGAGAGAGATGTCAGTGATGACTCAGATGTCAGGAGTGGCAAGGCAGGCCAGCTGCAGGACTGCCAGTGACAGGAGGAAGTAGGAGAGGAAATGATGCATGCGATAGCTAAGAAACACTATAAATGGCTACATATCTGTGGTTTCTCCAGCAAAAATGCATGTGCAAAACGTTCTGTATTCAGTACCCTAGTTAAAATATAACTGTGGGGAGAGCAACAGATTAACTACACAAACTGTTGCTTTAAGATAGCATGCCTAGGAATGTGCATGGGAAAAAAATACTGAGGCAAAATAAAATTCAATTGTGGTTAGCTCTAGAGTAGTATTATATTAATAATATAAGTGACTTTTGCCTCCTCTTTTGTGCTGCTATTTTTCTAAATTTTCTCTATTGAGAATGTTGTCTTGTAGGGCAAAGTTTTGAAAGTTCCTAAGTGAACATGTTAGAATGCTGTGTGTTAGTTTGTAAATTTCATGGAAACACATACACACCAGAACGCATCCACCAACATTAGGTGTCATGGAGCCTGCGGCACACAGAGGGTCCTCCAAAACAGCATTAATATATCCGTAGAAGTCCATGGGAATCATCGTAGTTGGCCATCTGGTGACTTTCACGTGTTTAGCATATAATCAGAAGTACACAGATTGACCATACTTTACCCAAATCATGAAAGCCAAGAAATTTGTCTAATAAATAAATTACTTAACCCGAAGCCTAATACTACCCCAAGGAATTTTTCAGTAAGATCTGTGAAATGCCCTCTAGAATCAGAGAAGATATCAGCACTAAGATATTTGAGTATTAAATACAGTGTTTCATGATCCTAGAAAAGTGGAATGGGTACTTCCAAAGTAAACTGGGCAAATCCAATATGCAAGGTCACTGAAATAGAGAAACGTCATTACTGCTTTCTCAGACTCCGGCGGTGGACACTGGACACAGCGTAGTAATTAACAGGACAGCCTCTGGAACCAGGCTGCCAGGGTTTCAAAGCAGCTCCACCACATTCCTAGCATGTCACCTTGAGCAAGTTTTCTTCACTTTTGGGCCTCGGTTTCCCCAACTATAAAATAGAGACCATAACTATACCTACTCTCATAGAATCATGAAATATAGGGCTGGGCACAGTGGCTCACATGTGTAATCCCAGTACTTTGGGAGACCGAGGTGGGCGGATCAATTGAGGTCAAGAGTTCAAGACCAGCCTGGCCAACATGGTAAAAACTCATCTCTACTAAAAATGCAAAAATTAGCCAGGCATGGTGGCAGGCACCTGTAATCCCAGCTACTTGGGAGGCTGAGCTAGGAGAATCACTTAAACCTGGGAGCCAGGGGTTGCAGTGAGCTGAGATCACACCACTGCACTCCACCCTGGGCCAACAGAGCAAGACTCCGTCTAAAAAAAAAAAATTGTGAAATATAAATGAGTCAATATTCAAATATAGGATATTATAAAGCACACAATACCAGGCAAATTGAAGGTACTGTATAAAGGTTATTGTTACATATTTTTCATTAAAAAGAGATGTCAAAAAAGCCCAGCCTTCTCAAAAATTCTATTCAGACTTAAATGCAACCATTAAATGTGCTGATCACGGTGATCACTTGATAGTTTTTTCCATATTCAAAAATACAAGGCAGCTTTTTTTTTTCCTCTCCCACTTCCTCTTATTTTCCCCTCTGATCTACACACAAAAATGAATTTAGTTAATACTTGAGTTCCCAGAAGTGAGAAGTCCAGATGGTTTTCTCCCTACTCAAGCCCTCCTCTAGGAAACGAAGAAGTCTTTTTGCAACAACCCTGCCTGTATGTTGGCAACAACTTTCAAAATCAAAAGCAAGTTGACCCCACTGTAAAAGAAAAATGCTTCTTCAGCCCTTACATTGCCGGGGGCGGGCGGAGGGGCAGAAAAATCAGAAAAGAAAAGGAAAAGTCTGTGCTAAAGGAAAATTAAATAAATTTGGGTTTTTGCAAAAGACCCTAACACCGAGCTCTCCCGTGATGCAGCACAGCTTCTCGGAACCCAACTCTTACTATTTCCTCGGATCCCCTCTCTGGATAAAGGTTCTTTTCCCAGCAGGGCCGTTCATTTGCATGGTAAGTACCAACATAGTGTAAAATATGAACTCCCACGCTCCCAAACCCTCCTACCATGGCTGCCCTGTGTTCCTCAGCCACTTTCTCCTTTGCACTGTCCCCTACAGGCTGGGCTGCTCATCTCCTAGTGAGCTTGCCTTCCCAGCCATTCCCATAAGACTCTCTGCACATTCTACAAGTGATGTTCAGGGAGCATCTGAAAGCTTACCTCACCTCCAAATCTCACCAATCAGAGGAGCCTCCAGCCTACCACTCCACCAGTAAGATATGAGGATAGAGGTTCCCTGCGCAGGTAAGCTGGCAAAGACCAGACGCTTACCCAGAGCTGCCTTGGCTCCTCACAGGGCACCGACTTCTTCAAAGTTCAGTCTCTTCCCTAGGATACTGAGAAAGCCACCCACCTGGATATTCCAGAGAAATATGGGCTGAACTTCCAGAATCCTCAGATTTGCAACTATAGAAGTGTTTAAGTGTTACAAGTTATAAGTTATATGGATTTGTCTTTCTCCAGATTGATATATTTTTCAGGAGTCAGGGGAGTCATCCCGTCATCTTTCACTGAATTCCCTCCCTAATAAAACCTTTTTTTTTTTTTTTTTTTGAGATGGAGTCTCGCTCTCGTGGCCCAGGCCGGTGTGCAATGGCGCGATCTCGGATCACTGCAACCTCCACCTCCTAGGTTCAAGCGATCCTCCTGCCTCAGCCTCCGGAGTAGTTGGGATTACAGGCACCGGCCACCACACCTGGCTAATTTTTTTTTCTTTTTTTTTTCTTTTTTTTTTTTTTTTTTGTATTTTTGTAGAGACGAGGTTTCACCATGTTGGCCAGGCTAGTCTCAAACTCCTAACCTCAGGTTATTCACACAACTCAGCCTCCGAAAGCTCTGGGATTACAGGCGTGAGTCACTGCGCCTGGCCATAAAACCATTCTTTGCAAGCACAGTTTCATCCCTTTGAGATGACAGTTGGCTACAGATGTTGAACAGGTATGCAGGGACCAGTTTCTATGCACCCCACCTTTAGGACTTGCAACTCTAGTTCACGGGTCTCAGAGAAGTTGTAAGTTACCAGTTTCCAACATTCCAAATTACTGCAAATGCCAGAAACTACAAATGTTTGGAAATGCCAAGAGTCTGAGGATCTACTGACACAGCATATAGCTGAAACCTCACCCACATAGTGTTAAGAAAGCGTTTCCTGCCTGTCTGGGGCTGACAAACCACAACAACCCTTTTCTTCTTCCTCAGGCACCAAGCAGGACTCATCAGGACACCTGGGCTCAGGCTCAAACCCTATCAAAGCAGGGCTGTACTGAGGACGCACCTTCATTCTCTTCCCAGAACAAGTGAAGGAAATAGGAGAGGATCTTTGCTCTAGGAAAGCAGGCTTCAGACAGGAAGTGGCAACAATTCATACAAGGTGCCATTCTTTCCTCTAACCCACACCTTAACCTGTGTTGACCATCTCCCTCTCTCATCACAATATCTCTAGATTCTTCCACATACTTATTGAAAACTATGTTCATGACACGACAGAGGAGGTAACTGTCTCAGATAGCATAAGAAGTTCAATAGTAACCAAACATTTTTTTTTAAGTTATTTCCAGTGGGCCTGTGTGCTTTAGCTCACTTAAATCTTCACAACACCACTGAGGCACAGAGATGTTTTGTAACTCACCCACGGTCAGTTAACCAATAAGGGTAGATCTGAGATACAAAACCATGCCATCTCGTCATCGAGAGCTCCCTCTTCCCACTACAGTGTCAATCCATCAGAACAGTTCCAGTTCAGTAGACCCAGTGATCCATGATGGAGCAATTGGGTATTCTGAAGAGTGGGCAGTTCACAAGCAGACATGGATGAAAAGAAATCCCAATTCTTCAGTCAAGATTGACCTTTAAGACTTTCCACAAAGTGGCCTCAACCTCTCGTTCCAGTCTTTTCTTCTCCTCCCCAAGAGCCACGTCAGCATCCTTACATATCAGCTCCCTTCCAAACTTCTCTCTCTTCAGAATGTATTTACCTTTTTCCCCTAAAACCCAATCCTATCCAACTGCTCCAGCAAGATGAAACCTGAAACTTTCTCTGATCTTCTTAGTTGGATGTAAGACGTCATTCTTCTGTAAACACCTATAGCAAGGTTTAAAAATGATGTAACATTATAATAATTATAACTTCCAGTCCTGTAACACAGATATGACAGTGCTTATCATCCTTAGTAGAAAACATGGGATAGTACATAAAGCACCTGTTAACAAACTCCAAGGAGTTACCACAGCACAGTTTTTAAAAAACACGTCTTATCAGCTGGGTGCCGTGGCTCATGCCTGTAGTCCCAGCACTTTGGGAGGCCGAGGCGGGTGGATCACCTGAGGTCAGGAGTTCAAGACCAGCCTGACCAACATGGTGAAATTCTGTCTCTACTAAAAGTACAAAATTAGCCAAGCATGGTGGCACATGCCTGTAATCCCAGCTACTTGGGAGGCTTAGGCAGGAGAATCACTTGAACCCAAGAGGCAGAGGTTGCAGTGAGCCGAGATCGCACCATTGCCCTCCAGCCTGGGCAACAAGAATGAAACTCCAAGTCAAAAAAAAAAAATATGCCTTATCATTGGTAGCTACTACACTGGCTAATGAAATCCAAATATAGCTGCTACCAGTGACAATGATTCCATATTTTGGAGATTCAATAGACTGATGCTAAGAGCACTGCATCTAACTATTGTCTAATATAAAAACTTCTATTTTCTTCCTGTCTCCTTGAGAATCTCAATGTCACAGAGCCAACAAGAGGCAAATTCTAAGTAATTCTTTAGCATGCAAAACGTATGTGCTATTACTCTTCTTTGTCTGGAATTTATTAAACAAGCAGAATCAAGGGAGCAAATCTGAAATTTCTGGAGGAATAAATGGGTGCTGCCACTAATGATCATCTCTGAGGCCTTGTCAGGCATTTGGGAACAAACTTACCAGTCTCCAGCCTGAAAGACACCAAGGAGAAACCTGACAGCTGAGAAGCTCTGATTTCCCTCTCACATGAGGATAAGAGAAACCAGCATGTATTATTTTTTTGGTTGCTTGGATGGTTTTGTTTTTTGTCTTTTTTGAGACTAAGTCTCACTCTGTCACCCAAGCTAGAGTGCAGTAGCGTGATCTCGGCTCACTGCAATCTCTGCCTCCCGGGTCAAGCAACTCTCCTGCCTCCACCTCCAGAGTAGCTTGGATTATGGGCATGCACCTTCATGAACGGCTAATTTTTGTATTTTTGGTAGAGACAGGGTTTCACCATGTTGGCCAAGCTGGTCTCCAACTCCTAGCCTCAAATGATCTGCCCACCTCAGCCTCCCAAAGTGCTGAAATGGGCATGTATTGTTTTTTAACTACCCCAAGAAGGAGAAACAGGCATACATTGCTGTGAATTTGAAAACTTCACCAGAGTACTTTCCTCAAGAATACAGGAATAAGAATCCACTTAAACATTATAGGTTCGCATTAAAATGCCCTTTCAGCATAATTGCAGGAATCCTTGTGAGTGTGTAAGCAGAATACATATATATTGACACCTTTCTGTTCCTCTATTTCATCACTCAGAAAAGGCACGCATTTGCTTTTCACAGAAACCTGGAAAACAGCATTCCTGGAAAAACGATTCTTTGTGTACCTCCCACACTCCTGGCATCCAGCCTTCAAATTTCCATTCTGAATTCCAAAACTACAAAGAGGTTTGGCCATGTAAGTAAACTTGTCATCTAATTTCTAAAGAAGGCTGATTCATTTTTAAGTAATTACATCTATTTAAATTATGAGTCTTATGTTAATCTTATGTTAATAAGCAGACATATAAGCACTTTGGCCAAACAGTCCGTTTATAATGTTTTATTCATTACAAAATCAACATAAATGTTCTGCCCATGTAAACGTGTGTGTGTGTGTGTGTGTATGTGGTGTGTGTGTAATGATTTGTATGGAAACTGTAAGTAAAAATGCACCAACAATGTATTCATAATACTTATATTATCTTCACATACATGCAGTGCCTAAAGTGTAACCGTTCACAAAAATGAATAAAACCACTGCTGAACTAAATATATGTTTATCAGAGAGAAACCTACAAATGCTATGCTTAAGATAGTGACAATTAATATCTGATGTGGCTTAAACAAAAGTGGTAGATTATTACCCTCATCTCAAGTCATCAATTATTACATACAACATATAACTTCTCCAAATGCAAAATGATTCATGTTGCAAATACAATAAAACATAACAATTCAGAGACTAAAGAGAGTTGATTGTCTACATTACTCACAAGTACAATTTTAGAATCTATAGATAAGGTTCATTTTCAAACAAATAATATTTCATTTACTTTTTCCCAATATGTAATGCAAATAAAATATTAAATACTATAAATATTCACTTTGAAGATATTCAGGATTAGAGGATACATATCAATAATACAGCATATATAGATTTCTAGCATTTCATATTCCTCCCCGTGAAAAGAAAAACATTTCATACTATAATTTCACCAGCTTAATAACGTATGTCACAATCTAGAAGATTCATGTGAGACCAAATAAATTTTATATGCTTTCACAATTTCAAATATTCACAATATTTCACAACATCTGAATAAAGCAAAATTTATATGCTTTCAAAGATTTTCTTAAAATCTTTGAAATTGAAAATTCATTTCAATGCTATCATTACTTATTCAATACAAACTACCTTTGAATTGTATTTTTTAAATGCTACTCGAATGCAAAATCACCCCATAACAATTGTTTTGCATCTCAATAATTTATATATTGGGCTCAATATAAGCTGATCCTTTGAGTAATACAATGCATGTAATATTATTGCACAAAATCCTCACAATTCAACTGGTTATTCAATCATTAATTTAGTCCACTAATACAAATGAGATGGGGAAGAAGCAGGTAGTATGTTTATGGGGGAAGGAAGGAAGTGAATGACCCCCAAACAGTCACCTCCAACATAAACACACACTTTCCCTAACCTTATGCCTTGATAAAGACTACACAGACTTTGGCCCCAGTTCTCACCAGCATGGGGCCCTTAGAAGCCTAGAGAACTCCACTTACAGAAAAAGAAAACTAGTACTCGGGGGTGGGAAAATATTGAATCATGCAGAAATGCTTTAGCATCTCCATGGAAAGATCTATCTTAATCTAAAAAGAATTCTGTGCACTTTAACATTTTGCTGAGTAAGCAGTTTTTTCCTAATAAAATTCACTTCCAATCATTTCTTCAAGATGCTTAGATTATTACGATTTCAGGTAGAAATTTGAAGAGTGGCTCTCTCTAAGCGTTAAAACTTACTGGCCAAGGGTTCACAGAACAAAGTTTTGTAAGTGACATTCTGTATTCGAGCGCTATCAATTAAAATTTTTTAAAAGTATACCTAAACAAGTGCTTCTCGGGCCACCTAACCAGGAAGCATAATCTCGGAGGTGTGAACTACCCAACAATGGCAATAAACAAAAGGTCTCTGGCTGATACTACATTCACATAATTGTGGAAGTCCTCACCCACCCACTGCCCAATCTGTTTTCTGGTTCCCAAAAGGCTTCTGAGGGGCAACATCTACTCCTCCCTGCAGCCATGTGCTCCAGGAAGTGCTATGTCCATGCATCTGACATCCCCGTTCCTGCTCAGCCCACACTGGCTTCTCCAGTCCTTGGCTGTTCTTGCAAGCCACCTCCATTGCCAGGAGTGCCTCAGGCAGTATCCTCTCAGGGGCCACCTGGGCTTGGCCTGGGGCTTCCTCAGCACTGACACAGCCAGCACCTCTGCAAAGTGACAGAGGAGGAGCAACTGCCCTTTCCTTCCATAATTGTTCTCCTCTTCCAGGCCCCTGCCCATTTTTCTGTTCCTGGCCCTGAAACCCAAAGACCCCCTCTTTCTTTGAATGACAACCTCTGGGCCTACTGGCCTAAGTCAAAGGCTGGGCAGCCTGGGCATTTCTGTGGATTTTGTTTTCAGTATCTTGTGAAATGTTTTACTCTTTACAAAATGCATGCTTCCTTCCTTTCCTCTCCTCAAAGGCAGGCTGTCCAGGGAGTTAAGCTCGCCTGAGCAGACCCTTTTCTCAAGAATATTCCATCATGCCTGGGTCCCCAGTAACACAGAGTTCATTCATATTTTCCTTCCCTCTCCTTGTCCTCCCTGCACTAGGTTGGCTGACTTTGGAAGATCCCTCCATACAAACCATTTGCCTGGGTACGGAGAAATGATATCATGTCAAGGTGGTTAAACAGGCACAGAATTTTAGGGGATAAATATGAAAGCATACAGACAAAAACATACAGACATCACCCACAGAACTCTACAGGGAAAAGGCAGCATGGGATGGCATCCTAGGAAAGCAGCAACAGTTTGAGTGGACACAGAATTCTATTTTTGCCAAGATTTGTAATTTGTGGCAGCAGGACATTTATGGGAACATGTCATACAGGGACACCTTGGCCTGGAAATCATCTATTTATAAAACAGGTCTAGGTTTAGGACCAAGAATAAGGCAATCCCCGTACCTTTGGCTTCCTGAGAACTTTCAAATTACTTCGCCTAAAAATGGAGAAGCTCCTCAAAGAGCTGCAGTGAGTTGATCACTTGGCTAATATTTATAAACCAAGAAAATCCACATGCTATGAAAAAGATCCATGACTAAAAGATTATTACAAGTATATTCTCTCCCACCAGCCAGCCCTCATTCATCACCTTCTCAAATATCCAGTAATTTAATCAAAGGCACTTTTGAACCACCAAATAGGTCATTTTATTTTAGAACCTTTGGGTCTGTGGTAGGCCAAGACTTTAATGTCCTTCTGTCCCCCTGAAATATATAAATGGCTTTACTACATGAAAAAGAGCTGTTCATCGGTAACTGTGAGAACTCCAAGCTGTTTCACACCCAAAGAGAATTGTCACTTGGATTTCAGTGGAAAGTTCTCATGCAACAGCAAGGGTACTGAAACAATCTAGATTGTTGGGGAAGACCTGGAGATAAGGAGACTCACAGTCATCTTACTATACTATTTCTAAGGTTAAGAAGATCTGATTCTTCATCTTCTAAAGAAAAATACAACCATTAATGCCAGCAGTGATGGTGGTGGTGGCAGTGGTGTTCTCAAAGCATATCTTGTTTCTGTGTCATGCTGGTTCCGGAAGACTTTTAATGCATCTATGGAGTTTCCAGTTTTCAAATGATTACTAATGGGGAGAGAAGAAGGCCCCAGCCTAGGGCTTTCTCTTCTGCTCTATCTACAGGAATTCTTACCTCCCCCTTGGTTCCTGTGGCCCCCACTACAGCCATGGCCCACCCCAAATGCTGCTAGGAAGAGCCAGACCACAGCCTGCCATAGAAAATGTCCTCCCTGTGAACTGAGGCCCCACTGCCACTCAGACACAGGCACACTGAAGAGAGAAAAACAATAACTGCACTGACTGTACACCTCTCAGTACAATGAAAATGACTGAGGTTCAAACCAAAGCTGATCTACATACAGGTCATGTCATCTGGGACCAGTTATTTCATGTACCTGAGTTTTAAGATGAGGATAATAATTCTCATCTTATGAGGATTAAACAAATTCCATCTTAAAGTACTTAGAATTAGAGAGTGCTCAATATATATTTTTCTTTTCTGTGATGATACAATTTGCCCCAGTTATACGAACAGCTGACCATGAAATGCCAGTCGACGTCAAGGCGGCACAAAATTATTTACTAAATGGCAGAATTTTGTAGAAGTATTTACTACTTCATTGTAGTAAATAGCATCTTGGCGCCTGAAAGCAGTTAAGGTGATTTCCCAAAGTACCTATTTTACTACCAGTGAATTGCCTAGAATCCAGACTGGCATAACTTTCTCCAAATACCAAAGGGAGTAGAGCTTTTATTACAAAAACAAACACAAACTACCAGACAGGCAAACATTCCCTTGTACTTTTAACTTGCTCTGTATACACTTGAAGAAATAGCATTCGGTTCACAAAAGATAGAAACAAAATAATTTTTCTGAATGGCACATTGGTAAAGACCCTGACAACAAATTGCCTAGGTCTAAATCTCAGCCGTGCCAATAGCAGTGTGACCTTGGGCAAGTTACTTTACCTCTGTGCTTCTGTTTCATCATCAGTAAAATGAGGATAATACCACCAGCCTGAATGGGTTGCTATGAGGATTAAATGAGGTAAGATAGCCTCTCCAACTCAGTGGCAGTGATCCTTACCTAAAAATCAATTTTCTGCAAGAAAACACTGAAACTGTGCCACTTTTAAGTGGAAAAACTTGTAACACATCTACCAAGATACTCAACCAGTTTCTAAAACATACACAACAAAACTCCCATGTCGAATAAAGAAACTATCATGTTGGAATACAAAACGCTTAAAATGCTATTAACTGAAGACCAGTTAGTAAGATTATGAGTTGCTTCTAGGCAGTGACAGTGGCATATATCCTCTTAGCTGACACTGTGTATTGTTTTCAACATGTCACTTGAGATATTTCCCCCACATTTAGGTTAAAATGTTTTATTGGGTTTGAAGACATAAATATTAATTTTCTCTATAGAAGATATTAAGTAAAAAATGTTTTGCTGAAAGACTTGTGTTCTATGAAGCTTAAGTATTAAAAAGAAATATTCTTACTATGGAAATACATTCACCAAGGTGGAGATTCTGCAAAGCTTGTCAATATCTGTAAAGCATATGGTAGCAAGCACAAGAAAGACAGCTACAAAAAATTAACAACTGCGACTATTACAAAAAAGCCTAAAATATCTGACTAATTCCAAAATGTACAATTTTTAACATTTTTCTACATATAAAGCGACAGCCATGTTTGGGAATTTCACAAATTGTGCTCCCTGGAACAATGGTAATAACTATTCTGAAAAAAAAAATAATGGCTTCTAGGTCAAAAAAAATTTGGAATATGCTACTTGCTACAAAGTCTCTGCATCTCTCTTTTAGAGATTCAAAATATTCACCAGGATATTATATGTTACAAGAAGTCCTGCAGTAAACTATTTTTTTTTCCCAGAAACTCATCGCTTGCTAACTGCAGTAAACTTTGTTTACACCAAATATTGAACCACAAAACTCTTTTTAATGGAACACCTGTTAACAGTGTCCAACACACAATTTTGAAACAGGGATCTAAACCCAATTTATGGAAGAAATTTTGCTTTAAGTGGATTAACAAAGTATTAGTCTCTCCTGAGATGTGTAAATAGCTATAAGAATGGGCCTTTCATTTTAAGAGCTGCTACCCTGGACTTTGCCTTCAAGCCTCAGGCTTCAAGCTAAGTTTAAAAGGGGATTAGTCTTTTTCCTCTCCCTGCAAAATGGAGATGACACAATTTTCAATCTATAACATAGGGGATGGGAAAATTAGTGAAGGTTTATTTCCCTAAATTACACTAAAATCTTAGCAATTCAGTGATCTGACAAAGCATCCCATCATTTCTACAGACAAATGATTTAAATTTATGCATTAAGTCCCCACAAAAACAGTGGCAGTCCTAAGCTGAAGATACAAAGTATTTTAAAGAAATATAAACGTGTTCTTATCTGAAAGTACTGTTAAAAGAAAGTTCCCTCATTTAAGGGAAAAACATTGTCCACCACCCGCCCCACCCACCTACAGCTCAGAGGGCTTCCTAGTCACGTATCCTCTCCCTTTCTTTGAAGTGTGGCAAAAAGCAAATAGATTTTAGTAATAAGTATAGTGAGGTGAAAGTTTCTAAAAAAGAAAGAAAGGAAATCCTACACTGATGCTATTTAAGTATGTGAAGTCTCAATGATAACAGTTATTAGATGACTGCTAAATGTAACTACTGTACTGGGATTAGAAAAACCAAGTAACTTAAATACTGGCAATTAATTTTTGTATAGCCTCTGGGATGTTTTTCACAGGTAACATGTGATCTCAAAAAAATAGTACTCTAAAATACTGCATCTGTGTCCCATAGTCCCTTAGAGTAAATATCACTGGATGTAAACAAACAAGGGCCTTTGGCAACTTGGCTGCCAACAAATGAAGGCAGCAGCTTAATTTATTACACTACACAGAATAATAGCTAACTAACATTTCACAAGAACTTCCTATAGACCCTGTTAGGTACTTTAAAAGAGTGTCTCGTTTCTCAGTACTCTATTCTTCCCAAATTCAAACTGGCATTTGTGTCTAAAATCTAAATTTACATACTTTTTGGAAAACATTTTTGAGAATCAAGCATAATTTTTAGCAGGGGAAAAAAAGACTGTATAATAAAGTGTCCTGCAAACAATAAATACCCAATCCTTCGAAAATATCAAGTATCAATCAATTCACAAATATTGTTGAGTTCTATTATATATGGGGAATTGAATCTATATAGTGCTTAGGATAAAGAATAATACCGGGCCCCTGCATGAGGCATTTATGTTCGTGATGAACGAAAAGATTATCCAATATAAAGTTACCAACAAAGCAAGGCTAAGAGATAAATGCACATAGGATACGCATTTATATACAGATGGAGATTTTAAAGTCAAGCTCCAGGGTAAGGGGATTCTGTATAAGAGAAGCAAGCAAGAAGATCAGGAAAGGCAGGTAAGGCCAGATACAAAGAGACTAGAATGACATCTGGGTAGCTTTTCACCAAAGATAACCACAATCAACTCCTTCCCCTCCCTCTGTGTGCAAGCCATTCCCTCATTGAGAAGTGTATCCTATTCCTCCATCCTCTCGAATCTAGGTTGGCCTATGATTAATTGGCCAATAGAACACAGCCAAGTGACAATGAGTAACTTCTGAGGTCATGAGAAGCCTGGTAGCTTCCTCCTGGACTTCTCGAAATCCTCGCTCTGGGGTAAACCTGCAAGAATGTCAGAAGTCTGATTACCTGGCTACTGCTGTACTCTCAGGGAGCCCAAGCCATCCAGAAAATGCAGGAGGAGAAATGCAGGAGATAACCAACCAGCACAAGTGCCAAACAAAGGTGTACATGAAGAAGGCTCTGACGACCCCATCTTGCATGATAAAGCCCAAGAAAGAACTTGATTGTGATCCTCCAGAATCAGAAAAGAAAACTGGTATTTTTAGCCCCTAAGTTTTGGAATGGTATGTTTCACAGAAACAGACAACTGAAACCACCACCTTCTCCTTCAGGATAGGGGTCACACACTGGTAGTGCCTGGGTCAGATCCATCCTGCAGATGGGATTTTTTTTTTTTTTTAGTCAGTATTTTGGAAATTCTAGCTAACATTTTCTACCAAAACCCACATTTTTCTGAGGCCTGCAATTTCTAGTCATCCACTTCATTCATTTACTACCTGTCAGGCCTCTATTGATTCTTCTGTAAATAAACCTTGTTCTAAGAAAATAACAGGAGACAAAGGATTAATAATGCACTTATACAATTGCCTAAATATATCCAGTGTGATGACACTGTGTGATTACACTATAATAGAAAATAATTCAGAAATGCTGTAATTCCAAAGAAATTCAGTCTGGAAACATTAAAATACATCCCCATTTTCAATAATAAATAAAAAATTAACAACCAATAATTTATCTTTAAAAAAGACACTATATACATTTATTCCTAAGTTCACCTAAAAATATTCCATCAGATGATATACCATAACTTTGTATTATTTGGACAATGAGAAATAACAGGCACACACTTAGTAACCTTAGTAAAAACATTAATTATAGAATACGTTGATCGAGTTACATGTTTCTAGCCCACCTATAAATAGCCTGAGTTGCTTTCAACTTTCAGTTACCAACTTACCTTTTCTTACTCAAACTTAATCTCAATTACTCAACTACAAATTCTTTGAAAGTTTTATTCCTCAAAAGAAAGAACCATGCAAGACTTCCTAAATATGATACTAAAAAAGTTGTTTTAGAACCCAATTGAGATGCACTGCAAACTCCTTCAGAGCAGGAATTTGTACACTTATTTTTTTCTAGGCTTATCATTTGTACCTAGCAAAGACCTTCACTGTTGTTTAAACATGTATTCATTTTCAAAAAATAATTTAAAATTTAAGATATCCCATGTTTACATGTCCTTAAAGCCTTTCTGAGTTACCCAAATCTCTAAATATGATTTTAATTTTATGCTGTTCAATCAATAATTCCTATTATTTTCCTCAAATATAGATGGTATCTGACAGTCATTAGCATTCAGAAATAAGCCAGATCTCTACAGCCAAACCACCAAAATTTCAAAATTCTTGTTAGTGTGAATTGCAAGATTTTTCTACAGAATTCTAATTTTATAGCAGCATGGTGTTAAAGCACTTTTTTTTTTTTTTTTGGGTTGGGAGGGGAACGTAGTCTTGCTCTTTCACCCAGGCTGGAGTGCAGTAACGAGATCTTGGCTAACTGCAACCTCCATTTCAGGGTTCAAGCCATTCTCCTGCCTCAGCCTCCCGAGTAGCGTGTACCACCACGCCCAGTTTTTTTTTTTTTTTTTTTTGAGACGGAGTTTTGTTCTTGTCACCCAAGCTGGAGTGCAATGGCAATCTCGGCTCACTGCAACCTCCGCCTAATGGGTTCAAGTAATTCTCCTGCCTCAGCCTCCCGAGTAGCTGGGATTACAGGCATGCACCACCATGCCAGACTAATTTTTTTATTTTTAGTAGAGACGGGGTTTCGCCACGTTGGCCAGGCTGGTCTTGAATCACTGACCTCAGGTGATCCACCCACCTTGGCATCCCAAAGTGCTGGGATTACAGGCATGAGCCACACGCCCGGCCTAAGGCCTGGCTAATTTTTGTATTTTTAGTAGAGATAGGGTTTCACCATATTGGCCAGGCTGGTCTCGAACTCCTGACCTTGCAATCCACCAACCTCGGCCTCCCAAAGTGCTGGGATTCACAGGCATGAGCCACCACACCCAGCCGAAGCACTTCTTACTTTACTAAATTAATTACATTATACAGCTATAATCTGATTCATCTAAAGTCACAAGAATGTATGTCATTTTCCACCTTCCTAAATACTCCCAAATCAATGACAAATGTAGACAAGTACATAATCCCTAATAGAAGACAGGCACATGTTTAGGAGACAAAGGCATATTTATTGGAGTATACAAAGCTCCCAGGTGCCTGGGGAAGGACATTGTACTAAAGTAAGATAAAACTAGAAGCAGAAAAAAATCAGAACTTTTACATCTCAGATCACAAAAGTCTGGAGAGGCAACAAAGAAACAACAGAAACCCCCAACTTAGTTGAAGATTTTATTTGGGTTGGAAAAGTTTATTTCCAAACCTGTAGTTGGGAACTTGGAATCCATTTTCCTACAGCAATGGTGCTACAAATAAATGCTGTTTTAAGTTTTCTGGCTAGTAAAAAGAAATTAATCCATAATATGGTAGAATTATAGAATGAATATCTCCATGGAATTTAAATATCATTTTTGCTATTTCTCCCCTAGGAAAAATGGCTTCTGCATTTCTAATTGCATACAGCTCTATCCTCCCCTCTACTTCATCCTTTCGCTAGTTACGTCCACACCCACCAAAAAAGTCCCCAGTCTCTTAGAGGTGGAAGCAAAGCAGCCTGCTTTTATGAGCCTTTTGTAAGCAGGAACTACTGTGTTGATAAGAACTTGAAATGCAAGTGTAGGGAGGAACTGGAGAACTGACTAGGAGGACATAGCTTCCTAGCCTACAGCCTGGAGCATGTAAGCAAGTTTATTATGTATTCTATAGATGAGGAGAAAGACTAACAGTACAGTTTTCAAATTTTTGTACTAAATGGGAAGGAGATGGGGCACAGAGCTTAAGAAGAACTGGGTGAAGGGAACACATCCCCCAGATCTCTGCCACAGATATACATTCAGCTGAACTCTGCCCCATGAAACATCACTTCTTGGTTATGAGAACAGCCTAATCAAGAACAGCTGTTTTATATAAATAAATTTTAAGGGCACAAATGTATAACAATTATTCTTTTCTCAAATACTTAGCTATAATGATACATTGGTACTTTTACCTGCAAGTATTGAGATAACCTAAAGTCAATTTGCTCTTTGAGGAACAGGTGCAAATAACTTTTCCTTGCTCTACACTAGATGATTTTCCATCTTATTAAGAGTAACAAACACTCTGCAACTTTATAGCTACCCAAACTGAAGCATTAAAGGTATTCAAAACAGTCACCTGGGCCTAACAAGAGTTCAATACCTTTAAACACTTTTTTAGGGTACTTTTTGGATATTAAATGTAGTATTGAAATAATGTGAGCTATTTATATAACTTATCCCACTATTAGTTTTAAAATAAAGGCATTATACTGCATATGCATTAGAAGCAAACATTCATTTCCCAAATGACTTACAAATTAATCACAACAATGCTTTCCTATACTATTTCCAAATTAATTCACCAACAGGTAACAGTCTGACTGCCCTTTATCATCATCGAAAACACGTACTTTATGTCAAGCACTCATGTAAGTATGTTACATATGTTGACTCAGTCAATCCTTAAAATAAGTCTTGAGTTAGGTATTATTATTCCCAGTGTGCAGAAGGAAACAAAAAAATTGAGGCCCTGAAACATTAAATAGCCCAGAGTCACAAGCTGCTACATGAAAGAAGCAGGACTTCAACCCAGGCAATCTAGCTCCAAAATCTGTGTATGCAATCACTACGCCTCCTCCCACTTACACTCATTCATTCATTCAATCTTTTAGTAACTACCTAAAGTGAACTAAGCACTTTGCCAAGGCTTAGGTATAAAGGAACACCCCTCCCTTAAAAAAAAAAAAAAGACAGGCAAAGTTCTCACCCTCAATGAACTTACATCTGAGTATATAATAAAAAAGTAAAATTCAAATTAAACTCAAAAGTTTACTATGACAACTCTGGTTAAGTGAAATGAAGTGAAATGTCTGGGGAAATTTTAAGATACTGTACAGAAAAGGATTTAGTAATAATGTTCATCTGCATAATTTTTTAACATTCTCAAACGTTACACATTTGATCTTCATGATTAACTTTGCGAAGCAGGAAGGGCATCATTACACGATATGATTTCATAAATGAGGAAACAGATAAATGTGTCATGTCCTAAATATCTTAGCAAAGATGCCACATCCTTTGTCCAGGAATCTCACTACCCACAGACCCTGCTTTTCTAAAAAGATCCAGAACAAGCCAGATCATAAGCTGCCTGGGGTTGTACTATGGCCTGTTCAAAAAGATTAACTGGAAAAATCTGATGTCCTTTCAAAAATGTGAAATTAAGGCCGGGCGCGGTGGCTCACGCCTATAATCCCCACACTTTGGGAGGCTGAGGTGGGCAGATCGTGAGGTCAGGAGTTCGAGAACAGCCTGACTAACATGGTGAAACCCCATCTCTACTAAAAATACAAAAATTAGCCAGGCGTAGTGGCAGGTGCCTGTAATCTCAGCTACTCAGGAGGCTGAGGCAGGAGAATCACTTGAACCTGGGAGGTGGAGGTTGCAGTGGGCTGAGATCATGCCACTGCACTCCAGCCTGGGTGACAGAGCGAGATTCCATCTCAAATAAAAAAAAACAAAAAACAAAAAACTGAAATTAGGAAATAAAGAGATGGGTCAGTTAGCTATGAAATGTAAGATGACTCAGGAGGTAACCAGGCTGGGCATCCATCAGGAGCCAAAAGCTCAAGCTGAAATGATGAGATTAGAAAGCCAGTGGGTAGAAAAGAATTGAGAGTCTCCAAGAGAACAGAAATGCCATGAGTGTCCCCATATGACCAGCTGCTGAGGGAAGAAGAGATGCCTCCTTTCCCTATGACCCAGATCCCTGTAACAAACCTCATTTCCCATAAGGAAACCTCAGTGTTCTTTGCAGCCAAAAGGCAACTACCAAATGCATATGAAAAGGAGATGAGGTTTCATACTCTCTTTCAACACAGAAATTCAGATACTTAGTGGACTTAAGTATGGAAAAAAACTACAGGTAGTAACTGGTCACACGGGTCTCCATGGTTTCTGTTTATTTCTTGCAAAAAAAAGGATAAACTTGGCCAGCTCACAGCAACAAACATGGAAGTCAAAAGAATGTGCCTTCAGAAAGATCTAGACATCCCTTCCGTTCCTCCTGCCCTAATCCATGCCCAATACCCTGACTCATCCCCACTCTCCTCAAATAATGAGAGTTCTTATTCTCTATCCCTTTTTTATCGAAAGAAAATAGAAAAGCCCATTAAATATCAACTGAATAAAACATTTAGAACAAACCATCTCTCTCAAAATATTCGTATGAAATGAAAGGGTGGGCACAGGACAGAGGGCACCTACAGCAGGGTTCAGGAGAGGATTGTTGTCATACCTGGTCTAGCAACCCCAAACCTACAGAGTGATCCATGCTGTTAGTGACTCCCACTGAGACCCACAGCCTACAGGCCTCATCACAGTGACACCACTAGGATGATGACAGAGCTTTCTCAGGGCTCTTGGACAGAACAGAATCAAGAAGAGGCAGGAGGGCCAGGCACAGTGGCTCACGCCTGTAATCCCAGCACTTTGGGAGGCCTAGGCGGGTGGATCACCTGAGGTCAGGAGTTCGAGACCAGCCTGGCCAACATGGCAAAACCCCGTCTCTACTGAAAACACAAAAATTAGACGGGTGTGGTGGCGCACGCCTGTAATCCCAGCTACTGGGGAAGCTAAGGCAGGAGAATTGCTTCAACCCAGGAGACAGAAATTGCAGTGAGCCGAGATTGCGCCATGCACTGCAGCCTGGTGACAGAGCGAGACTCCATCTCCAAAACAAAAAAAAAAAGAAGAAGAAAAAGAGGCAGGAGAAAGAAGACAGCCACAGGGCATGGACCTCACAGATTCATGAGCAAGGAGTAGAGGGAACTATCCCTGTGGCCAGGGACAGCCTTGGCCTCTAGGGTGCTGGGTTCTTTTTCTAATTTGTGAGACAGATGTTTACAGCCAGTGGGGAATTAAAACAGAAGAGTGAAACAGATAATTTGTTCTGGCAATGAGTCCAATTATCAAAAACGAGTTAAGCCTAACACCCATGCAGTCCAGTAGCAATCATGTGCATCATTAAATGCATCAATTGTTACGAGTCTTTATTGCTTCAACACTTGTAGAAGTATGATAAATAATAACAGAACTCAAAATATTAGAAAATTCATAAAATATGAAAGCAAGCCCCACTTAGAAGAGACAAGGCAGCACAGTGCAATCGTACAATGCAGAAGTAATAAATGTGCCGTGGACAACAAAGCAAATGTTCAACAAGTTTCTCTAGGAAGGTGTGGGTGGGGATGGTTCTGATAATCTCTAAATCCTTATATTCGAAAGGCATAAACTTAATTAAAAGTTCTATGAAGATAATATAACTTTAATAGGCCCACAAAAATCACAGGTCTCGTCAATGAGAGGAATCAAAAGGCAAATATCACATGTCTGTGAATGAACCTAAGACTTCCCCAGTTGGACACCGGGTGCAACCTCTAATAATTCAAGAAGAAACTATGGATAGGGTTTTTAAACCACAGTGAAGAAAATGCCTTTACAAAGGACTCTTATGTCATGAAATTGAAGAAGAGATTGATCTGGAAAACAATTATCCCCATGGACAGGTTTAAATCCATTTAGTCACTAAATTCTATGAAATTAGAATGAGGAAATACGCTTTAGAAGCTAAGGTTAGAAAAAATAAAATTTAAATATTACACAATTGCATTATAAAAACTCATTACCATCCCTTTTTTTCAACAACAAAAAAATATATATATATGATCAGGTAATAATACACTAATTCAGAATGAAGAAACTTTTTAAATGGTATACTACATAGGTTTTTAAAATCCTGTGAAGATTCATGTAAAAACACTGAACTAATCAAGACAGCCAGCCATGTTCTTACTTTAATGTTTATCTCAAAAAGATATTTCTCAAAACTGAGCTTCAGGCCAGGCGTGAGGGCTCACACCTATAATCCTAGCACTCTGGGAGGGCGAGGCAGGCGGATCACTTGAGGTCAGGAGTTCAAGACCAGCCTGGCCAACATGGTGAAACCCCATCTTCACTAAATATACAAAAATTAGCCAGGCATGGTAGCAGGCACCTGTAATCCCAGCTACTGGGGAGCCTGAGGCATGAGAATCGCTTGAACCTGGGAGGTGGAGGCTGCAGTGTGCCAAGATGACCCCACTGCACTCCAACCTGGGTGACACAGCGAGACTCAGTATCTGAAAACAAAAAACAAACAAAAAAAAACTGAGCTTCATGTCTCGCTCAACTTACCCCAGCCCCCTTATGCCCCTCTGCAAGTCCTCCCTATCTAAATTAATGATCACTTTAACATTACAAGTTTCTTAGGGCAAAAACCTTGAATCTTCAGGTATTCTCATTTGTCCATCTCCTACAGGCCCTAATGTCAAAAGATTCCACTGCTCACCCCGTTCATTACTAAAACAACTGAAACCCTGGCCCAAACCACCACTGCCTTAACCTATTAAGCAGTACCACTGCTTCTACACTCTATAATCAATATAACAGCCAGAGGGACCTTTTAAATGTGCTCTCTTCCTCCACTGCTCAAAACCCACTCCCTCAATGGCTTCCCATCTTACTTTCAGCAAAAACTCAAGTCCTCAAATGTTCTATAAGGTTATCAACTCCCACCTTGCTTTCTTCTTCCTCCCTCCTCCTTATCCTGACCCCTGCAGTCATGCAGGGCTCTTTGCTCTCTGGGTGCTTGGTTTCAGACTTACTCTATCTAGGCTTATGGCTTCTACACTCTCTACCCACTATCTGCCTTAAAAACTCTTCTTCTAATTCTTGCCCCCAGATATTTTGGGGCTCACCTGTCACCTGCTCAGGTCTTTATTTTCCCCTCCAGGCTACCCTCCCTGCACCCAGATGTTTGTCTGGTTTATTTCCCCCCATTACAACCCCAGTATTTAAACAATTGCCTGACACACAGTAAGAGAGAGCTCTTATATGTGGAATGACTGAATGATTATGCTTGCAGAACCAAGGAATGGGTGAGACATGAACAAGTCAAGAACTGAGATAAGCTTATAAAGATGATAGTCCTCTTCCATTTGGCATGCTGGGCAGTAGTAGTTCTTAAAGCAGAGGAAGGAAGCATGGAGACAGGAGTGAGTCCAGCTGCCAAAAGAGGATCCACCCACATTCTATCTTGCCATAGAGTCAATATTTGCAGACCTCAATGCCCATCAATACCCCCCAAGAAAGGCCTGGTATAGGCAATTGTTACCAGTTCAAATCATAAATGGTGCTATGGATCAGGATGATATTTCCAAGGTCTTTCAAACTTCAAAGGCCTAAACTTTTACATTATGGTTCATTCTCAAATATGTCATTTTTTAAGCATATGGATAATGCCCATGTTTCTTAACACATGACAAAATAATATTCAGAAAAACGCTTCTGAAACAAGGGAGAATATTCTATATCCTGCAAAACTCAATCCTTTCTTTCCTTTTCTTTACCTAGTATTAAGGAAAGTAGCAGCTAGCTACAAACCAGACACTCTTCTATGGGCTTGACAGAGGTCATCCCACTCAGTTGTCTTAATCAGGTGAGTAATATTATGAAGTTCAATTTATGGGTAGAGAGATAACTCCTCCAAGGTCACACTGCTAATGAATGAGAGAGCTGGGATATGACCCCAGACAGGTTGGCCCCAGAACCCAGGGTTTCTGGGTTTATGTCACCCCTGTGTAGTGCCTCTTGTTTCTGCCTACCCAATACCAATGGCAAGTTGGGTCAACAAGACCTTACATGATGAATGCCATACATTTATTCAGAGAAGGCATAAAAATATCTCACTCATCAGTCCATTCAGTTAGCTAAGGAATTAAAAGGCCCAATAAAAAAGGTTACTTGACATTCATATTAAAATATTAGCAAAAAATATGCAAAGCAAACAACCATTTCTCTTAAAATGGGAAGGTAAGAGAGAACAGTAAGAATAGACAAAACACAATATTCTTCGAAAAAATTCTTTTCAAAACTAAATATTAAGAAGCCTGCTTGAAAAACAAGTAAACAAAGTCTTATAAATATAGCTACTCATAAAAAGTGGTTTCCTTTGGAAACATTCAACTGTGTACAAGTCGGCCATGACAACTAATGTTAACATATTTCTTCAAATCCTCATGTTTTGAGGAGGAAACATACAAAAGAAAAACAGGATTCTATAAAGGGAGAGGCTCTAACCAGGAGTGGGAGGAATTCCTTAATCTGACATTCAATGACTGTTTTCTGATAAAGAGGGATAATGGAATGGAGAAAATTTAGCTAACAAATTACTTCCAAAAATATTAATTCCCTACTATCTCAGCTTTTCAAAAGACCAAATGGTAATAAAAAAGGACATGGAGCCGGGTGCAGTGGCTCATGCCTGTAATCTCGGCACTTTGGGAGGATGAGGTGGGCAGATCATCTGAGGTCAGGAGTTCGAGACCAGCCTGGTCAACATGGTGAAACCCCGTCTCTACTAAAAATACAAAAATTAGCCAGGGGTGGTGGCACTCGCCTGTAATCCCAGCTGCTTGGGAGGCTGAAGCAGGAGAATCACTTGAGCCTGGAGACGGAGGTTGCAGTGAGCCCAGATCGTGCCACGGCATTCCAGCCTGGGTGACAGAGTAAGACTCTGTCTCAAAAAAAAAAAAAAAAAAAAAAGACTTGGTATGGCTAGGCTAAAAATCAAACACTTTCAGGCTGGGCGCAGTGGCTCATGCCTGTAATCCCAGCACTTTGGGGGGCCAAGGTGGGCAGATCACCTGAAGTCGGGAGTTCGAGACCAGCCTGACCAACATGGAGAAACCCCGACTCCACTAAAAAAAAAAAATACAAAATTAGCCAGGCGTGGTGGTGCATGCCTGTGGTCCCAGCTACTATAGAGGCTGAGGCAGGAGAATAGCTTGAACCTGGGAGGCAGAGGTTGTGGTGAGCCAAGAGTGCGCCATTGTGCTCCAGCCTGAGCAACAAGAACAAAACTCCATCTCGAAAAAAAAAAGGAAACAATTTTCAATAAATACGCTAAGTCATACACATATGTATAAATGGCATTATAAAGACATGAATTCATCTCATGAACTAAATATTGGATTAAATATTTCAAAGAACATATTACTTACAGACAAAATCTTGTGATAAGAAAAGTTATACTTCCGTGCTATCTTCTATAATTTTTAAATGGGTAGGAGGAAATGCAGAATCTAATTTAGCTTTTATTTTTTATTTATTTATTTATTTTTTGAGACAGGGTCTCACTCCCTCACCCAGGCTGGAGTGCAGTGGCGTGATCTCAGCTCACTGCAATCTCTGCTCCACCAGCCTCAAGTGATCCTCACACTTCAGCCTCCTGAGTAGCTGGGACCACGGGCATGCACTACCATTTCTAGTTTGTTTGTGGTTTCTTGTTTTTTTTTTTTTTTTTGTATTTTTGGTAGAGCTGTGGGGGCGGGGGTCTTTTTTTTGCCCAGGCTGGTCTCTAACTCCTGAGCTCAAGCAATCCACCCACCTCAGCTTCCCAAAGTGCTGAGATGACAGGTGTGAGCCATCACACCCAGCCTAATGTAGCCTTTTTAAGAGTTTTGTTTTGTTTTTACTTTTTGGAGAACTTCTTTAAATAGGCATCAACCATCAACCTTGCACCTTGGAGCAGCTTCCCAGGGCTTAAAACAACACCTGACCAACCCAGCCAAAGCCAAAGCCAAAGTCCAGTTCACCGCCCCGAAACCACTATCACCATTCTTAGGTGGTCACCGAGGACCCCATCCCACCTTCAAATCCTCCTTCCTTCTATCCATCCCCTCCCCCATAGCAATTACAGTATCTCAATCCTTTCAGGCTAAACAGGGTATCTCCCAAAACAACAACAAGTTTATCTGATTCGTTAGCCCTTAAGGGTAAAAGCCATTGAAAACTAGCCCTACTCCCTCCTTCCTCCCTGCCCTCAAACCAGGCTCCCATCTTCTCCGGTCAATATCAGGAACGATCCCTAGAACTAATTCAGTGGTGGGAAGTTGGGTCTGGTATGGGCAGGCTACGTGACAGCCAGCAAAGGAGCTCACCTGGAGCTGTGGCCCCACACAGGGCACTTGCCGTGTGGGCAGCTGCCCACCCTGCCACCTTAGTGCCTCTTGGTTCTGCTTCAGCCTAGGCAGAGAATGATCTGATCCTCTCTTATTCTCTCAACCCACTCAAGTATGGGCCACCCACACTGCAAACACAGAATAATGAGTCTCCAGAACTGGAGATGCAGCCCCAGACAAAGGCCTAGAACTCCAGACCTTCCAAAAACTTAACTAATCCCTGGGGTTTGAGTCCTACGTGAAAATGAGAGGTTAGGACTCAGTCCTTAAGGTCCTTTCCATTCTCACAATCAAGATCCAAGATTCAGCTCAGGTCCTCAGGCCATTCAGCCTAAAGTCGGAGAATGTCCTGAGCTTGTATAATTTTGGCAATTTTGACTGACATGTGGAATCCAAGTTATGGCTGGGTATGGGGTTGGTGTTGCAGGCTGCTTTACTGCTTAATGATTACTAATACATTACAGAAAAATGGATGAAAACACTTCAAGATCTCTTGATTTAATGATTTAACATTAAGTCATTTAAAATGATGGAAAATGAAATGGTAACACAGCTAAGGCACAAGCACCAAATCTTTTTTATCTTTGGAAATGAATTCATTCAATGAAATACATACTGTGGATGCTATGTGAGAAACAGTTCCCGTCAGCTGGGAGTCTAACACTGAGTATTACAGCCATTCCTTTGATTTTTCTCCCTCCCTCATATTTGGAGATTTTAAAACAAATGAAAGGCAGCATTATTTCAGCTTAAGGCACAGGCATAAGTCACATAAGAACAAAGAAGGTTTTATTATCACATTAAGCATTGAGGAGGAAATGTGCTTACCGATAACTAATTTAGTGTTCTAGGCTATTAGGTTAGTATTTGCTTCTTGCAATCTTCTAGGCCAATATTTACTATTTATATCTTGATGGAGGTAAAAATGTTCAGCTAGTGAGAAGGTCATTAAGGAGAGAAAGAAAAAAAAAAGCCCTTGGAAAATGGAACAAAGTACACAGATAGGGAGAAAGGTACCCTTTGCGCCTCAGTGGTCTATAGAACATTTGCCCTCTCTGCCTATAAAGTGATTTAACATTAACCACATTTCACTCCAGCAGCAGAGTGCTATCTCCTGACAAAAACTCCTTTTTGAAAGCCTGGGGGAAAAAAAATCCACATACACAAAAGAATGTGAAACATATTGCCACAGGCCAGTGTCTTGGGCTTTTTGCCTAAGAGGTTTGCTTTCAGCAAAGAGAGGGGGGAAAAAAAACACTCTAACAACAACAGCTTGTACAGTACAGTGAACAGCCTCCCTGCTTTTTGGCAGACTTTCCCAGCGAACAGTTCCAGTGGCAGTGCCTTGAGCCCATTCAAGAATTCCATTTCATAGGAAAGGAAGTGTTTCAGATAGACCTATTTGATCTTTCAGCATGTGCAAATGCACCTGCTAAATAGCTAGTCTGACAGCCCATATAGCCCTCTCCCCAGTTCCTTCTTCTCTGTCTTCACCAGTAATCATATGGGTTATTTCAGACTTGGACTAGGTGAGATGAAAAGTACATAAAAATCACGCCAAACGTTGCTACTGCTGCTGCACGAGCTCAGGCTCGACGTGCAGATGGAATTCCCTTCTCCCCACGCCAACTTCCCTGTCACTTTCTTCCTGGAGCAGGTAAGAGGGTTTTGTTTTGTTTTCAGCTTCCGAAGGCTTACCTCGAGGTGGCTTCCTCCCCTGCCTTTGCATGGCTGTTCCCGACGGTCTGGTCCTTGCCGCTGGGGTGGTAGGCTGTTAGTACCACTCCCTGGGAACTGGAGAGCCAGCTCATGGTGAGAGAAGGGACATACTTTCTGCGATCCTGACACAGAGAAGGGGAAAGAAGTTCCTGTCTCGCCTGGCAACTCGCTCATTAGCATTGGCCAGCTCCTCCCCGCAGGCTGGCGATTCACACGGGGAGGGGCGGGGTCTGTCCAGGGAAGGGCTTCCTGCCTCTCCAATTAGAAGCTGCAACTCACAGCATGGTTTCAACTCTGGACAATTGCACTCTGGGCGGCTTTGGTTAAAGGAGGCGAAGGGTGGAAGCGACGGGTTGCACCCACCCCCAAGTTAGTCTGATCAGATTAAACTGCCAGAACGTATATTCAACTCATCACTGTAACTACAAGCCGTCTTACTTAGGAAACCATGAGTTGCTGCCAAGGCTTTTTTTTTTCCCTCCCCAATTCCTCTATCTTATAATTTCTGCTACTTAATGTAACATGAGTAAAGGCATTTCTTAACCCCTTCATGTTCAGCGTTAAAATTAGCCATAGTAAAAAACAACGAACCCGCGGCAAAACTCTGCAATCCAGACGACGAGAAAGGCTTGATCCTTGTGTCCGGTTAAAAATGCCCTCATAAAAATTGTGTGTCCTGGAATGTCGTCGTCTTTCACATAAAGCCAATCTCAAATATACGTCTTGTTTTAGCAAAATATTTTTCAGCACCAAAAAGGGATAGACCTACCAATGCTCTGTTAAGTGTTATTGCTGAGAACAAGAGAAGTCCCTGCCATTTGTTGAGCACCTACTATATGCCAAGCTCTCATGGACGGGGGTTTCACATGTATTATCTCATTCCATTCAATTCTCTCTCTCTCACACACACACACACACCGTACAAGATAGGTATCACTATCATCTGTGTTATACATAACACAAGGAAAGTAAGGCTGAGGGACGAGTTAAGTAACTTCACTAAGATAACACAGTTGCTAGTGCCAGAAGCTGGATTTGAACAGAATTCTAGGCTACATTCCTTTTATTTTTCACCAGTATGCTCTTCTTTGTTTTGCAGATTAAGAAACAAGATCAAAATTATCATAAACACAAAAGACAGCTCTGTTCTTTCTCCCCATCTCCCCTCCAAAAAAAAAAATCACTTTTTTGGTTTGTTTTTGAATCAGGGTCTCACTCTGTCACCCAGGCTGGAGTACAGTGGTGATTGTAACTCACTGCAGCCTCAACCTCCCAGGCTCAAGAAATCCTCCAGCCTCAGCCTCCCCAATAGCTAAGACCACAGGCATGCACTACCACGCCCAGCTAATTTTTTTATGCTTTGTGGAGAGGGAGGGTCTCACTGTGTTGCCCAGGCTGGTCTTGAACTCCTGGGCTCAAGCAATCCTCTTGGCTCAAGCTCCCAAAGTATTGAGATTACAGGCATGAGCCACCACGCCTGGCTTCTACTCTGACATACCCAGTAGTCTGAAGGTTTTTTTAGATTTTTATGATTCATTCAACTCTCTAGAATTCCTCTTGAACAAGTTTCCAATTCCATCATTACATAAACTTATTGCTTATACCTTATCATTATTTAAAACAGTCATGAAAAATAATTTCTTCCTCCTTACATACTCTAGAAGTATCTGAAATTTATTTTTGAACCCTCTTTCTTATAATTTACAAAAGTCTTCCTTAAAAGGAATTTATATCTTCCTCCCTCCCCCCTGCACAACTGCTCAACCTTCCCATTTCCACTTCCATAGGACTTTACTTGCTGTCTCCTTTTTATCCCCATGACCTCAACCACCTCTGGATCCTATAATGCAGTCTTAGCTCCAATATTACAACAGCCCTTTTAGCTCATCTCCCTGTCACCTCCTTTAAATTGCTTTGACATTATGATCACACCCTGGCACTCATGATCCCTCTCCTCGCTTAAAAACCTTCATTGGCTCTCTATTGCTAACAGAGCCAGTTCCAGGCTTTTGAGCAGATCACTGGGCATTCCTGCTACCTTATACATACAAGTCTTTCCATCTGCTAGACACAATCTTTTCAGGTCCTACTATGATTCTTTTCTCTTCATCTGACAGCTAACTTAAATTTTGTACCTACTGAGCCTTCAGTAAACACTGAATGGAGGAAAACCTGAATGAATTGAAAGTATCCTTTAAAACTCTACTAAATTTTTTTTTTTTTTTGAGACAGAGTTTCGCTCTTGTTGCCCAGGCTGGAGTGCAATGGCATGATCTCGGCTCACCACAATCTCCACCTCCCAGGTTCAAGCGATTCTCCTGCCTCAGTCTCCCGAGTAGCTGGGATTACAGGCATGTGTCACGACGCTGGCTAATTTTGTATTTTTAGTAGAGACTGGGTTTCTCCATGTTGGTCAGGCTGGTCTTGAACTCCCGAACTCAGGTGATCCGCCCACCTCGGCCTCCCAAAGTGCTGGGATTACAGGCATGAGCCACCGCGCCCGGCCAACTCTACTAAATCTTTATATTAAAATTGGTAATATTAGATAAGCGGTTCCCATGCACATACCAGTGCTAACCTATGAGGAAATGTTCATCAGTTCAGGCAAAACAAAAACTATAAAGAGAGGGAGGCAAAGATTAAAGTAAATTAGAATATATGTGTTTTGTCTTTTCAGTGTCCTTACATGGAAAAAATGTTAATAACCAGCTCATCCACCCCTCCTTTTTTATGTAGCTACTCTGAAATGCAAACATATGGGAATCACTATCTTATACAATTATTGATGGTAATCACTACATTATCTTTTGGAAATTCTTTTCTGTTTCCCTCCCACCTTTTTCTCCCCCCTTACTTCCCTCTACCTCCCTTTTTATTATCTTCCTTTTTTTTCTAGTTTTCCTTCTTCCTTTGCTATGTCTTTAGCCTGTCAATGTCATCCATGCCCATTGGCAGCCACGGGCACTGCATCTCTCATGTGACAGTTTGCGATGAAGATTTTGTCCAGTTATAGCCAAAACAATTATTTAGTTATATTTTTGCCTAATTATGGTCTTTTCACTTGTTTAATAACAAATCACAATGTACAGGTTGAAATGTAATTGTTTTACAATGTCAAAATAATATTTGGGTTTGCAATATCCACCGTTTTTAATTTCTGTGAGGCAGAAAACCAAATGTGATACAAATTGATTTACATAGCTTAGTACATAAAATTTGAATCCTTCTAATTTAGCTCTCAAATACCTGAAAATCCTCTGAGCTTTTTCTCCTTTCCTCCCACCAAGCCCTGTTGCTACTGGTCGAAGGGTATTACCTATCACAGGCAGAGAGCTGGTAGGACTGTGGCCTGGTGTTCATAGCCTCAGATACATGCTCAAGTAGATTAAAAACAGTTTTCAGAATTTTCCCATGTCATCAAAGAAGCAAACCTAACTACCAGTGTGGTCTCTTAAAAAGCTGTTCTTTGGGAGGCCAAGGTAGGTGGATCACCTGAGGTCAGGAGCTCAGGACCAGCCTGGCCAACATGGTGAAACCCCGTCTCTACTAAAAAATACAAAAATTAGCCGGGTGGCGTGGTGGTGGGCACCTGTAATCCCAGCTACTCAGGAGGCTGAGACAGGAGAATTGCTTGAACCCAGGAGGCGGAGGTTGCAGTGAGCCGAGATCATACCACTGCACTCCAGCCTGGGAGACAGAGCGAGACTCCGTCTCAAAAAAAAAAAAAAAAAAGAAAAAGAAAAAAAGAAAAACAACGACAAAAACAAAAACAAAAAAAAAAACCTGTTCTTATTTCACACTGTAAACTGTACTAAGGTTTAGCTCATGTCCATCCCTTATACCATTATCGCTCTTTTGCAGAGACAAATATTATGAAAAAAAACAAAACACTTTTTTACTCCTTTCCGCAACCATTTTAAACACACACTGAGAACCTCATGACCTTGAAGATGTTAATATTCCCAGCTATTGAGTGCGTGCCAAACACTTTCCTGTTATGAAACATCTTAAAAAGTAATTAACAACATCAAGACAGTTTAAACATTCATTTCATTCATTCTGTTTAAATGAGGTGTACTAGATGACACAGGAAAGGAAAAGGAAGCGGTAATTTATGTACCCAAATAGGTTGTTAAAAATAGGGTGAAGATGGTACTGCAGTCTCTGACAATTTGACACCCATGTTCAAAAACAATGAAAAAATTTTTCTTCAGTTCAGTGCTAGTGGTAGCAAAGAGTTTATTAGCTGGTTTTTATATGTTGATTTAGGAGCCTATTTAGTATTAGAAGGAATTGTATTAGAAGAGTGCCATGCAATGGAATCAGCATATAATTTATCAAATTTTTCCTGAATTGGTCTAGTTCTCTTAAAAAAAAAAAAAGAATTAAAGGAGAATATGTACACACAATCTCTATATGATGATGAAAATCTACATAGGGACAAAAGCCATGTGAAAATGACCTTCCAAATGGTAAAATTAAACCCAATTTTCAATATTATAACAAGAACTTGAATAAATTAATCAACTGTGAAGTTAAAGTTTTACATAGGTGATAAAGGCTAGACATATGAAGCAGGATTGACTAATGAAGAGGAAGAGTTCTTAACATCCCTTACCTCATGTTTTATCAGGACCTCGTAGGAATAGTTCTTGTCAGCTTACAAAGTTAGCTACCTCTGTGCTAGGGTACTATGACTGAAAATTATTCCATATACAGAATCTCAAACTATTTCCTTGGGAATTACACTCATTGTTATTAATTCTGTCTCTGGAACAACAAGAAATAACCCTTTTCCCTTTCTCTGGACAGCTCTAAAAATGTCTACGTTATTCTCAAAGTTATTTTCTTAACTGCTCCTCCTGCGAGAAAATACTAGCCATGCTTGGGATAATTTGTAACTGCTATTGCCAGAGGCTAATTTAGGCTTTTCGGCAATCATTTAGAAAAGATGTTTCTTACAAATAGTTTATTACCAATAAATAACAATAGCTAATATTGAGTCCTTACTCTTCGCTAGACATGGTATACATGGTCTATCATTTAATCATCACAATCACCACCAGGGATAGAAATTGGAATTACGCTCACTTTAGAGATGAGGAATATGAGGTCATCCAGTTAGTAGGTGGCAGAACCAGGACATGTAAACCTGGGTTTATGTGACCTTGGAGCCTGAGCTCTTAAGCATTATAAAGGTTACAGCAGTCCTAGAATTGACATCATTTTATTTCTGAAAAGAATCATATGAATAACAAAGTTAAATAATCTACAGCAAACCTAAGGTCCTTAATCAAATGGAATATTGATATAAATACAATGCTATGGAGATTTACACTCAATTCTTTTCTGGTACTTTGAAACTTGTTTTTTTATGTCAAATTATTGGGGTAGTGTGGCATAATATATACACTAGTCTAAAAGGTCATCATCATTGTGCCATCATATCTAAAATTGTTTCCACTGATAGAAGTGAAAAAAAGTACTCTGATCACTATGATTATGAATTTTTTTTTCTTAAAAAAGCAGATTCGATGTGCGGAACCCAAAGCTTATAGAATTTGTTAGCTATGGAGCCTTGGATGAGGCCTTATGCAAGAGCCAGACTCTGAAGATTCAATCTCATTTAACTTCATGAGAAATCTGCCCTTCATATCAAAACTAGCCTAAGCTGGAAATTATCCAAGAAAAAGTGCCATGACCCTAAATTTTCTTTTGGTTTTCTCTTCATTGACAACTAGAATGGAGATACATGTTGCAAACACTTGCAACTGGAATGATGAAGTATATTCTGGAGGCTAATACGTACTGGAAAAGTAGAATTTTGTTTATGAATATAAGGTTCAATTTTAAAAGTCTACAATTGTATCAATATTAGATTTGTCAAATACAAAAATCCTTGTCCTGCAGTGGATTACAAATGATGCTTATCCCCTTGTTATGTAAAAGCAGCCACTGTGAGTGGGGAAGAATGGTGAAGCTGCAGATCTAAGGAAAGGGATGAGTTGATTCATGGCTTGGAGAAAAAGAAAAATGGAAGGAAGCCATGTTTCTTTTTTTTTTTTTTTTTTTTTTTTTGAGACGGAGTCTCTCGCTCTGTCGCCCAGGCTGGAGTGCAGTGGTGCAGTCTCAGCTCACTGCAACCTCCACCTCCCAGGTTCAAGTGATGCTCCTGCCTCAGCCTCCCGAGTAGCTGGGACTACAGGCATGTGCCACCACACCTGGCTAATTTTGTATTTTTAGTAGAGACAGGGTTTCGCTGTGTTGGCCAGGCTGGTCTCAAACTCCTGACCTCAGTTGATCCGGCTTCCTTGGCCTCCCAAAGTGCTGGGATTACAGGCGTGAGCCACCGCGCCCGGCCTTTTTTTATTAATGGTGGTTATCCACTCCAAAATGAAGGCAGTACTTCTAATGTTTTAAAGTAGTCCCTGGAGTATTATATTTTTTTATCAAAATACTTGATAAAACTGCACAAATGTCATTAAATAATAATTTCTATATTCTGAGCCCATTGGGGAATTTTCAGTCCTAGAAATGTCCTCAAAAATGGCAAAGCTTTCTGCTTCCCTTCTTGAAAGTAGAGGGGAAGAAATGGTGAAGCAAAGTTTTTCTGGAAAAAAGGAATCCTAGTACCCTACTTACAAATGGAGCATCTTAAATATTCACTAGTGTACTTGCTTTTCTGGTGAAGAGATGAGATTCACATATCATCATGGATCATTGCCCTCTACAAGTGCACAAATTAGTAGCAAGAACAACTATTTTAGGGCCATGTAAGTTATCAGTATCATCAGAACTTGGGCCTTAATTACTAATATCTTAAAATGGAGTATTAAGAAACAATAGAAAAATATTAGTATTCTCTTTTATGACAAAGCTTCATTAGTTTTCTAGAGTATATCTAGATATATGTGACTGTATTTCACAGAAAAGTTTTAGTTTTTCAGAGAAAAGGAAAACACACCCTCAAGATAATTTCAAAGAGGAATTTAATGGGCATGGGAGGTGGCTTATTTAACAGTAATTTTTTTCTGGTCAATTGAATGATTAAATATTTTCATTCTTAAAGATTCAGAACATGCAGAGTTGTTTTGCACAAGCAGCCACTGTGTCAGCAGAGATTGGAAACAAATACTAGCCAAAATTTTTTTAATGCCACAATTGAATGCTGGCACAGAAAGGGACAAATTCTTAATGTCTCTGCAAGCAAAAATCTCCAGAAACTGAATATAACTTTTTTTCAAATTTGCTTTTACTCAGATAAATGGGAAAGTAACAATTCCTGGCTTCCTGACATGACTTCAACTCCGGGCCTTGTGAAGATTCTAGATGAGTCAGCCTTGATCTGTGTCTAGCAGAGCAAGTTACACAAATTCTTCTTTTTTTTTTTTTTTGACACAGGGTCTCACTCTTGTCACCAAGCTGGAGTGCAGTGGCACAATCAAAGCTGATTGTAACCTTGAACTCCTGGACTCAAGTGATCCTCCCACTTCGGCCTCCTGAATAGCTGGGACTGCAGACATGTGCCACCACGCCCATCTAATTTTTATTTTTTTAAAGACAGGGACTCGCCCGTTTCTCAGGCTGGTCTTGAACTCCTTATTTATTTATTATTTATTTATATCAAGTGATCCTGCCTCAGTCTCCCTGAGTAGCTAGTATTTCAGGCAGAAGCAACCATGCACAGCAGGTTATATGAATTCTAATTTCCTCTGCTACTATATATAGACCTCTGGGAACCAAGGTTTTCAGGAATTATTGTTAGCAAAATGAAAGCAAAATAAATTATATATTTAAAAAATATATAGTCAGGTGTAGTGGCTCACTCTTGTAATCCTAGCACTTTGGGAGGCCAAGGCAGGAGGATTGTTTGAGCTCAGGAGTTTGAGACCAGCCTGGACAACATAGCAAGACCTTGTCTCTACAAAAAAATATATATATTCTATATTATATATAATATATAAAATACATATTCTATATTATATATAATATATAAAATACATATTCTATATTATATATAATATATAAAATACATATTCTATATTATATATAATATATAAAATACATATTCTATATTATATGTAATATATAAAATACATATTCTATATTATATGTAATATATAAAATACATATTCTATATTATATGTAATATATAAAATACATATTATATATTATATGTAATATATAAAATACATATTCTATATTATATGTAATATATAAAATACATATTATATATTATATATAATATATAAAATACATATTATATATTATATATAATATATAAAATACATATTATATATTATATATAACATATAAAATACATATTATATATTATATATAATATATAAAATACATATTATATATTATATATATATAAAATACATATTATATATTATATATAATATATAAAATACATATTATATATTATATATAATATATAAAATACATCTTATATATCATATATAATATATAAAATACATATTATATATTATATATAATATATAAAATACATATTATATATTATATATATTATATATTATATATATTATATATTATATATATTATATATATATATTTTTTGAGCTCAGGAGTTTGAGACCAGCCTGGACAACATAGCAAGACCTTGTCTCTACAAAAAAAAAAATATATATATATATATTACATATATATTATATTATAATTATATATATATGTAACGTTAGCTAGGCAACGTGGCGTGCACCTGTAGTCCCAGCTATTCAGGAGGCTGAGGAGAAAAGATCCCTTGAGCCCAGGGGGTCAAGCTGCAGTGAGCCATGATCAAGCCACTGCATTCCAGCCTGGGTGAGAGAGCAAGATCTTGTCTCAAAAACTAAAACTAATATGTGTGTGTATATATATATATATGTGTGTGTGTGTGTGTGTATATATATATATGTATATATGTGTGTATATATGCATATAAGTGTGTATATATATTCACACATTATTTTGTGGAAAAATAGAATCTTATTAAAATTTATTTGGGGAAGAATTTACCTTGTCTCTTATATGACCATTATGACCATTGGGGATTTTTGTTTCCAGAAATAACCATTATTTTTTTTCATATAAGTGAGCTATAGGTAAACAAATTTTGTACTGTATCCCCTCAATTTTAAGAAACAGATTTTAACATATTCAAAATTAGTATATACCTTAAAATCATTCAGATTATTTGATACGGTGGCAAGACTTATTTCCCAAAAATCAATTGACTTGACTCATCTTACAATTAATAGAAAGCTAAAATGAAGAAATAATGTACTCTGTCTCTGGCAAGTTTTGGTGTAATTTACTTACCTACCTCATTGGGTATAAAGTATTTGCTTCATTGGTTATATATTCTTTATGCAAAAATAAATTTCTAGTAAAATAAGTAAATCACATCCAAAATTTTGAGTATCGTTCATGATATGTTTTTTTGGAGCAAAGATCCGTAATTTTCAACTGATTCCGTGCCTTCAGAAAAGATTGACAATCACTGTGTAGATATTACTGTAAAGGCTTTTCACCCAAATGCCCCATACCTTACTCTAATTGAGAAAGATCTCTTTATATAATATCCTAGCACCAAAATGGTTTGTACTCCTGAAATATGCTCTGCAAATAGCTGGAAAGGTTATTTTCCCTAATTCTATTTAATAATTTGGCTAGCTGGTTCGTTACAATGGCTCAAAGAACACAGCTATAATCACAAGGACCTTGGCCTTCTGAAATTTTAAAACAGAGACTTAAAATTACAGGGCTGAGGTTGTCCAGAGTTTATATGTAGTCCAAATATCTTTTTTCATAGAAACAGCTGCTAAGGAAACAAAGGTTAGGCAACAGCTGGTCAGGCAAATGGTTACAGAGCCAAGACTGTAAGATTTGAGGAAAACTCCATACCCTGAAACCAAAACGCTTTCTTACAGTGTAAATTGCTCCAGTTCAGAGACTGCCTCAACACCCAGTCCCTGGCTCTATCAAAATAACTATTATAAGAACTGATGCCAAAGCCTTAAGAATCACTCATAAATAACGTCTTCAAAATTTCTATTCCACCCCGCCCCACACACCACCAAAAAAAAAAAAAAAACCACACCAAAAACTCAGAAGACTGTCTATACTTCAAACAGTGAAAAAAATCAAATTCCACTACAGAGAGTAAAAAATATATTATTTTCCATCAACCCGTCTTCCCAGTAACTATGTTTCATTTTTGGTATTTTTCTTTAAAAGTCTATAAGATACATTTTTTTTTTTTTTTTTTTTTTTTTGAGATGGAGTCTTGCTCTGTCACCCAGGCTAGAGTGCAGTGGCGCGATCTCGGCTCACTGCAAGCTCCGCCTCCCGGGTTCACGCCATTCTCCTGCCTCAGCCTCCCGAGTAGCTGGGAATACAGGCGCCCGCCACCGCGTCCGGCTAATTTTTTTTTGTATTTTTAGTAGAGACGGGGTTTCACTATGTTAGCCAGGATGGTCTCGATCTCCTGACCTCGTGATCCGCCCACCTCGGCCTCCCAAAGTGCTGGGATTACAGGCGTGAGCCACCGCGCCCAGCTTCCTTTTTCAATAAAACTACATTTTTAATACAGATATGTCATATTCCTACAAGTAAGGATTAATAACAATAAACATAATAAAATTCTGTCTAGCCATCATCCTTCTAAGGACATCACAATACATTTTATACATAGAGAGAATACCTCTAAACACTGCAGATTAGATATATTCATCAAAAAAAAAAAGCTTTAATCACAATTGGCATGAGAGTGAAGAAAAGCAGGGAGAGAGTGCCTTGGTGTGACAAAGGTAGATCATTGAAGTAGTTTTAATATTTTTTCCAGAAGGTGACTATAACCTTCCAAGTGTTTGAGATTAAATCATACTCTGTGATGTTCTGGGAAATTTATATCACTATAAATTATCAAGCATTCAAATCAAGGCAGTAGAGCCACATTTGGGGTCACAAAAATGAGACATATATCAGAATTCTCCTTACTATGTCTGCCAGGCTCAAAAGTAATACTTGTCTTAACCTTACAAAGATCATCAAAATAAAACTGTAGTGGGCAAATGAATACATCAGTTGGAGAAAACAAAGTGAAATAGGCAGAGGCCTTCATGATTTCATTTCTTTCAAGATAGACTGCCTTTACAGTATTTTATGCAGTCTATTGGGAGCATTCATGTATTAGAGGCATATAAAAAAGAAATTCAGTAGAGTCACCATCAAACATTTAAAAAAGAGACTTGTTCAAAGGTTTCAGTCCAGAGCAGAAATTCTACCATCTCAGTGTGAACAAGAAGCACAAAATGATCCTGTCTGAGACTCCTCAGCTCATCCAAGAGCAGGTACCAGGCACCAGCAATGGTCTCCTCCGGTGTTTTGAGGGGGACAAGTAGACCTGCCTCCAATAAAATAATTCCCTATCAATCTGCAGTTCCACCATCAAAGTCACATATGGGGTTATATTGCAGAGTCACTGATTCACTTCAATCAAATAGTTGTAAGAAGAATAGATGAATCAGATACAACAATCGGGCCCCCAGGTGTTTATATTCAGTTAGGATGGACACATGTGTGCCTATTTATGACATCAAGCATTAAATCATAAATGCAAAAATAAGTATACTCTATTGCTAAGTGGACCTTTAGTTGTAAATATTTCCAAAATCTATTAAAGTTTAACAATTAAAGTAGTGGGCATATGTGATTTTCCCGTAAGTTTTCTGTATTCAACACTTATTATAACTAGAGAAAATGCTAGTAAACATACATCAGGTACTAACGTACTATATCTTGAATTAGGGTGGGTAGAGCAGGGCTGTTCATAAGGAGGGGGAACAAAAGAAGCCAAGGCTGACTGCTGACACTAGGTCAAGGTATGTTCACAAAGTGCTGTGAAGCATGCAGGATGGGGAAGGGGAGGCAGGATAGGGAGATCCGCCATAGAAATAGATAAATTTCTACCAGATGTTAAGGGACATCCAGTGCTTTGCAAGTATTTCATCTATATTCCATAGCAGTGGGGAATAATCCAAGGTAACCGAGAGAGATAGCAACATAATCAGATCTACACAAAGAGAAAACACAGTGGTGGCTGTGAATAAATAGCCAGGAACAGGAGGAAAAGATGGCTAGGAGGTTGCCACGGTGAGCATATCAGTAAGGAGGCTGCAATGATAGGACAACAGGGGCAGATCCATCTCTGCTTCATCATCTCCCCCAGCACGTGCTACACACAGCAGGGCCAATGCAAAGACACACTGCAGCAATAGAATCTTCAGAACCTCATAGATATGTGGAAGTGGGAATGAAAGAGGGAATCCAAAACTATCCTATGGATTTTACGCTAGATGAATGGAGATGTCTAACAAATGGTTAGAAGACAGACTCTGATAGTCCCCCACAATAGGAAGGCCTCGGGCATACAGTTTTGAAGTGTGTGGCAGAAGTCAGTAGGTGAGGAAACAGTGTTGAAAACTCTCTTTTCATAATTGAGGTTCCATTTATTTATTTTTTATTTTTATTTTTTGAGATGGAGTCTCACTCTGTCGCCCAGGATGGAGTGCAGTGGTGCGATCTTGGCTCAATGCAAGCTCCGCCTCCTGGGTTCACACCATTCTCCTGCCTCAGCCTCCCCAGTAGCTGGGACTACAGGCGCCTGCCACCGCGCCTGGCTAATGTTTTTTTTATTTTTTTTATTTTTTTATTTTATTTTCAGTAGAGATGGGTTTCACTGTGTTAGCCAGGATGGTCTTGATCTCCTGACCTCGTGACCTGCCCGCCTCGGCCTCCTAAAGTGCTGGAATTATAGGTGTGAGCCACTGCTCCTGGCCCATAATTGAGGTTTTTGATCTCTAGGCAGCCTTCCCCAAGAGAACTAGTTGTCCAAAGGATTTTTTCTGTGTCTGCCTTATTCACGAGTGCTGCATTTACCCATTTCCCAGGGATGCTTAATTTCTACACTGGGAGCCCACATAGGTGCTTTAAACTTCAAAACTTCAGGGAAGTTTTTCATTAAGGATACAGGGTTTAAGGGCAGAGCAAAGGAGGGTGGAGAAGATAGATCAGAAAGGTGAACTTACTAAGCATCAAGTTTTAGACACTCGCTGAGCTCTTTAAGATATTTTTTCTCTCTTAATCCCCCATTTGACAACAGAGGGATGATGATACTTCAAGGTGTGTCAGTGACTTGGTTGCCCAAGATGGTATAGCCAGCCTTTGGTAGAGGCTGGAAGGAGGCCAGGCTCACTTGGAAGTCTAACTGCAACTTCCAGGAACAGGCATCCATATCATCTTCATTTAGGTTTGAGGACTTTTTTTTTGTTTTTTTTTTTTTTTTTCTGAGACGGAGTCTCACTCTGTCACCCAGGCTGCAGTGCAGTGGCACAATCTCAGCTCACTGCAATCTCTGCCTCCTGGGTTCAAGCGATTCTCCTACCTCAGCCTCCTGAATAGCTGGGATTACAGACATGTGCCACCATGCCCGGCTAAGTTTTGTATTTTTAGTAGAGACAGGGTTTCACTACGTTAGTCAGGCTGGTCTCGAACTCCTGACCTCGTGATCCGCCCGCCTCGGCCTCCCAAAGTGCTGGGATTACAGGCGTGAGCCACCGTGCCTGGCCTGGACATTTGATATTACTGAAATAAGTTTATTTCTTTGTTACTTGATCCATTTGCAACCTAAATAAAATGTGATTACTAAACAGAAAAAAAATGCTAAAGCTAAAAAAGGTCATAATTGAAGATTTTCCAGGTAGACCATGAAAATATAAAAGCAATTTCCACAGGAAATTACCAGTGATTCCACCCTGGATGTTTAAGGCCTGAAGGTCTAATACGTACTGTCTATTGCTCTATAACAATATAATACTGATAACTTGCTTTGCTTTTGGGTTGACACTATGGTCTGAGGTTTTAGTATTGATCTTTAATTTTCAATCCATCCTCATAGTTTTGCTCTATCCAAGCAAAAGAATAGTATGAATTGATTTATGGATCACAGTTTTTTTGAACATTTGCTTTATATGACCTCAAACCAATTTTCTGTGAACAATGAAAGGAGGAAAACATCTGCTCAAAAAATGCTAGGCCAGGTGAATAATATCCTTCCCCCCTCTTCCTTTTCCTCTTCTTTAAATAGAGGCCCATCCTTGTTTACAGGATGAGGGCAAGAGGTAAAATCCTTTCCAAAAAGGATGTAGTGTATGACATTGTTTATTAAGTTATTCTGTAAAACTGCTACATTGGCTGCCCAAGGAGATTTATTCAACATAAGAGTAGCTAAGCTCTCACCTATGTCAATAGATACCTGTGAGAGGCCTAATGGAACTCTAGGAAATATTGGAAAAAACAAAGGCTCTGAGGAGGTCTCTCTCTTAACTCACTCATGCCACTAAACTTCTGTTTCTGAATCCATAAAATGGAAATGCATGTTCCTACCTACCAGGGCTGTTCTAAGGTACAAATAAGCTTGTTGAGGGGGTACAGAAGAACAGGCTTTCATTGAATTTTGTTCATTGAATGTCTGCATAGTGCCGAAGCCTAATATGGAATGCTTTATTCCCATCATATAGACGAGAACAGTGCAACTCAAAGATTAACAGCAGGACAAGCTCTTTGCTCAAATTGCTTAGATTAAAAAAAGAAAAAAAGCAGAGCTAGGATTCAGAATAAAATCTCTTTGATTCAAAAATTCATGCTTTTCCCATTATTCTTTCCTATATATAAAGCACCATATAAGATGAGCTTAGTTTTGTTATTATTAGTTTACCAAATCTAAGAAATCAATCACTTGTTAGACCCACCATTCATTATTTTGCCAACAGCTTGTAAAGAAAAAAAAAAAAAACCACTGCCAATAATATTATGAACCAACTGTAAGGTTGCACTGCAATTTCAGAGAAGTTTAAATGTGAATGAAACAAATATAATCTTAGAATCAATGGGAGACAGAAACAGAGTGCCCAAGTAGAACCAATTTTTAAATTTCATAAAGTTACAAACTTGGTTCTTTTAAGGCTTACCAGGTCTTTCAAATCTTTAATAAAGGATAGAGATAGAGCCATTTATTCAGTCAACATTGTATACCTACTCTGTGTGTAGCATTGTCTCAACCTTCAAGGACAGCAGATATACCAAAAAATAGCTCTGGATATGACGATAGAAGACTGCAAAGATAAGAGGGTACACAAAGCATGGAGTAGTTATTTATCCCAGGGACAGAACAAGCTGTCAATTTTTTCATGGCAAACACAAAGGTCAAGTTAGTTGCAGGCAGTCACTTACCACCTCATCATCTTTGTTACACACAAGTAACTGACGTCAAATGCAAAGCATCAATTTTATTATGAAAGCCCCTACCCTGGATTCATCTGTTTATCCTTTGTCACCTTTAGGAAGGTTTGTCACCTTTCCGACTGGCACAGAAGTCTTTGTAATGGGACATGGGTTATTGGAACCTGCCCAGGCCTGGATTCCTCCAGACTTTGCACATCACCACCTGTACCCGTCACGTTCCTTGGCTTGGTTTTTGGGCTCCTGGAAAGACTCTGGGATTGTCCCTTGGCTGACCTGCACCTTAGCATTTTCACTGAAACAGTCCTGCTGGGATGAGTTTCTGTCTTCTAGGAGTACACCTGAAGACCTAAACAAACCCCAGAGACCACCTGCTATGCCCTGGATCACTTGGCAATGACTCAGTTTACATCCTTTAAGTTTCTGTTTTGCACCAATCAATGAATTTATTGTAGCCTGAAAGACATGTGTTAGAAACACAGTCATTCATTTCCGAATATCAAAGCCACTTACTTGTCACGTTAATTGATTCAGCACACTTCAAGTTAATTAATAAAAGAAGAAAATCCCTAACTATCTTTTGATAGTTGTGGATTGTCTCTTAACTCTCTATTTCCTGGATTAACATGAGGGTTGCCAAATTAGCTCTAAAATATCACCCATGGCATAAATATTGCCAATTCATTTGTTTATTGTTCTATGAGAATGTGTTCCTTGTCTACGCAGTTTATTCATTCAGCAAATACTTTTGGCATGTACCTACTAGTGAAAGGCACTGTGATACTCACAGTGATGGTAATATATTGATGAATAAGATGGAATAATGAACTTGCAAAAAGCTAGTGGGCTCAGATTTTTAAATCCTTGAGCTGAAAACAATATGCATTTATTAAAATGTCAATTATATGCTATTCTGTACTATTTTTCATTTCTGTTTTCTGAAATAGTTTCTACCCCATTGCCTCTGTTTGACAAATGAGGAAACTGAAAGATTAGTCAGAGAGATTAAACAATTTGCCAGAGATAAAGCCAACAGTGCTTAGATTTGAACCCAGGTCTCTTGACTCTAAATCAATCATCTGACTTTTTACTAAAACATGCTGCTCATGACATCTGTTCAAAAAGGGGTATTATGGTATAGTTAGACGTTCCAGGCTCAGGCAGATTTGTGTTGTGTTGGTTGTCATTAATGAAACCTTAGAGAACAACTTAGCAGCTAGAGCTACAGTATTTCAAATGCTAGTCTTTCAACTAACAAACAAGACACCTTTGTTTGTTTACGTTTGACCAAGGAAATATCATGGATCTATATTGTATTCATATAAGTGTCCATAGATTCATTGGAATTCATTATAATGAATTCCAGGTCCATAACAAAGGATTGTTCCAAAGGTGACCCACTCTTAAGTTGAAATAACATTTGGTCCCAATAACTAAATCCCCCTGGACTGGAGTCCACTAAGTAGCAAAGCACTTGCCAGCTTGCTTACTTTCAGAGTACTCTCTGTACTCTGTCTCACCATAAGAGGGGTATGAGGCTGTTCTTTTAGCTATTTTTAGTTAAACATGCACTGCTAAAACACATACAATAGCCTAACATTTTAAAAAAGTGACAGCCTTCATTTCTCATGGGAAAGAACTGGTTATTAATTTAGATCTCCCTTAGACACTCTCTAGAAAGGCCCAATTACCTGAAGTATGAAAAACACTTCAAGGTATGACACCTATAACATGTTGACATGGAATGTGTCTCACTCTTTATTCTACTATTGTGCTATACTGAAGTTATTTATACTTCCGATAACCCCCTTTCCTCTGCTGTGCACACACATACACATATGCACACAGACTCCATAGGATTCTGTTTCCTGAGGGCAGGAAGTTCCATCCATTTCCCTACTCTCAATATGCCATCTGGCACACAGTCATTCATTAGCATTTGTTGAGCAAATATGCCGAAGTGCCAAAGTAAAAGCCACTGATCTGCCCAAGGACACGAGTAAATGCCTCGAGAGCTCTGCATCCCCACAAAGGAGGTGGATGGGTCAGTGTCAATCCTGAGAACAGCAAAATCAAGAAATAAGGTAGCTTTAAATCCTTGCTAGAATAGTTATCTGGTTAATAAATGCTGGAAGTCTGTGGTAAGAATAAGCTGTTGCACTGAATCAGTTATTAATACAACCCTATATCACCTGTGAAGGAAAAGTAACATCAACTATAAATTCTGAAATTGCAAGGAAAAATAATCATTTTCACTCTATGCTTTTACCTCCCCTCTCCTAAAGAAACCAGAACCACTGTCAGATTAGCAATGACTGATTTCTCAATAGTCACAACCTGTCTTTATCTTATTGAGCTTCAGAATACATGATAAAATTGCACCAAGAGAAGAATATGAAGTCCTTGATTCTCTACAGCACAGCATTAAACCACTACTTTAATCACTAATCAACAACCATAATTTAGCCTAATTATAAATTACAAGTATCTAATTTTAGAAGATCTTTGCTTTATAAATCCTAGACACTGGAGACATTATTAACTTAGCTCCTTGAAATTATTCCAGGGCCGGAAACATCCCTTGTACATTCTTGCTGCATGTATCTGGTCTAGAAACAGACCTGTAATCAGGATCTTTTCTTCAGGTTTCTAGGGGTCAGAGCAGCCATCTATTTGGTATGAGTTGAGCATCTCTGAGAAGGCAATTATATGCCACCCACCCAAATCTCTCTTCTCCTTATACTTGAAATATCCCCTTGGGCCTCAGATTTTATTTTAATCGCTCCCCCAAGGTACTGGTCCCAGGAAATGTGGTAAATTCAAGCCCTTATCAATGTAACAAAGACGCGAGTCAAGGAGATCCCTGAAATGGGAAAAGAAATCCCAGAAAGGAAGGGACTAATTTGTCCCAGAATATACACACGTGCATGGAGAACATAAGCCTTTTGCTTGTAGCTTTGAACTACCACCAACTATGTTTCTGTTGGGTGTTGAACATTTTCAACTAGAACTGGGACAACCGAAGTATTATCTTTACCAGGTGTAACTACTGGCATAAAAAAAGAAAGGCAAAAACCACTGTGGTCCTTCAAGATGTGATGGGCCAGTGACATCGCGCTGAATTTTCTGATTTGTAAAATGAGGGGTTGTGCTGCTCCTGGGGACCCCCGCACACCTTTAAGCTCCCACATGATGGGTCTATGGTATATATCTATGGCGCAAATTTCACTGGCAGTGTGATGGACCACACTTTGTACATGGGCAGGTCATATAGGTATGATGATGACAGTCGCCAACTGATTCAAAGAACAGTGTCCCAAAACTCCTGACCTCTGGAGATACTGGACAGTCAAGAGTACTAAGCAGCAAAACAAATGGGGGAAAAATGTTTGCTCCCCTGGCCTCCTACTCCTTGAGCGGCCTTCTATAGGAAATTGCAAATCATTGAGAAAGCTACAGGGGGCTAGGCACAGCGGCTCACGCCTGTAATCCCAGCACTTTGGGAGGCCGAGGCGGGCAGATCACGAGGTGAGGAGATGGAGACCATCCTGGCTAACATGGTGAAATCTCGTCTCTACTAAAAATACAAAAAAAATTAGCCAGACATGGTGGCGGGCGCCTGTAGTCCCAGCTACTTAGGAGGCTGAGGCAGGAGAACGGCGTGAACCCGGGAGGCAGAGCTTGCAGTGAGCCGAGATCGCACCACTGCACTCCAGCCTGGGCGACAGAGCGAGACTCCATCTCAAAAAAAAAAAAAAAAAAAAAAAGAAAGAAAGAAAGCTACAGGGTAGCAGCTTTAGCAAGTGAATGCTAGTAACTTTTTTTTACCCTGAAAATCGCACAGTGGTGCTGATGATTAGTCATTCCTGATCATCACATGATGCTGAACTTCATGAAGTACAACGGCTAATGTGTATGGTCTTCCCGTTAAGACAGAGGCAGCCTAGTAGAGACTTGGCTTTGGAAAAGGAAGCTAGTATTAGGAGTTTATCTTTACTGTTTAGAGTTGACTTTATCTCAAAGGATGTCAGCAGCATATATCATGTGACAGCGGATCAGTCACGACACCTCATCTAAATGCAGTCATCATAGTACGTGGTCTTCCCACTGCCTTGCCTACCGTCCATAAAAAGAGGGTCACTCTAGTCCCTGACAGCCATGCCTTCATACCATCCACCTCCAGCCAGAACTAATAATTCAGGGGTAGCAGTGTGAAAAAGACCAGCAGCTTCAGGAATTTTGGGTTCCAGAACTGATATGGATACTAATTAGCTCTGTGCAAGTTAACTTTTCTCTGTCTCCATGTCCTAAACAATGAAAGGGCTGATTAGACCATATGAGCTCTCAGCTCCCTTCCATCTTCAGTGATTCTTTGATAATAATATAAGTTATCCAAATGGTATCATTTATTATGATTGCTTACTGTGTGCCACGCACCATACTAAGTGCTTTTCATTTATCATCTATTTTAATCCTTGCAAAAAGAGAGGAAAATGACATTATCCTCACTTTATAGATTAAAAACTGGCCGGGCGCAGTGGCTCACGCCTGTAATCCCAACACTTTGGGAGGCCGAGTCAGGCGGATCACGAGGTCAAGAGATCGATCGAGACCATCCTGACTAACATGGTGAAACCCCGTCTCTACTAAAAATACAAAAATTAGCTGGGCCTGGTGGTGCGTGCTTGTAATCCCAGCTACTTGAAAGGCTCAGGCAGGAGAATCGCTTAAACACAGGAGGCGGAGGTTGCAGTGAGCCGAGATTGCGCCACTGCACTCCAGCCTGGTGACAGAGCAAGACTCCATCTCAAAAACAAACAAACAAAAAACCTTAAGACTCAAAAATGGAGTTTACAGAGTTCTTCCCTGCTTATACCTTTCAGTCAAAGGGTGTTCTTTGTTTAAAAATCACACACAAATTCAGTGAGACAACAACAAAAATTCACGTAAAACCAGACCGAATATGAAATAGTATTATTCTAACAATTCTATTTTATCAACTGATGACTTCACTTTTTACTCTGCTTTTTTAAACTGCCAAATCAAGTGAATAGATTCATTATTTTAAACACAGTGTTGCATAAATCTAGATGATTCCTCTGACAAACCTCTAAGAAGGTGTATGACAATGATACGCAGGTACTGAAATCAAAAGCAGCTTTAGGAAAACTAATCTTCCGTATCTAGGGCCTCGTGTTAAAAATGCCTTCGTCAGGGGTGACTCCACTTCAGTGCCAAATGTCTGTCATTCACCTGCCACTTCCATCAAGTATTAATATGAAAAAAGGCAACGTTTTTACCTGTTATAATGAGGTGAACTTTTAGCTTTAATTTGATTGCCACCTGCTGGCTAAAAGACACAACCTTCCTTCCGCAGCAAAAACTGCTTGGTAACTCAGAAGGATAAATGCAAACAAATGAAATTCATATCATTAGCAAAGCCAGCGCTCACTTCTACCAGGTTGTCTTCTAAAAGGAAGGGAACTAATATTTAATGTGTCTATTGTATGTCAGGTGCTATGCTAGGTGCTTCAGATTACTATATTATTACATTTAATCAGTTCCAAACCATGTGACATACCACCATTTTGAAGAAGGAAAAACAAGCAACTGCCTTCACATCACACAAACAAAAAGCAGCAACAATCCGAAACTAGGTCTCACCTAGACAACTTTTCTTCATCATCAGCATATCCTCATTCCATGATTCCATGATTCCACCCTACCATGGGATGCCCTAGTAATCTCATGCTATCCAGAAAATATTGGTGAGCTGAGGCTAAGAAGCAGAGCTATAATTCACTGTAGAGTCACAAAGCCTTCCTGATATTTCACAGGGAAGCAGAGGCAGGCCAGATAAATACCTCAAAACATTAGCAGGGAGAGCCAGCAACAATTAGTCAAAGGTAGAACGAGAAGACTGTGAAAGTCATCAACAGAAGCAACATAAGGGGATGAGAAAAAAGACTTGAATAATTACAAACCTTCAGTCCTTTAGCAAAAACAAAAACAAAAAAAAGAAAATAAGGAGTGTTGGGTATTTTTCTTTGGTCCATTTAGGAAAGACTCATCTGCTCACCCATCTCCTGGGGGTCCCTGGGTACTGGTGCTGTGTAGCACACACATGGCCCAGCGCCTGGCCACCAAGAGCTCACCATCTTGTTGGCCAGGCAAATATAAAGGAAGGCTTTCGTGCTAGAGGTGCTCAGAGCCCCTCTCTCACTCTTATCTACCATCTCCTTTTGTCTTTGAGAGCCTTTACCACTGAAAAAACAACGGCTAGTGTTTGAGTGATAACTTTGTGCCGGACACTGTTCTAAGCACTTTAATATATTAACTTAATCTTCACACAATGGTAAGAGATAACTGGTATCTTTAATCTCTCTTCCATAGATAGGAGGGTAAGCAACTTGCCTGAGATCACACAGATCTCTTAAGCTATGGAACCAGTGTTCAAATCTAGGCACTTTGAGGCACTTTGTTTCACAATTCATATCTTTAAAAAATAGTTTACGTGGCCTCTCAGAGAATCATGATCGCCTTGGTTTCGCAGAGGAAGACTAGGAACAGAAAGATCAAGTGATTTATCATATGTTGTACAGTTTAGAAGCCAGCAAGGCCACAAGTGGAACTAATTCTCCAACGATTTGTCAGTCCAGTTATCTATTATTACTATCATGTTGCTTCTGAAAATAAGAATAATGACACAACAAGCAGAAAGAACATACACATGCTAAGGACATGCTAAGGAAGTTCAGGGTCAGGTTGTTGGGAACAGAATCTGCAGTAGTAATGATGGTGGAATGTGCTTATTCCAGCAAGGCTGCTGGAGGTTGGGAGTTACCTCCAGACCCAGCCCATCAGGCTGAGAACCCTCTGTTATCTTGGAGGCCAGCTCTACTCCACAGAGAGGCCTGGCACGAAGAAACAATTCTGTTAGTGAGAAGTGATTAATTAGACATCACAGATAACCCCTGTACTTGGAGGAAGCATGTGAACTTCCATTTATATGGTTTATCAAATTAGAATGATCATCAACTTCTGGGGCAAATTCAAATGTCAGCTTTATGTTCTAGCGTCAATTGGAAAGAGAATAAAATTACAATCCACTCCAAACACCACTACTCTGAAAGTAACACCCACACAAAATCATATCCTCAGATGAAATTTTACTTGGAAGTTTTAGGAGGAATAATTATCATTTAACAATCATTTTTCACTTTGTCTAAGACCACGATAATTGGGGAATATAGTTATAACTAGCATTTACCACCAATCAAAATATTGACACCGAAGGCAGTGTTTAATGAGATAGATCAGGAATTTAACCGGTCCAGAATTAAGGACAGAAAATCACAAACTGATGATCACCAGTGAGTAGACCTAAAGGAATTTGATGAGTGTTTCTACCTTGATTACATGTATTCAATTTCATAGGACACTAAAGCTTGTATTGCACTATAGTTTAAAAATTTTTTTCCACCATATAATGTGTACGTGTTTTCCTTTATGAGGGCTATTGGAGGAAGGGGAAAAAATGCAAGTAGAGAAAGGAAAAAAGTAGGATGGAAAATGTAGGAGATTCCACAGAGAATTTTATAATAATTATAATATTCATTGTTATAAAATACTTTATAATCATTGCCAATAGCTTGAAGATACTTATATCCTGCTCTGCCCCTGAGCTAAATAAACTGAATTTGAGCTTTAGTGTAACATTTCAAGAAAAATATGTATCTAGAGAGGATAATCAGAATGGTATGAAATTCTCAAAATATATATGAGAAAAAGTGGAAAGAAACAGGAATGCTTGCCTTTGAGAAGGAAAAAACCATTCGGAAATAATAATAGCAAACATTTACTGAATGTGTTTTATATACCAGACATGGTGCTATGCAATTTACATGTATTATCTCATTTAATCCTTACAACAACCACATAAGGTAAGTATTATTGCAATTTACAGATGAAGAACTGAGGATTAGAAATACTCACTCTCATCCAAGATCATGAGTTCACAAATGGGGAAGGTAAAACCTACCGGCAGGTCTGCCTTATGTAAAAGCCTAGCATCTCATTCAATCTGCTGTATGGCTGCAATGTAAGAAACAATTGCCCAGCCTGTATTGTAGAGACCGTGTTGATAGACAGGTTCTAGTACCACTGCTGCCACCACCTGGGAATATGACTTTAGGTAAATTATCATCTCAATACATTGCTGTCCCCTCATCTACAAAGCAGCAGTTTGGATGATCATTAAAGATTTTTATTACTTAGATTCTATAACTCCAAATATTTGAAAATGTATTGAATAGGAAATGAATGAATTTTGTTGCTCCAGATGGCAGAATCAGAAGAAATGGGCTTATACAGAAACTGATTGTCTATAACACATGGATTTTTCTGGCACTTCTATAGAATAAAATGGAACAGAGAAACATACAGAATAAGAGAATCAATAAAAATATAAGTCCCAAACTCTTTCAATGTTAAATACATTTACATTTTAGCGGTATTTTCATATATTTCCTAATAATGGTATAGTAGAACCAAAAATTTACCCTGAATTCAAATTTTACAAAATAAAATTCTAAAATTATATTCTGTGCACCTTCTAATTATTTTCCTATCTTTGAGGCAGTGACTTTCAAAAAAATTAAATTCTGAATATCTTAAATGCTAAAATGATTTTAGTAATTTGAGGCAGTTAAAATGTAATTTTGCAGTGCTAATGAAAAGTGTTTTAAAACATCTATAATCTACCAAAAAAACATGTTGACATATTTGTCAGAATAATCCATTCTAAAATATAAATGTTTTAGATGAATTTAATTATTTTTCTTTCAAACTAAGGCTACGGTAAATAAAATTTAAGATATTGAGAGAAAATCCATATCGTCTAGCCATTCTACTCTAAAAATTAACTTATTACTTCTATGGGGATGATTTGCAGTCTTGATTTCTGTTCTCAATTTCTCTCCATTTAATGCTAGGTCTTGCATTTCTGGCTACCTGCTGGATATCTCTGCTGGGCATCCCTTCAACATCTCAACTCTGAATGCACATCTTGCCAGCCTGTGGAAATTACAGAAAGGTGTCCCTAAAAGAACTTTATGAAATGTCAGCAATGAGCAGTCCTCAGTATCTCATCCAATGTAACCTGAAGAGCAGACCAACTATCAAGCCAGCAGGACCATGCCAGTAGGACTGGTTTATAATCCCACTGGGTTAACATATCCAATGAAAGATCATGTGGATCTGAAAAGAAGCATAGCCAAGACAGGAAAAGCAGATACATGCATGGGAAATGGCGGCATCTCTCCAAATGAGAGGCCAAGGACCTTACCAGCTTGACATGGACACTGACTAGACCTCATTATTGAGAGAAATATCCCAAGTCTATTCTATCTGGCAACCCTTGTTTTTGCTTACAAACTTGTTTTTTTCTCATAACATGGCTTCGCATGTTCTGCCCAAAAGTAGACATAGTACTATGCAAACCAGCCAAACTCAAGAATTTCAGGCCAGGCGCAGTGGCTCACGCCTATAATCCCAGCACTTTGGGAGGCCGAGGCAGACAGATCACCTGAGGTCAGGAGTTCAAGACCAGCCTGGCCAACATGGCGAAACCCCGTCTGTATTAAAAATACAAAAATTAGCTGGGCGTGGTGGTGCACGCCTGTAATCCCAGCTACTCGGGAGGCTGAGGCAGGAGAATTGCTGGAGCCCAGGAGGTGGAGATTGCAGTGAGCCGAGATCACACCATTGCACTGCAGCCTGGGCGACAAAGCGCGACTCCATTTCAAAAAAAAAAAAAAAAAAAAAAGGAATTTCACCTTTCTGTGTCACTGGTCCCTGATAATGTATCAATAAAATGGCTTCTAACTTACTTGACAGAGGATGAATTGGCCATGCCCACCCGAATACTCCTGTCCTTGACAAGTCAAATATAATACAAGAAACATGTACGAAACAGAAATACAGCTCTGTGATTTATCACAATGCAAATTCAAGTAAACACGTCCCGAATTAAGAAATAAGATACTCAGGCCCAGAAACCTTGCATGCCCACTCCACTTGCTTTTCTATGTCTACCCCTACTATCTGAACTTAACATGCTAACCAATTCTTTGCCTTTTTTTTTTGTAGAGTTGCCACCTACGCACACACCCGTAAAACTGAAACTCATGTTTTATCTGTTAAGTTTTCTGTAAATGTAAAGATACAATATGTATTCTCTACTGCCTGGCTTTCTTTTGCTTCTAATTACGCTCATAAGATCCATCCATACTGTTCAGACTATTCAGATAACTGGAGTTTATTCATTCTCATTGCTTCATAGTGCTCTACGGATAGAACACAATTTATCTACTCTACTGCAGAAGCTAGGGCTGTTTGTGGTTTGTTGTTTATTATTATTACTTTTTTTTTTTGCGACGGAGTTTCACTCTTGTTGCCCAGGCTGGAGTGCAAAGGTGTGATCTCAGCTCACTGCAACCTCTGCCTCCTGAGTTCAAATGATTCTCTTGCCTCAGCCTCCTGAGTATCTGGGATTATAGGCACCCACCACCATGCCCAGCTAATTTTTGTATTTTTAGTAGAGACGGGGTTTCACCATGTTGTCCAGGCTGGTCTCAAATTCCTGACCTGAGGAGATTCACCCACCATGACCTCCCAAAGTGCTGGGATTACAGGTATGAGCCACCATGCCCAGCCCTGCAGTTTTTATCCATACAGATAATGTGCTATGAATACTCTTGTATGTCTCTTGGTTCACTTGTGAACACATTTCAACTGAGTACATACGCAGGAGTTGAACTGCCATGTCATAAGGTCTGCATATCTGCAACTTTAGCAGATAATGCCAAACAGTTCTCCAAAGGGATTGGACCTATATATTATCTCAGCAGCACAGGAGAGGTCCTGCTCTTCCATACCACTGTCAACACTTGGCATTGTCAGTCTTTTGAATTTTAGCCAATGCAATGGTTAATACTGAGTGTCAATTTGATTGTATATATGTATATATTCTATTAGTTCTGTTCCTCTAGAGAACCCTGACTAATACGGATTCAACCTGTTGGGTGGAAAAACTTAAAATCACAAATAGAGTTAATTTTATCAAACACTACATGCATCTATTTAGACAATCAAGTTTTTTCATTTGTTCTGTTAATGTGCTAAGTTATATTTTTTTAATGTTAAACCAATGTTATATTTCTAGATTAAGCCCAATTTGGTTGTTACATATTATTTTTTCATATGTTACCAGAGTTGGAATGTATTTTGTTAGTGACTTTTGCATCTAGCTTCATAAATAAGAGAGGAATGTATGCTGTGATACAAAGAACAGTGCTCACCCCCCCTCAAAAAATGTCCAGATCCTAATCCTTAGAACCTGTGAATACATTATATTCTACAACAAAGGGATGTTAAGGTTGCCAATTAGCTGACCATGAAATCTGGAGTGCCCCAGATTAGCCAAGTGGTCCAAGGTAATCAGAAGAGCCTTGAAAAGTGGAAGGAGGAAGAAGAGGAGGCCAGAACGATGCAATGTAATAAGGACTAGGCTGCTGTTGGCTTTTTAGATAGAGGAAGAGTTTTCACAGCTAATGAATGCTGGCAGCTTCCAGAAGCTAGAAAGGGCAAGAATTCTCCCCTAGAGCTTCCAGAAAAAAATGCAGCCCTCCTGACACATTGATTTTAGCCTAGTGAGACTTGCATGGATTTCTAACTTATAGAATTGTAAGATAATACATTCATATTGTTTTAAGTCATAAAGTTTGTTGTGATTTGTCATAGCTGCAAGAGAAAACTATGACATGTGCTTAAGTGGCAATTCTACCAAAAAAGTAAGGAATTCTCAATTTCTTGTAATAACCTTCTCAGTGTTTGATATCAAGATTATTCTGGTTTCCTTTAAAAATGCTGAGCATTCCCTCTTTTTCTACTATTTCAAAGAGTTTGAAAAACACTCATTTTTTAGTGTTTTGTAGAATTCATCAATGCGGGCATTTGGGCCAAGGGTGTTCCTAAGTAAAGGTTTTAATTATGAACTCAACTTATTTAATAGTTACGGGATGATTCCAGCGTTCTATTTTTTCTTACATCAGTTTTGTTAGTTTATATTTACTAGGAATTCATTAATTTCAACTAAATTTTCAAACATATCAGTATGAAGTTTTCATGATATCCCCTTACCTAATGTCTAAGATTTATAGGGATGTCATGTTTTCTTCTTTGAGATTAGTATTTGTGACTTCCCTTTTTCTTAATCTTAGTTTCACCAAAAGGTTATTTGTTCTTTTAAAGAATTTGCTTTTAGAATATATGATTGTCCTTTATTATATTTTTTCATGTCATTTCTTTTTTCCCCTCTATTTTTAACTAAATTTGCTGGTCTTTTTACTTTCTCCTATCATATGCTCAGCTCACTGATATTTAGACTTTCTTCTAACATACAGTCATACATTTCCTTCTAAACGGGGCTTAGGCTTGGCTAATTCATCTTACAAATATTAATCAATATTATGTGCTGAAAATATCAAAATATTTTATAATTCTAGATTCGATTCAAAGGCTACTGGATGCCAGTTATGTCTTTATTTCCAATCATGTGGGTTTTCTCTAAGTCTCCATTTATTGATTTGTAGCTTATTTGAAATTTGATCTCCAAGATATTCTGTAGGATTTCAATCCTTTGAAGTTTGTTCAGACTTTTTTTGACCCAGTATATAGCCTATTTTAATAAATGTTTTACATATGCTGAAAAGAAGGTATATGCTCAGTTGTCAAGTTCTATGTGCTCATCAAGTCACATTTGCTAAGTGATGTTCAAATCAAACTAATCATGCTGTTCAAATTTTCCACATCTTTGGGGGTTTGCTTTACCTTGCTTATTCTATTAGTTCCTCAGAGTAGTACGTTAAAAATCCCTCACTATGGTTAAAGATTTATTTCTCCTTGTAGTTCCATAAATTTTATGTGGCAGTTATTTCTTATTGCAAATTAATGAACTGACATTCTGGTCTTTACTTCAGCCTTCCATGAGTGTAATTTAGATACAGTGACTCAGACTCTGAAGGTATCATGGCCTCTGGATCCCCACAAATGTTTCTGGGTCAAGGATTCTCAAACTTTATACCCTGAACCCCCTTTGTCAGTCTGGGGAAATTGGTAGACACTAAGTTTTTAAATGCATAAAATAATCAAGATAACCATTTCAAAGGAGTTAACTTCATCTGTTATCAATATGTTAAAAATAATTGTGATATTGTAACACATGAGTTTCTTTACTGTTACATTCAATAACAAGATCAAATGGTAGTTCTCATGACCTCTATAATTTCAAATTAGTTATAAGCACAAATAGCTTTAAGATATTTGCAACAACTGCTCTGTGATATGAAAATATCTGTGATCTCCACTGGTGACAAAGTAACAGATTTCTGCTAATACTACTATGGTTTATGGCCTACATTCTTTTTTTCTTTTTTTTTGGACAGGGTCTCACTCTCTAGGCCAGCCTGAAGTGCAGTGGCATGATCAACAACTCACTGCAGCCTCCACCTCCTCAGCTTGATTGATCCTCCCACCTCAACCTCCTGAGTAGCAGGAACTATAGGCACATGCTATCATAACTAATTTTCGTATTTTTCGTAAAGACGAGGTTTTGCCATGTTGCCCAGGCTGGTCTTCAACTCCTGGGATAAAGCAATCTACCTGCTTCAGACTCTGAAAGTGCCAGGAATACAGGCGTGACCCATCGTGCCTGGCCTTTACAGCCTATATTCTTAAAGAAATATTCAATTTGAGACAGTGAAAATAAATATGCAATTTTGTTTCTGTCCATGTTCACAGGCACCCTCAGTTTTATCTGTTAAGAGGTTCATGTTCATGGACAATAGACTAACAACTTCTGCTTCAGGTTGTCAAATCAGAGATAAACCTTTTAGGTTTTTTAAGTTTAGGTTTTAATTTTTTTTTTCTTTCTGAGACAGGGTCTTGCTCTGTTGCCCAGGCTGATGGACAGGAACATAATCACAGCTCACTGCAGCCTTGACCTCCTGGGCTCAAGGGATCCTCCCACCTCAGCCTCCCAAGTAAAGACAGAGAGTCCCTATGTTGCCCAGGCTGGTTTCAAACTCCTGGGCTCAAGCGATCCTCCTGCCTCAGCCTCCCAAAGTGTTGGGATAATAGGCATGAGCTACTGTATTTGGCCAAATCAACCTTTTATAAAGTTCTCTAATGGTGTTCTCACCTCTAGTTTGCTAGCTCCTGTTTATTCCATTCTCATTCAGTATTTTCTTCCCCCTTCCTCATTCTTGCCATTTATTATTCTTTAGTTTATAATAAAAATAAATTCCTAGTCTTTCTCCTATTTAAGTGTTGTTTTCTACCAACTCTGCTATTTTAGTTAATGATACAATCATTTTCTTAAGGAATAGGATTGTTACCTTCTCCAAATACAAATAGTAATCTATTCCTCTTATATTCCTCTTATTGCATTTATTGTATTGTGTTTTGCATTATATTGTATACCAGCCATATCGACATTATTAGATAACAAATTTGTTTAGAGCTTTACTCAACTATTTCATGAGTATGAATGCAATAGATGTTCCATAAACATTTGTTGAAATTATGTAATTTTGTATCTAAAAACTCTTACCTTTTAATTGTGTTCATCCTTTAGAGATCAATTGAGTGAATAAAAAATTGACATTTCATTTTTATTGTTTTAATCTCTTTTCTTTAGAAAAATCTAAATCTAGATAAGATCTCGATTTTATTTATGTTAACTCAATTCTGGAAAGCTGCCAAATGCCCATTTATAGAAAAACTGACAAACTGTGGTATTTTCATACAATCAGCAATAAAAAAATTAGCTTGATACAAGAAACAATACAGGTGAACCTCAAAAACATCACAATAAGAAACAAAACAGATATACATACTTAAAAGCCAGACACAAAAGCACACATGTATTTCATTTTAAATGAAGTTCAATAGCAGACTAAAATAATCTATGGTGATAGAAATCAGGATAGGAGGATATGGGAGCAGGACTTGGCTGAAAAGGGCACAGGAGAACTGTCTAGGATGATGGACATGTGCTTTTTCTTGATCTAGGTTGGTGGTTACACAGGTGTACACATTTGTGCACATTCACTGATGTCTACATTTTACTGTAGATAAATTATGCCTTAATAAAGTTAAACACTAAAGAAAATATGCTGGCCAGCCACAGTGGCTCATGCCTATAATCCCAGCACTTTGGGAGGCTGACGCAGAAAGATCACTTGAGCCCACGAGTTACAAGACCAGCCTGGGCAACATAGGGAGACCTTGTCTCTACAAAAATAAAAAATAAAAAATTAGCCAAGTGTGGTAACACACGCCTATGGTCCCAGCTACTTGGGACGATTGCTTGATCGCAGGAGGTCAGGGTGGCAGTGAGCAGAGATTATGCCACTGTACTCTAGTCTGGGCAACAGAGTGAGACCCTGTCTCAAAAAGAGATGAACAAAAAGATAAAAAGCTGCAGCATATAGAAGAAAGTCTACTACTAGGCATTATTCTAAGAACTGAAGATATAGCACTAAACAAAACACTGGGATATGAAAGAGAAAAAAATAATAGTATATTGTGATTGTAAACTTCTTTTGACCAGAGCAAAATATATGCCTAGTAACATAATTTGAATTGCAACCTTCCAGAAGCATTCCTTCATGCTGGTTTCCCATTTTTATTACAGTTTAATGTCTTTATTAATACATTTTTATAATACACAAGCAGTTAAGTATTCATTGTAAAAAATATATATAGGAAATCCAAATAAGCATGAAGAAAATTAATTCTCCATAATCCCACCACAGAGGATATGTTTTTATATTGTCTAAATAAATTATTTGTTCTACTATTGGACTATGTCCAATAGTAACAAAGGTTTTTAACTATAAATTTCAAGATCCTTTCAACATTGAAAATATTCCATTCTTCGCCTGTAATCCCAGCAATTTGGAAGGCCAAGGTAGGAGGACTGCTTAAGCTCAGGACTTTGAGACCAGCCTGGGCAATGTAGTGAGACCCTATCTCTTTTTTAAATTAAAAAAAAATCCATTCTAATTGATTCATCAGCCATTAAAAAAACAAACTTAAAACAAGAAACAGCTAGGATATGTTTTATTTACAGCATTTCACAATAAAGGGAGTATGGATCTATGTGACATTTGTACATTTAGTACATATTTTAATGTGATTGAAACTAAGTCTGAGGAGACTATATAGGCTTAAGAATCCTTGACTTCAGTCACTGGATATCATCAGGATTTTTGGAAATGTTTAACACATTAAAAACATTCATAACCTTATAGAGAGGATGGGGTGAAAGTAGATCCAGAGTCTTAAGAGTAAAATGTTTTAATGGGTCGCCAAGGCTTGCAGCAACACTTCCAATGAGGGTGGAAGGAGTGGTTAATTGTTCTGCGGTCAGTGCATTTAGGAAACAGTTCATGTGTTTTCTCACCCTAGGAAAATCGGGAATACACATAGTAAAGTGATGCTCTCAGAAGTCCTACAGCCAGAAAGAAAGCTTGTTTTTATTGAACATTCCCTCAAACTTATTTGGCTGTCCAAACTGCTCTCTCTCCTCCTACTCCCATCTTAAGTGACAACTGGGAACATCTCAAAGGATACGCTTCGGAAACATCAGTGTATCAGGGGCACCAGGTCCATCCTGAAGTTCCCAGCTGCCCTCTAGCCTGCCCGCCATCTTCTTCTACACACACACACCAGAGCACCACCACTGAAAACCCACTGCCACTCACCATTGACACCCTGGTGGCTCCAAATGCTACCCCTTGGGACGTGCTATTTGCTCAGTGTGACTAGTCTGCTCCCACTTAGGCCTCCCAGCTGGTAAATGCCTTCTCACTCTTCACCAAGTTCTGGTAAAACTTGCTCGTCTCTGCTAGAGAGGCTTAGACATTTTACATTCCAGTTTTCTAGACTTCCATTTTACATTCCAGTTTTCACCCTTCTAGACATTTCCACAATATATTATAATTGATTGTCTTCTTGTGTAACACCCTACACACAAGTCTAAAGGTAAGATCCCTAGATGGTAGGTCGTTTTCCTTTTTTTACTAAGGTAGACTGTCAGATAAGAGAGTCTTAAATATTGTTAAATTAATGAATCAATGAACAGTAAATTATGATACGAGCTCTTTTCAGGGAGGGAAAGCAAAATGAAATAGCAGATTAAGGTGCCTTGCTATATTCTTATTTCATCAACTAACATATGGTGTTCAAAGTCTTATTAAAAGTGTATTTCTGAGTAACCTCAGATCTCTCCATTTATTATCCAGTGAAAAAACATCTGTCAGTAATGGGTTATCCTGTAAAAAAATTAAAAAGGCTGGGTGTGGTAGCTCACACCTGTAATCCCAGCACTCTAGGGAGCCAAGGCGGGTGGATCACCTGAAGTCAGGAGTTCAAGATCAGCCTGGCCAACATGGTGAAACCCCATGTCTACAAAAATACAAAAATTAGCCAGATGTGGTGGCACATGCCTGTAATCCCAGCTACTTGGGAGGCTGAGGCAGCAGAATCGCTTGAACCCAGGAGGCAGAGGCTGCAGTGAGCCGAGATTGTGCCACTGCACTCCAGCCTGGGCAACAGAGCGAGACTCTGTCTCAAAATAATAAAAAAAAAAAAAGAAAAAAAAGGACTAAATATCACTGAATATACATTTTAAAATGGGTAAAATTATGTTTCATATTATGTATATTTTACCACAATAAAAAAGCAAATAGAAACAAGAATTATTTTCTAATTGTTATGGGAGAGGGAAACATACTTAGTAAACTAATACAATACCTACAATTTTTTAACCAATTTCTTTGAATGGACAATTTTTAAATGTGTTGAGCTGAAATTGAAAACAAATCTAAGGGTAGAAACAAAGCAAGTGAAATGAAGTTATGAAAGCATAGATCCATGTTTTTATTATAAAATGAAACCACAAAGAGCCCCTTAATTAGAGAAAACAGAGAGCTATTACTGTAAATGACATCCCCATTAGTACTACTTAAATGGCAAGGGACAGCTTACAGCTCACGTGTGACTATGAAGTTAACTGGTTTTACAATAAAACACATTCTAACACTGTCTAAGAACTGTCTATGAGTGAGATTTTTATGTGGTTCATAAGCTTATTCCAAAAGACATCCCGGTATAGGGGTTCCTAGGGTACTTTGACATCTGAGGGACAAGTTGTAATAACAGATCCTTGAGCCCTTTACTCATAAATTTTCTTCAAAGGGGATAATGTTTCTGCTTTGATTTAGACTAATCAGCAGTGACTTTATAGGCAAACTGCTTCTTTATTTTGGAACTTTAATCAAAAGCTCTAGTCTTTATAATATATACAGAAAAAGCAACTACATTTAAACTCAGTCCATCATTCACGTGACTTATAGATATACAGATCAAACACATTCTGCTTCTTTTATTTTTGCCATTCTCAAAAATAAAGCACTTCTTAAATTGCTTTAACTAAGATTTTCCAGGTTTCCTTTATATATTATGTAACGTGTAACTCTGAGGAAAAAAATCATCAGTGAAGAAATAGTTAATCATATAAAAAAAAGTGCCAGCCCAACCACAGAAACAACACTTTCCTAGAAATAGTCAAAGCATACCAGATAAAGAGCAGTAACAACTTTCTAAAAACAAATTCCCGAATTTTCTGTGCACCTCTTGTAGTTATTTTTCTTAATCAAATGTGAAAAAGATAAGGGAAAAAAGTATTATCCATTGACTCTGATGATGTGGTGGCAAACAATAAGGTTAGTATTTTCTGTCACCTTTTTCTTGAGATGAGGCTAGGAATCCCTGTACTTTTTAATCCCCAGTATCTGCCATAGGCCACATGGAGTTAATGGATTTATTTTTTCCACTACTTCTTGTAGACAGATAATCCAGGATCATAAAATAGAAGAAACCAGTTCACACAGACTGAGTGCAGCCAAGTGGCCATCAGCTTCTTCCTGTTCCACTTCACTGAGCAATTACTGAACAGACGAGCTGTACAGACTCTAAATGAACATCGTCACTACCTCTCACTTGTTTTTTGCTTCTGACCTCTTTAAAGGTTCGGACAAAGTAGGTACATTTTGTAGAAACCTAAATAACTTATGAGAGGAGTACAAAGTAAAAGCTAGTTATCAATTCTGCATGGCCTGCCATGCCCTTTCACCATCCTGGGGACATAACTTCCCCCCAAATGATTCCAGTATCAAATACCATTATTTTGTTGCTACTTGATCTACTTCTAAGGCCTAGTGTTTAGACCTTGACATATAGCTTTGTCAAACAAAGCTTCCATCCTCCCCACTCTGCAGCTTCTCTCCCTAGTCCCATGACCCTCTCTCTCTCCACGGAATTCTACACTTGAATCTCTGACTCATCCCTTTGTGTTTTCCCAGAGTTGACACTTGATCTGCTTGGGCTGTGGTCCCAGCCCATCCCTTACAACTTAGCTAACTTTCCCTATACTTGTCTTCAGAGATGCTGGACTTACGATATCAACCAACCTGCTCTCTAGCTGACCAAATTCCAGACACTGGCACCCCGGGCCTGCTACTTCACTGTAATTTGTAGACTGCATACTCGATACAATAAAGAGTATGAAGTTATTATGTTGGTGCAAAAGTAATTGCGGTTTTCATTACTTTTGATGGCAAAAACCGCAATTACTTTTGCACCAATCTAATATTTGGCAGTAATGCCCAAGCTATTTGGGGAGGTGGGAGAAGGGACACATTTGCACAGCTAAAGACTAAGACTTGATAATAAGAACTCTGATTCAAAAACGAGACATATATCAAGGGAAAAACTACATCTTGTCAGCACAATGTGAAACATGCAAGAGGCTTCAGAGAACTGTAATATGTGACACATCGAATAAGCTTACCTCAAAATATAAGTGAAGAGAAAGGTATCAGAACATCCTTTAAAGTACATTATATGCAAAGTTAGTAAGAGTAAGTTTGGCCATTTTCAACAAATCCTTTTTTTCCCACATAACCACAGATATAAAAGAATCTCTGGATAATATTACAGGAGTAATAGTGGAGGAGACACAGAAAAGCACGTGCAGTCTCTACCATCCAGGTACAAATAGCAGGAAACAATTATGTATATAATAAAAGTTTTCCCAACCCTCTGTAAAACCCACAACAGAAGCAGAATGTTGGAAACTTGCAGGCTTCTATCTAGGTTGGGGGAGCTTTTCTCTGGTTATATATGTTTACCAAGAATTGGCAAGCTATTAGCTAGTTGGACCTATTATTCCAATCAGATAAATTTTATATCAAACTGATGAAATGAGTTCAAAAAGAATGGCTTCTATAAAAACAAACGTGAATGCCACATGAATCCTTCAAAAGGCAGGTTGCCAAGAAAAACTGCAGTTGAATTAGGAGAGAGCTAGACAGCTATAAAAAAACTAGAGAGAAATTTATAAAAATCTAGAATTCGGCCGGGCATGGTGGCTCACACCTGTAATCCCAGCACTTTGGGAGGCTGAGGTGGGCGGGTCACCTGAGGTCAAGAATTAGAGACCAGCCTGGCCAACATGGTGGAACCCTGTCTCTGCTAAAAATACAAAAACTAGCCAGGTGTGGTGGTGCATGCCTGTAATCCCAGCTACTTGGGAGGCTGAGGCAGGAGAATTGCTTGTACCTGGGAGGCGGAGGTTGCAGTGAGCCAAGATCGCGCCATCACACTCCAGCCTGGGGGAGAAGAGTGAGACTTCATCTCCAAAAAAAAAAAAAAAAAAATTAAAAAAAATTAAAAAAAATTAAAATCTAGAATTCTACTGTGATGGCAAAAGAGGTTTTAAACTATAGTACTATATGGTTTTTATTATTTATAGAACAATACAACTCAAAATACATTTATGTCCTTATGTTTCCATATGTTATATGAGCATGGGGAAAGACACAAAGAGGTATACACCAAGTTGTAAGTATGGATTTCCTATTTTTGTACTATTGTTTGGAAAGTGGCTATGGAGACAAGGTGAGGGGGAAAAGACTGAATGTGAGAAAAAAATTACACAATAAATAACATCATAAAGATAACCGTGAAAGGATGATTATTGAAATATCAGTGGTAGTTATTGTTGAACAATTTTAATTTCATACATTTCACCGTTTGTATATTTTACAATGAACATTATTTTATATAATCATAAGAAAAGGAAGCTGATTTTCATTTTGAATTTTTTTAATATAAAAAGAGTGAGAACAGAAACCATGAGATTAACTTTTGGGGGAAAGCGGGGAATCAATGCCCAGATATTGCAGGAAAATTACTTTTGATCTTTGCTGACAGAGTACCTACCATTATACCAGACAGGAAAGACTATAGTGAACAATCTCTATCATTTAATTTTCTGAATCTTATGTTCCATACTTCAGGGAACGAAGGGATCAGTCGTTTCAAACCTCATGCTCAGCTTTTAGCAGGACATTTTCTTGTCCACGTTTACCTGCAGTATTTTAGTAGAAAATTAACATTGCCTGTTTATAACTAGAGCCCATAGACTTATTTATAATTCTAAGTCAACTTGTCTTCTGGTGGATTTTCAATATTTAACTCTGGGCCAGTGCATCATTCAAGCATTGCCTATCACACGTTATAATTTAATTGAAAGAGCAATGCACTCATTATCCTTTGACTTCCCAATAGATGCAGAACATCCGATTGGAAGGTGCTTTGTGTTAATTGCAAGGGATAGGGGACTTTGACATTAAGTTCTAATGATGCATTTCCATGTAGATAGGGAAAACAAATTCTAAGGACATCTTGATTCTTTTAAAAGTTGACTTAAAAGAAAAAATGCAATAGGGAACAAATTCTAAAAGAAAAATAACAACTTTGCTACAGTGCAAACTACTAACTCAAAACATCTGGGACCAGTGATAAGAATCCAGCTCCAAGCTGGACACAGTGGCTCATGCCTATAATCCCAGCACTTTGGGAGGCCAAGGCGGGAGGATTGCTTGAGGCCAGGAGTTTGAGACCAACCTGGACAACAAAATGAGACCCCATCTCTACAAAGAAAAGTCCCCAAAAAAGAATTCAGGTCTACTTATGGTGTCATAACAATTCTTTGGAGATTTTAGGACGTGAACATATATGTATTTTTTTAACCCTTTTTAACATTTTTTCCTTTCCAATACATCTCAACCTTTAAACAGTACTACTCAGAAAAATCTACACACCTCAATCTATTCCTTCTTCTCTATGAATTGTTAGGCTAGAATAGCCGCTACCATTTAGGTGTATGGTATCTTCCGTACATCAGGTTCTTCACCCATTAGGTTGGTGCAAAAGTAATTGCGGTTTTTGCCATTACTTTCAATGGCAAAAACCGCAATTACTTTTGCACCAACCAAATAATATTAACTCATATATGGGGGAATGAAGGCTCACAGAAATTACCTAACTTGCCATGTTTCTATACAAATAGGAAGTGATAAAACTGCAATTCAGATACATCTCACCCTGGATTCTGGGTGAGAGCAGGTACAATATACTCAAGACAGGGGCACACCAATGCCTCCACTTTTGCTATTGGCTCAATTGGTCAAAAGCTACCTTAGGAGTAATTTTATAAGATTAGGTTTACTCAAAGTAAAAAAAAAAAAAAAAAAAAAAAAAAGTATGAAATTAATCTCTACTAATCTGGAACCACTGCGTAAAAAAGTGAAGTCCTAGAAAATAAATACATTTTTAACAGTTTTTTAGAAGATCAGGTTTACTTTGGAGGGATTCCAGCACCTTAGTTGTGTTCCAGAACTGTTTGTCTCCAAATTTCTCCAGGAAGGTCAAGAGAAAAAAAAATTTATTCTAAAGCTACTGCAGGGTAGCATCAATTTTCTGGGTTCCCTGCAAAAAACCACTTCCATTCATTCTGAGTTAAAAGGACCATAACTAGGGAGAAGCCCTCCTGATGTGGCCTTTAGGTTCATACCAGACTATTAGGGAAACTGGTTCATGAAAACACTCCCAGCGGTAGGAATCCGGGTACACCTTGATGCAGCTGCCTTTGGCTGATGCAAGAGTCCTGACAGACACTGATCTGGCCTGTTTCGCTTCCTGGCTCTTCTCATCCTGTCTTAATAATTCATTTGGTTTTACTTTCACTTACACACAAACACCCACACCACACCAGTGTATCACTAGGAGTTGTTATTAGTATACTTAATACAAATGTCAAGAGCACGTATTCTGAGCTCATCCAAAAATGGAAATGTCTTTTTCTGTGAAGAAAATATGGCTAATTCCACAAATTTTTCTTTTTCTCCTAAAAGTAACAATTAGATTGTTTAGATGCTGTATACTCTGTAACATACAAAACCAGACCTTTAAATCTCATGTCAAAAGCAGAAATCAAACACACAAAAATCAGTGAATTTATTAGCAGGATGGCATAGTTTGCAAATTACCTGCTTTCCATTTTTCTTCTCTACATCTAGTTACCGTAAAAACAGGCAATGCGGCATGGTAGAAGGATTCTGAACTTGACCATCAGGAGCCCTGGAGTCTAGGTCTGGCTCTCCCACTAAACTGTCATTGTGCTACCATGGGCGAGGGCCTTAACTTCTCTGGCCTTAGTTTCTTGATATGGGAAACAGGAGGAAAGATGAACAACCAGCTTCTAAGATGCCTTGCAGACTAATCCCCTCGTTGGAGACTAGTGATCCCACCTTTGACAATGCTTCCCTACTTTAACCTTTCACTTGAACTGTGAACTTTCATTATCATTGCCCAACACCTCCATTAGAGAAAACAATCACTTGGTTACAAGACTGACCAAACATCTGCTCTAATCTTGCAAAAAAAGAACTGAAGAAGCAGGAGAAATGGAGCACTACCACCTTTTGTGCGAAATGAAACTTGTGGTTATTTGATGCTGCTGACAAAGGACATTATTACACTATTTGGAATTACAAATTAGGCTAGAGGTAGTGTTAGATATTAAGCAGGTTCTATTTCATGGTAATTAACAAGGATAGAAAACGACATGCTAAATCACATCAGAAATGTCTTTTGGCTGTTTTTCTTAGGTACGCCAGGAAGAACTTGAGTCACTTTTATTGCTTTTCTTATTCCTGTGCTCCTGAAGGGAGAGGGGAACAGGCAGAAGAATATTAGTCATCTGCAATTAATTACTCACTGAATTTTCTAAGCCATGATCATCTTTCCTTTTGAGCTTTCATCTAAGTATCTTTAAGAACTTCTGAGTATTAATTATGACAACACTGTCTTGAAATAATTTTTGGCTTTGATTAAAAATTATGTGTCCTACTTTTAGTTACTCTCTTCAGGTGTGGAGCCTAAGGAATCCCAGAAGGTTAGAGTTTGGAAAGATGTTGAAGTACATCCGGACCGATCCCCCTCACATTTTACAGTTTTTGAGACTAGAGAGGTTAAGAGACTTGCCCGATTTCACCCAGCTAATCAAGAGACAGATTTAGCCTAGAATGAACCACATCCTGTTCTCCAAGGCCTCATTTGAGCTTGTGCCAAAATAACATATTTCATAATAGTCTTGTAACCACTCACCTCCTAAGTTACTTTAAAAAAGTAATTTATGGATAACTTCCTCAGACACAAGGCCAGCATGTAGGTGGAAATGCCTGCTGCCATTTAAAGATGATCTGAGGACTTACGTGAAACATATTTCCCTTCCTGAAATTTTCAGTATTTGTGATATAGGCTAAAATTCGGGCAATCAAGATTAGGTTAATTATCTCTACATGGCAAGTTATTTTGGAGATGAATGAGATGAACTGTGTTCAAATGCAAGAAAGCAGCCCCTAAACCTTAAAAAGTCCACTTTATCTAGCTAGTAACATTAAAACATTAAAACCTGGGTTCAAGCATTATGCCATCTGTGAGGGATAGCAAAAACAGGTGAAATAGCTTCTTTTCTTAATGTCACCTACAGTACCTAAGTTTCTCTAGGGCCACTGAGCGGTGTGGGAACGACATAAAAGAATGATTGTGGGTGAGAAAGAAACAGGAAATCACTGAGGGGGTGCCTAAAGAATATTTCTTATTAATTCACAATATGGCAGAGGTCCAGCCTTCAAATGCAATGCTTATCTCAAGGGAACACCACACTGACATAGTTCAAAGTTGGGCCTTGAGAATCAGAACAGGCTCCTCCACTTGACACTCATGAGACCCTGGGCTTGTTATTTCACCTCCTTAAGCCTCAGTTTTCTCATCCATAAAGTGGGATAACTGCCCCCCACCACAGAACTGTTGGGAGAATTAAATGAGATAATATATAAACAATGGTGATGTTAGTCATCAGAAAGTAGTACTCAATAAATACACTCAAACTTGCTTCAAGACAATTGGCCCATCTTTACTCCAAGTGGCTGTTAATGGTTTATGTTGTTGTGAAGCACAGAGATACTCATGGAGCATTCTTTTCATGATGCTATTTTTCTTCTCCCCTAAAAAGCTGTTTTAAAATATATATATATTTTTGTATGTGTGTATATGAGAGACAGGGTCTCACTCTTTTGCCCAGGCTGGAGTACAATGCATGACCATGGCTCACTGCAGCCTTGACCTCCCTGGTCTCAAGCGATCCTCCCATCTCAGCCTCCTGAGTAGTTGGGACCACAAGTACATGCCATTTCTTGATTTTTTGTAAAGACAGGGTTCTCCCTATGTTGCCCAGGCTGGTCTTGAGCATCTGGGCTCAAGCAGTCCTCCTGCCTCAGCCTCAAAAAGTGCTGGGATTACGGGAGTGAGCCACTGCACCTGGCCTAAAATGAATTTTTTGTTTGAAGGAATGAGACTTCAACTAATCCTTCTGACCACCATTATTTTTTTTTTCTCTAGAGACATACAGAAAATGCGGTGAAATTGTATTGACCTGGGTCATATTAGAGCATCTAATCTGAATACTTCATTCTTTGTCTCTACCTTGTATATCCTTCTTTTGTTTTCTACCTTTTGTTTGTTGCTTCTTACTCTGCCTCACTTGGCTCTCTTCCTCAAAGGAGGCACAGGTGATAAAAAGTGAAAAAAGTTATGAATAATAGTTGAAAATACAAAAAAATTACATTAGAGCCCAAAGTCTGGGAGCTTCATGACCTAAAAAACAAAGACCTCTAGAGAATACATCTGTCTGCTTTTTGGTGATTTTTTTTGTGCATTGTATAATGTCACAAGCCTGCGTTTCTGAAAACAAATTTTAATCCAAAAAAAGCACAGAAATTCATTTTATAGAGCTCATAAAACTATCCCTTGAGTCTATCATCTTTTTCAACTACTCAATTTACTTTATTTTTGCTATGATTAGGGCCAGAGTCATTTAGTAGAAATGATGCCAGGAGGTCTGTTTGGTGAATGTTCTGCCAAACATAAAGAGTTGGCATTCTGCTCAGACTTTTCAAAGGAGGACTCCAAGTGGGAGATAAGGCAGAATTTTACACTGGAAAAATATAAGGTCAGGTATTCCTTACGTTAGGTATCAGTAGCCTAAAATCAATTATTCACTTCAGAAAATACATTCTATCACAAATTGAAATGAAGGTTACATGTATCCTACAAATGTCCCCATCTCTTTTGTTCTTGCGCGCCATCTAGTGTTATTTAGGGGAATACTTAGCTACAATTCTCACGCCCAATCCGGGCTGGAAAGAAGGCCTTAGTCTGGAGAGCGATCAACTAGTCCAATACCCTGCCTTCGTTTTTCATTGAAAGCCGAGTCACTGCTTTCCAGAGGTGAAACAGATAATCACCGATCATTCTGAAATTAGATTTTATTCTGGGATACTGGGAACAGTCTCCGTTATACCCTGCTGACTCACTTTATTGCTCATAATCATCATTTACCAAGTGTTTCAGCAGCACAGAATTGAGATATACACAGTGCTCATTAAAGAAAATTAAATATTACAGTGACTTCAAAATTAGACAAATAACTGATTTGGTACAAGGTATATACTTTATTCAGACTCAGAATGAGTTCGTTCAGACTCAATAACACCTGCAATAATCACCTATAAAATGGGCATCATTGTATATATTACCACCAACATAATCTATCTTAGGGGGTTATTATGGGGGGGGGGAAGAATTTTCAAAGTCCCTAGTAGAGTTTATGATCCACAGAAGCAATTAATGACAGCCGTTTTTAATACTGAACAAGTATTCCTATAAAATGGAGTTCTCAGAAGCCAACACTCCATTGGATCAGCACCCACCAGGATAAATCAGATATGGTCTTGTGCAATTACTAGAGTATTCTTTCTTCCAACAGTTCTTCCCCCATGATGTATGCAGTACAGTGGAATGGGTGACCGCAGTGGCTCTAGTGCTCACAGGTAGAGCTATATAGACCCCAGCTCCTCCACTTACCAGCCAAGTGACCTTAGACTTTCCACTTGACTTCTCTTCAGTGTAGTTTCAGTTTCTGTCAAATAGGGATAGTGATAATACCTATGTCACTGATTTTTGCGAGGATTAATGTGTTGCTGTGTGTACCTGGCACCTAGCAAGTGCTATATGATTAAGTTGTCGTTTAAGTATTAGCTGGAATTTAAAGCAAATAAAAGCTGTTTACAGGCTGGGTGTGGTAGCTCATGTCTACAATCCCAGCACTTTGGGAGGCAGAGGCAGGAGGCACTTGAGGCACTTGAGGCCAGGAGTTCAAGACCAGCCTGGGCAACATAGGGAGACCTCGTCTTTCCAAAAAAAATGCAAAAAAAAAACAAAAAAAAAAAAAAAGGAAAACGTAGCCTGTAGCACCAGCTACTGGAGGGACTGAGGGGGCTGAGGCAGGAGGATTGTTTGAGTGAGCCCAGGAGTTTGAGTTTATAGTCAGCTATGATCAGCCATTGCACTCTATCCTGGGCACCAGAGCAAGACCCTGTCTCTCTGAAAAAAAAAAAGAAAGAAAACATTATTTGGTACAAGTACTAATAACACTGTTGTAAAGGTAAGTGATATTTAACAAAACCTAAATTTTCGAGAAAAAGGCTGCTACAATACATAGGTTGGTGTTTCTAATATACATTGTTAAAAATGTCACCTTGAAAGATCTTTTAAATAGAAGCATTTTTATTTTAAACAATACTAATTTTATCTGATTTCTTCTTCTCTGCCCCCCTACTGTGCTACATGCTTGTGGTTATTATGTAACTTAATTCCTATGACCACACTCTGAGGGAGGAGAGCCTGACCATTTTTCCAGACTGTACAGATGAGGAACTGAAGCCTTAGAGAAATTAAGGAACTTACTCAAGTTCAGAACTGGTACATATAGGTGAAAAACACAAACAGGCTCCAAATCCAGGAATGTTTATAACTGCTATGTTAAATGCCCTCTCCACTTATAAATGGTTGACGCGATGTCCTGTAAATGCTTAAACATAAGATAATCCCTAGCTCCTATAGCAAATACCTTAACTTCTCTAAGCCTCCATTTTCCTTAGATGTAAAAGGAGATTCAGTGGATCAGATGGTCCAAGATGCTGAAAACTCTAGAATTTAAAGCAAATATTTTTACTTCATAAGTCTGATTGGTAAATCTAGGAATTTACTTATTTAGAATTTAAAAATAAGTCTATTGTCTTAATTTGTCTTAATTCATTTGGGCTGCCATAAAAATATATCATGAATTAAATGGCTTATAAAAAGAAATTTCTCACAGTTCTGGAGGCTGGAAAGTCCATGATCAAGGCAGATTCGGTGTCTGGTGAGGGCCCACTTTCTGGATCATAGATGGTACCCTCTTACTTTATATTCACATGATAGAAGGACTAGCTAGCTCTCTGGAGTCTCTTTTATAAGGGCATGAATCCCAATAATGAGGGCTCTGCCCTTGTGACCTAATCACTTCCCAAAGATATCACCTCCTAATACCATCTCCTTGGGGGTTAGGATTTCAACATAGGAATTTTTGGGGGGATGCAAATATTCAGACCATAACAGGATTGTTCTACTGGATTCTCTAATTCATATTCTAACAATTATAAATCACCTATATCAGTATGAGAAATTGTTAGATTTGGTATTATCTAATTCAAAATTTGAAAAGTATAAGGATATTTATCCTTATGTAAATAACATCACAGTATCACAATATGCAATTCATTACATTTGTATTTAAACACACAAAAATCAGACAACTTGCTGGTTAATTTTCTCTTACTTTGTTAATTTTCTCTTATTCTGTAATATTTAAACATTTTATATTAAAAATACTATCACTTTAATTACTTATTAGCCAGTCTCAATTTATTTTAGTAAGTGTAAAAAAAAGGGGAAATGTACCACAAGTCAACCTAGGTATTAGCAACACTAAACATCGTTGGCATTTTGTTTTTATTTTCTTCAAGTCAACCAAACACGTATAACAAATAGGAAGATAGTAATATTGGCACAATCTTACATTCTTTAGCATTCAATTAACACATATGCAACAGTTGGAAGGGATTACTTGCTATTATGGTACTGACATAATAGACAGCACTGAATTCAGTCTTGGGCCCCATAAATTATCCTATACAGCCAAGCCTGCAATGGTCTGGCCAAGAATGTGAATTTGGTAGTGGCTGCCAAGATATGGGAACTGAGCTCTTAACAAATGAGCACATTAGGGTAGTAGTGACACTTAATGTAGAAGGAAGATATCCCCACATTTCTGGCCATTCATTGTAAGGTTCATAATCTTTCACATACACTACTTGCATTCTCTTCATAGGACTCAGAACTCTGACATATTTATTTATTCCCTAATTTTTAGTTTATAAATAATAATTGTGTATATCCATTGTACACAATAGATATATATGTGGAATACATGTGGAATAGCTGAATTAATATATACATTATCGCACATATTTTTGTGGTGAGAACACTGAAAATCTACTCCTAGCAATTTTCAGTAACTCAATACATTGTTATTAACTATAGTCACCAAGTTGTACAATAGATCTCTTCAACTTATTCTTCTTATCTAACTGAAATGTTGTGTCCTTTGAGCAATACCTACCTCCCCAATCCTGCCCACCAACTCCTAGGCCCTTGGTAACTACCATTCTACCCTCTACTTATGAATCTGAGTTTTTTTAGATTCTTCATTGAAGTGACATCATGTAGTATTTGTCTTTCTGTGCCTGGATTATTTCATGTAACATAATGTCCTCTGGGTTCATCCATGTTGTCCCAAATGACAGGATTTCTTCTGCTTTAAGGCTCAACAGTATTCCACTGGGTATATACACACCATATTTTCTTTATCCATTTATCCATTGGGAGACACTAAGGTTGATTCTATTTGTTGGCTATTGTGAATAATGCTGCAATAAACATGGGAATAGAGATATCTTTTTGACATACTGATTTTATTTCCTTTGAATATATCCCTGGTGGTAGGATTGCTGGATAACATAGCTCCATTTTTAATTTTTAAAACAGAATCTCCAAACTGTTTTTCATAATGACTGTACTAATTTACATGACAACCATGATGTGTTTATTAATCATCTATCAAAATTCAGGTTCCATAACAGGAGGAATTAACCTGTCTTAACCTGTATACCTAGCATATGACCTAGTAAATAACCTGCATACCTAGTGTCTAGAAGAATAGTACCTAACACATTAGAGTTGTGCAGGATGTATTTACTGAGTAATGAATGAGATCGTGCAAGTGGTTAAAAATAAATTACTTTCTCTGTCTGGATAAATTTTATTGCTAACACCTTGTTCATAGTTATTGTCCTTTCTACCTCTCCACCACTAAGATGAATCTCCTCCTACCTCCATTTACAAGTGTATCTTGATCTGAAACCTCTTCTAGACAATGACGGACAATGATTGTTTGGTATCCAGCAACCTAACCTGCTCCTGAGCTTGGCGGATGTTTGCCCTCATGCACACACTCTTCCTTCTGCGCAAAAGGCATTTCAGGGTGATTCTACCTCTCCTTCTGAAATTTCCTGTCTTCTCATAGAGCAGATGCTCTCATTTGGCAACATGAACTGTGCACATCTCCATCATGCTTAGAGTTACAAGTTTCCTTATGGATTGAGAGACTTGTGTCTCATAAGCATCTTTACCTCTCATTAGGAGATACATACAATGTGCACCATGACAGGTGTCAGATGTCCTCCTACCCTGAATCTTTGCTTTCTGAATGAAAACCTGGGTGTCATTCGGTACTGTGAGATGGACAAGCCCACATCCACAACTTGCTTCAGATGTCACCCTCACCACACCCCTCCAGCCCCTGCACAAACCTATAGTAGGTCTGGCAAGGCCCACATCTAAACTGCACATGAAGGTACCAGGCTTACCATCAGGCTTTTCTACAACGCCTCTGTTTCCCTCCATTTGGAGGTAGATCCCATTGTGCTAAATCTGTGAGGAGGGCACCAGATGGCAACAAGCTGACACTTTATGCTGTAGCATAGTTCCTAAGACCAACCTTGACCTCATACTTTGGGAGTTTGTGAGCACAAGGTACACGAAGTATCATATCCCTTTGATGGGGAATGAGCCATTAGACAAATGGTAGCCCTGTTGCTATCATACTGGATCACCCTAGACTTGGATTATCATACTTCTTAGCCTGGCTATCCCCCCACCGTATCCTAAATTTCGCTTGAGATCATTTGAAATAGGCCTTTTTCTTGACAACTTTGACAAATCCCACCTTACCCCAAAGAAATCTATATCTAGGCACAGACCAGCGGGCCTTGTAGAGCTCTATGGGAAAAGACTGTCATTCAGGCACAGGCTCAGTAGTACCTAAGGTGCCTTTAAAATACAGATTCCTGAGCTCCAGTCTCAAGAAATTTTGATTCAGGAAGATTCAGGTGAGGCCTGAGAATCTATATTCTTCAAAAGTTCATTTACTACTGGCACTTCCACCCAACCATCACTCAACTCTCCACCTCATTATGTCTGAAGTATATTCATGTTAGGAGCTCATTGACCTAAACTGCACACCTATGAGCAATGCAGAAAGCTTCATCTTGTTCTCAGAATAAGGAAGGACCCATTCATTCATTCATTCATTTGTGCATTAGACATGCTAAAAATCTATAGCGAAATCAATAATAAAATACAGTTCCTTTGGGCAGGACTGACTACATAATTTATAGGGTACAGTGAAAAATAAAAATGTGAAGCCCCTTGTCCAATAACTTTTTTTTTTTTTTTTTTTTTAAGAGACAGAGTCTCACTCTGTTGCCCAAGCTGGAGTGCTGTGGCGTGATCTCAGTTCACTGCAACCTCTGCCTCCTGGGTTCAAGTGATTCTCTCACCTCAACCTCCCAAGTAGCTGGGATTACAGGCATGTCCCACCACATCCAGCTGATTTTTGTATTTTCAGTAGAGATGGGGTTTCACCATGTTGGGCAGGCTGGTCTCGAACTCCTGACCTCAGGTGATCCTCACACCTTAGCCTCCCAAAGTGCTGGGATTACAGGTGTGAGCAACTATGCCCAGGGAAATTAAGATGCCTTTTCCCCCATAAAATAGGGCTCAAGAAATATTAAGAATTTCAGGACAGCAACAGCAGAGCATTAAACCAAGCATGGGGCCCATCTGACCTTGGGCAAAGCATGTTCATTTTGAGAATCCACTTATCTAAACTACATTCCTAGGAGCAATAGAAAAGACAAGAAGTCCTTCATTTTGCTCTCAGAACAAGGAGATCTCTTAGAACTATGTCCATAATGCTGGCCCAGCCTGTGTAGGAAGAAGGAATCTAGAACATTCCCACCTGAGAAATGAAATTCCACTAGCAGGCAAAAAGTGATGAGCCAATAAAAAAAAAATTAATGATCATTAAGAAACAGTCTCCATCTCAATCAATTCTCCTAGTTGAACTAGAGTTTGTACTTCTAATGAGTATGCTTAAAATAACAACAACAGAATAATAAATTAGCATTCTCCATTACTTTGCGGTTTTCCCAGGTACAATAGCTTTCTAGAAGCTATAACAATAAATCCTTAGAAATAAAATTCCCTCTTTTTTGAGCTGACCAGGGGATATGCAGGTGATATCCATGAAAAGGAAAGAACAACAGGTCTTCATTTCTACTTAACTCACAATAGCTTCTAATATCCTTTCTAATCTTAATAATACGCAAAAGAAGTATGAAAAATTTCACTGAAGACAGCCAGGTTGAAACTCGAATTAATCCAAAGACACTTAATAAATGAGCTCTTTCATACTACAGAACATTATTCTTGTTAAGCCATTTGTCAAATTCATATGCCAACATTTCACATTAGTAATCATCGTGATTCTATAATACAGAATTATGTAGTTTAAGAAGTTGATGGCTATTTTGTTGTATGGATTTGGGGATCTATAAACCCAAGTCTTGGTATTTATTCCTATCCTTTTAAGATTAAAGAATTAAAAAAAATAAAGGATGCATGCCAAAAGCGTGACAGAAATGCTTGCTCTTCATAAACACAGTGCTTAACAGTTTTTTGTATGGATCATGATTGCTGAGGTTATTATATTAGCTGCCAAAGTGCCAAAGGCTTGGTTCTTCTACATTTACTGTTTCATTGTTGTTTTGCCTTATTTGTATTCAGACATAATACTTGGCTTCAGAACATTATAAATAGCAATCAACAAAATTAAAATGAGCACAGCCAGCATACAGTATGTTGAAACTGTGGTAGAGGGGAAACAAGTTCTCTAAACAAAAGCACACACAGAGTAATAAGGGCTTTATAATGTTTAAAAGGTACCTTACCCAGATATTAAGGGATGTTTTCTCCTTGCACACAGAATAGGAAGAGCCAGGAAAGATAACCTCCCTAGCGCCGCAGCCATTTCTAGACGGCACTTGTACATTTAAGTTTCTTGCTCTGACACCATGTAAGAGTAGCAAAATGTGAGGCCTTCACATGTGACTGTGCGGTCAAAAGAAAATCTCACTGACTTTCAAGGAAAAGTAGAAAAGGGAAGTATCAGGTATAGAATCACAATTTTACACACTGAAAACAAATTTACAAACGAATGCAGTACTTGTCAAATTTAATAAAGAAAAATAATTTTGCTGAATTGAACACTATACTTTTTGGACTATATACTTTTATTGCAGTCCACTGACAAATGTAATATCCATTCGATAACAAAATTCCAGTTTATAGATTTTCTGAATACTGATAATATAACAAAACCTGTGTCGAGTTGTTGTTTCGAACTTATCAAAACATCTCATACATACCTTAACCAGCAAAGCCTATATGATAGTTCTATAAACCATGACAGGGAAGTATCTTCAGAATCATTCTTTTAAAAATACATTCAAGTCCTGGGACTTCCAAAGTGGTGAGCCTGGGGTAAGGGCCAAGCATGGTCTTAAAATAATTTTAAAACTCTCTGGGTGATTCTGAAACACAGCTAAGGCTCAGAACACTGTTGCAGACAAATGGTTCTCAAAGTGTGGTCCCTAGACCAGACACGTCTGGGAACATGTTCCAAATGCAACTTTTGCAGCTCTTCCCACACATACTAAATTAGAAACTCACTGTGGAGAAGGAGGAGTTTAACAAGCCCTCCATGGAATTCTGATTCAACTTTGAGAATCGCTGTTTAGAGATGAGTTAGGTCAAAATCATCTGTCTTATAATTACTAAAACAAAGCTACCAGAACTTCAGATTTTCTTAGATAGTTTCTATATTCATCATACAAATCAAAATCAATCTTAGACATTTACTACTCCATATAAGGGCCTAACAGCTGCTACTTTGGAAATGTTTCTACAGGCAATCACTTTTAGGATCTTAGCCTCCAGCTCTTTCTCGGGGTTAGAGCAGAGGTCAGCAAACTTTTTCTGTTAGGGTTAGATAGAAAATGTCTTCAGCTTTGCAGACCACACGGTCTCTGCCACAAACAAGTGTCATATACAATACATATGTGAATGGGTGTGGCTATGTTCCAATAAAACTTTATTTACAAAAGCAGGTGTCCGGCCAGATTTGGCCCAAGGGCTGTAGTTCTTAGAAACTCCTGGATTTAAGAAATGATGATAGACTCATCGGGAATGCAAAACAAAACACAACATACCACTCCTCACCCATGAAGGCACACTCTTCTATGAGCACAAAACTTATCCAATCTGGAAGGACAGACTTCCTTCCAGATGAAGGACAGACTAAGGGAAAGGAGAGAAGGAGAAAGTGGTTCATTTACTCACTTATCCACATGGTGAACATTAAGTGCACACTAATGTTTGGAACCAAACACCAAAGCCCTACCCTCACAGACCCAAGTTTAATGGAAGAAAAATATAGATTGGAGATGAATAAAAAAAAACAATGCTTTAATATTGATCAAATTGTTCTGAGAGTGTAGGGTTGATTGACAAGATCTGAAGTAGCCATGAAACAGGTCACATTAGGCCTGGATCTTCAGGAATGAAGAGGATGATGCCTCTTGGAAAAAAGGGAGAAAAGTATTCCATGGGGAGACACCAAGTGCAGAGGCACAAAGCTCAGGATTAATACATTCAAGGAACAAAGAGAAGATCAACATAGCTGGACTACAGGTGACAATGGTGAGAGAGGGGAGTCATAGGCAAATTGGAAAATAGGGAAATTGGAACATAGGCAAATCGGGATGTACCTTGTCTAAGAAGTCTGAAGTTTATGTGGATATGCAGTATTGTAAAAGCTGGAGACTGTCATAATCAAAACCTGTAGGAAAAAACACCCAATAGATCATTCTGGCTGTAGCATAAAGGACCAGATAGAGCACTGTAACTTCCTACAATATTAATTGACCAAATATAGGTCAACCTAAATAACAGAGAGAGGCTCTCTAAAAAAAGAAAGATATTTTAGAATGGAGCATTGCAACAGGAATACACTGCCATGGTAAACCATGTTTATATTCAGGGAGGTAAAGAAAGACAAAGTTTTAAAAGAAAGAATGAGGATTACATAATTGCTTTGACATAATTATCCTTGGCTACAAAGATCAATAACAAGGGTGATGCCAGTCTAAGTTTGAACTGGCAGTTGCTGGGCAGATGTCCTTGCAGAGGTATTTTTTGTAGAAGGTTTTAATGGCCTTTGTGCAAACTTGTGATTTCTTTGGTCTTTTGTAACTTTTTTTTTTAAATCAGGCATACAAGCATGAGAACCTTCCCTTCACAGCCTTCTGCAATGCTTAACAGACCCAGTGAAAGATAGAAGTTGATTGAACCAAAGTAGCGACTGGTAGAATGGATGAGAGGAAAAGTTTTACAAGGCTTTTCTGAACTTGCATAGACATACTTTCCTACTGGATGGAAGAGAAAGAGCTAAAAAAGATTCTCCTTGATCATTTGGGAGACTTTAGAAAAGGTCAGCCTTAACTGAGACAGGAAATACAGCAGGAGGAGCAAGCTTGGATTACAAATATAAACCCTATTCTGTTATCAGTATGCTGAATTTCAGATGTCTGGGGACAGATAAAGAAGTGGTCTTAAATGTTTATTTCATAAAGTAACTTGCATGAAATCACTCTAAAAGCTTGGAAATAGAATGCAAACCCTACTAGTATTTTTAATAATCAAGTTATTACACACCTATTAAATGGAACGTATTTGAAACCAGAGTAAGAGGTCAAATGAATACATTCTTAGAGAGTTATAAGGAGACTACTGCAAGATTTCTCCCTTCTATGTTTTAAGTAGCCCCTGTCTGGGGGCCTGGAGGAAGCCCACTTTCTCCTTTACTGATAAGTACTTCTGGAAAGATGAAGACCTATGAGCAAAACAACAACAACAAAAAATTTGGTCCTCTCAGCCTTTGGACCTCTTTTGGTCTACTCCAAGTCAGAGTGGTCCTCCCAAGTTCAGCCTCTTCCTAGTCTATCTCTAGTGAAAAGACGCCAATGTCATGAGAGTACTAATACCCATGTCTCTGCTAAAGCAGGATAGTGAACAAGCACAACTTATATAGAAGGTCAAAGGGGAAAATTCAGCCTTCCTAACTGCAAGGAATGTAGTGCTAACAATTTAGGTTGTGAAAGGAGTTGGTTAATTGAGAAAAACAGACACCACATATCACAGAGCCCAGCATCTGGCGTGCAGTAAAATATTCAATAAATAAATGAAGTGACTCTGTGGCACATACACTCACTTTCTCATCCAGTCTTAGAGCAGACATTTTCCAGTTTATTTAAGCCAGAAGAGATGTTTTGTCAGAATAAACCAGTTTCTCGGAAAATGACAACACTGGTGTCAAAAAGGGTTCACAGGACAGGTACCAAAAATATTACCTGTAAGTTCGGGTGCTAAGACTATAGAATACTTCATTCCTTTTGAAGACAGATCCCTGTATTTTCTAAGTTTTCTGTAGGATACCAAAAATATTACAGCAATTAAGTTTGGGTGGAGGGGTTATGATTTCATTTCTTTGGGGACATGTCTGTGTATTTTCTAGGTTTTCTACAATGAAAGTACATTATGTTTGTAATTAAAAATAAAACATAATTTAGAGAAGGAGGTCTATGTGCTGGCTTCCACCTCCACTACTACCTCCTTAGTGCAAGTTACCAATGTCTCCTGTCTACAGCAATGACCTCTTTCCTGATCTCCCAGCTTTCCCTGTTGACATTCTCCACATAGCAGCCATAGTGCTCCTTTAAAATGCATCCTCCAGTGGCTTCCACTGCACTTTAAAAATTCAGTCTCTATAGCCCTTGCCTATCTTTTTAAACTTATCTCCTTCCTCCCCATCTCCCCCACACCCTAGTCCCTACCTCACTCCCACCCCCATACTCCATTCCTGCCATTACCCCCCCCCCACACACACCCCCTCCGGTCTGACCACACTACTATATATCCATTGCTAGAGCAAACCAAGCAACCAGAAACATGTCCCCAGACTTCAGCTCCATTCCAGGTTCAAATCATACATCATTTCCTCAGAGAGGGCTTCCCTCAGTGCCCTACCAGAGGTCACACTCTATACTATTTCTTTGTCTGCTCTTCATAGCACTAAGAAATGCAAATATACAGATTCCAACTGGACTTTCACATTTGATAAGGTGTCTGCCATGGCCCTCACTTAACCTCCATTGCTGAGCTACTTGGCAGAAACAATATCACAGAGAAACAATACAAGGCTCTGCCTCAAACTTCAATATGTGTCTGTGTTCTCAAATTGTATTCCTAGCAGTGACAATCTGAAAGTCACTGGCTGGGCTAGAAGCTAACTATACCCTTGAAGATGACACAGAATCCCTGGAACTTGGGGCATGAATATATCAATCCTAGAACTAATTTCATTTTTCTGGCATCTTGCCTAGACTACACATAGTTAATGTTTGAGTATTTCCAGTTCTCTGTAGGTACAATTATCTTTTCATTAAATTGCTAAAACCAAAGCTAGGAATCATTTAAGTAATGGAAAATTCCTTTATTACATCAAAACCAATCAGTGATTAGCACTAGGACTGAAACCTATCATGCTATACAAATATAGCTGAATAGCTATTTTTAGACTGTTATAAATTTGATGGAGGGAATAACTGAGAAAGTTCTCTATTTGATGGTGATGATGATGATGATAATGATGATTATTTAGAGACAGGGTCTTGCTCTGTCATCGAGGCTGGAGTGCAATGGCAAGATCATAGCTCACTGCGGCTTGGAACTCCTGGGCTCCAGGGATCCTCCCGCCTCAGCCTCCTAAGTAGCTAGTACTACAGGCATGTGCCATCACATTGGGCTAATTTTTTAAATTTTTTGTAGATGGGATCTATATAGCCCAGGATGGTATCAAACTCCTGGCCTCAAGCCATCCTCCCAGCTTGGTCTCCCAAGTAGCTGAGACTACAGGTGTGAGCCGTCACACCCTATAGTGATGAACCCTATAGTTCATCAATACACTGAATATCTATATTTATGTTATTTTGTTATAGTAGGTATAATTTATAGGAAAAATAATATATAACTTTTATAGTAAGATAAAAACATTTCTGATCATGTAGCCATCTACTGAATGTTCTTGGGATATATGCTGGTCCCAGTTTTGAGAATAAACAAGCTATATAGCTGAACTATGTTCAGATCCTAAGCACTAGCTGAGTCCATCTCTAAAATAGTAGTAGAGAAATAAAGAGGCACACAAAAGTTCTTAATGAAGCAAAAGGCAGGGAAAACACATTAGAACAGAAGTTCTAGGACTATTTGATTGTTAAAAGGGAATTCATTATATTTCAACCATGTGCTTCACAGACTAACTGCCTCTAAGGGAGCTTATAAAATCTCAGTTATTTTCTAACTGATATGGAAGAGACATGGAGGGTGGATAGTGGGGTCTGGGACAGATTAGGGACACAATATGCGATGGCCCCACCACAATTCTCACCCCTTAAAATGGGAAATATAATGACTTGCCCTGGAATAGTTTTACTCCTCATTGTGTCACAGTTGGGTGACAGAGGAAAGAGGGAGAGAAAGGAACAGAAAGTCTCTCTCATATTCAGATGCAGAAATCACTTTTTCCTGTTTTCTTCTTATGACTGATCATTACGGCACTACTCTGGGTCACTGCTGAGTGTGGTACTCAGCATTAGAACACATTTTATGTCTAACTAGAATAGGAATGATCATCGCTGGTTGGGGACTTACCATCTCAGACAATGAGACCAGCACAGACAAGGGAATGGAAGACAGGTTTTCCTCAGTAAAATCCTGGGGCTTTGAGAGCTTCTGAGATGGGCACTTCTTACGTTAATTTCACTAAGGGACACCTGGGTGGGACCTGAGTGGCTAGCAGCATGAACAGGCAAAGATCAGAGGTCAAACTATTAACACCAGAGAACTCAGACAGCTTTTGTCTTCCCATAAGTCCACTGAGGGCTCAGGAAGTGGAGTGCTACTAATCATGCTGGGGTGTTGACACACAAAAAAGGAAGAAATGGGTTTCTCCAAGCTTCTGGGTAAGTAATCAGACTTCAAAGAACTTCATCCCTTTTGTAGAACAAAGCTTGTTGACTGTATGTGGGTTCTAGTCCCTACAGAACAAACTAGAAATAGGAATTTCTAGCCCTATACAAGCTTGACCCCTCACCCTTTCTTACTAGGGGATGTGTCCTCAGGTTTGTCCCCTTCTAGCTTTGTTAGAATTTCCTGACTGGTTCCAATCATCTTTAACTCTTTTCAGGGCTAAGACGCACCTCCCTTGCCTTATGTACCTGCCTGAATTTCATATATCAGGCACACCTTCATAGACCTGTGCAGATCTGCCACGGCAAGCTACGGAAATCAGCAAGTACATCAGCGAAGGCTTGGATTACCAGTTATAAGGCAAATTTTGAACATATTTTACAGTTTGTCTATAAAGATACTGTCACTCATTCATGGTTAAATGGGCCTGCCAGGGTATGCGTCACAAATACTAAATTATGTTTAAAAGAAGGCTTTAAAAGCAATCAACTATCCAGAAATTCCAACTTTTTTTTCCAGTGAAGTATTCACCACTCAACAAGTATTTCCTTGTCTTTTTTCTTCCTCTGCATCACTGAAAGATTTTTATTCTTTTTATTTTTGTTTTGATAAGGAAAAATCCTTTGATGCCTCAGAGAAAGAATACAGTTATTATTTTAAATGAGTTGTTTTTAGTAAGTGTATATTTGAGCATGAAACAAGTCTAATACCAAACTAGGAAAAAGACATTTTTCTGCCCCATTTGATTATAGTTGCTAAATGTTAGACAATACTTGTAGACCTACTACTATCTTATTAACTTGGGATTTACTTGGAAAAGTGCTTTCTCTTAAAACTGCTAAATCTGTGAGGATGGCAAATTAATAGCAATGGAAATTGTAGCTATGATTACATGACATTTTGGACAGGTTTTCTTTGGTGGCACAGAGTTAGATATGTTTATGCAGCTGCTCTTGGCTTCAGTTCCTACAGACCCCTCTTTTGCTTTTTTTCTTTTATATGAGGAGCCATATGAAGATGTTGACTTTCCACAATTTCTATCAAAAATGTTATTTTGCAAACACAAAACTACACTTTGAAAATGTTTCTTTACTTTTAAACCAATGCCTGATTGGAGAAGCCATCCTTTTCAGCACCCAAAAATGACGAGTACTAATTTTAAATTTTTGTTTAAACTTGTGTCTCCTATTTATTCCAAGAGTAAACCCTGAACACGTTTGGGGTTGTGTTGTTTTTTCTTAACAAATAACCAGATAATCATAGTGCGACTATTTCCTCTACTCAGTGTAAGTTCAACGCTGACCAAGGTTGATGTGAATGTCAAGATTAGTTTTTCTCTCTTGGCTGTAACTGAAATCACAATCATCTCGAAAAGGCTATTATGATTATCAGTTTACCTACAAGCATAATGTACCTTTTACAAGAATATCCCAGGAATTATTTTTTAAAAGAGAAAAGAAAGTACCCCTAACCTCATCTTGCAAATGGAGACTTAAATGTTAGGCTCAAGGCAAAATTCTACCAAGTAAATTTTAGAGGCAAGACAGACAGGTTAGTAAGAACACTAATGCTTGTCTTTAACCCCAACCTGAAAAGATTTTTTAAAAATCACACAAAAAGTCCTCTTCCCCAGTCTTCCTTAAGAACAAACTAGTAGAGTGAGGGCAAGGCTAGTTTAAAGACCTTTCCCAGCTGTATATTTCAAAGCTGATATGCGTTGCAAAGAGAAAAGCATGCAAAGATGCTCTCCTTACCGGAGGTGAAAGCATTGTGCCAGCTCTGTCACTACTATAACCATCTTCCGCAAGTGGAGAGCAGGGAACGCCAGGGTCCCAAGAAGTGACGAAAAGCGATAATTAGATCTCCTGCAAGAATCTTCCCTAAGCACTTTCTTCCGTGACACACCTACTTTGTGGCATCTACGCGCTCTTCACGGCTAACCACAATCCTGTCATTTCGGCTTATTCATCCAGCAGCTGCCGGAAGGACCGGGCTGAAGCGTGGCCACGAGGAGGGGGATACCCGTGCGAGCGCTGAGCCGGCAGAGCGGCTGCAGCCCACGGGCTCCTCGGACCCCCGCTGCTGCGCCGCTGCAGCTGACCGTGCGAAAGCCGCATGTTATTGGGTAGAGATCAGCTTTCCAGGAACAGGCATCAGCTGTGCACGAGCCCGGCAGCATCTCGAGACAAGTGCTAGCCGGTGTTGGTGCAAACCAAAGCTTGCTATGTGCTCAGAAAGCGGCCCCAGCTACTGAGCATGCTCGGCTTCTTCCCAGCTGCTGTTATCAGAGCCCCTTAACTGTTGACTTCTGTTGATTTGAGAAAGGGAGAATGAAGGAGTGGGCACGAGGGTGCGATTCGGTGAAGGAAATACCTTAAATTTGGAAATGATCTCTTCCGTATCCCCGCGCCCCTTCCCCACCGCAAAAATAAAATTTAAAAAACAGAGTAAGGATACACTGCTCTGCACTTAGGAAATTTTTTATTGATAGGATGATAGAGATGTTTGAAACCTACCAGCAGCTTTTAGTCTTTAGCTTTCTCCCTGCCCAATTAAGTTGCCTCCGGGATCAAGCTTGTGGTGTAAACTGCGAAAGGGTTTAATCCTAACAGATCACTGTTCCTCGAGGATTAAGTACAGAATTGCCTTGTGTTTGAAGATCTAGGCAATGTGCCACAAATTAATTATCTCTGTACCATCATAATCTGCCTCCTACTAGACAACAACTTTCTTAAATATTTTATAAAGTAATTGTGCTAGTTTTGAAATGGAAATGTTAACCTATATTATAACATACATCTTAAAATTTAAGTCTTCCAGATGGTAAGCAAAATGCAAGCAAAGAATGCCTGGCTGATTCATGACTGTAAACATAAATCTTTTCTTGGGGGCTTGGTGGACGGCCAGTACTCCATAAATGTTCCCGTGACGATGAATTGGTGAACTGATGGGTTAGATCATCTGTTAGTGGCGCTTACAGGAAAGCTGAAGTTCTTGAATTTGCTATGGACCCCTATACTAACTCTTGACCTTCTCAGCTATTTTGGGCTGGTCAATTATTTGAAGATAGAAATACACTATACATTAGGTGTGCAATACGTAAGCAAATGGCTTTTAGGTGCTATTTACATTTTATTATTTTTCTTATGCCTCCTTTTCTTCTTTTTTCGGCCCCCTAAAATGCTACTTTCCAAGTTGAGCCTCATTCAGAGCACGCCGTCTCAGCTACTACTGAAACCAGCAACATTAACTCTCCATGGTTTGCAGATAACAAAATTATTTCATTTTGAAAAACTTTTAGCCAGTCATCTCTGCCAAGTATGTGGAGGGTTAATCTGAGAGGCTTTCACAGCTGAAAGCTGGGCCTGTGAGAGCCCACACAGGACACAGGTGAGGGGAAGTCAGGTATTGAATCCCTAGCAGGTGTCTGGCCTGGCCCATGAATCCAGTTCCTTGGGGCAGGAAAGTCCTCTCTTTCTTCCCTTTTTCTCTGCCCCATCCTGTGGCTCTTTTATTTGTTTTTTTTGAGATAGGGCCTTGCTCCGTTGCCCAGGCTGGAGTGCAGTGGCACAAACACAGCTGAGACAAGTGCTAGCTGGTGCAGTGTCAACCTCCCGGGCTCAAGCAATCTTCCTACCTCTGCCTCCCAAGTAGCTGGGACTACAGGCACACACCACTATTCTGGGCTGATTTTTTTTTTTTTTTTTTGTAAAGATGGAGTCTCACCATATTGCCCAGGCTGATCTCAAACTCTTGGGCTCAAGCGATCCTCTCTCCTTGACCTCCCAAAGCACTGGGATTACAGGTGTGAACCATTTATACCTAGCCTTCTTTCTGTCCTTTTAGGACTCAAGTGCTACCTGAGTACATCCTGACTCCAGAGCAGGCCCACTCTGGCTCCCCTTCTCTGTAGCTTTTCAGTGATACTTTCTTCATTGTCTTTAGTTGAATCATACCCCACCATACCAGCAGCTTTGAATTTCTTAAGGGTAGAGACAATGCTGGTTTTTTGGATCTCTATGTATAATTGTACATATATAATTACAATTATAATTGTATAATTGTATACATCTGTGCAGTTACTGGTTTTCACATGTTGTCAATATTACATGGAGACACAGGAGGAAGTCCTTCTATTGTAATGACCACTTAGAAAATGGACAGAGTTAGTCTAGGGACATTTCTTAAAGGAAGTGATTGCAGGAGGAGAAAGAACCTTCTCAGTATAACCAAATCAAAGATTTCATAACTGGAAAGGAAGATGCAGACCTGCTAAGAGCAGATAACTAAGGTGGGGCTGTTTTATAGGTTTTAATCCCTACTTCTCTGTCCCGAACAAAAATAGAAACAGAAGTGGGGAGACACAACTGCTCCTGCTATGGGCCCCATGGACTCATTCAAATTCATAGCAGAGATTCCTTATTCCATCTACCTCATTTACCATCTGCCATTTTTTTCTTGCTATTTATTATATTGCAATGAACCTGGTTCTGAAGGGTTGCCCAAGGTGTTCTAATCACCAAAGCCAAGAATTTCTCAGTTTTGATGACAAAAATCATAATTATCACTTATTTGCACCTTATTCTCTGCCAAGCACCACTAAAATCTTTACAACTATCACATTTAATTACCACATGAAGCATTTTTAGCAGCATTTATCACAATCTTACATTTTGAATTTATAGTATACAATAATGTGTTTGCTAACATCCAAACCATACAGGCACACAAACAATAATTGGTAATGGATAAGGACAGAGAATATTATCTTTAGCTGCTGATGAAACCAAGGCTTTGAGAGCCCAAGGTAAGATAGCTAATAGGTGGAGCACGATATGAATTCCATCCTGTTTGGTGCCAAAGTTCAACAGTCCTTAACCAGTCTAAATTATAGCCTTGCTCCACAAGAGTAACTTTTCCAAGAAAATATGGCTAAAGTTGAAGGCAGGGGCCAATTCCAAGTTGACTTGATATCACTGGGGCTCAGAAACCAATACTTCAAAATATAGCACTTCAACATGCTGAACCGAAAGAGCCTCAAGGTCTGACCTTTCCCACCCCACCTCTAACCATCTCTCCCAAAGCACAGGATGGATCTGAAGTTCCTTTATCTGTTTAACATCCAGATCCATCAAGGAGAATAGTGGGTTTTTTTTATTTCCACCTCCCCACCCACTGCCCGCGTAAGACCAAAACTGTAAACACACCTGAACAGACCCATCGCAAGATAATGTCTGCCTCCTAAGATCATTCCGATTCCAAAGTGAACTATTTACAGGTTAATTTCTGTCCTCAGAGTCATTCATTCTCCCTCTGATACAGTTTGGCTCTGTGTCCTCATCCAAATCTCATCTTGAATTATAATCCCCATGTGTCGAGGGAGGGAAGTGATTGGATCATGGGGGCTGTTTTCTTTCCCCCATGCTTTCTCGTGATAGTGAGTTCTCACAAGATCTGATGGTTTTATAAGCGTCTGGCATTTTCCCTGCTTGCACTTCTCTCTCCTGCCACCATGTAAAGAAGACCCTTGCTTCTCCTTCATCTTCCACCATGATTGTAAGTTTCCTAAGGCCACCCCAGCCATGTGGAACTGAGAGTCAATTAAGCCTCTTTTCTTTATAAATTACCCAGTCTCAGGGAGTACCTTTATAGCAGTGTCAGAACTAATACACTCTAGTAATCCTATTGCCTCTTAACAGAATTCCTCTTCATCCTGTTCCCATAACCAATTTTGTCAGGGTGGTATATAAGCTTTGAAACCCATTGGATAGTATGTAATCAAGCTGTGGTTCTCCTGTGTACATGTTAATAAATTCTGGATGCCTCTTCTCCAACTAATCTGCCTTCCTTTAGTTGATTTTTTTTTTTTTTTTAGTGAACCTTCATGGGCAAAGGGTCTGTTTTCTCTTGGCCCCTACAATGCCAAACCTGGGCTTAAACTCTGCTATTCTGTCCCACTCCTCTACAAAATTCTTTCCTCTTTTGAATTCCTTGACGTCACACTTTTCTAATTCTATGCCTTTCTTGTTTTTCCAAAAAAGTTAAGGTTTCCTTCCCATTCATTCATTCATCTCATTGTTGCTACTTGTAACAATAGTTATCACTTCTTGTGACTTCTGCATTTCTGTCTAACCAGTCACCCTGTTTTAATTTCTTACTCTTCAATCCTTCTTCCAAAAAAACCCCAAAGTCTCCTAAAATTTCATTTACCATTACAATTGAGAAATAAAAATAAAATTCTAAGTCATCCAGCTGACTTAATGGACCCCCCCTCTTGGCCAAGGGGACCCCAAAGAAACCTTGAAAACTGAGTTTCCAGCCATGATGGGATGGGAGGTCAGACACCTTGTTATATCCCCTCCCTCACTAACTGCCATTAGGCTTTCATCCCTAAGGGTGAAAAAGAAGCCAGCCCTCTCAAAAGACTCTACCACTGATATCAGCCAAATGCCTGGAGCTGCCCTTTGTGGTTTCCACAAAACAACAGACTAGCATGTCTTCCTGATAAGAGACAACCATCTATAGAGTGGTCTGGCCAGTCTACAGAGGATGCACGATGAGGGTTTTGATGTTCTCTGCTTCACCTTTTGACATCAGAGGGCCAGAAACTCTACGCTCGGATCACGCTAATGCTGCCATTTTTTGTAGATGGGACCCATGAAGAGGCATGAAGCTCAACTGGATATGCACATTCTTCTCCTTTCATAAGTATTCGTGACTCCTATGGTTTATTGAATATATTTATATTGAATATATTTGCTCACCCCACCCAGCATAAACTCCTTTTCCCTTTGCCCCTCCCTCAAGTATTTGTCTCCAGCTCCTGACCAGAGGCTACACTTCCCAGCCTGTCAGAATGGCCACCTGCAGGCTACAGCCCTTTATGAAAACTAAAGCTCTCCTTTCTAAATTTACAAACCTCATCATTCTTCAGCTGACACAGTGGACATTGTTGATTGTCTTGAGAGAGTTGGCTTTTCTTCTAATAGATCCCAAATTAAGAGTCTTTATCTGTTCATATCCCCAAACAGTCCATTTGCTCCTGGAAAAGTTCACTAGTCTGATTCTCATTGATCTAATAGCAACGCCAAACTCTTGCCATTCATTGGTTAAGGAATGGGTATGTAAACCAATTTTAACTGATGAAAAGGCCAGGAAAGTTTGTGGCAGGCTTCAGAAAGCTTCTTCCCTTTTCTTTAGTGGATTTCTGAGATTCCCTCTTATGTCTTACATTTAAACAAGGAAGTGTACAGCCCCTAACACTACTAGAAACCATCTTTACACCTTGAAAAGAAGTCAACATTGTACAAAGTGAAGAGCAGAGATTTAAAAAAGGGCTACTGGTGATACCATTAAATTGATCTACCCACCCAAATGCCTACCTCATCTCTTGATTTGTTGGATTGTGAGCCAATAGAATCTGCTTAGAACCACTTGAATTGGGTTTTCTACTTACAGTCACAAAGCCTCTTGTCTGAGATATGCATTTTTTTCTTTCCTATTCAAAATGCTGAAATGATTAGGAATAAACTAAATTTTGTGGTATAGCATTTGAGAGTTTGTTCCTGGCCCCTTCTGTCTTGGAAAATTTGTCTCCCATTATATTCTGCTATGCACTTGACACTCTGGACATGCTTGGCTGCTTGATCTCACCATGTCATTTGCTATCCCACAGGCCCCTGCTTGTCCTGTATTTTCTCCTACTGAAATTCAACTCTTCAAGATCTAGAGTAAAAGATACTTCCCTCTGAGATAGATTTTCAAAATTAGTATTGCTTCTTTTTATATATTCATACATGTTGCTTGTACTTGTGTGTGTAAATCTGGGTCCTCCAGGAGCCAGAGCAGCCAGGATGGAATTAAACTGCAGCAATGATGTCTGAGGAAATGTGTGGGAGAGAACATGAAGACAGCCAAGGGAGGCTGGGGGAACTATCAGACTATAATGCAGTGAAGAAGAGAGAAAAGGGAAAGAAGCTGGATGCAGTATAGTTATCAGGAAAGTTCAGCAAGGGTGGTGGTAAATCCTCAAGCCAGCCTTTCTTCAGAAGAGTCTGGCTTCTTCCAGAAACAGGCTGCCCTAGTATGGCTGCCACTCTCAGTCGTTGGCTGGGAGCAGGCTACAGGAAGCTTGGTTTCAGTATAAAAGCTGTGATGCCTGTCATGAGGGGACCTTGTTCACTCCCTGCAGCTTTATACTCCCTGCAGCTTTACACTACCTGCAGCTGGAGGGTAGGAAGGTACTTGCTCATGGCTGCCATACTCTTTATTTATTACTCGTTCAGCCTGTCCTAAATTCTACATGTTATTTACATGAATCTCTTCCCTGCTGGATATAAACTCCTTAAGGGCAGGACCTGGATTCATTTTTTTGTCCCACTGTGTGTTTTCCATAGTATGATTCCAGTAGACTGCTGCTGTGTTACTGAAGTGCATTCTGGAATATATTGCCTCAGACCTCTATATTTGCAATTCCTTAAAAAAAGAATAGGAATAATACACCCCCTAAAGTCAATGAGAACTTGCTTTCATAAGATGTAAGATATTGTTCCATGATTAATAGTTTTAAAAAGTTTAATTCAGTCATACTCACCTGTCTTCTCCTACAGATCAATGTGTCTCCACAAAGAAGTTTGATTTTGAAATTTCAGCATTGATGAAGTAGTGAAGTAGAGCATTTGCTGATTAATACCCAATTTTTCACAAATTTAATCCCCAAGGCAAGTGGATGATTAAACTTGGAGTTAAATTTATAATGCACTTTAGTTTGGGCTGGAGAAAATTATTTCAGACTGGTATGATACACTCTACTATTTCTTCAACATTCATTTTTAGGCGACATGAAAGTGGATCTTTCAGGTACATTTTTTTCAGATAAAAGGAAGATTAATAGTGGTCACTGAGGAATAAAGGAGATTAGAAAAATCTGTGATTATTTAAGGTATAATATGCATTATTAAGCAAGGAGGAAAAGCACATAAATACAGGTATTTTGTCACTTCATTATACTTTGTAATGTTCTATGTACTATCAATTTAGGGTCAATCAATTTATCTATGGTTAAGATATAATAAATAGTGCTTGTATAAGTAATGGTCCAATAACGAGACAGAAACCACACAGTAATTTGAAAAGAGAATGCTTAATATAAAGAATCATTAACTATTTACAGAGAAAATTACAAAAAGGGAATAAAGATAAATTCAAGAATACCCCAAGACTGAGTGAGTTTACCCAAGGAAGGAGGCCCTCTCCAACACTGGGACTCAGAGCTCTTTGGTGTGGTTGCTGTCCCCTGGATGGTGGAGAAGTTCACTGGGTTGCCCAGGCCAGAGCTGGTCCACAATCTGCAGGCTGATAATCACAAGCTGCAAGTCTCCTGCTGAGGTGCTCATGGGCTAAGCTAGTAGGCAGGACACTGCCTTCTGGGATGCTGATGAGATTTTGTGGGGAGCTACCTGCTGGGCTGCTGTTGAACTGGCTGCGAAGAAGCTGGCTGGGTACTGACTGGAATCACCAGAAAACCAGAGTCACCTGCAAGAGGTTTTGTTGAACTGTCTGGGCACCCACAGAACTCACCAGAATCTACCTGCAGCAGTGTGCCACTGAACATACTGATGTGAAGCTAGCTGGGGTGACTGTAGAGCTCATCCAGAAGCTGCTGCTAGGAGAATGAGATGCCTGGAGAGCCTGCTAAGATGACTGCAGCCCTCCCCTGGAAACTGCCTTGGGAAGTACTGCTGTATCTCATTCATTACTGGAAAGCCTGCTGGAGCACTTTTGGAACCACTGCAAGACTTCTACAGCGGTGCTGCTGAAACTCCCTGGAAGTGAGCGCCACTGGGTGTCCTGAATGCCAGTCCAGCGCTGCAGAAGCAAGAATGCTGGAATAAAAACACCGGAACCAGGAAGAGACATCCCATCCTCCCGCAGTGTCCCTCTAGCGCCCTCTACTGACAATGCCTAGCATCATGCCTGCTGGCAAGAGGAATGCTTCTTCAGTGTCAGGCGATAAAAGAATGGATTTGGAGCTGAGAGGTAATAAATTGATAACTGACACAGTCCTTTTGTCAAAATCACAACTTTGTATTAAAATGCTCTCTTTCTCACTTGTCTCTTCCATTAGTAGGTGATATGTGTTTCAAAAGTGAGGATACTTTTTATATTTCATGTGTAACACAGCTCCTGGCACATATTATGTATTTACCAAACATTTGTGAAAATGTTGTACTGAATACATAAATATTGCTTCCTGTGCTAAAAGATTCACTTGGTCTGAGAGCACTAGGTCTGTACAAATTAGATGGCATAAAGGGAAGCTGTTGTTTTCATTGTTTGTACATAGAAGAAAAATGGCAGCAGTGGTGATTGACACATAGCACACCTGTAGAGTCACTATTTTCTAAAAGTGGGATTTTTTTCAGTCACTAGGAATTTCAGTTAGGGTTGAATGATTGGAAATCCTCCATAAATCTCTAGGGGAAAAAATTCTCCTTTATTGAGCAGCAGTACATTCTACTCAGAAATGTACTGTGAAAATGAAAAAAGCAGTTATACTAGTAAGCTGAATGATGTCCATTTCACACAAACTTTAATAACATGGAAAAATGAAACAAAATAAAAACTACTGGAATATATAACAAAAGTTTATTGTGCTTAAATATATATCAACAAGACCCGTTTCTTCGACATTTTGATTTAAGGACTGAATTTATGTTGAAGGTTGAATTACTTGAATGAGTTTGGGAGTTGAAGAATAGAGAGATGAAATTATTTAGTCAATATCAAGCATCAAATAAATGCCTCAAGTAGATAGAATAAGAATAAAAGAGAAAGACAGGGAGATTTATTTTAAGGAATTGGCTCACACAATTGTGGGGCATGACAAGTCTGAATTTTGCAGGGCAGGCTTGCAGGCCAGAGACTCATACCTAATATCTCAATTTGGAGGCAGAATTCCTTCTCCCTTGGGAGACTTCAGTGTTGTTGTTGTTGTTGTTTTTCTTTGTTTCTTTTTTGAGATAGGGTCTTGCTCTGTGGCCCAGGCTGGAGTGCAGTGGCGCAATCTTGGCTCACTACAGCCTCAAACCTCCTGGGCCCAAGTGAACCTCCCACCTCAGCCCCCTCGAGTAGCCGGTACCACAGGTGTGTACCACTACACACAGCTAATTTTGCTTATTTTTTGTAGAGACGAGGTCTCACTATGTTGCCCAGGCTTGTCTCCAACTCCTGGGCTTGAGTGATCCTTCTACCTTGGCTTCCCAAAGTGCTATTACAGGCGTGAGTCACTGTGCACAGCTAGTGTTTTTTCCTTAAGGCCTTCAACTGATTGGATGAGGCCCACTCACATTATAGAAAGGTAATATGTTTTACTCAAAGTCTATGACTGGTTTAAATGTTAATCATATCTAAAAAGAAAAATCTAGATTGATGACTGAATGTCTGGGGACCATAACCTAGCCAAGCTGACACATAAAATTAATCATCACAGCATCTAACTTCATTTGCAAAATCACCTTAGCAATGAAAACACCAAAAGCTGACAAAGATAATTGAGACAGAGAGAAACTATTAGCGCAGTGTATTAGTCTGTTCTCACATTGCTATAAAGAACTATCTGAGAATATATAATTTATAAAGAAAAGAGATTTAATTGATTCACACAGTTCTGCAGACTTTACAGGAAGTATGGCTAGAGGTAGGCCTCAGGAAACTTATGATTATGGTGGGAGGCAAAGGGGAAGCAGGCACATCTAACAAGGCTGAAGAAGGAGGAGGAGAGTGAAGGGGGAGGTGCTACACACTTTTAAACACCCAGCTCTCATGAGAACTCACTATCACAAGAACAGCAAGGGGGAACTCTACCCCCTTGATCCAATCACCTCCCACCAGGCCCCTCCTCCAAAATTGGGGATTACAATTAGATATGAGATTTGGGCAGGGATAAAAATTCAAATCATATCATGCAGAAATAATAAAGGAAATAGTAACATATAGAATTTAACAAAGCATTACTGGTATAAAATATTATGACCAAGTGGAGTTCATTGGATGAATGAAAAATTGGGTCAATATTAGGAAATATGTTTAAATCCCTACATAGATTGAAAGATTAAATGGAAATTGAACATGTAATTATCATAGCAGAAGCTTAGCAGAACCATTTTTCTGGCCAGAGGAATTGAGAAAAGGGAACTTTAGGAGTCTGAGAATGTGGGGGAATCCCTGAAATGAGAGAGCTGGGCAAGAGAATTCTCTAACTATACAAAAAAATCTGACACAAGCCCCCACTTATAGCTTATCTCTGCATGTGCAGAACATACCCAAAGAAGCACAGCAAAGGCTTTGGGAATGGAACTATGATATAAAACAGGGACAAATTCACAGACTGGCCCATGCACAGGGTGGATTCATACAGCATAGCACAGCTTTGAGAAATGAACTTACAGTGGAACCATAGTCTAAGATGGAACTTTTAGTCTGAACATTGACTGATTGCTGACATCAGTTAACATTCTCCACAGGAGTTTAACAGGACCGAGTCTCACAATATAATATTCAAAATGCCTGTGATAAAATACAAATGTATGAAAAGTATCACAAAAATCTAACCAATTAAAGTAAATGTTCATCTACAGATGCCAACTCTGAGATGACAAGATGCTAGAGTAACTGGACAAAGCCCACTATTCAGGAATCAAATAGACTGAAGTGTTGATGTACTCAATAGAGTGGCTAAATCTCAGTTGCACGTGTTAAGTGAAATAAGCTAGACTAAGAAGGGTACATTCTGTATGATTCCACTTATATGGCATTCCAGAAAAGACAAAACTACAGAGATGGTGATCTGTTAAATCAGTGGATGTTTACAGTTAGGCATGAGGGGAGGGACAGACTACCATAAGAGTCACAATGGAATCTGGGGGGCAATGAAAAGTTCTGTATCTTGATGTTGGTGTGATTACATGACTACCTGCATTTGTCCAAACTCAGAATGTACAGCAAGCCAGGTGTGGCAGCACATGCCTGCAGTCCCAGCTATTTGGGAGGCTGAGATGGGAGAATCGCTTGAGCCCAGGTGTTCGAGGTTGCAGTGAGCTGTGATCACACCACTGCACTCGTGGTGACAGAGTGAGACTCTGTCTCTAAGAAATAAAATAATAATTTTTAAAACTTAGAGTTTATAACAAATAGAGTGAATTTACTTTATGTAAATTTAAAAAGAAATATTAATAATTTTTTTAATTACTCTCTTTCATGCTTCTGAAGAATGATTGAACTCTATTGATGCATCTCCCATCTTACATATTAATATTGTGGCAGCATTTTCATATTCCCTTGTTTTTATAGCTGCAAACCAGTCATCACATGTATTATTATTTTATACCTTTAATCTTTTGTTTTTAAGATTTATCAAGATGTAAAAAGTTCTTTTCTACTCCTTGCATCTCATTTCTTCCTGAAATTAATGTTCTCCTCCCTGAAGTACCTTTCTTAATAATTCACTCAGCTCCATTTGTAATTTCTCTCATGTTTTTTTTATCTTAATAGCCATTCATTTTGACCTGACATTTGAATGATAGTTTATCTGGGTATAAAATCTGGTTTCTCAGTTATTTTCTCTGAATATTTTGAATATATTATTTCACTGTCTTTTCACTGGTATTGATGCTGTTTATAAGTCATTATTTTGCCACATTGTTTAACATCTTCTCTCTGATAGTCAGTCATTTATCTAAGTGTGTACGTAGTTTTGCTATCCTGTTGAGTACTTGATTTGACTTATGAATGTTGGGTTCTATCTTTATTAAATTCTGAAAACTTCTATTTTATGTCATTTATAAAATTTTCCTCTTTTCTATTTTCTCTAATGTCTTCTTATGTAAAACCAGTTATATGTATGTTGAACTTTCTCATTCTGTCTTTCATGTCTTTTCATTTTTCTCTCACATTACCTATTTTTTATATTGTGTTGCTTTCATCTTCTCAGTACAATTTACCAATTCACTAGTTCTATTTATAAATATAATCATATGTTTAATCTATTCAATATTTTAAAAATTCTAGTGACTATAGATTTATTTTCTACAAATCCATTTCTTTTTGTTCTTAAAATTACCTGGTAACTTTCATAGTGATTTATACCTTTCTCATATTCTTGTTTATTTAGTTTATACTACTTTAATTATTTAAACATAATCATTTTATAGTTTGTGCCTGATAATCTTATTCTTGATGTTATTCTTGGGGTTTAATCATATCGTTTTTTTTCTCTGCTGACTCTTTTTGTGGTGCATTGTTTCCTGTGTGTTTTAGAATTGTAGATTATAAACTTATCTTCCCAGGACTTTATAGTGTGAATCCTATGTAATGTGATTTGACATACCACAGGATTCTAATTAATCCAAGAATAAAATTTATGTTAACGTATACAGTTACCAGACTACAGAGATGATGGAAATTCAAACCTGAAACCTGTGTAATTGGGTTCATGATCATAAATTTATAAGAAATGTTTTTCTTTCTTGATTTTTTTCAACCACAGCCCTGGCTAAGACTAAAAGTTTTCCTCATCACCTACCTGTGCTACGGACAGATAATTTTTAGTCTACTCTTCTCTATGTATGTGTATAACTTCAATTGCTTATCTTTCTATAGACCCAGTTCCTTACATGCTATCTCAGCATGAAATTATGTTCAGTTAATTTCCAAGCCTCTAGTTTATCAAGATTCACATGACCCTCTCAGAAGACTGAAGTATCAACTCACCCTTAATCTTGTTGTGTACAGTTCTCTTTACATGTTTGTCTTCTGGAGATTTCTCTCACTTTTTTGTTAGGATAGCTATGTATTTTTAAATTATATATGCTATCTTTTATCCATCACTTCTATGTATTTTTATATGAAAGATTTTTAGTTTATGTAGACTGCCCTATTTTCAGAAAACCTTCAACTTCCTTTTTACATTATATTTAAATATATTAATTTGCCTACATTTTTATAAACACAAAATATTTGATATTAATTTTGAAGGCATTTTAATGGCTTCAGCTCAGGACAAAAATTACATAACATGGCCAATAAATGGTTCATGTTAAAAGACTAAAATCCTAATCACAGGTTAATAAACAATGTAGTCATCTAGAATTTTTACAACCAATTTGAAGAAAACACTGAATACAGAAATGGTCAATAGGATAATTGCATAAATAACTTGTCTTGGGATAATTGTGTAAGTAACTTTTCTTCACAGGCAAAATCTCTTACTAATAGATCCTAATTCTAGCAAGAAAATTGACATAGGATTTTGAACATCTACTGTACAAATTAATGGTTTTGGATGTTTGCTGTTCATCAATTCTTAGAGACATAAAATGATTTAGCACAATGTTGGCAGGCCTGCACGGAAATGAGTAAATTCTTTTATGGCTGATAGTAATATAAATTGGTGCCATTTTTTCTAAAAAGCAAAAGGGAAGTATGTAACAAGATCTTGAAAATATATTTGTATCATTTGACAAAAAGAATTCTACTTTTGTGTATACAGCTTTCCTTTTTATTCATCTGTTTTTTTCTTCCTTTGTTCATTGACCAACAGTATTTAGGAAGCTGTTTGTATGGCAAACATTATGATTATTCTGTGGATAAAAAGATAATTCAGATATGTTTCTTTCCCTTGAGAAACCACAGACCTAACTGTGTAACTCACTTCTCCTCCTACTTTCACACTCCCACCCTGTTCCCCAAAGACATGCATTATCTACAAATATATGTTAAAACTTGATAGTTTATTACGGCCATTTTTTTTCACATAAGCTCCTTCAATATTAATACAAAGAAATATAATGGTAACATGAATAGTGAATATGTCAGTCTACTTCTTCTATGAGGGAGTAATACAGTCCACAATTAACCTCTAACCATAGATATCTAAATAATGGAAAACTAAGAAATATCTTTTAGTATTTATTTTTCATTTAAACATATATATTCATTGATTATAACATGATATTTTGAATATGTATACCTTGTGGAATGGCTAAATCAAGCTAATTAACAAACTGTCATTTTTTTTATGGTGAGAACACTTTAAATCTACTCCCTTAGCAATTTTCAAGAATGTAATGCATTGTTATTAACTATAGTCACCACATTGGACAATAGGGGAAAAACTATTTTTCAACATTGGAGAACATGCCACACAGGACTGTGAATTCTGAGGTGAAAATATTGATATTAGACCTCCCATCACCTACACTTTCTGCCCAGAGGCAATTCTTTATAGTGTAGATAGGAAAACCTAAACAGTCTGACAATTATTCTGAGTTGAATAGACCAGTGTCGAAGATATAAAAAGATTAACCAACTAGAATTCATGGGGCAGATTACCCAAAAATCACAGGTACATGGATAAAATGTCCAGAAATCTAAGTATGGAACCCTTGACTTTTTACCTAAATACCAAAGTGTTTTTACATAGAGTGAATACTCCATAAGCCCAGACAAAAACAGCTTTCAAGAAATGAATAATTACTTACGACTTGTAAAACAAAATTTCCAGAGTTCACAGAGCCAGGAATTAAGCACTCACAATCCAAGTAGAGAGATCTCATTGAAGACATGAGGCTTGAAGGAGCTTCATTTCAAACTTACAATAATGACTACTCTAGACACAACTTAAAAGAGCTTAAATGGCCAGGTGTGGTGGCTCACGCCTGTAATCCCAGCACTTTGGGAGATTGAGGCGGGCGGATCACCTGAGGTCGGGAGTTCAAGACCAGCCTGAACAACATGGAGATTACAGGCGTGAGCCACCGAGCCCAAGATTGTGCCATTGCACTCCAGCCTGGGCGACAAGAGCGAAACTCCGTCTAAAAAAAAAAAAAAAAGCTTAAAAACAAATCTCAAAGGCAATATGCTAATCAAAAGAAACTTGATTGCTTTCCAGAAAATAACTAGAGTATTTTAAAATACAAAATCCAGCAGTCGACAACGTAAAATTCACAACATTTAGCATCCCATCAAAGCTCACTAGATATGAAGAAGGGAAATGTAACTCACAATCATGAGAAAAAAAATCAGTTACGAAAGAAATGACAGATGATGAAATTTGCAGAAAATGATGTTAAAATATCTATTATAAATATGGTACATGTGCTCAAATATGTGAAAGATAGTAGAATCATGATGAGGAGAGAAATTAAAGTATATAAAAAAATGGAACGTAGCTCCTAAAGATGAAAAACACAAAATCTGAAATGAAAAAGACACTAGAGGGGGTGAACAGTATATTAGACACTGCAAAAAAAATAAAAGGTTAGTGAACTTGAAAACCTAGCAACAGAATCTATTCAAAATGAAGTACAGAGACAAAAGACAGAAAATAGTAAACAGAGCAGAGTAACATGTGGAACAGTATGAATCAGGCTAAACACGTAATTAGAGTCCCCGAAAGAAGAAAGCAGACAGAAAAACAAAATCACTAAAAATGTAATTTAAATGCAGAGGAAAAATTGTACTACTAACTAGAATCTTTACTCAGTGAAAATAGGTTTCAAAAATGGAGGTCATTCTTCCACAGTTCAGGTCTCTGAAAAACTTCCATCTCCCACTGAAAGTTGTAGTCTAAGAGTGAAGCCATCACATACAAGGACTTCAGGGCTAACTGTAAAGTCAGTCTGAACACTTGCATTAGTTGATCTTATTTATTATCACAAGCCTGAAAACACACAGCTCTAGAAAAGGTGGCCTCCTTATGCACATATATAATTTTTAAAAAGGAGAAGGCACTTTGTGAGGCTGAAGCAGGAGGATCACTTGAAGCCAGGAGTTGAAGACCAGCCTGGACAATAAAGCAAGACTCTGTCTCTACAGAAATAAAAATTAAAAATAAAAAAGAGTGCAATAGAAAAGGGAACAATCAGCACAAAGAGGGCTGAAATGTGCAACAAAAGTCAGCACAATGAAAATGATGAATAATGAGCCCTAGAATTCAAAGAGATGGGGTACCAGTTTTCATTACATTCTGAACAACACATTAAAAATGAACTATTTTTAAAAATAAAAGTGAGGGAAAAAGAAAAGGAATGTCAACCCATTGATTGAGCCCTTCATTTTCTCTTAAAATTGTTTTTGATACATAATAGTTGCATGTATTTGTGGGGTACATGTGATAGTTTGATACATGGATACAACGTGTAATGTTCAAATCAGAGTGAGATATCCATCACCTCAAACATTTATCATTTCTTTGTGTTGGGAACATTTCCAATCTTCTCTTTGAGCTATTTTGAAATATACAATGAATTATTATTAACTATAGTAACCCTATTATACTACTGAACACTACAACTTAATCCTTCTATCTAACTGTTTTTTTGTATCCATTAACCAATCCCCATTTGTTCTTGATAAAGTTGAATCAAATCTTTTGTGAACACACATTCTCAGGTCTTTTGGGATATGATTATCAGCAATTCTCTGACCTTCAAAGAGAAATCTGAGTGAATTCACTGGAACTCCCAACACTGGCAGTATACTTCTCTGGGTTTCCTGAGATGTGTTGCCATTTCCACTTTGAAGTGAATCTTACGGCTATCTGACTTTAATGTATTCTCCTTCCTTCTTATTCCCCAACTCCTCGGTTAAAGAATTTGTCTCCTGGTCAGACAAGGTGATGGTGGCTTCATTCAGTGGTCTCCTCTGAACAGTAGGTACCAGCCTAGGATACACAGAACCTTGCTCCAGGGTTTACAAATCCACCTCTCTTCCTCACAGCACAATCAGGAAAACACCCTTTTTAGGTGGGCACAAAGACCCAACCTAAGCTAATGAATCTCTTTGTGCTGGGTGTTTGAATCTGCTGTGGAGATACAATAGGTAGGAAAGGAAGTAGAGTGACTCATTTCAGATATAGGTGTGCATGAGTTTCCACTAAAATGTACTACTGGTACCTGTTCCCAGGAGTATGTAGGCTCTCTTCATTGGGTACTTTGCAGGTATGTTCTTCTTGTAGTCTAAAAACATGCCAATTTCCAAAAAAAAAAAAAAAAAAAAAAAAAAAAGTGAGAATGGGGTAGCCTCTTAACTAAAAATAAGATAATACTATTTGTTAAAAATCTAAGATGTAAAACAGGCCATATACACAATCTGTAATTATAACATCTCTACAAAGTTTATATTATGATATTCCTTATGGCAGAATGCAAATACTTAATCCCTTTTGCACCAAGAGTCTTATGATTCTCTCTCCCTCTCTCCCTATCTGACTTGCTGTTCATTCTATGATTTTGTCCCTGTGTCTCTCAGTTTCATGTCTCCTGACTCAGAAGTATGGCACATCTTTGTATTTTGTCTTGTATTTTGTCTTTAGTATTTTGTCTTGACTTATTCATAGATACTCCTTAATATTGCCCCTCCCAGGTCAGACTAGCCCTTTGCTATATTTTTTTCTGACTGCAAGAGGCATTTGTTCATTCAATAAACATCCATTAAGCCCCCACAGAATTCTAACTCAGCAGTGAGAAAAGTAGATCTATGGACAGTACAGTGCTTATAACATTTCAGAACGAGTGCTTCTCCTCTGGCCAAAGCCAAAGTCTATTAGTGAGCTTGATTAACTCCTTCACCTTAAGTCAGCAAGAAAAGATGTAGCAGAATAGCATAAGTGAGGCAGATGACTTCAGTGACAGCTGATCTGAGCACATGCTTTGGTTAAATTCTAACTTTATAAATATTTATTGAGCATCTAGGCAGAAGCCGGGAATGGGAGTATGGTGGTGAATAAGGTAGACAAGATCTAGACCTTACTGGAACATACACTTCAGTAAGGCACATGGACATTGAATTAGTGGGTGATGAAAATCTTGTAAGTTGAAATGAAGGGCACTTAGCCTAGTGAAGAGTGAGGGAAGATGATTCCAGGCAGAGGAAATAAAACTCACGATGACTCAGAATTAAGAAAGAGTTTGGAATACTGGGTGAACTGAGGGTGGATGGAGGTGGTGGTCTGGAACAGGGATAATGGGTTGGCGGGGGGGTGGTAAACAGGTGGAAAGGTAAGCTTGATACTGAACTGGGAGCCTCTGGGGTCTTGTTAAGAATTTAATTTATCTTGAAAAACAAGGGAATCTTTAAAGAATTTAAAGAATTTTAAGCAGGTGAGTAACATGATTAGATTTACATTCCTAACCTAACACAGTGGATAAAATAAGCAGAATAGGACACTTTTGTTCAAATATGGCAGATGGAACGTGTACACCTCTAACTGCTCCCCCAGTCCTTTCTAAAATAGCAGTAAAGGTATTTTTTAAGAAAGCAGAAATCCTAAATGACAAGGAGAAGAGGAAAAGTGATCCCATCAATAAGATTTTGGAAGCTGGAGAGCAGATGGCCAAGTGGTAAAGGATTTAACAGGCCCAAGAAAACCAAACCAACAGTGGAAAAGCAGAGAACCAACCTGATTTATACATTAGAATCCCCCAAAGCTCAGCAGCTGCTGCCACCAGCTGCTTCTAAATGTAGACATGACAGGGTCCAAGGAAAGCAACAGAGTCAGGAGCATTGGTCTAATGTCTGTTTAAGAAGCAGTCAGTCTCTGTTCCATGTAGCTGGGCCACTGTGTTTCACTCATCCTGGGGAAAGGCTGAAGGCTTATTCTCTGGAAAGGAGGTTTCTGGACTAGAGGACACCCAAGCATGGCCAAGAAGAAGGAGTAAGATAGATGTTGTCAACAGACCGGTACTGAGACCTGGCAACTTAATTCTCCACTCCTGGACAGCTAAAAGCCAAGCTTTTGTTCATAAGGCAAGAATGTGGAATGATCTCCTTTAAAGAACCTTTTCAGCTCAGAAGAAATGTCCTAAAAATACTAACATCAGAGGCTCCACAGCTGCTGTTATGGCAAATGATTTTATTGTTATGAAAGTATTTAGTGAGATTTTATTTTCCCCCAAATAGGTTCCTTTAAATAATGTTATATTAAAATTTATATTAATAATTATAATTTAGTTTGCCTTTTAACATTTATATGTCATTTTGAATATTTTAGAATATAACTTTTTTGAAAATATATAAACAAAATTTTAATTTACATATTTCATGAAAATACAGTCATTTCATATTCAATGAAGTTAAGCTCACTTTAAATATAATTGCATTTTATTTCTTAATCCTTTAGTAAGAATGAGTTTAAATTGAGAAATAGAAAATATAAAAGTAGAGCTCAGGGGAAAACTAAAAAGCATAAGGAAATAAATGTTCAATGGGGCAGTCTGCTTAAGTTATTAAAAACTGGAAACAACAAAAATAAGATTTATACTGAGCATGACCCATATAAAAATTGCAAACCGGCCTGGGCATGGTGAGTCACACTTTTGTAAACAGGGCCTGAGCGTGGTGAGTTACACTTGTAATCCCAGCACTTTGGGAGGCTGAGGCAGGAGGATCTCTTGAGCCCAGGAGTTCCAGACCAGCCTGGGCAACAAAGTGAGACCTTGCCTCTAGAAAAAAATTTTTAAAAATTAGCTGGGCATGACGATGCAAGCCTGTGGTCCTAGCTACTTGGGAGGCTGAGACGGGAGGATCGCTTGGGCTCAGGAGGTCAAGGCTGCAGTGATTATGCCACTGCACTCCCGCCTGGATGACAGAGTTAGACCCTGTCTCAAAAAAACCCCACAAAATTGTAAACAAGATATTACATATTCTTTATTGTAATACATAAAGATTTAATTACTGACCAAAATAATGAAAATGAAAAAAATTATTTTTATCAAGTCCACAACTTAAGTCAAATGAAATCCCTGCAATTTTATATAAATAAAGATTTAATGAAGATATTACTGTAAGAGATGGCCAAAATCGCAACATAAGTGACAGACATATGCTGAAAATAAAATAAAAAATACGTTATAACTATGTTTAAACTTTGTACAATTATTGTTTCACTCCCAAATATACTTACAGTGGCTTTTTCTTTTTTTTTTTTGAGACAGGGTCTCACTCTGCCCATGCTGGATTGCAGTGGCACGATCACAGCTCACTGCAGCCTCAACCCCCCAAGGCTCAAGTGATCCTCCCACCTCAGCCTACCGACTAGCCGGGACTACAGGCACATGCCACTATGCCCAGCTAATTTCGTTTATTTTTTGTAGCGACAGGTCTTACTATATTGCCCAAGGTGATCTTGAACTCCTGGACTCAGGCAATCCTCCAGCCTCACCCTCCCAAAGTGCTGGGATTACAGGCATGAGCCACTGCACCTGGCCATATATTGTGACTTTTATTAACAATTTCATTTACTATTCCTCAGCTAAGCGGCTTCACCAAATGTAAATTAATTAAAAAGTCTAAGAACTACACTGACCTAATTTGACATTAATGTTAATAGAATACAAATCGTGAGAAAATCCTAATTTTAACATAAGTAGTATTTTTTAATTTTTAAGTGTTTAGTTATTAGATGGCATTTTGGCCTCTGTTTATACTCTCTCACAGACCATCTAGTAGTTAGCAATGGACTTGAGACTGGTCAACAGTTGCTAAATCAGAACCCATTAACTTAACCAGGTGTGGACTCATTAACTTAACCGGAGGATACTGTAGACCTGATAACCACCCTTAATACTTCACTGGGATCATTTGGCAAGCAATAATGCAAGCAAATTAACCTGAAGTGATTCAGCTAGGGTGAAAGAAATCAGAGAGAAAGGATGCATGAAAGGAAGATGGTTTCTAAATCACTGGTTCACATCAGAATCACCTTCACGAAACATTGAATAGAGTAGACAGGGCTAATAAAATTTTTCACCCAGAAAAGGTTTGGCCAAATAGTTTCCAGACTATTTGCAAAACTGGAGTGGTAATGAGTTGCTGGTTTACTTTTGTTATTATTTTTTTCTTAAAAAATAGTGATTCTAATGTGTGGAAGCAATTGCAATAAAATACTCTAGATATGACTTAGTGGCATCATCTTCTCATTGAAAAAATACCCCAACCTCATCTTATCTGCAATGGAAATAGAGTATTTCTTTAGTGCATATAATGAAAAAAATTACAACTGTCAGAAATGATAGCCTAGACTACTTGAAGAAAGCTTCCCTTAAAGCTGTAAATCACCAGTGTTAGCACAATTGAGTAAATTTCCTTTTCCTTCCTTTTTTATTCTTCTCCCTGTCTATATTTCCCCTCCTCTTTATTTCTTTAATTGTCCGCCTTATAAGTGTTTCCCCACGTTGACATTTTGAGTAATGCTTCTCATTAAAAATTTAAAAATATTTTCACATTTTTGAACATATGAAGCATCAAAAATATGTGGCCTTTGTGATATAATTCTTTAGATTTGTGACAGATTTGGGAAGAAGATATTTTTAGTTTTGACATTTGAGAAAGTTTTTACCTGTATTAAAACATATGTTATAGTCTTCATTAGGATTCCTATTTGAGCACAAAAAAATATCTGCAAGAAAACGCAAATAGCAGCAACAGTGAAGAGCACTGGCTTAGGTCAAACAGACTTCAATTTAATCTGAGCTCCCCCTTTGCCAGCTGTGGGACATAAAACAACTGGCTTAACCTTCACTCGTCTAAATGTCGTCATCTGCCAAATGGGTGTAATAGTAGCTCCTATCTCCTAGAGATGTGAGAATAAATTAATCTGTGTGAAATCCTTGGAATTGTGTGAGGCACACAGACAAGCTTGTGGATGTTATTATTGATCCCACTGTTATTATTATTATTCATTATTTTTAACTGACTCTGATTTACTTTTATAAAATAAAATAATACATGCCTGATATGGTTTGGCTGTGTGCCCACCCAAATATCATCTTGAATTATAGCTCCCATAAATCCCATGTGTTGTGGGAGGGACCCGCTTGGAGATAATTGAATCATGAGGGCAGTTTCCCCCATACTCTTTGTGGTAGTGAGTAAGTCTCACGAGATCTGCTGATTTTATAAGGGTTTTCCCCTTTTGCTTGGCTCTCATTCTCTCTTGACTGCCATCATGTAAGATGTGCCTTTGTTCTTCCCTCAACTTCCGTCATGATTGTGAGACCTCCCCAGCCATGTGGAACTGTGAGTCCATTAAACTTCTATTTCTTTATAAATTACCCAGTCTTGGATATGTCTTTATCAGCAGTGTGAAAACAGACTAATACAATGCTCACAATAGAAAAATGTAGATTGTAAAGAAGCACAAAATAGAGTCTTCTTCTGACTGCTACCACCCACCTCTCTGTTAATGGCTCTTATGTATCGTCTCTCAAATTATTTTAGGAACCAGCTTATATATGATCCTTTCTGAAGCTTCATGCAGAGCAATCAGACCTTGCCCTCTGTTTGCACTTTTGTCACTTAACATTTATCTTGAATGGCTTTCTCTATCCACACATCTACATCACTCTCATTCTTTATAATAACTGTATCATATTCCATTGTATACATGTACTACAATTTATATAAACATCCTTTTGCAGTTTTTTTTTTTTTGCAATTATGTCTGTTAGGAAATGTCCTAATGTAGTATAATTTCTGGATTAAACTATGTGTATTTTCTACTTTGGTATATTTTGCTGAATTACCCTCCCAAAAAGTTTGCATTAATTTACTACAGTGGTATTTAATGCATTTGGGTATGGCTCTGAAAACATGTATGTAAATGATCTGTTTGAAATAGATTTTTAAATTAAATTCACTAGGGATATGATTTGCTTTAGCAGGGTTCATGACCCTTTGTGATAAGTTTTGAAAGATGTAGATTCTCATTTTTCTGATGATGTGCATTCAAGAAAGTGCTGAGGTGTACACATTTTTAGAGGAAGCATGTCTTTGGGAGACTGAACAATGGCCAGCCAATAATGTTCACAACCCAATCCTTTGATTTCAGCCCAGTGAAACTCACACCAGACTTCTGACCTCCAGAGCTAAGATTATAAATGTGTGTTGTTTTAAGTCACTAAGTTTATGGTAATTTGCTACAGCAGCAGTAGGAGACAAACCATTCATGTATCCCAGATGAAGATTCAGCTATGTGGGCACATGCCCTCTGTAAGAATGTATGAGAGCACAGCTTTAGAAAACCAAAAGCTGGCCAGGTGCAGTGGCTCATGCCTGTAATCCCGGTACTTTGGGAAGCTGAGGCAGGAGGATCACTTAAGGCCAGGAGTTCGACACCAGCCAGGCCAATATGGTGAAAGCCCATCTCTACCAAAAATACAAAAATTAGCTGGGCATGGAGGTGCATGCCTGTAATCCCAGCTACTCAGGCAGCTGTGGCAGGAGAATCACTTGAACCTAGGAGGTGCAGTAAGCCAAATTGGTGCCACTGCACTCCAGCCTGGGTGACCGAGCTAGACTCCATCTCAAAAAACAAACAACAACCACAAAACCCAGAAAACCAAAAACCTTTAGTACACAAAGTAGAAAAACATTGAACCGGTCACATTTGGAGCAATACAACAGACCTGGAGGTCAGGATACTAAGCAAAATAAGCCAGACATGGAAAGACAAATACTGTATGATTTCACTTCTATGCAGAATCTAAAATAGTCAAACTCATAGAAGCAGAGACTGGGTGGTTCCCAGAGGCTGAAGGCAAGAAGGGGTAAATGGGGAAGTGTTGGTCAAAGTGTACAAAGTTTCAGCTATGCAAGATAGATAAGTTCTGGAGCTCTTCTGTACAAGATAGGGTCTATAATTGACAATATTACATAGTATACTTAAAAATGTTCTAGAAGGATATATCTCACATTAAATTCTCTTACCACAAAAGGAACAACAAACTAACAAAAAGTAAAATGAACAGGAGGAAATTTTGTAGGCAGTAAATAAGTTTGTTGCATTGCTTATTGGTAATGGTTTCAGGGGTATATCCTTATCTCCAAACACATCAAGTTATATACATTAAAAATCTACAACTTTTTGCCTGTAGTCCCAGTTACTGAGGAAGCTGAGGCAGAAGGATCACTTGAGCCCAAGAGTTCAAGGCTGCAGTAAGCTATGATAGCGCCACTGCACTCCAGCCTGGGCAACAAAGCAAGACTGTTTCCAAAAGAAAAAAGAAAAAAATTTACAACTTTTTGTTATGTCAATCATATATCAATAAAGTGGTTTAGAAAGTGTTGAGCAGGCCACTCCAGCTCCCCATCCTCCACTGCCCTAGACTCCAAGTGTCTCCATGGAGCACCCAGTGTTCCAAGAAGCAGATTGAAAACTATTCCTTCAGTAAATGAAACAAGCTTTCCTTTAAAATTTGAGCATGTATTAGTAAATCTGATCTTAAAAACAAACATTTATTTTCACTTGGTAAATTTGTTTTTGTTTTTGTCTTTGAGACAGTCTCGTTCTGTCACCAAGGCTGGAGTGCAGCAGCAAAATCGTAACTCACTGCAGCCTGGATCTCCTAGGCTCAGGTGACCCTCCCACCTTAGCCTCCTGAGTAGCTGCAACTGTGGGTGCATGCCACCACACTCGTCTAATTTTTTATATATGTATATTTTTTAGTAGAGATGAGGTCTTGCTATGTTGTCCAGGCTGGTTTCAAGCTCCCAGGCTCAAGCAATTCTCTTGCCTCAGCCTCCCAAAATACTGGGATTACAGGCATGAGCCACCATGCCCAGCTTTGGTAAGTATTTTTTTTTTTTTAACTTGGTAAGTACTATTTTTTTTTTCTATTTTCAGGGACGCTATACTGTGCTAGGCTCTGCAACACAGCAGTATACAAGACACACTTACTCTCCCTCCCCCAACCCCACACCTCCCCACCCCCGCCCCAGCACAGGTTAAAGTGCAGTAAGGAATGTAGCCAATTCCAATGTAACGTGACAAATGTTTTGATTGATAGGGAAAGAGTAGGGAAAGATTAAAGTGCAATAAGGAATGTAGCCAATTCCAGTGTAACATGACAAATGTTTTGATTGATAGGGAAAGAGTAGGGAGCTGTGCAGATGAACAGAACGGGTACTGTCCATGGTCTCATGTGAGGAGCAGGTTAACAGAGATCTTCCTGAAGATGTCCAAGCTGAGAACAAGCAGAGTGACCCAGCCTAGAATGACCCAGTGCAGGCATAGAGGAAGGGACTGGGTAAAAGAAAGAGGGTGGAATGCAGATAATTATTCCCACTGAAAGAACAGCATTTCCAAAAACTTAAAAGTGAGAGTCGGGTAAATTTGGAGAACCAGAAGCAGTTTGGCATGGCTGAAGCACAGAATGCCACGGTAAAATGGAAGAAAGTGAGGCTGAAGCTTCTGAGGGGCCTTGCTGTTTCTATAAAGGTACTTCCGGTTTATCATCTTGTCCAGGCAGCCCTGTAGGTCTGGGGTGGAGCCTCCTTTGCATTTTGAAGAATTACTCTGGCCAGAATGAGGAGGACAGATGAGAAGGAGGAGTACTGGAGGTGGGACGAGCAGTGAGGGGGCTACTGCAGGAATCAAAGCTCATCTTGGTGGATCTAGACACAAGGGAATGACTGGAAGAGAGGTTTAGGTCACACGCTTGGCAGGGCCTGGTGATGAGTGGATATATAGGGAATGTGGCAGGAAGAGAGAAATTCAAAAAAGACACCCGGATTCTTGTCAGGTAACCTAGGAAACTTCTATCCTAGAAGCTGAGTTTGAGAACTTGGAGGAGGGTATTCTCTCAGAGAGGTCCAGTAAATCGATGCATAAATAGATCTGAAGGCCCAGAAATTAATTTGGGATGGAGCTAGAGACTTACAAATTACAATTCATTCCTGTTATACTTGTTACAAGCATAACAAGTGTAATGTAACAAGTTATGCCTGGTAAGTGTAGAGCAAAGCATGGTGGCTCATGCCTATAATCTCAGTACTTTGGGAGGCCAAGGAAGGAAGATCACTTGAGCCCAGGGGTTTGAGACCATCACGGGCAACATAGTGAGACCCCGTATCTATCAAAAAAAAATTAGCTGCTGTGGTGGTGCACACCTGCGGTCCCAGCTACTGGGAAAGCTGAGGCAGGAGGCTTAGTTGAGCCTAGGAGGTTGAGGTTGCAATGAGCCATGATCATGCCACTGTACTCCAGCCTGGGTGACAGAGCCACACCCTGTCTCAAAACAACAACGACAAAAGCAAAGACAGTGAATTAAATTACCTAGGGAGAGGGTGTAGAATGGGAAGAGAGTTTAGGACAGAATTCTGGGGAAACCAAAGAATAAAGGACTAAAGGAAGAGAAGCCACCGTGAGGCCGAAGAGGAGCAGCTGCCAGGGAGGAGGAAAGGCAGTCCAGTGTGAGGAAGTGGTTAGCAGAGCCAGATGCGGTGCCGTGGAGGGTTAAATATGATGATCACAGAAAACGTCTCTTGAATGTAGTACAGAAGGAGGTCTTGATCTTCACTCAAATAGTTCCAATAGTGTGATGGGGGCAGAAGGGTGACCACGAGATTTGAAAGTGACTGGGAACTGAGATCTGGTGATAAGGGATGCAATTCAGAGCACAGGTGGAAGCACTAACCTCAAATGAGGGAAGGGAAATGCTCAACTGTAAGAGAAGGAAAAGAGGAAAAGATGGGTGCATTTATATTTTCATTAAGAAAAGATTTTGGCAAGACTTCAAATATTAGAGAATGACCCTCTGATATCCAAATTATAAGAAAGTGCAATTTGCATTCTTTTTTATTTTTATTTTGTTGAGATGGGGTCTCACTCTCTCGTCCAGACTGGAGTACAGTGGTGCGATCTCAGCTCACTGCAACCTCCACCTCCCAGGCTCAAGCGATCCTTCCACCTCAGCCTCCCAATTAGCTGGGATGACAGGTGCATGCCACCACGCCTGGCTAATTTTTTGCATTTTTGGTAAAGGGGTTTTTGCCATGTTGCCCAGGCTGGAGCAATTCGAATTCTTGAGTTGTCTTATATGACAGAGACAGGACCGACAAAGATTAATTTTGGCTTTACCTAAGGAGGAATTTGTTAATAATTATAGCTACTAAAATTGAATGCTTGTGTTAGTAAATTGCGAGTTCCCTGTCACTGGTATGACTGAAATAGAGGCAGTAGCTTCTTTAAGAAAGAGTAAAGAGTAAAATGGGGATGGCAGGGTTGGAGGTTGGAAAACAGAGGATTAACCACATGCTTTCTAATGTCCCTTTCTGTCCTTGACATTCAACCCTGCAAACTACAGCAAGCATGTTATGTATTGAGTCTCATCCCTCTTGATTCCTTTTGGCTGGTGGTTAACATTTCATCCTGCAGATCCAGCCTTCAGATCCAGAAGCAGTCCCAAATATTTCAGAACTAAAAACTGCATAGTCTCCAGGGTGGGGACTGGAATTAGGCCTCTGACCCTTGCTTAGTTTCCAGAGTGTCTGAGTTGAGCCTTGGGACTCCCTGGATGCCCACAACACTGCAGCTTTCCTCCAAATCACCACAAGTGCCCATTCCAAGTGGCGTTGTCTCACTTATTGTTGAGCACCTGCTATGTTCCAGATGCTGTGCTAAATGCTAAATATATGATGATGAAAGCACATTCCATGAGGACACGATTTTTGTCTAAAAACAGTTCACTGATGTATCCCCAGCACCTAAAATGGTGCCTGGTACAATGCAAGTCTTGATAAGTATTTTTTCAATGAATGCCACAGACTGTCTTCTCGAATCCAGTGTACAAGACAAGCATATACACTGACGACTGCAGTATAACATGGCAAGTACTGTTATGGAAGCTCATAGGAAGCACAGAAGGGGAATACTTCCTTAGCCTGGGGATTTTTTTTTTTTGGTATTTTGGTTCCCAACTAGCATTGGAGCACAAGCCTGAATCAAAATCTGCCTGCTGACTTGCCAGCCTTTGCCACACTTGTCTACCCATAAAGCAGAACCATGTCACTCTACCTTAAACCAGTAGCTTCAGTCAAGGCACTCATCTTAGGTCCCTTGGGACCCCTCTGCCATTGAGGCACTGCCACCATCATGACCACGAGTGGATATTGCTCCTGACCAGAGAGGTAGGCACTCATACCTACCAGGTCAGATCACACCTACCAGGTCAGAGTCCTTAGAGAGATGAATGCCAGTCTCAATTGCAACATATTAGACATTGTATCTTTGACAGCTGGCTGAGCTCTTAGAGGGCAAGGCACATTGCCAGGAGAATGCCTCTAGCACCAGCCACACTCCTGCCCCTGTGCTGCCCGCCTTAGAGTCCCAGTATGGTTCACAGGATGTTCAAACAAGTTCTCTAGGAATTAACAATCCAGCCACTAGCCCAGCTCATTTGCTTTCTAGCATGTGTTACTAGGAACACTGAAGTGTCATCATAAAGAGAGGGACGTGGTGGTAGGAGCATGAGCTTGAGACCCAGACAGCTTCTTTGCCTCCTTTGTATGACTTTGGGCAAGTCACCTTAATTCTCTGGTTCCCCATCTCTCCCTTCTTTTTTATTTTTTCCCTATTTTGACATATCAAATATGCAACATACAGAAAAGTTGCAAGAATAGTAAAAAGAATTCCCAGAAACCCTTCATCCAGATTCCCAAAATGGCAACTGTTTCTGCAATTGCTTCATCCTTTCCTCAGTCACTATCTGTGGGTGCTTGTGTGCACATATACCATGCATCTCAATTTTTTTCTGAACCACTTAAGAATAGGTTGCAGACACCCTCTTTCCCCTACATACTTCAATATGTATTTATAAAAACAAGGAATTCCTCAAGTAACCAGAGTACAGTTTTCAAAATAGAAAATTAACATTGAAACAGATACTATTATTTAATCTACAGACCTGTTAAGGTGTTGTCAATGTTTCAGAAATGTCCCTTATAGCAAAAGAAAATCCCAGATCATGCATTTCATTCAGTTGTCATGTTCTTTTTTTTTTTCCCCCCCACTCTTCTGCTGAAAGAGAAAGTTGTCATGTTTTTAAAGACTCCTTTAATCTGGAACATTTTCTGAGTCTTTCTTTGAATTTCATGATATTGGCATTTTTATAAAGTATAGCACAGTGATTTTGTAGAATGCCTGTAAGTTTGGGTTTGTCTGATGTACCCTCAAGAGTATATTCAGAGGCTGGGCGCGGTGGCTCACGCTTGTAATCCCAGCACTTTGGGAGAACATGGCGGGTGGATCATGAGGTCAGGAGATAGAGACCATCCTCACTAACACGGTGAAACCCCATCTCTACTAAAAATACAAAAAATTAGCCAGGCTTGGTGGCAGATGCCTGTAATCCTAGCTACTGGGAGGCTGAGGCAGGAGAATCACTTGAACCTGGGAGGCAGAAGTTGCAGCAAGTCAAGATCGCATCATTGCTCACCAGCCCAGGAGACAGTGGGAGACTTCATCCCCACAAAAAAGAATAGATTTAGATTATTCACTTTTGGCAGAATGACACAGAGGTGTTGCTGAGCTCTTCTCAGTGCATTGTGTAAGAGGTATGTATTAGTTCGTTTTCACACTGCTATAAAGAAATACCTGAGACTGGGTAATTTCTAAAGGAAAGAGGTTTAATTGACTGTGGTTCCACATGGCTGGGGAGACCTCAGGAAACTTACAATCATGGCAGAAGGTGAAGGAGAAGCAAGCACCTTCTTCACAAGGCAGCAGGAGAGAGAAGAGCGAAGGAGGAACTTCCAAACACTTATAAAACCATCTGGTCTCATAAGAACTCACTCAAAATCATGAGAACAGCATGGAGGTAACCGCCCCCATGACCTAATCACCTCCCACCTGGTCGCTCCCTTGACACATGTGGATTTTGGGGATTACAATTCGAGATGAGATTTGGGTTGGGGCACAGAGCCAAACTATATCAAGGTATATGCTGCTGGTTAGTCCCATTGCTAGTAATGTTAACTTTGACTATTTTCTAATGTGGTGTTCTGCAGTTTTCTCAACTGCTATATTTTACCCTTTGTATTTAAAGAAAGATCTTGTGGGGATGCCCATTACTCCTTAAACAAGATGAATCAGTTATTATACTGGCTGGCAAAGGTTGATTTTTATAATTCCAACACTCTTTCTAGATGTATGAGTTGGCAGTCCCTTGTAAGAAAGAGTTTACCTTGTCCCCCAATTGGCTTGTTTTACTCGAGACTCATGAAGTTTAATTTACTAATAGAGTAAAATCCTTTAATTTACTATTTTTATTTTGATACTCAAATTGTCCCTGGTTTTGCCAATGGGAGCCCCTTCGAGCTAGCTCTTTCATATTTTTGGTATGTCCTCATCATCCTTTGGTATGATGAAATGTCCCAGGTTTATCTTATTCTTTCTGTAAACTACCCCTGCTTAGCCATTTTTATTTTCAGAGAAACCTGGCTGTTTTTAGTGAAGAATGGTATTTAGAAAACAAGATCTAGTGCTAAGAGGTGAACCCCATTGTTAGTGGGATTTCATTTTTTTCTAGGTACTCTCAGAGGACAGACCTGAGTGGGAAGGAGAAGGGGGAGTCATGGAGTTGGGGGAGAGAGAGACAGAATATATACATACATACATATACATATATACATACATATATATGTATGTACATACATGTGTAGGTCTGTATATGTGTGTGTGTCTTTGTGCGCAGTATATATACAGATAACATATACATATACATACATATATTCTGTACATACACGTGTATGTGTATATATTCTGTCTATATACATACATATATGTATATATTTTGTACATACATGTGTATGAATATATATTCTATCTACTGTATACATATACACAGATATGTTTGTATGTGCATATTCTATCTACTTTGTATATATGTGTATACAGATATGCATATATGTATGTATATATTCTCTCTCTACTGTTTGTATATATTCTGTCTATATATACTGTGCAGTTATATGCACAGAGGCACACACACACATATACAGACCTACACATATCTATATCCATTTGTACCAATTTGTCTATGTCCCCATGAGTCACACTGATATCTACAATTCTAGTCCCCTCTTCAGATTATCGCTATCTTCTCCAACAGTGAGAATTCTGGATCCCAATATCAACAATGTACGAATTTATTTATTTGTTCAATTCTAGAATATACAAGTAGTTCCAGAATTACTAACCTATATTTCTGGATAAAAAAGAGGTCTACTAATTGGAGTTCAATATTTGTTTAGAGGTCTTTTTGCCTTTAGCCTGAAGGCAAGTAATCTAGGTATTGTGTTCAACATTTGCTTGAGTTAATTTTTTCTCCCTTCTTGAGTGTGATTATTTTATTCATTTGATTTATGTAGATCAATTCATTTGTTTCCAATTGTATTTAGTTTTAGGCTATCCTCCCCTTCTTTGTGGGTTTTTACATTTTTATTTATTTATTTATTTGAATGTGAGAAACAGTAATATTATGGGTTAAATTGTGTCCCACCTCCCATCCCCTAATTCATTATTGAATTCCTAAGCCGCAGTACTTCAGGACTCACCCTTATTTGGAAATAGGGTAGCTGCAGGGGTAATCAAATAAGTTAAGATGAAGTCATCCTGGAGTAGGTGGGTCAATATGACTGGTGGGACACCAGTATTACTGGTGTTCTTATAAAAAGGGAGAATTTGGACCCAGAGACATCCATACAGGGAGAACATCATGTGAACTGGTGTTACGCTGCTATGGGCCCGGGAAATACCAGAAGCTAAGAGAGAGGCCTGGAACACATTCTTCCTAGTGCCTTCGGAGGAAGCATGGCCCTGCCAGTGCCTGGATGCAGACTTCTAGGCTCCAGAACTATGAGGCCACAAATTTCTGCTGTTTATGCCACTTAGTCTGTGGTACTTTGTTATGACAGCCCTAAAAACCTAATACGATTAATATAGTTCCAGAAGTCAGGTCTATAAAAAGAAGGTGTATTCAGAGAAATGACCCTTTCCGATTGTTTTCTTTACTTTCTACCCAACTCTCACCATGCCCAGTAGCAACCGATATCTTTATCTTAGTCTCTGATTTTTTCTTCTTGAGTTTCTTTTCACTCAAGCTTATAGTTCAATGTATATGTTTTTATTTTTTTCTGGAAATCACTCTATATTACTTCCCACAGATCTTATTCATTCTTTTGTATGGCTCCATAGTAGTCCATTTTGTAGATATGGCATTTTGTGTGTACATTGTGGGGAAATCCATTTTGTGTGTAGACGTGTCCACTTTGAAGAATAGTTTCTTCAACTATTCTCCTATGTGTGGGCATTTAGGCATTTTCAATGCAAACAATGCTGCAATGAATAACCTTGTGCATTTATATTTTTGTATTGGCGAGGGTATGTCTTTAGAGTAGATTTCTAGAAGTGGGATTCTTTGATCAAAAGGTAAATACATGTGTAGTTTTTTAGGTATTGTGAAATTCTCCTCAAGAAGGCTGCATTCCCTTTAGCAACATATGAGAGTTCCTGTTTTTCCATAGCCTAACAAATAGAGTGTGTTATGTATTTTTAAATGTTTCCTAATCTAATAATAAATGACATATCAGTGTAGTTTTAATTTGCATTTTTCTTATCATGAGTGAAGTTAAACCTTTTTTCATCCATTTTTATACCCTTTTGCGAATTGTTTCTACATTTCCTTACATTTTTCATTTGGATTTTTAAAATCTTTTCACTCTCAATTTTGAAGAATGTTCTATATATTACAGAAGTTCACCCTTTTTCTGTGTGATAGAAGTGTTTTCATCCAGTAAGTCAGTGGCTTTTTTGACTTTGTTTATGATGCTTTTCGCTGTCTAGATTTTCTTTTTCATTTTTACATAGTTAAAATCATCCTTTTTTTTTTTTAAATTACGTCCAGATTTGGAGAATCCATTAGGCCTTTTCCAGCTTAAAGAGTAATTTATCCAGATTTCCTTATTGTACTTGATGGTTTCTTTTCTTTTTTTTTTTTTTTTTTTTTAACAATAGGTTCTTTATCTGTTTGGGGTTTATTCTTTTCTGTCAGGTGAGTTATATATCTGATGTTATCTTTTTTTCAAATGGCTACCAGTTGCCCCAGAACCATTTATTAAAATTCATTCTTTGCCTTTTTGATGTAAGATGCTCCCTTTATCATATACTAAAGTTTCAAATATGCTTGGATTTCTTTCTGGACTTTTGTTCTATTCAACCTATCTGTCAACATCTACTAGTAATATGCTTTTTTCATTATAGAGGCTTTATAATATGTTTTCTTTCTTGTTTTTTTTTTTAGAATAGAATGAGGCAAGTATGTTTTAATATCTAGTAGAGCTAGTATTCCCTCAAAGCTTTTTTAAAAGTGTTTTTCTGGATATTCTTGCATGTTTATTTTTCCATATGAAGTTTGCAAAATTTTTTAGTGATATTGCATTAAATTTATAAATTTGCTTAAAGGAATGACATCCTCATTTTTGTGATGTTGAGTCTTCCAATCCAAAAATAAGGATGTTTTTCTGTTTGTTCAAGTCTATTTTTATATCTTTCAAGAGTGTTTAAAGTTTTGCACTATAGATTTTGTACACTAATTGTTAAATTTATTTCTAAGTACTTTATCTTCTTTGTTGCTAATGTTAATGGGGCTTTGTCTGCTCTGTGTTCTCCAACTGATTATCCTTTATGTAAATGATTGCAGCCTGCCCACACCTCCGAGGCTGGCCCTGTGGACCAGTTGGCCTTATTTCTTCAGTGGAAATCTAGTCACTATGATGTGGTAGTTGGCGTGTTGTCACCTTGCTATAACCATAAACTTCAAAATGTGATAAGCAGCTGGCTGATCATTGGATACAACATCCTGCATTAAGTCAACGTGTGCTTGTCAAATTCATAATAGATGCCCATGGCTGCTAAGGGCCTGTGGAAGACCAGGAGGATCCCTACTACTCAACATCACAAATCCAGCTTTGAATCAGGAAATTGAGGCATTCAGTCTTTCTGAAGACACTTCATCAGGGTTCGCTGAGGACCGAGTTGTCAGTGTGAGTTTCCAACTTCTCTACACGATCCTTATTACCAGTCTTGGGGTGTTCTACAATGCCAATGATGTGGGTTTCCAGAGGAACGTCGCTCTCAAGCTTTCTCAGGCAGAACGGGAAGAGGCCCCCTTCATTGTTCACTAGAGTCCTCCAAGCCATGGTGTGCAGGTGAACAAGTTGTGTACAAGCACATGGAACAATTCATCTTACCAGAGAGCTTTGAAGGTACAATTGTATGGGAGAGTGAAGACCTCCACAACTTTGTGTTAAGAAATCTTCACAAAGTGACACTGAATATGGAGGGGGGATTCTTGGAGTCATTACAGCTGGGGAGGGTGCATTGCCTCATGAATTATTGGAAGGTATGGAGGGAGTTGGAGTGGTTTTAGATGCCTTATTGAAGGAGGAAAACATCATCTATGATGATATTGTTTTTGTGGATGTTGTCAACACTCATTGAAATATACCTGCAAAATTATTGAACTTTATAGATGGACTATGGAAACAACCAACTTTGATTTGTTGCTAAAGACAGATGATGACTGTTACATAGGCTTGAAAGCTGTATTTAATAGAATTTCTCAAAAGAATCTGAATAGGTCTAATTTTGTTGGGGATATTTCAGACTGAATTGGGTAGTTGACAGAACCAGGAAGTGGCAGGAGTTGGAGCACCCTGGTCATGCTTACCCTGCCTTTGCATGTGGGTCGGGGTATGTGATCTCCAGGGACATCATCAACTGGCTGGCAGGCAACTCCAGGAGGTTATAGACCTGTATGTCTATGTATGCGTAAGCACTTGGATGGCAGCCACAGGACCTAACAGTTACCAGCACAGCATGTGACTGTGTGAGAAGACTTGTCAGACAGGAATATTGTCTTCCCCACAGTATTCTCCGCAGGAGCTGACAGAACTGTGGAAACTGAAGGAATTCTGTGGTGATCCTTGTCAATCTGAAGCAAGATAACAGGATTTGAATTAGCAGTGTCTAAACTCGGGGTAGCTGATATGGTTTGGCTGTATCCCCACCCAAATCTCATCTTGAATTGTAACTCCCACATTTCCCACATATCATGGGAGGAACCTGGTGGGAGGTAATCAGATCATAGGGGCAGGTCTTTCCCGTGCTGTTCTCGTAATAGTGAATAAGTCTCACAAGATCTGATGGTTTTAAAAATGGGAGCTTCCCTGCATAAGCTCTCTCTCTCTCTTTCTCTGCTGTCATCCATGTAAGACACGGCTTGCTCCTCCTTGCCGTCCACCATGATTGTGAGGCTTGTCCAGCCACATGGAACTGTAAGTCCATCAAACCTCTTTCTTTTGTTAAATGCTCTGTCTTGGGTATGTTTTTATCAGGAGTCAGTTGGTACCAGTAGAATGGGGTGCTGTTGAAAAGATACCTGAGACTGTGGAAGCAACTTTGTAACTGGGTAACAGGCAGAGATTGGAACAGTTTGGAGTGCTTAGAAGAAGACAGGAAAATGTAGGAAAGTTTGGAACTCCCTAGAGACTTGTTGAATGGCTTTGACAAAAATGCTGATAATAATGTGGACAATGAAATCCAGGCTGAGGTGGTCTTGGATGGAGATGAGGAACTTGTTGGAAGGTGGAGCAAAGGTGACTCTTGTTATGTTTTCGAAAAGAAACTGGTGGCATTTTGTCCCTGCCCTACAGATTTGTGGAAACTTGACAGAGATGATTTAGGGTATGTGGTGGAAAAAATTTCTAAGCAGCAAAGCATTCAAGATGTGACTTGGATGCTCTTAAAGGCATTCCATTTTATAAGGGAAGCAGAGCATAAAAGTTCAAAAAATTGGCAGCCTGACAATGTGATAGAAAAGCAAATCCCATTTTCTGAGGAGAAATTCAAGCTGGCTGCAGAAATTTGTACAAGTAATGAAGAGCTGAATGTTAATCCTCAAGACAATGGGGAAAATGCCTCCAGGGCATGTCAGAGGTCTTCATGGCAGCCCCTCCCATCACTGGCCAGGAGGCCCAGGAGGTAAAAATTGTTTTGTGGCCAAGCCCAGGGTCCCCATGCTGTGTGCAGTCTAGGAACTTGGTGGCCTGTGTCCCAGCTGCTCCAGCCATGACTAAAAGGGACAAAGACATGGTTCAGGCTGTGGCTTCAGAGGGTGCTAGCCCCAAGCCTTGGCAGCTTCCATGTGGTGTGGAGCCTGCAGGTATACAGAAGTCAAGAATTGAGGTTTGGGCAGCTCTGCCTAGATTTCAGAGGATGTATGGAAATGCCAGGATGCCCAGGCAGAAGTTTGCTGCAGGGGTGGGGCCCTAATGTAGAACCTCTGCTAGGGCAGTGCAGAAGGGAAATGTGGGGTCAGAGCCCCGACATAGAGTCCCTACTGGGGCACTGTCTAGTGGAGCTGTGAGAAGAGGGTCACCATCCTCCAGATCCCAGAATGGTAGATCCACAGACAGCTTGCATCATGCACCTGGAAAAGTTGCGGACACTCAATGCCAACCCATGAAAGCAGCCAGGAGAAGGGCTATACCCTGCAAAGCCACAGGGGTGGAGCTGCCTAGGGCCATAGAAACCCACCTCTTGCATAGCATGACCTGGATGTGAGACACGGAGCCAAAGGAGATCATTTTGGAGCTTTAAGATTTGTCTGCCCCATTGGATTTCAGACTTGCATGGGGCCTGTAGCCCTTTGTTTTGGCCAATTTCTCCCATTTGGAATGGCTGTATTTACCCCATGCCTATACCCCCATTGTATCTAGGAAGTAACTAACTCATTTTTGATTTTACAGGCCCATAGGTGGAAAGGATTTGCCTTGTCTCAGATAAGACATTGGACTGTGGACTTTTGAGTTAATGCTGAAATCAGTTAAGACTTTGGAGGACTGTTGGAAAGGCATGATTGGTTTTGCAATGTAAAAAGGACATGAGATTTTGGAGGGGCCAGGGGCAGAGTGATAGTGGATATGGTTTGGCTGTGTCCTCACCCAAATCTTATCTTGAATTGTAATTCCCTCAATTCCCACATGTTGTAGGAGGAACCTGGTGGGAGGTAGCTGAATCACGGGAGCAGGTCTTTCCCATGCTGTTCTCATGATAGTGAATGAGTCTCACAAGATCTGATGGTTTTAAAAACAGGAGTTTCCCTGCACAAGCTCTCTCTTTCTTTGCTTGCTGCCATCCATGTCAGATGTGGCTTGCTCCCCCTTGCCTTCTGCCATGATTGTGAGGCTTACCCAGCCATGTGGAACTGTAAGTCCATTAAACTTCTTTCTTTTGTAAATTGCCCAGTCTCGGATATATCTTTATCAGCAATGTGAAAACGGACTAATACAATAGGCAAATGATCATCCAAGTGTAACTCTGAGGAACCCCAAGGTTTAGCAATAGGTTTATGGTCTTTTGAGAGAGTTCTAGACTGGCACTTTCACCTGGAATCAATGTGTTTCTTAATGTTTGCACAAATTTCCTTTTCAAAAATCAACTGATATTGTAGCATAAGAAAAGTTTTTATGTATCTATTGGAAGATGATTTGAAAAACACTAAATTGTTTTATAAAAGAAAAAATATTTCTAAAAATAAAAAAATTGCTGTTGATTTCTGTATGTCAATTTAATAGCCTGCAATATTATAAAGTTTTTGATTGAGGTTGCCATTGATTTCCTAAGATTCTCCAGGTATATGGTACATCTGCAAATAGAAAAATTTTATTTCTTCTTTTCAATTCTCCTGGCTCTAATTGATTTCTTTTGTCTGACTGCGTTGGCTGACATTGCCAGTAGAATGTTGAGAATAGTGAAAGTAGTGGCCATCCTTGCATTGTGCCTCTTATTCAGTGTTTTCTCATTAAGTAAGGCACTGGCTTTAAGACTAAGGAATATGTATATCTTATCATGTTAAAAATGTATGCAACAATTCTTATTTTCTTGAGTTTTTTTTTAAATCAGAAGAGGGTATTGATTTTTTTCAAAGGCTTTTTTCAGCATTTATGGAGATAATCATACTATTTTTCTTCTTTAAAATTTCAACATGGCATATTATACTAATGAATTTTCTATTTTTGAAGCAAGCTTGCATTCCTGAGGTAAATTCTACTTGGTCATGCTGTATTTTTTAAAATGTGAAGTTGGATTCTTTTTGCTAATATTTAGAATTTTTCCAACAATAAGTGATACTGGGCTGCAATTTTCTCTTTTTGTACTGTCTATACCAGGGTGAAGTGTTAATTTTATAGTTGCTTCATGAAAAATGAGGATGTTTTCCTTCATTTTCAATTGTCTGTAACATGTAACAAGAGAGCGTTGGGACTATCTGATCTCTGAAGATTTGGTAGTGATTTTCAGTCTCTCTAGCACAAAATGGGAACAATTATAATATTTCCTTCTAGGGAGTTGTCAGAACAATTCAGTTGATGGACTTGGAAGTGCTTTACAAACAGCACATCTCTTGTCATGTGTTGATTACTGTAACAGAGGCAAGAACAAAATGTAGTGCAGAATGGGTAATTAAATCACTCTCAATTTGGAAAAAGATAGATACTGAGAAGGTTTCATAGCAATTATCTTTTAGTTCAGTTTTGAATGAGGAGCAGGATTTTACTGACCCAAGAAGTAAATATTCCAGATTAAAGAAAAAGCTTCAGTGGAGATATTTAAGCTTATGATTGCAAAATTTACCATATCCATGTAGTGATGTCCAGTTGACACTTTGACATAAATTTATTTCTTTGATTCTTCGAGGATAGTAGGTGATATGGTTTGGCGTTATCCCCATCCAAATCTCATCTTGAATTGTAACTCCCAGAATTCCCACCTGTCAAGGGAGGAACCTGGTGGGAGGTGACTGAATTATGAGTATGGGTCTTTCATGAGCTGTTCTTGTGATAGTGAATGAGTCTCACAAGATCTGATGGTGTTAAAAATGACAGTTTCCCTGCACAATCTCTCTCTTTGCCTGCTGCCATTCATGTAAGATGTGACTTGCTCCTCATTGCATTCCACCATAGTTGTGAGGCCTCCCCAGCCATGTGGAACTGTAAGTCCATTAAACCTCTTTCTATTACAGATTGTGCAGTATCAGGTATGTCTTTATCAGTAGTATGAAAACAGACTAATACAGTAGGATAGATATTATCCCCATCTTAAGGTCAGAGAGGGCAATGACTTCACAAGTAAGTAACAGATCCTAGCACAGACACAGAGAGTAGGTGCTTGATAAATATTTGGAGCATTTTCTACTGATACAAAACCACAATTGATTTTGTTTCATTTACCCTTCCTTCTGTTCCTGTCTTATTTTTGTGTATTATGCAATTAAACATTTATTACCAATGGTTAGTGTTGTTTTGCATGATCACATACTGGCCATTCATTACTTCATTTATGTATCTTTTATCTTCACAACTAAACTATAGGTAAAATTGTGATACACTTTGATAGATAAAGTAGACATTTGTTGCTCGAACTCCTCGTTGACAGAGACCTAATTTTTATTCTTGCATTCTGCTTCTTCAAAGAGCTCATGGGTTTCAAGGGAAGCTGACACTGTCTTCCACCCTTCCACTCTCTAGTCACAGGTGAGCTCAGATTGTCTCAACACTAACCAACACATTCCACTGCTCTGGTATGGTGATGGGCAGAGGATCCAGTGTGAGCCAGTAACAACAGAACTTTTTGGGAAAGACACATCCTTGCCCTTTTTTCATTGGCTCTAACAAGAAACATGAGGAACCAGACAGAAAATACATGAGGTGAAACCTGCCCCAAATGGAGCTCCTACAGGGGAGCAGATAGAAAAATAGACATAAACCAAATCTTTTTAAAAATTTTTATTATACTTTAAGTTCAGGGTACATGTGCACAACATGCAGGTTTGTTACATAGGTATACATAGGCCATGTTGGCTTGCTGCACCCATCAACTCATCGTTTACATTAGGTATTTCTCCTAATGCTATCCCTCCCCCAGGCCCCCACTCCCAGACATGCCCTGGTGTGTGTGTGATGTTCCCCACCCTGTGTCCATGTGTTCTCATTGTTCAATTCCCACCTGTGAGTGAGAACATGCAGTGTTTGGTTTTCTGTCCTTGTAATAGTATGCTGAGAATGATGGTTCCCAGTGTCATCCATGTCCCTGCAAAGGACAGGAACTCATCCTTTTTTATGGCTGCATAGTATTCCATGGTGTATATGTGCCACATTTTCTTAATCCAGTCTATCATTGATGGACATTTGGATTGGTTCCAAGTCTTTGCTATTGTGAATAGTGCCACAATAAACATACGTGTGTGTGTGTCTTTATAGTAGCATGATTTATAATCTTTTGGGTATATACCCAGTAATGGGATTGCTGGGTTAAATGGTATTTTTAGCTCTAGATCCTTGAGGAATTTCCACATTATCTTCTACAATGGTTGAACTAGTTTACACTCCCACCAACAGTGTAAAAGTGTTCCTATTTTTCCACATCCTCTCCAGCATCTGTTGTTTCCTGACTTTTTAATGATTGCCATTCTAACTAGCGTGAGATGGTATCTCATTGTGGTTTTGGTTTGCATTTCTTTAATGACCAGTGATGATGAGCATTTTTTCATGTGTCTGTTGGCTGCATAAATGTCTTCTTTTGAGAAATGTCTGTTCATATCCTTTGCCAACTTTTTGATGGAGTTTTTCTTTTTTCTTGTAAATTTGTTTAAGTTCTTTGTAGATTCTGGATATTAGCCTTGTAAGATGGATAGATTGCAAAAATTCTCTCCCATTCTGTAGGTTGCCTGTTCACTCTGATGGTGCTGTGCAGAAGCTCTTTAGTTTAATTAGATCCCTTTTGTCTATTTTGGCTTTTGTTACCATTGCTTTTGGGGTTTTAGTCATGAAGTCTTTGCCCATGCCTATGTCCTGAATGGTATTGCCTAGGTTTTCTTCTAGGGTTTTTATGGTGTTAGGTCTTACATTTAAGTCTTTAATCCATCTTGAGTTAATTTTTGTATAAGGTGTAAGGAAGCGATCCAGTTTTAGCTTTCTGCATATGGCTAGCCAGTTTTCCTAGCACTATTTATTAAATAGGGAATCCTTTCCCCATTTCTTGTTTTTGTCAGGTTTGTCAAAGATCACATGGTTGTAGATGTGTGGTGTTGTTCCTGAAGCCTCTGTTCTGTTCCATTGGTCTATATCTCTGTTTTGGTACCAGTACCATGCTGTTTTGGTTACTGTAGCCTTGTAGTATAGTTTGAAGTCAGGTAGCATGATGCCTCCAGCTTTGTTCTTTTTGCTTAGGATTGTCTTGGCTATGTGGGCTCTTTTTTGGTTCCATATGAACTTTAGAGTAGTTTTTTCCAATTCTGTGAAGAAAGTCATTGGTAGCTTGATGGGGATGGCATTGAATCTATAAATTACTTTGGGCAGTATGGCCATTTTCATGATATTGATTCTTCCTATCCATGAGCATGGAATGTTCTTCCATTTGTTTGTGTCTTCTTTTATTTCATTGAGCGGTGGTCTGTAGTTCTCCTTGAAGAGGTCCTTCACATTCCTTGTAAGTTGGATTCCTAGGTATTTTATTCTCTTTGAAGCAATTGTGAATGGGAGTTCACTCATGATTTGGCTCTCTGTTTCTCTGTTATTGGTGTATAGGAATGCTTGTGATTTTTCCATGTTGATTTTATATGCTGAGACTTTGCTGAAATTGCTTATCAGGTAGGCTGAGACGATAGGGTTTTCTAAATATACAATCATGTCATCTGCAAACAGGTACAATTTGACTTCCTCTTTTCCTAACTAAATACTCTTTATTTCTTTCTCCTGACTGATTGCCCTGGCCAGAACTTCCAACACTATGTTGAATAGGAGTGGTGAGAGAGAGCATCCTTGTCTTGTGCCGGTTTTCAAAGGTACTGCTTTCAGTTTTTGCCCATTCAGTAAGATATTGGCTGTGGGTTTGTCATAAATAGCTCTTATTATTTTGAGACATGCTCCATCAATACCTAGTTTATTGAGAGTTTTTAGCATGAAGGGCTGTTGAATTTTGTTGAAGGCCTTTTCTGCATCTATTGAGATAATCATGTGGTTTTTTTCGTTGGTTCTGTTTATGTGTTGGATTATGTTTATTGATTTGAGTACGTTGAACCAGGCTTGCATCCCAGGGATGAAGCCAACTTGATTGTGGTGGATAAGCTTTTTGACGTGCTGCTGTATTCGGTTTATCAGTATTTTATTGAGGATTTTCGCATTGATGTTCATCAGTGATATTGGTCTAAAATTCTCTTTTTTTGTTGTGTCTCTGCCAAGCTTTGGTATCAGGATGATGCTGGCTTCATAGAATGAGTTAGGAAGAGTTCCCTCTTTTTCTATTGATTGGAATAGTTTCAGAGGGAATGGTACCAGCTCCTCTTTGTACCTCTGGTAGAATTCGACTGTGAATCCATCTGGTCCTGGACTTTTTTTTGGGTGGTAGGCTATTAATTATTGCCTCAATTTCAGAACCTGTTATTGGTCTATTCAGAGATTCAACTTCTTCCTGGTTTAGTCTTGGGAGGCTGTATGTGTCCAGGAATTTATCCATTTCTTCGAGATTTTCTAGTTTATTTGCCTAGAGGTGTTCATAGTATTCTCTGATGGTAGTTTGTATTTCTGTGGGATCGGTGGTGATATTCCCTTTATCATTTTTTATTGCATGTATTTGATTCTTCTCTCTTTTCTTCTTTATTAGTCTTGCTAGCGGTCTGTCTATTTTGTTGATCTTCTCAAAAAACCAGCTCCTGGATTCACTGATTTTTTTAAAGGGTTTTTCGTGTCTCTATCTCCGTCAGTTCTGCTCTGATCTTAGTTATTTCTTGCCTCCTGCTAGCTTTTGAATGTATTTGCTCTTGCTTCTCTAGTTCTTTTAATTGTGATGTTAGGGTGTCAATTTTAGATCTTTCCTGCTTTCTCTTGTGGGCATTTGGTGCTATAAATTTCCCTCTACACACTGCTTTAAATGTGTCGCAGAGATTCTGATACATTGTGTCTTTGTTCTCATTAGTTTCAAAGAACATCTTTATTTCTGCCTTCATTTCGTTATGTACCCAGTAGTCATTCAGGAGCAGGTTGTTCAGTTTCCATGTAGTTGTGAGGTTTTGAGTGAGTTTCTTAATCCTGAGTTCTAATTTGATTGCACTGTGGTCTGAGAGACAGTTTGTTGTGATTTCTATTCTTTTACATTTGCTGAGGAGTGTTTTACTACCAATTATGTGGTCAATTTTAGAATAAGTATAATGTGATGCTGAGAAGAATGTATATTCTGTTGATTTGGGGTGTAGAATTCTGTAGATGTCTATTAGGTCTGCCTGGTGCAGAGCTGAGTTCAAATCCTGGATATCCTTGTTAACCTTCTGTCTCATTGATCTAATATTGACAGTGGGGTGTTAAATTCTCCTGTTATTATTGTGTGGGAGAGTAAGTCTCTTTGTACGTCTCTAAGAACTTGCTTTATGAATCTGGGTTCTCCTGTATTGGGCACATATATATTTAGGATAGTTAGCTCTTCTTGTTGAATTGATCCCTTTACCATTCATTACGTAATGTCCTTCTTTGTCTCTTTTGATCTTTGTTGGTTTAAAGTCTGTTTTATCAGAGACTAGGATTGCAACCCCTGCTTTTTTTTTGCTTTCTATTTGCTTGGTAGATCTTCCTCCATCCCTTTATTTTGAGCCTATGTGCGTCTCTACACATGAGATTGGTCTCCTGAATACAGCACACTGATGGGTCTTGCCTTTCTCCAATTTGCCACTCTGTGTCTTTTAATTGGGGTATTTAGCCCATTTACATTTAAGGTTAATATTATTATGTGTGAATTTGATCATGTCAGTATGATACTAGCTGGTTATTTTGCCCGTTAATTGATGCAGTTTCTTCATAGCATCAATGGTCTTTACAATTTGGCATGTTTTTGCAGGGGCTGGTACCAGTTTTTCCTTTCCATGTTTGGTGCCTCCTTCAGCAGCTCTTGTAAGGCAGGCCTCATGGTGACAAAATCTCTCAGCATTTTCTTGTCGGTAAAAGATATTATTTCTCTTTCACTTATGAAGCTTAGTTTGGGCTGGATATGAAATTGTGGGTTGAAAATTCTTTTCTGTAAGAATGTTGAATACTGGCCCCCACTCTCTTCTGGCTTGTAGGGTTTCTGCCAAGAGATCCACTGTTAACCTGATGGATTAACCTGACCTTTCTCTCTGGCTGCCCTTAACATTTTTTCCTTCATTTCAACCTTGGTGAATCTGACAATTATGTGTCTTGGGGTTGCTCTTCTCAAGGAGTATCTTTGTGGTGTTCTCTGTATTTCCTGAATTTGCACGTTGGCCTGCCTTGCTAGGTTGGGGAAGTTCTCCTGGATAATATCCTGAAGATTGTTTTCTAACTTGGTTCCATTCTCCCCATCACTTTCAGGTACACCCATCAAACGTAGATTTGGTCTTTTCACATCGTTGCATATTTCTTGGAGGCTTTGTTCATTTCTTTTTACTCTTTTTTCTCTAATCTTGTCTTCTCACTTTAGACATAAACCAAATCTTCAGCCACCATTTTAAGCTGCACCTAAAGCCAGCAGACTTACTTTTCAAGCACAGAAGCCAATAAATAGCTTTATTCTCAAAATCAGTTTCTGCCATTTTCAACCAAAGGCTTTAAAACTAACACAATAAAATAGACATGCTGTATATATCTGATATATCTCATTAATAGTAAGGAAGCAGGCAAATAATCATGTACTGAGTTTTTGTGAGAATATAAATGTAGTACAGTGTAGCCATTCATTTCTTCATTCAATACACACTTACTAAGCATCTACAATGCCACTGGGTGACAGTTTTTCATGCAGAAAAATATATGTGAACTACCATTAATATTTTTATTAATGTAAAATAAATGTGCCATTAGTGTTTTAAGATTTTTAGAGCTTTCTATGAATGATAATTTATTCATTCATTCTCTCAATTCAACAAAAATATTTTCAGCACTTACCATGTGCTAGTCTGATATTTCTCAGAGATGCTTCCCCTTGTGATTAACAGAACTCATTTGTAGAAAAGCATGTTAATGACTATGATAATGAACGCACATTACCAGTCCAAATTACAAAACCAGAACTTTGTACCACTTGCCCAATCTTGTTTACTATATTAATAGAACCATGAAAAGAAAAATAAACATTAAGTTTTTATATATTTATCAAATTAGATTTAGTTTTGATTTTGTTAAGTGGTAAGAAAAATAGCAGATTCTTTTAACATCATTATATTCCTTTGATATACAAATATATCCTGTAAAAGTTGAAGTATATTTAAGCCTGACTTCATAAGATCAAGTATATTGCTCAACAGAGCATTTGTCCTCACAGCACAAAAGAACTATGCAATACTGACTGAGCTTCAGAAAATGAATCTCACCCATGTTTACTTTATATAGTTTGATATATAATCCATCTTATTTGTACCACAACATTTTGAAGCTACATTTAGAACTGAAATTTCTAAAGATGAGATTCTTCGGTGAGTTTATAACTTTAGTTAACTCTTCAAATTATAATAGATACCTACAAATTGTCATTTTGTTACACTAGTTTGATCAGTCATTAAGTTCACAAGCAGCATTAGAAATGTTCTTTAAAATAGGCTGCCTCAATCCAGGACTTTGGGAGGCTGAGGCAGGATGATCACTTGAGCCCAGGAGTTTGAGACCAGCCTAGGCAATGTAATGAGACTCTGTCTTTATAAAAGATGTTAAAAAATTAGCCAGGAAATGTGGAATGCCTGTAGTCCCAGCTACTAGGGAAGCTAAGGTGGGAAAATCGCTTGAGCCCAGGAGATTGAGGCTGCAGTGAGCCATAATCGCACCACTGCACTACAGCCTGAGTGACAGCAAGACCCTGTCAAAAAATAAAATATAGTAAAATAAAGTGAAAAACAGGCTGCCTGATTCTTCGATTTGTACATTCCACTGCCATAAATGGATATTTCTATTTGAAAATCCTACTGTCAGCTCAAAAGCAGCATGCCCAGTGCTTAATCTTTCTCTGTTCCATTCCCAGCCATTCTCACCTTGCACCCCAGGCCATTCGTATCATGAATTTGATGCACATCACTGTATCAGTCGTGCCATACATCTATGTACCCATATATAATATATAGTAATATTTATGTACATGTTAAAATATCCATACAGAGATAAACATGTGTTTTGATTTTTTTCACCAACATATTTTTGAGATATATCATGTTCACTTACAACTCCTTATTAATTTCTTTTAAGGGCTATATAGTACTTCACCTATTGATTCGTTTTTAAAATCTACCTCATATCAATGGACATTTATGTTGCTCTAATGTATCTCTATTAGAAACAATGCTGTAATGTACATTTTTGTACTAGTGTCCTTGTGCATGTGTTTCTCTGGGGTATTGACCTATAAGTTGACTTGCTGGTTATGGGATACCACAGAGGCGCAGTTACTAGATACTGCTTTCCAAAGACAGGCTAATTTAGCAGTGTTTGAACATTCTCTTTTCTTCACGTTCTTGACATTTAGTAGTTTCATCTGCATTTTCAACTTGAAATTCCTTAATCTCAAGCTACCTTTGACAAGTCCCCAAAATATCTGCAAGATAATTTGATGTGCCCCTAGATGCCTCAGCAGTGTTTGGCTAATTTCTACTAAAACTCTTTGCTACAAGACACCTTCATGACACACAGTCAATTTTAATGAACTAAAGATTCTAATTCCATATTCAACTGCTAAACTTCCTCTCAGAATCCCATCACCAAATTTTGGCAAATACTTTCAGTCCAATATCATAAATCTAGTCACTACAGAACTTTAGTTAGGCTTGTACAACCTTTTGTGTAAGCCCCCAAAGGTCATTCTCCATGGAGTACAATTAACAGAACAATGAAGAGGAATACGTATTGGCCAGGATGTGGGAACACAATCACTTTTACGTATTTCTGATGGGAGTACAAATTGATTGCTATATAAGCTTTGGTGTACCGTTGACCACATCTAGTAAAACAAAAAATACACGTTGATTGTATTGAGTTTTTATTTCAGCCAAATTCATTTGGTAAAAAGCAGTATTTTATAATTATGGAAAATTAACTTTTCTTCACAGGCATATTGGCATTTTGTATTTCTTTTTTAATATAATTTCTAGTTTGTATCCTTTGTTAACTTTTCTGTTAGGCTGTTTGTATTTCCTTATTCATGTGTAACAGTACTTTCTATATTCAGGATGCTATTATTTCATATAATTTTTTGTGTATTTATATAAATTGCAAGTAGCTTCACACTGTATTGCTTGTCTTTGAACTTTGGTTATGATGTCTTTGTTCTTTTTGGTCTGAAACTTTCTTCTTCTTATAAAATATTGCTTAATCTTTTAAAAAGTTTATGTTCCTAATCCACTCGTAATTTTATTGTATTTTATTTTATTTTTGAGATGGAGTCTTCCTCTGTCGCCAGGCTGGAGTGCAGTGGCCCAATCTTGGCTCACTGCAACCTCTACCTCCCGGGTTCAAGCGATTCCCCTGCCTCAGCCTCCTGAGTAGTTGGGACTACAGGTGCAGGCCACCACACCCGGCTAATTTTTTGTATTTTTGGTAGAGACGGGGTTTCATCATGTTGGCCAGATGGTCTTGATCTCCTGACCTCGTGATCCGCCTGCTTCAGCCTCCCAAAGTGCTGGATTACTGGTGTGAGCCACCTCGCCCGGCCACTTGTAAGTTTTTAATGATGTAAAGAACCCTAATTTATATTTTCCATATGGAAAGTCACTTATCGAATAATATATATTTTCTCTACCAATTTTTAATATTACCACTGTCTTTACACTAAGTTCCAGAACCTGCTTGGGTTTGTGCATACTTTATTCTGTTCCATTGATCTATTTATCTTTTCCAAAACCAAGATCACAATATTTTAATTACTGTAGCTTAATACTAAATCTTGACATCACGTGAGGCAAATCCTTCCCCTGAACTCCTTTGAAAATTACCTGGACTATTCTTGGACTTCTACTTAAATATCAATTTTAGAATTAGTTTGGTAGATTTTTTTCATTGAAAAAATATTGATTTAAGAAATTAATTCACAGAGAATTGACTTCACAACATTACATCTCCTAGTCTATGGACATCTGCAATTATTCAGTGACTTTTTAACATATTTCAACATAGTTTAACAAGTTTTCCACATATAATTGCTTAGTTTTATCATGATAATTTAAGATTTTGTTGCTAATTTAAGTAAGATCTTTATTTGTTTGGGATATTTTCTAATTATTTATTAAAAAGGGACACTATTAAATTTTGTGTGCTTATCTTATTTCCCAAAACTTTTCTATATTATTTCATTGATTTTAATTAGATAGTTATTTATTTTTATTTTATATGTCATGTCATCATATACTCTTTCAATAATAGCCTATTAACCCTTTATTTGTTATTTTATCTCTTATTCAATTGGTTAAGATTTTCAACAGAATATTGAATCATGGGCAAGAGATGTTAGCTTTACTTATTTTGTTATTGACACTATTATTTACAAATCAGTGAGTGACCATTAAATGTATAGTTTACATTAGGATTTTATACCAGATAAATAGATTTTATTTTGTGTTTAGAATGAATTTTTTTAAAAAAAACATGAATCTTGAGGTGTCTGTTATTTTCTTCTTTTTATAATGAGCAGTTTTCTTCTTTAATCTGTTATATGTTGACTTGTATTGAGAGACTGTCAAATGCTAAACTATTTTTATATCCTTAAGATAAAGTTTATGATAATGAGTTAACATTTTTAAAAGTACACAGTTTGGATTCATTTGGAAATATTTCATTTTTTATATTTTTTAAATATATCATTATAAGTTATGTTGGTCTATTATTTTATTCTCACTTACATTTGTCAAATTTTGGTATCAATGTTAGGCCAAACTTGAAAACTAATTAGACAACTTTTTCTCTTTTTCTATTATGATAGAGATTACCTGGTCCTTAATCATTTCATACAATTTACAATCTGAACCAGATGTGCTTTAGGGAAAAGATTTTTTATTTTTACTACCAAATTAAGTTCCCCTAATAATTATTAATTACTTAGACTTTCTAATATTCTATTATTAAAAAAAATTGTCTATTTTATCAAAATCTCAATTTTTAATTATATGACTCTAAAATCCTCTACTTCATCTGAATTATATCTACTATTTTATTCCAAACATTGTTTGTTTACATTTTTTCTTTTTCTTGGTCAGCAGTGGCACTTTCCACACAAGGTAGGGGTTTGACAGGTCTGGAAATATGAATTTATTTTAATGCCACTTTGCTTTCATATTAAGAGATTTTGGTTTATTCACTATAAATTTACACTAAGTCTATTAGCTTCCTTTAAGGAAATAATTATAAACACCAGACTTTCTGTTTTATTAACCAAATTCAGTGTCAGCAAGGCCAAATTCTCACCTGATCATGGGGAGGTTGGGACGCAGAGGGTCAGGAGAAAGCAGAGTCAGTCCCCAGATATTTTTGGACAATATATTTGCCTCAAGTTGACTAGCATTCTGAATAGTGCCTTTTCCTCCATTGGATAACTTTTTATATCTGGTTGTTTTTAAAGATTTTTATCTTTATCAGCATTCTTCCTCAATTTCTGTATGTCTTGATCAGGTTTAGGTTCTTTCATTAATCTGACTTGACATTTGGTACACCCTTTAACCTGGAAACACATATGCCTCTGTAGTTTCAGAAACCCTTCAGCTATTACATCCACATATTTTCTCTTCTTTATTTTTACTGGCACCCTGATTAAATGGGTGTTGAAGCTTCTCAATCTAGCTTCCATGTTTCAACTTATCTATATTTTCCATCTCTTTTTCTGTAGTGAATTCTGAGTTTCTCAATTCTTTTTTCATGTCATTAATCTTTTTCTTCAGCCATATTTAGACAACTAATTATCTTGTCCACTTAGCTTTTTATAGCAATGACTATATTTTTCATTTCCATGATTTCTAAATCTGTTGCTTTTGTATGATTACCAACTGTTCTCACTGAAGAAATGGTGTTTCCTATTTTTCTGTTTGAGGGAAAATATGGACTATGTATATATTTGTTTTAAAATTGCTGCCTTCTTTTTCTCTCTGTGGTTGAAATTCTTCCATATCTTGAATATGCTCTCTTCCATAGAGGTATGTTTGCTCAATTGATTTGTCATTTTTGGAAGAACTATGTTGTGTAAAAAAAATGTTGTGCATGTTGTGCTCTGATTTGTGGCTTTGTGTTTTCCTTGGACCGTATCTCTGTGTTACATAGGTCAGACCAAGTCTTTCATTAGAGCTTTTTGAGATGGCTCTTCTTCGTTGAGAGGGATGGGGGTGGTATCGCATCAGAGAGAGGCAAGGGGACACCCCTTAGGGACTCCTTTCCCAGGAGGCCACATCTGAGATCTCACTACTTCCTGTATACTCTTATTTCCTTCCAAACTATGTGGCTCCTTGAAAATTGAAAGCCCTTTATTCACGTTAGGTCCTTGGGGAATTGCCAGGTAACACTCAGGGCTGGGACCTGGGGTGATGGGAATGGGAGGAGTTAGATCAGCCCCTCCACAGGACTGAGGCAGGGAGGCAGGTCAAGGCCATTCAGAGACTCTCTGCTCACAGCAGCACCTAGGAGGTCCCCACATTCTAGATAAAGTGATGCTGTTGAGATGAGAGGCAATTGGATTTATATGAAATCTTCCTGTGACCTTTGCCTGTGACATTTGCCTGAGACCTTTGGTCTGAGGGGAGTTTGCTTAAAGCTCTGCTCCTGGAGATAATGTTCTCTTTTGTGAGTGATAGCTTCCAGGTGGCTGAGATCTGCTGCTAGCTTTAGCACAAAGCTTCCTGGCCTTTGGCAAGACCAAAAGCGGGCATTACACTACCTTCCAAGGAATAATCTTTCCTGAACACTTGGCACACAAGGATGGAGGAAAATGAGGTGAGAGAAGAAGCCAAAGGATTAGAACAATTCCGTAGTGAAAGGATGCTAACAGTAGGGGCAGAAACCTCACCATAGTTCTTTGTGCCAATCTATAAACAAATACTTGTGTCTCAATTACTCAGTTGTACAATGGCATGCTATACTTATTCAGTGCTTACCATACTGTACCATACTATGGTTATCAAAAAAACTTCTAAGTTTTTCAGAGGGCACCAAGTAGTAATTTTTCTGCCTAAGGCCAATCTCTCATTTTATCTGCATCCTAGTCATTTTGTGACAGCAGCTTCCTAGAAAGAGATGCTGATGATTCATAACCAGGTACTACTGATATGCTCATTAGAAGACTTGCTAACTACTTTAAATTTGATAGAAAATTAACCGCAAGTCTAACTCAATAACTCCTATATAAATCTTAATTTACTACATTTTTTCAGTGTTGAATAAAAGAATGAAAACCTGTAATCTTCAGAGAATAAAAGCACAGCAAATTAAGAAAAGACTGTAAAACATTTTGGGGGGAAGGACAAGGGGTAACTATTATAGGATGAAATATATTTGACATTATCTTCTGGAAATGACCACTTAAAACCTAATTCATTCTCAGGGTTACTGAAAATCATAAGTTATTTTCATGTTCTCAAACTATTCAAGATATAGAATGGTGCTCGATGGTGAAAGCCATTGTGACCATAAAAATAGTCATATAACATAGTAGGCATCACTACAGCCAATTGCCACTTATCCTTTTTCCTTGATGCCATTAACCCAACTGGTTGCTGATGGTTTGGAACACACTGCCATTTAATACTCCACTTAGACTGTACACATAGTGTTAGTTCCAGGAGACAACTGGGAGGCCTATAAAGGAAAGGGAAAGAGGAGCTGGATTGTAAGATTAAATATTTCTGAGATTGTTTCTGGTTTGTTTTTAAAGCATGGCCAGCACAGTTTCACATTTAAGACCCACTGATACTAAACACTTACGAAAGAGGGGAAAAAAACAACTTTCAGTCCTAGCTGCAAGGTAGAAGTTAATTTTTAAAAAATTGTTATTATTATTATTTTTCGAGACAGGGTCTTGCTCTGTCACCCAGGCTGGAGTGCAGTGGCTTGATTTTGGCTCACTGCAACCTCCACCTCCCTGGTTCAAGCAATTCTGCTGCCTCAGCCTCCTGAGTAGCTGGGATTGCAGGTGTGCGCCACGATGCCTGGCTAATTTTTGTATTTTTAATAGAGATGGGGTTTCACCACGTTGGCCAGGATGATCTCAAACTCCTGACCTCAAATGATCTGCCGACTTCAGCCTCCCAAAGTGTTGGGATTACAGGCGTGAGCCACCATGCCCAGCCACATTTTTTTTTTAATATGAAAGGAAAGACACCAACACATTGTACATTACTGCACAATGTACACATAGCCTTTATGCACGATGTCTCTGAGATTTGTGTACTTTTTCTTTTGGAATGTCCTGAGTTCTGGAAAGCTGGAATGGTGTTCATTCCTAGTCCCACTTGGGTTTTTGCCCATTTGATTGTCCTCTGGTGAATGTTATCCATGGCAGACAATGACTTTTTACAAGCCACTTTGAGATTGCTCAAGTGCTTGTGTGTCCATGCTACCCCATGCTATGGAATGGACTCTGCCCCCACACCAAGACAGTGTCCAGTTGGGGCATCTCCATCTGGATTCTTTTCTGTCACTGTGTAACTGATGGATTTTTTCCCTCTCATTTTCCACCGCAATCACAAACAGTAAGTAGGTGCCCAGAGAAGAGGGAGATTAGATCTAGCGTTGACCACGGAAGGAAGCACGTTGATTACCGCCGATGCTTCTTCTCTGGGGTGGATCTTTCTGCCCTTAAAAACTCAGCCTCGAGCTCAGCCTGATTGGGAATTCTAATATCTGCAGATGCTACTATCTTTTCCTTGTAAAATGACAAGGAGATCCTCTAGATCTGCATTGGCAAATGCAGTAGCCACTGGTTTAAATTTAAATTAAATTAAATTAAAAATTCAGTTCCTCAGTCAAGTAGCCACATTTCAAGAGCTCAATAGCCACATGTAGCTAGTGGATACTGTGTAACACAGCACAGATATAGAACATTTTTATCATTGCAGAAAGTGCTATTGGATAGAACTGTTCTGCAACATACATAGAATATTTCCATTTCAGCAGCAAAATTTGGCGCTGAGAAGATACTTGATATCTTTTGATAAGGTGACTATCTTAGAAGGTCCTTTGGGATATGACAAAGTGATACCCTGAAGGAACAAGATTGGAGAACAAAGGATAGTTGTTCTTCCGTCAGCTAAGGATTTTGCTTTGATTACCTGTGTAAGTTAGCTGTGGTCTGAATCTGATTGGCTTGGAACATACAGGTGTTTTTTAGAGGCTGTGTAGAGAGAAGGCAAGGAAGGGAAAAGAGATCTGGCAATTAGCGGCTAGGGGAGAGAGCCAGGATGTCTAATGAAGGGATAAAGCAGTATGCTTTGTCAAGTGCAATGCAATCCCTCCTCTATCTCCCCCGAAAAACCTTGTGTAAAATATTCTTTACTCACTAATTAGTTGAAAATTTAAAATGTTGTTTTTGCTGAGTCTGCTCTCAAAAGGAGTATTGGGAATGTACAATGTGTCCAATTACATTGGGTTTAAACATTTTACTCCCTTGCTACTTAGTATCTTCTTTCTCCAAGGCAATCTGTGCATGTCTTTTCCTTAGGACATTAAAGACTTTTGATTGGCAGAATCAGCTCAATGATCAGTCCCTTCCCAGGTGTGCCAGTGTTTGACATTTCCCTGGAGTCTTCCAGTTTGCAACTAATTTGATGGATTATAGCTGACTGCTTTGAAGCAAGGAAAAATGAATTTGTTTTTTCTCCTTATTTAACAAATATGTATTGCACACTTGATATGTAACAGACAGTGTTTTAGAAGTTGGTTATATAGCAGTGAACAAAATCATATTCCTGCCCTCAAATAGCTTAAATCTCTTCTCCTTTTGTGCCCTATCATCTACCCAAAAACAGCTAGTTACAGATACGACAATTACTAGATACACTGCTTTACCTGTTACACTTGAGCATGCTAAACATTATTTAATTTAAAGATTACCATTCATTTGTAAGGTAAGGTAAAAAGATTCATCTGGATCACACAGTTATTAAGAGATAGGGGTAGGGTTCCAACACAAACTTTCCCCTTTCTCTCTTCCCTTTTCCGCCTCTTGAGACATTATATGCGTAGGTGAACCAAAGATGGGAGGTGGGAGAAAAATCAGATGTGTCCTTTGCTTTTATATTTCCCATAGTGCCTAGCATGATATCCCAGAACCTAGCAAAATTGTCTGACATGTAGGAGGCATTCAATAAATATTTGTTGGCTGGTTAAATAAATAGCTACATAAATGGATGGGAAAATGGCATCGTGTGCAGTGTAGGCATTTAATCCATATTTGTTGTTAAAGGCTACTCCAGAAGTAGGATAAAATTAAATTCTCCTGAATTAGATTTGGCTTACTAACCACCTTCATTTAGGTTTCAATTATGCAAATCAGTTTTTTGCAACAACTTAGGAGTTGGTATTTTTTTCATAAAATATAATTATTAGATGCATATTAATAGTGTAAAATAATAATTCTTAATGTTGGAAGGATATAATAAAGTGGGTATGCTCAAACTTCTGAGGGGAGAATAAATAAGTACAACCTTTCTGAAAACCAATTTGAAAATATTTTTCAATAATTAAAAAATTGTCACACCATATGACCTAATAATTCTACTTCTAGTGATCCATTTAAAAGAAATATCCAAGAATGCAAATGAAGACCTATCTAAGGTCTATCTACTTAATGTGAGGAAAAAAAGCCAAAAAATTCAAGCATCAATATTAAGGACTAAATAAATTATAATATTTATAGTATAGAAAAATGTACAGCCATTCGAATTATCTTTAATAACCTGTTTAGAATATAATGTTAAGTTTTAGAGAAGCAGAATTTAAAACTATAGTATAATCCAAAGTATTCAAATAATGCACACATACATACACATATACACACACACACAAATGTTGGCTGAGATTATCTCGACTCTGAATTGTAAGATTATGAGTTATCTTGGTTTTCTTCTTTTTGCATTTTTTTTGTTTTTAAACAATAAAGAACATAATACTGTGGTAATCTCTAAGGGTGTTAATGTACAAAAATATACAGGCATAATAAAGAAATACAAACTCAGTTTTAGACAATGAAATGTTATATCAACTTTTAAAATATTGTTTAGATTAACAGTTTGATATTTTAAAAAGGTGTCATTTAAAATACTTAGTTGAAATAATATTTTTGGTTTGTTTAATTATTGGGTATGTGGGAATGGTGGTGGTGAATATTTTTCACTAAGAAGAAAGTCAAGTGGTAATTAACTGTTTTTTAGGATGTATTTGAGCCTCATTTACTGAACTACCAAAAACATTTACAGAATAAAATAAAATGTAAAAGAAACAGCTAAGTAAGAAATAATAAATGGAAAAGTTGTAATTTTATTGTCCTCTATTACAAATGTGAAATATTCCCACATTTTTTCATATTTTATGAGAACTGTTTATACAGTTGAAAGTTTCTATAGAAGAATTACATTATCTTCATATGAACCATATTGTATTTTCTTCCTTTTTTGACAATTTTTACCAAAGCTATATCTATGGATGCTTTGTTATGCATTTACTTACCTAGCAATTCATGTTTCTAAAGTGTATAAAGCAACAACATTGAGAAGTGCTTTTGTTCTTCTGTTAGATATTTGTCATAAACAAACTTCCCTATCTCGTAATATACATATTTGCAATTTTATAGGATAATCTCTACAGCTTTAGTGATACTAAAGAGCTTTAGAATTTATCAGTTCAGCTATTAAGGTAAATTGGTTGAACAAAACCCATAAAATTTTAGATGGGAATCTGATCTTTATATTGCAAACGTGAAAATAGTTCTCATATATATTTGGGATTATTATCAGCAAAAGAAAATATACTGTTCATTCATTTGGGACATAATTTTTTTAAGTAAAACATTATTAAAGGAGTATATAAATGGATTTAAATATAAAATAACACCATGGTATCATAACTTTAAAGCATATTTGTGAAGAAGTTATGCATAACATAAAAGTATTATCCTTCTTGAAAATATGAAAATATTAATCCTAAAAATATGCATCAAAATACTGGGTAGCATTCTACCAACTTATGCTTTTATATGAGACACTGGAAAAGTTAGTTAAATAAACGTTACTCTTGGCCTTTGAGAAGGTTTTATTTATCATTTAAAGCAATAAAAACTAAAGTGAATATTTAGTTGATATGTTTGATATACAATATTTTTTGCTAAAATATGCATTCTAATTGAATTTTTAATTTTTTTGTGTCAGGAGATGTCATCAAATAGACAATGGTAATCATTTTAATGAGTAAAAGAGGAAAACCACAGATTACTCCTACGATCAGAAGAAATAAAATGAAGGAGTAACACAATAGTAATTACCTGAGCAGATGGATTTCTAATCCTTGAGATAAACATGCTAATTAAGCTACACTACAGAATGACAAGATATTAAGGTCTTCTGAGTCTGGAGAGATTGTTATTCTAATTTACCAGTAGAACTTAATTCTCATTATATTAAAAAGTGCTTAATCAACCAAATCTTTTTTAATTAACAAATATATTTAGGCAGTTTTAGTATTTCTGTAAATTTCTTCCAAGGGTGTGAGTTTTACAGGGGCACACTTCCTCATCAGTATATTCATGGTTTTTTTTTTTTACTGTCTGTACTTTGCACAGAGCAGAATTGAGTTTTCTTGTCTCTCTAGCAAGGCACTTTTTCCTGTGTGCTGTCAATGGGGGTTTTAATTGCAGAATCAAAGCTCATATTGCGGGCACTTTCATAGCTACCCTATGCTGCCTTCCTTAAAAGATAAAAAATCTTTGTTAGTAATTGGAACTCATAGCCCCTTGACTGATCAGGTGAGCTCCAGGTTTTGTTACTTCCATGGCCAAACATTTTAGAAGAAATTAACTGGAAGAATGGGAATAATGGATGGGATACAAAAGTTTGTGTGATAAGTAATGTGAGAAAGAAGCAAAGGAGCCAGTGCCATATTTTCATGCTTACATGTACATGGTAAGTTTACGTTTTCTAAACTAGTAACTGATCAATACATTGCAGTTTTTGGATGGACACATAAAATACATAAAATCAGCATGACATTTCTTATTGGGAGAATGAATGCCTTTGTGGAAGAAATGCATTTTTAGGGCAAAAAGACTCAGGAAAAAAATCTAGGCAATGGCTTAGTTTAGTTTCTCATTTGGGTGGGTGCGTGTTTGAGGGAGTGTTACTTTCCTGTCCCTTTTCTTATGCTTATATTTTAGTTGTAACCATAATAGGAACTTATTTTATATCAGGAGATACTTTAACTTATTAAAATGTGGTAAATATTTAATACAGTTATAAATACTTATCTCAGTTTACATCCAATTCAACAAGCATTTATTGCATAATAACGATATTTTTAAAAACATAGGACTGGTTATACAGAGCTATACCAACTTAACAAAATATGATCCCAATCGCTTAGACCCTTGCTACTCAAAGTATGGTCCAAGCACTGGCATTTCTTGGGAATTGTTAGAAATACAGAATCTTAGGCCCCAATTCCTGCCATGTGAACCAAGATCTGCATTGTAACAATATCCTCAGATAAATCAAATACACATTAAATTTTGAAAAGCACTGTGTTAGAAGACCACAGCCTAAAAAAGGGAAGTAATTTCATAAGAAATACTCTAACAGAGAACAAATACCAGAGGTCAATCAAAGAACATAATTCTGGCTTCAGGGATTCACAGTAGTTTTGAATCTGCCCCTTACTACATTATACTTTCCACAAGATACATCAGCAGCTTCTAAAGCATGCCTCTGGTCAAATACATTTGAGAAACAGTGCATAATGTACACTATAGCTTAGAGATGGCTTGTTCATAATAGTAAGTTAAAGATTTTAGCCAGGCATGATGGCAGGTGCCTGTTGTCCCCGTTACTCAAGAGGCTGAGGCAGGAAGATTGCATGAGCCCGGGAGTTGGAGGCTGCAGTGAGCTTTGATTATACTACTGCACTCCAACCTGGGTGAAAAAGTGAGATCCTGTCTCAAAACAAGTAAATAAACATTTGGAGAAATCCTGAAATAAATAAATCTGTTTTACTTAAACCCAGGATTTCACAAATAAACATGAAACTGTTTTTTCCTTTGCACAGCAATATTACATCGTTGAGAACCAGCCTTTTATGGAACACACTTTGAGAGACACTGCATGTTATGAGTTTGCAACGTTTTGCTTATGAAGTTTTTTACTAGAGTTGTTCTGCACTCCATTAGCTTTTTGCCTTTTTATGGTGAATATATTTAACCTTGAATATAAGTTTGAGCAAATAATAAAATTTAGCTCTGACACAATGTATGTAATATTATAGAAATTCTGAGGCAAATTAATTCAACTGTTCTGTTAAAAATTATCCAGATCTGGATAGATAAAGTTGTCTTTGAACAAATAGTATGCTAAAGTCTGGCCTCCACATATCATTGAAATTAAGCCGGATCCTGCAAGTAAATGAAAGGGAAGTTTTGGTTAACTATCAATAATGAATAATTCATTAGTGAGATTATGAATAAGAACAATTGTCATGACTAAAATAATGTTTCTGAAACTGACATAGCATTTGAAATAGAATAGTTTATAGATTCAGCTAAGACAGGGTAGGTATATAGTCTGAGGATGGTAAATTGTTGCAATTTAAAACTTCCTTCAGGGAATAGGTGCATGGTTCTGTCAAATGATAGTAAGGAGTTCTTAAAACTCAGAAATCAAAGGCAATGGAGTCAAAGCACATGCCAAGGAATTCACGATTCTCAATTCTTTTAGCTCTTCAATCTGCCTTTTGTTTGTGTTGTGGTTGTTTAGAATACATTTTTTTCTAAAGTGCTTTCCCTCTAATTATAAAAGGAAAGCGTGTCCACTAACCTGGGAAATATTTCAAGTATAGAAAATATATTTTAAAAAACAGAATCTCACCTCCCTGAGATTCTAAACTATTTGGTTTTATGAAAATGTCTTTAGTTCTGATTTCATTGGCCCAGTGATTCTTGTTTGTTTTAAAATATTGATCTGGCCTTACACAGTTTTCATAAATCTGCTGTTCTTTGTGTGACAGTAACAGTATAACTCCCATAAAGGTAAAGTTTCCTGAGTTAAGAACTCTGACAGGACTGCACAACTTCCTCACACAAAGACACATGTCCAGAGTGAGACCATGAGATAGAATTTCCCAAATGTGTAGCCACTGTTCTCTTACATTTAAATTTTTCACTCAAAGGAAAAAAAAAAAAGCCTAACTCAAATGTCACACTGCAACTTTTTTTTTTTTTTTTTTTGAGATGGAGTCTTGCTCTGTTGCCCAGGCTGGAGTGCAGTGGCATCATCTTGGCTCACTGCAACCTCCGCCTCCTGGGTTTAAGTGATTCTCCTGCCTCAGCCCCCTGAGTAGCTAGGATTACAGGTGCATGCCACCATGCCTGACTAATTTTTGTATTTTTAGTAGAGACGGATTTTGCCATGTTGGCCAGGCTGGTCTCGAACTCCTGACCACAAGTGATCCACCTGCCTAGGCCTCCTGAAGTGCTGGGATTACAGGTGAGAGCCACCACGCCTGGCCACAGCAACTGTCTTCTGAGTAATCCAACCAAAATTATTGAAGAAAAATAGTAATCCAACTCTTTTAGCAAATTGAATTGGCCATTCCATTATACCTAACTTGACTCTTCTTGGCATCAAGGTGGCATATGCCATGTGACTGAGCTGGCTAAGGCACGGTAAATTCTGTGATATTACAAATAAAATCCAAAAGTTGTAAGTTCTTATTTTTGGAGAGAAAACGTCATTTCACTTATGCTCATAGCATTTCTTTCAGTACCTTTTCTGATTTATTAAAAATTTACATCTGAAAGACATACAAAATAAAACCTCAGTACTTTCTACATGTGTTTTCTGTACACACTAAATAATACTGGAGGAAATTACACATCTAAGACTTAACAGACATGCAAGGTAATTGGAGAATTAAACTCTAGTGAAGGAGTCAATAAGTAACATAAATAATACTAGTACTCTAAACATATAATGTGACTAGATAGTGTGATCATTGTGGTCAGTATCTGGCTTAAGCTAAACAAAAAGCTTTAGAAAAGTTCATTTTCACTTGGTTAATTTCCTTACTGGGTACATGGTTGATGAATTCAGTTCAATTTGTAAGAAAAAAATGTAATTTCTTCTTGTACAACTACCATAAAGACAGTGATGTCATACATGAAGAAAAGTGAAGGTGTCACAAATATATCCAGTGTATTATTCTCTGTAATTTTAGAATGATAAAGCTTTTGAAGTCTTTTGGTTTAATTACCTGACCCACATAAAAATATTTCCCCCATCTTTATATATAAATATATATTTATATTATATAACTATTATGTAATATGCATATATTTATCATGTTATATATAATTATATACAACACACATATATATATAATTATTTACAACAGGCAATTGTCTACATCCTTTTGGGAACCTCCCATGGTGAAGATTGAACAGCTTTCCTTGATAGTCCACTGGAGTATGTTCTCTGTCAGGACCCCAAATATACATTACAAATTTATATAAGATACAAATATATAATATATATAATATATAATATACAAATTTGTGTAATATACAAATTATATCATTACATGCCAGGAAAATCTCTGCTCCTTAATTTTATCTCATTTAATTCTCTCCATACTGACACAACAAATATTTATTAATGCTCTGTTATGTGCCAGGCACGGCACTGAGGACTGAATATTTTATTATGGACATTTTAGCTCTTAAAAGATTTTTTTAACACTTAAAAATGAAAGTTAAGCCATTCCATAATTTTCCTTTCAAAAGGTTAAGCAACATTTGCTATCTTCCAGTTGAGTTTAGAAACAACTCCTTTGACCATTTGTATGTTCTTTCCCAAGTCATGTCTTGTATGTTTGCCTCTGTGTGCTTTGAAAGCAAAAGTCACAGAACTAGAAAGCAACAGGGAAGTCCTACTATGGCTTGTGATACTAACCGATCAGTCTATCTTCTTTTCCGTTTCTTTTTACTCTTCACATTGTCTAAATGGTGTTCTCAGTTTCTGTAAGCTCTGCTCTTAACCCTGTATATTCTTTATTTTAGAGTGTGTACCCGCTATAGAGGCAGTATCCATCACATCAGTGCAGTAGCAGCTTCAGGATTCTATGTAGAAGTGTCTCTGTGTGGCCATCTATGCTGAAGGAAAGGCTAGTTAGAGGACACACCTTAGTGACTCCGAAAATGCTCCTAAATTATCCAATTCTATAAGCTTCGGTTTTTACATTTGCTAAATTGGAAAACAATACTTATCTCACAGGACTGTAATAAAGGTTAGTGAGATAAATGCAATGTCCCTGGCTTATATTATGCATATCAATGAATGGTAAGTACTATTAATATTGTGTAGGCCATTAAAATTGAGAGGCAGTTCCAGAATATGTTTGGGTATGCATGCTGTTGTCAGAACAGATTGAAGATATTATATAAGATTATTGCCAAATCAATGAGTGATTTAAAAAAAGATTCTATGACCTTTATATTTGAAAGCCAGATGCAACAGATTTAGAACTAAATGGTTTTCATATTTGACAAATGTTGAAATCTGTTTAGAAGCATAGAAGCATCCAACTTTCCTTTACGTTAACTTTTGTTTACTTTTTTATTTTTTAGAGATGGGGTCTCACTCTGTTGCCCAGGCTGGAGTGCAGTGGTGTCATCATAGCTCACTGCAGCCTCAAACTCCTGGGCTCAAGAGATCCTCCCACCTCAGCCTCCCAGGTAGCTTGGATTACTGGCATGAGCCACCATGCCAGGCCTGTGTAGCAGTTTATTAACACAAATAACTGTTAATATTGAAATGTTCTGTTTCTCTCCTAAATTTCTAATTACTGTCACACAATATGATTAAGGAAGAAAATAAGTAAAAGTGTGTGTAATCTCGTCTCCTGTATGTTTGCTATTTTGTATCTTGATTTTCCTATTTCGTAAAATAGAATTCTATGGAAAACATAATCCAATTTAGATTGGATTTCTTAAAAGTAAGACTGAGCTAAATGTGGTTGGCTACTTCAATTCTAGAAAATGATGATTTTAAAAAACAACAGGGGAGATTAAAGTTAGACACCTTGAAGAACTTCTCAATTGTTAAGAACTTGAAAATACTATAAAGACATAAAATTTATTGACTTTGTTTCAACTTATGGGTTGTATAAAGGAATAAAAAGGCTCAGAACAATGTCTGCGCTATTGCTGCTCCAAGTATGGTCTCTGGACTAGCAGTGCTGGAATAACCTGGGCCCTACCCAGACTCACTGCCTTTTTACAAGATCTTTAGGTGACTTGCACGCATTATGTACATTACAATTTGATAAATTCTGCTCTGAGATATACTTCTAGGCTCTTTGTATTACTGTGGGAAAAAAGCGTGGAGGCTAATTTATCTTTGTATATTCTTATGTTCCTAGTTCTTTACCTGGAAGCTCTTTTCATACTTTGCTAGTTTCAATACACACTCATTTTTGTTGTTGTTTCCCCTTCCTTCATCATAATTTTGTCTTCATTGAAGTATGGCTTGAGTCTTGACTATTTCACTTGAATTCTTCTACAGAGGGCAGTTCCCTCTAGTGATCTATAAATCAGGTTTCAACCTCTTTGTCCTACTGAAAATTCAACCTTTTGAGGATCCATAAATATTATGAGAGGGCTTATTTAGATAAGTTGTATACAATAAGAAGTTAGAGAAAATTGTGTTTTGGGACATAGGAATAAATAAAATATAGTCCCATAATAAGATGTGAGAGCATGAAGCTTTGTGAATAGATGAGGAAATGTCAGAGAAGGAAAGAAGAGGAACTGTATTGTTTGGCATCAGTTCTTTTGTGTACCTGTAACTCATACTATTTCTGAGTCTACCCAGTTGGCCTGTTTTTACAGTAGAATCTTTGATGCACCCGTGGGAATATAATCAAGTGTGTATGTAGATTCCATTAAAAGTGCAAAAAAAAAAAAACACTTTTTAAAGAAAGTTATATCTATCTGCTCTAGTTTCGCTCCTCATGGAAACTCAGTCCTTATTTCCTACTATAATGGAAAAATGAGAGGGGAAGAAAGGGAGAAAAAACCGGTACAGATCAGTCTTGGAGGCAAGCTAAGAAAATCCATGGCTTGTTGAAGACTTTGCCAGAATATACAGTCTTTACTGACTTTCACTCTGGCTCCTTTATTATTGACATCAACATCTGTCATTCCTCTATAAGCTCAAATTTTACCAAAAGGAGAAGTAGAGTATGCTATACTTTTTGTTTGTTTGTTTTGTTTTGTTTTTGAGATGGAGTCTGCTCTGTCTCTGCCAGGCTGGAGTGCAGGGGTGCGATCTCGACTCAATGCAACCTCCACCTCCCAGGTTCAAGCAATTCTCCTGCCTCAGCCTCCTGAGTAGCTGGGATTACAGTTGCCCACGACCATGCCATGGCTAATTTTTGTATTTTTAGTAGACATGGAGTTTCACCATGTTGACTAGGCTGGTCTCGAACTCCTGACATCAAGTGATCTGCCCGCCTTGGCCTCCCAAAGTGCTGGGATTACAAGCATGAGCCACCGCACTCAGCCACTATACTTCTTATATTTGTATTTACCGGATGTATTTTTGTTTCTAAATACATGTTAAGATGGCAGCTTCTCTCCCATGGATGGTATCGGGGTTGGCCTGAGAGTATATTTGGGCCAAAAGAGGCAACCAGTGGAGTCCATCTTCAGTAAAACTGTGTGTTTTTTAATTATCTTAGATATTATTATTATCTTAGAAAGACAATAATTGTAAAATCTATGAGAAAATAAAATATATTTCCACAGTTATTCTATTTAACATTATTTCTGTGCATTAGAGAATCTAAACAAGCAATTTTGATATACCTAAAGCAGCCCACCAATGTGATGTCAAGGGGAATTCCAACATAACTGCAATAGAAAAAAAATGTTTAATTTCAAAACATGCGTTTTTATATTTTGCTCAAGAAGAAATACGTCTGTTTGGTCAAATTATATCCACTCAACAAGAGAAGGTTTATCCATGTTCATGAAATCAGGTAGCCCCAAGTTGTACTTCAGTCCTGGTCTAAAAGGTCATTTGTTAAGTCAAACCTTTACAACTCTTCTCCTAGAAATAATGCTATGAATTGTGAGGTTCTCAGATCAGCTCCCAAAGTTGATTTTAAGTGATGATCCTCGGGCCGTCCTGAATCCTCAATGCCTAGTTCCCTCAGGAATTCCAAACCACTTCACTCTGAAGTCACTTCTGTCCAGTAGTCATTTGTTAACATTTTCTAAGTGCCACATGTTAGATCATTAACTCATAACTTTTCTAGGTCCAGAACCTATAGCTCATTTCAACCCTGAGGATTGAACCAGCTATACTCCAAGCCCTTTTGCAAATATCAGTGGCTGTCTTGCAGAAAAAATTAAGCCCCAAAGTAAAATAGAGCACTTCAGAAGCAGAGTGTTGGGGGCGGGGTGTCCAGTGATTGTTTGAGTTACTGAGGGAGGGTTTGTGTCTGTGGAAACTGATACTAGGTGATGAATATACAGGCATTCTCTAATAGCAGCGAAGCTAGGAAGTTGTAGTTCATTTGGAAATTGTGTGTTCTTCAGTTGGAGACAGATTGTACTTTTTTTTTTTTTTTTTTTTCTGAGACAGAGTCTTGCTCTGTTGCCCAGGTTGGAGTGCAATGGTGTGATCTCGGCTTACTGCAACCTCTGCCTCCTGGGTTCAAGCATTCTCCCTGCCTCAGCCTCCCAAGTAGCTGGGATTACAGGTGCCCACCAGCATGCCTGGCTAATTTTTGTATTTTTAGTAGAGATGGGGTTTCACCACATTTGCCAGGCTGGTCTTCAACTCCTGACCTCAGGTGATCTGCCCACCTCAGCCTCCCAGAGTGCTGGGATTACAGGCGTGAGCCACGGCACCTGGCGGAGACAGATTATACTATCAATAGATCAGGGCACTGAAAATATGACAGTGATTTATATGACAGTCATAAATAATAATAAACTTTGAATTATAACCTGTGGTTGGTTATCACTCATATTTTGACTGACATGCTTTAAAAAAAAATTAGGCGGTATAGTAAGGGAGAAAATACGGCGGATGAGTACATTTTGAGTGGATAGGTGAACAAATGGATGAAATATTCATTTACTGAGTAATTATTATCTGCTAGACACATGTCGGACAATTTCTCATTATCTAATTGAAACCTCATCAGGTTTCCCCCATTTTGTAGAGAAGGAAACTAATGTAAGAGATGTGACTTGTCCACAACTACCCACCTAGTAAAAGGTAGGACTGGAATTTGTATCTGTTTTCTTCTGGCTCCAAAAATCACAGGTAGAAATAAAAACCACTTAATCTAAGAACTGGTATTTATTTTAAAATAACTATTGTTGGATAGGCGTCCGTGCATCCCCCGAGTCTTTGACAGTTTCTGCCCTCAGGGAAGGATTTTGGAGGAAAAATATGTCTTACAGGGCAAACCTTGCCCAGTTGGTGATAAGTTGAATGTGAAAGGGAAGCATCTCTATTTCAGTTTAGTTCTGAATCAGATTGGATGTTGAAAAAGAAAAATGATGCAGGGAAAACCAGGGTAATACAAATAAAGTTTAGCTAATAATAGTATTATACCAATGTTAATTTATTAGTTTTGAAAATTGTGCTATGGTTATATGAAATGCTAACATTAGGGGAAGCTGAGTGAAGGGTACATGGGAACTCTCAGTTATATTTTTGTAACTTTTCTGTAACTCTAAAATTATTTCAAAATAAAACGCTTTTAAAAAAGTTAAAAAAACCTCCCTGAGAAGAGTGGTACAAAAAAATTTGGCTGGAAAGAGGGATGAAGACCTTTCATCTTCAGTTTTTATCATCTAGCTATCATACAAGAATATGCAGACAACAAAGTTCTACTCAGGAAGTGGTTTATGTCCAACATCTGTTTTAATACATTTTCCTTGTTTCTGTTATTTTATTCTGCTTACCAGTTGAAGTGATGGCAACATGAAGAATAGTGACTGAAATAGCATAATCCCAAACCCATTCTTCCACAACTGGAACAAAAAACAATCCACAAACAAAGTAGGTGACCTCTGTTGAAACTAAAAGAACTGCAAATACAAGGAAGAATATAATTATTGAGGACTAGAGCAATGAACATTCTGAAATACAACTAGTAACAAGACCAGGAAAGCTTACTTTGAGAATAAATTTTGGTAAGAATTTTTTAAATGTTCCATTTCCTAACAATCCTCAAATTTGGATAAAACAATTAACATATTTTATCTTTTAACAATTTTAAGATTTATAGAAAACCACAATATATCATTTCTGTTTCACATTCTTTGTGTTTAACATTTTAGAAGTGAAATACAATAAAGAAGTGTTACAATATAACCAATATGTGCAAATCTGTAATTGGATTGCAAATCTCATTTTAAGATATATTAAAAACTAATGAAAAAATCCAGTTCTGAGTTTTAAGAAATGAAAAAAAATTAAACCAAATGTAAGAGTTTATTGAACTACAACGTTTGTCTGATACCAAGCACTGCCTAACTTGGAAATGAGTTCCTTTGTGTTTTTGTAATAAAATGGTTCGTTCAGATCGTCACTTGGGAAACATAACTGATAACCATGGATGAAAGAAAGTCTCATAAATGACAGGTATGGATGGAGACACCCTTCTAAATCCACTGGTAGTGACAGAGTAGTTTACCTGAACACGTATAAAGAGCTAGATATTTACAGGTGAGAACCACAAATCTCTAAGAGCCCTGAACACGTGATGGGTCAATCTTTTGCCTCTTGTCTTTGATATGGATCTTTAAGACTAGCATGTTTTCAAAAGAGAGATCCATCAGACTTTAAAGTGACAAATATATGTGATATACCACCAAGGTCCCTTTGTAAATGATACCACTTTCCATAAAAATTACCTTTCTTTCCTCTTAAAACACAGAAAATAAGTGATATGTTCATATAATTCAGGAATAAATAAATCTAAGCAAACTCTATATTTTTCAAAGCAAAAAATAAAATAATCACCTTATGTCCTACTGTGCAGAAGTAATTTATTATCCAGCAAGCCAGTGATTGCAGTCGGTAAGCGAGACACCAAGGAAGCATGCCCCAGGTGCAATCTTTTTAAAGGCCTCACACATATTCCTCTTCAATTCTATTTAATTTAACTTAACACGTTTCAAAAGTTAAATACAGAATTCATACTAACTCCTTTTCTATTGCACAGGAATTCCTTTGATCAGTGGAGATCAGTTCAGCATGCCCTGCCACCTAATATCCAGGAAAGAACTGTCCTGTTGTGTCATATTGACACCATCTCTTTCCATCACATCTCATTCCTCCCTCCCCTACTGGTTTACAGAATCACGACATTATTGTAGGGAAACAGAGATGCCTCTTTTGTTAGCATTTAGAGATTTTATAGGTTAACTTGCAGCTGCTTGGAGATAGTGATTTTAGTCTTGTACAAGCTGCATTCATGTATATTAATAGAGAATACTTATGCTTTGTTCATGATAGGAAAGAAAGCATGACTTAAAGGAAGTAATACAAAATTTGAAGTCAAGATAACAGCATTCTAGTCTCGCTTTTACAGCATAACAGTCATAAGACCTTGTCTGGGCACTGTGGTTCACACCTGTAATTCCAGCACTTTGGGAGGCCGAGGTGGGAGCATCACTTGAAGCTAGGAGTTCAAGGCCACACTGGGCAATATAGCAAGACTCTGTCTCTAAAAGAAATTGAAAAAAACTTAGCCTGGCATAATAGTGTGCTCCATAGTCCTAGCTACTCAGGAGGTGGAGATGGGAGGATCTCTTGAGTGCAGGAGTTTGAAGTTACAATGAGCTATGATCATGCCACTGCACTGCACTCGAGACTGGGTGACAGAGTGAATCTCTGTCTCTTAAAAAAAAAAAAAAAGAGTTATGGAGTCACTTCCAAGATGGCTGAATAGGAACAGCTCTGGTTTGCAGCTCCCAGTGAGATCGACGCAGAAGATGGGTGATTTCTGCATTTCCAATTAAGGTACCTGGTTCATCTCATTGGGACTGGTTGGACAGTGGGTGCAGCCCATGGAGGGCAAGCTGAAGCAGGGCAGGGTGTTGCCTCACCCGGGAAGCACAAGGGGTGGGGCGATTTCCCTTTCCTAGCTAAGGGAAGCCATGACAGACTGTATGTGGAGAAACAGTGCACTCCTGACAAAATACTGCACTATTCCCATAGTCTTAGCAACCGTCAGACCAGGAGATACCCTCCCATGCCTGGTTCGGCAGGTCCCACACCCACGGAGCCTTGCTCACTGCTAGTGCAGCAGTCTGAGATAGACCTGCGACGCTGCATCTTGATGTGGAGATGGGCGTCTGCATTGCTGAGGCTTGAGTAGCTCACAGTGTAAACAAAGAGGCCTGGAAGCACGAACTGGGTGGAGCACACCACAGCTCAGCAAGGCCTACTGCCTCTATAGATTCTACCTCTTGGGGTAGGGCATAGTAGAACAAAAGGCAGCAGTCAGCTTCTGCAGATTTAAACGTCCCGTCTGACAGCTCTGAAGAGAGCAGTTGTTCTCTCAGCATGGCATTCGAGCTCCGAGAACAGACAGACTGCCTCCTCAAATGAGTCCCTGACCCCCGTGTAGCCTGACTGGGAAACACCTCCCAGTAGGGGCCGACAGACACCTCAAACAGGCAGGTGCCCCTCTGGGACGAAGCTTCCAGAGGAAGGATCAGGCAGCAATATTTGCTGTTCTGCAGCCTCCACTGGTGATACCTAGGCAAACAGGGTCTGGAGTGGACCTCCAGCAAACCCCAACAGATCTGCAGCTGAGGGGTCTGACTGTTAGAGGGAAAACTAACAAACAGAAAAAAATAGCAACAAGATCAACAAAAAGGACATCCACCTCAAAACCCCATCTGTAGGTCACCAACATCAAAGACCAAAGGTAGATAAAACCACAAAGATGGGGAGAAACCAGAGAAGAAAAGCTGAAAATTTTAAAAAACAGAGCACCTCTTCTCCTCCAAAGGATCACAGCTCCTCGCCAGTGAGGGAACAAAACTGGGTGGAGAATGAGTTTGACGAGTTGACAGAAGTAGGCTTCAGAAACCTACTTGGTAATAACAAACTTCTCTGAGATAAAGGAGCATCTTCTAACCCATTGCAAGGAAGCTAAAAACCTTGAAAAAAGATTAGATGAATGGCTAACTAGAATAAACAGTGTGGAGATGATGTTAAATGACCTGATGGAGCTGAAAACCATGGAATGAGAACTTTGTGATGCATGCATAAGCTTTAATAGGTAATTCCATCAAGTGGAAGAAAGGATATCAGTGACTGAAGATCAAATTAATGAAATAAAGTGAGAAGACAAGATTAGAGAAAAAAGAGTGAAAAGAAATGAACAAAGCCTCCAAGAAATATAGGACTGTGTGAAAAGACCAAATATACATTTGGTGGGTGTACCTGAAAGTGATAGGAGAATGGAACCAAGTTAGAAAACACTCTTCAGGATATCATCCAGGAGAACTTCCCTAACCTAGCAAGGCAGGCCAACATTCAAATTCAGAAAATAGAGAGACACCACAAAGATACTCTTCGAGAAGAGCAATTCGAAGACATATAATTGTCAGATTCGCCAAGGTTGAAATGAGGGAAAAAATGTTAAGGGCAGCCAGAGAGAAAGGTTGGGTTACCCACAAAGGGAAGCCCATCAGACTAACAGTGGATCTCTTGGCAGAAACCCTACAAACCAGAAAAGAGTGGGGGCCAATATTCAACATTCTTAAAGAAAAGAATTTTCAACCCAGAATTTCATATCCAGTCAAACTAAGCTTCATAAGTGAAGGAGAATTAAAATCCTTTACAGAGAAGCAAATGCTGAGAGATTTTGTCACCACCAGGCCTGCCTTACAAGAGGTACTGAAGGAAGCACTAAACATGGAAAGGAACAACAGGTACTAGCCACTGCAAAAACATGCCAAATGGTAAAGACTTTAGACGCTATGAAGAAACTGCATCAATTAACAGGCAAAATAACCAGCTAACATAATAATGACAGGATTAAATTCAAACATAACAGTATTAACCTTAAATGTAAATGGGCTAAATGCCCCAATTAAAATATACAGACTGGCAAATTGGATAAAGAGTCAAGATCCATCAGTGTGCTGTATTCAAGAGACCCATCTCATGTGCAAAGACGCACATAGGCTCAAAATAAAGGGATGGAGGAAGATCTACCAAGCAAATGGAAAGCAAAAAAAGCGGGTTACAATCTTAGTCTCTGATACAACAGACTTTAAACCAACAAAGATCAAAAGAGACAAAGAAGGCCACTACATAATGCTAAAGGGATCAATTCAACAAGAAGAGCTAACCATCCTAAATATATATGCACACAATATAGGAGCATTCGGATTAATAAAGCAAGTCCTTAGGGACCTACAAAGAGACTTAGACTCCCACACAATAATAATGGTAGACTTTAACACCCCACTGTCAATATTAGACAGATCAACAAGACAGAAGGTTAACAAGGATATCCAGGATTTGAACTCAGCTCTGCACCAGGCAGACCTAATAGACATCTACCGAATTCTACACCCCAAATCAATGGAATATACATTCTTCTCAGCACCACATCGCACTTACTCTAAAATTCACCACATAATTGGTAGTAAAACACTCCTCAGCAAATGTAAAAGAACAGAAATCACAACAAACTGTCTCTCAGACTGATCTCTCAGATCACAGTGCAATCAAATTAGAACTCAGGATTAAGAAACTCACTCAAAACCTCACAACTACATGGAAACTGAACAACCTGCTCCTGAATGACTACTGGGTACATAACAAAATGAAGGCAGAAATAAAGATGTTCTTTGAAACCAATGAGAACAAAGACACAATGTATCAGAATCTCTGGGACACATTTAAAGCAGTATGTAGAGGGAAATTTATAGCACTAAATGCCCACAAGAGAAAGCAGGAAAGAGCTAAAATTGACACCCTAACATCACAATTAACAATAGAGAAGCAAGAGCAAAAAAATTCAAAAGCTAGCAGAAGGCAAGAAATAACCAAGATCAGAGCAGAACTGAAGGAGATGGAGACACAAAAACCCTTCAAAAAAATCAGTGAATCCAGGAGCTGGTTTTTTGAGAAGATCAACAAAATAGACCACTAGCAAGACTAATAAAGAAGAAAAGAGAGAAGAATCAAATAGATGCAATAAAAAATGATAAGGGGGATATCACCACCGATCCCACAGAAATACAAACTACCATCAGAGAATATTATAAACACCTCTGTGCAAATAAACTAGAAAATCTAGAAGAAATGGATAAATTCCTGGACACATACACCCTCCCAAGACTAAATCAGGAAGAAGCTGAATCTCTGAATAGACCAATAACAGGTTCTGAAATAGAGGAAATAATTAATGGCCTATCAACCAAAAAAAGTCCATGACCAGATGGATTCATAGCCAAATTCTACCAGAGGTACAAAGAGGAGCTGGTACCATTCCTTCTGAAAGTATTCCAATCAATAGAAAAGAGAGAATCCTCCCTAACTCATTTCATGAGGCTAGCATCATCCTGATACCAAAGCCTGGTAGAGACACAACAGAAAAGGAGAACTTCAAGCCAATATTTCTGATGAACATCAACGCAAAAATCCTCAGTAAAATACTGTCAAACCGAATCCAGCAGCACATAAAAAAGTTTATCCACCATGAACAAGCTGGCTTCATCCCTGGGATGCAAGGCTGGTTCAACATATTCAAATCAATAAACGTAATCCATCATGTAAACAGAACCAATGACAAAAACCACATGATTGTCTCAATAGATGCAGAAAAGGCCTTCAACAAAATTCAATAGCCCTTCATGCTAAAAACTCTCAATAAACTAGGTATTGATGGAACGCGTCTCAAAATAAAAAGAGCTATTTATGACAAACCCACAGCCAATGTCATACTGAATGGGCAAAAACTGGAAGCATTCCCTTTGAAAACTGGCACAAGAAAAGGATGCCCTCTCTCAGCACTCCTATTCAACATAATGTTGGAAGTTCTGGCCAGGGCAATCAGGCAAGAGAAAGAAATAAAGCGTATTCAATTAGGAAAAGAGGAAGTCAAATTATCTCTGTTTGCAGATGACATGATTGTATATTTAGAAAACCCCATTGTCTCAGCCCAAAGTCTCCTTAAGCTGATAAGCAACTTCAGCAAAGTCTCAGGATACAAAATCAACATGGAAAAATCACAAGCATTCCTATACACAAATAATAGACAAACAGAGAGCCAAAACATGAGTGAACTCCCATTCACAATTGCTACAAAGATAATAAAATACCTAGGAATCTAACTTACAAGGAATGTGAAGGACCTCTTCAAGGAGAACTACAAACCACTGCTCAATGAAATAAAAGAGGACACAAACAAATGGAAGAACATTCCATGCTCATGAATAGGAAGAATCAGTATCGTGAAAATGGCCATACTGCCCAAAGTAATTTATAGATTCAATGCCATCCCCATCAAGCTACCAATGACTTTCTTCACAGAATTGGAAAAAACTACTCTAAAGTTCATATGGAACCAAAAAAGAGCCCACATAGCCAAGACAATCCTAAGCAAAAAGAACAAAGCTGGAGGCATCACGCTACCTGACTTCAAACTATGCTACACAGCTACAGTAACCAAAACAGCATGGTACTGATACCAAAACAGATATATAGACCAATGGAACAGAACAGAGGCCTCAAGAATAACACCACACATCTACAACCATGTGATCTTTGACAAACCTGACAAAAACAAGAAATGGGGAAAGGATTCCCTATTTAATAAATGGTGCTGGGAAAACTGGCTAGCCATATGCAGAAAACTGAAACTGGATGGCTTCCCTACACCATAAACAAAAATTAACTCAAGATGGATAAAGACTTAAATGTAAGACCTAACACCATAAAAACCCTAGAAGAAAACCTAGGCAATATCATTTAGGAGATAGTCATGGGCAAAGACTTCATGACTAAAACCCCAAAAGCAATGGCAACAAGAGCTGAAATAGACAAATGGGATCTAATTAAACTAAAGAGCTTCTGCACAGCAAAAGAAACTATCATCAGAGTGAACAGGCAACCTACAGAATGGGAGAAAATTTTTGCAATCTGTCCATCTGACAAGGCTAATATCCAGAATCTACAAAGAACTTAAACAAATTTATAAGAAAAAAGCAACCCCATCAAAAAATGGGCAAAGTATATGAAGAGACACTTCTCAAAAGAAGACGTTTATGCCGCCAACAGACATATGAACAAATGCTCATCATCACTGGTCATCAGAGAAATGCAAATCAAAACCACAATGAGATACCATCTCATGCCAGTTAGAATGGCGATCATTAAAAAGTCAGGAAACAACAGATGCTGGAGAGGATGTGGAGCAATAGGAACACTTTTACACTGTTGGTGGGAGTGTAAACTAGTTCAACCATTGCGGAAGACTGTGTGGCGATCCCTCAAGGATCTAGAACTAGAAATACCATTTGACCCACCAATCCCATTACTGGGCATATACCCAAAGAATTATAAATCTTTCTATGATATAGACACATGCACACATATGTTTACTGTGGCACTATTCACATAGCAAAGACTTGGAACCAACCCAAATGTCCATCAATAATAGACTGGATTAAGAAAATGTGGCACATATACACCATGGAACTCTATGCATCCATAAAAAAGGACGAGTTCATGTCCTTTGTAGGGACATGGATGAAGCTGGAAACCATTATTCTAAGCAAACTATCACAAGAACAGAAAACCAAACACCACATGTTCTCACTCATAGGTGGGAGTTAAACAAAGAACACTTGGACACAGGGCGAGGAACATCACACACTGGGTCCGGTCGGGGGGTGGGGGGCTGGGGGTGGATAGCATTAGGAGAAATATCTAATGTAAATGACGAGTTGATGGGTGCAGCAAACCAACATGGCACAGGTATACCTATTTAACAAACCTGCACATTGTGCCCATGTACCCTAGAACTTAAAATATAATAATAATAAAAAAGAGTTATAAGGTGTTGAGCAAGATTTTAACTTTCAGGTCAGTCTGTTTTCTTCTCCATAAATTGGAATATGGAGTATTATTTATCTCAAAAAAATTGTTGGGAGGATTTTAATGTAAAATGAAAGGAATTTGCAAACTATTCTCTGCGATGCAAAGGAAAGATATTAGTAATTGGAGTGTTTTAACTGGACTCACACTTTCCAGTGTCCTTACTAAAATTGATCTCCTGGGTGACAAAATTATTGAAACCTACACAAAACCTGACCATAATAAATACATGCCAAAGTCTCTGAGGTTACTCTTATATTTTATTAATATCTCTGAGATTAGACAGGTATAGATTCTCACAGCAACAACTTTGAAGAGTTATGACATTTATCTCCCCAAACCCAAAATTAAAGATCTAATACGCTAAGGTTTTATTGATATCTTTGTACAAATGTTTGTGTTTCATGAGAGGAAAGGACGACTGTAAACTCTGCCAGCCATTTTGGAGATCTTCGCTAATCCCTGCTATGTAAAAGTTCATCACTAATCTCTGCTATGAAAAAACACAGCCTTCTCCCATAAGCCTGTGATATTGCCCTTTCTTTATTGACTGACCCAAAGACTAGAATTAAATAATGACAGTTGAGTGTTCAATCTCTCCCTCTACCCAAAACACACACATGGCCCATACTTGACTCTTTACTGGGACTATTTTCTTTTTAATCATTTGTGGATAGTGTTGGCAAAAACTAGGGAAGTGCCTGAAAGAAAGTTAAGATAAAGTCTTAGACCTCTTGTATCTCAGAATCGAAGTATCTTGTTCTCACATATGCTTTGCTATCCAAAATTGAATCAATAATGGCACCAAACAAGGCTGTACTAAAGCTTTTTATTTGAATTCAGTAACTCTAACTGACCAAGTTTCCTATACAAATTATAGTAGAAATCCTGTTTCATTGGCCTCCAGCAATTTTTCTATATTTGCATATTTGTACCCCAAAAATATTCTCCAGTGGTTTTTCTAATGAATTGTATTGTTTAAGGAATTGACAGTACATTAAAAAACAAGAATAGGGAAAAACTTAACAAAATATTAAGAGTAATTACTGTATACAGAATGTAAGTATGCGATTTATTTTATTTTTCTCCTTTCTGCTTGTAGATATTTTCTAAGCTTTCATTAATTAATATGTTTTATGATAGAAAACATTCAAATTTTACTTTTCTGAAGATGGGGCAAACTCACCATGAAGCTCCCCCAAACAAGAATGTTTTACATATATTCAAGGTACATAGGTGTGAAGGTTTACAAACATACTAGATATTAATTAATAACTATTCAACAAAAATGCCAAATTTAAAAGAGAGAAATTTTGCCTTAGTGTATTCTTTCTTATTGTTTTTCTTCTGCAGCAAGTTCTATACTATTTTGGGAAGAAAAATAAAACCAAGCAGAAATGTACAAAGTAGAGAATGAAAGTTCTCTGTCATCCCAGATGGGAGATAACAGTTTGTTGCATAATTCTCCAGACTTCTTATCACTGACACCATGTATTTTATTTTATGCTACAAAAATGAAATTGTATTATATGAACTCTTTTGCTGTATTTAATTTTCTATTTTATATCTCACAAATATTTTTCTACATCAGCACATTAAGTCATTATTCTTCCTTTTCTTTAAAAATAATCAACAAAAATTTACCCCCAATACAATGAAATGAAAATTTATATAGGAATTCTCATTCTTTTTCTCCACTTATTCCATATTACTCCACCTGCATGGAATAACAACTTTAAAATTTTTGATGGCACTTTTCCTAATTAATTTTTGAAATCAGATAAAATACATAGATGACTGCGAGACAGGCCTGATATTTAAAATTTTTTTATTAAAAAATTTATGGGGTTAGTGGCATTTAGTTCACTAATTGATAAGAATTTAAAATTAAAACAATTACCTTTATAGTTTATGTTGAGCCATGAGGGATTTGTTTTGAAATCAAATGGAGCCAGGACATTCAACTCATGCACCCTAAAGATGTTATAAGTGAAAACAGTTTACTCTGAATGAGGCAGTTCATAACAGCACATCAAAGTGACACACGTTACTATTTTCATACAAGGATAAGCTATGCGATTCACCCACATTGTGGCACATTTCAAAACTGGCTGGAATGTGAAGGAATCAGCAATGAAGATAATAATCTCTATAGAATCTTTTTCTGACTCAAACATCTCACTCTTCTTGCTAGAATTACAAGTTGTGGTAACAGTTACAGCAAAATTTCAGATCAGTCATTAGGTGAGACGGTATAAAGGTAACAAGGGACAAGGCAACGTCTAGTTACGAAATGTAAACTCACTTCATGACCAAACCAGTAGTTCTTCAGATGTAAAACAGGTTCACCTAAATGGTGCTATAACATATTTTTTAACATTAAGTGAGCTACTGTAGCAGTTAGAATAAATTAATTAAATGCTAAATACATCTCATCATGGATATATTTTTGAAATGTAATGTTGAAAAAAGTTACAAAATGACACCTATTATATGATACCATTTGTATTAAAAAAACCTGCTAAGCAGAAAAAAGTGAAGTGAGCTAAAAAGAGTTTTTAAAAACTGGCTGACTTGGATGACAGCCAAATAACATTTTGTCCACCTTGTCATCTTTGTCCAATTAAGTTCCACTTTGTCCACCAAGTGGACTTAATTTTATTTGATGTCTCAGCTAGAATCTTGATAGTTCCTGCCATCAAACGTAGAAGGAGAACGTAATACCATGGAGACAGCGCAGGCTTGAAAAACAACAAGATACAGGTTCTAATCCTGGTGGTGCTATAACCGTGCACTTGGGCAAGTCACCTAACCTCTCTGGGCTCAAATTTCCTACCTATAAATTGAAGAGATTAATCTCTGAGTTCCCTTCCTGTTCTAAAATCTGAGTCTATTAAAGCATACAGCTGGACTTTATATTATACCCAAGTTTGTAGTCGTGTGCAGCTGGCCAACCAGTTAGCTGCCTCCTGAAGCTTTAAGGTCTAATTACTTCAAATTCCTCACCTCTGACTCATGTTAACTACAAACCCTTAAAATCCGGTGCTCAGAGAATCCTAGAGAGTCTTGCCTTCTCCTTTCCCCAGGCATAGCCTCACTGTCTCCAGTCCCAGGGAGGAGGCTGAGGCTGCACGTGAGCGCCAGATACTTCCTCCGTGGGCTTGCCTGCAAGCATGCTGAATAACATTCTTTCCATTGCAAACATTGGTATCATTATTTTTTGATAGTTGCATATTGGTATTAATTCGCATATTGAAATAGAATTCCTTGCTTGCACAATAAAATTAAATTGTGTAAGCACTCAATTTCTAAGAAATCATTTGTAAATATACATAATGTATCTCAAGGCAACCAATATATTGGCAGCCAAAATCTGTAGAGACAAAATTCAACCATAGCAAGACAAAAAATTACCTGAAAAATAATGTTTTACACTTACATAAAAATGATACCATTAAAATACACGTATTATCCCATTTTGTCCTCATAATAACTCTTTTTTGGATGATTCCATTTGACAAATGAAGGCATTGAAATAGGAGATACACTGTCGTTTGGTCAAGATGATTCAGAAAGTTAGTAAGAACTTGGGTCAGAATGTAGGTCTCTTGCCTCCCAAAAGCTATTTCCAATATAACAGAAATTATTTAAATTGGATGTGGATGATCTTTAAGCTCCTTTCTTGTTCAAACCTTCTCTGATTCAATACCAGACCAGGGAGTAATGGGTTCGCTTTCTTTCCATGAGCATCCTCTGAAGAGGTAAGAGAAACAGTCCTAAGTGATTCTATCCACTTCATTTCATGATTGTTACTTTTATCATTTTCAGATAGAACATTTGCCTATTTTTACTTAAATAATGAAAGTAGGCTGGATGCAGGGGCTCATGCCTGTAATCCTAGCATTTTGGGAGACCAAGGCAGGAGGATCATTCAAGGCCAGGGATTCAAGACCAGCCTAGGCAACATAGCAAGACCTTGTCTCTACCAAAAATAAAAAATAAATAAAAGTAAGAAACTATGTCTTTAAAAAAATCCACATCCTCTAATCCATAAAGACATATGAAATGTTAAATATAAACATCTTTCCTATTCAATGTTAGCTTTTTAATTCTATTTGAAGACAATGTGCTACTTACTCAAACATCACGCAGCCCATGCTCAGGGACACATAGTACACAGTGTAGAAAAGAATGACACATAGAAGAAACTTCTGCAAAACAACCTGTGGAGAAAACAGGCATGAGGTCCAAGAGCCTGGGATTTTTCACATGGTCTTTGGTAACTATTTTGACAAAAGATGATGAATGATTACTAGATAGTGTTGGCTAGCCTTGTATTGCTTAAGGACCCATGGAATGGGAATGACTTCAAAGTGCCCATCTTGGAGCTTCTTTAGCGGTATAATTTTCTTAAGAGTCATGTGTCTTTGGGTTTGGTTTATTCTTCCTACCATGTATTGAAATCAATTAGTTTTTCTTTTAATTTGAGCATTAATAGCCTCTAGATATTTCTAGATGATTGCTTTCATTTCAATCCAAAATAAGATGAATAATACATAGTCTCTATATTAGTATGTATTTTCAACCATTAAACTTTTCTTATTTCTGTTAATATTAAACTTCAAATAACATTTTAATTTTTTAATACATTCACTTACTATAAAATTTTCCTTGTATAATCCAAACATGAGGATTGTAATACATACCCAGAAAACCTACAAATAGTAAATCTGTGTAAGACATTTGGAACTATCTTTTTAATTAAATTATAATTTGTGAGACAATATATTTGTTGACAAATTTTATATAGAGATACACTTACTTTTCCTGACAAATGTGTAAAACACTACATATTAAAAAAGTGTTGCTGCCTGAAGAGGTTACCATCTTACACATTTGCACCAAGAATTAATGCAATATACAAATCCATATCTCTTACCCTCCATTCACTGGAACAAACTTCCTAAATGCCAATATTTGTATTTTAACTTGACAAAATGATTCTAAACCTCAGCTGTGATAATAATATAATCTTGCCAATTATAATAATAATGGCAAGAACCACAGTTACTTTTGCACCAACCTATAGAAAGATGAGAACAGGTAAATTCCAAATAATATTAACAAAAAACCCACATAATAGCACAATAATTAAACCTCTATGCAAGAATTTACAGAGCAATTTGGTAAAACACAATAGATGGCCCTGAAATGTACTCTTCCACAGCTGAGACCTAAGAAAGAAGCACTGCAGATTAATGAGAATCAGAAAGATTATTTGACAAATGGTGCTGTGAAAATAGTCTAACTTCTAAACAAAAAAATCCCATTAGATTCCAGTCTTGTACCAGACACCACAATAAATTTCAAGGGGATTAAAGGCTTAAATGCCATGGAATAGGTTGGGAGAAAATATTTGTAATATATATCACAGGAAAAGGATTGATATCTGTAATATATAAACTCACACAAATGTTAGAAAAAGACAAACCAATAGAAAAATGGACAAAGTATGTAAATAGGCAATTCACATGAAGAAACACCTAAAGAGCCAATAAAAATAAAAAATGTGCCACACTTCACTGTTAACCTTTTCAAAGATATCCTTATGACTATAATAAAGGTCCCAGCATTTCACATGAGAAATGCTCAGTTTACTCAGTTTATTCTTGTATTTTAGAATCTTAAAGCCATTTTTGCTTAGCCCACACTCCAACACCTTAGGATTATTATTAATTTTACTTGAATGACCAATTCACCAAACTGACCACATATTTTCACTTGCCTAGGTACAGAAGGAGTCCACAGCTAGAGGCAAGAGGAGAAGGTAGTTAGCAGAGAGTATACCACAACGAATTGGCTGAATGGACCAAATTTACAGATCTACCAAGAACCTGCTTCTTCCAACTATTTTTAAATGGGTGGGATGTGAGGCCTAAGAGGGCCATGAGAAAACAGGACTCCAAGGTTCTGGGACCTTCAGGATCTTCCCCCATCCCTTGCTCCCACACCATCCTCAACACCCTCTACTCTTTGCCTATGTCCACCCCTAGCCCTGCTCACCAAGTCTCATCTCTCTCTGCCCTGATTCTCATCCCCAGTTCACTCTCAGGATCTCACATTCCTTGTTTCTTTTTTCTTTTTTCTTTTTTTTTTTTTTTTGAGACAGAGTTTTGCTTTTGTTGCCCAGGCTGGAGTGCAATGGCATGATCTCGGCTCACTGCAAACTCGGTCTCCCGGGTTCAAGCGATTCTCCTTCCTCAGCCTCCCTGGTAGCTGGGATTACAGGCATGCACCACCAAGCCCAGCTAATTTTGTATTTTTAGTAGAGTCGGGGTTTATCCATGTTGGTCAGGCTGGTCTCAAACTCCCAACCTCAGGTGATCCGCCTGCGTCAGCCTCAGAAAGTGCGGGGATTACAGGCATGAGCCACTCCGCACCTGGCCTTCACATTCCTTGTCTCTTAATCTCTCCTCCCTTATGACCTTCAGTCTCTCTTTCCTCAACCCTTGGTCCCCTCCTGTCCATGCTCCTCATTCTCTCCCTAAGACTTGCATAGCTTGTGGTTCCATGATAGCTGACACAACATGATTTTTAAAAAGGAATAAAAGGATGTGTGCAAAAGAGACATTCTTCCCACAGCTGTCTTTTATCAGAGAATAAAAATCCTTCCAGAAGCCGCAAACAGACTTCCCATTATGTCTCATTGTCCGCCACAGGGCCACGTGCCCATTACTGAACAATCACAGGTAAAGAGTAAAAGGGTTTTAACATGTCAGGTTTATGACATCATGACTGCGCTTCCGGGGACAGGCACCTACTGCCTCAATAAAAGAAAAATTGGAGTTCTATTAGCAGGGAAGAAGGAGTTGGGGCAGGAAACTACGTGTTCCACTTGGAAGGAATCAATCTGGAAATAGCTAAAAGCCCTCATTTTGTAGAGAAGAGTCTTCAAAGATCAAAAAAAAAATGTAGAGGTGTTGCCTGAGTTGAAGGCCCAAACATTGTGCGCATACATCAACTGGTTCAAATCTTCCCCAATTGCTGGGATGAGAATTTGCTGCTGGGAGATGGGTATGTAATAGGGAGCATCTTGGAGCTTCTTCAGCACTATAATTTTTTTAAGAGTCATGTGTCTTTGGGTTTGCTTTATTCTTCCTACCATGTATTGAAATCAATTAGTTTTTCTTTTAATTTGAACATTAATAGCCTCTAGATATTTCTAGATGATTGCTTTCATTTCAATCCAAAATAAGATGAATAATACATAGTCTCTATATTAGTATGTATTTTCAACCATTAAACTTTTCTTATCTCTGTTAGTATTAAACTTCAAATAACATTTTAATTTTTTAATACATTCACTTACTATAAAATTTTCCTTGTATAATCCAAACATGAGGATTGTACTACAAACCCAGAAAACCTACAAATAGTAAATCTGTGTAAGACATTTGGAACCATTTTTTAATTAAATTATAATTTGCGAGACAATATATTTGTTGACAAACTTTACATAGAGATACACTTACTTTTTCTGACAAATTTATATAACACTAAATATAAATATAATATCAAAATAATATATTTAAAAATCATTTGTAGGAAATATTTGGAAAAGCAAGGCATAATTTTTGTAAACAATTTTTCTACCTGAATTATAAATCTAGATTTTCAAATAATACTTTTCTCATAAGCAAATTCATTTGCTTTTAGTATTTTCTTCCTCGAATCTACACCCTACAGAGCCTATGGAACATAACAATTTTCTAAAAAGCAATCAGACCATCACTTCCTCTGCTTGATGTCTTTTTAGGCCCTCACATCATTATCAGGATTTATTCCTCCATTTTTTTCATTTGACAGATAGTTACTGGGCAGGGTGGCAATGCAAGGTAAATTGGATGTGGTCCAAGCCGTAGGATGCAGTTGAGCTGTTGTTCTCAAATGTACAAGCATCAGACTCACATTAAGTTCCTGTTAAAACACAGATTGCAGGGCCCCAGTCCCAGTGTTTCTGATTTGGTAATTCTGGGACAGGCTCCAGGAATTTGTGTTCATAACAAGTTCCCAGCTGATGCTGAGTCAGCTGTACCTATTACCACACTTTGAGAACTACTGATCTGGAGGCAAGAATGAGTCAAGAAATGGCTGCAATGCAAGGAGAAGAGGTATTATTGAGGAGGGTACAGAGTGCTATGTAAGCCCAAGCGAGACGCCAGCAGAGAATGGGTGGGTTATGTGTGTGTGTATGTGTGCCTCCGTGCACGTGTGTGAAGGGGGCATGAACATTCCCCAGAAAATCCTTGACAACACTTATTTTAGGTTTTCTTGAGTTAAGGCATCGCATCTGCATTACCTCATTTAATCCTTATAAAACTTCTGAGTGGTAGAATCCTTTTTTAGAGAGAAGGAAAATGAGGCTCAGAGAGGTCTTGTAACTTTCTGAACATTTAACAATAAATTGTGGAGCTGAGACTCAAGCCCTGCTCCGACTCAACCCTTATGCTACTTATGATGAGCTGAGGCAGTGGCAGGGGTTGCCATAGGCACAAGAAGCACTTGCAAAGACCTAGGTGAAGCCAAACCTTGATGGAGAGGGGTTTTGGTAGGAGAGGTTTAAAGAGCTGAAGTCAGACGTGAAGGGAAATTTATGCCTTAATGAGGAATTTTGCATGTCTCTGAAGGCCCTGGGGAGACTGAAAGATTTAAGGAGTATTATAGACTAGAGAGGGGCCATTAGGTCGGGAAAGTATTTAAATGGATTTGCAATGGAAATGGAGAGGAGGACAGGTATGTGAACTATTAAGAAAACAGAATGGATAACTTGTGGGGGGTTAAGGGAGAGGAAACTGTTGACTCTATCTCCCAATTTTCCAACCCAATTTTATCAACTAGATGGACAATAAGAGGAGCAGGATCAGTTCTAAATGATTGGAATTTGCAATTGATGATCTAGCCCAGTGCTGTCCAGCAGAAACACAATGCAAGCCACATATGTAATTTAAAATTTTTTAATAGCCACATTTATAAAAATTTTGAAAGAGTAAAATTAATTCTAATATTTATTTAACACAATATATCCAACATATTAAGATTTTGACATAAATGAATCATTAAAAATAGAGATGTTTTATGTTGTTTGTTCATACTACGTCTTAGAAGTACAAAAGGTAATTTATTTACAAGACATCTCAATTCAGACTAGCTACATTTCAAATGCTAAATGGCCATGTGTGGCCAGTGGCTGCCACGGTGGACAAGACAGTTCTCACCTCTGCCCGTCCTCCAGCCTCATCTTCTCATCCCCTGCCCCTGTTGATAGTCTAACTATATTGACTCTTTATTGAAGGATTCCTATGTGACCATCACTGTACTCATATTTTCTCATTGTATTCACCCTTCCCTGTACCTCACCACTATATGCTTGCAGGAAAAACTTTCTGGGTTTGGTTGTCTTTCATTTGCATTTCACAGACTTGGAAACTGAGACAAAGAGAGATTAAGGAACTAATCCCAGCTCATGTGGCCTATATGTGGCAGGGCTCCAGACCAGATCTGCTGGATGTTTCCTCTCAACCCTGTGCTGTCCTGCCTCGCCTCCCACCCAGAAGTTCACAATGAAAGCATGCTGAATAATCTTTATTTATTTATTTTGAGATGGAGTCTTGCTTTGTCGCCTGGGCTGGAGTGCCATGGTTTGATCTTGGCTCACTGCAACCTCCACCTCCCAGGCTCAAGCAATTCTCCTGCCTCAACCTCCCAAGAAGCTGGGGTTACAGGTGTCTGCCACCATGCCCAGCAAATTTTTTGTATTTTTAGTAGAGACGGGGTTTCACCATGTTGGCCAGGGTGGTCTCAAACTCCTGACTTCAAGTGATCTGCCCGCCTTAGCCTCCCAAAGTGCTGGGATTACAGTCATGAGTCACTGCGCCTGGCCTGAATAATCAATTTTAGTTCAACACTCTCTTTTTAAAAGTATGAAAACTGTGACTCAGACAAGTTGAGTGAATAGCCCAAGGACACACCTTTATTTAGTGGCCAAGTCGAGAATAGGAAAATAATTATATTGAATTAACAAAGTAAAAGCACTTAATAATGCTGTCCAAATGAGGGAACATTATTTTATTATGATACAATATTATTGCTGCACTCTAGGAAAAGCCAATATGTGAGACTCAGAATTTGTAGCAGTCTAGATATTTGGCTACTGCCAAACTTTTTATTACGTTTTTAAATATATTTGGATCCTGAATCAAATAAACTGTAAAAAATCATGACATTTATGGGACATTTGGCTATTTAAACTTGACTGGATATTTAATAATGTTAAAAAATTATTGTTAGGTTTTTAAGGTAAGATAATGGTATGGTGGTTTTTGTTAAGTCCTTATCTTTAAAGATGCATAAGGACATATTTGCAGTTGAAATAATATAATGTTTGGGTTAGCTTCAAAATAAAAAGGTAAGAGAATAGCTGGAAATGAAGATGAAACAAGATTGAATAGTTGATAATTTTGAAGCTAAGTGAGGGATGAATGGGATTCATTATACCATTTTATTTAAATTTGCATATGTTTACTTTTTTGGTAATAATTTTTTTTAAAAAATAAATTTATTCAACCGGTGAGCATCTTCACAAACTTTTAAAGCATGCTTTGATTAATACAATTTTGAGGAACATCCCTAGGGGATGTGGTAAGGGGTAAGCTTTGCTTAATACCTGTATGTGCAAGACGCCAAGCAAGCCACTTTGCAAACCTTATCTCCTTTAATCCTCACAACAACACTGCCAGACAGGAAGTATGATTCATCTTTATCATTGGAGCACAGAAGCTGGCACTTCGCCTTCTTTGTTCCTCTGGGGTCAAGGACATAGTTTCAGGGGGTTTACAAGTACTCTGGCCCATTGAGATGGGGCTCGCATGAAGAGAAGAGGATCACTGAGCAAGTCCTTGGACTCAGCAAAGTCCTAGGGACCAGAGGATGTGTTGTTCTGCTGGACTGTACAAGGGCAATGAAGAGGCAGGTAGCTATGCCTACTGGCAAGGAGAAACACACCTTCCCCCATTAGCAGCAGGTTAACAGGGTTCTACTGGGGGTTTGCCTGCAACCAGCGCCTCACCTTCCTTTTAGCTCCCTGGTGCCAGCCACAAACCATTCTAGGTAATCTTCTCCTGACTTCTCCAGCTCTTCTCCATACGTGCCCCAAAACTTGCAATCCAGTCTCAGCCTCTCCCCCAGCCACCTCCTCACCATCTCCCTCTTTTCTCCCTCAAGACCTGGTGCTCCTCAGGTAGATCCCTGCAGAGGGTATTCAAGCTCTCTCTGGGATTCTCTTTCCAGTCTATTGATGGAGCTCATTTTGGAAGTTGAAAAAACAAATGAGCACCCACAGCATTGAATGTTCCTCTTCATTGCTTTCCTACTATACCAAATCTAATTATCTGGCACATCACCTCCAATGGAGGAACTGGTAGAAAAGGAAAACACAAGAACATCTCACAATATATTATCTTGTGTATATAAGATCACCCGTGGGTCCTGTTATTTCCTTTGTGTTCACTCTCCTCTTTGGTGCTCCAGCCATACTTAAGTACTTCCTATTTCTGGAAAAATTCAATGCTGTTCCCCCTGTGTAGAATTAACGGCTCCTCTCTTTGGAAAACTAACTCCCACTCATCTTTTCAGGTCTAAACTGATACCTCACTTCCTCCAAGAAGTTCCCCTGACTTCTTATTCTCTACTGTATGCTCCCTAACACTCTCTTTCTCCGTATAATATTCAAACACATATCATTATAAATGCAATTTCTTCATTAAAAAGCTTCCACCTTTTTTTTTTACACTCCTATTCTGAAAGTGAAATAAATGTGCACCAGTCTGCAAATTGTGCACATTTATGATGTAATGAATGTTTTTCCAAGTTGCTTTCAGAAAACGGTCTGCTACAACTGATCTTTACATCTTTGTCATCTTTTTTGATCAAAATATTTTGATACCAGCCTTCCTTCCACTGCCCTAAAAAATAAAGCAGTTTTAATAAGTTGAAATTAAGAAAAGACTATACCTGTGTAAAAAAGGATAGAGGAAAGTGCTACTGATTTGCGCTTTTAGAATCTCCCAAAAGCATGAGCACTATCTTTGCTAGGGCTAGGCTGGAACCTGGATAGAATATGAGCATGTGCACGTGGCATCCCTAAGGATTCAGAGCTTAAGTGGAGCCTGAGTACTTCAGCAGTGTAACTCACTTAACTAACTTGCCAATTTCTACACTGGCTTGACGGGGCATAATTCAAAACGGGAAAGCTCAGGTTCATTCCACTCTCCTGGAGTTGAAAGCCACCTCTCTTCATTCAGCTCTTGAGTTTTTCTTGTTGTCGCATTTAACAACACCCTAGTGGGATGTCTTCTAGATATCGTTTTATGGTTCTGCAAGTAATTGCTAAAAGATACAAGGTCTACTTTTTCTATGCTACTTACCTCATTTTATTTAAGAAGGGACTGGGAGGAAGAGATGTGTCCATTTGGCTCCCTAATATATGTGTAGTGTCTGGTGTGGTTCCTGGCACACAGTAGGTATTCAAAGAATATAAGTTGTTGGATGATTCATTACAGTTTTAGAATTAATAGAAGGCTGGCCCTACCGGACATTCTGGTTATTAAAGGAGAATCAGTTATGATTGGTCAGAGTCCAGGCCACACTGAACAGTACCCCAGATAAAAGCAATCTTTGCTGCACAGTGAGAGAGTCACCAATCAGGAGATAATTATCAAGTGTTGACATTCTGCCCAAAACTGTTTCAGACTTCCTGGGGATAAAAAGGAAGAGGTAAGAAGAGACAAAATAATCACACAGAAAATAATTAGAACAAGCAAGTATACCCAACAGTTATATGACTCTTTACTGTGTACTTGTCTAGATGAGCTCACTCATCCAAATAAACATGTGGGTTAGTCACCTCTTACAGATGAAAAAACAGAGGCCCAGAGAAATTAAGTGATTTTCACAAAGCTAGTCACTGAAAGAGGTACAATTGTATATAAAATGTATTGAATCCTGGTCAGAAAGTAAGCTTTGTGGTTCTGATTACAGCTGGTCCCTGACTTACCATGGTTCAATTTAACAATGTTTCAAATTTACAACAGGTTTATTGGGACATAATCCCACTGTAAGTCAAGGAGCATCCATAATTGCTAAAAGTAATTGCAAAACTACCTCAAAGAAAAGGGATAAGCTAGGTTTCATGAAGATCTAGGCTCTTAGGAACAATCATAATGGTCCATACTCTTCATATTCAATATCTGCTCACATACATGGCCTTTAAGTGGTTCACAAAGGTTATTATTCTTAACCCTGGTAACTGCATTTTAAGAAACCTCTCAGGTGATTACAATGCAAATAGCTACTGGGGATATAGGAACTGGTCTAGGTGACAAACAGAAACCTAGGCCTGTCCTAGTATTTCCCCTCAGGCAGGATTTCCACATGGGACAGCCACAGGTCTGGGTTCCTGAGCAAAATGGGCAAGAGACAAATTTCCAATTAAAACGAGCAAATATAATCTTTTACTTCACTAACAATAAAGAAACACATACCCAAACTTCATAGACACTATTGTTCTATCAAGTTAGCGAAGATAGTTTTTCTTTTTTTAAAAATGAATTACTTGTTCTGGTGAATGAAATGCACACCGTTCTAGACAGCCTTGCTAAAGATGACGGGGTATAGTGTCAAGCTAATGTGACATTATAACACTTTTATTTCTCAATGACAGAAAGTGAAGACAAAATTTCCAAAGAACTTAGTAAGTATTTTCCCCAAATTCTCACAGGCAGGAACAACGACATTCTCCTATAATTCAAAACTATTACTACACACAATAAATCCTACACGGATATAAAATATCATTGACATAGAGTTTATATTCAGATTTCCTCTATTGTTCTCAAAATCTGAGAATTCTAGAATCAATCATATTTTCACATGTTACATTTGGTTGTCATGGCTCTTTAGTAACCTACTCTGAATTTGTCTGATGGTTTCCTCATGATCAGATTCTTCGGAGAAGAACTCTACAAAGGTAATATTGTGCATTTCCCATTGTATCTTATGAGAAGATGCATAATATGACTTTCATTATTACTGATGGTCAGTTTGATCACTTGGTAAAGGTGATATCTACTAGATCTATTTTCATTGCACTGTTCATCGTTTGTAATTAATAAGTAATCTGTGGGGTGACACTTGAGACTATATAAATATCCTGTTCCCCCAAAATTTTTTAGCCATTCATTAACATATCTCATCTGAATCAATTATTTACATTGGTATTGTAAACTGATGGTTTTATTATTTATTTTTTCTTCTACATTTCAGTAGATATTCTTCCATAAAGAGATTTCCTTTCTTACCCTTGAACTTACCTATTAATTTATGTATTTATTATTTATTCATTTATTTTTTATAACCTATGGTCTTTTTTATTTTCTGAGTGCCATAATTAATTAACATCATGATTCCTGTTGATGCTCAAATTATCCCAAGTTTGACCAATTTGAGCACCTACCAGATACTGCCTGTGTTCTTTTTACATATCCCCATCATTTTTGTACTTCCTTGCTTTATGACATTCCAATGGGATACTGTCTTTTTCATTACTACATTTTCATATACACTTTTGTCTATTTGTGAGCTTTCTATTTGCTTCCATTGAGCTATCTACTCATGAATCAATACCACACTGTTTTAATTATAGAAGCTTTATAGTATGTTTTAATATCTGGCAGGCATTTGTTAAAAGGATAGAGCTTGCATTAAGTATTCTTAGCACACATGCATGCACACACAGGAAACTATCAAAGAAACACAAGGAAACTTTATAATGTTTACTAGGAAACTTGTGGAGGTGATAAATAAGTCTATCTTAATTACAGTGATGGTTTCACAGGTGTTGCAAATGTTCAAATGTATAAACTTGTAAATATTAAATAAGTGCACTTTTTGTATATTAATTTATTCCTCAATAAAGCTGCTTTAAAAATATCTAGTAAGGCTAGTCATCTCTCCTTTTTCTTTTCTTTAAGGTTCTCATAGCTATTTTTATTTTTTCATATAAACTTCAAAATCTACTTGACTAGCTCCATAAAAACAACTTTGTTATTTTTATTGAGATTATGCCAAACTTATTAAGATGGGAATAAATGATAGCTTTATTATGTTTATGAGTACCATTCAAAAATGAGAAAAATTTCCAAACTTATTCAAGTCCACTTTTGTATCTTTCAGGAGTATGTTAATTTTTTAATCATATAGTGTTAATATATGATTAACAGAAGTGTTAATCATATAGATTTTACACACTTCCTGTTAAGCTTATGATTAAATAAATTCTTTTTGCTACTAATACAACTGAAGTTTCCTCTTCCATTACATTATCTAACTAGCTATTGTTTGTGTGTAGAAAGGCTTCTGATTTTTGTATTTTAATAGTCTATTACCTTACTAATTTTTAAAATTGTTTGTGTTAGTATTTTCATTGATTGTTTTGGATTTTCCAGATACACTACAATATCACCTGTAAATAGAGATAGTTTTACTTCTATTTTAATTCTCATGACTCTTTTGTTTATTCTGATCTGATTGAATGGAATAGTATCTCTAACATATATATTTTATATGTGTGTATACACACACACACACACACACACACATATATATATACATATATAAATTATTTTTTTTGAGATGGAGTCTCGCTCTGTCACCCAGACTGGAGTGCAATGGTGAGATCTCAGCTCACCACAACCTCCGTCTCCTGGGTTTAAGCAATTCTCCTGCCTCAGCCTCCCAAGTAGCTGGGATTACAGGCACATGCCACCACCACGCCTGGCTAATTTTTTGTATTTTTAGTAGAGAGGGGGTTTTGTCATGTTGGCCAGGCTGTTCTGGAACTCCTGACCTCAGGTGATCCACCCGCCTTGGCCTCCCAAAGTGTTGGGATAATAGGCATGAGACACTGCACCCAACCCTAACATATGTTTAGATAGTAGTGGAGTTAGTGGACATTCTTGCCTTGTTCTTGGCCTTTCTGTAAATGCCTCTAGTATTCTCCATTAAGTAATACACCAGCTTTAGGATTGTAATGTGTGTGTGTATGTGTGGTTTTTTATATATATATATACACACATATATATATGTGTATATATATGTACATATATATGTATATATATATATCTGATCAGACAAAATCATTAGTTCTTATTTTATTCAGTATTTTAAATCAGGAGTGGTTCAGGAACGGTTGCCAATTTTTGTCAAAGGCAGTTTTAGCGTCTATGAAGATGAGTGAAGATGGTCATATGATTTTCTGCTTAGATATATGAACATCTAAATTATGTTAGTAGATTACCTAATATTGAACCATCCGTACATTTTTGGAATAAATGTCACTTGGTCATGATGTTTTATTTTTATGACGAGTTCTTGGGTTCTGTTTGCTAATATGTTTAGATTTTTCTGTATTCATAAGTGAGATTGATCTATAGTTTATTTTTTGTACTATATTTATATGGTTTAGGTGACAACATATTTCTTGTTTCATAAAACTTTCTTGTGGCTTTTCTTGTTTTTCTATACTCAAATGATTTAAGTAGCATTGGGAGTATATGATCTTTGAAGACTTAGGAGAATTCTTTTGTGAAATCTAGGCCTAGTCCTTCTGTAATAGCCTTCTCCATTTAGTCTATGGAAACTGGAAGCCCTTGTGTGATTTTGCAAAGCAGAATGTTCCCATTGCCTACAGTAGCTTCACTCTTCTTTACAGAGCAAGTAGCTATATTCTCTAGGTCTGGCTCATATATCATCTTCTCACTCCACCCCTCACTGCAGGACAGAATCAATCTCTATCTTATTTTAATTGCTTCCATAATATTATATTTGTCTTATAGATCTCATCAAATTTGTATTGTAGCATACCTACTTTTGGAGGTATACATTTCTTTCTCCAGTCTCTAAAAGACAGACACTGATTTGACCACATTTAATTCTTCAGCCCCCAAAATATTGGTCAGGCTTTCATAGGTATTCAATAAATATATTTTGAATAATAATCATGGAAGGAAGGAAAGAAATAATGGAAGACAAGACCACTATAGTAGGAACCATAGTCTTTTTTTTTTTTGAAACAGAGTCTTGCTCTGTCACCCAGGCTGGAGTACAGTGACACAATCTCAGCTCACTGTAACCTCTGCCTCCCGGCTTCAAGGAATTCTCTTGCCTCAGCCTCCCTGAGTAGCTGGGACTACAGGTGTGCACCACCACACCCAGCTAATTTTTGTATTTTTAGTAGAGATGGGGTTTCACCATGTTTACCAGGCTGGTATCGAACTCCTGACCTAAAGTGATCGTCCGGTTTGGCCTCCTAAAGTGCTGGGATTACAGGCATGAGCCACCACGCCTGGCCGGAACCATAGTCTATTAATAAAGTATGTGGACTCTAAGTCAGATCCACTGGAGTTTCTCCCCCAGTTCATCACTGACAAGTGTGTGACATTGGCTGGTTACTTTCTGAGTTTTGTTCTACTCATCTACAGGTAAAGTTTCATAAGGGATTTGTATTCTGAACATGTATACAATTCTTAACATTAAGTACTGTATGTTCCCAATAGATAATACTTTCTCTCTTACTTCTCCCCATAGGAAAGACTGCATTGTAGTTCTTTGGACAATTCCTGGAGAAATCATGAGATATGACTCTCTCACTTGTAGAATCACAGCAAAGGCTCCGTCCTACTGGTAAGTAGTTCCCTCTGAAATTGCCTGAATGAATGAAATTCTCCAGTTCAGGTGAACAACTCTGAGGATATGCAGGAATGTGTTGTGCTTCTGAGATTTTTACAACATTTGTTTTACAGAGGAAAGTTTACATTAGTTTAACATAGTTAGGAAACATGCCGTCTACTGGAGTAGAATACATTGTATTCTGAACAGTTTAGCAGTCCTCATACTTGGGCTTTCTTCCCAGTTCTTGTGCTATTTTCCCAGACAGCAAATTAATTAAATGGCCTTTGGCCATGACTCTTTCCCTTGAGTCAGCTTTTCTGTCATTTAAAGTGTACAGATAGGGGGGATTTAATTAGCCCAATGCCTGGCACATTGCATGCACTCAATAAATGTTTGTTGAGTATTCGAGTTATCTCTAGATGAAGGTCACTTTTGCTATTACTATTAATTTATAAGCATATCAGTAATTCTTGTGCTGATAATATTGACAGTGAACAAGCACTTAAAAGAAAAGTTAACTCATAACTTATAGGGATGTATCATGAGAATTCAGATAGTCAACAACCTATCTATTTTGAACATATTCACTATTCTTCTAATGTTCTAAGGCTCTAATTCTACACTTGAAGCTCAGATGATTCTAAGATAGTGAGGAACTGCAGCAACTATCTGGATATTTTCTCTGCAATGCGTGTGTGTGTGTGTGTGTGTGTGTGTGTGTGTGTGTGTGTGTGTCTGTCTGTCTGGTCTGTGTAAGCCCCGACTAAATATAGAGCCCCCATTCTTTGTGTAAGCTACTTAAGAGAAAGGATTTTATCTTCTAATTTTTATCTCTTCAGCAGAAGTTATTATTGCTAGTTCAATCCCAAATCTATACATAAATTACGAAGTTTAATAACCCCTTAAAAATAAGCTTTTTAAAAATATTTTTCCTGAAATAATGTTTTACTGACCTTGAAAATTTTTCTTAGCTGTTGTCATGCTCAACATTTCTCACTGATGACATATGTGGTGATGATGGTAGTGTAAAGAAAAAGCTTGAGGAAATACACACGGTGCTGATATTTTACTAAAATGAATGTAGCACTCACTCATAATTGTAATTTAATTTTTAAGTAAAAATCTGATTTTCCACTATCATTCCCTTAAGTCTGGCTCATTATAGGCCTAAAGCCTGTATGAATTTACACAGCTGCTTTGAGGCTTTGCATATTTCCTTGTTTTCGATTGTTTGATTTTTTTTTAAAGGGGTATTTTTGCACTGAAGTAAAACACAACTATTAACACTAGCCTCGGGGGAAAAAGAAACTAACAAACCTACAGCTTGAAATGTTTCAACACTTTGCATTTAAAATTTTGCGCACCCTTTAGAAGTTACAAAAATAAAAGCCACTCCCTGCAAAAAAAAAAAAGAAAAAAAGATTGAGAACAAACTGTCATGATTTCAGAAAACGATAGCAGACGTGCAGGTGCTAATACCAGAGAGCTTACCTCCGAATAAAATGGTGCCTTCTAAACAGCGACTATTTACATGTTTTAGAATCCTTTCTTGGGCATGGGTGCCTTTATATTGCCCTATTACCACAAGATGCAAGCCGTGCAGCAGAATGTTTTCTGTATGGTACCCAGCCAAAAGTGAAACAAGTTGCCCACTGACAGAGAGGCCATTTATAGAACATATTCATTTACACCAGTGCTAGGCAGCAACTGAAAGGCAATGCAAAGAAGTAATTTCTCTTTACCTTGCTTGGAGCAACTCTGACCTGGAGAGCCATGTACACATCCTACGTCAAGGAGGTGATGAAAGCCCCACTCCTTATAGCGATGACATCTGGAAGAAGACACAATTGTCACCGTGAGCTTTTCAATTACTCCTGGAGACTAAGTGTGAGACGCAGTAGTGCAGGATGATTGGATTACGCAAAACGAGACAGATGCCATCTGTGAGCCACGCGTAAGCTGCTAAGTGCCAAAATGAACATCCTTATTAAACGATGGAGTTCTCATACCATTTGTAGTTTGGTCAGATTTGAAAGATGAGTTGATTGTTTTTAGATAGTGCGGCAAATAGGCAGGGACTTGGAATCCTCTCTGGCTGTATGAGTAATTACTGTCTCATACTTAAATTAGAAACATGGGTTTTCAGTTAGGTCTTGAGATTGTTTCCAAAGGATGCTGCTGCATTCATGTTGAAGCGTGGCCTGTCCTCTCTGTTTCACTCACAAGGGCCACAGAGTTCTGAGAAAGAAATCATCAGTTCCTTTCACATCATGGCAAAGAAATGTAAAACTTATGACTTTTTGTTAGGAAACAAAAGGGTTCCCATACTCTAAAATAATGGCCACAATATTGTGGGTAGAATGTTTTCAAGAACTGCCAGGAGGCAGTATTGGAGCTCTGTCTCTCTGCGTCCTGAGGCTCCAGAACCAATCCTTCATTTACAATTCATTCTCCCATCTTTTTACTGGCACCAACTCTATTATTATTTTTATTTTAATTTTTAATTGCTGTGATTACATAGTAATATAGTAATATACCCCATAGAGTTTATGGGGTACATGATATATTTTGATATAGGCATCTAATATGTAATGATCACATCAAGGTAAGTGGGATTTCCATCACCTCAAGCATTTATTCTTTGTGTTACAAGCAATCCAATTATACCCTTTTAGTTATTTTTAAATGTACAATTAAATTATTATTGACTATAGTCACTCTGTTGTGCTATCAAATACTAGATCTTATACATTCTCTCTCTTTTTTGTATGCATTAACCATCCCCACACTCCCCCTTTTCTCCCACTACCCTTCCCAGCTTCTGGTAACCATTCTTTTACTTTCCATCTCAATGAGTTCAATTGTTTCCATTTTTAGTTCCCACAAATAAGTAGGAACATATGAAGTTTGTCTTTCTGTGCCTGGTTTATTTCACTTAACATAAGGACCTCCAGTTCCATCCATATTGTTGCAAATGACAGGATTTCATTCTTTCCTTTGGCTGAATTCTATTCTGTACCTGTACCACATTTCTTTATCCACTTGTCTGTTGATGGACATTTAGGTTGTTTCTTAATCTTGGATATTGTGAAACATGCTGCAATATACATGGGCATGCAGATACCTCTCCGATAGACTGATTTCCATTCTTTGGGGTATATGCTCAGCAGTGGGATTGCTGGATCATATGGCAGTCCTATTTTTCTCTTTTGAGGAACCTCCAAACTGTTCTCCATAGTGGCTGTACTAATTTACATTCCCACCAGCAGTGTATGAGGGTGTCCTTTTCTTCACATCCTCACCAGCATTTGTTATTGCCTGTTTTGGGATAAAAGCCATTTTAACTGGGGTGAAGTCATATCTCTTTGTAGTTTTGATTTGCCTTTCTCTGATGATCGATGATGTTGAGCACTTCTCACATACCAGTTTGCCATTTGTATGTCTTGTTCTGAGAAATGTCTATTCAGATATTTTGATCATTTTTAAATCATATTATTAGATTTTTTCCTCTACAGTTGTTTGAGCTCCTTATATATTCTGGTTGTTAGCCCCTTGTCAGATGGGTAGTGTTTGAGTATTTTTTTTCCCATTCTGCGGGTTGGTGTCTTCACTTTGTTGATTGATTGCTTTGCTGTGGCACCAACTTTAGATGGGAACTTAGCTGTGCCCTGTAATCCTTTTTCCATTACAGCATCTTGTTAACCGCTATAAAGAGCACATTCTGCAATATCTACCTGCATACCAAAAGCAAAGGTGAAAAGAGTGCCTTCAGCAAGTCCAGGCCTTGATAGTTTTCATCTGAATATGTTATTGAATTTGACATTCATAATGCATATTAATAACACTGTCAATGCTCTTTTATTAATATACCTTAGATAAATCTTTTAATGTGTGGTTGCCCTGTTCTCTGCTTATATTGTGAGTTCTTGCAGAAAAAGACTTTTCTGCCTGCTGGTAACATTGTAACAGCTCCCAGTGTTGTCTTCAGATTTCAGCACACGGTGGACCCTCAGTAAATGCTGATTGTCCAAATCCCATGCCCTGCCCTATTTGTAACAGTGATGACCCAGAATTTCTCCTTAAAGAGGGCAGGCGGAGGCCAGGTGTGGTGGCTCATGCCTGTAATCCTCGCACTTTGGGAGTCAGAGGCAGACGGATCACAAGGTCAGGATTTCGAGACCAGCCTGGCCAACATAGTGAAACCCCGTCTTTACTAAAAATACAAAAAATTAGCTGGGCATGGTGGCGGGCACCTGTAATCCCAGCTACTCAGGAGGCTTAGGCAGGAGAATCGTTTAAACCAGAAGGCAGAGGTTGCAGCGAGCCGAGATCGCGCCATTGCACTCCAGCCCTGGCAACAATGAGGGAATCCGTCTCAAAAAAAAAGGGGGGCAAGTGGAACTTCCTGGGAGTCATAGCACAGCATAAAGCAGAGGATTTGTGCCTGACTCACTCTACTCCCAACACAGGCTGCTTTGTGCACAACTCAGATGCCTTCTGAGTTACTCAGGTAAACAATAACCACCCAAAAACTATCCTCTCAGGAAGTTGGCACCATACATTGGGAACTAATACTCCAGCACTCTATTGGATAAAATACTGAAAAGTACTAATTTTCTATAATTACATTGGAAAAAAATTTGATGACCAATAGTCTAATGAGTAGAGATTATGTGTGTATGGGTATTTACATCTATAATAAGCATCTTTTTTTTTTTTCATCAGAGACACCGCACTGGATTTAAGCATTATTTTTTGAACTGCTACTGTGATCTATTGCGAGAATAAGGCATGAGGCATACACATACACATTTAGCAACTACAATTCTGATTTCCAAGTCTGTCATTAGGCTGATGAAATATTTACATGTGTACATTTTATATGTATATGTGTGTGTATATATATATATTGTGTGTACATGTATTCATTCAGCACATACTTATGATAAAGAATAAAATACATAAAACTCTTCACATTCTTTAGTTCTGAATTGTTCTCCTTGATATTTCATCATGTTTTAAATTATTTTCAGTCCCTTTGTGTAATTTGTATCTAGAGTTCTCCTTTGTTTGTTAAAATTGGACTCAGCTACTTCCTTCATGATAGAGGCACAAAAACTTCAAGGTCCTAAAGAAATATTTCCAAGATTGTAGCACATAATTTAGAATTTCTCCTTGATAAAATCAAAGGAGAAAATGAGCTCAGATCCACAATTACTAATTGCAAATCGTTAGGGCCAGATAGGCTTCTAATTTCAGAAAATTTTGAATTTTATTTAAATAATAGGATCCATATAGTATATTATATCCCATGTCCAAGTAGTCTAGAACTTCCCTCTGTATCCAAACATTGTTTGAGCAGCAAAATGTATAAATATTTGCCATGAGTGGGATGAATAAAAACTAAATAATTTTGTCAATTTGGTTTCATCACCAAATTCATTAACGTCTGGTACTATTCTGTCACCCAAGGATAATAAATAATAAAATAGTTTCCACAGATTTTTAGATTTTTGGATTCACAAAAGGAGTAGTGGACAAACACAGATTTAATTATAAGAATCTACAGATTGGCATTGATAATAGAACTCTTGCTAAATTAAATTAAATTTGGCCTAAAGCAGCCTCTGCACATTAAAAAACTGCAGCCTAACTTAAGAGCATATTCTTATAACAAGTTGCTGAGCCTCGGCCAATCACAGCAGCTGAGCTTTGGCCAATCACAGACTGCCAACCAATTAGAGCGTGTCTATATCAGGCAAATACTAAGCTGTAGCCAATCAAGCTGTTTCTGTATGTCATTTCCTTTTCCTATCTAATACTGCCTCCCCGTGTTGGGTGGAACTCTCTGAACCTCTCCTGGTTCTGAGGGCTGCCCAATACATGAATTAGTCTTTCCTCAAATAAACTCTCCTAAATTTAATTTGTCTAAAGTTTTTCATTTAAAACTGTAAATACAATTTTAAATGATGTGGTAAAAATAAAGACGCTGTGTTGACAAAGTCAATTTGTCCACAAGAAATTAAAAAGTAAAATTTCTTTGCCCTCAGTGCCAGAATGAAATAAGAGATTTCCCCTGATGCCTTCTGCTCCATTATAGTTGGCTTTGCTTTGGAAGTCTGATGGTGTTATATTTTTAGTTTTACTGATTCTCTCTAACCCATTTCTTCCCTTTAGGCCCTTCTATCCACATCTATTGTTCACTGCCTTTTTGAAATTGAATTATTCTATAGGATATCATGAAATCATAAAAATATTAAGAACAAACAGACTCTATTTTATTTCAGGGAGCCATGAAAATAATGGTCAAAATTGGGGTAATTTTTTTTTTCTGTTTACAGCCTTTATGGAATTTCCTTTAGGTTTAGGCCCATGTTAAGGCAAAGATACATGTATACACACGAGCACACACTGATTTCACTGCTTCATATTTGTTGAATAGTAAATTGTGTCTTGAAAGATAAGGCACAATAAGGAGCAGTGCCCTATATGGTAATGAATGGCACAACATCATAAAACAGTTGGCATGGATGACTAGTTATGAATATCCAAACTGTTATTAGATAGTAGTTTCCATACTCCCTCCCATAAACCTAAACCAGGGTTACCAATGACTGCAAATCTGGACACTTGAGTTTTGGTATCTAATTTTACCTACTTTTAAGCCAGTTGACCATGTGCTGCATCTTATCATAGGTAGTACAGAGTAAAGGATCATCTTTAAGAGGATATAGAAAATATCTGGAGATATACATTGTATCAACTTGAATTAATATTGGGAAAGAAATATACAAGTTAGAGCAATTCAATACAGTCATCACAGAGTAAAAATAAATACGAAAGATAAAGTTAGAGCCCTAATTCAAAGAATATGAATTGTATCTTCAATAGGAAGAGAAAATAGAGTGGAAAGAAGGAGAGAGAGGGCATCTGGATAAGATAAATACGAAGTACAAAGGAAGTGAGAACAAGTCAATGAGATCTGCTTTGCTAGAGAATGAGAAATAAGACTAATGCAGGATTGGAATGTTGATTGGTGAAGGCCTCAAAGGACAAAAGGAGCATTGTATTTTGGTTCAAAATAAAACAGCACTGTTCTTGAGCAGCAGCATGAAAGACAAAATCAGCAGATGTGAAAAATTATTTTAACAGCAATATAGGAGAAGAAACTACAAAGTGGATATATATTAGCATATTGAAAAGGCTTGAGGTTTGATTTTGGGGCCTAGAATAACTGAGCATAATTAGATTTTTAAGAACACCTTGGAAATAACAGCCTTCTTGATGAGAAACTGAAGGGGGAACAAAGAAGAACAAAAATAACATCAGGATTTTAATGCCAACAAATTAAGGGGATTACAGTGCTATTGATAAGAATAGGTTATGAAAACAGGAAATGAAAAGCGAACTGTGGGATTCAACACATTAACTTTCAGGGTCAGCTCATACATCAGTGGGCATCAGAATCACCTGGAGGAGTTGTTACAACGCAGATAGAAGGGCCTCAAACCAGAGTTTCTAATTCAGTAGGTCTTGGGAGGACCTAGTGTTTGCACTTCTGAGTACCATATTTTGAGAAGCACTTATTTAAATTATGTCCTCTAAGACAACTCATGATGGTTGAAGATGAGGTTGGAAGTCTGGGCCAATGACATAAGTATGAGAATTATCTATACCCAGGCTATTGTTGAAATTTTGTTGTGGAAATTTCTGACTTACAGCACTTTCTATGATTTTGATACCTTCCATCAACTGTTTCCTTAATTATATGCTCATATTGAAGTGAAATGAATGTTTATTCTCTGGCAGTTGGGAGTAAAAGGGACTGAAAGTTTAAGAAATAAAAGCATTCTGAAAATAGACAATGAGTGTATAAGGGAAGATCAGAGCATCGCTTTTGAAGGATGCAACAGAAAGAGAACCAGGAGGGAATTGCAATCAGGCATTATGTGATACTGGGAAAAAAGACTAGATACTTGACAATCTACTCTAGAAATTTCTTCTCACCCTCTGCAAAGATGCAAAAAGATGGAAATTTAAAAGGAAAAGTTAATAAGTCTACTTAGTATTTTAATTATTGTCAAGTACCCAGGTGCTTAAGTGAAGAGTTTCATGTACATATAAATTACTTCTGTGCCCTAGCATATTTGTAGAAATCTAAATAAGATGTTGTTCCATTTAAAATTTAAATAACTCCCTTGAGAAAATGCCAACCAGACTGCTTCAACTAGAAGCCAATGCATAAACATGTATTTGTTATTTACTTGTTAATGTGTTCAGTATCTTGATGTATTCTGGCCTTTTTCTTTTTTTTTTTTTTTTTTTGCATGAAAACTAAAGTCCTGTGTAATGTGATTTGATGACCCCAAAATGATGTTTGGAAATATTGAGGTAGATGCAGACTATACCATTTATACAAAGGCTCCCCTCAACCCTTCAGAAATAATGGTTACAAAGTGATACTACATTGTTCCCAAAGGGCTCAGACCTGTCTGAGCTTACACTTTTTACAAACGGGCAGGTTCAGATCCCTGAACTTAACTTTTTAAAGGATGACTCAGTGGAGGGGAGTTCGCCTGAGACTCCAGAGCACGGAAGGCGATTAAGGGGCAAACCTGGCTTTGTTTAGCAGGCTCAAGCTCATTGTATCAGCCTTGGTTCTGGCAAGGCAGCTGCTGGCAGAAATGTCCAGCCATTTCACATTCTCTGTATCCTGATTGGAATTTACTTCTTACAAGAATGATTTGAAGTTAAAATGAAGTTGGGGGAAAGTTCAAGCAATCCTTAATACTTGAAAATGTACAGCTTCCAGGCTCCAACTGGGGAAAAATTTGACTAAAGCCAGATTATGTGTGTGTGTGTGTATGTATGTGTGTGTGTGTGTGTGTGTGTGTGTGTGTGTGTGTGTGTGTATATATATAAAATGCCCGTAGGGTTTCTTGGACATAAAATTGTTTTTTGAAGACAACAATATGATAAGTTAAGAGTGAATGAATCAGAAACATATGGATTAAATTTTCCCTGAAATTTGCATGGATTTGGAAGTCATGGAGAAAAGGGCACTTGGCAAGATGCATTTGGGATTTTACTGGACCAAAAACATTTGAGAAATTATCTGAGGTTCCTGGGTGGATGCAAAACTGTACCAAGTTTTTTTTCATTTTTACAAACTGCTCTGAACTAAAAAAAGAAATAAAAGTCACCTAATTGTAATTTAATGAAGACGTGGAATACTGCTTGTACAGCAACTACCAAGCTTCACAGATAAGCATTAGTTTTCTAAGGGATTGGGCTGAGGGCATTTAAGCACAAATATAAATCAAACATGGGCATTAGTTTCACAGACTACAAAGAAATGCTCAATGCCCAAAGATACAGCAGGAGTACAACCTGATGCTGTGGAGAGAATGTTTCATTTGCTTTTTTTTCCTCAACCTAAATGAAACTAAAATAAACAACAATAATAACTAAAATGTCACTTTAAGAAAAACACATAGTGATGCTTATGTGTATGCATTATTAGGCTTTTTTGTTTGTTTTAGTACACAACATGTCTATATAATATCACTCTTGGGGTGTGACCACACTACAGCAAGGGCCTTCTGGGACTTCTAGTATCAGGTAAGACAAAGCCAGGTTTATACTAATCTTGGTGCTTTAGCAAGTAAAAGTAAGCTTCAAGTTGCTTTATAAGCTTTTAAAAGGTTATTAAAATGATATATGAAGAAAACATATATTTTTAAAAAAATCTCAGTTCTACTGTTTTTATTGTACTAAATATTGTTCAGCACTAGCAAAGATCTTAGCTTAACAATTTTTTCCATGCCTTTTTTCTAGTGGATCAAAAACTAGCATCCTATTCATACAGGATCCTATTCAATAACTATATTCATGTAATAGCTTAGAAAGTAGTTATAAAGAGATTTTCTAAATAGTCACTTTTCAGTGTTTAGTTGAAAAGGAAGGTAGAGAAGAGGAATGGAATGCATGGTGAGAGCTTTTATAGGGTTGGATATGTATGATAATCTTTGTAGTATTAATCCAGGGACCTAAAATTTAAACATACCATGGACATAAGCAAGAATATTAGAAACCTCAACTTACCCCGAATTTGCTCTTGACCCTGGGTAAGTGAATTCACTGTTTTTTACTTTGCAGGTGGGTTCTAGCTTCTCAAAAGGAAGGTTCATTTGAGCATGAAACCTATCATAAGCACTTACAGCTAATAAGCTAATAATAGGAGCAGTTTTTAAGTGAAATCTGAGCTGAACTAGGGAGTCATTTATAGATCCTGTTAGGTGTGCACATTTTTACTTGGGCAAACTAAATTAGCTGTGTAAATAACATTTAAAATATTTGAAAGTCAGTCTCATGGACTTCTTACCTCTGGCATTATCCTATCATATGCAGGGAAGGAGAACTTGGAGAGGGTAAACAGCCATGCAAAAGTGGATGGGTTTACTCAGAAGATGCTAAGAGACCCAAGAGACGGATGCTTGACTTCTATAAGTTTTTCTTTAGAGAAGCTATCTTATCTCTCTGAAGGGGATAGGCCTTCATGTTGGCAGAAAGGAAGTCCAGAGACCTCTGTGAATTTCCAAATTTGTGAATGCCACAATAAAACACTATTTTCCTACAAAACAAAAGCAAAACCACAAGTGAAGATCTATGCACCTCTTCAGACACATGGTGATTGATCTCTCTCACCTACAAGTACATTTTTACTGGCTCTGGTACTTGCTGTATCAATTTTTCAATCTGCTTTTATTTATTTCCATACGGAACACACAAGAGAGCTCAGTTGCCTCATAGAGCGGAGCTATTGTAAAACAATTCAATAGATCATAGATTTCTATTTTTATGGCTAAAAGCCATTAATTTATTATACTGGTTACTTCATCTTCACTTCCATCTTTGGCCTTAACAATTGTCTTTCTTTCCAGGGCCTGTTTTTTAAAATAAGAGCAATTTTGTCTCATTACCAGATTTACTGCATGTGCCATATTACAGAGGGAAAAGAAGCTGCTCCAGGGTGTGGCTACTGAATGAATGAATGAATGACTGCACTCTTACCTTAGTGAGGCGACCAGTTCTTATGGATGAGCTCCACAGCATACAGAGCTCAAACTTGAGCCTCAGCCTGAGACTCACTTCCTTCAGGGTGTTTTCCAATACTCTTCCCCACCCCAACACATTCGCCTTAGTTGGTGCATCTACCTATGTGTTTCTACAGCACCTTGCACATCGCCCATCATAGCTCTTGTCACTTTCCATTGTGATTGCCTATTTACTTATCTTTATAACCACTAGACTATAAACCCTATGAAGGCAGGTATTGTGTCTGACCTGATTTGTTAATTTCTGCAACCCAAGCACATAGAAAATGTCCAAGACACACACACGCACGCACACACACACACACATTCATATATACATACGTATATATATACACATACACACACATCCATACATATATTAACAGATAAATAAATGGATCGTGGGCTACATTCGGATATCTACAGTCCTTTACTTTAAGTAGAATACAGTACCTACTAAAGGACTATATACATTTGAAAGTGTGAAAACATGAATAGTAGAATAGCAAAAGTGTGCAAAAATTCAACAACAGACTTAAACATGATAGATTTCCAGGCCAGAGAGATTTAAAAAACATTTTTAAGTGTGCTTTTTCTTACAGAAACCATACATTCCCTCATTTTACACAACCTTTAGTTTTCTTTCATTCCTCAGCATTGAATACACCGTTGACTGCTTTAGATCTATTTAACAAACAGATTGAAGCTAAAAATTGTTCTTTTCAGCATGCCTAATGATATCTGTCTTTGTCTTGAGATATCACACTTATGAAATCCATGGTTTTTATCATTAATACCAACGTTTTCATTTTTCCAATTTTTATTGTTTTACAAAATAAGAAGGGAAAGGGCAGTAAAAACTAAAATGAGTGTATAAACAGAGCTGTGCCGGCCAGAAAGGTGACAGTGCCAAAAGAGCTGAGGTTTGGCAGACAGCTTCCCCACATGCAATCCATCAAGTTCCTCTGGATCTTCCTCCAAAGTGTACATTGCATATATCAGCTTCTCTCATTTTCTATTACTATCTCCATGGTGAAGCGGTCAAGCCACCATTATCCTTCCTTATACTACTATACTAGTTCTCTGTGTCCTCACATGGTCTTTTCTCTGTGTGTGCACATCCCTGGTGGCTGTTCGTGTGTCCAAATTTCCTCTTCTTATAAGGACATCAGTCGGATTGGATTAGCGCCCACTCTAACAACTCTCTGCTTTTACTTTTGCCACCATATAATACCCATTTACCAAAAAGCAGCCAGAAGCAGTTTAAATTATAAGTCAAATCACTGGCTTAAAATCTTCATTGGCTTCTTAGTGCTTTTTTTTTTTCTTAAAGATTCTAATTTTTTATTCTATCATAGAAAGGTCTCCCTACCTGGAATGGTTGAATTGTCTGATCTCATTTGACAAGTACACTCTTCTCCTGCCCATTGTACACTTTTGTACACTTTTCTGCCACCTATTTGCCTTTGTTGCATCCCAAGTACACCAAACTCTTTCCCACCTTGTATGGCCTTTACTTTCCGCTCCTTCTGCCTCTGATACCCTTCCCTTCATCTTTGTCACTTCTTTCAAATCTCAGGTTATCTGTCCTCTAAAACAGCCATCCAGTGACTCTAGCATACCATTCTATTTTACATCTCTGCACAGAGCTTATTGCTGTTTAGTAATTTTCTTCTTTTTGTTTAGTGTCATTTTCTCTAAAAGAATGAAGACCTTAGAGAGCAGGGGTCTTGTGACTCTTGGAGGAAGTTGAAGCTCTCAATTAATGGGTAATTCTCAGATTTTTTTTTTATACAAATCAAAAGCTGATTACATCCTTCACAAGAAAATTATGTCAGGAAGATACCAAATGCTAACAAACTCCCTTCGTCCATGAGATTTCTTTTTTTCTGAATACGCAGGCTAATTGGAAAGATCAAATGCATGTGAGGTACTGCAAAACTCACTGCACACATAGAAGGGGTAATGTGGGTGAAAACACAGAGCATAATGTGTGAAAAGACTTAACACAGTCCCCAACACATATTAGGCACCAAAATCTGTTCATTGGTTTATGTATTTATCACTTATTATTTGTTAATCCCTTAATTTATTCACTCAACAGGTCTAGCTCACCAATCCCAAGAGGAGCTGTAGATATCGACTATAAAATTTACTTCTTATCCCTGTCTGCATGTCTTCAGAGAGGGATAAGAAGTAAATCCACCAAAGCAGTTAAAGTCTAGAAAACCTGGACCTGGAACTGGCTGCTTTGCAGCTTTCCAATGTTAAATAGTAACAAAACCAACGAGGAACTTAATGACTCAGAACTGAATACACTCAACATAGAAATTTTTCTAAGAGAAATTTGATAGATGATTGTTGGACAATTAAGCATGTGCTTGAACTTAGAATCACTATTGATTTTCAATTCTCTTAAAAGTGAGAATTAATTCATAAATTTGCCAACTATGAAGACCTTTAAATATTATTCTAGTTACGGAAAACTTGATGGCATAAAGTAATGATTTTTTATGCCCATAAATTCTAGATCAGGAATTCAAGAAGGGCGCTGTTGGTTAGTTCTCACTTAGGGCTCTCTTGTAGTTACAGTCAGATTTTGATTGGGGTGACTGTCATCTGAAGGCTTTGGGGCTTCAGAATCCTCTTCCTAGGTGCCTTCCCTACACGTGTGGGAAGTTGATTAGCTGCTCCAGTTTTCCTTTTCAAGGAGCCACTTTAATGCCCTCATAGTATGGTGGCTATCTTCCCCCAGAGAGAGCAATCTAAGAGATCGGGGTGATAGATAAAATACCTTGACACCCCCGAGAGCCATATACAATCACTTTTGTACTCTCTCTGTCACACAGGGCCAGCCTTGATTCATCGACAAAATCCAGAGGGGGCTATATAAGGGTGTGGGTCATTGGGGGTCATTTTGGAGGCTAACACAAATATCATTAAATATTAACATCTTGGGTAGATAATATGATTAGAGGGTGCCTGAGGACCAAACAAGGATTTTTACACGACAGAAGTTAAGAGAAATGAATTGATTATAGCCATCAGTAATATGAGTATAGTTTTAAATAAAGATGCATAATTATAGCATATTCATAAGAAAACATAAAATTATTTTAATCACTGAATGTTCTATATACCTTTGTAGACAGGATCGTTCACTGATTCATTTATCCAAACATTCATTTCACTAAAATGTATTGAATAACTGCTATATACAGGGTCTCGTGAAGAAACCTGTGAAAAAAGTATGAATTTTGACATCCTCTTTTCAAATGTAACATAGGTCAATAAAGGCATTAGTTGTTTGACCAATAAATTATAGAAAAAACAACTCTCTACATTGATTGCTGCCTTAAAAACATTCCAAAAAAAAAGTTTTAGACTATTTAGACCCATTTCTTGATAGCTTTCCACTGTTCCTTCCAATGCAAACCCACAGTCAGCACCAGGGATGGGAGTAGGAACCTTAAACTTGATTTGATTAATCATTAGTTTCAATGTATAGCTTGTCTTTTATTTAAAGGCATATATGAGCACACACGCATGTACACATGCAAACACATACATCCTAAATGCATATGCCCATTAAAGTATTGATTTGGCAATAAGTTATGCAGCTGAATTTTGATCCTTAGTTTCTTCTCTCTGAAAATCAAGTCCAGATGATCTAAAACAAGCTGACAGTAAAAATGAGAGAACAGGTTTTACCAAATTTAGACCCACTTAAAACTTCATGGAATCTAAGTTTAGAATACACTGAATTTTCCAGCTCTTTCTGGGTTTTGCTTTGCCTAGCACTAGGTAGTGCATCTTTCCAGCAGTTTAAAAGGAGGAGGAGGAGAAAGAGCAGTAGCAGTTTGTGAAATAACTTCTGAAGCTTTTAGAAAATAAAAAGGGTAGAGAAAATGACACCATGATAACTTGGTTGTTAACTTTGCACGTTTCTCTAGAATTCACTTACCCCTAGGGCATGAACAGTTTCAAATGGATGGTAGGAAGGAGATGTTAGATGAAGGTCTTTTGAGTTTGAACAAACCTGAAGTATTTGAGAAGTGTCTGGAAATAAATGAGTCTAAACTACCACTGGACTTTTAATAGATACTGTTACAATTCACCAGAACATTTAAAACTCAAGACAATTTCTTCCAGGTCCCTAAAAACAAAACAATCAATGGTCATTGATGAAAAATCATATTACTTATTCATTCACTGTTTTCTAGTATTTCAGTGTTTATTACTATCCAGCCTCATCTGGGTTATATTTTAAAAACCAAACATTTTCCTACAGCTGTGAATTAGCTTAAACAGTACAATGTAGTTACCATATTGTGCTTCAACTGCTAAACCTGTCATGTCACAGCACTACAATAACTCATTTAAAAATCAAGATTTTTAAAATATATGTTGATTAAAATGTACCACTAGAAAGGTATTACATGTCTTACAATGGAAGTGAAATGTATATAAGTATGGGTAAAAAGGCAAGTCACTAGTATGAGATGAAAACTAAAACTAAAACTAAAATTTTCATGGTAAAATACCAGCATGTGTGTACTTGTGCAGTGTACACTTCTAAACACTGAAGGCTTGTAAAAGTAAATGTGTTAAATAGAAGTCTGATAGTTTATCATAAACCTACAGGGAAAAAAACCAGACTTTGTGTTTTTGATATTTTGTGCATTAATATATTATTACAAACATGAAGATGTTTGTGAGTGTTTGTTTTAGTCATTTTATTTGAAGTCACAGCATTGTACCATCTTCATTTCTGTATAGAGCTGCTTCAATCATAAGTCGTCTAGACTTCCCCTGCCTATCTGGTTTTTATGTTTTTGTTTAAGACAGTAAAATAAGTGTTTTTCGAATCAAAAAAGAAGATATTGTTACAGAATTGAGCATATTGAACATTTATAAAAAGAACCATTCGATAATACTGTTGCAGATCACACAACGCAGACAGGTGTTCCGAAAATAAGTCCATAAGCTCTATATTTGCATTTCCAGCCCAATGTTCTTGTGAAATTCAATCACAATGACTCTTGAGCCTGGCGATTCAGCTAAGCATAATTGAATATGGACAAATTTACATGAAAAGTTTTGTGCCAACAGAAAATATTTATGTTTGCATATAACAATGGCATTCTTGGACAATTTGAAGTTTTGCAGAAAAACCCCGTGTGAGATAAGACCTGATACATTAATTAAATTATGCTAGCTTGCTCAAATTGCTATGATATAAACTGACATACTTTCTTCATCATGGGTTAAAAAAATAATGATCTATTACAGGAAGTGAAACCTAATTGCATGAAACCAAACCCACACAAAACTGAAGTTACTCAGATAAACAAAGTTTCCTCCAAGAAAGCTTTGCCTTGCCCTTTTCAAGACATTAACTGTTTATATTATGTCGGATTTAAACTTACCAATCAGAAAATTACAGAATGAATATTTGTCTTATAGGAAGCTCTTTGTTCCTTCTCTTTTCAGTTGCAAGGTCATGCATTTTTTTCTTCATGCCCCGTTACTTTGGGGAGCACATTTATTATGTAAGATAGAGACTTTGGAGAAAGTCTTACGATCATACACATCACTCCCTTTGTCAATGTTTAAGTAAATGTTCATTCGCAAGCCTAGTTATCCCCAGGGCATTATTTATTCTAACATAAATAGCATCAGTAAAATTAATTAGAGAAAGATTCCTCCCATTTGTCAGTTACTCTAAAGTTTTGCTTTGAATAAATTAATTGCTCAGCTCACAGTGATGAGTAAGATGCTCAAGGATTACTGAAAGGAAAAAGAGATTCTTACCAGGGCTTCCCCTTGATCTTACCAACAGAACATTGATGGAACAAAGGCAAACAAAACCAAAACAAAACAGCCAAACTGATGCTGGGAAAGAGATGGATGTGTCACCATTGCTGAGGATAAATACCGTGGAAGCTGCACCTGGCCAAGGTGAGCATTCAGATTAGAAATACCCCAAATTTAATGGTAATCCAAAGTCAGTAATTACAAAGAGATCAGACCAGGAAATGTTCCAAGTTTGTTTAGGGAAAGTTGGAGAATATGGAAACTCACAAAGAAGAATAAGAAATAAACACTAATTTCATTCCTCAGATATAATCCTTGTTAAATTTTAGACTATTAATATAAATTTTTTTAAAAAAAAGAGGTCATATTTTATTAACTTTTAATTGACATTTCCATGTGTCAATAACTATTATATATTTAAAATGGCTGTAGAATGAATACTGCACAGTATGGAAGTATCATTTTATTTAACAAATCTCTTATTGCCAGACTTTTACCATACACAGGCTTGGCTGTAATTGTTGCTGTTGTTTTACTATTTTAAATGATGCTGTGATGTGAATTCTTTTATGATTGTGAATAAATATTTGAATAAAGTAAATTACTAAAGTGGAAGTTCTAGGTAATTTGCACATTTTCTAGGCATTTGTTGTGTATTGAAAATGCTCCTCCAGAAAGGTTATACTGATTGATAACCAACCATGTAGGAAAGGTGAGGTTCTTTTCAAGTCTTCCGTCTCAGCCCTTGCAATTTTGTCTCAGTAAGTCTTAAAAGCATGGGGCCTGAGGCCTAGAATTTGGGAGAGAGAGGGGAAAGCCCTGCTAAACATGTGTGTAAATGTGCTTCTTTGACTTCATCTGCTTATTCCATGTAATCTTGTAAGTGGAACACGTTACACATAGGAGAATTGTTGGCCAGTGCTAAATGACAGAAAGCATGATAAAATTAAGCTTCATAATTTTTATCTTAAGAGTAGGAGAGACTTATTTGATTTTTTATTTTTATTTTAAATTCTGGGATACATGTGCAGAAGTGCAGGTTTGTTACGTAGGTATACCTGTGCCATGGTGGTTTGCTGCACCTATTGACCTGTCCTCTAAATTCTCTTCCCTCACCCCCTAACCCCCAACAGGCCCTGGTGTATGTTGTTCCCGTCCTTGTGTCCATGTGTTCTCATTGTTCGACTCCCACTTATGAGTGAGAATATGCAGTGTTTGGTTTTCTGTTCCTGTGTTAGTTTGCTGAGCATGATAGCTTCCAGTTTCATCCATGTCCCTGCAAAGGACATGATCTCATTCCTTTTTACGTCTGTATGGTATTCCATGGTATATATGTACCACATTTTCTTTATCCAGTCTATCACTGATGGGCGTTTGGGTTGGTTTCATGACTTTGCTATTGTAAATAGTGCTGCAATAAACATATGTGTGCATGTATCTTTATATTAGAATGATTTATATTCCTTTGGGTATATACCCAGTAATGGGATTGCTGGGGCAAATGGTATTTCTGGTTCTAGATCCTTGAGGAATCGCCATACCATCTTCTACAATGGTTGAACTAATTTACATTCCCATCAACAGGGTAAAAGCATTCCTATTTCTCCACAGCCTTGCCAGCATCTATTATTTCTTGACTTTATAATAATTGCCATTCTGACTGGCATGAGATGGTATCTCATTGTCGTTTTGATTTGCATTTCTCTAGTGATAAGTGATGTTGAGCTTTTTTCCATATGTTGGCCATGTAAATGTCTTCTTTTGAGAAGTGTCTGTTCATACCCTTTGCCCACTTTTTGATGGGCTTGTTTTTTTCTTGTACATATGATTAAGTTTCTTGTAAATTCTGGATATTAGACCTTTGTCAGATGGGTAGATTCAAAAATTTTCTCCCATTCTGTAGGTTGCCTATTCACTCTGATGATAGTTACTTTTGATGTGCAGAAGCTTTTTAATTTAATTAGACCCCATTTCTCATTTTGGATTTTGTTGCAATTACTTTTGGTGTTTTAGTCATGAAGTCTTTGCCCATGCCTATGTCCTGAATGGTATTGCCTAGCTTTTCTTCCAGGGTTTTTATGGTTTGGGGTTTTACATTTAAATCTTTAATCCATCTTAATTTTTGTATAAGGTGTAAGGAAGGGGTCCAGTTTCAGTTTTCTGCATATGGCTAGTCAGTTTTCCCAGCATCATTTATTGAATAGGAGATTCCTTCCCCATTGCTTGTTTTTGTCGGGTTTGTCAAAGATCAGATGGTTGTAGATGTGTAGTATGATTTCTGAGGTCTCTGTACTGTACCATTGGTCTACATGTCTGTTGTGCTACCAGTGCCATGCTGTTTTGGTTACTGTAGCCTTGTAGTATAGTTTGAAGTCAGGTAGTGTGATGCCTCCAGCTTTGTTCTTTTTAGTTAGGATAGTCTTGGCCATACGGGGTCTACTTTGAGTCCATATAAAATTTAAAGTAGTTTATTCTAATTCTGTGAGATGTCAATCATAGTTTGATGGGAATAGCATTGGATCTATAAATTACTCTGGGCAGTATGGCCATCTTCAAGATATTGATTCTTCCTATCCATGAGCATGGAATGTTTTTCCATTTGTTTGTGTCCTCTCTTATTTTCTTGAGCAGTGGTTTGTAGTTCTCCTTGAAGAGGTCCTTCATATCCCTTGTTGCTGTATTCCTCAGTATTTTATTCTCTTTGTAGCAATTGTGAATGGGAGTTCACTCATGATTTGGCTCTCTGCTTGTCTGTTGTTGGTGTAGAGGAATGCTGGTGATTTTTGCACATTGATTTTGTATCCTGAGATTTTGCTGAAGTTGGTTATCAGGTTAAGGAGTTTTTGGGCTGAGATGATGGGATTTTCTAAATATAGAATTATGCAAACAGAAAAAATTTGACTTCCTCTCTTCCTATTTGAATATCCTTTATTTCTTTCTCTTGCCTGATTGCACTGGCCAGAACTTCCAATACTATGTTGACCAGGAGTGGTGAGAGAGGGCCTCTTGGTCTTATACTGGTTTTCAAAGGGAATGCTTCCAGCTTTTGCCCATTTAATATGATATTGAGTGTGGGTTTGTCATAAATAGTTCTTATCATGTTCTATCAATACCTAGGTTATTGAGAGTTTTTAACATTAAGGAATATTGAATTTTGTCAAAGGCTTTTTTGCATCAATTGAGATAATCATGTGATTTTTGTCTTTGGCTCTGTTTTTGTGATGGATTATGTTTATTGATTTGCATATGTTGAACCAGCTTTGCATCCCAGGGATGAAGCTGACTTGATCATGGTAGCTAAGTTGGTGTTTTTGTTTTTTTTTTTTTTTTTTTTTTTTGAGACTGCATTTCACTCTTGTTGCCCAGTCTGGAGTGCAATGGCACAATCTCGGCTCACTGTAACCTCTGCCTCCCGGGTTCAAGCAATTCTCCTGCCTTGACCTCCTGAGTAGCTGGGATTACAGGCATTCGCCACCTCACCCAGCTAATTTTTGTATAATTAGTAGAAACAGGGTTTCACCATGTTGGTCAGGCTGCTCTTGAACTCCTGACCTCAGGTGATCCATATGGTGGCTATTTTTTGATGGGCTGATGGATTCAGTTTGCCAGTATTTTATTGAGGATTTTTGCATTGATGTTCATCAGGGATATTGGCCTGAAGTTTTCTTTTTTTGTTGTGCCACTGCCAGGTTTTGGTATCAGGATGATGCTGGCTTCATAAAACCAGTTAGGGAGAAATCCCTCCTTTTCAGTTGTTTAGAATAGCTTCAGATGGAATGGTACCAGCTCCTCTTTGTAGGTTTGGTAGAACTTGGCTGTGAATCTGTCTGGTCCTGGGCCTTTTTTGGTTGATAGGCTATTAATTATTGCCTCAATTTCAGAACTTGTTATTGGTCTGTTCAGGGATTTGACTTCTTCCTGGTTTAGTCTTGGGAGGGTGTATGTGTCCAGGAATTTATCCATTTCTTCTAGATTTTCTAGTTTATTTGTGTAGAGGTGTTTATAGTATTCTCTGGTGGTATTTTGTATTTCTACGGGGTCAGCGATGATATTCCCTTTATCATTTTTTATTGTGTCTATTTGATTCTTCTCTCTTTTCTTCTTAATTAGTGTAGCTAGCAGTCTATCTATTTTGTTAATTTTTTTTGAAAAACCAGCTCCTGGATTCATTTATTTTTTTGAAGGGTTTTTCGTATCTCTATCTCCTTCAAGTCTGCTCTCATCTTAATCATTTCTTTTCTTCTGCTAGCCTCTGGATTAGTTTGCTTTTGCTTCTATAGCTCTTTTAATTGTGATGTTAGGTTGTCGATTTTAGATCTTTCCTACTTTCTGATGTGGGCATTTCATGCTATAAACTTCCCTCTTAACACTGCTTTAGCTGTGTCCCACAGATTCTGGTACATTGTCTCTTTGTTCTCATTGGATTCAAAGAATTTCCTGGTTTCTGCCTTAATTTCATTATTTACCCAGGAGTCATTCAGGAGCAGGTTGTTCAATTTCCATGTAATTGTGTGGTTTTGAGTGAGTTTCTTAATCCTGAGTTCTGATTTGATTGCAGTGTAGTCTGAGAGACTGTTTGTTATGATTTCAGTTCTTTTGCATTTGCTGAGGAGTGGTTTACTTCCAAATATGTGATTGTTTTTAGAATAAGTGCCACGTGGCACTGAGAAGAATGTATATTCTGTTGATTTGGGGTGAAGAGTTCTGTAGATGTCTATTAGGTCCACTTGATCCAGAGCTGAGTTCAAGTCCTGAATATCCTTGTTAATTTACTGTCTTGTTGATCTGTCTGATATTGACAGTGGGGTGTTAAAGTCTACCACTGTTATTGTGTGGGAGTCTAAGTCTCTTTGTAGGTCTCTAAGAGCTTGTTTTATGAATCAGGGTGCTCCTGTATCAGGTGCATATATATTTAGGATAGTTAGCTCTTCTAGTTGAATTGATCCTTTCACCATTATGTAATGCCCTTTTTTGTCTTTTTTGATCTTTGTTGGTTTAAAGTCTGTTTTGTCAGAAAGTAGGATTGCAACCCCTGCTTTTTTTTTTTTTTTTTTTTTTTTTTTTTTGCTTTCCATTTGCTTGGTAAGTTTTCCTCCATGCCTTTATTTTGAGCCTATGTGTGTCTTTCTACATGAAATGGGTCTCCTGAATACAGCCCACTGATGGGTCTTGACTCTTTATCCAGCTTGCTTGTCATCATGATGCTATCTGGTTATTTTGCACATTAGTTGATGCAGTTTCTTTATGGTGTCATTGGACTTTATATTTTGGGTTGTTTTGCAGTGACAGGTACCAGTTTTTCCTTTCCAGTTTGCTCTTGCAAGGCAGGCCTGACGGTGAGAAAATCCCTCAGCATTTGCTTTCCTGGAAAGGATTTTATTTCTCCTTCACTTATGAAGCTTAGTTTTGACTGGATATGGAATTCTGGGTTGAAAATTCTTTTCTTTAAGAATGTTGAATATTGGCCCTCAATCTCTTCTGGTTTGTAGAGTTTCTGCTGCAAAGTCCGCTGTTAGTCTGATGGGCTTCCCTTTGTAGGTGACCTGGCCTTTCTCTCTGGCAGCCTTTAACATTTTTTCCCTTCATTTTGACCTTGGAGAATCTGATGATTATGTGTCTTGTGGTTAATCTTCTCTGGGAGTATCTTAGAGGTGTTCTCTGTATTTCCTGAATTTGCACATTGGCCTGTTTGCTAGGTTGGGGAATTTCTCCTGGATAATGTCCTGAAGTGTGTTTTCCAGCCTTTTTCCATTCTCCCAGTGTCCTTCAGGTACTCCAGTCAATTGTAGGTTCAGTCTTTTTACATAGTCCCATATTTCTCGGAGGCTTTGTTCATTCCTTTTCATTATTTTTTCTCTAATCTTGTCTGCATGCCTTATTTCAGCAAGATGGTCTTCAAACTTTGATATCTTTTCTTCCACTTGGTCGATTTGGCTATTGATACTTGTGTATGCTTCATGAAGTTCTCATGCTGTGTTTTTCAGCTCCATCAGGTCATTCATATTCCTCTCTAAACTGGTTATTCTAGTTAGCAGCTACTCTAATGTTTTATCAAGGTTCTTAACTTCTTTGCATTGGGTTAGAATATGCTCCTTTTGCTCAGTGGAGTTTTTTATTACCCATCTTCTGAAGTCTACTTCTGTCAATTCGTCCATCTCATCCTCTGGCCAGTTCTGCACCGTTGCTGGAGAGTCATCGTGATCATTTGTAGGAGAAGAGGCACTCTGACCTTTTGGGTTTTCAGTGTTTTTTTGTTGATTCTTTCTAATCTTCTTGATTTTGTCTAGTTTCAATCTTTGAAGCTGCTGATCTTTGGATGGGGTTTTTGTGGGGACTTTTTGTTGTTGATGTTGCCGTTGTTGTTGCTTTCTGTTTGTTTTTCCTTCAACGTTCAGTTCCTCTTCTGTAGGGCTGCTGCGGTTTGCTGGGGGTTCACTTCAGGCCCTATTCATCTGGTTCACTCTGGTGCCTGGATATGTCACTCAAGGAGGCTGGAGAGCGGCAAAGATGGGTGCCTGCTTTTTCTTCTGGGATCTCTGACCTCGAGGGGCACCAACAGCCTCCCTTGGCTGGGGTGTGGGGGCTCCCCTGCCCCACTGTGGCTCTCAGGCGGGCCACCTAACCACACTACTCTTCCTTCCCCTCCGTGGATCACTGGAGAGATTTATTGACTTTCTGAAGGTTATATAAGCAACTCAAGGCATGACCTAAGAATAAAATGCAAGCTAATAATTACCAAACCAATTTTTCATCCTCAAAAAGTAATTCAGTTTAATTTCTAGGTTAATTTAAAATTAATAAAAGATGTCAGATGAATAGCTCAGAAAGCTCCTACCTTCTTAATCTACAATCCAAACAATAACATGCTTTAAATAACATCATTTACAAATGAGCTAAAACTGTGTCATCTTCATGGCCATAACTCAGGACACTGGCTGAATTATATATGTCTAAGAAATTCAGTCAGATCAATTTATTGAGGCTTCTTAAAATGCCATGATGAATAGAAAACTTTGAGTGGGAGTTGGGAGGGGGCACCTAGACAGGCTATGTAAATCGAAATGATTAAATCGCTTTGGTCATGTTTCATTATTCTGTGGTCATTTTGCCACAGACTCTATTTCTAAATTTGCTTTCTGGTTTTCTTAACATATTATATAACTGGGAGGCAGCAGTTTGGAGGGGCACATTGGACAGGGAAACCAGGATTCATTCTTGGCTTTCCTACTAACTGAATGACTTGGGATCATTTCTTTAAACTTTCTGATCTGCAGTTACTTCATTTGTCATATAATGACTTATCTTGATGATAAGCAAATCCTACTATTAAAATATAGATATGACCCAGTTGAGTTGATGTGGTGGTTAAGATATTTGACTCTGGAGCCTGATTATAGATTCAAATCCCAGCTACTTACCACTTAATAATCACATAACTTTGGGAGATTTGCTTAACTTATCTGTATGTATCAGTCCCTTCATCTTCAAAACATGAATAATTATAGCAACTACCTCTGAGAGTTCATATGAGAACTCAGTAATACAGTTTTTGCCTGACATATGGTAGGTACCCACTAAATCTTAGCTGCCAATAGTATAACACTCCTTATAAGTGCAATAGAAATGTATTACATGAGATCCTTCAATTCATCTAATCTAGGAAACCTTGGGATTAATGTTTTTATTGAATCTATTTGAGCACTATTTAGCTCAGTATCTTCACTGGCAGCAATGACTTATTCTCATGATGAAATTTGCTTCATTTTCTAAATAAGTTTTTTATACTTAGAAAGGCCTTCATTTTATCTTTATCTTCCTGTTTCAAACCTGCTTTCAGAAAAACACTGAAAGAGTTGCTAATATTGTTATGATTATATTCGATTGGCTTTCAACATATGCTTCAAGTTTTATGAGATCCTAAAATTTGTACATTAGCTTTTTAAAAAATTATTTTGAATCACATCAGTCATTCTGTTAAATAAAAATTTTGACTATACGACCAAAGACAGTGTTGAAATTTGGCATTGTGTGGCTCTCTCTTGGTCTGCCAAGGGAGGTTAATTATCAGAAAAGCAGAAAATCCTCAGTGCAACATGATTCACCCTAAGGAGGTCCTTCAGCTGTTTCCAGAGGGCAACTGGAATACTAAGCAAGCCTTTAGTATAAAAAGAATTTTTATTAATGTAAAAAAATTTTTTTATTAGTATCCAAAATTTAATATCACATCTTAAATTACTTCAGTTCCCATATGACAAAGGTAAAATTAAATAAGATTTCAACATAAATGCAGATATGGCACCGCACAGGTTATAATAATTTGACAATGAAATAGTCTTTCATGTCAAGAGGAAATATGTTAAAACAATACAAGGCATAAAAAGATTTCTTTATTCGAGTTAATGAAAGAGTGGCAAGTACCGATGCAAAAGAGATCTATATAATTATACCAGAGATAAAAAGATAAACCTGTCAATGTCGCAAATTTGTGATACTTTAGGAAGTTGTAGTCTTTCCTGAATTTAAATAAACAAGATAAAAAAAAACCTGACAACTCTTGGAAAAATCGATCCTTCCAGACCACACTTTGTTAGGGAAGAATAGATTTTTTAAAAATATTGAAATGCTAATTTTTGAGACGGGTTACTGAAGTAGTTGAAGTTTATGATTATTATCTTATGTAGCCCTAATATAAAAGGGGAATGATTTTGTGTATCTTTAATTACCTTTTCATCATACCTAAGTAAGCTTAGGGTTTATTTTAAGTTTCTGATTTAAAACACACATTGCAGGGAAATCAGAGCAATAACTGGATTTTAACATCAAACATTCTGATGAAGAAAGCACCTCATCAATTTGAAGTGTTTTCCAAATATGCAAAGTGATTGGAAGATGTAAGTTAAAGGAGCATTTCAACCCCAATTTTTGACATAAAGCATTTCTGAATTCCATGCAATAAAAGGATCTTAGCTTTAATGTTTTCTCATAAAGCCTTATATAATTTGAAGTATCTAACTAATTTTGTCCAAACTAAATATAAAAATAAATTACATATGAAATTCATGTATTGACAGCTAAAGATGAAAAGGAATATGTTTGTGGCATTGGATCAAACCAGTTAGTGCAATTTAAATTTCCAAATGTATCACATGTGTGTATAGAAAAGAAATTAGAAAATATGATCTGTGTTCTCAAGATAATCCAACCATACGTGAAATGTATGGTTTAAGCCAATATCTCAATAAGAGTAGAAAGATGCAAGTATTACTGTGGGCCTGTCATCGGGTGGGGGGCTGGGGGAGGGTTAGCATTAGGAGAAATACCTAATGTAAACGACGAGTTAATGGGTGCAGCAAACCTACATGCCACATGTATACCTATGTAACAAAACTGCACGTTGTGCACATGTACCCTAGAACTTAAAGTATAATAAAAAAAATATGCAACGCACCTAGCTCAGTATGTGGCATGTACTGAGTGCTAATAAATGTTGGCTGATATTAGCCATGTTATTTCTTTAGAGGGTGCATGTTATTGAGTAACAGGAATGCACCATGAATTGTTTAGTAATTCACCTACATGTGTGTATTGAGATTGTTTCCTCTATGGGTTGCTTTGTTTAGTTGATTGGTTTACTTGGTAATACAAGCAACACATATTGTGTACTACACAAATATGACTACTTCTAAAGGATAGAGTGCTATAAGTAGAACCATTGGAGAAAGAGATTCAGATTTTCAGCTCTGATAGAGACTACCAAAAGGCCTACACTGATTTACACTTTCAGTATATGTGAAGGTCTATTTTCCTTTGGATATGATCCCAAAAAATGTAGTGCCAATCTGATAACTTATTTTTATTTGTTGGTTACAAAGAAGTTTAGGCTTTTTTTTCCCCAAATGTTCTAATTGTCAGAAATAGCATGTATTTTATAGTCCATTCTTTTTCCATTGCTATGAAATAAATCTTTATTATATGTTAGGTTTAATGTAGATAATGATCTAAATATCGGCATATAGATAGACAAAAAAAGTGTGTTTCTTTGAAGGAAAACAATGTCTCCATTTCAGTATTCTAATTCTAATCATGTGTGATCATCCAAAGCTATGTACTGGGGCCATGTTGTTTTATTGCCCCATGAAATTGTCTTAACTGGGCTTTATTATTACCTTGCTTTTCACTGAGAGAACTTTCAAGAAATGCCCACGTGGGCATGGTGGCATGCACGCGTAATCCCAGCTACTCAGGAGGCTGAGATAGGAGGATTGGTTGAGCTCAGGAGTTCAGGGTTGTAGTGACCTATGATTGCACCAGCCTGGGTGACAGAGACTTCATCACAAGAAAGAAAGAAAAGAAAAAAAAAGAAGGAAGAAGGAAGGAAGGAAGGAAGGAAGGAAGAAGGAAGGAAAGATGGAAGGAAGGAAGGAAGGAAGGAAGGAAGGAAGGAAGGAAAGGAAGGAAGGAAATGCTTACATGAACTGCCATATCTGAAAATCCTACCTCACAATGTTCACTTGGCTGATACAGACTTCCTCTAACCTGGGAAAATAGATATGCACAACATATGACAGACAAAAGCTAACATCCCTAAAAAATGAAAAGCACTTGGTAATCAATTTTTTTAACTTACCAGACAAAGTGGCAAAGGATAAAAAGCATGAAAGGCAGCTCTTAGAAGACAAAATAGAATGTCCAATAAACACATAAATGTATGCCCAATCTTACTCTTAATTTTAAAAATGCAAATAGAAATAATGAGAGACGAATCTCAGATTCCTCCCTCCCCTGTTGATAAGTTGGCAAGCAAAAAGCTTCTGGGTGTGAAAGAAATAAGCACTCTTATAGGAAAAATTGGTGAAAACTTTTGTGAAATAATTTGGCATTACTTATCAAATGTTTAAGTGATTTTTATTTTGCAATTCCACTACTGAGCATTTATCCTGAGTCTATCTTGCACATTTACACAGAGACAGATAAGTGCAATAACATCTATAGTAATAATTATTGTAATTATAAAAAAATTGAAAGCAATCTGTTTTATAAATAGGAGATTAGATTGATAGATTGTGGCCGTTCATGCAAGGGAATATCACTCAGCTGTTAAGAAAGGTGACATCTATTTATCCACCAAGATTTATATATACTATGTATGCAAACCAGCAGCTCAGCTTAGTGAGCAGATTCTGAAGGCTCAGTGCAGACTCTGGAATCATACCCGGGTTTGAAACTTGGCACCACCATTTATAGCTGGGGTTATCTATAGCAAGCATCATAATATCCATATGTCTCACTTTGCTTGTCTATGAAATGGACACAAGAATAGGACATCTTGCTATGAAGTTGCTATGAAGATAAAATGATACAATATTTGCAAGGCACTTAGACAAGGGTCTGGCACATAGAAAGCACTATATAAGTTTTTGTGAAATATAATAAATACTCACATGGAAAGTCGTTTAGAAGTAGACTTCTAAAGTAGAAAGTAAACTGGTGCAGAAGAGTATATCCATATATGGAAACGAAATGATAGAGGTGAGATACATACTTCCATATGAATAAAATATTTCTGGAAGCCACAATAAGAAATGAAGAGTTTACCTCCAGGATATGGTAAGGAGTTACATGATCTTAAGGCCCTTTTATTTTCACCCTTCAGTATTGTTTGAAGTTCTTTTAATTTTATTTCATGGGGAAGAGGAAGGAGACACAGCAGCAGCGGCAGCAACAGCTCCTGGAAGATTTCACGGCAGGTGAGAGGCTGTTTCACCCTGAGCTCACAGGTAACCTCTGCAGCATGGTAGGTTTTATGCTGCAAGCAGCTGGGCTCACATCATCTTGTCTCTGACTTGACCAAAATACTGTCTCCTATCTCTTTGTGTGTGTGTGTGTGTGTGTGTGTGTGTGTGTCACACACACATACCCATGTTAAAAAGTTAGGATCATGTGGTAAGTACAACTTTTATTTCTATTATTAGTAGTAGTAGTATTTGAGATGGGGTCTCATTATATCACCCAGGCTGGTCTTGAACTCATGGAATCAAGTGATCTCCTGCCTCACCCTCTCAAGTAGCTGGGATTACAGGTGTGTGCCACTATGCCCAGCCCTATTATTTTTAGTTAATGATTCACTAGGGAAGTTTTCCCATTTTCTTCAAAAATATGATTTTAATAACTGCATGATGTTCTATTATGTACATACACTACAGCCTTTTCTGAACAGAACTAAATGGGCCAAGTGGAGCAGAGAATCAAGTTCATGTTCCTGTGAGGTCAGCCTACACAATGTATTCACAGTCTTCATTTTTTACTGCTGTATGGCATTCCTCCTCATTGTTATAAAACGTGGGAGGCAAGGATCTGGCAAGCTAATTCACTTTAAGATACAAATTACTGATATGGGGAAGATTGATACTGATACTGATATGGGGAAAAAACACTCTGCATTTTAACAAGAAGCAGACCATTAATCCAAAGGTTTAATTTTTAATGGTAGGTTTTCACTTATTAGCAAGACGAGTAAGGGAAACGTTGCGGATGGAAGAAACATTTAAATGTAGCATTTGCAGATGAGACTGGGTAGATGTTGGCTGAATTGAAATATTTGGAAGCTGGCACAAATAGGCCTTCAATATGTCATCTTTTTTATTGTTGCAAATTGCTACAGCATAGAAACCATAGCCACTCAAACAAGTCACAATAATAACAAGAGACCACAGAGACCCCTGGAATATAAAATACTAATTTTCCAATTTTGCCCACTCATGGTTTCTGGCTTTGCTATTACCTTGGTTAAGTTTACTCGACTTTTCTGTGTCTCACTTTTATCAACTACACAATATGGTCTACCCTAGAAAGATTGTGAGAAGTGAATGCTCAAAATATTCAATTCCATGATTCTTACTTTCATCCTTCCCTTTCCTCTCTTCCCAGAGAGAATGTTACAGTAGGTGGAATACAACACCTTTGACAAAAAACATGATTGCAAGTCTTGCCTCAAACACTTACCATCTAGGCAGGCAACTAATCTTAGCTCACTTTGCTAATCGATAAAAATAGGCTAAAATATATAAATATATGCTTTAACTTAAATGAATGTTAATGTCTGTTGGGCCTATTACCTGACATTTTTATTGCCATTAGGAGAAGCAGCAGGAGGATAAAAATACATTTAACATTTTTGAGAACATAATATGAGTTAGCTTTTTCTGTTGCTTACCTTCTTTACTCCTCAAAGTAGCTGTCTAAGGTAGATACTTTACACAGAGAGAGATGAAAGCTTAGAGTTTACCCCAACGCACACACTTCAGAAGCAGTGGAGCTAGAATTAAAATTCTAAGGCCTCTATCTGCTGCTTCACACTGCCTATGTGATCTTTAGAGGTCTGTAGAGGCACATGGAATTCAAGAATTACTATTATCATATTACTAAATGGTTATAAAACCAAAATGGCATGAGTCACCAAAGTGGGAGTGACTCACCAACATCTCTATTGTGAGAACTTTTTGTTCTGCAAATCTTTCCTCAATATGGAAGGAACTAATTTATGATGAAGTGTTTCATAAAATAAAAGCATGATATGTCAATGCCTATAAGTGTATATCCCAATGATAGCTGGATTTTTAGGTACAGATGACTAAGCTTTTTACATGTGTATAAAGTTTATAGATATTTATATAGATATCACATATATAAGAAAAAATTATGTGTGTGTGTATATACATATATGATGGATATATATGTGTGTATATGTATATGTAAAGAATATATGGTTGGACTCTTACTTTATACCTGAATGATAGACAGGGAAAATTGAGTAAAACATTTGAAAAAAATTTACATTCAATTCCTTTTCTTTCCCTTTGTAAAGTAAGCCACACACTTTCTAGCTACTTTCCTGGTGAATCATCTTAACATCATGTCCACTCACATTATTTTGTCTTTCTCATTCATGTCATTCCCACGGAAACCAAGAAAGTGAATCTTACACACCTGTCTTCTCTTCTTCCTCAATTGTGGCCAAATGTCTCACCCTCCATGCAATAAACATGTCTGAGCTCCTGTTCTCATGCCAGTGTCTGTTCCAGGCAGAGCAACACGAGGCACTGCATGTGCAAAGACAGGAAGTCACTATTTCTGCTCTCCAGGAGCTCACAATTGAATGAGAAGAAGCTCAGTTTGGGTGGTGGAGCCAGTGAGGCTGACTTGGACATGGAGGAGGCTGGAGAAGGGAAAGTCCTCCTCCAAATGCAGAGTGAGCAGGGAGAGCCAGGGATGATTTTTTTGACAAAGTGTGAGAAAGCTGGTCAGAAAATGTAGTGAAGGCACCAGGACAATGTAAGTTTAAAAGATGTCAAGCCACATGGTTTTGGGACATTCTTCAGGTGGCTTTAGAAGGAAAGAGATGAGAAAACATCTACATTCAGGAAAAGAACAGAGCATTGCAGCATTTTCCTCACCTTGTCATTGACACCTTCCCTACCTCCTATGCTACTAAAAATATTGGTAATCTTGGGTAAACGGCTTGTCCTGAGTCATGTGGTCACACCAGGCCCCTACATACGAGTCATCACAGCCTCTCTCACCTAGTGTGTACCCTGGACCGTGAGCTGTAGTGATAAGTGAGGCTCGACTGTTCAAGTCAGACACATGGCCCTGAGGTTTGCTAGCCTTCTCATCTCTGCTAGTGTGCTTGAATTTCCTAATCCTTGATTTCCTCATAGGTATAATGGAGATAATAATATCTCTCTCAAAAGATTTTGTTTTAGTGACAATTTAAAAAAATAGTAAAGTACTTATTCTAGTGCCTGGTATATGGTAAATGTTCAAAAATCGTACTGAATATTGTTTTGCCTTAGACACATGTCATTTTCCTGCCTGGTGTATTTTTTTTTTTTTCTTTTGTGACAGAGTTTCGCTCTGTTGCCCAGGCTGGAGTGCAATGGCACTATCTCGGCTTACTGCAACCTCCGCCTCCCGGGTTAAAGCAATTCTCCTGCCTCAGCCTCCCGAGTAGCTGGGATTACAAGCAAGCGCCACCACTCCCGACTAATTTTGTATTTTTAGTAGAGACGGGGTTTCTCCACGTTGGCCAGGATGGTCTTGATCTCCTGACCTCGTGAACTGCCCGCCTCGGCCTCCCAAAGAGCTGGGATTACAGGCGTGAGCCACCGAGCCCAGTCTTGCCTGGTCTATTCTTAACTTCCATGGTTGCTCATTTTATCTCCTGCCTTAGCCTCATTCCTCTCATGTTTAAAATGGATTCCTGACTCCCTCACACTGCCCAGGACCACAGGCTCCTTCGCCTGTTGCCACATTCTCCTGGGTCCCTACTCCAATTGGGTGCCTGCGTGGGCTGGGTGTGTCCTGTTCCTCAATCCTGCTTCTAAACCTGCCCCCAGATCTCATGTTCATCCCTACGCTGGAATACTCTGTGGCGGTTAGAAAAAAAAAAAAAATCCCAAGTTAAATGATGTGACTATACTGACGAGGGATGTCTAAGGTGTATTATTGAATGAAGAAGGGGAGGTATAGCTTGGGAGGTGTGCTACGATCTCATTTCTCAAATAAAATGTGTTACTTAAAAATCTCTATGGTCTAAAATTTTTCAATAAGCATATATATATTTGGGACATATGTGCTCCTGATTCTCCAACTCAGAACAGGACTTATACCATTGCCTGCTCAGCACCCCAACCCCAGTTCTAGACTCAGACTGGGACACTGGCTCCCCTTGTCTGGTTCTTGGGCTGTTGGGTTTGGACCGGAAGTACACCACTGGCTTGCAGATCGCAGATCCTGGGATTTCTCAGCCTCCATTATCACGTGAGCCAACTTCTTATAATAAATTGCTTCCTATATGTCTCTTTCTCTTATAAGGTATATCCTATTGGTCCCATTTCTCAAGAATATGCTATTTTTACGATTGTGAGTATTTTCAAGGAAATTCGTATAGTTACAGGCGTCACAAAGAATCCTGTGAAATGAAAAATGGAGGTTAACGCAAAAGGATAGCAGAGGGGAGTCTGCCTAAACTACTGTTTTGCGAAACGGCCATGAAAGGCTAAGTTTGCAAAACTCAGGATGTTAACGGCTTTTGCAGGAACAAACATCATTTGGTCAAATAAGTCTAAGAAATACGAAGTTCGGTGAAGTCAAGCAGGCTTATTTATTTAATGCAGGCCATCTCTGAGACTTTAATGTGCTCATGCTCTCTGTGAGTTTGCAAAATGGAGAGAGTAGGTGGTGTCCCTACAACAACACCATCTTTTCCTATGGAGCAATGCCCGACATCTTTTTTTTTTTTTTTTTTTTTTTTTTTACGAGGGGGGAAGCAGCCAACATTTGAGAAATGCTGACCCAAACCAAGTGGGCCAGCTATTTCTCTCCTTAAATATCTCTGGGGTTTTTGTTATTGTTGTTGTTAAATCTCTGTTCTCTTTTATTCTATTTCTACCAAGTGTTTGTATCAGACAGTTACCTTTCAGTTCAAAACTTTGTCCATTTAATAACCGTATATTCAAAATCTCAAGACCTGGTGAACTTGAAATATAAATAACCTCAGACTGTTTACAACGATCCCAAACCCCAAATCATCCAACTAAAATAAGTATCTCCTGTACTTCAGAGAAATACCTCCTTTGCTTGAAAGGGAAAATTTCGTTTTTGAAAAAAATACTTTTAAATTTGATTCCTGAATGTAAAACCACCCTCATTATTGTTTGGACCTCACATTTAGAGATTTAGTTGATCTTCATCATCACTGAGTTTTCAGTTCAAGACACATTATCCTCTAAGCCCCTTTTTGAACTCCTAACCTCAGGTGATCCATCCACCTCGGCCTCCCAAAGTGTTGGGATTACAGGTGTGAGCCACCGCGCCCTGCCTCTAAGCTCCTTTCTGTTAGCTTAGTCGTTAATTCATTCCTTCACTTGTTCCCTTTTATATCCACTTCATGATTCCATGTCTCTTTCCTCCTACCATTCTAATATATTCAAATACATTAAATACGGAAGTTTGGGATTTTATGTTTTTGTAAAACGTGGAATGTTGTTTTTATATTATTTGTGGAAATTATTTCAGTCCTGCTGCCTAGGCTCTTATGAGATTTTGACTAGATAACTTTTAATAAAATGTTAACAATTAAAACATCACTACTAACTGATTAACTCTTTTAAGTTACATAGGTGAACATACGCATGAGATAAGTCAATTTAGTAGCTATGTGTATATATTTTGCCAAGCAATACTGAATGTAAAACCGAAAACCAACACATCCAAAGAACATCCTAGTATTATTTGCTAAAAATTGAAATGTTCATTTTATCATTCTCTACATTCTTCTTGCAACAGGAAATGACTTCTGAATACACTGCCTCATCTATCATTGTCAAGGATTAAATATGAACCAAATTTGCAAGGTACTTTTTTTAAAGTTTGCTAGAGCAGAATAATGTCATTGTCAACACTTTTAAACACTTTATGACTTTGGAATCTTTCCTTAAAAAAAAAAAAAAGCACATTGCCAAACTAATTAGAATTGGTCATGAATATTAATGTTTGAGTTGAAAACAACTGCCACTAGGTGGCAAACAATCTACACATAGACTTAAACAAAAGAGAAAATTATAAATGCACTATATCATATATGCATATTAAATGAGACAGTGCAAAATAGATGGTTAATGCAGTATCTTCAGCATATTGTTAATAATATTACTACTTGGAAACAAGCCTAACAGTACAGTGCCAAATGTACTTTTTGAGGAGTTAAGCTTTCTTTTGTCTTAAGTAACATTTAAAAGAAAAGAGAAAACAGAATGAGAATAGCAGATACTGACCTTAAATTCTAACATTTGTCATTATTTGGAACTGGAACATGGACATTTATTAAGTATCTCATCTGTGCTCTCCAAGTTAGGCATCTCTCTCTATGGTTGAAAATACACTGATGATGAAACTCTATAGGCCTGAGAGACCTTGAACTTCTTGTCCTTGGGCTTTCTGTCTGGCTTCATGGATTCTATATAGTCATCAATTTTTATACCATGTTGGATATAGGAGAGAGAAAGCACTGCTGGGATTTTTCTTTCTCCATCTGATGCAACCTTCTTGGGAATAGGAGAGATGATGCTATGTGAATAGACTTCAGTGCTAGACTGCTAGGTTTGAATATTAGCATAATTTCTCACAAGTTGTGTGCTGTGACTTTAATGTGTCCCCCAAAGTTCATGTGTTGGAAGCAACAGCCTGAAGAGGTGGGACCTTTAAGAAGTGATTAGGGCTGGGTGTGGTGGTCCATGCCTGTAATCCCAGTACTTTGGGAGGCCAAGGCAGGTGGATCACTTGAGGTTAGGAGCTTGAGACCAGCCTCGGCAACGGTGAAACCTCGTCTCTACTACAAATAAAAAAATAAAAAAATTAGCCGGGTGTGGTGGCGTACATTTGTAATCCCAGCTACTCAGAAGGCTAAGGCAGGAGAATTGCTTCAACTTGGGAAGCGGAGGTTGCAGTGAGCCGATATTGTGCCACTGCACTCCAACCTGGGTGACAGAGTAAGACCCCATCTCAAATAAATAAATGCATAAATAAATAAATAGTGATTATGTCACAAGGGCCCTGCAGTTATGAGTGGATTAACACCACTATTACAGGAGTAGGTTCCTGATAAAATAAGTTCAGTCCCTTCTCCCCCACTCTCCAACTTTCTCTCATGCACATGCCCTCTTTCCCTTCTGCGTTCCATCATAGGATGATGCAGCAAGACAATTCTCACCAGATGTGGGCCCCTTGACCGTGAACTTCCTAGTTCCAAGACTTTCAGAAATAAATCTCTGTGCTGTAGAGATTACCCAATCTCAAGTATTCTGTTATAGCAGAACAAAAGGGACAAAAAAAGACAGCGTAACTGTGACAGACTATTATTGCTCCTGAATAATCATTTCTCCTTCTTCTAAGGGGATGATACTTCTTTGTTCTATTGACCTTGTTCTTGGCCATGAGTGTGCTCTGGCCAGTGGTATGTGAGTAAACATGGTGTATACTATATCTAGCAAGCAGCTTCAAGATCTGCAGTGGGTTTCCACCATCTCTCTTGCTTTTACCCTCTTCCAAGGAAATGATGTGTCCCCTCAGAAGAGGGGGCTACTCCTTCAGCCTGGGGCCTGGAATGAGAAGACCCACAGAGAAGAGCTAAGGAAAGTGAGGTGCAGCCACCAAAATAATATATGTGAGAAATAAGTATTTATTGTTAGAAGCTATTGGAATTTTGACGTTGTTTCTTATTACAGCATTACCTAGTGAAAACTGACTATGGCCCTTAGCTTATTAACCTGTCAAATGAAGCTAATAATATTATTCATCTCACAGGACTTGGATTGAATGAGTTAATACACAGGAAGAATGTAGAATAGTACATAACATTATGGAGGCTAGATATTATTATTAAAATAGTCTAAATGCATATGCCATAAAAGATTACATATATTGAATGACTAATAGAGACCAGGAATGTGTTACTCATGATTTTATTCAATTATACAGTATCTTTCTAAAGTATTGACATTCCTGTTTCATAGAACAGAAAACAGAGACTCAGAAAGTCTCTTAGTTCAGTGAGACTTTCAGTTCCTAGTTCAGTGTGGCTAACTTCCAGTTTTTTTGTGTGTATGTTTTTTACTCTGAATCAGTCATGAACTAATGGTTTTAGAAAATATGAATAACATTGAGTTATTAAAAAATAAATAAAATGAACAAAGTTTAAAAGACATATAAGATATAATTCCAATTTTTTATTATTAGATCCTGTAGACATAAAATTATATTTTAATTAATGCCATTGGAACAAATGTTAAAAATGAAAGAATTACAAAAATTATCCATATTATTCAGTGAAAATATGTATGTAGACAACTAATACAGAAAAATCACTGTTTTGCCAATAACTTTTTGTCATTTCACAATTGTAACTAAACAAAAATATGAATGAAAAGCAACTTCCCAAGTTAAACACTATTTACATACATTAAACTACCCACATACAGTTTTTAATGTGACAAGTAAGCTTGCTTCTTACTTGTTAACATATCTAATCTACTTTAATTTCTTTTTTTTTCCCTTTCTTTCTTTTTTTTTTTTTTTTTTTGAGACTGGGTCTCACTCTGTCTCCCAGACTGGAGTGCAATGATGCGATCATGGCTCACAGAAGCTTTGACCTCCTGGGCTCAGTGATCCTCCCACCTCAGACCCCAAGTAGTTGGGACTACAGACATGTACCACCACACCCCACTAATATTTTATTTTTTGTAGAGATGAGGGTCTTGGGGGTCTCACTATGTTGCCCAGGTTGGTCTCAAACTCCTGGGCTGAAGCTATTCTCTGGCCTCTTATGGCTGGGACCACAGGCGTGTGCCACCATGTCTGGCTTTTTTTTTTTTTTTTTCGGAGAGACAGAGATCTCACTTTGTTGCCTCGGCTGGTCTTGAACTCCTGGCCTCAGATGATGCGCCATCCTCGACTTCACAAAGTGCTGGAATTGCAGGCGTGAGCCACGATGCCAGACCTACTTTAATTTTAACAACTGATAGTAGAGAAACAAGTCTCACAAAGCTATGTTAATGGGAATGAAACAAAAGATTTTAAGGCAGTTTCAGCAATCTCAGGATATTCATTTTAAATTTTTATCCAAAATGAAACAAATGATGCTGTATATTCAGAATTTCTATTTTTATCAGAAGCCAAATTCAATAATTTACTCTGTAAAGTTACAGTTAAGTTCAAATTATTTCTTAATGAAGGAAATAAATTCTAGATTGAGCACTTTTGGGTTATCATTGGCAAACTAACTTTGAGACATTGTGTTGTAAAGGTTCTGCTGCAGACAATTAGTAGGCATCTTTGAGTCCATGTAGCGTGAGTACATGTAGAACTCATCATGTGATTTCAAGAACACCTAAACTGTTCTATATCTGCTGAGTAAGATGAGTTAACTGCTCCTCGTTGAATGTGTCAACAAGCAAGTGGTAGAAACAGATTTGTTTGCTGGTCTCCTCCGTTGTGTAAGGTTTTTCCTCTGTTGGAGGTTGTTACCCTGTAAGCAGATCACCTGAGATATGAATTATATTTGTTCTACTACCTATACTGTTTAGCAGGACCAGTGGCTAACCATACCCTGAAGCCAGCCTTAGAGAGGATAATTGTCTTAATAAAAACATACAGTTGACCCCTGAACAACTTGGGGGCAAGGAGCACTAATGCCCTGCAGTTGAAAACCCTCAGATAACATTTGACTCCCCCCAAAATTTAACTACGAATAGGCTATTCTTGACCAGAAGCCTTGGCAAAAACATAGTCTATTAACAGATATTTTGCATATCATATGTGTTATATGCAGTATTCTTAAAGCAAAGCGAGCTAGAGAAAAGGTTATTAGTTATTAAGAAAATCATAAGGAAGAGGAAATACATTTACTATTCATTAATTGGAAGTGGATCATCATAAAAGTCTTCATCTTTGTTATCTTCATGTTGAATAGGCTGAGAAGGAGAAGGAAAAGGAGGGGTTGGTCTTGCTCTCTCAGGACTGGCAGAGGCAGAAGAGGTGGAGGAGGTGAAAGGGGAGGCAGGAGAGGCAGGCGCACTTTATGTAACTTTTATTGAAAAAAATTCGCATATAAGTGGACCTGCATAGTAGTTTAAACCTGTGTTGTTCAAGGGTCACGTGCACACACACACACACACACACACACACACACACACAGTTATATATGCATACACATACATATGTTTATATATCACATATACATATATGTTGTGTATACTTATTGGTTAAAGTGTGTATTGTACCAAATATTGCTGTCTGCATTTCAAACTCAAATAATGACTTTTAGACCTCACTTCTTTGAATTGTAAGTACAGTTGCCATGCTGTATTGTAGGCACTTTGATGACAGAAATAAAATTTGAAATGTTTCTGGAAATCTGTATTCATCTATAATTGATTGACTGGTCAATTGGCTGGCTCGTTAGTTGCCTTGGTTACAGCATTCAAATATTTATTGGCTACCTGGTCTAAATAAGATCAAATTACAATTTAATTTCCAGTATGAGAAAAGAAAAGATGGTTTTTCCATAAAAAATTAGACAACCATGCAATTCTAGGGATCAGCCCGTAAGCACAGGCAGAGGAATTTGGATAGAACCAAAAGATATAAACCTTAGTTCCTTACTCACAGTAAGAAATAGGGCATTGTTTTCAGTGCCTCAGTTCTGGCCAGACATGGTGGGTGGCTCATGCCTATAATCCCAGCACTTTGGGAGGCCAAGGCTGGAGGATCACTTGAGCCTGGGAGTTCGAGATCAGCCTGGGCAACAAAGGGAGATGCGCCCACCCCATCTATACAAAATACTTTCTTAAAAACTAGCTGGATGTGTTGGTGTGCACCTGTGGAGCCAGCTACTCAGGAGGATAAGAGAGGATTGCTTCGGTCCGAGAGGTTGAGGCTGCAGTGAGCTCTGTTCACACCACTGCATTCTAGCCTGGGTGACAGACTAAGACTTGTCTAAAAGTAAAATAAAATAAGATAAATAATAAAAATAAAAATGGAGAATATGTCATATCCATATGTTTAAAACACCAGCATTTAAAAATAAAGCAATAACTTCAGTTTTTAAATTATATCCAGTCAAACATTTTGTTACCATAACAGTTTTATCTGTCTATAGAAATGCAAATATATAAACAAGCTTTTCCTTGACTCTTTCTACACATACTTCTAATCCATGCCTTCACGAGAATTTTACCTATATATTTATGATACATTTTTATGCTTAAAAGTCTTTTATTAGCCTATAACACTTTCAGTATAGTATTTGAAATTTAAAAATTTTGTGAACATGAGGCTCTAAGCATTAAAAAAATTCAGTCTGGATTGAGTTATCGTTTTTATTAGTGCACAACTGATCCAAACATTTATTAAAACTTTGATAAATATGTGTTGAATAAAATTTATTGGCAATGCATCTTTTAATGAAATAAATGGGGCTGTATCTATGTATGATCATTACTCATTACTAAAATTAAAAATGGCACTTCTGTTTTTCGTTTTTACAAATGTAGGCCCTGAGAAACACAGTTAACCTAAATAAGTAGACGGAACTGGATGGAGTTTGTTGTGGCTCTGTTATTCAATTCTTTGAACTCCTTTTGAGACATATAACAAAAATTCCATAGTGATTTATCATCGAAAATTAGTTTTTAATAATCTATTTGTTAAGAACTCTATTAGATCCTCACTGGATTTTGATGAAAATAATTGAAAAGGGAAACTCTCAACAAAAAAAATTTGCTAACCAATCATTTGCGTTATTCACTTTGTCAATACTGATACCAATACTTGGAACTGCTCCTTGCCCCACCGCCCTTTTATTGGTGCCTCAGAAGTTTTTTCAAACATTAAGAATATGATAAAGTAAAATTCAATTCAGGAAAGGTGAGTTGTTCACTTTTATAAAGTTTGAGAAGAGGGATTATAAATGGAAATGTGGAAATTAGGAAAGCACAGAAGACAATTTTAGTAGTTTTCGAGAGTATACATATGAAAGTTGAAGATCTGGAAGTTGATTTCCTTAAAATCATGGTCCTGTGTAGGCCTTGGAAAGGTTCCTGGTGCTCCCAGGTGTACATAAACCCCAATTTGAAGGTACTGCTCTATTGTCAGGAGAGTAATTCTTTTCTGGAGTGAAGGGGGTTTTGCTTTACAAGTTTATCACAATCTACTTCCCAGTCAATAGACCTAATAATATTATCTTACAAGTTACTCTTTTAAGACAGGTGGACAACTCTTCGTTTGTTATTGTGTGTGAAAAGAAAGCTCTTGGCTAAATTAAGTTATATAAATGATTATGTTGTTGCCAAAAGACAGAACCATCTTTAGTTCTAAAATTACCTTTCCTGGTACCCAGTTTAATCAGAGAAAATTCTTTTCTAGACTCTAGGGATTTTGAACTGTACAGGACCTGGTGAAAAGGTACTGAGAAGGAATTTTATGAAATCTCAGGCTTGGCAAAGTTTCCCTCTTCTGGGCAACCATAATTCTCTCTGCAGACTTTTATCTAACAAGAATACATTAAAATTATTTTCTTATTATCTGTCTTCTTCACCACACTATGAAGTCTTTCAGGTGAAAGGATCATGTCATACTCATTTTTGAACCCCCACTCCCCAAAACTCCTACACAATACTTGATATATAGAGGTGCTCAATAAATACGTACAGAAATGAACTCTACAGAATGAAGTGAAAAAATTCTATTTGCATGGTGTGATGTGAAAGATTAGGGAGAAAACTCTTTTGCCCTGAAATATTAACTTTCAAAGTCATCCTTAATTTATTTGATAGAGTCATTTGCATCTCTTAGAATCCTAATATTAAAAAATGAAATATCACTAAGATTTAGCTGGGAAAATAATAATAGAGAGGAGAGAAATTGTTCCCTACAGTGGGAACAATCTCTGCAACAACACTGCAGACATTGCAGGAACATGGCAAGGAGCGGAGCTTCAAGGGAGAGAATGATCTAGGAGAAGGTGAATGAAAAGTTTTATCCAGGCATGATCACCAGGGTCAGGTGTATGACTTAGGATTTGATCAGAAGCATAATAAGTAGCCATAGAGAGTATTAAGCAAAATATTGCCATGATTTTATTTGGTTATTACAAGAAACTCTGGCAGAGACTTCTTTCTCTAATAAAGTTAGCCTGAGTTAATTACACCACTCCTTATACTAAAAGCAATAAAAATTCTATAAAAATAATTTTTAAAATATATTTAAAGCATCAAAAAATCAAAAGTGAATAAGGAACTTCCAGGCCAAAACCAAATAGAAAATAGGAACCCCAAGAGATCCAAGAAACCAAATGAATTCTAAGCAGGGTAAATCAAAAGAAGTCCACAGTTAGATATATCAGAGTGAAGCTATGGAACACGAAAAACAAAGAATTTGCAATCAGCAAAATAAAAGATAACGTTTTCATTTCCTAGAGCTGCCATAACAAATGGCCACAAACTGGGTGCCCCAAAACAACAGAAACTTATTCTCTTACAGTTATGGAGGATGGAAGTCTAAGATCGAAAAAGAAAATTTGAGAGAGATAGGTTGTAGATACCTCCTTCCAATCTCTGCCTTTGACTTCACGTGGTGTTCTGCTGGGTATGATCCATCCTGGGACAAAATTCCTCTCCATCTGTCCATCTGTAAACTAGAAAACAAATTATCTGCTTTCCAAATTCAATGATGAGACAGGCATAGGATAAACATTGCCATCCCAAAAGACAGAAAGTGAAAAAAAATGGGGTCACTGGTTCGGAGCAAGCTTCCAGCAGGGAAAACTCCATTTGTCTTCAAAGCCTGAGTGAACCTGTGTGGATCAATCCACTCTCTGGGCCTGCAGAGGCCTCAGGGCCCACTTCTTTAGTCTCTGTCTCTGCATCCACAGCTCTGCTTTTGGAGTCATTCTTTTTTCTTAAAGGGTAGCAGATGTTTGTAGTTCAGCAGTTCTATCAGTCTATTTTTTTGTGTGTAGAATCTCAGAAATCCAACAGCTTTCCTTCATTTTATTGAGTCTGTCTTTCTCAGTCTAAGCTGGCATTGTTTTTGCTGCTATACCATTTTCAAAAACCTTATTGGTCACTTATATATCTCAAGGAGGTCCACACCTCCTTGAGACATGAGTATTCTCCACAGATTCTGCCTGAATAACCTCATCTCTATTTCTGGTTTCTGCTGAGATGGTTGGCTGGATCTATGAGTCATAAACCTAATCTCTCCAGCAAAAGGTTGCCAGCCACACCTTTGGTGTTCTGTTTAGCACATGCTTCAGCATTTTTTGAAATATGGATAGGCAGAGAATATTCCAAATCACAGTGTTCTGGTTCCTTTTTGTTTAACAGTTCTTTCTTCAATTTACCTCTTTCATGTCACATTTTACAGTAAGCAACAATAAAAACTCAGGCTGCACTTTCCACACTTTGTTGGGAAAGCTCCTCAGCAAAATATCCAAATTCATCACTTATAAGTTCTGTTTTCTACCTAGCCACAGAATACAATTCAGCCACATTTTCTGCACTTTATAACAAGCATTACTTTTCCTCCAGTTTCTAGTAACATATCCTCATTCCCTTCTGAGAACTCATCAGAAGCATCTCTAACATCCATATTTCTACCAATGGCCTCTCCAAAGTAGCCTGCCTTTTTTTTTTCTAATAAGCACCTTAAAATTCTTCCAGTCTCCACCCATTAACCGATTCTAAAGCCACTCTTCATTTTTAGATACTTATTTACAGTATTTTAGTAAATGTTTAGGTATCTGTTACAGCAGCACCTTGCTTCTCAGTAACAAAATCTGTATTAGCTTCCAGAGTTGCTGTAATAAATTGCCACAAACTGTGCCACTTAAATAACAAACATTTTTTCTTACATTTCTAAAAGCTTGAAGTCTGAACTCATGGTGTTGTCAGGGTTTGTTCTTTCTGGAGGCAATGAGGGAGGCTCTACGTCATGCCTCTTCCCTAGCTTCTATTGGTTGCTGGCAATCCTGGGCATTCCCTAGCTTAAAACTGCATTTCTCAAATCTCTGCCTCCTACTTTATATGGCATCCTCCCCCAGGTGCCTCTGTCTGTCCTCTCCCCTTCTTATGAGGACAAAAGTCATTAGTTTAGGACCCACCCTGAATCCAGGGTGATTTTGTCTTGAGATCTTTAATTAACTACATCTGAAAATACCCTATTTTTAAATAGGGTCACATTTTGAGGTTCTGGATGGATATTAATTTTGGGGGAACATCACTGAACCCAATACAGGTCCAGCAGAAGAGCAACAGCAGACTGGTTTTCAGTAGTGATAATAGAAACTAAAAAACAGTGAAGGCTACTTTCAGCATACTGAGAGAGAAAGTGACTTCTAACCTAGTGAAAACATATTTTTAAAACAGACCCAAGATAAGGTCATTTTCAGACAGTTACAGAGTAAGCTTGCAACCAGTAGATATTCACTAAAGAAAATTCAAAAGAATGCACTTCAGGCAGAAGGGAAATAGGACTAGATGGCAAAAAGAATGAAGAGTGCAGAACAAGTTAAATTGTGAGTATATCTACATGAGCATGAACAGTATAAAATAGTAATAATAACAGTAGAATTTTTAAAAAGTAAAAGTAAAGTAAATAACTAAAATATGTGAATCAGGAGGGGGTAAGTTGAGTTAAAAATGCTCTAAGGATCTTATAAAAAGTGAAAGTAGTGATTACTTTGGAATTTTGTTTATATTAAGTACACAGTTTAAAATTTCTAGGGTAGCCACTAAAAAAGAGGAAAAAGTGATAAATTTTAAAACAAGTAATTAAAAACAATAACACACATACACAATCAACCAGTGAAAAGGAAAAAGTAAGTAGAATAGGTGGGAAAAATATAAAATACCAGATATGTTGCTAAATTTACACAATCTGCAGTAAGTTACATTAAATGTAAACAGACTAAATGAACCAAAGAACAAATATTGTCAGAAGGGATAAAAAATACAACTGCATGATATTTGTAACAAACATAACTCAAATATGTGTATACAAAAGATCAAAAATGAGGGAATGCAAAAAGAAATACCATGGAAATACTTACACTAAACATTCTTGGGTAAAATGCATTACTAAAAAAAAAATAAGGAATTCCTATATATTGATTAAGAGGTTTCACTTACCAGGACAATATAACAATTTTATATTTGTCTTCACATATTACAGCTTCAAACTCTATTATTCAAAACAATAATTCAATGAAATAAAAATAAAAATAAAGAAAAATCAAGTATGCTGGATGCAGTAGTTGACACCTGTAATCTCAGCATTTTGAGAGGCTGAGGCGGAGTGATCACTTGAGGCCAGGAGTTTGAGGGCCTGTTTCTACAGGGGAAAAAAAATCAATTACAATGGGTAATTTTAATACACTTTTCTCAGCAGTTTATAGAGAAACAAGTAAGAATATATTAGTAAGATCATATAAGATTGGAAATTACTAAGACTACATAATATTTGAAAAATAAAATTAATACAATTGATGTAAAGTACAAATTCAACCATTGTTGCATACACAGTCTTTTTAAGCACAGATATAGCATCTTCAAAAATTGACTGTAAAATGAGCCATAGCAAATTTTACTGCATTTCAAAGGGCTGAAGTAAGATAAAGCACATTTTCTTATCACATCCAATTAAACCAGATATTATTTTTTTAAGTGTAAGTAAAATAGTTCCACACTTATAAATTAAGAATAGTACACTAACTAACCCATGAGTCACTTCTAACAAACTCTTGTGGGATAGGTAAAGTAGTTTTAACAGGAAAATGTATAATCTTAAATGTATATTAGAAATATAAGGGCTGAAATTTAGTGAGCTAAGCATCCATTGCAAGAAGTTAGAAAAAAACCAGCAAAATGAACTTATAGAGAAGAAGGAAAACAATAAAAATAAGAACAGAAGATAATTAAATGGAAGACATACAACAGAGAGGAACAATTTAACCAAAATTTGGTTCTCTAAAAGTGTAACTAAATTGACAAAATTCTAGTACTACTAAATGTGGGTGTGTCTGTGTGTCTGTGTGTGTGTGTGTGTGTGTGTGTAAAGGTAGAATGAGAACTAAGAGTAATTACTACTATCAGGAATGAAGAGACATTACTAGAAGCAAAAACAAGTTAATAAAATATAAACAATTTTATGCCAATATATTTGAAATTTCAGACAAATTCCTGGAAAAAATGCATTTTCCTCAAATTGACTGGAGAAGAAAACTTAAGTAATTCTTTACCATTTAAATAATTTGAATTAGTAAAGACCTTTCCAAAATAAGGAAAAAATATCTCCACATCCAACTGACTTCAACTTTGAGTTCTATTCAATGCTCAACAGAGAAATCATGCTACTGTTACTGTTTTGTTTGTTTGTTTGTTTGTTTGTTTGTTTTAAAGAGATAGGGTCTCACTCTGTCATCCAGGCTGGAGTGCAGTGGTGCAATCACAACTCATTGCAGCCTTGAATTCCGGGGCTCCTGCAATCTTCTCATCTCAGCCTCCTAAGTTGATGGAACTACAAGTATGTGCCACTATGCCTGGCTAATTTGTTGTTGTTGTTGTTTTAGAGATGGGGTCTCACTATGTTGCCCAGGCATGTCTCAAACACCTAGCCTCAAGGGACCCTCCCACCTCAGCCTCTCAAAGTTCTGGGATTACAAGCATGAGCAACCATGCTGGCCATATTTTTTTTTTTACATATGAAAAAGAGAGCATTCCTCAAATCATTTTAGTAGGTTAACCTAACCTCCATACAAAAACCTGACAAGTACACTACCAGAAAGGAAAATTAAAGATAATTCCACTCATGAATATAGTTACAACAATCTTCAAAAGGACAACAGATCACAAACAAGTCAACATTTATATAGTCTATCACAAAAAACAATTTGAAGGATAAAAATTACATGATCATTTCAATAGAATAAAAAAGTGTTTAAATTCAGCATCTATCTATAACTTTTTTTAAATACCCTCTTAAAAAACTAATAATAAAAGTGAAATCCATTAATCCAATAGAGGCTATCTGCCAACGCCTACAGCAAACATTCTTAATGATGAAATGCTAATATCTTTCTATTTAATATTAGGAATAATATAAGAATGCCTGTTAGCACCACTTATATTCCGTCTTTTTACTGGAGATCTAAACCAGTGCATCTAGGCAAAAACAAAATGAAACATATAAGTTTTGGGGAAAAAAGTAGCAGCACTGCCATAATTGCTGGCGATACGACTGAGTAAACAGAAACTTTTAAATAATCTAAATAGAAATTATTAAAATTAATAAGAGAATATAGCAAGGTTGATGAATACAAAATAAATACACAAAATTTTGTGTTATATAACTATATGTAGCAATGAACATATTAAAGTGAAATTAAAAGATATAATTTTAATAACAAAATTATGGGTATTTAGAATATATTAAACTATGTTTAAGAGAGCTGTAGGAAACTTTTATAGAATATTATTGAACATAGTTGCTGGTTTAAAGGAGCACTGGTTGAAGTTTTGACAATTTGAGCATCAGAATGAAAAATGAGATAATGGCATTAAATGCACGGCATTAAAAAATAAAATTTATGAGTTCATGCTGATAGCAAAAGCATTAAAAAGGAAGGTGAGAGAATGGAAAGTTCTCTACAAAAGAATGCCAACTAATAAATGTTAAAGGGATGATAAAATTTTAAGTCACTCTTTTGCAACCTCTATAGTAGTAATTGATCATCAATGAATGCTCAAATCACTAGGTGAGAGATTACTGGGGAGCAGGATGTGCATATAATTTTATAATATCACCCAGTGGGTTACTCATTAATTTCAAAGAAAAAAGTTACATTCTCAAAGGTGAAATCTTTCAGATATCACCTTAACAAAGAGATCAAACTTAACGTTAGCAATAATGAAACAAACTGAAATCAAGAGTATCTGGAGGTGAGCACTGAGCAGGAAATAAAAGCTGTCACGGAACCCCTGCCAAAACCCTTAACCAAAATTGGATCACGAGAAAACAATAACATATTCAAGTTGAAGATTTACAAAACAATGGCCTAGATTTCTTAAAAAATGTCAACTTTATGAAAGAAACAAAAAGATTGTGGAGGGGGCTGGAGAACTGCTCTAGTCTGAGGAGATGAAAAATATGTGAAAACTAATATATTGCATGATCTTAGATTGTTTCTGGATTAAAAACAAATGCCCGGACATCTAGGAAGGTTTTGGATTTGACCAAAGAAGCAGGACTGCTGTAAGTGAAACCGAATATGGTATTTATTGTGGAGATTGGGTGGGATGCAGTTGTAGAAGCTGGTGGAGCAATCTATGCAAGCTGTTGCCTCTGTTTCTAGTATTAAGTCTAAAGTTGATTTAGGTCAGCCAGACAAGCAGTAAGGAAAGAAGGGTGCACGTGATGAGAGCAAAGGGAAACCAGGACTGAGTCTTGTTCTCACTACCAACAACCTCAATGCAGTGGGAAACCTACAAGAGAAGCTTGCCCCTTTTCCCATGGAGCTGCACATGCACTTGGCCAGGACTTCCGGAAACTGAAGGAGATTCAGCAGGAGCTGGAGGGTCTGGATGTTATCTCATACCAACAAGGTGGGCTAGCAGAGCAGTGAGAGCATGTGTGAACTGCCACGGTGCCAGGTGCTCAGCAGCGACTTTCAGAGTGTGACAAGATGCCTGCAGCTTCACTTCTACCTTCCCAATCTCATGCAAATTTCTCTTATGGGCAATGCCAAATCAGAAGCATGCAGGAAAGAGAATTCTGAGAAATGTAGCTCCATCTTAACTAAGTCTAAAAGTGTGCAAAGCAACTACAGTCTACTCTTTGCCAGCTTCCCATCAATATGTAACTCTTTTGATTGTACTTGTCTTCTGAATAAAGACAATAACAAAATCGTGCTTTGGCCTAACCTGATGAAAATATTCCCCATGCAACATCAAAACATGAGGACTCTGCAACTGACAATGTCTGTGTCACCCCAAAATTTATATGTTGAAATCCTAACTCTCAGTGCGATGATATTAGAAGGTCATGGGGATGAAGGCCTTGTGAATGGAATTAGTGTCTATATGAAAGAGACTCCAGAGGCTTTCTTGCCCTCTCTCCACCATGTGAGGATACAAGAAGTCAGCAGTCTGCAATCCAGAAGACAGCCCTCACCAGACCCCAACCAGGCTGGCACCCTGATCTCATAAATCTAGACTCCCACACTGTGAGAAATAAATTTCTGTTTTTCTCATAAGCCACCCAGTTATGTTACATTGTTGTGGCAGTCTGAACTAAGAAAGACTCTTTTTCCCAAAAGAGGAGGCCAAGTCCCTTTTTCCACCTTTGTGTGATATTCATTTCTCTTCTAGCTATGCCACACTCTCCCTTTAGCATCCTATAATTTAACACTGAGGTATAAGATTAATACTATTAATACATTATTTTAGAAGGTACAGGAATGGTAGCAGGGAAGAAAATAATTTAAATAAGGAAGAAACACTTTACATTATTATAGTTCTTGTTTTTGCAACTGGTCACATGATTGCAATTGGTATTTATAACTACCTCCTTTCAGTACCCATTCCCTATTCCCTTCACCCTCAGCAAGGACCTCTGATGGTCATGGTGGGGTGACTCAAACCGTCATTCATAAAGGGTGTGGGCCATTAGCTTTCCTGTATTGTGTTAATGTAGCTTTCCATTGATTTAATCACAGGACAAGGGAATGCTAGGAGACACCACTAGAGAATCTTTTGTATTCCAGACATACTCCTCCTTGCCCCTATCATGTAGTAGCGTTCCTCACTCCAGCCAATTCAGTAATCCAAAACCCTAAGATTAATTTGTGTTCTCTGAATTAATTACATAGAGATGCTAGCAAGAACAGTACTGGCCAATCGTTGTGGGTGGAAGCATCAAATGAGTATAGGCAAAGGAAATGAAAAGAGTGGATATAGAAAACATTTTTTAAAAGTTTGATGGGAAGTGGTAGAACTTGGCTTGTATAATATCACCCAGTAGGTTACTCATTAATTTCAAAGAGTGAAATAACATCCTTTGGCCACTCATCTCTTTCCAGCCAGAAAAGAGATGAGTGGCCAAAGGATGTTAGAGTGTGTCTTTGTGTGTCTGTGTAGAAGTTTCTAAATGAGAACTGTTTCTTCTCCCAGTTGAGTAAGTGGTAAAACCATGCACCCACCTACTCAAACCAAAAGCTTAGGTATACTTCACATGTACTACCTTTCTTTGAGCTCCATATCCAGTCTGCCAGTGAGTCCTGATGTCTGTCCCTGCAAAATATATCCAAATACAATTACATCTTGCCACTTCCATTGACCATCTCAGTTGACAACATTTTTCACCTGACCACTGCAATAAGCCTCCTAGCTTGTCCCTTTGCTTCCATTCTTGCTGCATTTCCCCCTCTCCTACTCCAACGCCCAACCTTTTTTCCACACAGCAGTCAGAGTGATCTTTTAGAAGAGGAATCAGAGCATGTCTCTACTGCAGTAAGCCTCCTAGTAATTTTTCCTCCATTTACCTACCATGGCCTACGGGACATTCCTTGATCTGGCCCCAGCACCAACCTCATTTTCTACCTTTATGCTCCAGCTCAGGTGTCCCTTACTCTGATCCTTGAACATATCAAACTTACTCCCCTCTCTCAGTCTTTTTTGCATTTGCCCTTTGCTTTGCCTGGAATGCTTTGCCTCTGCTGGATCCTTGCGTGGCTGGCTCTACCGTTCTCACCTAGTCTCTGCTCAAATGGCCCCTCTATAGAGATGGGCCCTCCCACCTCCCCATTCAATTGACCCATCATGTTTTATTTCCTTTATAGCCCATATCAGCATCTAAAATTATCTTGTATATATACATAGCATAGTATTTGTTTATTTTCGTCCTCCCTTTCGGTGTGTAATAAACTTCCTGAAACCTAAGACCTTTTCTGTCTTTTTTTATGTTCTATCTCTAAATTAAGAAGAGTGGCTGGCACATAATAGGTGCTCAGCAAATATTTGTTGAAAACAAATGAATGAATAATTCCCAAAGGTAAAAAGAGAGATAACACAAGAGATAGAATAATTTACATGTTAAATTGTGCAGTTATTCTCCCCCAGATGCAACGTCCACCCCTCCTGGCATTGCTCTGTCTTAGGAAGCTGAGCCCTGTAGACTTCAACATTCCAGTTCCTTCCTAGTTGGTTTCTGGTTGGGTTGAGTAAGTAGCGGGAACTGGCAAGAAGATTGAAGAATGGGAGAGAGGACAGTATTTCTTCTCCATTTCCTGTTTGCTTCAAGACCACTTCCTCACAAAGACTGAACTTCCCTGAAATGATAGTCTCTCCCTCCTCTTCCCCAAGACTGCAATTCTCCAAGTTCCAGTAACAGCATTACTACTGCTCATCCCTTCAGTTCTAGGGGTGGTAATTCCTGATACTGCTAGTTCCTGGGTGCTCTAACATTTTTCTTAGGCCTCTTAACTGTGACCAAACCTCCATAAGTAGCCTCTTATTGAAAGTCTCTCTATTGGAACCATTTGGAATATGTAGGTTGTCTTCTGCCTGCCCTTCAAGATCCACTTTCCACCTTTCTCCACCATATTTTGTGTACCAGGAAGCTAAACCATCTAGACTTGACCAATGAAGTCCATTAGCCGAAGTCTTTCAGTAGAGTTCAGCTAAAAAGAAATACCAGCAGGAAATTAGAGGGTGAAAGAAACATCAAGTCAGGGTATTCATTCTCCCTCTTCAGTTGTCAGTTGTCTCAAACTGAATGCCTTTATCCCATTTCTTAGCTCCTGTCAGGAAGTTCATTCTTATACCCAGTCTGTACTTTTGACTCTTGTCACTTCAGATCTTGAGGTATTGAAAGCTCTCTGCTGCTCCAGGTTACAGGGTGTTGTTCCATCACGTGTTGCTTTTCCCAAACCTTGTGCACATCTTTGCATATAGTCCCTTTATTAAACTCTCCAAATTACTCAATTTGATTGTGCCACGTGTTACCTTCCAGGACCCTGACTGGCAAATGCAGTGAGGCTCAACCATTGCCATATCAGATGATGCCTCTCCAGTGAGCTGTCAGTGCATATTAGTTTATTTCAATGCAAAGGATTGTGCTTGTTATTCCAATACTTTCCTCTCTCACTAAGCAATCGTGACTTAATCAAACTTGGACAACACATACTTGTGAAAAGAACGGGAGATGGGGCAGCTCCGCCTTACATGAGATTCTCCGAATGCAGGTTTTTGTCCTTCAGGATCCACTGAACTTTCTGAGCATCACATTGGGCTACCTGTTTGTGCTCTATCTGCTCTGCTGTGCTAAAGGGAAGGGTTGTATAGACTATGGGTCAGTATTGGAGCCATCTCTTGTTATGCTGAGAATTCTTTTTTTCCCTTTTTTCAAATTTATTTTTATTGAAATAAAATGTACATATATAATTTACCAGCTTTACCATTTTTAAGTGTACAGTTCAGTGATAATAAATACATTTATACTATTTTTCCTCCTTCATCCTTCCCTTCCCCTGAGTGCTGAGAATTCTTAATCTCAGTCTACAACTACTTGAAGTTCACACTTCAGGCAGTTATCAATTTGAAAATGAGGCCATGCTGTGTAATGGTGAGATCATGGCAGTCAGATATACCTGGATCTAAGTCCTGACTGTCTCATTTGCCATGGATGTGCTAACAATGGCCACACACCAACACTAACACTCTCTCTGCTAAAACAGAAGGATGTCCACGCTGTGACAGGCAGATCACAGTTACCTTATATTCAGAAATGACCTCTCATTTTTTGGGTCTCTTTGTGCTGCATCTGTTCTGCTGTGGTGATGGGAGGGGTTTTACAGGCCAGGCTGAATTTTGAGGGGGAAGAAGACACCTTCCAGGTAGAATACTCCTTGGAAGTGTTCCCTCCTATTGACAGAAATCACTGTTGCTGTGTTACTTCCTGTATTTCACTGTGGAACCACATCCTCTGCCCGAAGCAATCCAAGTTGCTGCTGATTAGCATTCATACATATAATTCAAGGACTGTATTTAGACACACAAACTCAGGGTGTAAAAGAATGTGTATTAGTCTGTTTTCACACTGCTATAAAGAACTACCTGAGACTGGGTAATTTATAAAGAAAAGAGGTTTAACTGACTCACAGTTCTGCATGGCTGGGAGGCCTCAGGAAACTTAGAATCATGAGAGAAGGTGAATGGAAAGCAAGGCATGTCTTATATGGTGGCAGGAGAGGGAGACAGCGATGGAGGAAGTGCTATATTTTTAAACAATCAGATCTTGTGAGAACTCACTCACTATCACAAGAAGAGCATGGGAGAAACCGCCTCCATGATCCAATCACCTCCCACTAGGTCCCTTCCCTGACACATGGGGATTATAATTTGAGATGAGATTTGGGTGGGCACACAGAGCCAAACAATATCAGAAGGCATGCCACATATGTGACTTTTTAATGTAACTTTTCCACATTAAAAAAAAAACACGCAAGGTCACCGATACACAGGCTCTGGGTGGCCTTCCAGAACAGAGCCCACGTAGCTTAATCAGGCCATAGCTAAATGAATGCATGATGAGCAAGTGGAGTTTGTGTGGCCTGTTTCAGTTCTTCTGAACTCTGACCCTATTTGTATCAACTGAAGATTCGAAAACAGTGTCTTTCTCTTCAATTAGCTTTAGGCATAACCGGAAGTTGGTGTGTATCAGTTAGAATTTGATCGCATGCAAAAAGGAAAATATTCTCATGGTAGCTTTCGCATAGAAGAACTCAGATTTCTCACCTAACAAGAAGACTTGTCCAGGAAGGTGCAGCTACTTGATGAGCCAGGCAGGGACCCAGACTCACACTTTTTGTCCTGCCAAGCTTACCTTGTAACGTTCATAAGCACAATTATAACATGACTGCTATAGACCAAGTAAATATCTGCATTCCTGACAGGAGGAAGGGGAAAGGGGCAGAAAGCCAAAAGGGCTGAGTTTCCCCAGAGATTTCTGATTACATTCATTGGTCAGAACTGGGTTCCATGGCCAGCCCTAGCTGCAAGGGACTCTGGGAAGATATTTTTAACAGAGTCCCTAACTATCATGACAAAATTGGGGTTCTGTTACTACAGAAGAAAAGAAGAGCTTGGGAAGGCAACTAGCAGTGTCTGATCTGTGCTAAAAATTTAATTTTTCTTTTCTTGCTCTCAATTATATATTTTCTTCCTTCTTCTGATGCAGTTCACTCTCTGTCCCTAGAAGCACTTTTTACATACCCGTCCCAGAAAGAAGAGTTTACTCTCAGTTGCAGTAGTAGATGTAGAGTATTTGTGAGTTGAAAGTGAAGTTGGGATTGGGGTGGACCCTCAATTATAACCTCAATCAAGGTAGTTTTACATAGGCATATTTTGCCCCTCAAAAATCAGACTTTCCTGGATGGGTACAGTGGCTTAAGCCTGGAATCCCAACACTTTGGGAGGCTGAGGTGGGTGGATCACTTGAGGCCAGGTATTCAAGACCAGCCTGGCCAATATGGTGAAACCCTGTCTCTACTAAAAAGATGAAAATTAGCCGTGTGTGGTGGTGGGCACCTGTAATCCTAGCTACCTGGGAGGCTGAGGCAAGAGAATCGCTTGATCCAGGGAGGCAGAGGTTGAATTGAACCAAGATTGTACCACTGTACTCCAGCCTGAGCAACAGAGCAAGACTTCACCTCAAAAAAAAAAAAAAAAAATCAGGCTTTCTTGTAGGATTATGAGTTCTGCTTCAAAATAAGATTTTTGTAATATAGCTGAAGAAGGAGAACACAAAAGCTCTTAGGGTTGGAGAGAAATTATAACCTCAATCAAGGTAGTTTATTCCTTTTCACAATTTATTTTCATTTCTTCTCCCTTGCCAAGTTTATTACATTATCCTTATTGTCATTATAAAGTTAGAAAAATTTTTAGAAAACATTTGGGAAATAGAGAAAAGAATAGTCACTAATAGTTTTACTATTCCAATACTTCCACTATTATTGTACTTAATATTTCTTTTTTTTTTTTTTTTTTGAGATGGAGTTTCACTCTTGTTACCCAGGCTGGAGTGCAATAGCACGATCTTGGCTCACTGCAACCTCCGCTCCCAGGTTCAAGCGATTCTCCTGCCTCAGCCTCCTGAGTAGCTGGGATCACAGGCTTGCGCCATCATGCCGGGCTAATTTTTTGTATTTTTAGTAGAGATGGGGTTTCACCATGTTGGCCAGGCTGGTCGCGAACTCCTCACCTAAGGTGATCCACCTGCCTCAGCTTCCCAAAGTGCTGGGATTACAGGCATGTGCCACTGCGCCTGGCCTGTACTTGTATATTTCTTGTTGTTAAATCATAATATTCATTGAATTTCACATCCCTGTTTTACAATTAGCATATCATAAGCATTATTGTTATTAGAATTTATATCACAAATGTTATATATGGGTGAGTGTGTGTGTGTATAGTCATGCACTGCAAAATGATGTTTTAGTCAATGACTGCATATACAATGGTGGTCTCATAAGATTATAACACTGTATTTTTATTGTATGTTTTCTATGTTGACATACACAAATACTTACCAATGTGTTACAGTTGCCTATAGTATTTAGTACAGTAACATGATGCACTGGTTTGTTGCCTAGGGGCATAGGCTATACCGGATAGCCTACATGTGTAGTAGGCTACACTATTTAGGTTTGTGTGAGTATACTCTATGATGGTCACACAATGGCAAAATTACCTAACAACACATTTCTGAGAACGTGACTATGTATAGTAAAACTAATAAATTCTTATAGGAATGTTGATATTCAAAAAGATCAAAATATTAGCCACCACTTAATGAGCATTTAATATCAGGCATGGTATTAAGCACATTCTCAAATCCATTAACTCATTTATTTCTTACAACACCCTATGATCAAGATATTATTATCATCCCTATGAACAGGTAAGGAAACTGGAGCTCAGAGATGGTTAAATGCCCTTTCTAAAATCCCACAGCTAGTGTTCATTTCATTTTTAAAAATAATAATATGTATAATAATGATATATAATTCTGGTAATAGAGCATTAATGCAAAATTTCACTCCAACCCTAAGAGCTTTGTGTTTTCCTGCTTCAACTTTATTACAGAAATCTTATTTTGAAGCAGAACTCATAATCCTAAGAAAGCCTGAATTTTTTTTTTTTTTTGAGATGGAATCTCGCTCTGTTGTCCAGGCTGGAGCGCAGTGCAAGCGAGCCTCCTGCCTCAGCCTCCCAAGTAGCTGGGATTACAGGTGCCCACCACCATACCTGACTAATTTTTGTATTTTTAGTAGAGACAGGGTTTCACCATGTTAGCCAGGCTGGTCTTGAATTCCTGGCCTCAAGTGATCCACCCACCTCAGCCTCCCAAAGTGCTGGGATTACAGGCTTGAGCCACTGCACCCGGCCAGGAAAGCCTGATTTTTGAGGAGCAAAATGTGCCCATGTAATGACATGTAAAGTGAAGATTTGAAAATGATCCTATCAAGTTAATGAATTATATCTGTTTTATTCAACTGGGCCCTCTATTCTAATCAAATTACTATTTGACTCTGCTGCATACACAAGCTTTTTAAAAAAAAATTTGACAATTCTCTGCACTCAGCTTAATCATGTCACTTTCCTGTGATCTTTTGTGTTATTTATTAAAACAAATGATTATCCATATCAAAGTGTAGTTTTTCCATTTTCCTCTCAGTCATGACATAGATATATTTGGAATAGGGACGTGCTGCTGTCCTATCACTCTTCCTAAAAGGCAGAGTTGGGAAAGTGAGAAAAGCCCACAGTGTTACTTAGGATATTCCTAGATAGCTTATTGCCATAAAGCAGCAAACTACTAGGTGATTATCAAGCGAAATGATGAGTACATTGATTTAATATTTTTCTTAACCTTTTTGTTGCAACAAGAGAGCTCATCGAAGAAGATACTTTAATGTTCCCATTCAAAATGATTAAGCCAGAAAGGATTTAGGGCACTCTAGGCCTGTTATTTAACTAGAACAATGAAAGTAAATATATGTCTTCGAAACATTTATTTAGTTTTTGTTTTAATAAGTAATATTCAAATGATTTATTTAAAACTTTTTAAAAAACTTGAACAAAGTAAACACTGAGAAGGCTCCGTCCTACCTTGCACTATCTATCTCATTCCTACTCCCCCTATGAATAACTGCTTGTATTAATTGTTCATATTGCTTCCTCCACTTCTTGTATAAAATGTAGATTATCATCACTTTACTCCACACCTTGAGTTTTATCTTTAACAATATTTCCCCGAGATTTTTCCTTATCAGGACATCTTATGCTTCCTCATTGTTTTTTCACAGCTACCTAATATTCCATTGTGTGCATGTACCATAATTTAATTAACCACTCTGCTGATAGACACTTGGGTTGTTTCTAATCTTCTGCCTTCACAAACAATGCCATCATGAATAACCTTAGACATAAATCATTTTGATGTGTGCAGATGTGTCAGTAAGATGCATTCCCAGAAGTGAGACTGCTGGGTCAAAGGGTAAATACATTTGTAACTATTAAAAATATTGCCAAAATGTCCTTTATGGGGTTGTGCCATTGGGTTCTGCCACTAGCAATGTATGAGAGTACCTATTACCCCATAGCCTCAGAAACAGAATTTTGTTCAACTTATTCACTGTTGCCAATCTGATAAGTAAAAAACTGGTGTTGGTTAGTGAATCTGGCTTTAATTCACAGAGAGATAACATGCAATTTCGAGTAATGTGAAAGACTTTTTGTGGTTGTGATTTTTGTTTTTCATACGATCTGTGTCTGCCACACACTATCCTGAAGTCCTGTGTCACAAAATCACTGCTATAAGTGGAACTGTGTCAATGAGGGCTTCCAGGACTTATATATCATGCCTTTTGACATAAGGCAATAGGTATGGTGTCAGGAGCCCTTGTATTCAAGCCAAGAGAAAAATGAAGCATCAAGGAGTCAAGTCCTAGACCTTCCTGTAACTGATTATGTCCTTTGAGCCAGTCATTGAATCACTAAAGGTTCAATATCCTTATGCGGTGAAAGTATCGGGAAGCAGAATAATGAAAAATGAGATAAAGTTTTAACGACTCTTGCTGAGGAAGGAGAAGGATGGGAGAAAACACCAATTTAAGGCAGCAAAATTGTGCCTTACTGATACCATCAATTGGAAATATTGGACTTGTGATGATCTGGGTAGAATAAAATAGTTATACTCTGGAGTCTATTTTGTTCCAACATGTTGAGATGTTCATATGGACCCGACATGGTGAAATGTTCAGATGGACCTTTGGGATACTAAATTCTGGTTACAATGGGGCCAAGCCAATACTGAATTTAAAAGGGACTGGTGTTTGTAAATACTTTGACTCAAAATCTATGATTGGATACAGATTAAATTTATTATGTTTTAGAGATCGTGCATATCTTATGACCATAATTTTAATTAAATTTAAATTTCAAGCTAGTCTGCTTAAAATTGTACATTAGATTTCGGGCCATTGATATTTATTAAATAACTATCCCCTGGATGCTAAATATTTAACTAATAATATGTAATAGACACATTTTCGAAACATTTAGCTGAATGTATAGTACAATCCTGTTTCATCTGAAACCTTGTGTGTTTACTGGTAGATATTTGTATAGAATAATATTGGAGAGACTATACATTAAAAGTGGATAGTCTTTCAAACAATTCCATCTAAGTTGTAGAATTTCAAGTAACTTTAATTTTTTGCTTGCTCATATGAATTTCTATAATTTTCCAGAAAGAATATTTATTATCTTTGACAAATAATTTTGTAAAATCACGGAAAAATATTTTGAGGTTAAAGATGGGACTGGAGGGAGACTTTCATTGCCAAAAGTTCAGTTCAAAGAATTCTCGTATCTAGTCAATGCTGTTCAACCAACCAGAAGCATTTTAAAAGAGGTAGGGTAACAATTTGCTAGGTGCTTTTTTCTATATTAGTGATCTCTCTCAACACTCTCTGTAGTGTCATTTCTTCCTTTTTTACATTTTTTATTTGAAGACAAAATAGAAGAAATCATAGAGCTTGAAGGTGAAAAGCCTTTCAAAATATCTATTTGGTATGTAAACATAATTTTTCAACCACTTTGTTTTATGCCTCTCATGATTTCCAACAGATATAATAGGTCTTAGTTCCATTTTCTATTGTATTATAATGGTTATTTTCACAGGACGCTGTTCACAGTATCTTCTTAACTGGTCTCTGGGCAATGCATCTGACAAAAAGCCAGATTAGTATGTTCCTAAAACACCACTTTCATTATGTAACTTTCCTGCTCAAAAATCTCCAATAGTTTCTCTCATTTATTGTCATGATTTTCGAGCTTTTAGACAGTAGAACATTTTCTTGCCCTAAAGAATACTTATGTGGAATCCCTATGAATAAAACAGATGACAGTAGTGTTTTATTAGAACTTATGATAAAGTCCATCAATAAAAATCATGAGGCTATTTTGATACACACAGAAAGACAATCGAGTGTTATGGTTGAAACTGAAAGTCTTCAGCATTCAAATATATTTCCATATTTTATTCTGGTTACATAGAACTGAAAAACATCTCCATTTATAAAAAATAAGCAGATGATGTTAATAAAAGGTTTTTTAATAGCTAAGCTTTAAATCACAATGAATCAAAAATTACATAAAAAGTTTACCCCAATGTTTGCAACAAAAGTTAATGTGTTGGTAGAAGTCACTGTGTTAAAAAGTGATAGATTACACATTTGAGTGTGGGTGCTGATTTGCTTCTCTGTTTGTATCCTTGTTTCTTTTAACTATAGAACTTAATATTCACGAATATATTTTTAAAATATTTAAGATCAGGTTGATTTTAAAAAGCTTTTTAGTTCATGGAAAGATTTTCAGCAAATGAGAGTCAGTTGGTTCTTTGCAGCTTTAAACTAGACGTTCTTTTTTTCTCAATCCTATGTACACTGTCAAACATCTTTTTCTATAAAAAGACCAGTTTTGTCTGCCGAGGTGGAAAACATTCTTCCTTGTTGATCTCTGCAAGTGTAGGGAATTGTTTTTTTGGTATTCACACTCTTCTCACTTTGATATTGTGCGGATCACTGAGGCCTTGAACCTATGGAAATACATCTTTCGCCAAAAGTTCCAAGACCATCCATTTACTGAGGACTTGGCCTTCGAGTCCTCAAACTCTGAAAATTATCTCCTAAATAAACATCAGGATCTAAGCCGTACAAGCCTCTGAGATTGCTCCTTTGGCCTTACATGTGTGTTTTCATTGTGTTATTTTTATATTTTTCCTGATGATTATTGTCCGTTTCATTTTTTCATGATTCACTTTTAGTTTCTCAGAATCTATTCTTCTAATGATTTAACCCATGCACTCAAATAAAAAGCACAGTCTCATACCATTTTCACTTTTTGAATTATCTTTACTTTTTGTCATAATTGTACTCTGCCTTTTATTACTTAACACTTTTAAACATTCTTTTTTTATACTTATCACTCTCGATAGGGTAAGTACTGTTTGAAAACACTTTAAAACTAAGCACACATTCAGCAAACACAGTCACTTCTCAAGTACAGTAGCCAAGAATAAAATGAACAGGCCAGGTGTGGTGGCTAGTGCCTGTAATCTAGCGCTTTGGGAGGACGAGGAGGGAGGATCACTCCAGGCCAGGAGTTCAAGACCAGCCTGGGCAACACAGGGAGACCGTGGCAAAAAATATTTAAAAACTAGCCAGGCATGGTGGCATGTGCCTGAAGTCCCAGCTACTTGGGAGGGTGAGGTGGAAAGACACTTAAGCCCCAGTATTTCAAGGCTGCAGTGAGCTATGATCATGCCACTGCACTCCAGCCTGGGTGTCAGTGCCAGACCCTGTCTCTAAATAAATAAATAAATAAATAAATAAATAAATAAATAAATGGCACAATTGTGGATACCATCTGTGGGTGGCAGGCAGAAGTGACTCTCTACTGCCCCAGAGGCTAGCTCTGTTGTTAGTCTATGGCAGTGTGTAAGTTGCAGGTTTGTAAGCTGATTTTTCTAAGGAGTTTCTATAGTTAAGTGTACTTTTAAAAGACAATTTAAATTTTTTAAGAAAAGCAATTAAAATCAAGCATTAGCAGAACATAACTACGTGTTTAACAAGGGTTACCAAATTTATCTTATAAAGGACCAGATAGTAAATATTTTATTCTGTACAAGTCACACAGTCTCCAGTGAGATTGCTTAACTCTGTGACTGTAACACAAATACAGCCATAGACAATATGTAAGCAAATAGGCATGACTATGTTCCAACAAAACTTTATTTACAAAAACAGGGAGTGGGCTAGATTTGGCCCACAGGCTATAGTCTGCTGACCCCGGGATAGAGTATAAACAATTCTTGTTTGTCTTACCCAGTGTACATAAATAAATAAATAATCATTATGGTAGATTAAATATAGCTGCAAATTCTTTCCTACTTCTTCCACTGAGAGGTGGAGTCTAAGTTCCCTTTCCCTGAATCAGAGTTGTCCTTTGTGACTTCCTTGACCAGCAGAATGCTGTGTAAATATCATTCTGGGACTTCTGAGGCTAGATAAGAAGTCTCATAGCTTCCTCTCGGGCCTCTTGGAATGCTTGCTTTAGAGAAGCCTCCACCATCTAACAAGGCCAACAACCCTCAGGCTGTCGTGTAGTTAAGAAGTACAAGTCACGTGGCAAGGCCCTGGAGGATGAAATATCCTATGGAGAGAGAGAGAGGCAAAGAACATCAAGGTGCCAGAGATGCGAATAAGGAAGCCATCTTGGACGGGATCCCAGGTTGAGCTTCTGCCGCTGGTGCCCAAGTAGTATGGAGACAAACCACCCCCACCTCACTGTGTCTGAATTCCTAACTGACCCAAATAAATGCTGCTATGGTTGTTTTAAGCCATTAGCTTTTAAGGTGTTGTAGGGAGTTCAAGGACTTCAGGTGTATCAGCTATAAAGGGATTTCAGGTATATTGAGGGAAAAACAAGACTATGATGGGCAGTAGCATACAACGAGCTTTCCCTGTTAGGCACAAAAGAGTGGGGTCTGTTGGCAGGCAAAATGCAAATACTCTGGAATCAGTGAAAGAAAGCACTTCTCTGCAAGTTTTGAGAAGGGATCTGGAATGGATCTTTTGCTCTGTTGATTAGATCATATTCTTTGGACTCTACTTTTCTCTCAGGCTGCATCTGAGGGGAGGTCCCTCACAGCAGAAGACCTCCCAGAGGCAGCAGTGAGGAGCCATCACCAGAAGGGGAAGAGGGCACAAGAACTTCTGCTGGGGATGGGAATCAGAGAGCAGGCTCACATGTCTAGATGCTGCTGCTCAGCAGCACTGTGGGACAGAGACCTCAGAAGGCCATAGCAGCCATTTATAGCCCCAGAGTTTTTCTTATCTATGCTTAGCAGATATTGGGTGCAGTTTCTGAAGTGTGCAAAGTAGGCAGGCTCTAAATGGCCTAAAATATGCTTATTTGCACTATATAAAAACTGGATGCGTAAAAGTTTGAGTTTAGAGCTTATGGGCTTTGAGTTAATAGCCTACTGTGAAGAAGTAAACAACATGTGGGCCAATATACAGGGGTTATCCTTGGGATCATGTATATGACAGGTGGTTTTATTACGCAGCAATAGATAACCAGAACAATACAGCTATGCTATATTGCAATCTTTTCAGAAATCTCTATTTTGTTTGCCCAGTTAGAGTCCACGTTTCTTTAGCACACCAGTGTCTTAAATGTTTTGTATAATGCACAGGATTTAACCCAATGCTTTGTAAAGAGTTTCTATGTAATAACTATTTCTTAAATGATGCAAATTTGCAGATATTTTGATGGTCAAAGAACTCACTACCCTGATTGGTGCACACAAAAGAATGGGGTCTGTTTGCATGCAAAATGCAAATTCTGGAATCAGTGAAAGCAAGCACTTCTCTGCAAAGTTTTGAGGAGGTATCTGGAATTTATCTTTTTCTCTGTTGATTAGATCATATTCTTTGGAATCTACTTTGCTCTTATTTACTGACAGTTACATATGACTTGAAAAATGTGATTACCATGCACCAGTATGCCAAATAATATTTCTCAGTACCATGTGAAGATTTGGACATACTTAGAAAGCTCTGTGCTATAACTGACATTAGTTGGTATGCACATTTTACTTATGTAGTATATTTTAATTCTGGAGATGTAGATGCATCAACTTCTTTAACTAGCAAAATGCCACCAAGACTCATATTGGAGTAGAAAACCAAAACTGGGACATGTCCCCCATGGCTCTGAAGAGATGCCTCATTGCTCATCTCTGCATCTTTCTGCAGGTCTGCTCCCTTCTCCATGCCCTCTTGACCATCTTCTTATATTTACTCAGGATTTTTCAGCCCATAACTTCCATTTGCGTGTGGCTCTGTTTGACCCAGCAATCTACAATCCTAACTCTGTCATGCGAGACCTCAGCTTCAACTTCTTTGGCTAATTGGCAATAGTCTTTCAGCTTTCTAGTTCCAAAATTTCTGCAAGCAACATGTGGTTGGTTCAGATGGTCTTTTATCCCCAGATCACCAGCCAATCTGTGGATGGGCTCTCCTTGATGGAGTGGACCACATTTCTCTAAATAGCTGAGGTCAGTGACAGGGTGGGATATTATAGAGCCAGTACAAGCTACAAGATACAGAACATGGTAGTCAAGGTCTACCCCTTTCTTCAGAGGTTGTGATGGGTTGGGAGAAAGGGTCAGATGCCTCAAAATATATCCTATCAATTGTGGTTCATTGTCACCTTGACAACTGGCTACATGGAAGTTCAGAATTTGAGCCTAGAAATCTAGAAGAAAAATGGTGACATTAGCCAAAATAAGGAAAGTACATGGGGAAGCCAGTTTTGTGGGATATAATGTTATTATGATATTGATTTTTAGAGAATAATGTGGAGATCTTCTTTCTCTGGGTTTTCTCATAAATGGATAAACTTCCTGAAACATGACTAAATTATATGTGTGAATCTTCAGCACATTCTTCCTTTTTCAAGTGTAGCTAAACAGTTGCTGAAAATGTTACCTATTAATTAAATTTCAAATGTGATTAACTAAAATCCGTCTTATTGCCAAATAACTTCAGGTAAATGATGCCCATTAATTTTAAAATTTTGGTTATAGCACAAAAATGGCAAAAGTGCTGATCACATTCTTGAATTTATAGTGTTTCAATAATAGCATTATCAGGCCAGGCGCAGTGGCTCATGCCTGTAATCCCAGCACTTTGGGAGGCCGAGGCAGGTGTTATCACCTGAGGTCAGGAGTTCGAGACCAGCCTGGCCAACATGGTGAAACCCCGTCTCTACTAAACATACAAAAATTAGCCAGGCATGGTGGCAGGCACCTGTAGTCCTAGCTACTCAAGAGGCTGAGGCAGGAGAATCACTTGAACCCAGGAGGCAGAGGTTGCAGTGAGCCGAGATCATGCCACTGCACTCCAGCCTGGGTGACAGAGCAAGACTCCGTCTCAAAATAATAATAATAATAATAATAATAATAATAGCATTATCCAGGCATCTCTTAGGTCAAAGGAGTAAATTAAATTTGCAAGAGATAAACATTTCCTTCATTGTGGAACTGCTATAATTCTGGATACCTTGACCTAGAAGATGAGGTAATGGAATAAGAAACTCTGGGCAGGAAGTAGACTTTATTTTTAAAGCCATCTTAAAAGATACAGTCATACTGTGGGCTGATGATACTTCAAGTGTGCATGGCTATTTCTTGCAGTAATGTGGTCTGATTGAGCAATTCTAGAGAAGGAACACTTAAATCACAATAAAAGAGCCCAGTAAGTTTTCAAATTGTTCTCATCACTGGAAATGTCTTCCCTAAAGTAAGTCAAATTCTGCTTCCTTTGACTACACTCACTGATGCAAGTTGTTCCCTCTGAAGCCATACAGAATAAGGGTCAGGTTCTTCCACCATTTCTCATCTGACATGATTTTCAGATCCCTCACATTTTCTTACCCTTCTGAATATACTGGTGACTGGTTTTGCTGCTTTCTTAATGTGCTCTGAAGAAGATTCAAGTAACACTTACAAACACAATAGACTAGAGTTACATAACTCAAGAGTTAAGAAAGACTGGAACTGGCTTTTTAAAAGTTATGTAATAATAGCTTTTTTATCATTAGCTATAATTTGATAAAACCATTAGATGTTTTATCAAAAAGTAATAATGGTGGCAATGACAACTAACTCAGGTGTAGATCTCCAAAGTTCCCAAAGCCCTTTCCTAGCTGACATTTTTCCCCCATCCCTATTTGCACAAGCCATACTAGTCTTATTCCTAACACCAACTCCTCAGGAACTAAGGGAAAGTTGACAGTTACTGTTTGTGGTTTGACATAAGAAGGACAAAAAAAAAACCCTTCTATTTCCAGAGACAGTCTATAAATATGTGATCTTGTATGCAATTTGCATACATGAATTAAACTTTTTATACACAAATTGTAGCAATATATCCAATGTACTCTGCTATCACAGTTTATTTAACAGCTCACCTTCTTAAAGTATTTGGTTGTTTCCATCTTATTGGTAACAACAGTGCTGCAGTGAATATCTTTGTACATATGTTTCTGCCCACATGTGCAAATTATAATGAAAATGATGTGCCAAAGAGCATGCACATTTTAAATTTTAATTGATGCCAATTAACTTCCAGTGAACATACACCAAGTGTAGGGGGGAGCGCCAGTTTCCCCCATACCCTTGCCAAAACAGTTTGTTACCAAATCTGTTGATATTTGACAGAATAAAGGTGAAATATGATGAGATGCATATCACTTTCATTTTAACTGGCATTTTTCTTATAGTGATGTTGAACATCTTTTCAAATGCTTAGTAGTTGTACTTCCTTTTTATTTCTGGACTGTTTGTATCCTTTTACGATTTTATTAATGGTCTTTATAAAAATTTGTTTCTAGCAATTTTTATATGTGAAACTATTAACATTCAGTATATAGCAAAACATAAATATCACCACCAGATTGTATATATCTTTGGACTTGGCTGAAGAACTTTGGACGTGTTGATTTTTAAAATATATTGAAAGAAAAGTTTTCTCATCTCTGAGCATACATAAAAAGCTGTCCATTTTCTTCTAGTAATAATTATAGTTTCATTTTAGTCTTTAAATGTTTGATCCATCTGGAATTTATTCTGGTAAAAGATGAGGTGAAAATTCAACTTATTTTCAGCTACTTAATTATTCCAGAATTATTTATTAAGCATTCTATTTTTCTCCAATGATGTTAAATTTCTCCTGTATTATTTGCTAAATTTTATTTGGAGATTCTGTTTATAAGTCCACTCTTGTATCTCACTAGTCTATTTGTATGTACATGTGCCGTTACAACACTATTTTAATTACCACAAATGGTAGAATGAATAGTCCCTCATGGCTGCATTTTTCTCACAGAATCTTCCTGAATATTCTTGTATGCCTATTTTTCATTTTGTTTTGTGTTTTTGAGACAGGGTCTCACTTTGTCACCCAGGCTGTAGTGCAGTAGCCCGATCTTGGCTCACTGCAGCCTCGACCTCCCAGGCTCAGGTGATCCTCCTGCCTCAGCCTCCCAAGTAGCTGGGATTACAGATGCGTGCCACATGCCTGGCTAATTTTTTGTATTTTTTGTAGTGATGGGGTTTTGCCATGTTGCCCAGGCTGGTCTCGAACTCCTGGGCTCAAGCGATCCACCAACCTGGGCCTCCGAAAGTGCTGGGATTACAGGCATAAGCCATCATGCCCGGCCATATGCTTATTTTTAAATGTGATGTTTACAAATGTGTTTAGTTAAAAAAAATCTATTGGTATATTATTGAGATTGTGAAAAAAATACCGATTAATTTTGCCATGATTGGGTATTTATAACATACCTTGTACTGAGGTAATGCCTTTTTTGTCCTTTAGTAGCATTTTAAATTTGCCTTTATAGGGTTTTCACATTTCTTACATTTATTTTCAGGTATTCTATCTTTCTGTTGCTATTATATTTTCAAACTGGTTACTGTTTGTTTATAGAATAGCCCAGTGACTTTACTAAATTATGTTGTCAAGTAAAATGCTTTAATATATCTAATCCTATTTTATTAAGAACATTTTTTGAGATGAAGTCTCACAGTATATGTTTAGCATTTTATCAACTATCTTTTAAGCATCTGCAAATATGAGTATACCACTTTTCTCCTTTGATTTATTAACGTAGTCAAATATATTATATTTCCTAATAATGAAACATTCTTGCATTTCTGATATGAGCCTTATCTAGTCCAAATCTATTATATTATGCTTTTAAGATAGGATCAATTTTACTGGCTCATTTTTTATAATTTAAAAAATCAATTCTCATAGTGAAATAGATTTGTTGTTTCCTGGTTTCATAATATCTTTCTCGGGTTTTAGTCTTGGCATTGTTCTAGTTTCTTAAAAGGAATTTTCCTATTTATTTGTTTTGGAACAGTTTAATTAGCATTGTAGTTCTCTGTTCTTTTAAATTTCAGAAAATCAGTGGCGAAATACCTGGGCCCTGTACATTTTTAGGGAGGAGAGTGGGGATGAACTTGCTTTTTGTGAGTTTTTGCTATTTTTATTATATTTTCTACTTCTGTGATTAGCTTTATCTATTTCACAGAGCTTATCAAATTATTTGTCATACAGTTGATTAAAATAATCCTTTATAATTATTTAAATGCACTCTGTATTTAGGTTACTTTCCTAGCTTCATTCCTAATTGACAAACTCCACCCTTTTTTTATCTTGGTTGGATTAGCGAATGCATCTCTGTTTTATTGTTTTCTTTCCTTGTTTTCAAATAATCGACTCTTAGATATACTTAGTATTTCTATTGTATTTTCTGTTTCCTAATGCATTTATTTCTAAATCTTCATCTTTGTTATCTTAAAGCTGTAATTCTTATTAATGTGCAAATATTCTTAGAAAGAGACATATTGAAACTGTTAATAATCATTTCTATCTTAGGATAAATGAGTTCCAGATATTGTCGTGGGCCTAGGTTTTGGAAACGGGAAAGGATAGTTATTAGTCAAGCAATTACTTGAGTCCTAGAGAAGGGGATGGGGGTGACAACAAGTATAATCATGGAGTTCAGAGTCTGGGGAGATACACATTTCCCATGTCATAGAGCCTCTCTTTACACATTCATCAGAATGTGTCCCTGTAACATCACCACACAATGGTTTGGTGTTCCAGGGAAGCAAATAACTTAGTAGGTGTTGGGAAAGTGCTTAAATAAAAAACATGGGCTTCAGTGACATAAATTATGAAACATAAGTCATGGTACTTTTTGTTTTTCCATAGTATAAATTAAACAAAACCAGGAAAACAGCTTCATAGGGAGGCTTATATCTATCCAATAAAATTCCCAGTCAGGATATTTATTCACTCAAAGGCGCTACCAGAAGGGACAGAACAGATGGATGACACTGTGACAGCCCAGGGCTGCCTAAGACAGCCATGGAGTCTTCCTTCTCCCTGCACTGCTCTCCTTTTTCTAATTGAAGTTTGAATACCATCTTGCATTTTCAATATTCTTTTGTGCACTTCTATTTGATCCTAATAACAACCTCGTTTATTAGACTTTTCTTGTGTACTCTCTCACATCCAACCAAACACGTCTTACTACCCTTTTTTTTTTTTTTTTTTTTTGAGACACAGTCTTGCTCTGTCACCCAGGCTGAAATGAAGTGGCTTGATCTGTGCTCACTGCAACTTTTGCCTCCCAAGTTCAAGCTATTCTCCTGTCTCAGCCTCCCAAATAGCTGGGATTACAGGTGCGTGCCACCATGCCTGGCTAATTTTTTGTATTTTTAGTAGACACGAGGTTTCACCATGTTGGCCAGGCTGGTCTCAAACTCCTGACTTCTTTCTCAACTTTTTATTTCCAGGGTTTCCTTCTGAGTTTAGAATTTTATTGTTTCATTTCCAAATTCCTGTGGTAGTCTTCCATCATCCTGGAGGCGCGATAGGCTAGCTGTTGAAAAACAACTCCTGAATCTCAGAAGTATAATATGATAAGGCTTTATTTCACAATTACATCATAGTTTAATACAAGGTATGAGTTGGGGTAGGGCAGGGTCAAAAATTGTCTATGTTGTCCTTCAGGGACCTAGACTTTATATATCTATGGCCCCACCCCCCTGGAGCCTCAGAGTTCCCCACTGTATCCTCTGCCTCTGGCTGACAGATGAGAAATGAGAAAGTGTGTGGACAATTGTGCAGGAGGTTTTCAGGGCCAGAGCCTGAAGGTGGCATACGTGGATCCTGCCACACTCTATTGGCAGGAAGTCAGTCATATGGCTGCCCCTAACTGTAAGAGAGGCTGGGAAATGCAGTCTAGTTTTGTGCCCAAGAGGAAAAGAAAATATATTTTGGTGAAAACTGCATACTTGGACACAGCCAGCCTCTCTGCCCACCTATGTTGCATGTTCTACCAGATTAGCATTCATTCAGTCATTAAACAAACATTTACTAAATACCACTATCTGCCAGCTACTACGCTATGCACCATGAATACAAAAATGCATAACTTCTAATTTTGCCTTCCTTGGAACTCACAAGCTAGTGGGAGATAAGAATACTAAAAAAAAATGTCTACATTGAGTTAAGTACAGTGGTCCTCCCTTATCTGCAGGGGATACCTTACAAGACCCGCAGCGGATACCCCAAACACAGATAGTACAGCACCCTATATATGCTGCTTTTTCCTATATATGCATACCTATGATGAGGTTTATTTATTTATTTATTTTAGACACAGAGTATTGCTATTTTGCCCAGGCTGGTCTCCAGCCCTGGGTTCAAGTGATCGTCTGGTTTTAGCCTCCCGAATGGCTGGAACTACATACATAATTTACAAATTAGGCACAGCAAGAGATTAACAATAACTAATAATAAATAGAATATTTATAACTACATACTGTAATAACAGTTATGTGAATGTAGTCTTTCCCAAAATATCTTATTGTACTCTATTCACATGACAGTAGTTTCTTCACCGGCAGACTCAGCCTCTCCAGTAATTTTTATATTTTTCAGCCCAAACATATTCCCGAGTCTGTATAACCACCCCTCACTCGCAATAAATGGCTGATGTCACTTGTTTCTGGGGATCCCTTGCTGAAGTCTTCCTACAGGCTCAATGCTTTCTGGCACAACACATTGCTGTGAATCGGAACATGTTGCATTCATGTCTTCCACCCACATCTTTAATGCCTTTTCCATCATAATTAAGCACTTATTACACACTGTGGCCATAACTTTTGCAGTTTTAGATGCAGAATAAAACTAGCACAAACATCTTTTTCCTTCTTCACAATTTCACAGATAGAGGATTTGTCCTTACCATAGATCCAAATCTATGGTATGAAAACTAAGCATACAATATTTTTTTCTTTCCTTATTAAGTCAAGGACTTTGATCTTTTTATGTAAAGGAAGTACTTGACAGCTTCTCTTTGTCATACCTAAATTGCCAGCTTCACTACTTTTGTGCTTTGAGGCCATTATGAAGTTAAGTAAGGGTGTCTTGAACACAAGTGCTGTGATGTCACAACAGTTGATCCAATTATCCAGCCAGCTACTAAGTGACATGCGCAGGCAGCATCTACAGTGTGGAAATGCTGAACAAAAGGATGATTCATATGCCAGATGGGATGAAGCAGAACCTGCTGCCAAGCAATGTCTTAGCCTCTAGTAATGAGAACAGAATGAATATTACCCTGATCTATCCTTCTACTTTGCTCCTTGCCTAGACATATGTAGGTTGCTTACTGAGCTGTCGGGGTCATGATTTGACTTACCTGTAAGTCCAGGTTGTGGTACACTTCAGGTCACCAAGGACTTTTACTGATTCTTCATCTAACAATTTCAACTTCAAAGCTATTCCAAGCTCTGGACAATCATTTTGGAAATGATCTATTGGTGGCTGCTGCTGGAAAAGACCATCACACAAGACTATACCCTTCAATACTGGTATGGAAAAGTATATGAAACTGCCTTTCCTATAAGTAAATGGCTTCTCACATTATCATTTGGTATTCAACCCTGATCAGCACAACATCCATCCCTGAGAATGTCATGGGAGCTAAGGAGACATAGCATTCATTTTGGTTTACGGCCATCAGTGTTGCCCAAGTGCCATATAGGGAGTCTCTCAGGCCATGCTATCAGTGCCCAGGGTGCCAACTAGGAATGCCACCTATTAAGAAGTCTTTTCAGAAAAGGAACCAGAAAAACTGCCTTTGTATTAAGATAATGAGTAGACACGCAACCTTAGGACCAGCAGAGTCTACAGCAGCTTCTCACTTCAGATCAACTGAATCATAATGAGCATATAGCAACCTGCTCTTTTAGATGGGTTTCAAATCACCAACTGCTAGACTGTCAATACCACAAAGTTGATGTCTTATACTCCTATATGGATGAATATCTGGGGTCTTCAAAAGCCAACACATCCAGGAGAACTGTGCCCCTAGAGAGCTTAGAGGTAATACAGTCCCACATAGAAATGAAGGGCCACCTTAGGAGATGGCAGCAAACCATTGTCTACATCCAGGAACTCCTTCTAGAACCCAGGAGTCTCTTAACTTGGCACCTGAAGAAAATATGGGTTAGAAGCTTTTGCTTGAGCAATAGACCTGCCTCAGCAGGCAAGTCTTAAGCCCAATTCTTTCATCTGTCGTGGCCATGGATCTCTAGTGCAGTGTTCAGAACTACACAGAAACTTCAAGGATGTGTTAGAAGATAAATTTTAATCTGTGCATTTTTTATTTAAAAGCAAAGAGAGCCAAAAAGCCTATAAATAATTTAAAATTGAATGATGAAAAACATTTAATTATCCCAAAGAAGAAAGAAAAGAAGGAATAAAAAATAATTATAAAATGGTGAACATTTCCCAAACATTAATCACATTTTTTTTTTGTAGCTGGGATTACAGGATTGTGCCACCATGCCTGCTAATTTGTAAATTTTTGTAGAGGTGAAGTCTCACTATAATGCCCAGTCTTGTCCTGAACTCCCGGCATCAAAAGATCATCCTGCCTGGGCCTTCCAAAGTGCTAGTATTACAAGTGTGAGCCACCATATCTGGACTACTTTAAATTTAAATGGACTACACATACCTAATAAAACATGAAAACTGTAAGAATGAATTAAAAAAATGCAAGACTCAACTATATATGGCCTATAAGAGATGTACTTTATTTATTCATTTATTTTTATTGTTATTACTTTTTAGCTTCCTCGGGCTGAAAGAGATGCACTTTAAATATAAAGACAAATCGATTCGAAGTACTTTCTTAAGGGAATAATAGAAAGCCAAAATCAATGGAATAGAAAACAGACAAACAATAAAGAAAATTAATACAGATAAAATTTGGTTCTTTAAAAAGACAAATAAAATTGATAAATCTGCATGTAGCCAAACTGTTGAAGGAAAAAAGAAAGATAAATTATTAATATTGGGAGTAAAAGAGATAATATCATTACTCCAGATCCTACATACCTTAAGGATGATAACGGAATATTATAAATAACATTACACCAATAAATTCAGTAGTTCAGATGGAATAGATGGATTTTTTGACAAAAATAGTTTACCCAAACTGATACCATATGAAATAAAATCTTTTAAAAATACTATGAAATAATAGTAACAAACAACATGAATATAATAACAAATATAGGGTTATAATAATTATAATATCTGAGTTGTCTTACATCTATTAAAATTTTTAATTACTTATCAGAAAGTTTCCCACAAAGGCCCAGACAGTTTTACTGGTGAATCCTATCAAACATTTAAGGAAGGAATAACAACACTCTTACATAAACTATTTAAGAAAATAGAGGAAAAGAATACTTCCCAACTTGTTTTATATGGCTACCAAAGCAGTGATACCAAAATCTGACAATTATGTTCAAAAGAGAAAAAAAGAGGCCAGGCCTGGTGGCTCATGCCTGCAATCCTAGCCCTTTGGGAAGCCAAGGCAGGCAGATCACTTGAGCAAAGACCAGCCTGGGCAACATGGTGAAACCCCATCTCTACAAAAAATACAAAAATAAGTCAGGTGTGATGGCATAAGTCTGTAGTAGCTAGTTGCAAGGCTGACGCGGGAGGATCACTTGAGCCCCTGAGGTTGAGGCCGCAGTGAGTTATAATCACGTCACGGCACTCCAGTTTAAGCGAAAGAGCGAGACTTTGTCTCAAAAAAGAAAGAAGAAAGAAGAGAAAGAGAGAGAAAGAAAGAGAGAAAGAAAGAAAGAAAGAGGGAGGGAGGGAGGGAAGGAAGGAAGGAGAGAAAAAGAAAGAAAGAGAAAGAGAGAGAGAGAGAGAAAAAGAAAGAGGAGGGAGGGGAGGAGAGGGAAGGAAAGGGAAGAAGGAACAGGGAGAGGAAAAGGAAGGAAAGGGGAGGGAGGGGGACATTAAAGAGAAACAAAAAAATTACAGACCAATATTCTTCATGTATGTAGACACAAAATTATTTTTAAAATATAAGTAAATCAAATCTTGAAATACATGTAAAGGATGATACACTATAACCAAGAGGGGTTTATCCTAGGGCTTCAATAAATGAGAGAAAAAAATAAATGTAAAATAGGTGAGCAAATCAAATGTATACGGTAAGATGGCAAAAGTAAATACAAATATAAATAATTAAATGAAGGTAATTGACCGAATATTAAAAAAAAATTCGGACTTCCAGAATGGACTAAGAAACAATAACAACATACCTCATAAATGCAATGTATATTAAGAAAACAGCAACCATATGTAGTTTCCTATATATAACAAAACAGAAAAGTTGAAAGAATGGGAAAAAAATCACACAAATTAAATAAAAAGAAAATTGGTGTAACTCTACTACGGGTTGATTATCACTTATCTAAAATGCTTGGGACCAGAAGTGTTTCAAATTTCAGATTTTTTTGAATTGGGGAATATTTATATGTACATAAAGAGATATCTTGGGGATGGGACCTGAAGCTAAACACAGAATTTATTTGTTTCATATACACTTTATACACATTGTATTTTGTACAATGTTATTAATAACTGTGTGCATGAAACAAGCTTTTCACTGCATTTTGACTGTGACCCATCACATGAGGTCAGGTGTGGAATTTCCTACTTGCGGTGTCATGTCAGTGCTAAAAAACTTTAAGATTTTGGAGCATTTTAGATTAGGGGTACTCAGCCTGTACTAGCAATGATAACAGACTTTAAGCCAAAAGGCAGTAGTAGAATTAATAACAAGAAAGCTTCAATTCACTGGGAATGTTTAACAATTCTAAATTCATATGTACCTATAATATTTACATGGCCTCAAAGTATATAAAACAAAAATTAACAAGAGCTACAAGGAGAAATAAAAAATAATGAATATTTGCCTCATTTTCTCACTTGTTTTTAATTCACTGAATTATGTTGTATTTTGTGCTCATTTGTTAGTTGGTTTGAAATTTTTTTAGGACAAACAGGGATACAGCTTAATTAATTGATTTTAAAACTCTAATAGTGAGACCTCACCTAAATTATTAAAATTTATCATCATGGTCCCTAATCCCCTTCTGAGAAGGAACTGGAAGTGTGTTGTCTTGGTAAGAAAGCCCCTCCTTTGGGCCTAGGACCTCTCAACAAATGCTACTTTTTAATGAGACTTTCCTCTTTTGGTCAATAGATTACCCGTAAATTAATTGAAGCCTTAGGCCTTGGATATAAAGCAAGTAATGTGACTTCATTAAAATACTAAAGTTACAGTGACAATACTATCTTTGAAATTAAATGTAGGAGTTGCATCTCTTGTTTTTATTTTCATTTTAAATCTTATTTATTCTTTTATTTGCTTCTTTTGAAGTTTATTTAATGGTAATGCACACAAGAGATACAAGGTTGAAAACACATGAATGGAAATATTTTTTAAAAATTCATCTCTTTGGCCTCCGCTACCCAAGCCCCAGTTCTAAATTGTACAGGTAACCCATGTTACAGAAAGTTAGACTACCCAACAAATGTTCTTCACCTCGCTTTTTTTTTTACTATTTACCCTAGTCACTATTTCATATCAGTTTATCGAGTGGGTACCACATTTTTTTTAATGTCCTGCATCCTGCATAACATTCCTGCATGGATGAAGCACATTTATCTTACCTGCCCCTTTGCTATCACAGACAGCATTGCAATGAACAGCATTGTATACATACCTTTGTGTTCTTGCTGGAGTGTATTTAAAGAGAAAATTTTATTAAGTGAGTTGGGTAAAACGGTACAAATGTGCGTTTAATTTTGATAAACATTGCCAAATCATCCCATAGTTAAAAGTTCTACAAATGTACTCTCCCAACAATTACTGAACGTGCTTGTGCCCCTGAACTCTTGCCAGAACGGTTTATTATTACAATGTTTATCTTTAGCATTCTGATTGGTGAAAAATAGTTTCTTGTTGTCATTTCAAGAAGGACTATTCTTATGAGGGGGTTGAGTATCTTTTAAAAATACTATAAAATAATATTAACAAAAATATGAGTATAACTAATATAGTGTTATGATTATAAACACAATAAATCTATCATAAATATGAAATAAGTAATATAAGATATACTATTTGTCAAAAAAAATTGCATTACCAATCAGATGAAAGCCACTGTATACCCTTCCCTAGTTGAATTTCTCTATCTCGTTATTTCAGAAGTATTTGCTACCTTGAATTTAACATTTATCATTTTCAGGTATTTATGTAGATCTTGCAACACATTTATTTACTCCCAAATTACATATATTTGTGTATATGTGTGTGCATATAAGTAGTTGGCATGTTTTTAAATTTCATATAGTGTCATATTGCAAGTATTCATCCTGCAGTGTGCTTTTTGTCCTCGACATTATTTTGTGATAATTCACTCATGATATTTATGCAGCTCAGATTCATTCACTTTCTACTGCTCAGTAATCCATTGAATGAATATATAACCATTTATTTATTCTACTATTGATGGTCCATTTAGGCTGTTTCCAATTTTTGCTCTTTGTGACAATGCTACTATGAACATCATTGTAAACATCTCTTCATCGACATAGGAGCAGACCTGCTGGGACCTGCTGGGTCACAGGGTTTGGATTCTTCAGCTTTACTACATATTGCCAAGTTGCTTTCAAACGTAACTGTTCCAATGTATGCTTTCATCAACAGTATAGAAGAGTCCTCTTGCTTCACAGTTTTGCCAAACTTGGCTTTAGAAAATATTAATTTTTTGCCAATAGGATGCATTTGAAACAAAATTTCTTACAGATTTAGTTTTCATATGCCTGATTATGAATAAGACTACACATCTTCACAGATGTGTAAAAGCCATTTGTGTTTTTCCTTATGTAAACTACCTGCTGTGGTGTTAGCTCATTTTTTTCTATTAGGTTATTGTTTTTTGTCTTATTTTTAATTGCTTTGTAGAAAGATTTTTATTTTAGGAGATTAGGTACCTGCTACCTTAACTATCATTTTTTACCATCAATAGTTTTTCTAGATTTTCTTTTTTCTTGTGTCCTTATTTATAGTACCTTTAAAACCAACTATTTAAATTTATATATTTTATATATATTTACATAAATATAACTTTATATAAATGTGATCACATATAGGCATTTTGTATGTGTGCAATGTTTTTCCACTTTTTATGTGGTTTTCTCCTTAGTCTCTCCTACTTTTCCCCTCATGTGGCTTCCCTGTTCCCCCTACAAAGATAACTCATATTATAAACTTTACATTAATTATTCCATACTTTTACTGCATTCAAATGCCTCTATACGACTTGTACATTTATGTACATACTCTGCAGGATATTTTAATTTTGTCATTATTTGGTTTATAAACATGCAATTATGCTAATACAAATTTTTTTTGCTTTTTATATTTTCATTTAACAATACTTTGGGAAAATACCTCTAAGTAAAACTGTGTGATTCTAACTCATTTTTCTAATGGCTCCTAAATTTTGTTGTATCAACAAAAATTTTGCTAAGCAAAAATCACAGCATAGAAAGTTACAGGGACCTAAAGAAGGAAAATTGTACTTAGTCAAGATTTTATAAATATATTTTGGATATGTATATGCATGAACTTTAAAGTGACATTAAGAGGTACATTTTACTCCATAAAATTTGTTGTTGTGGAAATTAAATATATGAATGTATATGTACTTCTTTTGCTTATATACTTATGTATCTATATTATATATAATTTTGTATATGTATTACATAAATATATTTTTTATATATTAGAGATACCTATCATATATTATATATTTATGATATTTATTTATATTATTTATATATCTTATATGAGGTAAATATATATTTATATATTACATAAATGTATAGTATATATAAGCATATACTATATATGTGTAATATGTGTATACTATATATTGTGTATATATCTATACACACACATAGAGAAAGTGAGAGAGACAGAGAGAACAGAGCCAAGTGATAGGAAGTACACTCTATTCCTGGCTCAGTAACAGACTGTGTGGAAGTGGGGGAATAATTTCACTCTGTGGACTTCAGTTATCTCTCCTGTAAAATGGAGGATAGAGTCAGGACATAGACGGCTCTTCCGACGAGGTCAGAGTTCCTCAAGGCAATTTAGGAGGAATCCAAGGTTTGCCAAGGCTTTGCATTCACCAGCTGACATGGCGCCACCACGTGGTAATAGTGTAAACAATTTAAAATGTATTGGATCCGTCAGCTTTTAAACATGATTCATCAATGTTTAATTTGAGGAATTAAGATTATTTAAACTTTGGTGCATAAACTGAGACTTTATTAATATGTTTATTTTTCACTATTTGAAATTTGCATAAAATGTGACTACACTGTATAGACAGGGAAGTTTTGAAATCTAACATTGTTTCTGTAACACAGAGTAACAACCAACTACATTTAAAAATGGGGAAAATATGATAATAGAAGAATTATTCACATCAGAAAGTATATTTTAAACAACAATATACAACATCTTTAATAGCCATATGGTTAAAAAAACTTTTCAAAATGCCTAAAGTTCCTGAAATTAGTTTAGTGAGTGGGGTAAGCGCAGAGTTGGGTGAAAAGACACAAGAGTACCTCAAGAACTTTTATTGTTAATATTATATTATCGTTTAGACTTCAAAATATTTGGGATTTACACTAAACTGAAGCACATTACACAATCTAGTAGTGAGATAGTAAGTAGAATCAAAATAGAGTATCAATTTTGTTTATTTAATATTTACATACGTATTGTCGTTTATTGAAATAACTGTATCAACTCTTGCTGCTTTTAGATATTTGATTCGTTTTTTTAGTAAATTATTAATTTTAGTACAGTTTTAGATTCACAGAAAATTTGCAAAGAAATGAATTTCCATATACCCCGTACCCAATTTTCTATGTTAGCATCTAACATTACCATGGCTCATTTGTCATAACTAAATAACAAACATTGATACATTATTATTAATTAAAATTTGTACTCTATTCAGATTTGCTTAATTTTAATCTAATGTTCTTTTTCTGTTCCAGGATGGCATATTACATTTAGACATTATGTCTTCTTGTGTTCCTCTTGGCTGTGACAATTTCTCCGATTTTCCTTATTTTTGAAGGCTTTGGCAGTTTTGAAGAGTATTAGTCAGGTATTTTGTTGACCGTTCCTCAATATGGGATTGTGAGATGTTTTTCTCATGATTGGACTGGGGTTCTGGTTACTTGGAAGGAAGACAACAGAGGTAACGTACCATTCTCTTCACAGAACATCAAGTATTCATACTGTCAACATGACCTGTTACTATTAATAACCATGATCTTCTGTTAACCTTGATCATCTGGCCAACGTAATGTTTTCCAGATTTCTCCATTGGAAAGTTACTCTTTTTCCCACTTTGCCTGTAATACCCTTTGGAAGGAAGTCACTATGCAAAACCCACACTTAAGAGGTAGGTAGAGAGCTATACTCACTTCCTTAAGTAGGAACTATGAGCATAAGTTACCCAGAATTCCGTATATTTGTCTCTTTTCCACATTTGTTTATTTATTCAGCTATTTATATTGGAAGAACTCATGAATATTTATTTTATACTTTGGATTACAATCCGTTACTACACTATCTATCTTGATGCTCAAATTGTTCTAGTTTGGGCCATTGGGTGTTCCTTGAGGTTGACTTCTCCTTTCCCTTTGACACACTCCCATCGTTTTGGTTTTGAAGCACTTCTTTACTTCCTGACACTACAAGATGCTCCAAGCTCATCTTGTATATTTCCTGCCCCAGTCTTAGAATCAGCTATTTATTCACGTTCTGGTTCATTTCATTTGAGAATGGTATTAGAAACCAACCAAGATGTGGGCACGAGGCGTGACTTTTGTTGACTTTGGATCCTCCCTCTGTATGTATTTACATAAACGCTTTCCTCTCCATGTCCTGATCATCTTAAAACTGAGCTTGTTTTAAATAGAGCTTTGAAATTTTTAAGAATAGTTTAGTCAATAAGACTTCTTGCACTCTTGCTAACTATTGTTTCAATTATTGCTACTGTTAACACCACTACTCCACTAATGGTAAAGTTTGTCACTCTCAAATATGAATTCCGGATAAAAGCTTTCTGGAGAAAAATATATGAATTATTTACGCACTTTTCCTCACTACATTCCTTTTCACTAAATCAGCAGCCAACAAATATGTGTCTCTAAGGGAATAAACAGAGCTGTGTGTACATATGCATACAGGTGTTTCCCTTTAGGCTTCTTATTGGAGCACATTGCTAGAAGAAATCTGCCAAAATTATTAGACTTTGATTCACTTGCAAGCAACACCTGTGTGTTCTCTTCATCTTTACATTTCCAAGGCTTAGCTCAATGCTTGATACATTCCAGAGGTTTCCTAAAGGTTTGCCGAATAAATTGCAGAGCCCCCTGGAACATGGTGAAGTTTACCATCAATCATTTAAATGCATCTCAGGGTTTGTTTTGTTGTTGCTGTTGTTGTTGTTGTTGCTGTTGTTCTTGTTTTGGGGGGGATTTTTTGTGATAAGTTTTTGTTGTACTTTATCTGCTTGTTTTTGCTTAGGAAGGCTTCAGTGACAGTAGTTAAAGAAATTGTGGTCACTATCACATTTTTTTTTTTTTTGGTAGAAACTGATTTCATCTCTCTGATACTGTTTTATCTGAGCCATGGTAAATTAATCACAGTTTTAGGCTTCTTCTTCACTGGTAAAATAAAGCCCAAACTGCTCATTTAAGAGAAAATGCTTGGCCAAAAGAAGCCTGTAAAACCAGAGTGTGCTTTTCCTTGATTCACAGTAAAACATGAACCCTTTATTTGAGCTCTTTATGACATGGAAAAGCATTTCTATGTATTGTGTTGAATAAGCTATTCTTCCCCCGGATGGTATTGAATTTAATTAGAAGAAAATATCTTCATGAAAATAAAGCTTTAATGATATACTGCTTCATTTTAAGACCATAAGTCATCGTATCCTCTAAATGGTGGGATAATGATGCTGAAACAAAACACTAAAGAGGGAAAAAGTTATTCATTTGGTGTTCAGTCTTTCTGTGGAAAACGTGTGTTTTTATTCTTTATCTTCCTTATATTTTTACTTCCAATTTCCCACTTAAAAGAAGATTCTCTTGTATGTTCTATTTTAATTTTACTCTAGATTCAGTACAATTTCATAAAATGAAATTCATTTAAATATAATTCAGGAACCAAGCCATCTTGAATGAAAGTATTTTGAGACAGCACTCAGGGTTTCAATATAAACACCGCCATCATCCATCCATTCATTCATTCATCCACCTATTAAAAATCTGTGTGTCTGTTGCCATCCTGGTGCTGAGAAAACATGAGTGGGAAAGAGAGATTCATCACCTCAGCAATTCGCAGGGAAGAAGGAAAAAGAAACTGAATAACGTAGTAGGATGGTCCTAGCTGAGTGAAAGAGAGCATGAGACCTGGATATGACCTGAAGTCTGGTTATATAAGAGTTTGTATGAGATAGCCTCCAAAGATAAAGTATTGTGCACAAGTGTACAACAAACGGGGTAGGTGAGAACTGAGACAACCTGCAGTCTTGTCTCTGGGCACTAGTGTTTTTCTTTTTCTGTCTTCTCTTTTTAAATAACAATTAACATTTATCAAGTGTTTGCCCAAATCTGGACACTGATCTGAATATTTTGTGTGTTCTTAGTTAATACTTCATTCTTCACAACAGCTCGTCACAACACTTGGTGCACTGAGACAGATTCTGTGTTGCCTGGAGTAGGCATTGTAACTCTCATTTCCATTTTGCAGATAAGGAAACAGAAGCACAGAGAGTTTACATAATTTCACTAAGATCATGCATCCCCAAGTGTTGTAGCCAGGATGTAAACCCAGGCAGCATGCCCCAGAGCCTTCCTCCTGCTCTAATAATGGTCTGCACTACTTGAGCTTTAAGGAGAGGGGAGCAGCAGGCACAAGCAGAAGGAGTTGTTTTTCCAAAGGGCTTCATGAGACAGGTAGAATCAGTGAAGAGGGGAGTGTGGGGTGCACACAGTGCTTCTTAGGTCTGTCAGGTGGCAACAGGTGACCTAGAGTCGGAGATTGAATCTAGCCTCGCTCCTTGAGAGTGACGGGGTCGGGAGCCCTGAAATCCACACATCTCAGAATGGATACCATTATCATTTGGAACAATGGTGGCCCTGAGACATTCTCTGGAAACTTCAGAAGCCCAAGGATAGTGACAAAGAGGGAGAGATGTTGGGAGGAATCAGGGTACGGATGGCATGGATCAAGAAAATAAGTGTAACCTAGAAGATACTCTCTGGGAACTGTTCATGATGCTGGGTGTGTTGATACAGCTTAAAGGTTATTTCAGTGTGGGGGACGCTTTGATGGCCTTGTCAAAAGTGTGTAAGCATTGCTTTGTTAGTTATTGATTTGTTTTCCCAAGCAGTGCATATGACATCCCTGAACCTTTCTCTGCTTTCTAGGTACACCATGATTATGAGAGATTTATGTTTTTCACTTCATTGAGCATGGTTTAAATGTTTATAGGTCTGTATTACTTTCATAAACTGAAAATAAAAATCTCTCATAATTTGATAGAATTGGGTTAACTGCTAAGAAAATAACAGTGCTTTATTTTAAAAAAAAGCTTCAAAATAGTAATCATAGTTTAAGAATATTGTTGACGTGAGAGAGACATGTCAGAAATTTAATTGAGCCTTACTATGCAGTCCAGATTTAAGACCAAGGGATCATACAGGTGGACCAAATAGTCACCTTCTCAGTGTCTTTAAGGCATAGATGAGAAAACTTGAGGTGTTTCACTGAAGATGCAGGTGAACTCTCAGACATGAGCAGATGTATTGCTTGGAATGACTGATGGCCTTTTCTGAGATGAGTGAGTGTAGTAAGCTGATTTCATGACTGTGCTTCTGCCAAAGGCTCCAGCCTAGTTCTCCTCTCATCTCTAAGCCCCTTCCCTCTTAGACTACCACTCTATCCGTGAAGGTAAAAATAATAGGTTGAGTTTTTCTCAAAAGCAGGGCAAAGGAGTTCATTTTCCCCTTACCTAGCAATACAAATTGTTAAAAGAAAAAGAATAAACTGGAATAAGGCTGTATTCAAATGTCTCATCAAAATGTCCCTGCCTTGGGAAATGCTTTGCCAAAGTGACCATTTCCAAGTCTCTGAAGTCAAAACAGCTGCATCTTAGTGGCTGCCTCAAAATCGTGGTATGAAAATGACTGTCAAAACAGCCCCATCAAAATGTCATGTACTTGGAGCCCATGTGAGATGCTCTGTAGACATCTCTGGGCATAATGGGACAGGAATCTCATAATGGGTTCCCCTTTGTATCCACAGTCCCTTGAAGCTTCGAAATACCCGTATTAAAATGATCACACCACGAAATAATCTGTACAGCCAACTCCCACGACACATCTTTATCTATGTAACAAGCCTGCACATCCTGCATCTGTGCCCCTGAACTTAATAGTTAAAAATAATAATAATAAAATAAAATTATCCCACCAACTAAGCATCAGGGAAAAAGTAAGCAGAAGCTTTTACAGGAGGAAAACTCCAGGAGGAGAAAGCTTCCTGTGGGAAGGGACATGGCCTGGGGATTGGAGAGATGGGGGTGCCTTGGAGAAGGGGCAACAGGGAGGAAGAAGGTATTCCAGGCAGAAAGGACAATGAACACAGAGACAGGAATGAGAAACTGAATGGGACGATGGCCACAACATACAGGTATTTCAGGTTGCTCACTATCCAACCTTTACTGAGCACCTACTGTATGCTTTAGCATGTTGTCCCCATCATTTTGGAGAGGACATAGTCAATCTAGTACATGGTACAATCTTTTTTCCTTCCACTCAGCAACAGCAAAATACATCTGGCTCCCGAAACAGTATGGTTTTCCCTCAGATATTTTTCTAAATCACATTGATTTGAATTAAATAGTTCAGAAAAATGATTTTTTCTCTTTGTTTTTTGAAATCACTTTAATCAGAATTAAATACAGAGAAACGATTTGGTTTCTTCTGAAACACACAGTTACACTGCAAATATAAACATACAAAAAACTGCTGACCACTTAAGTATTAAACATTCACTTGGTATGCTACAGCTTTTGGAAAATAAAATACCAATAATTACTCAATTTTAATAATAATACTTTGCATTCTATAGAATCAAAAAGTGTGCTGAAATATTTGAAATACTATGTCAATCTTCTTTAAAAATGAATCTTAAATATGGATTAAGTACAGATTATTTTCCAGTAACATTACTATTAACCTGAATGTTCCCATGGTAACAAGACATCTAACAGAATATAAAACAGATAACTTTCAATATTTAAATCATAACTCATAAATAAAAACATGTCTGTAGTTGTGTGAAAGTTACACATTAATTCCATTGATAAGGGATGCAGAAATCTCCTTAGAAATCATATTTTTTAAATTTTGCATTAATTTTTTATAACCAATTTCTGATTATAAAAGTAAAAATGCTTTCTGTAAAATAAATTGTAAAAAATAGCAAAAGAATAATTAAGCCTGAGATGAGAACCACTAATCTTTGTTTTAATCATTTTTGTATGTTGTTTTATTTATAAGTTTTAAAAACAAAATTTGGTTCAGAGTATCAATTTAGTTTTGTTGCCTTCATTTGTTACTTCTTCCCATATCAGTTATTTTTAAAATTTGCTTTATAGATGGTAGATTCATGATAGTCTCTACAATGTAACCATATACTTCCTGCTTCAGTCATTTTTGTTTTTTAGTCTTGTCCACAATAAATCTAATACTTGGAGTTGCGAAGTCATACTCCATGCCCTCAAAAAATAATGACTAAAATGGTGTTAAATTTCTTTATGTCCATTTTTTTTTTACTGATTTTATCAGGTGATCTCTATAAGCATTCAAAATTGACTAAGGATGTTTTAGACTAATTAGCCCTCACTACACATTTCCTATGTCTAAAATACAGTAATTGAGAAATGTTGTAGGAACACAACCAACCTAAACAACCTAACTTGTGAAAGAGAATTTAGGGAGAGAAAATGCCTTACACGAGGACTTCTTTGTTATTAAATACATCTGATTTCCATAATTTTAACTTTGAAACAGTGTCAAATACCAGACACACACAGATTATAACTGTCCTATCATGGTCCATTTAATAGCACAGGGACCGTAAAATCTGACAGACCCAATTTACTGGAATGTAACCTCATGGTCAGCCAGGGAAATGCTGACTTTGCCTTTTGGTTGCAACTAGCAGCAAGGAAGATAAATTTACACTAAGTTGAAGAAGGCCTCCATCCATTAGGAGAAACGCAGCTGGGGACCAGGAACTGTGGGAACTAGGAATGGAAAGATTTGGGAAAATGGGAAGTCCTTTTTTTCCCCCAGAAGTCTCATGTCAGCCGCTCTCTATCCCTTGATGTGTGGTTGTTCCTCTGCCTAGAGAGCGCCTTCTCTGCTCCTGGGTCCATAGGGCAAGGGAAGATGGCTGCCCACAGGTCTGGGACTCACGGGAAGATTCACGCCCTGTACATCCAGGAATGGATTCTCCCTCGCTCCCGTTCACGAGGTAATTGTCTCAGCTTGACTCAGGTGCCCAATTTTGTGCCCATCGGCTGTGACCAGGGAGCAGAGTCACCTTGTAAAAGCCTCAGTGCTCTGATTTCCCACTGATTATTGAAGGCAGGAGATGGTATGACGCTCCTGATTTTTTCTGCTGTCATCATGTGGCTGAACCGTAGGTTCTGAATTCATACAAAGTATGATTTTCCTTTTACTATTTTTTAATTTTTGAGAATTGTATTAATAGTAGCTGAATAAATTTTCCTTGTATCTTGTGTATAAACTTCCAGACCAAATTTTTCTTTGGGGGATCTTAGTGTAGGTGTTGTTCTGCAATTTGTTTTTGTTTTGATGCTTAAAATGTCATACATATTAGAGTTACATACTTTTAATGAATTAATTTTTAGATGTATACAAGTAATACATGAATGCATTTTTATTGTTAAAATCTAGGAATACAGATCATATGGATGAAAAAGTCAAAGTTCTCTTTCACACACCTGGACTATCATTTTTTACCTTATTAGGACTGTGGTTTATATATATTGCTCTGGAACTTGAATTAATGTATAAATATATACTCGTTATTTAACAATACATAGCTTTAAAACAGTACTTAAAATACATGTCCAGAGGAAAAAACAAAATCCTCTTTCAACATCCTCCTTCTACAAGAATTCAACTTACTTTCCCCAAATTGCTATTAACAGTTTGATGTGTATTCTGGATTTTTTTTCTACGTATTTAAATACACACATCCATGTAAAAATATACAGTTGGGGATTTTTTAACATAATTGGGATCACAGTGTAGAGATTAAATAGAACTCTGTTTATTAGAAATTTACAGATCTGTGTTGAAGATGGTTTCATGTCAGTATCTGTAGACAACTTATAAAGTTCTGCAAAGCATTCCATATCATAGATGTTTCATAATTTAACTATTCCTTCATTGGTCGATATTTATCATTTCCATTTTTCACTATTAAAAATATCGTGATGATGAAACTATTTGTATATATTTCTTCATAGCCATATGAGGATATTTTTCTACATCAAAGAAACAAAAATATTACAAAAGGATACTCCAGAAAAGGCTGTAAACATTTCATTTCTGCCAATAGTGTATGAAAGTGCACATTTCCACACAACTTTGCCAGTCTTGGGTATCAGCAATCCTTTTTAATTTTTGCCAGTCTAAAGAGTTAAAAATATATAGCTGAACTTTCTTTTGTTATAATTTGTGTTTCCTGATAATTAGTGAGAATGGGCATTTCTTTATATATTCGTTGGTCATGTATATTTTTTCTTCTTTGAATTGCCTACTGATATATTAATATGTTCTTTTTTTCTCTTGAAGTTTTTACTCTATTTTTAAAAAATCAATTTGTAGGAATAATTTGTTGATCTGTCATATATTTTGCAAATATTTCCCAGTTTTAACTTTGTTCATGGTGTTTCATCATATGAAGTTTTAATTGTTTAAGCAGTCAACACTATTAGTCTTTTTCCTTATGGTTTCTAGATGTTCTGTAATGTTTACAAAGTTTTTTACCACACCAATTTTATAATGTATTGTCTAATTTGTAAATAAGTTGATATATTTTCTAAATGTCCAGCTTTTAAAACTATCTAGAATTATTTGTGTATGTTCGTATTGTAAATTGGAAGCTATTTTACTCTAAATAGCCAATTGTCTTATTTATGTAAATGACTAATATTTACCCAGCAATTTGAAAATCTACCTTTCTTATAAATTAAATTCTCATATATAATTGATCTGCTTCCAGATCTTATTTTCTACTTATCTATCACTACTCTTATGACAGTGCTATACTGTTTCAGCTATCTTAACTTGATATATGTTTTAATATGTGGTTTTTCTTTTTTTTTTTTCACTTTTCCTGAAGTTCTCACATGTTTTTCTTCTGGATGAGTTTAAATATCTTCCAGTGAAGTTCCACAGGGTGTCTTTTGTGGATGTCTTTCCAATTTCCTTCCAGTTTCCTATAGGAAAAATTCCCACATGTTGGAAAACTCACCTGTAAAACCATCTGGGACTGGTGCCTTTCTGAGATTGATCTTTGGCTATCTTCCAGGCTCTTTGGTAGTTATTGATCTATTCAGGTTTTCTATTTCTGCTTCATTCAAACACAATCATTTGTATTTTTTAGAAATCCTTCCCTTTTATCTAGATTTTCAAATTTTTTATATAAAATAGTCTTCCTTACTCATTTCTTATGCTGGTAATTTTCTCTTTTCACATTTTTTGTTGTTGTTCTTTTACTTTTTTCTTAATTGGACATGACAAAGATTAGTTGACCTTATCCATGTGGATAAGGTCTCCTCTGAACTGTGTTGCTTTGCTTCCCCAAGTAGTCCCTTCTCCAAAGCAAGACCTAATTGTGTGCTATATAAAGTCGGCAGGGCATTCTGACCGCCAAGTTCCATTCTGAGCAGGAAGAAGTCAGGCAGGCTGGTGACCTCCCCTGTCCAGTTACCAAAATCGAGAGGGCTTTAATCTGGGGTGTAGCCCATTGGCATTATTGATCATATGTTTCCTTTTTTTTTCCCCTCTGTATCTGTGGTGGAGTTCCAGGGGAGTCATCCCCAGCTCTGCTCAGCTTCTCCAGGGCAGGATAATTCTCTGAGGGGACCTCGGCCTCCCATGGCAGATTATTCACCCTCCAGAGAGGGTTTTTCTGATTTTATCCAGGGGCAAACACTGCTAATCCCCGCCACTCAGCTTAAGTGGAAAGGGAGAAAGGAATAAGGTGCCCAACTGGCCTAGCTATTTCAAGAATGTGTTGACTCTGAGCTCGGATAATCACTGAAATTCCTTCAACACTGTAAAATTTTCTCTTACCCGTGTTTTAGCCTGAGGTTTTCTCTAACCTCGTTTCTTCGTCAACCTGATTTCATTTGGTTTCTATTTATCTTCCCAGCAAATTTCATTTTCTGGGCATTCTTTCTCATTTTCTAGCACTGATATAGATTTACTCTTGAGAAACAAATAAATAAAAGCATTTCTGCCATTTCCTTAAGGGTTTGCAAGTGAGAAAGGGTGTATACATGTGCACTCTTCCACAACTTTTAGTCTGTCTTTTAAGAGTTTGTTTACACCGAACTAAAGAGGATAGTCCAAATAAGTTATGATCAAAATAAAGACTGAATTAGGAACCCTTGTTGTGTTCTCATTTCACTGTGTACTTCCTTTCTTAACAGTTAAACCTGTGTAATTGTTAAGTCGCGGTGACAACAAGGACTGCATCCGTCTCGTGTGTCATTTGTATCCCTCGTGCACAACGTTGCCTCAAACAAACTAAGCATTCCATAAATACTGGTTAAATGGAGAAGTGGATCGATTATTTCATGCACAAACCAAAAATGGAGAAAATCACTAACACGATCTCTGGAGGGTTTGGTGCAAGTTTAGCTAGTGACAGGACCAGAGCCAGGACCCATGTGACTCCTCCTCGGGTGCTCTTTCCACTGACTTTCTTGGGCTATTTGCTTTATTAATGCCTTTCTTCCAATCATCACTTAAACAAAGACAAGTGAAAAGAAGTCTGACTTTAGCTGACAATGGCAGAAATCATCACTCTGCTGAATAACTAACATAAACATCAACTTCCTACATTAGCACTTCAGGACATCAGCTCAAATAGCTCCATCCCTTCTTTCCCTGCTATTGTGTCCCTTATTAGAATAATAAACTGAAGCTCATATCTCCTCTCTGATTATGTTGTAAACTTTATTAGCATTTCTGGCCTTTAATGCCTTTGCAAAGGAAAAGATGGTGGTTAGACTCTGTGTGGGTGTGTGGGTGGGTGAGTGTGGGTATGAGAGGGTGGGTGTATAGAGCTCATTTGTTTGTTGTTTTAAAAATTTAACATCTGAGTTAGGGAGAATAATGAATTGGTAAGCCACTGGTTTCCTAGAATAAGACTGTTTCTTTCCAGAGAAGAGTAAACTGGCCCTTTTCGATTTTGTTCTAGCAACACAGTAACCATGGATCTGTGAACCTAATAGCTAAATTGTGGTAATCACAGAACACCTTTCTAAAATACACTTTGATATAATCCATTTGTCCACCAACAGCTTACCACAGGTAAATAGATGTTATTTTTCTTGCCAGTGATTATGCTGCTTATATGTCTAATGTGAACGATGGGCTGGACATAGCAAAAATATTTTTGTTTGCTTTTATTGTAATTTTTGTTTTCTTACTTTCTGGTAAACTCTGGACATAGTTTTTTTGTTAGGAGTTTGTGCTTTAATTTTTTTCTTCTACAGATTAACATGAAGGTGATTATTACCATAGAATTATTTACCAAAACACTTATTATAATATAGATAAGGCCCTACTGAGCTTGTTCCTGAAAAGGCTTATGTTATGAATAAAATGTTAATTGTTATATACAGTCATTTCTATGGAATCTGGGATGTTTTCAGGTTGTAGGTCCCGATAAAATTAAATATATCTACCTTATATTAAGTAAATAGTTACCAATAAAATTTTTAAATTGGCATTCACCAGTTTCTATTTAGAATGGTTTGTACATGAAAAAAAAATGATCAACTATTTTAAAAGATAGGATATGCAATTTCAGTTTAGCCAGAAAATACTTCTATAGAAAACAGGGCAACCTGCCACAGTGTCTCAGATTGGGCTTGTCAGAATAGCATCGTATCATGAAATCATGGAATGCTACAGATTGAAATTACTTTGAAGATCTTTTAGTCTGCTTTTATATGTACAGTGGTGTGAATTTGCTCCATGACCCTTGAACATAAGAAAAAATAATGTTTCTTAACTTTTCTGAGTCAAATCAAATCTTGCTAGGCCCTCACCTCTTAGGATTGTTGAAAATCTGTTCTTCCTCATTTGGAAAGGTGGGCCTTTCCTTGAGCCCTGTAAAAACCCAGGGTCATACACAGTGTAGAGAACTCTGGGAGTGATCTTCTGGCCTGCTATCAAGGTCCCTGGGATGTTTAATTTGTCACTTCAGCTAGGCTATGGTGTCCAGTTGTTCAGCCAAGCACCAGTGTAGATATTGCTGGGAAGATATTTTTTAGATATTAGCATTTATCAGTAGACTGAATATAACAAATTGCTCCTCAGAATATAGGGAGGCCTCATCTAATTGAAGGCCTTAATTGCAAAAGCTGAGACTTCCCAAAGAAGCAATTCTGCCTCAAGACTGCAACATAGAAATTCCGCCTGAGTTTCCAGCCTTCAGGTTGCAGACTCAAGATTGCAATACCAACTCTTCCATAAATTTCCAGGCAGTGGGCCTGCTCTCCAAATTTCAAACTTACCAGCCCCCTACAATCATGTGAGCTAATTCCTTAAAATAAATCTCTCTGCTTTGGTTCTGCTTCTCTGGGGAACCCTGATTAATACATTCCCTTTTGAGCTCTTCACTGGCCACGTGTTGCATTCAAAGTTGGACCACTCTGCTGCTCTCAACATCCTCACCCTCTTTGGTAAGTCCTTGCCCCTGTGATGCTTGCTTTGGTCGTCAAAGCAGCAGCCCTTAAGGTTCAGTCCCAGGACTCCACATGCTGCCTCGCCAGAGGTCCTGCTCCATCCTGAGGCCATGTGATGGCAGAGTTCTAATTTGTGTCACTTTGGGGTCTCACTACTTTTCTACCTTCTCAGGCTCTGAGAATCCAGCTCTTCCCCAAGGTTGAGTCATGCCCCAACCAACACCTTCATATCCAAGCATTAGAATCTATCCTTTTCCACCGACCTCAACTCTGACACCTTAGGCAGAACCAACTACCTCTCAACAAAGACCTGAGTGAGGATATATTCAAGAAGGATTTTAAAATACACACAAAGCTGTTTCTTTCTCTTTGGGCAACAAACCCAGAACACAAAAGCTTGACATTATGTACTAGGAAATTTACTCTTTTATTCCTTTGATTATTCTATATCAGTAAGAACAGACACGAACTAATTTTCGTTAAACTATCTTGCTTTGAATGTAAGGAGCCAAGACCCAGAAAAGTTAAGTGGCTTCCTCAAGTTTCCCAGAACACTCCTTTAAGATGAATAAGATGCTATCTGATGCCCTATCCCTCCCACTTCCCACTCCTTCACCTTACATCTGGCTATAAGCGACTGCATGTTTCTGCAAGTTCATGGAGGAACCAGTGTTGAAACTGCTTTGCTACTTCGGTTTGAAATGGCAGGTTGGAAATTGATGCATCACAGTTTCTGGGGCTGTTGGCTGCCAGAGCCTCCCCATATTATTCAGCCACAGGCTTTGGAGGGAAGAGGGACCCTTCTGAAATATGCAACTTAGTGCAAGCTTGAAATTCAGTGGGCGCCACTTGGCATTCATGATTAGAAAGTTCTAAAAAGCATTACATGAAGTATAACTGCTTTATCCCTCCTTTTGATAAGTAATCCTCTCTGTTTTTGTTTTTGTTTTTTAGTTTACCAGCTCAGTAGAGGAATGATGCAAAATGGGGCTTTGGGCTGCGGCATTATAACTTGGGTTCTTCCTATCGATCTCACAGGCTCATTATGTAAGCTTATTTCTTCTGCTGATACAGGAGCAAAAAAGGCTGACTTGTGACATTTTTGCAGTTGCACTCAGTTGTCTAAATATACTCAGACATTCAACAGTACATGAGTAGCCAGCCATTTGGTTTTGCAGCCAAGAAGGCTGTGGCTGAGGATTGCCTGAGAAAATATCTGCTTTTGATCAAAATAAAATTCAAACCGTAAACCAATATATATATTTCATTGCCTATAATAATCTTTGTCCCTTAGGGTCATAATAAAACTGTCAGCTTTATGTGTCACTGGATCTCACTCACTTCTCCCTTTCCCTCACTTTTGCTCTCATTATTCACCTACTTTGTAGCTAATGATTTCTAAATTCTGGTTGGTTTTTTTAGAGATCTGCTTTCTGTAGAGGTTGTCGTATGATGTCCTTGAATTTTTTTATGTTTAATTCTAAGAGAGTGGCATAAGTTCATCAGGCATGAGGACATAGAGTGTGAAATCAGAATATGTCCCCTTGTCATGGCACCATGAAATACATCTGCCAGGAGCAGAAGTCTCAAGATTTCCCCAAAATCTACTTCTGCCAGATTAGCACCTGTGACCACTGCCTTGTGGCCACACATTGCAAGTATTATAAAAAGCACATTGTACAAAATTAAAACAAAGCTCAAATCCTAGCTCTACTGATTGCAGTCTGTTTATAAGTAGTGTGTAAGTTACTTTTCCTCTATGCCTCAGTTGCCTCATGCATAAAATTGGAGATTTAAAACAAAAAATTTACATCACAGAGTTGCTAAGAGGCTTTGGTGAATTAGTGCATGTAAAGCCTGCAGAATGGTACTTGGCACATTGTAAGCACTGAATTAGGGTTACAGCAGTCCCTGCTTATTTAGGGGGAAATGTTCCAGGACCCTTAATTGATGCCAAAACTGTGGATAACACTGAACTCTATGTATCCTGTGGTTTTTACTGTTCATACCTATGATAAGTTTTAATTTATAAATTAGGCACAGTAAGACATTAACAACAATAACTAATGATAAAATAAAACAATTATAACAATATCTTGTTGACATGGTTTTTCTGTGTCCCCACCCAAATCTCATCTTGAATTGTAGCTCCCATAATTCCCACACATTGTGGGAAGGACCAGTGGGAGGTAATTGAAACATAGGGGTGGGTCTTTCCCATGCTGTTCTTGTGATAGTGAATACGTCTCAAGAGATCTGATGGTTTTATAAAGGGGAGTTCTCCTGCACAAGCTCTATTGCCTGCTGCCATATAAGACATGCCTTTGCTCTTCCTTTGCCTTTCACCGTAATTGTGAGGCCTCCCCAGCCACGTGGAACTGCGAGTCAATTAAACCTCTTTTGTTTATGAATTACCCAGTCTCCGGTATGTCTTTATGAGCAGCATGAGAACAGACTAATACAACTGTAATTAAAGTCACATGAATGTGGTCTCTCTCTCTCTATCTCAAAATCTCTTATTGTACTGTACTCACCTATTTTCGGACCATGGTTGACCTTGGGTGACTGAAACCATGGAAAGAGAAACTGTGTATAAGCAAAGACTATTGTAGTTATTATTAACCAGATTTTTGAGAGACTTTTGTTCTGTTTTACTGAAGACTAAAATAGAGTTTACAAGAAAAAAAGTGTATGTATTATATTTGGCTCTGTTATGAACACTGATCTAGAACATAGTAATATTCCTTTGGTTTCCTTTGGATAAAAGCTGTATGCTTATTCTAAAAAAGTCTTTGCTTTCAGGCAGGAGTATTTGAGATTCACCCTCAACAAGTGGTTTTTGAGATCACTGTAGCTTCAAAAATTCTTCAGATGATTGTCTAGATTCACAACCATTTCCTTATGGTTTGGAAAGAAAACAGAGAGGAGATAAAAGTAATAAGCTTGGCTTAAGATGTAGAAGGTTTAAATTCTAGGCTTTCTTTGGCTGCGTAAAAGAAAGTCTCTGAGATTTAGTTTCCTCATCTGAAAATTGAAGGTGTCCCTGCAAAGAAGCTATTTAGGAAACAATTCTGTTGGAGCACTAATTTATAACATACAATTTTAAGTTCTAGATATTTAAAGAGTTAAATGTGAGAGTAAAACTATTTAAGTATTAATATAAAGCATAGATGAATATCTGATATGGCATAAGAAAGGTCTTTCTGTTTAGGGCAATGAATACACAATTCAAAACAATATGTTTACATAAATACATGAATGCATGAAGTGTGTGTGTGTGTGTGTGTGTGTGTGTAAAGCTTACCTCTCGTGGGGGAGTGGAGAGTAATGTGATCAAGGAGGGGTCCTTGGCGACATCAACTCTAATGTTAGTTTTTTAATTTCTTACATCGCAAGAAACATCTGAAAAGGGAAAATCGAGTTATCAAAATTTTTAAAATAACTTCTATAAATAAAAAACTTAAAATATAAAGGCAAATACTACAATAGCATTTTTAACAATGTAGCAGGGAAATATATATACTATATAAACAATTCTTAAAAACTAATAAGAAGGATGAAAATACCATTATAAAAATAAATAAAAGAATACAAAGCCAATCACAGTGTGTGGACCTGATATGGATCTTGATTCCAAGAAACAAACTGCAAAAAAAAAATTAGAAGTATAAGACAACTGGAAATTTTAACACGATATCTGCTGAAAACAAGAATTATTGCTAATCTTTTCAAGTATGATCATGGTACTGTAGATGTGTTTAAAAGCATCCTTAATTTTTAAAGATACATTCGCAGTCATTTACAGATGAAATGGTATGATATCTGGGTTCTGCTTCCACATAATACAGGGGTGGGGTTGGTGGATTAGAGGTAAAACTAAAGGAAGATTGTCCATGAGTTGATAATTGTTAAATATGTATGATGGGCTCGATATTCTGTCAACTTTTGTGTAGTGTTCAAAATCTTCCATAACAGAAGGAAAACAAAAAGCGTAATACTGTGTAGGATGATGAATAAACAATTCAATATGTTTACATAGATACATGAATGCATGAAGTGTGTTCTCTGTGTGTGTGCGTGTGTGTGTGTGTGTGTGTGTGTGTGTGTAAAGCCTACCTGCCAAGGGGGAGAGGAGAGGAATGTGATCAAGGAGGGGTCCTTAGGGACATCAACTCTACTGCTAATTTTTTTATTTCTTATGTTGGGCAAAACATAAAGTGGTGGTTGTTATATTATTTTTTATTTTATTTTGTGCATCTTTGTTATTCCTTTATATGAAAAGATATTTTTAAACTATTCTGTCTCCAATTTTTTTTCAAAAATAGAAAAACATGTTTGTTTCTGTTTTTTTGTTTGTTTGTTTGTTTGTTTGTTTTGGAGACAGAATCTCATGCTGTCACCCAGGCTGGAGTGCAATGGTGCGATCTCAGCTCACTGCAACCTCAGCCTCCCGGGTTCAAGTTATTCTCATGCCTCAGCCTCCCAAGTAGCTGGGATTATAGTCATGTGCCACCAGGCCCAGCTAACTTTTTTGTACTTTTAGTAGAGACAGGGTTTCACCATGTTGGCCAGGCAGGTCTCGAACTCCTGACCTCGAGGTATCAGCCTGCCTTGACCTCCCAAAGTGCTGGGATTACAGGCATAAGCCACTGTGCCCAGCCTAAAAACATGTTTTTTAATAAAAGAAAAAAATAAAGCTAACCATTAGCTATTAGGAATTTTAGCTAAAAGGAATACAAATTTAGATAAGATTCCATGTTGTTTTTTTTCCCAGCAGATTGGAAACGATTAAAACATTATAATAATCAGTGCTGGCTAAGGCATAGTGAATTAGATATCCTTACACACTGCTGGAAATAAAAATTATTTTCTAACATTCTGGAAGGCAACCTGATGTACAAAGCAAAGTAATTCCATTCCTAGGTAGTTATTCCATAGAAATAACCAGAGAGAATCACAAGATTTATATTCAAGTTTGTTCATTGCAATTCTGTTTTACAGGAAAATTGGAAACTTCAGTGTCTAACACTAGAATGTAGTTAATACATGTATGATGGTATGTTCATAAAACAGAATTCTGTGTTGGAATTAAAGAGTCATGTTTCTAATGACATGGAAAATATGCTTGACATATTATTAAATTTCAAAAAGCAAGATAAAGACTGTGCGTATAGCATGATTCCATCTTTGTAAACAATAAACAGCATCTGAGCGTGAGTGTGGTGGCAGGGCTGTCTCAGTTTGAAATTGTGTGCTGCCTTCTGAGATGTAAGCAAGTCTGGGCAGGCCTAAATAACTGGTAGGTGGCCTTCCGGGCTTTTCTCAGTTTGCTTGGGGGAATGAAGGAACCTCCTAGAAAATAACTCATTCTAAGCAAAAAGGGAGTTGTAGAAAACAGTGTGACTGTAAGACTAGGCCCTGGGATGAGAGACTACCCTAATTCTAGTCCAGGGGTGTCTGAATCCTGCATCTGCCTGGGCTCAACCTCTGGGATCTAGGATAGGAGCTGGTCTTGGGAGACAGAGGACGGTATGCAAAGGCAGGAAGAGCTGCTTAAACCAAAAGCCTTGCAACACATCAGAGCACCACCGTGTTTTGGTGTGCCACAGCGGAATGTAACACAGATGTGAAGGAGGGCTTTCTTTGCTGCCTTTCTGTTGGCCTGTGCCCAGCTTGGAACCTTGAACGCTTCAGTGTGTGAGGGCCATTCTTGATTGTAAAAAGCAGCCAGGGGCCTGCCATGTGGGATCCGCCTGGGCTAGTGCCTGGGCACCTGTACATTACTCTCTAGAAACCACAGAAACATGTTGGGAGCAGGGCAAGATTTTCCAGGGGACTAAGGTCCTGCATTTTTACAAGCCAGTAAAACAGAGGTGACACTATCGAAGTGACCCTGTGTTTAACTCCAGATGGGATGACTTGAAGAAACTCACATTACACATATATGTATATATGTCCAGAAAATGACCAAAGAAAATAAATCAGAATGTTATTTGTTCTTATTATAGGTGATTTTAGTTTTTCTCATTTCTGTGTGGGTTGTGATGGTATCAGTTTAAGATTAAATATCTCTACCACTGAGATCCAGATATGACGGAGCATTCCTGAAAACCTTCTGGTGAGTGTTCTATGATCACTATGGTGAAAGCCCCAGGTTTCTGGCTCACTGAAGGCCTGAGGATTACTCTAAGATATTTTACTCTGAAGAAAAAGAAAGCAGATTTGATGTTTATTACTACTGTTATTAGGAAAATATTGAATATGCTATCTCCATTCCCTTTTAGGTCAAATATTCTATATTATTTTATAATTCTGTGAAAATGTTTATAGGTCCATAATTAAATATCTTAGACTCATCTAGGAATATGAATGTATAATAAATAACTCCTGTTGTACAGGTTGCGTTTGGCTCACAAAATTCTCTTTATCTCCTAGTAGAATTCACTAAAATAGTCACGGAGACCATTGATTTAAGTACATTCTTAGGGGCTGGGTGTGGTGATTCAGACCCATTATCCCAGGGATTTAGGAGGCCAAGTAAGAAGGTATGCTGCCCAGGAGTTTGAGGCTGTAGTGAGCTATGATCACACCACTGCACTCCAGCCTGGGTGACAGAGTGAGACCCTGACTCTAAAAACTAAATAAATAATAATAAGTAAAATATTAACATAAGAGATCCAACAGCTAGAAATATCTATAACAATAAAAAACAATAAAATAATTTACTTAAATTGTTTCTATTTCTGCCAGTCTTTTCAATCCCTCACATATCTGGAAGTGGCTCTGTCTTTATTTTAGCTATTAGTGTATTAAACTGTTTTGGATTTCTCAGTGAAGCTGAAATATGAAAATGATGCTTTTGCATATATCAGGGAACCATGTCTGACACAACAGCAGTTTCATGTGATATAAGATAAATGCATTAAGGTTTCAAGGGGAGGAGAAGGGAAAGATGGATCTTCTGAGTTACAAAATTTGACAAAGACAATTTGAATGGGATACTAATAACTTGTATTTTAAAGCTGTCAAAGTCCTGCATTTACTATATATAAAGTACTCACAGTCTTTGTCTAGAAGAGTACCACATTAAGAATATTGTTTTTAGTTAAGATTTTGAGCTTTTAGAATATCTGTTGATTATGGAAGAACCAGCCTTTTGATTAAGATTATTCCTACATTGTTCCCATATTTTTCCATCAGCATTCATAGTTCGTTATTAATATGGTGATCATGTTTGTTTGGGTGAATGGCCTTTATCATATTTCAGTAATTTCCTTTGTTTTCTACTTTACATTTAGCATTAAGAGAATTTTTTATCACAACACTTTTGGTATCTATGATATATTCATGGCTCTTCTCCTTTAGTTTATTGATGTAGTCATTAGACTGAAAGAATTCCTAGTTTTGAATCATTCACACATTCCTGGAACCACCTACCTGATTGTGTAGCCTTCTTTTGATGTACTGCTGTTCTATTTGTTAATAATTTATTTAGAAAATTTGCATATATATCTGTTAGTAAATTTGGCCTACATAGCTTTTGTTCTTGTTGCTCTACTAGCTGTATTGGATGTTGGTATTAAGGCTATATTGATTTTATAAAATGAGCTAGGGAGATTTCCTTTCCACCCCTATGAGTTGGCATCATTAAAATAAGTATTATCTATTCTTCCAACATCACTATCAGTTTAAAATCAATATGGGCCTGATGCTTTTTAAATGGTTAAGTTTTGTCATCTTTCCAAATGCTTATAAAGGTTTTGTTTTTGTTTTTGTTTTTTAGTCAAGTTTCTTTTTCTTTGTGGTCAAATGCTGTAGATGCATTAGTCCGGATGGGTTATGCTAAGCTGAAGTAACAAAACATGCAATCTCAGAAGCTTAACACAGTAAAAATTTATTTCTAGTTCACATCACAGTCTGAGATGGGTCGTCAAAGAGCCATCCTTCAACTTATAGCTATGCTATCCGGAATATTCTAAAATCATCATTAAAAAGGGCTAAAGGGATGAGCAGGCTATGTTTAGGTCCTAGGCCCTGAAAGTACCCTGTATCACTTGTATATTCTCACATCTTTCACCAGATCCCTTCCTCATGGTCTTAGCCTAATAATGAGGCGCCTCAGTGCCTGTAAGAAGAAAGAGTGAGAAAATGAAATAGCATCTCTCTACCATATAAGTTATATTTTGCCAGGAAATTATCTAGTTCCCCTAGATTTTAAAATTCATTGCCATATAATTGATGACAGTGGTGGGCCATCTGGAGCAGCGGCTGCCATCATGCCAGCTGCAGGGGGGAGGCGTGAGTGGTGGCAGCAGGAATGGCTGTGGGAGCAGCGGTGGTGGTGGTGGGTCCCCTGTGCCCTGTATCCCAAGGCAGCCAACTGCACCACCCCCACCCTTGCATGATTGGGCAGGGCCAGCTCCTAGGTCCAGAGCCTCTACCGCAGCCTCAACCTCACTCCTCCACTGTGTCCCAGGGGCCCGCAGCACCTTGCTGAAGGCGAAGCTGGGGCCCGCGGGGCCCACCCTGGGAGCATGAGGTGGTTTCTTTGTACAAGGTTGGCCAGGGATGCCATCCTGGGAGCTGCTGCAATGGGGCTGGGCTGAGTTGCCCACCAGCAGTGGAGCAGTGCAGTCGGGCATGGGGGTGCAGGCAGAGAGGGTCCCTGAGGTGAAGCTGGGCCCAGGGCGATGCTGTGCTCCATGGAGCTGGTGGGAGTGAGGAGGAGGTAGGAGGCCCCCTCCTGGCATGGCTGTAGCCACCCAGGTTGCGGCTGTGGACCTAGGCATCTCTGCACTGTCAGGTGGCCCCGGGAAGGTACTCCCTTGCCCCTGAAGGCTCGGAAGTATCTGTTCCTGCTGCCTGGCCTCTCCTCACTGTCAGTGCCCACTCAGATCATGGAGCAAATTTGAGGCCAATCCCGGGTGCCGTGGCAACCTGGTCGGATGTGTGCACACTGGGAGCAGCACTGACATACCAGGCACCAGCCACCTCGGCCCCCTCCAGACTTTGCGCACCAGTGAGCACAGGAGAGAGGCCAAGGGGGTGCTGAAGGCAGCTTGATTCTGGCTTGCAGGCACCCCTTGGCACAAACAGCCTGGGCACCATGAAGAGCAGCAGGAGGCAGACAGGGGCAGAAGGAGCAGGTCCCTGGTGAAGCCCCACCTTCAAACCAGGGAAGACCTGAAGCCTCGGGGCTAGGCTTCTGGTCCCGTGGGGACCAGAGTGGGAAACTGTGGTGCCTTTTCTGGGCCCGCCCTTGGATGCCCATGGACCAATTGGTGCACACTTCCTCCCCTCTGAGGCCCATAAAAGTCCTAGACTCGGCCAGACTCAAGAAGGCAATGGGAGGACCAGCTGCAGAGAGGAACTGCCCACCTCAGGGTCTCCTCTCTGCTGAGAGCTGAGGAGATGACAGAATGACCAGCTGCAGATGGGAGCTACCCTCTCTGCTAAGAGCTGGATACTCATTGGGAGGAACTGCCTAGCAGAGAGGAGCTACCCCCTCTGCTGAGAGCTGAACACTCATGGGGGCACCTTGGCTATGGAGAGGAGCGGGTCTCCTCTGAGCTGTTCTATTCTCAGTAAAGCTCCTCTTTGTCTTGCTCACCCTCCAGTTGTCTATGTACCTCATTCTTCCCTGATGCAGGACAAGAATTTGGGACCCATTCAGCAGGGCTAAAAGAGCTGCAACACAAACAAGGCTGAGAGACTCCCCTTGCCTGCCACGTTGCGGGTGTCAAGGAGAGAAGAGACAAGGAGGGAAGAGCTGTGGCCCTTCAGGTATCCCAGACCTAGGAGCTCCTGGAGCCAGGGCTGTGAAACCCTCTTTAGGGCTCTGCGGTTCCTGGCGTCTCCAAGCTTCCGGGTGCCACAATCACATTCCCCAGTGTCAGCTGTGGAAGCTGATTTATGGTACTCCTGGTCCAGCTGCAGCCTCCCCGGGAGCTGGTGCCCAGGCCAGCACCTGGAGCTGCCCACACCACCGCAGCCAGTGTGCCTGGCTGTGCACAGTGGCCGGACCCCACACTCGCTCACGCACCCCCTCACCTCTCAGTGCCTGGCTTGCCCTTGGCAGGTGTGGGATCCAGGCCGGTAGTGGGGTCTAGGCCAGTAGCAGGAGCCAAGGGCAGGCTGCCAGGCCGAGTGGGCGGAATGAGTTCAGCAGGCCAGAGCAAAACTCAGTCAAAGGTGCACCCACCGGCCATAGAGGTTTCAGGCTGGCAGAGTGACACCGCGAAGATCCCAGAATTGTGTATAATGTATAATCATTTTAATTGTATCCCTATCTCAAATTATATCTTCTTTGTCATTCTTAATTTTGTATAGTTTTTTTCTCTTTTTTCCCCTTATCTGGCTTACCTGACATCTGTCTATTGGTCTTTGTACTATTCCAAATAAATGAATTAGTGGCGATAAGCAAAAGAAAGTTCCTGCTCCCATAAAATTTTTATCCTCCTGCTTTTGTTCAATCTATTTTGTTGTTTCTTATATAAATCAGATGACTTTTAATTTTTTTTTTTTTTGAGACGGAGTTTTGCTCTTGTTGTCCAAGCAGGAGTGCAATGGCACCATCTCGCCTCACTGCAGCCTCCGCCTCCCAGGTTCAAGCGATCCTCCTGCCTCAGCCTCCTGAGTAGCTGGGATTACAGGCACCCGCCACCATGCCTGGCTAATTTTTGTATTTTTAGTAGAGACGGGGTTTCACCATGTTGACCAGGCTGGTCTCGAGCTCCTGAACTCATGATCTGCCCACCTCAGCCTCCCAAAGTACTGGGATTACAGGTGTGAGCCACCGCGCTGGCCTTAAATTTTTTTTTTAATTTTTAATAAAAACTTTGAATTTTATAAAATTTATTCCAGCCTTAATGTATTCCATAGGTTTTGGTCTTAACAGTTCTCATTTTCTTTCCTTTTTAGATCACTATTTTCCTTTGGTTTTGATGTTTTGATTTTCTCTTTAATTTAGGATTTTAAAAATAAAATGGCACATTTTCATTTCCAAGGAATTAAATTTTTTGATGATTATATCTTTTTTATGTTGAATTATTATCAGATAATGTGGCCTGTAAAGTTTCTACTTTTTAGAATTGATTTAATGTTTTCTTTGTGGCCAAGAACACGATTGATTCTTCTAATGTTCCACAGATTTCAGTACAGAATATATGTTCTCTGATGGAAGACATAGTTTTATACACCTTGTAGATTGTACTATTAAAATAATCTATGTTCTTATTTATTATTTATCTACTTGATCTATCAAATTCTAGAAAAAGTATATTAAATTATTTCACTATATTTCTTTAAAGATCTAGCTGCACTTATAGAACCTTTGTACGTATTTGATGACTACACTATTTTGTGCATTAAATTTTATGCGTAATCTATGGAAAAAAACTTTCTTGAGTCTAGGTGAACTGCATCTCTCACCATTAAACAATGCCTCTCTCAGTTCTGTTTAATGTTTTTGGCCTTGTTGCTTATTGATATTTTCACACCTGCATTCTTTTTTTTTTTTCTTTTTTTTTTTTTTTTTGAGACAGGGTCTCACTCTGTCACCCAGGCTGGAGTGCGGTGGCCTGATCTTGGCTCACTGCAGCCTCCGGCTCTCAGGTTCCAGTGATTCTCCTGCCTCAGCCTCCCGAGTACTTGGGATTACAGGCGCACACCACTGCGCCCAGCTAATTTTTATATTTTTAGTAGAAGCGGGGTTTCACCATGATGGCCATGCTGGTCTCAAACTCTTGACCTCAAGTAATCTGCCCGCCTCAGCCTCCCAAAGTGCTGGGATTACAGGTGTGAGCCACCGCACCTGGCCCATAGCTGCTTTCTATTTGCCTGTTTTGCTGGTACAGGTTGAACACCCCTAATCTGGAAATTCAAAATATGAAATGCTCCAAAATCTGAAAATTTTGAGTGCCAACATGATGCCAAAGTGGAAAATTCCACACCTGACCTCATGTGTGGGTTGCAGTCAAAACGCAGGCAAACGATGAAGATGACATTGTTAACACTGCAGAAAAAGTGCCTATAGATGACATGGTGAAAATGTGTGATGGACTTATTGAAAGAATAGAGAAGCATGCATTCATAGAGAACAGGGCATTATGTCAGTTCATAAACTCAAAGAGACTTCTAAAACAAAAACTGTTATTAATGAGGCAGATGACTCTGGAGCAGACATTTTAAAAAGCCATCTGGCAGAACACCTCCTTATCCACAGAGGACCCACTTCTAGGCCCTCACCTGCCTCTGATGTTTATTCTCACCTAAAACAGAAGAAGAATGCAGTGTACAACAACCTTTAATCAAAACACAGCATTTTAGTTGCAGTTGCAGACTGAAAGCCTGCCATAGTTTGTTGTTGCTGTTGTTTACAGCTGAAACAGATATTCCATGCTGCTTAGTTACCCTGAACACATTAGTTTTTCACTGTATTAATGGTAGGTCATATTTTTTAGTGTTAAGTACTTGCTTGTGAATAAATGTAAGAAAATGATTGCTTATTGGTAGCATATACATTCAGAGTCAGGAGTGATGGTGTTGCCAGACAACCACAGATTGTCCACATGTATGGCTGAGATAGTAACATCTTCCCTTTCTGATGGTTGAATGTACACGAACTTTGTTTCATGCACAAAATTATTTAAAATATTGTATAAAATTACCTTCAGGCTATGTATATAAGGTGTACATGAAGCATAAATGAATTCTGTGTTTAGAATTGGTTGTTGTTCCCAAGATATCTCATTATGTATATGCAAATATTCCAAAATCTGAAAAAATAGGAAATCCAAAACACTTCTTGTCCTAAGCATTTTGGATACAGGGTACTCAATCTGTGTATCTTTGCTCACGTATTCATTTTCAATGATTCTTTGCTACTTTATTTTAGATGAGTGTCATTTCAAAATCATTTTGTGGTTTGGCCGGGTTAAAAAATGTAGTGAGAACTGATATACTCTATTTTATTCCTTCCATTATATTATATGTTTTCTTTATTTTTATTATGCTGTTGCTGTGTTTTCTCCCATTATTACTTCTTCTGCTTATGTCAATTTTTCCTTCGTTGCTTTTTCAAATTTGGTAATTTGAAATTTCTTCTCTCTTTTAAATTCTTCTTGTGGTTAAATCTACAGTTAAATCTATTCTTATCTATTATAATATCAGAATATAATAACAACTATATTGAATCCTATATATTTTATTTGTTCATGTCTCTTCTCCCCGTACCTGAAAATTACAATGTTTTTACTTCTTCACTCTCCTGCATACTCTATTCTTTCTGTCTTGCAGTTTTTTATTCTTAAACTTCAAGAATTTCAATAATACCCAAAGTCTATCTGGGCAGTAAGTGGGGACATTCACAGAGCTCACCTCCTTTGGTTCCTTTCTCTCAGTGCTGATTGTTGTTGGACACATGTTGACTAGTTTTCTAGTTATTTAATGTGGGAGGGTAAATCTAGTCCTTCTAATTACAACATTGCCAGAAGGGAAAGTTTGTTTGTCTCTTTTTAAAGTAACCTTTTGTAAAATTTGGTGAGCTCTATTAATTTGTATCCTCAAGTCTCTTGCTACTCAGGGGAATTTCCTCTCATGATTTAATTTTTTCCTTCCAATTTGCCTCCTCTGGAGTTCCAGAAGGAGCTGCACATGTCGAATTAATCCCTCGTTGGGTCTCCTAGATCCATCCTGCTCTTCTCTTTTTCCTTATTAATTCCACCTCTTGGTATTTTGCTCTGTGATCTGACATCTTTTCCCTATGGAATTTCTGCACTACTAATTTGCTTCTCAACAGTAAATGTAGCCTTAGGTGAGTTGTTTGCCTGATCTTGGTTTTGGGTTCCCTCAGCACCCATGCACACCCAGGCTGTTAGGTCTGGGGAGCATCAGGTGGTGTGAGGCAGAGCAGAATCCTTCTGTCCTGGAAAAGCAGCAAATGACTTCTTTATAGACTGTGAAAAATAAAGGGCAATGTTCGATGGCTGTCATTTTGGAAGCATTGATTTCTTCCCAAAGTCCCACTGTGTACAGTATTATGCCATTAATTTCTGTACATCCTTCTATCCCAGATTTCCTCGAATTGTGTTTGGCATTCTGCTTCTGAAGATTCCAGAATCACTCCCTCACTCAACACGTATCTATTGAGCATCTGCTTTTCGCCAGGCACTATTTTAGTGACTAGGGAAATGCCTATGAACAAAAACCTTGCTCTGCTGACACTTACCATCTAAAAGGGAGAGACAGAAAATAAACAAAACAATGTATACTTGGAGGTGTATGGTAAGTCCCATGAAGGCAGATAAGCAAGGTAAGGGGAATGGGCATGTGGGATCTGTCATGCTATTTAATTTAGGAGGGTCAGGGAGAGCTTCCTTTAGTAGGGTCCTGAAAGAAGTGGGGGTGGGGAGCGATGTGGATTTTGAAGAAAAAACTTTCAGGCCGGGCACAGTGGCTCACGCCTATAATCCCAGCACTTTGGGAGGCTGAGACAGGTGGATCACTTGAGGTCAGGGGTTCGAGACCAGCACAGCCAACATGGTGAAACCCTGTCTCTACTAAAAATACAAAACTGAGCTGGGTTTGGTGTCTGGTGCCTGTAATCCCAGCTACTCGGGAGGCTGAGGCAAGAGAATCACTTGAACCCAGGAGACGGAGGTTGTAGTGAGCTGAGATCATGCCACTGCACTCCAGGCTGGCAACAGAGTGAGTCTCCATCTCAAAAAAAAAAAAGAAAAAGAAAAAAAAACTTTCAAATGGAGGCAGCAGCAAATTGCATGACCCTGCAGTGAAAACTGCAAGGAAACCCGGAGGGTTAGAGCAGATGAGCAAGGCAGAAAGTGGTGAAGGTGAAGGCAGAGAAGTAGCTGCAGACAGAGAAGTAGCTACAGACAAAGAATGCAAGGTATGCTCAACCCCGGCACACATTAGGTCCACCTTTGGAGCTCCACCTAGAGAGAGTATGATTTAATTGGTCTAGGGTGAGGTCCAGTCATGGATATCTTTTTGAAAACTCCCCAGATGATTCATATGTACAGTTGGGGTTTAGGTCCTATGATGTATGGACTTTTCAGAAAAAGTAAAGCTTTAGATTTTGTTCTCTGGATTAAGTAAGAAAATAGGCTCTGAGTAAAGAACAAATAAGTGTCATGTGGGATAAGTATTGTGAAGAGAAACAAAGCCAGTAATAGGGGTAATGAGGAATGAAAGTGCCAGAGAAGGTTTTATTTTAGGGGAAGTAGTCAGTGGAAGACTATCAATTCTAGTGATAAAAATTTTCACAGTAGCCGAAAAGTGGAAAAACCCAAATGTCCATCAACAGATGAACATATAAACAAAATGTGGTATATATATCCAATGGAATATTATTCAGCCTTAAAAAGGAAGGAAATTCTAACATATTACAACACAGATGAATCTTGAAAATATTATGTTAAATGAAATAAACCAGTCATAAAAGTGCAAATATTGTATGATCCCACTTACATGAGGTGCCTAGAATAATTAAATTCATAGGGACAGAAAGTAGAATAGTAGGACCAGAGGCTGGGGATTGAGGAATGGGAGTTACTGTTTAACGGGTACAGTTTCAACTTGGGATTATAAAGAAAGTCTGGAAATGGATGATGATGATGGTTGCGCAACAATGTGAATGTGCTTACTGCCACTGAACTGCACCCCTAAAAATGGTTAAAATGGTAAATTTTCTTATATCTATTTTACCTGTATATACATTTTATATATATATAATTAACATAGAGTATATGGGAATTCTTTGTACTTTGTTTTGATTTTGCTATGAACCTAAAATTTTTCTAAAAAATAAAGTCTATTTTTAAAAAAGAAAATTTATCCAAACTTTAGGTTGTTTTTGGCAAAATATATACAACTGAGGACCACAAAGGACAGAAATATATGTAGGAAGAAGCTTAGCTACTCTGAAACAATTAACTGGAAAAAAGAACAAAGGAAAGTAATTATGCAGTTACATAGTCATTCAAGGCTACTGGACATTGTTTGAGGGAGATAATGTCAGATCCCTGGTATGAATGAAAAGAAGAGTGGGATTAGAACATGTTTTCCTGCTAGCCTGCAAAGTTCACTCTCAGTATGTCTTGACTATTAGGACTCTGCATGATTCATATTAGGTCTTGACAGCAGTAGGCCCTGATAATTCTAATGTCTGTATAAGCAGAATTCCACTGGGTGGGAGCAGAAAACAAGGCTATTCCTCTGCCCCTTCAAACCAATTCTTAGCTTTTGCTGTGACTCAAGTCATTTTTAGTCACCAGAGCAACCCATTTTAGTAAACAAAATGTGCAGTTCAATGTAACACATTTCCAAGCTTCATTTAAAGTTAGAACTTCTCCCTGACCCCAGCCTGGACCCACTGGGTCACAGAGGCTTCCAATCTCCTGCCTTCCTTCTCCTTTCCTTTGCCCTTACTGAGTTGCAGGCTGAGAATGACGAGAGGTAGAAGAGGTAAGGGACAGGGCGGACCCTGCTGGACCAGCAGTGATGTCATCAGGTCCTGGTTCCCAGGCTTGGAGCAGATTCCCAGAGCTGATTCTTCCTCTGATGGAATGATTCCATGGATTCCTTAAAGATGCTCCTCACTGGAGGCCTCCCTCTGCAGTCCCCTAGATATAAGCAATGCCTCTAATTGACAGGCTACATATACATAATCCCTTTGCCCCTGCACACCACTGGAATTCCCTTCCAGGCAGTGCTCTTGAACTTGATTCAACAGGGCTCCAAGCCAGATTCTTCCTATGTGGCCTAAGTCTAGTTGAGTCCAAGAACCACTACACACTCCTGCCACCCTTGCTGAGCAAGCAGTGCACTCACAGTACAGACCTTTCCCACTCCTTTGCTCTGCCATCTTGGGCTACTCTAGCTAGAACTTCTCCACCAGCCCTCATGCTCCCCAACTTCAGGAAGCATAGGTCAAGCTCTCAGAGTGTTTTCCTTGAAGCCCTTCTCTAGCTTGGCTTAAGGTGATGGAGAACTGACAATCACCAACCCCTCCCCTTACAAGATATGATCAGGAAAACCCCGAAGTATTCCAGCAACATACTCCAAAGAAATCCTCTCTCTTACTCTGCATCTTTAACCTCATTAAATTTATGCCTTTGAGAGGAAAATGGGTAGGGGTTTAAGTATTCTGTTTTTACAGTGGTGGTCTAGCACCTCTTCTTAAAACATCAGGGTTTTGGGAAACCATTATTTTGTTGTTGGCCTTTGTTACCTCAACCAAAACTCAGACTTAAAAATCCTTTTAACTTGTTAACACGAATTCTCTCCACATTAAGTAAAACATATTAGTTTATATTGTTTTACAAATGATTGACCCAGGTAATATATTTTAAATCATGAGCTACCATTATTGCCTGCCTCCCTGCTACCCCTATAGTTTTTATAGCTTAGTAAATGACTGTAAATTTAGAGGAGTAACAGGAGAATGCTAATCATCTCATTGCAAAAGAAGAACAACAAAAACTTATTTCTCCCTTGTTTGTCAACTCATTCAGGAACTCGCTCCACTGTATGAGTAAGAACAAAATGTTGTAGTAGTAAATACAAACATAAAGCATAATTAAATCTTGCTTAATTGGAATATTTTGAATAAACTACTCTGCTAAATTGAATTTTCAGGTTAAGCAGCAACCCCTTTCTGTTTCACTGTTTGTTATTAAATATCTTCCTTAAATTCCTTAGCTGCCTTAAATTCCTTTTGAAATCAGGCAACATATAAACGAACTCAAATTAAAATATATTTCCTTTTCTGCCTTAGTATGGATTGTAGGAAGCTTAATTTAATATTGAGAATTATAGGAAATGGAAGGTAGTAGCCCTTGTACCCTTGGCCTTCCTGCTCTGATTTTCTTACACACTTCTGGGGATATCCATGCCCTATAGGAAAGTAAAGCAATGGGCAGGGCAGCCTCATACCTGAGCAGCTAGGAATCAAAGTCAAGTCATTAGTCTCCAGCCAGGTACTGCTTTGAGCGTGAGAATGTGAAGAACCCAATTTGAAACACTGTCCTAGATTCCACTGTGTTGAGGGAAGACTGCCAGAATAATATACTGACATAATAATTTGCTTGCTCTTCTGTACTCTTCTCTTACTCTATTTCATGCAGTTAGCCAGGCTTTTTACTTCCTCCATGAAGGATTTTGGCAGAATATGCTGGAGGTCAACAATTTTTGAGTAACACCCATTGAATAAATTTTGTGGTGAGACTACAGGATAGGAGGAGAGTGATTTTGAGAGGCTAACAGTAGGGGCAGGGAATTCTATAAGTTGTGGAGGAGTGAGGGGCCTATGGGACCCTGGCAGTTTTCTCAGAGGAGGTGAAAGTCTGGAGAAACAGAGTTTGCAAGGTGTACCTTGGGAGGAGGGATTTCAGGCATAGTTTTCTGGTTTAGGCAAAGGCGCCTACTTCATCCATGATAAGAGTAGAACTTTTGAAGAGAATGGAACCATATATACAGTAATAATGAATATTTGGAACAAAAACCAATATGGCCTAATGACTGAAAGGGGTTTTCATGTGCATTGGTGTCATCTAAGACCCCAAAATCTTTATACAACTTAGGGCATGAGTACGTGTAGTCAAGGAAAAGAGACACCAAAGAGACTAAGCCTAGTAGGACTGATGCTGGGAGTAAAATTAAGTAGATTTAAAGAATGATGACATTTGTTGCACCCTGGGTATGTGCACTAAGACTCCTTGTCTCTGAGTTCAATGAGTTTAGGACCCATGGTTGTGTTCATTCACCATTAAATCCCTTAGTCCAGCCCTTGGCACCTAAAAGGTGCATAGTAAAGTAGAAATGCACAACTTCTCCATTAGAATCTTCCATTGTTTTGCATAGAATAAGAGACCTGTTGATATTGTTGACTTAATTTTCTTATCTCTAAAGTATTGAAAGGAGTTTTTTTTTTGTCTCAGAAGGTTGTAATAGGGTTTAAATGAAAAACACAATCCAGGCGCAGTGGCTCACACCTGTAATCCCAGCACTTTGGGAGGCCAAGGCGGGAGGATCACAAGGTCAGGAGATGGAGACCATCCTGGCCAACATGGTGAAATCTCGTCTTTACTAAAAATACAAAAAAATTAGCCAGCCATGGTGGTGGGCACCTGTAGTCCCAGCTACTCGGGAGGCTGAGGCAGGAGAATGGCATGAACCCAGGAGGCGGAGATTGCAGTGAGCCGAGGTGGCGCTACTGCAATTTAGCCTGGGCAACAGAGCAAGACTCCGTCTCAAAAAAAAAAAAAAAGGAAAAAAAGAAAAACACAAGTGCTTATTAGGCAGACCAGGCAAGTTTCCTTCTGGTTCCTCTGTACTTTTTTTTGAGACCTTGACATGCTTCCCTTGTCCAGGGTCCCCTTTGAAGGCTTCACAGCTGTAATAAAATCTCACAGATTTCTGAGGGCTCTCTGTCTGTCTTTTTCTAGGCTTCCCCAGAAGCCATGGTTACCCAAGGCAAGGTTCCGAGGTAGGTGATGATGTTGCAGATGGCCTTTTTGTGTAAATGACTAGGCAGCTAGTCAATAGTCTGTGAGGTGCCTGGAGCTGTATTTCCCCTCAGCAGGGGCACATTATCCTTGATGGTGACTGACTTAGCCACCTAGATCCTTTGAATAGGGATTTCAAGTATGAAGTACTAAAGAGTCAACGGTTACTAATGCAGGCAGAAAGTCATCCACTTATTTATTCAACAAACACTTATTAAGTCTCAACTATTTTCCAAATACTCTTCTAGAAGATGACAAATAGCTAACACAGAAAACAAACGAATATTCTGCCCTCCTAGTGCTTTACATACATTCTTGTGGGAGATAAAACAATAAACACATACTATTTTTAATTGATTCAAAGACACGCATCTTTTCACATTTTTAGATCTCTGGAAAAGGGAATACATCTTATAGTCACTGGCATCTTACAAGCACACCAGTCATTTTTCTATGTGAACTTAGATATAACTGTTTATAACTATAAACACAATTAAATTATGTGCATTGCTGGAATTTAAATACTGCTTAAAATGCCTTCAAAGGATAGCACTCTTATGTGGCTGAAAAAGAAAATGTAGACTAAACAGTCTCAGAAATAGAGAAATGGGACATAAATTGATGTTAGAATACCAAGTATTACCATTTGAAGAATGACCACAAGTTTATATTTCTTGCTTTATTAATACTAAGAAAGGAAGATGCTCACAAGTGGATGAAGCTGTATTGCATTTTATTAGTGAGATACTGTGTGGAAAAACACAGACATTGACAAGTATGAGTTGAGGAATGAATCAGAAGATTAACCTGAATGTAAAGATGTTTTATGTATAACTAAATTGATTTATTTTGCTTACATTTCCCTTTTTATGGGAAGGAGATATGATTTTTTTAAAAACCATGTCTAAATAAGTCTAAAAGAGCTCTTTCAATGAGTATAAAATAAAAATTTTAAGTGACAAGAAAGATGATGTGAATTTTGTCAGAGTTTCTCTTTCTTGATGGGTGTATGAAATAATAGCACATATTTCAACTGATAACATCTCAGAACTGATGAAATTCAGCAGCTATATAATGTCCATGCTAAGTGCCATAAAGAAAATAAAGCAGGTAAGGAGATAGAGAGTAATGGGAAGATTGTGTTGTTTTCAGGTGTGGTATTCAAGGAACACCTTCCTACTAAAAAGACATTTAAGCAGAAATCTATAAGAATTGAGAAAGTAAACCATGCAGATGTCTGGGGGAGGGCTTTTCCACATAGAAGTACTGCAAAGGCAGATGTTCCGGAGAGAGAGGATGTATGAAGTGTCTGAGGAATAGAAAAGAGTTTCCTGTGGCTGGAGCACAGTGAATGAGGGGGAGAGTGATATTAGCTGAAGTCCAAGAAGTAGTGGTGGAGGTACATACACATTATGGGAGACCTGGGAGACTATGGCAAGGACTTTGGATTTTAGTCTTAGTTTGATGGAAAGTCATTGGGGATTTTTCAACACTAAATACTGCATGAAGAACAGAGTAGGCAGCAAGGTAGGAGCTATTGCAATAGTCCGTGGAAGACTTGATGGCAGCATGTACTAGAATATTCATGGTGGAGGTGATGATTGCATTTTGAATGCATTTTGGAGGTAAAATCCACAGGATTCATGGATGGGTTGTATATGCAGATATGAGAAAAGGAAATCAAAGATGGCTCCAAAGTTTTTGGCCTGTATACCTTATTAAATGGTGGTATCCCTCATTGAAAAAGGTATGACTCTGGGAAAATAAGGCCTTGAAGAGAGCATAAGGAAAGGAATTATTACCTAAGTTACACATCTAAGAGGAAAAGGTGACTACACAGTCAATATAAGACTCATTGATCAGGGCAGAGGCTGAGGCTGTAGAAATACATTTAGGAGTCCTCAGAGTATGGATGGTATTGAAAGTTATCAGACAGGATGAGATCACCATGGGAGAGTGGGTAAAAGAGAGTGAAAGAGGGAAGCAGCCAGTGAATTGGGGAGAAATCAGGAGTATTTTGAAGCCAAGTGAAGAAAGTGTTTTGAGAAGGTGAAACTAATTAATGCAGTGTCAAATGTTGCTGACAGGCCAGTTAAGATGAGACCTGAGCATTGAGCATTGGACTAAGCAATGTAAAGGTCATTGATGGCATTGACAGAGCCCTTTCAGTAGAAAAGTGGATACACAACCAGACTGGAGTAGATTCAAGAGAAAATAGAAGGAGAAGACAGTGAGACTGAGGAAAGACAGAGCGTAGGTGACTTTTTCACGGGGAAAGAGAAACGGGTCAGATGCTGGGGGGAGATGTGAAAAGTTTTCTCCTTTCTGCATTTTTTTAAATAATGAAAATTATTACAGGATCTAAGTGTTGTTGATGATAATGTGGGCAACCCAACAGAGATAAAATATTGGAAAGAAAATAACCCAAGAGTGGACAAAAAGCAAGGAGATTCAATGAACAAGTGAAAGACTTGTATAAGAGCTTTAAAAAGTCTGTGATCATGGTCCAGATTCAAGTCATATTAACAGACAATTCGCCATGGGCCTCTCAGGGTTTTGCATATCTTGTGAACAAAGGCACTGACTCCTTTTATTTCCAAGTACCTCTTTAAAGATGTTGGTATAATAAATAGCCTTGGCAGATAGAGATCCTGTCTCCCTCTGGAGCAAAGAGGAGACCTGTTCTCTGCCCATCATAAAAGATGTGAGTCCCTAGTCTCAGGGTTCTTCTTCTGAACACAGCCTATGGCATCAGCAAGGATCCGTTGGGACTTATTTGTCAGGGACATGGAGGAGTGGGAAAGGTTGGTAAATATGCTGATGCTCATGTTGCTTTCTGTGCAATGAATAATATAGTTATTTGTCTCTGACCCAGGAGTCCTGGGTCTTCTGCCAGCATTCATGAAACCCTATTAGGCTAACTTGTTAACTTACATATGTGGTAAAATCTCAGACCATTCAGTCCTTGACATAGCTCTGCCAAGTCATACTGGGGGCATATGTGAGGATTTTTGGACATAATTATAGAGTACCAATGGTCTGTATGGTCATTCATTTTTCTCTAGCCACTTTTGGCAACAGGGGTATAAAAGGAGAAGAGGCAGAAAATTAGACTTAACTAGGGGTTGGATTTCATTCAAGGTAAGAATGCTGAAGTGAAATCATGGTGGACTTGAAGAATTGCTGAAATCTCTATAGTAGGGGTATGATCTGAAAAGGTAGAAAGGAGGAGTTTGGTAGTAAGATGCTTGAAATTGAAATTTTGCAGTCTATCAACTTAACCACTCAGCTACCTTATCACAACAGCAAAATTGACATTCTGGAAGTGGTAACATTATGGGTAATTGGTCCCTACGTTGATACTGATGTCACCAAGAATGAAGACCAAGGTAGTGGTAGAAAGGTAATAAATCAGAGATAAAACCTCCCACGAGTGAGAAGAGTGTTGTAGATGACTACAATAAGAAGGTGGTATATTCTTATCAAGGTGGTGTTCCTTCCTACAGTGAGTACCTTAACAGAAAGTCATAGAAAATCACCCTCTGGATGAATGCAGCCTTGCTCAAACGTGGCTTGGAGAATGGTTTATATCTCTGTGCAAATTAGAAAATGGAACCCTTCTTCTGGTCACAGCCAGCATCCACAAAGCCTTCTATAGGCTCTGCCTCCACATCACTGCATGGTAGCCCTGAAGAGGATGGCATTTGTTTCCCCCAAAATAAGCTATTTCTGATTTTTTTTTTTCGAGATACAGTCTCGCTCTGTCACCTGGGCTGGAGTGCTGTGGTGTGATCTCAGCTTACTGCAACCTCTGCCTCCTGCGTTCAAGCAATTCTCATGCCTCAGCCTCCAAAGTAGCTGGGATTACAGGTGTCCGCCACCATGCCTGGATAATTTTTTGTATTTTTAGTAGAGACAGGGTTTCACCATGTTGGCCAGGCTGGTCTTGAACTCCTGACCTCAAGTGATCCGCCTGCCTTGGCCTCCCAAAGTGCTGGGTTACAGGCGTGAGCCACCGCACCCGGCCGAAATTTTTGTATTTTTGTTTATTTTAAGGAAGAAGGGGAGTTTTTTCTAGGAATGGCAATGGCAAGAATGGATAAAGACTTACAAGGGATGGTTGTTATTCTCCTGCATCCCAAGACCAAATGTTCTGTAGGATGCAGGAGAATAACAATCATCACTTGTAAGGATCATAGGGGTAGCAAAGCCCTCAAGGGAGAGTCTGGCTACAGTGAGAGGAAAAAGGTTTAGAGAAGAATTCAAAGACATAGAGTATTTAACTGAGACAGGCAATGAGTGTCAAAATGCAAAATGGGTAGCTGGCCTGGGAGGGTGGAAGACTGTGCAAAATTAGAGACTCATATGCAGATAAGAATCCCAGAGATAATGAAGGATAATCTAGAAAGTCTGTGTGGTAAGATAGAACTTTATGGATTTAGACTTGATGGTCTCTTAGCATTTTCAAATTATTCTAACTATAGGCACACCTGGTTTTATTGTTATTCACAGATATTGTGCTTTACGTTAATTGTACTTCACAGATACTTCACTTTTTACAAATTGAAGGTTTGTGGCAACCCTGTGTTGAACAAGTCTGTCGCCATCATTTTTTCCAAAAGCCTGTGCTTGCTGTGTGTCTCTGTGTTACATTTTGGTAATTCTCTTAGTATTTCAAACTTTTTCATTCTTATTATGTCTGTTATGATGATCTGTGATCAGTCATCTTTGATGTTACTATTGTAATTGTTTTCAGGAACCATGAACCACCCCTGTATAAGACAATGAACTTGATAAATGTTATGCATGTTTTGACTGCTCCACTGACCAGCTGCTCCCCTGTCTCTATCCCTCTCTTCAATCCTCTCTATTCCTTCAGAGACAATAATATTGACATTAGGCCAATTAATAGCCCTACGATGGCTTTGATGTATTTGAGTAAAAGGAAGAGTCATACATCTCTCACTTTAAATCAAAAGCTAAAAATGATTAAGCTTAGTGAGGAAGGCATGTCAAAAGCCAAGACAGACTGAAAGCGAGGCCTCTTGCACCAAACAGCTAAGTAGTAAACGCAAACAAAAAGTTCTTGAAGGAAATTAAAAGTGCTACTCCAGTGAACACATGAATAATAATAATAATAATAATAAAGCAAAACATCCCTATTGCTGATGTGGAGAAAGTTTGAGTAGTCTGGATGGAAGATCAACTCAGCCATAACATTCCGTTAAGCCAAAGTCTAATCCACAGCAAAGGCCAAATTCTCTTCTATTTTATGAAGGCTGAGAGGTGTGAGAAAGCTGCAAAAGAAAAATTGGAAGCTAGCAGAGGTCGGATCATGAGGTTTAAGGAAAGAAGCCATCTCTATCACATAAAAGTATAAGATGAAGCAGCAAGTACTGATGTAGAAGCTGCAGCAAGTTCTACAGAAGATCTAGCTCAGATCATTGATGAAGGTGGCTACACTAAACTGTTTGAATGTGGATGAAACAGCTTTAAACTGAAAGAAGATGCCTTGTAGGACTTTCATAGTTAGAGATGAGAAGTCAGTGCCTGGTTTCAAAGCTTCAAAGAGCAGTTTGACTCTTTGGTTAGGGGCTAATATAGCTTGGGACTTTAAGTTGAAGCCAAGGTTCATTTACCATTCTGAAAATCATAGGGCCTTTAATAATTATGCTAAATCTACTCTGCCAATGCTCTACTAATGAAACAACAAAGCTGGGATGACAGCACATCTGTTGACAGCATGGTTTACTGAATATTTAAAGTCCATTATTGAGAACCACTGCTCAGAAAAAAAGATTTCTTTCAAAATCTTACTGCTCACTGATAGCACCTGGTCACCCAAGAGCTCTGACAGAGATGTACAAGGAGATAAATGTTGTTTTATGCCTGCTTACACAATTCATTTTTCAGCCAATGGATCAAGGAGTAATTTCAACTTCCAAGTCTTATTATTTAAGAAATAAGTTTCATAAAGCTATAGTATAAATAGTGATTCCTCTGATGGATCTGGGCAAAGTAAATTAAAAACCTTCTGGAAAGAATTCACCATTCTAGATGCCATTAAGAACGTTTCTGATTTATAGAAAGAGGGCAAAATATCAACCTTAACAAGAGTTTGGAAGTTGATTCCAATGCTCATAGATGACTTTGAAGGGGCCGAGACTTCAGTGGAGGAAGTAACTGCAGATGTAGTGGAAATAAAAAGAGAACCAGAATTAGAATTAAGGCCTGAAGATGTGAATGAATTGCTGCAACCTGATAAAACTTTCAAGGATGAGGAGTTGCTTCTTATGGATGAACAAAGAAAGTGGTTTCTTGAGATAAAATCTAATCTGGTGAAGACATATAAACTATCTTAAAATAACAACAAAGAATATTACAAAAATTGGCTGGGTGTGGTGACTCACACATGTATTCCCAGCACTTTGGGAGGCCGAGGCAGGTGGATCACCTGAGGTCAGGAGTTTGAGACTAGCTTGGCCAACATGGCTAGTCTCTACTAAAAATGCAAAATTTTTTTACCCCATCTCTACTAAAAATACAAAAATTAGCCAGGCATGGTGGCAGGCACCTATAATCCCAGCTCATGTCAATCTACAGCGGCTTTTCAATCACTACAGCTTCTGGGGACCACTAGGGCTATTGCTGGAGTTTCAACTGAAATCAATGCCTCCAACAGATCCTCAAGAGGGAGGCCAGCTGACATAGTATCTTGACATTCCTCCCTCCCTTCTTCCATCCCTTTCTTCCTTCCTGCCTATTCTCCCTCCTTCCTTCCTTTATATTCTTACAATAAACCTCTATTGTCTAAGGTAGATTTAACATATGTGTGACCTTTGAAAATAGAAGGGACCTGATGGATGAACAATGGCAGTAAATCACAATGCCTCACACATATTGGCAGGTCAAAAATAGTAACAAAGAGTAACAAAATGGGCTCCTCCCAGGATTCAGACTTACCTTCTCTAAAACAGTGCCTCCGTAACTTCCTTGTGCAAATGAATCACCTGGGAATCCAGTGCAAGTGTAGATTCAGTGGATCTGGAGTGGGGCCCTGCCTCCTGCCTGCTGGTCTGCACGCTACACTTAGCATAGAAAGACTCTAGAGCAGGGAGAGAGGAATATGGACATTTATGTATAAAGCAGCACTGCCCAGCCTTTTTGTCACCAGGGACCTATTTCATGGAAGACAATTTTTGCATGGATAGTTGTCGGGGGATGGTTTTGGGATGATTCATCCTCCTTATGAGAATCTTCATTTATTATTAGATTCTCATAAGGAGTATGCCCAACCTAGATCCCTCGCATGCACAGTTCACAACAGGGTTCATGCTCCTAAGAGAATCTAATGCCACCGCTTATCTGACAGGAGGCTGAGCTCAGCCTCGCTCACTTGCTCGCCACTCACCTCCTGCTGTGTGGCAGGGTTCCCAACAGGTACTAGTCCGTGGTCTGGGCATTGGAGATCCCTGCTATAAAGGGCCAGATTGTAAATATCTTAGATTTTGGGGACTAAAATCTAAAATATTTTAGTCAGGGTTCTCTAGAGGGACAGAACTAGTAAGATAGTTGTATATATGAAAGGGAGTTTATTTAGGAGAATTGACTCACACGATCACAGGGTGAAGTCCCAGGATAGGCCTTCTACAAGCTGAGAAGCAAGGAAGCCAGTCCAAGTCCCAAAACCTCAAAAGTAGGGAAGCCAATAGTGCAGCCTTCAGTCTGTGGTCAAAGGCCTGAGAACCCCCAGAAAACAACTGGTGTAAATCCAAGAGTCCAAAGGCCAAGGAACCCGGAGTCTGATGAAGGGCAGAAAGCATCAAGCATAGGAGAAAGATGAAAGCCAGAAGACTCAGCAAGCCAGCTTATCCCACCTTCTCCCACCTGCATTGTTCTAGCAGTACTGACAGCCAATTGGATGGTGTCCATCCAGATTGAGGGTGGGTCTTCCTCTCCCAGTCACTCACTCAAGTGTTAATCTCCTCTGGCAACATTCTCGCAGATACACCCAGAAACAATTATTTACCTGCTATCCAAGCATCCTTCAATCCAATCAAGTTGACACCTAATATTAACCATCATAGGGACCACACAGTCTCTGTCATAACTCTACTACTCTGCCATTGTAGTATGAAAGCACAAGGCCATAGACAATAAAGAAGTGTACCTATGCTTCAATAAACTTTTATTTGTGGACACTATAATTTGAATTTCATATGATTTTTTACATGTCACAAAATATAACTTTGCTTTCATTTTTTTCTCAATCATTTAAAAATGTCAAAATCAGCCAGGCAGGGTGGCTTATGCCTGTAATCCCAGCATTTTGGGAGGCTGAGGCAGGCAGATCATTTGAGGTCAGGAGTTCAAGAGCCGCCTGGCCAATATGGTGAAACCCCATCTCTACTGAAAATACAAAAATTAGCCAGGCATGGTGGCAGGTGCCTGTAACCCCAGCTACCCAGGAGGCTGAGGCAGGAAAATTGCTTGAACCCAGGAAGTGGAGGTCACAGTGAGCTGAGATCATGCCACTGCACTCCAACCTCAGCAACAGAGAAAGACTCTGTCTCAAATAATAATAATAATAATAATAAAAGAAAATAAAAATGTAGAAATCATTCTTAGCTCACAAGTCACACAAAAATACATGTTGAGCCAGATTTGGCCCAGAAGCACTAGTTTGCCAGCTCCTGCTCCAGAGAGAATCTGTTAGTTTCCTATGCCCAAAATCAATTTCACTGTCCCATAAATACACCTTCATTTTGGGGGAGATGGTGGAGGGAGACTACCATGGTTTCAATTTCCTGAAGTCATAATGGGGCCATGAATTACGATATCCTGACCGAAGTGTAGGCATATGACCCAAGCTAGGCCAATCATGTATTCTCTCTCAGGAATTTGGCTCTTTGATAAAGTGACCTAAGGTTTTATGATGCCAGTTTCTCCCATGGGGGCGCCCAAAAGACAGTGTCCAGTAGTTCTGCTTCCTAGATCCGGGAGGCATTGAGATAATTCCTTTGTAGAAAATTGTCTTGCAATAATATGGTATACACATCTGAAACCTTCCTAGCTATAACGTATGCCAGTTTATTTATTAGAATTTAAATCTAAATTTGTACTTTTTTGCCAGCTCCATGAAAATGCATCTGGGCCCTTTAAATATTTTTCTTTTGTCAGCTGGTAGAATGTGAAGCTATAGCAGTTGAGGGCAATGGAGAAGCACTGCAGAAGGAAAGGGTTTTGCTTGCTGGTGCTGGTGTGTCAGCCTGGAAAGCCCTATAGTGTGACAGTTTCCCCAGCACAAAGCTCCTGAAGCAGGCACAGCTCCTCCAGTATTTCACTTCTGGATCATGTGCAGCTTTTGCAGCATTAGGCTTCTGCAGTGCACAGCAGCCGGCAGCTGCCCCTGGAACACCCTTTAGGTGGTTTTGCCACAAAGTGCCTCTGGTGAGATATATCCCTGTGAATAGGTTTCCTCAGCAGCCTTCATTCGCTGGAAGATTTTCAGCAAGTTGTACTGGTATGACGTCACAATTATCTGCCATCTGGTTAGCTATGTCATGCCCTCTCCAACATGGTTGGGATCTCAGCCTTGAGGGGAGGGAGCTCTTCCATGGGCGTCCAGCTAAGCCACAAAGGTAGTGGCTACTGCTTATATCTGTTATTTCTGCATTGTTTAGAGTTCATTTCTTATTACTGATCCCTTGTTACTGTAATATTCTATTGGAATTAATCATTCTTTTTATTGAACTTTCTCTGTTAAAATAACTGTGTGGTTTCTGTATCCCGTTTGGACTCAGACTGACATGTAACCAAATTAACCTCCAAAATGATGATACCAATTCACTATTTTATACCAGCAGTGTATGAGAGTTTTCATTTCATCAGTCCTTTGAATTAGAAGATCTTTAATGGTTGCCTGTTTGATGAGTTTGAAATTGTATCTCCTGGAAGTTTTAATGTGGTGTTTCCTGATCCTGAGCCCCCTTTAACCAGTCTCCTCAAGCATTATCTGCACTGGGCTCTGCCATACCAGGCAGAGGCCTGGCTCCTCTAGGCTTTAACTGGTCACTCTCTGGACACTGTGCCACACAAAGTACCTTGAAGCAGTAAGGTGTTTTCTTCATAAAGATTCTAGGCCCAAATCTGATTACTATGTTAGACTCTTTCAGATTCCTATGGCCTACATTTTAGAAACCTCTGATTCACCAATTGTGAACATTGTCTCATACTTTCTTTAGCATATACACTCTCTTCATACATGTATATATGTATATGTAGACATAATGTGAATATATACATACATATATTATTTTTAGAACCACTTAAGAATAAGATGCAGACATTATTGCCCTTTTACCCCCAAATATTCAGTGTGCATAACCTAAGAACTTCTATGATCACAGTACAGTTCATTTATAAAGTAGAGAAAATTAAATAATAATACATTTCAATATGTAATATACAATCAATACTTAAATTGTCCCAATTTCCCCCTTTTCTAGGATCTATGATAGGTTATGAATTTGCATTTACTTATCATGGCTCTTTTGTTTCCTTTAATCTGGAAAACTTTCTCAGTTTCTTTGCATTTCATGACATTGGTATTTCTGAAGGATACAGGCAGTTGTTTTGTACGCTATTCTTCAATTTCAGTATATCTGATGTTTCCTTATTATTAGATGCAGGCCATGCATTTTTGGCAGAAATATTACAGAAATGATCTTGTGTTCTTTTCAGTGCCTTGTATTATAAGCACATGATGTCAGTTTGTCCTAATATTGGTGATGTTGACTTTGATCCCTTAATTAAAGTGGTGTCAGTCAGGTTCTCCATATAAAGTTATTATTTCCCCCTATGCAATTAATAAGTAATCTGAGGAAAAATATCTTGGGACTATGTGTTCCTCTCCTTTCCCAATGTCATATTTTATACCTCTGTTCTCCTATAGTAAGAACCCTGGTTTCCAATAAAATTAAGATATTTACTCATTTTCTCTATCCTATAAATACCAACAATATAGTTTTAGATTTACCATACTATTACCACTAGCAGCAACAATTAGTTATTGAGTAAATTCAAGAATCCTTTACAGTTGTTTTTCCTTAGACTATATCCTCTTGAAAGTATACAGAGTACTGTGTTCAAATTTACTCGTATTATTTCTGTGTGATTATTTTATTGTTTTAATAATTCACATTTGGTTTACTTATGTTAATGATTCACTTCTTGTCTTTTTATATTTAATTTTACATTCCGAATATTTGAAATACTAAATGGTTTGCCCTGTTCCCACCAACCTCTAAAGGAAACCAATTTTATAAGTTTATGGTTTATTCTTTCTGTGTTTCTCTTTGCAAAATTCAGCAGATACATACGTGTAGTCTTGTTTCTTACACAAATGGCAGTATATTATACAAACTCTTTTGCACTTTACATTTTTCATTTAACTAGGTTTCCTAGAAATCTTTATAGGTTCATATGCACCTTCTTCACTCTTTTTTACAGCTTCACAATGCTCTGTTGTGTAAACATATAATGTTTATTCAACCAATTTCCTAGGCATTTAGTTTGTTTCTATATTTTGCAACTATAGATGCTATAATAAATAATATTTATGTATGAATTTTGATTTTTTATGGTGTAACTTCAAGATAAATTCCTAGAAGTTGTATTTCTACATTAAAGGATAAATGCATAGTTTTTTTTAGATGTAACTGAATGTTTTGCTATAAAGCTTGTACTATTTTACATTCTGATGAGCAATGCATGAGCATGTTCTAGGCCACCATTTGAAAATCAAGGCTATTAGTTACAGAGGCCAACAAAGGAAATGAGGATAGTCAGCCTTCTTGTGGTGGTGTCTAACCGTTAATCACAGTGAATAATGAGAAATGAATGGAACAGAAAAATAGGTCAGAAACAGACCAATATATTTATTGGGTAAAACATAAATGTGACATATGTTTTTCAACAAATGTTTTTAGGCAAGTGGTTAATCATTGGTAGGGGTAGAGGGTGGGGAATCAAACTTGTAAATAGCGTTGCAGACTGGGCTATTCAGATCAACTCAGATCAAATCCTGATGGAAATAACCAAAGAGCCTAAAGAAAAATGCAAAAAATATCTTCCTAAATGCAAAGAAGATAATGAGAAAAACAATTATAGGCCCAAGCAGACTGGGCTATTCAGATCAACTCAGATCAACTCCTGATGGAAATAACCAAAGAGCCTAAAGAAAAATGCAAAAAATATCTTCCTAAATGCAAAGAAGATAATGAGAAAAACAATTATAGGCCCAAGCTGAAAGAAAATAAGAACCCAGATAGTTTCATTTACACAAAAGAGCTTTTACCCAGAGAACATTTTCTGGCCTATGAAAGGTAGAACCTTAGTTTGACAACCCACATGATGAGGGGAAAGAAAATCAAAACCCTAAACTCATTCAAGATAGGAGCAGTCCCTGAAATAAGCTAGGTAACCCCAATGGGCTATACTTCCAAGGTGAGGGTGACAAAGAAGTTAAAACAAAATCCTGAAGTAGAATTAAAGCCCAAGTTCAAATTACTTGAATTGTTTTAATATAGTCTTAGTCGGGCAGTGCCCCCAAGTGTCTGACAGAAGAAAATGTAAATCATCTCTGGAAGAAGCTACCTTCATTACAGGTCTTAGATTATTTCCACAAACCCATGTCCAACACACAATATATAATAAAGAGGCAAGTGAGGAAATGAAATTCTGTAACTGTGACCCCAACAGAAACAACAAACAAAAGAAACAGATGCACGAAGATGTCAGATGTTAAAATTATCAGACACGAAATACAAAGCAACAATGCTCACTATGTTTAAAGAAATAAAACAAGCTTGAGATATCTGTAGAGAAGAGAAAGGTGTAATAAGTGATACTGAAGATTCAAAAAAGGACCAAATGGAGTTTCTAGAAATTAAAAACTAAGCAAAATTAAAACGCAATAGATATTTATCTCATACCATAATACAAAAATTAACTCATATTTTTTAGTTTTTCCAGTGATTTTGGTCATATTTTTCCAGCGCTTCTTATGGCAAGCAATTTTGGATTGAATCCTGGACACTGACACTCTTATGATGTGTAGATTTGGGGTTCTGTTATAATCATCCAGAGAATATTGATATTTTTGTTTTAGTAGTCAATTAACCTAGGCAAGTTCAGATGATAACCTCTTCTTGCCTTCTTTGAGTGGTGGTCCAAATCTCTATTTCTTTGAGCTTTTGCTATTTTGAGTCTGTTCCATGCGTATGTGGTTCTAGCGATTGGCAGAGTTTGTGTTCATCACCTACTTCTGTTGATGAACAGAATGATAACATAATGATGAAGAGATGATAACCTCTTCTTGCCCTCTTTCCTAAAAAGAGTGAACTTTAAGCTAAAAAGTTAGTGAACGTTAAGCTAGATCAACAGAAATTTTCCACCTACTTCTGTAGATGAACACAAACTCTGCCAATCCCAGAACCACATATGCATGGAACAGACTCAAAATAGCGAAAGCTCAAAGAAATAAATTGAGATTTGGACCACCACTCAAAGAAGGCAAGAAGAGGTTTTCATCTGCACCTGCCTAGGCTAATTGCCTACTACAACAAAAATATCAATATTTTCTGGATGATTATAACAGAACCCAAAATCTATATATCAAAAGAATGCCAGTGTCCAGGATTCAATCCAAAATTGCTTGTCATAAAAAGCGCTGGAAAAATATGACCAATTCTAAGAAGAAAAGACAATCAACAGATGCTAATTCTGAGATTATTAAGATAGTGGAGTTTTTAGACAAGGACTTTACAGTAGCTATTATAACTTTCATTGAGGTAAAGATAAACATACCTGAAATGAATAAAGGAAAGGAAATCTCATCAGAAAACATATTATATAAAAATAAATAAAAAGTTTTAGAATTATAACATACAATAACAGAAATAAGAATTTCACTGGATGGGCTCAATAGCAGAATATAGATGGCAGAGAAAAAAAGTTGGTGAAGGCCAGGCGTGGTGGCTTATGCCTGTAATCCCAGCACTTTGGAAGGCTGAGGCGGGTGGATCACGAGGTCAGGAATTCAAGACCAGCCTGGCCAAGATGGTGAAACCCCATCTCTACTAAAAATACAAAAATTAGCTGGGCGTGGTGGTGGGCACCTGTAATCCCAGCTACTCTGGAGGCTGAGACAGAGAATTGCTTGAACCTGGGAGGCGGAGGTTGCAGTGAGCCAAGACCACACCACTGCACTCCAGCCTGGGCAACAGAGCAAGATTCTGCATTTAAAAAAAAAAAAAGTTAGTGAACTTTAAACTAAATCAATAGAAATATTCCTATCTGAAGGATGGAGAGGAAAAAAATAAAAAAGCTGGAACCTCAGGGACGTATGGGAAAATATCAAAAGGTCTATGTCCATGTAATTACAAAGTATTTCCAAGAAGTATGAAAAAGATGGAAACAGAAAAAAATTAAAGCAATAATGATTTTTAAAGTCCTGAATTTTCTGAAAGACATAAATTAGCAGATTTAAGAAGCTCAAAGAACTCCAGATAGGATAAATTCAAAGAAAACTATGCCTAGACCCATTATAATCAAACTGCTAAATGACCAAAGATTTTTTAAGATCTTGAAAGTAGTCATTTTTAAAATGGCACATTCACACAGAGTAACAATGATTTTAATGACTGCAAATTTATCATCAGAAACCATGGAGGCCAGATGACATGGAGCAGTATCTTTAAAGTGCTGAAAGAAAAAAAAACATCAACCCAGAATTCTATAGCCAGACAAAATATACTTTAAGATTTAAAACAAGATAAAGACTTTCATATAAAGGAAAACTAAAAGAATTTGTTGCCAACAGCCCTGCATTGTAAAACATGCTAAAGGAAATTGCCTTCTAGTTTGAAGCAAATGATACTACAGGGAAATTGGGATTTCAGGATCAAATAGTAAGCATCAGAAATGATAAATATCTGAACGAACATAAATATCTATTTTTTCCTCTTGGGTGTTTTAAAATATATTTAACTTTTTAAAGTGAAAATTACAATATTGTCACATGTTGTTTTCAATGTATATAGATATAATATATGTGACATCTACAAAATAAAGGATGGCAGGAGGAAGGAAAGCAATCTATACTGTTGAAAGATTTTTATAATGTACATGAAGTAGCTAGTACAATATTAATTTAAAGTGTAAAGAATAGTATACATTAAGAGTATGCGTGTGTATGTATGTGTGTATGTATGTATATAAATCCCTAGATCAACCACTAAAAAAATACAAACTACATCTTAAAAGTCTATAGTAGATACATTAAAATCAAATACTAATAAATATTGAAATACTATAATCCAAAATTAGGTAGGAAAGAGATAAGAGAGGAACAAAAAAGAGGATGGAAAAACAGAAAACAAGTAATAAACTGGTTACTAAATTCAATCATATCAATAATTGTATTAAATGTTAATTGTGGCCTAAAGATCCCAATGAAAAGAAATTGTCAAATTGGACAAAACAGCCTCAATTACAAGGGTTTTAAAAAATTCATGTGAAATGTGTATTATCAAAAAGCTATGCATAAATTTCAAAATGTTTATATACCAAAGTAAAATCACTAATTTGTTATAAAATCTGAACAAGATCTAGTTTGAGGTACTAAGAAGGATAAGGCATCCATTTGAAAAGAGCTCCTAACAGAGCAACATGAATTCTGTAAAACTGAAGCAAGATTAAACATCAACTTTATGGTGAAGCTTGGGTAGAAGAATGGTGAAACCACTAATGCTTTATGAAGAGTTTATGAGGACAATGCCCCAAAGAAATCAACAGTTTACAAATGAATAACTCATTTTAAGAAAGGACATGACGATATCAAAGATGAAGCCCTCAGTGGCAGACCATTCACATCAATTTGCAAGGAAAAAATTCATCTTGTTCATGCCCTAATTGAAGCAAACCAACAATTAACAGCACAAGCAATAGCCAACACCGTAGACATTGCAATTGGTTCAGCTTACACAATTCTGACTGAAAAATTGAATTTGAGAAAACTTTCCACTCTGTGGGTGCCAAAACCAATGTGCCCAGACCAGTTACAGACAAGAGCAGAGCTTTCAATGAAAATTTTAAACAAGTAGGACCAAGATCTTGAAGCATTTCTTTGAAGAATTGTAATAGGAGATGAAATGTGGCTTGACCAGTATGATCAAGCCACAATCAGAGCACAATCAGACAAAAGACAAGGTACAATCAGAGCAATGGCTACCAAGAGGTGGACATGGTCCAGTCAAAGCAAAAGTGAGCCAGTGAAGAGTAAAGGTCATGGCAATAGTTTTGGGGAGATGCTCAAGGCATTTTGCTTGTTGGCTTTCTGGAGGGCCAAAGAATGGTAACAACTGCTTATTAAGAGAGTGCTTTGAGAAAGTTAGCCAAAACTTTAGCAGAAAAACACTCAGAAAGTCTTGACCAGAGAGTTCTTCACCACAGCAATACTTCTGCTCATTCCTCTCTCAAGCAAGGCCAATTTTGAAAAGATTTCTATGGGAAATCATTAAGTATCCACCATACAGTCCCAATGGGCTCTTTCTGATTTCTTTTTGTATCCTAAACTAAAAAAAGATCTGTAAAAGAAACCCATTTTTTTCCAGTTAATAATGTAAAAAATACTGCACTGATACGGTTACATTCCCAGAACTCTCAGTTCTGTAAGAATGGACTAAATAGCTGGTATCATTACTTAGAAAAGTCTTGAACCTGATGGAGCTTATATTGAGAAATAAAGTTTATATTTCTATCTTTTACTTCCATTTTCCCATGAACTTTTTGAAGTCCCCTCAAATATGCTGCCTATAAGGGATACATTTTAAGTATAAAAACATAGTTAGTATAAAAGCAAATAGATGAAAACAGTATACTGTTCAAAGAATAAGTAAAAGAAGACCAAGATGCTAATATTGACCGCAAGTAAGTAGTCTTTAAGACAAAGTTTATTACCAGAAATAAAGAAAGATATTTCCTAATGATAAAAGGGACAACTGGTTGGGAAGAAGTAAATGGTGTGTACCTAATAACAGAACTTCAAAATATATCAACATACAAAACTCATGGTATCTTCATGCAGTGTAAGACTACTTAGCAATAAAGATATACAGATGGCAAATAAACAAATAAAAATGCTCACCATCATTAGTCACTAGGGAAATGCAAATTGAGACTACAATGCAGTACGATTACAAATCCATACACTAGAATGTCTAAAGTGATCAAGAATGTCTCAGTACCAAACACTGAGAAAGATATACAGCAACTGGAACACTCTTGTAAAAATGATACAACCAACTGGGCACGGTGGCTCATGCCTGTAATCCCAGCAATTTGGGAGGCCGAGGCGGGCGGATCACCTGAGGTCAGGAGTTCGAGACCAGCCTGACCAACATGGTGAAACCCCATCTCTACTAAAAATACAAAAATTAGCTGGGCATGGTGGTGGGCATCTTAATCCCAGCTACACGGGAGGCTGAGGCCGGAGAATCGCTTGAACCCAGGAGGCGGAGGTTGCAGTGAGCCAAGATCATATCGCTGCACTCCAGCCTGGGCAACAAGAGCTAAACTCCAACTCAAACACACACACACACACACACACACACACACACACACACACACACACACACACACACAAAGATATAACCATTCTGAAAAATGGTTTGACAATTTTTTGTAAAATTAAATATATAGCTACTATATGATCTATCAGTTCTACCCCTAGATATTTAAATACAAGGAATGAAATCAAATGCCTACACAAAGATTACACATGAATGATCACAGCAGCTTTATTCATATTACCCTGAACCTTGAGCTAACCCAAATGTTTGAAAATAGGTGAATGGATAAAAACATATATAGCATGTTCGTTAACTATAATACTACCAAGTAATCAAAAGGAGTGAACTCCTGATATTTTCGGTTATATGATTCTCAAAACATTATGCTGAGTAAATAAAAAAGCCAAACACGCACCAAAAAATGCCATACGGTCGCATTTATATGGAATTTTAGAATAGGCAAAACTAATTTAAAATGACAGAAAGCATATCAGTGGTTGCCTGGAGCCAGGAAGAGGTGATGGAACTTTTGTGTGACAGAAATGTTGTATTTCTTAATTGGGGTGATGACTACACAGGTTTGTATATTTGTCAAAACTCATTAAACTATAAACTTCAGATGGATGCATTTTTTATGTAAATCATCCTCAGCAAAATTGATTTAAACATGAAAAAATAAGTCAGAGCTGGGGTGTCTAATCTTTTGGCTTCCCTGGGCCAATACTGGAAGAAGAATTGTCTTGGGTCACACATAAAATACACTAACACTAACAATAGCTGATGAGCTAAAAAAAAAATCGCATAACGTTTTAAGAAAGTTTACAAATTTGTGTTGGGTCATATGCAAAGCCTTACTGAGCTCCACACGGCCCATGGGGTGCAGAGTAGACAAGCTTGAGTTAGAGTTTGGTTCTCACAAACTCTTAAGTTTTGTTTTTTTTTTTTTTTTTTTTATCTTGTTGGGGTTTCTTTTAGACGAAAAAAAGAAACAGGCATAATTCCTCTCTTCCTCCCCCATCCCACCTAAAATTAATTTGAACTTAGTAGTCTAATAAGTGAAAAATAACAGTTTTTCTCAGTCTGGGAGAAGACAGCCTATCAGAGGTGAAATCGCCTATGCTGTGGCTTCAGATTTGTATTTAAACTGCATCTATGATATTTACCTGTTAGACAACTCTGGGAAAATTATTTATTCTTTTGAGTTTGTCTCCTTATATGTAAAATGATTATAACACCTATCTATTAATAGCTGCGCTGCCAGGATGAAATGAGACAAGGTTTATAAAATACCTGACAGAGAAAGAAAATTTGGAAGAAGTAGTTGGTCCTCTTTTTAGAAGAACTACAGACCCCAGATTCTAAAACACAAGCTCAATTCCAAATGTCTTATCGACCGTGTAATCTCATTCATACTTCTCATACCATACATCTTGGGTTCCACTGTTATTGCTGTTTAGAAAATAGGTGACTACATTTATAAAGAAACAAGCTTAGGGTTTATTTCAGTTGTTACTAAGATTTAAAAGTCTGCAGGTCACTCAGTCAACAATATTTATTGACCATCCATTATGTGTCAGGTACTTCTTTGGGCTCTGGGGATACTGTTGGGGAGTAGGTAGGAAATAACTAAGATGTTTTCAGTTAGTGATACAGATAATCATTGTATGAATTCATTGTATGAATATATATATATACACACACACATATATATACACATACATACACACAAATATACAGACATATACACACAAATTAAGTATAATAAATCTATACACAATATACTATCTTGTAACAAGACTCTAGGTTCTATGCCAGCTCTAACAAGACTAATGTCATATTGGACAAGCAAGTTAACAAACAATAATTTTTGTATCTATAAAACAAGACATCTGAACTACGATTCCTTTCAATTCTAAAACCTTATATACTAAAAAATGTCTAAAGTCCCTTCCTAATTTTCAGTCATTCACTATATATATTCTTTCTTTCACTAATTTTGAATGTGCATTGTTAACCAATTACAGATCTGTAAGTCTATAATTGGTTAATAATGCAGATCTATAAAGATAATTCTTTATAGATCTATAATGTAGATCTATAAAGAGAGTTCCAAATTATCTCAAACAAAAAATTTCAATTCATTCATTCACTCATTAAACTCATTGATTGGCATCACCTATGTATTATATAAGTAACTATGCTAGGTTCTAGACATCAACACAAACTTCACCCCTGACATCATGGAATTTATTAGGTGTAGGGGGTAGGAAAGAATATTTCTGATTTGGTAGGAAAATAAAGAATTCAGTTTTGGTAGGTTAAGTTTGAGATGCCTGAGACACATCCCAGTGGAACTGGCACGTAAAATAAATTAGGGAGGCATCACCTGTTAGACAATAGTTTTTAAAACCATGAGACTGAATATGGTCAACTTGAGAGAGTGAGTACAGTGAGAAGGAAAGAGACAAAAGGTCTAAGTTTTCATGAAAATTAAGATTTAGAGGTTAGGCATAGGAAGAGGAGCTAACAACACTGAGATTGCTACACAGAGCATAAAATAAAAATCCTAAGTGTGTAGTCTATCAAGTATATCAAAAAAAGGGAATGGTCCAGTGTATCTAATTAAATTTTTAAAATCCCTTGGATTTGAAAAAAACTAACGTCATTGATGCACTTGGCAAATGCAGTTTAGTGTGCTGGTTGAAGCAGAGACAAGGTTGGAGTGGATTGAGTAGGAATGGAGGGTGAAAGCCTAGAGACTGTGCAGATAATCATACAGAGGAAATCTGTGGTAGAGGGAAGGAAATATAGGTTTGACAGGTTTGTTCTTGTTGTTGTTTCCTTTTTACTGTGATTGTTTCATTTTTATTTTTTGTTTAAGGTGAGTGATATTAGGACTGAAGGGATGTTGAAGATGAGCAAGAGAGAGGAAGAGAATGGATGGAGAGGACTCTTAGAAGGCAGGAGCACTGGCTCTCAAAGCAGAACGGAAGGATTGGCCTTTGACATTTGAAAGGGCCTAAAAGCAGTGGAGGGGACATGATGAAGCTAAGTTGCTAAGGATGGAGAAAGAAAGAAGAGGTAGCATGTCAGAGAGTTTAGGAGCTGGAACCAGGCTGGAATCCAACTTCTTCCATTTATTGTAAGTGTGGTCAAGTTATGCTCTTTCTAGACTTCAAGTTCTTCACCTATAAAATGCAGGGAAAGTATCACCTATGTTATAGATTTGTCATGTGAATTTTTAAATGAGTTAATATTTATAAGAGCACTTAAACCATGTCCAACACATACCAAGTGTCATAGAGGTGGTATCTATTATATCAGTGTGTTTTGATAAATAGGGTCCTGTTTGATGGCTTCTATTTTCTCCAAGAAATGAGATGAAGATGAAAAAATTGTCAACCTTTCTAAAATGTAAAATCATGTATAAGTAAACAATGAGAAAAAAAAATTTCCATTAAATTGCTGAAGGTTTAAAAACTGTAATACCCAGTATTGGTGATGGTGGGGTGTATCAGGCCTCTTTCTCCATGGCTGGTGAAAGCATAAATGTGTACATCCCCTGCCCTACAAAAGGCAATTTGGTAATATAGATCACAAGATTTTACCAACCTGTAAAACAGAGGTCCTCAGAGGAGGGGTGTGTATGGTAAAGAGAAGTGGAAAGTCTGGCCTGAGAAAGCAAGTCAGTTATATTCAACTCCATGCCCAGCTCCCTGATTGGTGACACTCTCAAGTCCTCCCCATGGTTCCTGTTAACTCCCAGGTTTATGCTCGATGGTGTAATTGGCCTCAGGCTGTATGCTGTTTTTGTTTCTCTGTGTAACAGTTCATCTTCTTCACAAGTCTCCAATAGAAATCCACTCACAGGGAGGGGGCCGCATCCTGCATCCTTGAAGCACACATTTTTATGTCTTATTTCCCTGCCTTATTTTCCCCCAATTGCCTCTGGGGGTTCAAAATTCTGTGTTGCGCAGAGCATTTTAGCTCTTTCAAATTTCGTATTCCAGAGTTGATACCAAACCCTTCAAGGTACCCAGGAGAGTACTCTAATACCTGCTGTTCTTAGAAGGGTTATCAATGGCAAAATTTTACTACTGCCTCGGCAATTCCACTTCCAGAACTTATCTCAAGATATCAAATACTCATTTTAGTATTATAACTGCCAAAACATTGTACATTTAAATACTTAACAAAAGGGATTAATAAATCATGATATGTGTTACATGGTAGAATGTTACCGGACTACTAAAATATGATTTTGGAAAGCATTTAATATGGGGAATTTTTTGCAATGCTTAAAAAAAATACACTGAGGTACAAAGAATAAAACAACCAAAAAAGTGTATGCCCTAATCTCCTTTCTCTAAAACATTTAAAAAAAGAGTAATAACACATGTATACGGTGAAAACATTTAGACAGTGTAGAAAGTTACAAAATGGAGGCCGGGCGCGGTGGCTCACGGCTGTAATCCCAGCACTTTGGGAGGCCAAGGCGGGCGGATCACGAGGTCAAGAGATCGAGACCATCCTGGCTAACACGGTGAAACCCCGTCTCTACTAAAAATACAAAAAAATTAGCCAGGCGTGGTGGCGGGCACCTGTAGTCCCAGCTACTCGGGAGACTGAGGTAGGAGAATGGCGTGAACCCGGGAGGCGGAGCTTGCATTGAGCCGAGATCGCGCCATTGCACTCCAGCCTGGGCGACAGAGCAAGACTCCGTCTCAAAAAAAAAAAAGTTACAAAATGGAAAGTGAAAGGCCTCATTCCCTTCTTCCTTTGGCCTACCACCTTCTCCAAGTACATAATTACTTATCATACTTTCCAATTTAAAAAAGCATAAATATGCATAAAGTTATGCCTATCATATCTCTTTAATTTTACACAAAAGGAAACAATTTCCATTGTTATATATCTTTTATTACTCTTATGATACATTTTAGAAATAGTGATATTCTATATTATTCCATCATATCAATACACCGTAACTTATTTAATCAGTCTCCTATTTTTGGAAAGTCTGGTTGCCATGTTTTCTTCCAAAAGATTGTTCCAGTTTGCACTGCAACCTACAAGGTTTTCCCGTGTTCTCGTTGCATCCATACTGAGTATCATGAAAATTTACAATATAAACTTACAAGAAAAAAATTATAAAAATGTAAGTAAAGTAATTCCCCTACCAGTTAATGAGCACCTACTATGTGAATTTTTAAAAATCATGGCATGGTTCTATAATGTATAACCATACATTAACAAAATATGGTTCTCTGTTCTCAGATTAATCAGCTGGAGGAGAGGATGCAGATGTAAATAATTAACAATTAAAAGAAAAAAACTTTGGGAGGTGGAGGCAGGAGGATTGCTTGAGGCAAGGAGTTGGAGACTAGCCTGGGTAACATTGAGAGACCTTGTCTCTAAAAAAGTTTTTTAGCAATTAGCTGGGCATGATGTGCACACACCTGTAGTCCTAGCTACTCAGGAGGCTTTGGATTGCTTACGCCCAGGATTTCAAGGCTGCAGTAAGCTATGATTGCATCACTGCCCTCCAGCCTGGGTGACAGAGTGAGAGCCTGTCTCTAAAAAAATTAAAATTTTTTTTAAAAGACAGAAATAATGGCCATACTAAAACTAAAATGAAGAGCAGAATATGGAGTAAGAAATGATTTATTTAAATTGGGAATAGGAAAGCATTCATAGCTGTTTTACTTGGGATCTAATAGTTTTATCCACTGCTATCTGTTGATGCTTAGTATGTACTAGGCGCTAGGCTGATTTGATTCAGGTGCATTTTCTAATTTAACCTCCATAACAATATAAGGTGGATATGATTTTTGTAGGCATTTTATAGATGAGAAAACAATCTGAGTGGGATGAATTGTTTAATGTTACACTGCTCGTCGTACACCTTCCACGTATAGCTCATTTCATTCTCATAACATTCCTATCAGGTAAGCACTGTCATTGCCCCTTTTACAGGGGTAAAAATAATACACAGAGTGCTTACATTGTTTGCTTGAGGTCACACGACAGGTAGATGGCAGGGCAGGGAACACAAACCCAGACAATCTGACTCAGAGCTCATCTGTCCTTTCTTGATTTGTTAGACAGGGAATGGGATGCAGAAAGTACATTCTCAGAGGAAAGAGCTGCAGGAGCCCAGCCAGTGTGAGACATGGTAGGATGAACCAGCTTCTAAAGCCCAGAGACTAGTAACAGAGTTGTTCACTGGAGAATGGACAAAGCCAGTGGGAGAGAGAATGGCATAAAGTGGATGTAAATGAGATTCGTCGCAGAGGAGAATAGAGAAGACTTGATGACTAATTGGATGCTTCAATCACAGCCCTCAGCCTTTACCTCTCTAAACTAAAGCGTTTGACTCCTTTTAGTCAGAGGTCACAGCCAGCCAGCATTTTATTCCTTTCCCTTTTTTTTTCCTTGGTTTCACAGTGTTTGGAGTATTCCTTTCCTTTTATTTTAGGGACCTGTTTCGGGATGCTTCTGTTAGAAATGTCATCATTTCTGTGCAGCGTGGCTTTAAGAAAAGATGATGCTAATGGGCTATGCAGTTCAAATAGTACTTCTCCATCCCTCAGTAATGCACCAATTCCATGAGGTTAAGATATTGGTTAGCAAGTAGGATGCAAGAGAAAAGGCATCCTATCCTCCAGTTTTTTTTTTTTAACATAAATGAAGGGAAATGTCCAATGAGCATTATTTTTGAGATGGAGTTTCACTCTTGTTGCCCAGGCTGGAGTGCAGTAGCACCATCTCAGCTCACTGCAACTTCTGCCTCCCAGGTTCAAGTGATTCTCCTACCTCAGCCTCCCAAGTAGCTAGGATTACAGGCATGTGCCACCACACCCAGCTAATTTTCTGTATTTTTAGTAGAGATGGGGTTTCTTCATGTTGGTCAGGCTGGTCTCGAACTCTTGACCTCAGGTGATCTGCCCACCTCGGCCTCCCAAAGTGCTGGGATTACAGGCATAAGCCACCATGCCCGGACTTCCAATGAGCATTTTTCAGTTCTCCTACCACTTCTCCCTGCAGCATTGGACCCTATGATTATTCCATCCTTGAAATTCTCTCTGCCATTAACTTCTGCAGTATCACCCTTGCTGTTTTCCTTCTACCTTTCTGATGTGCCTTTCCATTTTCCCTAAATATAATGATATCACTTCCTTTGATGCCTCTGAAAGGATCCTGCACCTCAGAGCTTGCTCAGCATTCTTTAATTCCATCCCTGTTTGCTTCAAGTACAATCTCAAATAAATTTACTTAGAATCTTTCAGCTATCTGTTCACAGAAATAAGAGAACCTGGACCTTTTTACTTATTTCCCTGTTTCTATCCAGAACATCATTAATCTTATAGCACTCATAGAGTGTTAGTCCCGCACTTATTTTTATGTAGGTCACATGGGTCAGCTTTATCTACCTCCTCTTCACAGTAGGTCTGATGCTTGGTGCTGCCTCTTCAGCTCTGATCTGGCCTTGCTCCTTGGCTATAATCATGCCCAGGACTTTGACTACATGTCTTTCAGCTGCTGTGTGTAAACACTTCATTTGGCCTAATCTAGCTAACAGTAATGGACATCAGTGGTTCCCAAATTTTATTTCACATTGGAATCACTTGGGGTTCATTAAGAGCAGCTAACACCTGGCCACCCCAGACATACTGATTTAATTGGTATGGGATAAGACTTGAGACATTAGACTTTTTAAAAGCCAATGTGCAGCAGGTGATTCTAATCTGCAGCACATTCAGGAACTACCATCCTATATGAGGGTTCTGAAACCCAATTACTCAACAAAATCACTTAGGGAGTTTCCAGTTTCTTTAAATACAGATATCTGGGCCCTACCTTAGAACTCAGTCAGTACGGCCTAGGAATTTTCGCTTTTCATGAGTCTCTAGGTGAATGGATATTGGGATGCATCGCCATGTATGCAACTTGGAGTGGACCTTTCTGGCCGGGACACCATGGCCTTCTTTTCAGCTCTTTGAATGGCACCGACAAAACTTTTTTCTATATCTGGAAAACAATCGGTCTGTTGTTTCTCTGCAGATGCATGTTCTTAGCTCCAGACTCCCGTGTATAAGATCTCATAAGACATTTGACTGATGGTCATCCCACATGCACCTAAAATTCAACATGGCCAAAATTGAACTCATCATTTTGTTTTTGTATTGTTTTTCTCTTCTCTGTGTCATCCAGATAATATCAAACTTATCCACAAAGTGTGCAAACCCTAAGGCTAGCAGTCATTTTAGACTCTTCCCTTCTTAACCCCACAGAGAGCTACCAGATCTGGTGGTAATTCCATCTGTTGATTCTGTTTTGCAGATTACAGCCTTAGTTCGAGCACATATTACCTCTCAGCCAGAGTATTGAACTTCTAATAACCTAACTGGCCTTCCTTATCCAATTTCCTTTTTCTTTAACTCTTAATGCTGCTTGAATGAACTTTCTAAAATGCAGATCTGATTTTGTCACTACTCTTCTTAAAATCCTTCAAGAGGTCCTTGCTTTTACGATAAAATTCAAACTTCTTAGCATGCAAAGCCCTTCATGGGTTTTGCCTCTGGCCTCATTCCTCAAGACATTTTCCCTTTCATGTGCGTCACCTGGGGCCTCAGTTCAGCCCTACTGAGTCAGATACCTTGGAGGAGGAGCCCTAGATATCTAAACCTTTACAAGCCCCAAGTACTTCTTCTGATCACAGAAGATTGGGAACTCAACCCTCAAACACGCCCATTGCACTTGTCCCTTCAGAAACCCAACTTTAGAGATGATTCCTGAACATACTGCACTACCTCACTGTCTCCTGCACTGATTCCCTGTGTTCATCTCTACTCATCCCTCAAAGTCCCCTCACAGGGTGGGGTTTCCTGACTCCTGAGGTGCCACTCCTCTGAACTCTTCTTCTCTGCTTCTATTACACCTCGGGTCCACCCCTATTTCATGATTACCACCTTGTTATTTGATTCCTTGTTTATCCTCCCCACTAGAATTTTTTTTCTTTCTTTTTTTTTTTTTTTTTTTTTACAGAGCCTCTGTCGCCCAGGCTGGAGTGCAGTGGTATAATCTCGGCTCACTGCAACCTCCGCCTCCTGGGATCAAGTGACTCTCCTGCTTTCCTGCCTGGCCTCCCAAGTAGCTGGGACTACAGACATGCACCACCACGCCCAGCTAATTTTTGTATTTTTAGTAGAGATGGGGGGGGGGTCTCACCAGCTTGGCCAGGCTGGTCTCGAACTCCTGACCTCAAGTGATCTGCCTGCCTGGGCCTCTCAAAGTGCTGGGATTACAGGTGTGAGCCACTGTGCCCGGCTGATCCTCCCCCCACTAGAATTTGAACTCTTCAATGGCAGACAGAGTATCATTTTTCTCTTTATCCTTATGTAACAGCACAACACTGAGTGCAATGTGAATGAATTACTAGAAAACAAAAATGGAATCCATAGTTAAAGAAACAAACAAAACACAGATAAATAGGTTATCAAGAGAATAGGCAGAATTAGCAATACAGACAACTATCAGAATTTGAATTTAAGGTAGGAGGTCCTAAGCCAATAATTTAAAATATACATATATATACACAGAATGCAAGTACAGTATCAGTCAAGGTTTTTAATTGCAAGCAATAGACACTGATGCAAGCTGCTTGAAACAGAAAGGAATTTATTGAAAGGTTGTTCGGTAGCCCACAGAATTACCAGGAAGACTAAAATTGCCAGGCTTTGAAAACCGGCAGGAACAAAGGAAGGCTAAGCAGCTGGAATCATAGCCACGGCTGAACAATAGAGGCTGCAGCTCACCCACCTGTCTCCACCAGCACGGGACACGCACACTGCCGATGGCACTGCATCTAGTGACTATTGCTATGGCTGCTGCCACCAAAATGAATTTTCCACTCATCCTATTTCTCTGCCTCACTCACTCCCTCCAGATTCTAATCTTAAACTGGTTCAAGTGACTGGGCATGTCTAGGTCTGGATGTACATGAGATGTGTGTGTGTGTGTGTGTGTGTGTGTGTGTGTGTGTGTATGTGTGTGTGTTACAGACTTCTCAACTTGTCAATAGCCAAAAACAGGTGAAGGAAAGGTCCATACCTTGGAAAATCCCTCAAACAAAGGCAGGGGTTTGGATGCTGGATAGCTAATTAAAATAAAGTTGTTTCTAATTTTATCCAATATTATATATAGTATTACTAAAATGGTAAAATGTATTAGAATCTTGATACTCAGCAGAAAGTCAGAATAAATAATTTCTAGTAAGTCATAAATTACAATTGTGAACAAACCCTAGGGTTCTGTTAAATTAATTTGAGTAGAATAAATGCTCGCTATGTAGATTGAAATCAGACTCAAAGAAGGGAGGAGGCACTGCTGTCTTGAGGGAACTAAAATTGCAGCATGGATTCCTCCAGGACACTTGGAGAATGAATGGAGTCCATAGGGGGAAATTAGTTGTCAAACACTGGGGATGGAGAGGCCAAGGGTGGGACCCAAGTTTGGGATTGCAGAGTCAAGGGTATGTAGCTGGGGAGATGGAATTGAAGCAAAACACTGCAAGCAAGCCCAGTTTCTGGATGGTCGCCTTGTACATGGGGCCATTCAAGGTTAAGTCATTCATTTACTTAAATATTTTATTTCCTCAATGCTATGTGAGGAAGACTTGAAAAATATAAATTAAATTTGATTTCTTTGCTTTTATTTACAAAAAAAACCCAATTTTGTTAAAAGAGTGGATGCTTGGAAATTTGTAAGCAATACTGAAAAATGTGGAGAAAGTTTAAACAATCACAAATTCTACAACCAAGAAATAGGCATTAACACTATGGCAACTTTATTCTAACCATCCTTCTATGCATGTGTACAAACGGAAGCATCTGAACTGCCCTCCGGTATTCACCATTATTCACATAGAAAGCACACAAGAAAGACAACTGGGTGGATGGATGGAAGGATGGACTTTTGTAAAATGATCTCATTTGAAAAATAACAATTTTAATTTTATTTAATAGAAGAAAAATGAAAAGAATTGCTAGACTTCAAATATTTTTCTTCAGCACAAAACACATTGTTTCTTCTGTTTTTTTTTTTTTTCTTTTTTTTTTTTTGAGATGGAGTCTCGCTCTGTCACTAGGCTGGAGTGCAGTGGCGCAGTCTCGGCTCACTGCAACCTCTGCCTCCCAGGTTCCAGTGATTCTCCTGCCTCAGCCTCCCAAGTAGCTGGGACCACAGGCACCTGCCACCACGCCCGGGTAATTTTTTTGTATTTTTAGTAGAGATGGGGTTTCACCATGTTGGACAGGATGGTCTCGATATCTTGACCTCATGATCCACCCACCTCAGCCTCCCAAAGTGCTGGGATTACAGGCATGAGTCACTGCATCCGGCCCATTGTTTCTTCTTTTTAAAAATTAAACAGTAGGGTGTGGAGGCTCACCCCATATAGTTGCCTGACTTCAGAAGGCCAAGGTGAGAGAATGGCTTGAGGCCAGGAGTTTGAGACCATCCTGAGCAACACAGTGAGACCCAATCTCTACAAAAAATAATTTAAAAAAAATTATCCATACCAGGTATGGTGGTGCACACCTGTAGTCCCAGCTACTCGGGAGGCTGAGGCAGGAGGATAGTTTGAGTCCAGCAGTTTGAGGCTGCAGTAAGCCATGATTATGCCACTGTACTCTAGCCTAGGCAATGGAGAAAGAGCCTGTCTCTAAAATAATAAATAAATAAATAAATAAAATTTTAAAAAATTCAAAAAGCTTAAAAGAGTTTATTTAAAAAGAAAGAGGTCAAAGTTGTTATTTGTTTCAACTAAATGCTTTGCTTTTAGACAATATCAATTGATTTATTGCTATGAAAGATGAAGACTTCAGCAGTCATGCTTCTTGTCATCTGCCTCTCAACTTTGCCATGTTTGCGAGTTGTTTTATTTGTATGCTGTCAAGACTTACTGTATTTATATACCCAGTAAGCTGGGTATTTTCTAGTAGTTTCCTATATGGAAATGGATTAATTGCTCACCTCATGTGTTGTTCTGCCACTATTTATCTAGTCCTCAATTTCTAATTTTGATTCATTTTCTAATCAACTGGATTTTGAAATCGAATTTATTTTTCTTTGCAAGAAGAGCTTGGTGCGTTATATTCCCTGAGGTCTTTCTTGCTTAAGTATGTTCATTTTTGCTAATGTACAGTAGGCCTGAGAAAATGTTCTTTGGTCCTACTTTCTTTACTTTAGAATACTTTTGGTATTTCACCATCGTCTCTGGCATTAAGTACTGCTGTGGAGAAAAGTGTGATGCTAATCTTTTTTTTTTGTAGGTGATTTGATTTTCTGTCTAGATATTGGACTAATTTATTTTTATACTTTCAAGTTGAGTAAGCGAACCGGAGATATCTTAGGGCTGAGCAGTTCGTATCTAATTATTTGATAATCTAATGACCATTTGAGGTTCAGTGATTACTCTCACAATTTTGGCAGTCCTGAGAAATAGTCTTCTAACAACTTTGAGAAGCTAGAGAGAATGAATGTGCCTGGAGAAGAATGACAAATGGTCCCTCCAATTCTGACTTTGTCTTCTAGGTCCAATATCTTTGGTTTTGTGTCTTTGTCATATTCAAGCAAGTCCTGTAACTCCTCTTGGGTAGCTTGAAGTGATTCCATGCACTCAACAGTCTCTAAAAAGATGGTGATGCAAAGAAGTTACAGGAGTAGGAATTTTTTTTTCTTTTTCTTTTTTACTATAGAGGATAATGCTTTTGGTGGAGATTTGTAATGAGTTCTGCACTTAGCAAGTGTGGTAGACCAGGTGTATTATTGGGAAGATGAGGTGTTTGTTTGTTTGTTTTGTATTTCTTCTGCCTGGTCTATTATTTACTGTAGTTAGATAAATGGATTTAAATGTCTGAATAAAATATTTTTAGAGTGGGTAGATGAAGTGGCTTGTAATGTATGGAAGTAAAATATTTCTATGATGAATAAAGAAGCATTGGACTTCCCATACAGAGATTATGCATGTCATTTTGCTGAGGGCATCTACTTCCACCAGAATGATATTGTATCTTCAGAAGGAAAAGGGGAGAAGCCAGTGATAAAATACAGGGTGTTATTATCTCAGAGGTGCTTGGAGCTCAAGAGGGCTTGAAGTAATTATTTCCCAGATGTATGTTGCCTGTGTGCATGTGATATAGGAGTTTGCATTTTGGATGTTAACATGAAAAGGCAGAGTCACCAGAAATTCCCAAGGGCCATTTCAAATATTTTTAGTGGACCACAACTGCCCAGTATGGAAGAAACACAGCATTTGTGTGTGTGCATCTGATGCCAAGAAATAGATCTGGCAGGGTTGGTTAGGTAGCCTCCTTCCACTGGTGGCCACCATAAGGCAGCCCTGAATACTGCCCAGGTGCTGTGCATATAGGTATTAATTGGCTTCCCTGGGATTACCTTCCCTAAATCTGACTGAAGCTGAAAGATCCCAAAGTTTTGGCACTGGAATATCACTTGTGATGGGCTCATATTGTGGCTTATAGAGCAGGGTGTCTGTGTGATTGCTTGAGTTCCTGTCTCTCATTAGTGACAACAGAGCCCACCTCCTCTGATGTGAACAGTTTTCAAGTTTGCCTGTACTACTCACAGCCTTCGAGTGTGCACCTATCCCAGCGTGCTGAGCCTCTTTAATTAGGTGTATAGCCAAGATACCTTTAATTGCCGATAGTTCTTTTTCCCTCACTGGGAAGTTAGCCTTGGCTGGAATAAGCAGTCCTGGTGAAGAGAAACAGGTCAGCTGCCTTGAAATCCTCTTTGGGCTCAGCTGGTATTCACTAAGATATTAGAAAGTTAATTTAGATCAGAGATGTCAAGCTATATGCCTATGGTCTGAAATCAGCCCCCAGGCTCATTTTCTTTGACAAAGAGAGTGATTGCCTGCAGGCAAAGACTGCATAGTCTTTTAGAAGACTTTTTTTCCAAGTAGTTGCTGATTTTTAAAAGTTAGAAAATGTCCCATAAAAATCCAGATTTCCACCTTTTCTTGTAAAGTGAAATATATGACCATCACACTGAGTGCACATTTCCAATGGCAACAGCAGATCCAGAGCTGCTGAGGAGAGCCGAGGAGCAGGTCCCCTCTTGACCCAGGCCTGTGCTCTCCAGCTTGCCAGCATCCCCTCCAGTTGTTCTTATCCTTCTGACTCAGAGGGCAGATGTCAGGTCCCATTTCTTATCACACCTGAACTTTTTGTTTTTCTTATGATAGAGTGAGGAGGAATGTGACATATTTTCTACTGTCTACCTCTACCATAAGCAGAAATATGCAAGCCACATGGAGGGCCACTCACTTCTTTTTCATGGCCTGCTTTATTCATTGGTATTACCCGCCGGGAACCTGTGAGCAACTGAGTTTATGACTGTTGCTATAGATAATAGAAGGGCAAGGTGAGTCAGGTAGACCAAGATAAGGATGCAGGAAAGCATGACAGTTTATGGAAAAGGGCAGCTCCTTCTATGTGATAAGTGCTTACCTTTGTTGTGCAGATTTATTGCTTGGGAATGGAGATGGGACTATTGGAGGGAGAAAAGTCAATGGTAATCAGGGATTCTTGGATGTCCTTAATCGGTTGCAGTCACATATAGTTTCCTGTTTTTCTACTTCAAGGAGCACCATGTTTACTTGAAAGAATGACAAGCAAACCACGGTTAGTCAGAGACTGTTTGGCAAATATTTTTTCAAAAATGAATAAAATAAGCCTGTTACTTGGAAGAAAGAAATGAATGATAATATGAATTGCAAATGATAAAATTTGAACTTTTAAGTAAAAATTAGAATTTTAGAAAGCTTTTATCTACCACTTTGAGCTCAACAGCTCTCAATACCTAAAAACTTTTCTGTCGTAATTGATAGTGATAAAACATATGCAATTTTTTGAAATTGTAGAATAAAATGTGTTAATATTTGGAAGATATATAATTCAGTGGATCAGTATTTTTCCAGATCTTTAAAAAATCATGCATAGGTAAAAGAACCACTCAAAATGGAAGGGAACAATATATTTTAATGTAACAGAGTATGAATAAGTATTTGATAATATATCAGATACTATAACCTTTGAGAAACTACTAGTTGTCAAGTTTTGTGTAATATCAAAGAATATCCACAATTATCTGAAAAGGCTCTAAAAATACTTCTTCGTTTCCTAGCCTCATATCTGCATGAATATTTCTTTGTATACTTCAACCAGGACAACATAGCACAATAAATTGAATGCAAAGGCAGGTATAAGTATCCAGATGTATTCTATTAGGGTAGACCTTCAAGTGATTTGCAAAAATATAACAATATACCACTCAACTTTTTTTTTATTTTGGAAAACCCAGTTATTTTTTATAAAAATATGTTATTTGTGTTAACATGTAATAAGTTTATCATTGCCATTCTGAAATAAATATTTAAATTTTTTCTCAGTTTTAATGTCTTTTTTTTTTTTTTTTGAGATAGGGTCTCACTCTGTTGCCCAGGCTGAAGTGCGGTGGCATGACCACAGCTCACTGCAGCCTCAACCTCCTGGGTTCAAGCAGTCCTTTCACCTCAGCCTCCTCAGTAGCTGCGACCATAGGCACATGCCACCATGCCTGGCTAATTTTTAAAAAATTATTTCTAGAGACAGAGTCTCCCTATGTTGCCCAGGCTGGTCTCAAAGTCCTGGGCTCAAATGATGCCCCTGCTTTGGCTTCCCAAAGTACTAGGATTACAGGATTTTAACTTCTTATGTGGTAAACATTGGTCGATATAACCCACGTAACAAAAGTTATTTGAATTCCCTATTAGGGTGTAAACTGGTCCTGAGACCAACAACCATTTGTCTATGCGTATATTAACTTTCTTCATATCTATGCTACATCCATATTATTTATGTGTATATATGTGTGTGTGTGTATATATATATATAATTTTTTTTTTTTACGTAGAGTCTCGCTCTGTCACCCAGGCTGGAGTGCAGTGGTGTGATCTCAGCTCACTGCAACCTCCACCTCCAGGGTACAAGTGATTCTCCTGCCTCAGTCTCCCAAGTAGCTGGGATTACAGGTGTGCACCACCACACCTGGCTAATTGTTGTAGTTTTAGTAGAGATGGGGTTTCTGCCATGTTGGCCAGGCTCGTCTCAAACTCCTGACCTCAAGCCATCCGCCCATCTTGGCCTCCCAAAGTGCTGGGATTACAGGCATGAGCCACCGCACCAGGCCCATATCCTTTATGTATTCTTTTCTTATACAAAACACATTGCATTTACTCTTGCTCCACCTTGCCTTCCTAACTTAACAACACGTCTTCAGAATTGACCCATATCAAGACATATAGAGATTCCTTATTCTTTTTATGGTTACATAAATCTCTTTGCAAGAAATTATGTAATTATTTATCTCTTTGCAAGAATTTATGTAATTTTTATGCCAATGTCATGCTGATGATTTGTTAAAATTATTTTGTTTATACAGACACTGCCACATTGAATAACTTTGTATCCATATCATGTCAAATGTGTGGTAAGATCTGTAGGACAAAAGTAGAAATGCTAGTCAAAGATTAAATGCATATGTAATTTCGATATATGTTGTACAATGTATAAGCTTATACTTTTTTTAAGAAAGTAAGGTATGTATTACAGCCCTATACAAATAGGCTACATCAGTGTCATAATCTGTGTTCACTTGAATACAGCAGAGTTGAGTGCTGAGTGTGTATACACATACGCAGTTTACATGCTTAGAATCAAAAGTTAATGTTAACTGATTAAAACTTGAAAATATTGAAATGAAAATTAAGCTGGAAAGTCCATTGTAATAGATAAAATGTGTTGTTGATTATTCTATATCAGTGTGATTTGGGAGAAGTCATAAGTTTTTGGTATTTGTCTGGTACATGGTTGAAACAATTTGACAACTTTTGTTGGAAGGCCTGAAGCAGCTGGCACTAACTGCACTAATGAACAGGAGGTCCCAGCATTTTCAAATCCCGAGTTCACAGTGACCATCATTACAGAGGCAAGACTTCAGAGCCAGTGGAGATGGATTCCAGGCAAAGACTGTTAAGGAAAAGCAAAACAGATTCTTGCGTTCTTGCTTAGACGCTGCAGGGAAGTGCTTGTAAGCTCATAAATATGGGATCATTAAGCATCTTTGTGTGCAGGGATGAATTTTTAAAAGAATGTTAACATTTTCAAACAATTTTTAAAATGATAGTCCTCAATTCCCCTCTTCCTGCTCCCAGCGAAACCTCACAAGTTTTTTTGGTATTTGTCAATCTTTTGGCTCATTGCAGAGTATCCCATAGCTCCTATTCTATCTTCACATATCAACGTACGTGCCATCTCCTCCGGAGTACCTCACTTGGTTCCTGATATGCAACAACCTTTTTTTGCTTCATGTTCCCATAGGACTCTGTAACTTATCTACTATAGGTTATATAATGATGTCTTATAACTGTTTATTGACAATATTTCCACTACATTTTACATCCTAAAGAGAATGATGCTATGTGTCTTATTTAATGCTTTATTCTCAGAACCTACTTTAGTGCCTGACATATAGTAGGTACTCAATAAATATTTGCTGAATTAATAAAAAATAGGAGGACAATTTTGGCTAGCATGTGGGCTCTAAGAATCTCAATAATTTTAATTTAAAAATCCCAAATCTTGGCCGGGTGTGGTTTGCTCACACCTGTAATCCCACTTTGGGAGGCTGAGGTGGGTGAATCACGAGGTCAGGAGTTAGAGACCAGCCTGGCCAACATAGTGAAACCCCGTCTGTACTAAAAATACAAAAATTAGCCAGGTGTGATGGCACTCACCTGTAGTCCCAGCTACTTGGGAGGCTGAGGTGGGAGAATTGCTTAAACCTGGGAAGCGGAGGTTGCAGTGAACCAAGACCACACCATTGCACTCCAGCCTGGGTGACAGAATGAGACTCCGTCTCAAAAAGGAAAAAAAAAATCCCAAATCTCCTAGCAACTACTTTAAGTACCTCTGTCTTCACATATTTGTTTTATTGTTTCATATACAATTTCTAGTAATACTAGTACACATAGTATTTCTGGTGTAGATATACTATGGTTTGATAAAGTGTACAATGTTATTTTCTCCTCTGTTTTCTCTACCTTCTCCCATGACCCTGATGTTATTTGCCTTATTGGCCATCAATGGCACCTTTGGCCTAACAGAAATAATGAATTCTCCAAGAAGCAATAGGATTAATCACATAAGAAAAGTAGTGATCAGTAAACTGGTTTATACACGCTGTAGCCCAGTGATGGTACTATTGGTACTATTAAGGTACTATTTTCTTTTTTTTTTTGTTTGACAGAGTCTCACTTTTTTGCCCAGGCTGGAGTACAGGAGTGCAGTGGTGTGATCCTGGCTTACTGCAACCTCCACCTCCTGGGTTCAAGTGATCCTCCCACCTCCGCTTCCCAAGTAGCTGGTATTACAGGGCACACACCACCATACCTGGCTAATTTTTGTATTTTTAGTAGAGATGGGATTTACAGTTTGAACAAAATGTATTTCTTTTCCTTGGTTTCCAAACTTTCTTAGGCCAACCAAAGAAAATGGAATTTGAAGGTGTGGGTAATTTATCACCATCTCTTATTTATAAAAAAGCTTATGTGTTAGCTCATAATGAGCAGGAAAAAGTGAGAGCAGCAGTTGCCCAACATTTTTGGTACCAGGGACCAGTCTCGCGGAAGACAGTTTTCTACAGACTGTGGGGCAGGAGGGCAGTGGGGGAGGGTTTTGGGATGGTCCAAGTGCATTACATTTACTGTGCACTTCATGTCTATTATCATTACACTGTAATATGTAATGAAATAATTATACAACTCACCATAATGTAGAATCAGGGGTGCTCTGAGCTTGTTTTCCTGCAACTAGATGGTCCCATCTGGGGGTGATGGGAGACAGTGACAGATCATCAGGCATTAGATTCTCATAAGAAGCATACAACCTAGAACCCTCACATGTGCAGTTCACAATAGGGTCCATGCTTTTATGAGAATCCAGTGCCACTGCTGATCTGACAGGAGGGGGATCTCAGGCAGTAATATGAACAATGGCGGTGGCTGTAAATGCAGATGAGCTTTGCTGGCTCACTCGCCTGCTGCTCACCTCCTGCTGGGCACCGGTTCCTAACAGGCTACATACTGGGGGTTGGGGACCCCAACACTAAAAATTAGAGCATCAGGAAACTTCTTCTGTGTTCCCTGGCAACTCCTCACTTTTCTGTAAAGCAGAATCCTATTCACTTCCTTTGAGAAGACTTCGTCTCTCACCCTCTCATTTTGGTAAGATTTTATTATAGCCTCTTCTGCGAACTCCTTTACTCTTTTACCATTTATGATCCTCCCTTTGGGATTGATCTTGTGTCTTCTAGAAAATGCACTTATTCAGGGACAACCTTGGGTTTTCTCACGCCATCCAGGAGGGCTCCAAACCTCTGAGGAGACCTGGCTGACACCTAGATTGCAACTTTGTGAGGCCCTGAGCAGAGGGCCCAGCTTAGCTATGCCCAGAGCCCGGACCCGTAGAAGCTGTAAGATCATAAATGTGCATTAAGTAGCTACCTTTGTGGTAATTTGCTGCATAGTGATAGAAAACTATATACTGCCTTATTGGGAAGATGTATAGTTTATAAGAAACTGATTCTAGCTAATGTTAGATAGAGAAAAAAAAAGCAAAATTAGACATGTCACGGAATTGAAGGAAAAGCTAAACCATCAGGCCTTAGGGATAATAGGCACAAGGGTGACCGTGAGGGTATCACTGAGGAATTTTGAGGAGTGAGCTTTGAAATAATCTGCCTACATCCACCCTTGTTCCTTATCCCACGGATAAGATTTTTCCTGACAGACTCTAACTGGCCTCATTCTCATCACCTGCCCATTCCTTGATGTCGGGAAGCTTGAGAATGGACAGACCCCAAGACCATGTGGAAGGAGAAAGGAAGTCTCCTAAAGGGAAAGTGTGATGTTCTTAAGGAAAACAAAGGAGAGGGATTTGAGACAGGCCCACACAAAAGAAAGCCACTTTGCTACTGCATAGGGTTGTCAAGAAAAAACATGAGATAATGCATATAAAATGCTTCGCATGGTTCTTGGCACACAGTAGTCACTCAGTACAGTTTAACTATAATTATTAAGCATCAGGGGCCTATGCCTCATCTAGAAAGCAAAAGAAAGAACTCTGTTCTTGAAAATGAAAAGAAAAATCCCAATTTGATAAGGGGAAAAATCCCTGACACTCAAAAGGACAGGCTTAAATGTCTGTTGCTACCTAGATGATTTATAATCAAAGGGTTATCAGAGGTTAGGAAGGTATAGATTTCAAAGTGCTATTTGTGCTGATTATTGCTATGTACTCAAAGTCAAACCAGCTATGAGATATAATCCTCCAAATTCCAGTGGGCCACAGACAGAAGCCAACTATTGGTGGCTGTTTCTCTTCACACAAAACTCTTAATGGTTGGCTCACAGCTCTGATTGTAAGTGGGCTGGATGGTACCTAAGCCCACCCATCCATCCATGCTTAAATCATGGCTTTAAATTTGAAATTTTGGAAAATTAATTCAGATATGAGATGATAGTCATGTTTACTGAGGATCATGAACAGAGTCCACAATATGTTTGTGTACTTGGTATTGAGTGATGTAGTTGTGTTGTTGAAGTGAGGCTTTCCTTTGATCTTTTTGTTGACGAATGCCATTCACTGGTCAGTACAACCATTCTGAGGAAGAACTGTCTATCAGGTGGTGTCATTTTGGGCCCAGAACATCACTGACGGCTGGAGTTCACTTCCATTCCATTCTGTTCTACTCCATAAGTATTTATTGAGCTCCCATTATGTGCAATGAACTGTATTAAGTGCTTTGATAGATTAAAAAATGAATAGATAAGACAGAGCTCCTGACCTTAGGGTATTTTATTATCTCAAAAGAGAGACAAACGTTTACAAGGACCAGACACAATACAGAGCAGGATGTGACAAGTGCTAAAATAGATATAGAGACAGAAGAAAGCTTTAAATTTCAAGTGCGCATACCTGAAGTTTTCATATAAAGGGTGAATTTGAGCCCTTTTAAATCATATGCCCACTAGAACAGGCAGCATTTTATCTGTTTTTGTATTCCTAATTCCCAGCACAGTTCCTGGTACTTAATAGATGCCAATAAAGATGAATTTTTAAATTGCTTGAGGTGTGGAAAAATAGACATAAAATTTGCCATTTTAACCATTTTTAAGTGTACAGTTCAGTGGCAGTAAGTACATTCACATTGTTATGCAAACATCATCACCATCTATCTATGGAACTTTTTAAATCTTTCAAAACTGAAAGTCCAGGACCTATTAAACAATAACTCTTCATTCCTCTCTGCTTCCAGCCCCTGGCAAACACCATTGTACTTTCTGTCTTTATGAATTTGACTACTCTTGTTATCTCATATAAGTGGAATCATACAATATTTGTCCTTTTCTGATTGGCCCATTTCACTGAAATGTCGCCAAGGTCCATCCGCGTTATAGCATGTGTCAGAGTTTCCTTCCTTTTTAAGGGTGAATAATAAAGTTTTCACTGGATATATATAACTGCATTTTGTTTATCCATTCATCCATCAGTGGACATCTGGATTGTTCCCATTTTTGGCTATTGTGAAGAATGCTGCTATGAACATGAATGTACAAATATCTTTTCAAATGAGCTAGAAATTGGGATAGATCAAGAGTGGTCAGAAAGAGGGCATTCCAAGTTCAGGAAATAACATGAACAAAAGGAAAGAAGAATGACAATGCACTAGGCTTGCCTGGTGTGGCTTACTCATGGGTTGGGGCTGCACATGGAAAGGTTGATCTGTTCCAGAAGTTGCAGGGCACTAAGTACCATACCAAGGAGAAAAAGTTTTTCTGAAGTTATTAGGAACCATTTAAAAGGGGTTGGAGCAGGTAAGCAACATTACCAACACTATACTTGAGGAATACAATTGTAATGGCGAAGATGTAGTTAGAAATATACGGTAATAATCTTGGCAGGAGACAAACTAGGGCAGTGGCAGAGGAAATAGTACCAGGAGGGAGTAGAGTTATTTTTATTTTTGTTTGTTTGTTTGTTTGTTTGTTTGAGACAGGGTCAGGGTCTGGCTCTGTCACCAGGTAGGAGTACAATGGCACGATCTCGGCTCATTGCAACCTAGGCCTCTCAAGCCATTCCCCCACCTCAGCCTCCTGAGTAGCTGGGACCAAAGGCACGCACCACTATGCCCAGCTAATTTTTTTGTATATTTTGTACAGACCGGGTTTCACCATGTTGCCCAGGTTGGTCTTGAATTCCTGAGCTCAAGTGATCCACCTACCACGGCCTCCCAAAGTGCTGGAATTACAGTCGTGAGCCATTGTGCCTCCCTGGGAGTAGAGAGATTATAATGGAACTGTTAATAGGATCTGTTGACCAACTGGATGTGGGCGGCAGGAAGAGGAAGTTGTTGTTAAATCAGTGCCTGAGAGCATGGTGACATTACAAACTGAGATGAAGAATGCAGAGGAAAAAGAAGCAGGCAAAAACAATAGCTACCATTTATTGAGCTCTTATGTGTTAGGTACCTCACATGCATTATCTCACTTAATCTTGATAATGACCTTGTGAAGGACGGATTATTGTACATGGAAGGATACTCTGTTTATGTAGAATAAGTTACTGTCTAATATCTAGTAAAGGGGTGGAACTAGGATTCCAACCCAGACCTAATGGCAAAGTTCAAACTTTAAAAAACAAAAAACACCATACTATTCCATTGTCTTCAAACACATGGAATATCCATGTGGACTCATCTCTCAATAACTCGGCAATGTAAATTTCAGTTAAATGCTCATGAATAAAAATATAGTCCATCTCTACACAAAGATGACTTCAAGCGATGCTGAGGAAGAACATAAATAAGCTGACTGAGGAGAGACTGTAATGACAGAAGACCGGAACTTAATTCCGGAAGCACAAGTATCTATCGTGTGAGAAGACAAAGTGGGACTGGGTTTGAGGAATAAGAGAACAGCCAGAACAATGAATTGACAAAGACGCTGCATGAGAAGGCCATTTCAAAGAAGTGATCAGTCAACACTGTCAAGTGCTTCTAAAATCTTAAATAGGAAATAGACTGTGGCCACTAGATTTGACACTTAGGAAGTCATTGGACACTTTACAGAGAAGAAAGTACATATAGCAGTGTCTGTGGATTGAGGAATGTATAGAAAGTAAGGAAACAAAGAAAGTGAGCGTAAACTTCTTGTTTATGAAGTTTGGCGGCAAAAGAAAGGTGAGATTATGGTACAGTATTTGAAGTGATGTAGATTTGAGGAAAGGTTTTCTTTTTGAGGACCTGGAAGATAGGAGCATAATTTTTTGGCTGTGAGGAAAAAGCTAGTGGAGAATAGTCAACTGAAAATTTTGGGAGAATAATGGAAATTCATGGAGGACTAGAGATAGGCTGTGATCAAGAGCACATTTCAAGGGATAGTGAGGGGCAGGGAGAAATAGGAATATTCTTTCCCCAGGAATAGGAGAGAAAGAGACTTTGCAAGTTGAAAGGAAGAGCTGACAGTTTTTGGTGTTTTTTTGTTTTGTTTTTGTTTTTTGCTTTATAGAGAGGGTCTCACTCTGTTGGCCAGGCTGGAGAGCAGTGGTGAAATTACAGTTCACTGTAACTAGGAACTCCTGGGCTCAAGCGATCCTCCTGCCTCAGCCTCCTGAGTAGCTAGGATTGCAGGTGTGCACCACCATGCTCAGCTAATTTTATTTTTTTTTTAAGATGGGGTCTCACTATGTTGCCCAGACTGGTCTTGAACTCACGGCCTCAAGCCACCACACCTGGCTTGAAGTAGTTTACATTGGGATAGAGAGGCAACACTGTGAGGCTGTGGGAAGCTCTGGTGTCAAGATTGGTAAACAGCTGGTTGGGCTAAGGAAGAGGGAGTCAGATAGGGTCAAATGAGTAGATTATCTAGCTTTACTGAGGGCTCCTTTGAGTTAGGATGGTTTTACTCTACCATGAAGGCAACCCATTCAAAGAGTGACTGAAACTCAGTATCTTTCACACTAACACATTTTCCAACTTTCCTGAAACTCCACAGAGATGCCTGATTGAGTTTGGGTATTTCACAAACCTCCTTAACCTTATTTATAGACCCTTAAGGTAGATAACTCTTGGCTGATTTTATTGATGGTATGCTGATTTTTACCAGTTTTATTTTTCACTGTCAACAAATTCTAAGGGCATACGTGCGGAAACCCTCAACATACTGACACTAGGAGAGAACTACTTGAAGAGACTGCCATAGAAAAGTATGGGGAAATTACTGAGACATGGTGAAATGTTTCAATGTTGAATTTCAAAATTTCATTCGTTAAAGACTTCAAACCCATTGAGAAACCTCTGTTTAAAAACCTTTCTATTGATTCTGGTTTCTGAAATAGAACCAAGTGCAAGGCATAGCTAGTATAATTTAAAGTAACAGATTGTCTTCTTCTCTTACATTGACATTCCATTCGGCATTCTACGTGAACAAAGTAATGTTCCAGATTTTTTTAATATATAGTTACATTTACTGTATTTATGTGATAAATTCAATTCTAGATATAGGTATTAGCAATTGGAACCATGCTTCAGTTATCTCCCTTATGAAAGATAACATAGGAATGTTATAACAAATATTTAGTTAAAAAACTGAAAAGGGCTTTGAAAATGTAAAAGTGTAATATAAATGCTAAATAAAGATAATATATTCTGAACAGCAGGCTCCTTTGAAATAGGGCCTATGAATTCCATTAACACTCTCTGTTTACATGCTTTTAGGAACTTTTAGGAGGGTGTTGCCCATGAACATAACTCCGATACAATACCTACGGTCTAGTAACTAGCCAGGAAAGACACAAGTCCAAGAGCAGCGTAATAATTCACATAAGAATACTTCTTTAAGTCATTTAGTAAATGTTTTTTGCATGCTTCCATGTGCAGGTACAGTTCTGGGTGCTAGGAGTACACAGGGAACAAAACAGAAAAAAGCCTGGCCAGGGATCTGAATAGACTTTTTCAAAGGAAGATATGCAAATAGTCAATAGGTACATGAAAAAGTACTCAACATCACTAATCATTAGAGAAATGCAAATTAAAGCCACAATGAGATATCACTGAACAGCTGTCAGAATGGCTATTCTTTTAAAAAAAATAAAGATACCAAGTGTTGGCACTGATGTAAAGGAATGGGGACCCTTGTACACTGTGAGTGGGAATGTACACTGATATAGCCATTATGGAAAATAATATGGAGTTTCTAAAATAACTACAAATAAAAATACCATACGACCCAGCAATACTACTTCTGAGTATATATCCAAAGGATTTGAAATCAGCCTGTCGAAGAGATATCTGCACTCCCATGTTTATTGTGGCATCATTCACAATAGCCAAGATAGGGAAGCAGCCTAAGTGTCTACCAACCAGTGAATGCGTAAAGAAAATGTGGCATATACACATGATGGAAAACTATTCGGCCTTTAAAAAGAGGGAAATTATGCCATTTGTGACCATACGGGTGAACCCAGAGAACATTATGCTAAGTGAGATAAGCTAGACACAGAAAGAGAAATACCAAATATTCTTACTTACATGTGGAAGCTGCAAAAAATTGAACTCATAAAAGGAGAGTGTAGAATGGTGGTTACCAGCGGCCAGGGAGTGGCCAGGAATCGGTTCAAGGGGTACAAAGTTCCCTTTAGACAGAAGGAATACATGATAATTATTTGAGATGATGGACATGTTAATTAGCTTGATTCAATCATTCTACATTATATACATACAGCATCACTTTATACCCCATAAATATATACAATTATAATTTGTCAATATTCAATAAAAATAAAACAGGAAAAAGTTCCTTTTAAGAAGTTAACATTTATTGCTTGCTAACCAAGTGCCAAGGATTTTTCTTGGATGCGTCCATCAAATCCTCATAACAACCCCACGAACTAGGTAGTGTCAGTATCCCCATTTTACAGATATAGAAACTGAGGCAAGAGAGGATCAATAACTTGTCCAAGATCACACATTAGCAAGTAGTGGAGTTGGGATTTGAACCTTGAAATTCGGCCTGAATGTTCCACTAATGAGAAAAAATGACGGGTACTGGATTGACTAAATTGACTGTCTAACTTGGTCCTCTTTAATTTTGTAAGGCCAAAGAGAATGAGTCATACACATTGCTTGGCGTCTTTGGTTTTTCTATTTGATTCAAAAAATGCCTCAATTTTCCATAAGTGATGAGGAGCTATTGTTGGGATGCCAGTGAAGATAGGAATCCTGCTCTACAAGTAGCCCTTCTGGTAACCACAGAGTGATCAGGCCTTACAAAACTGGAATGACATTTGGGAATAAGAAGACATGCAGAGTCCACTGCAGTTCTGGCACCTTTATCTTTTGGGCCTCCAGCCACCTATCTCTGTTTTTCTCTAACTTATGGTTTCTACTTATGCATAGTTTCTACTGTCTAATCGCTAATCTTCCCATGCTTTTTCTCTCTGAGTTGTTTATTAATTGTTTTTGTAATGGCTATCAACTAACTTTTAACCCCAGTGTCCCCAGTGTCTTCAGTTAATGTGGCCAAGTGTGAGAATATGATTGGCTATTCATATGGGGAAGCACATTCCCTGCTGACTCACAGGCCACCCCTGCTATTCTACTCAGCCCTTAGATTACATGCCCAATCCTGGACCAATCAGCTGTGGCCAGGAGATCAGGTCAAATGGAAAGAACATTCTAGAACCAGGATCTCAGTGTACTGGCGGCTGTTGTCACAGGCATGTTCTGAAGTCTGGCTTGTTCCTTCCAATATTGTTTGTTATATGGCTTCTGAATTTAGGTTCTAAGTGAGTGTGTTATGAAGAATTATCAACCGTCTTTTTAATTTAGAAGTCAGTTGACAATCCCATATTATTCTATTCTTTTGAATATGTCTGCAATATTTCTATCTTAACTTCTTCATATCTAAATGAAATGATAATATATATTCACATCACATCTTTATATATTTAATTTCCTTACGATGTTTAGAATGTGATACATATTATAATCCTTTCCTCACCTGATGAGTACTATACCCCCTTTTTTCCCCCTCAGCATTTCAATTACATTTCACTATCATAAGCTTTGTGCTGAGTGTTGGATACAGATGTATCACAAGCAAGAGATTGGTATTCAAATGAAAAGAACTATAAGAACATTTCAGTGTTATCTAGAACATTAACAGGAAGACCAGACTCAGCTCTTACAAATATCAATGATAAGAATTTTGGCCAAATCAATGTTAACATCATTTTTACAGTTGGAAAAACACAGAGCACACAATTATATAGGCTAAAAAAAATCAATAACTTGACTCATATGTAACAGTAAGATAATACATTAAAAGGATGATTTCAAGAATTGTTCTTTTAGAAAATTTCTATAGAAAGGTTCAATTTTACCTTAAGACTTGTGACCAATAGCACACATTGTAACATGGGGGACCGGGGTTAGGAAAGCAGTCTGTGGCTATGAAACAGATCAAAACTAACTAGCCATTAGGGAATGAAACCCATGACCTCCATCTCATTAGTACCAGGCTTAAGCCAAGCTGAATGAGCTATTCATTGATAACATTATGATACCTATTGGATGAGCCTTTACTCTTTACTTAAAAATCCCTTTCTCGGTTCCATATTATTTGTACTAAAATATGATTGTGTTGCTGTTATGTGAGAAGGAGTAGGGAGATACATGGCTTTCAAGGAGACTTCAGAAATCAGACTGAGCGCAGTGGCTTATTCCTGTAATTCCAGCACTTTGGGAGGCCGAGGCAGGAGGATCACTTGAGCTCAGGAGTTTGAAACCACCAGGGCAACATAACGAGATCTCCATCTCTACAAAACATAAAAAACATCAGCCAGGCATGGTGGCATGCTCCTGTAGTCCTAGCTACTTGGGAGGCTGAGGTGGGAAGATCATTTGAGCTTGGGAAGTCGAGGCTGCAGTGAGCTGTGATTGCGCCATTAAACTCCAGCCCAGGTGACAGAGCAAGCCACTGCCTCCAAAACACAACAACAAAAACTTCAGGAAGCAGGGCCAATTAAAAGGAAAAAAAAGGGAAAAAATCAATTACTCTGTTTACTTTATCTAAGTAGGGAGAGAACTGAAGCTCCTAAAACGTGAGGTGACATGGCTAATGGTTCCCAGTGGTGGTAGCAGAACTGGATTAGAACACCAGTCTCTTGGACTTCACTCCTGGGCACTTTCAATTTGTGAAGGGCTGGCTCATGGAAAATGTAATCCTTGAATTTTTCCAGGACATGAGGGGCCTGTCTTATCAATGCAGGACAAGCATAGTGTTAGGAAAAGGGTGCTAAGCATTTTTGTTTGTTTGTTTGTTTGTTTTGAGACAGAGTTTCGCTCTTGTTGCCCAGGCTGGAATGCAATGGTGCAATCTCGGCTTACTGCAACCTCTGCCTCTTGGGTTCAAGTGATTCTCTTGCCTCAGCCTCCCAAGTAGCTGGGATTGTAGGCATGCACCACCATGCCCAGATAATTTTGTATCTTTAGTAGAGACGGGGTTTCACCATGTTGGCTGGGCTGGTCTCGAACGCCTGACCTCAGATGATCCATCTACCTAGGCCTCCTGAAGTGCTGGGATTACAGGCGTGAGCCACCACATCCTGCAGTAGCTAAGATTTCTAAAATGAAGTGCATGCAGCATCGACATTCCAGGATGGAGTACAGTGAGAAGTTTTGAATGACATCCATGAGGGTGGGGGATGGGGTGATGAGAGGCTTCAAAAATTCTCTGGAGAGTGAGTACAGTGATTTGTTTAAAACATTTTCTATGTAAAATGACTTTAGCTTCAGAATATTTGGGAATGTAGTAACCTGAAATCATTTTGGGGTGGACAAGTTTGGATATAAACAAATAAATATAAAGAAAAATAAAGGAGTGAGCTCATAGCTGAGTGTGGGACGTCAGGGAAGTTATAGACCTGAACCTGAAGCATGGATTTGGTATTTACATGTGGCAGGGTGGAGGAGGGTGGGATGGGAAGGTGGGAGAGTGGTAGAGGATGATGAGATTAAGTGATGCCGGAAAGAAGGCATTCATCATGAATCATTAACAAGTGAGTGAATGGTGGAAGGTGGAAGGGATGGCAAAGAAGCCTCTGCTAGTATATTACTATTTAGTGAACAGACGGAGAAAGGTCTGGTAAATAGTACACATTTATGCGAAGAATAAAATCATGTTACCTAGCTTCTAATAATGTATTTTACCTCTGTTTTAGATAGTGGCACCAAAGGATTCTTTGTAGAAAACTTTGACAGCAGCCTTTAAAGTCATTATTCCTACAAGTGAGTACTTTCAAAATCTTTACTATCCTGAACCACATCTTGAGAAAAATTGAGATGAGGTTTTAATAATGATCTCCGGAGGAGAAAGAGTGTATCATAGAGAGCCTCAAGTCATCCTTATTTCTGTTAGTGAACCTCTGTCAGTACACTTTCTAGGCAAGCCTTGCTCTTGAAACACTCGGACCTTTACTCAGGACTTCTCTGATTGGTTCATGTTCCCAGACACCTTCTGGGAAGAAGAATGGCATCATGTACCCTGGATGTTTGTCCTTCAAGAATCAGCTTAGCCATCACTTCTAATGTAAAGCCTTTCCTTATTGCCACTGGTGCTCAACTGTGTTTGCTCTACATACCTCTGCTATAACATTTTCCATATAACATTACTGTAACATAATGCCCAATTTACTACACTGTCTCTCCACCAGGCTGAATTTCTTGTAGCTGGGGCCTAGTTTTGGTCACCTGTTTATCCCCAGCACCTTGCAGAGCACTTAGCACAGGTAGGCCATTAATACACATTTATAGACTGTTGAACCAGTATCACTGAAAACATAAGTACAACAGAAATATCATCTAGAAATTATCTTGAGAGAAGGAATCTAAAATTGATTTTTCAGAAAGAGGAATCTAAAATTAATTTAGTTTCCATGGGGGCAAGGTCTTAGTTTTGTACATAGCTCATGCCCTTTCTTTCCTTCTCCTGCAGTTTGCCTTTGGCCATTTCACTGCTTATTATTCAAGGGCTAGAGAGAAAAGGAGAGAAGCTGAAATTCAGATCAGTTAATTAAGCTGTTTGGGAACAGCTCTGAAAAGGGTTGAATGTGGTGGGTGAAATCAATAGTGAACTGGTGGTTTGAGATCATCTACAGCTCTCACTACCCAGCCTTCTCTACTTCACACCCCTCAGCCAACGGCTGTTCAACGTATGAAGCATTTTATAAGTTCATTTCAGCTTCACAGGATTTGTCCGTTTGTTCTGGAGTACATGTTAAGGCATATGGCCTGATTTTTGGTTTGGAGAATTTGGTCACTACACCAACATTAGATATATCGGGTGGTCTGCTTCTATAGGGTAATTTCATGGTCCTAAGGAAAGAATTTAAGAGTTTATGTTCTGAAACTGGTTCAAGAAACATTCCTTAAGTGAAAAAATTCAATCAAGAATAATATTCCCTACACTGGAGAAGGATTTTTAATATAGAACTTCCATCTGTGATATATTTAAATTCTAGGCCTCAGGCAGCAGTTTCAGAAAAGGGCCTCCTTTACCCTTTATTAGATGCAAAATAGTCTACTCTGGGGATGGGAACTTCCTTTTACCTCCCCCCCCCCGCAAAATCTAAGACATGCTTCCCTCATTCCTAAAATCACACATGCTTTTTTTTTTCACACAGCAAACTCTGCTATTGACATCAAAATGTTTATCAAAACTTTAATTACTCGAATTATTTTGTAAGTACTCCTATTAAGTGGAAAAGACCAGTGAAGCTGTCCAAACGGCGGCCCGCAGTCAATGCGCCGAAAGCTGTCAATACTGAAATGTAATACTCTCTTGATCTAGTTTTGACGCTTTAACAAAGACAGGTTTTGCCATTTAGGACCGCTCAGCCATCTTGACTGAATACCTTAAGAGGGTAGTCCTGGACCTGCTTATTGCCAAGGGACTTTCACAGTGTTCTAAGTTACTGTAGGAATCTCAGCCTATTACTCGACAGAGGCCTAACATGTTGGAGCTGTCAATAAAGATCCGCACTTAGGAAGCGGAAAGAAGGCACAAGTTTTATATGCACACTTTCTTTATTATGCATTGTTCCAGCCATCAAAGAGAGGGAGATTGTACTCTCCCAAAGCTTACAACTTTGTTACTTTTCATGACCTGTAGCATGTATTTAGCCTTTGGGCAGTGTTTGTGCAAGACTAAGGCCCACTCTTTAATGGCTGAATGCATACATTTCACAGCACATGGTGGATTCGCTGCTCTGAGAATTGCCTTTAAAAAAAGTAAAGTGAAAAATAGACAAAGAAATCTGGAACCTTAGCAGTGTTTCCTATTTGTTTGGACTGTTCTTGAACCAGCTCTGAGGCGGTGACCGGGCTATTGAAAAGATGCACCTGAAACAGGATCTGCGGGCAGCTGCATTTGCCACCCGGCTTTATTGCTGCTTTCCAGCGGCGAAGGCGCAGCAGCAGTAACAGGGAAGCCAGAGCGAGCCTCCCCGGCAGCGGCGGCGGCGGCGGCGGCACCGGCACCAGCGCAGTTTCCCCTCTCCCCAGCCCTGACTCTACGCGCACATGCGCATTGCGCCCGCAGCCCTGGACCATTTGTCAGGACTACTCGTGAGACGGAGAAAAAAAAAAGAGAAAATTTGGGGGTAAGAAGCGGTTGATCGGATCTAATCTCTAATTAATCTGAAGATTTGTCCGTGCAAAAGCCATTCATTTATTTTTCTGGGTGAGGATGAAAGTTAAGAGCCCTATAGAGGGAAGGAAGCGCACCCTCGTCTTGTGAAACAGATCAGGGGAGGGGAGGGACAGAAGGGGTTTCTCCCCCACTTCTCTGCGCCTCTGGGAAAGAGGAGAAAACTTAATCCCGGGGAAAAAAGTGGGCAAGTGACTCGGAAACGGCTGGAGGGGGAGTCTCTGGGCATCTCACTCTGAAGTAGTGAGTGCGAGTGTGAAAGAGGAACAAAAGAGAGAGAAAAGAGAAAGGAAAAAATGGGGGGAGGAGAGACTTGTATTTTTTTCTTTGCGCGCACACGGGGAAGGGTGTGGGGGGCCGTGCGGAAGGGAGCCGGGGCGAGGCGGCCGCGTTGGGCTCAGGCTGGCGCGCAGGCGGCGGGATGCGTGTGGCCCCCTCCCCCGCGCCCCCCGAGCTTGTCACTTTGGTCGCTTTCGTGACACCGGGCGCGGGGTGGGGGAGCGCGGCGGCGCCGGGCTCCACCGGGGTGCGTGTCCGGGTGGGCGCCGCGGAGCCGCAGCCCAGGCGGCGAGCGCGGCCGCCGAGGCGGGGGGCGCCGGCGGGGGGCGCGGGGGCGGCCGGGGCCGCGGATCGGTGCGGCGGGAGGCGCGAGCCCCGCGCGCCGCCCCTGCGGCCCCCTCCGCCCGTGTGGCCTTTGTGCCGGGCGCGCACCGGAGAGCGAGCGAGCGGGCGGGCGAGCGCGAGAAGTACAAGTACGGGAGACCGAGGCAGTGGGAAAAGAGGCCGGGCCACTTTCTCCCCTTTCGGGCTGCGGAGAATGGACTGGTTGAATGTGCAGGCGCGTCTCCCCGGCGTGTGCTGTGTGTGTGCGCGGCGGAAAGGCCTGCCCGACTCCCACCGCGCACACGCACACTCACACGCACGCACACACACGGACCCGCGGCGGGGCTCGGCGGCCGAGAGTTTGCGTGGCTTCCTCGCCGCCTCCCTCTTCCCAACCGAGTGTGTGAGAATTTCATATAGATCAGCTCCAATTTCCGCCATTTTGGGAAAGTTGCACAAAAATAAACCCTCCGGTTTATTTCTGCCCGAGGCAGGAAAGTGCTTTGGGAAGCGAGGCGGCGCGGGCCCGCGGCGGCCGTCCGCGCGGGAGAGGGCGCGGGCCGCGGGCCGGGCCGGGAGCCCGCGCCGTCGCGGCGTTCGCCCCGCGCCGTGCCGCGCCGCGCCGGCCCGGGTGCGGGCGCGGGCGCGGGCGTGTGTCGGGAGGCGGCGGCGGCGGTCGCGGCGGCGGCGGCCGCGCCGGGGCGGCGGGCTTGTGGGGGGAGGGTGGGGGCGGCGCGGGGCTGCTTTTCCTGCAACTTGTTTACGCCTGCCTTATTCTGGGGAGGAAAAGAGGGGTCGGGGCCGGGGCCGGCGCCGGGGCCACCGCCCGCCTCGCGCCGCGTGTGTGTGCGGTTCCGGAATAATGGGCTTTGCACACTCGCGTCCTGGGCCCCGCGGGCCGTCCTCGCGCCGCGGCGGCGGGGCGGGGGGAAGTAGAGGCCGGCGGGGGTGGGGATCGGGAAGCGCAGGAGCCGAGGCATCCGCCGCGCGCCCCGCGAGCTGGTGGAGTGTGGGGGCCGCCGGGCGGGGAGAAAAACTTGAGAGCCCTGGAAGGGGAGGAGGGCACGGTGGCACGGGCGGGGGGAGGGCGCAACTTTTGGACTGGTGGTAAAACTTTAATTACCTTTAAAGAAAAAAAGGCCCTGCGATTCCCCCCTCCCCCAGTCCCGGTCAAAGCACAGCCCGCAGCGCGACCGTGAGAGAAAGTTTAAAAGCGGGCGTGTTCCTCCCGGGTCCCCGCGGAGGGCTGGGGGCGTCGGTCTGTCCGTCGCGCTCAGAGGGAGGTGGGGGTAACTAGCCGCTTTCCAGGGCGCGGGGACCGCGGCTCTACCCCACCCTTCCACGGGAGACGGAGGTAAACGTTGCTTCGGTTTCCCTTCTGAGTCCCCCTGCTGCCACCACCCCGCTTCCTTTTCCTCCCCCTCCCCGCCGATTTTTTGAGGGGACCCGAAAAACGGAGTCCCTTTCCTTAGGCAACTTCCTCGGGCGCTGTGAGCACGGCCCTCCCCCTCACCGCCCCCACCCCCAACGCCTCGCATCCCTTGGCCCGCTTCTCCACCTCGGGGCCACCGCCAGAAAAATGCATTCGAGATCATTCAGAGTGCACAGAAACAAAAATAGATTTTTAATTGTTAGGTTAGGGGAAACTGAGATGAGAAATAAGAATTTGGGGTGGGGGGGCGCGGCCGGGGCGAGTGCGTCCAGTTCTCCTTTTGGTTTTCCTAGAGCGTTGTTTGTGATGTCTTTATTGGTTTAGGGAGTCCGAGAGGCTCTATGCTGGCTATCTCGGTCGCGTGGATTTTTGCGCAAGTTTTTAGAAAAACACTGACTCGAGTAGAGAGCATTTCTCCGGAAAGTTTCAAGTGCAGCAAAATAGCGAACGTGCAAAACTGGCCAAGGGGAGACCTCTAGTGGTTGAACGCGTCTTTTAAGTTCGGAAGGCCGAGAGCAAAGTTTGGCCTTTACTCGTAGCTACGTAGTCCGTTCAGACGTGGAAGTAATTAGAGGACCTGAGCGAGCAGCCAGATGTTGTGTGAAAGGATGCTGATCAGAAATTGAAAGTTTAGTAAATCGAAGCAATGAATTCTGAGGACTCAGACCCTGTAACTTCCATCCGACATGAGTTATATGGGAAAGACACTTTGCTTTTATTCAGAGATTTGAGATTGATCGCTCCCTGAATTGGAAACAATTGTTTGCTTTTGCATTTATCGGTGTCTGTACCTCTGATCAATTTTTAATTAACGAGTCTCAGCTGATGACTTTATTTTGAATGTTAAGAAAACTGCTAAGTTGAAATGTGTTTAAAACTTTGAAGAAATGGAAAAGACCTTTAGTTGAGATTTGTCTTTTATATGAGCTGTTCATTTTACTGTCTGATAAGTGTAAGGCAATTTTATATAGTTTCTTAGCTGTATAGTTATGTATAGTCCGAGTAAGTAGTCCCTTTTGGTTCTAAGACTGTAATTTTGTTTCACTGAGTACGAAATTATTTCTGAATACTTGTATAATTTGTGATTTAAAGTCCTTAAATACATGGGCAAAAATTTTATGTAATATCTATTCTTTTTCCAGTGTGTTTTCTGTAAAATATCTTTAATTTTAAAGATAAAAGCAGTGAGGGAAATTAAAGTTGACTCAAATGATCCTTGTAACTTTCACCTGCCTGTCATATACAACAGGAGAGACGTTATTGGGTGAATTTAGGACATGGGAATGATACGAATGATTAAAATCCATTTCAACTCATCTAGAACCAGCTTATTTTATTTTAATTTACCGAGTGGCATGGTGTAAAATTATGCCTAAGTGATTCAGAATGTAAGCTTCTTAACTGGGGATGGTGGATTTGAAGGTTTCTTTTTGATGACAGTGTTTTGATTTTACCTTCCCTCTCTTTAAACCAATGCTAGAACCCTTAGGAGAAATCTTGAGAGTGGACAGCAATTGTGAAGATCGCCAGAGAGTTCTGTGTTTCATCACCGCCGAAAGGTAAGACCCACTTGTTGAAATAAATTGCTTGACATACCTGCAAATGTTAAAAAGCTGCATTTGGAGATCAGGAAGGAGAGTATGAGACTGGGTTGGCAGAAAAACATCATTTTGTGGGGCTGCTTTGAATGCATGAATGTATTGACACTAAATGTAATTGTAGTTTGGATGAAACATTAGGAAGTTAGGAGATTGTCCTGGATAATCTTTGTATTGCCTTACTTACTAGATTCTTAATTAGCATTTTAGCACCTGTTTTCTACTGAAAGTAAATGTTTTATTCTTTGGAGTTGAAAAAGTGGAAAAACTGGAATAAAATGATTGTAAATTAATATAAGTGTTACATTGTTATACAGTGATATGGAAGATTCTGGAACTCTAAATGTCTTGGGGGGCCAGTGGTAAAATTTTGTGAATGAAATTTACATTGGGTGCTTTGGGGGTATTTGTCACATAACTTCTATGGCTTAAATCCAAGATGGGCTGACTTGTGCCAAGTGCCATGTTGCAGGGTTATGAGTGAGTTTCAGTGTGTTAGCTTAGACTTGTCAACTTTTGAACATACTTCCACAGGGAATACAGCTGTTGTCTACTAAGATCTCTTTAGTAATTTTGGAGGGTGTTGGCTTCTTTCCAATACTCCAGGTCCTTCTTTTAGGGCAAAGGTCATTCTCAGGCAGAGGGGACAGCCATCTCTGAAGGTAGAACATTTCAGTACATTTTTGCTACTCCAGTGCTTTCTACTGTTTATACCTTTTTTTTTCTTCCTTTAATCTTCCCCTCTCCTTTTCTGCCTGTTTTCCTGCCCTCTCTGTCTTGAGTAATAAAGGGGTCGCTAAATCTTGTTTGGCAAAAACAAAAGAAAACCAAAATTAGCCTACCTTTTTAGAGCAGAACTAACAACCTTCATTGGGCCAGGTGTAATCTAGAAATCAAAATGACTAATTATTGATATAAAAATGATTAACAGGAGTTTATTGTCATTTGCTGCTTGTGGATCATTTTGAATTGTATAATTAGCAAAATAAGTAGATCTGGTCCATGTGGATATGCAGCAGAGACAATGGGGCAAGAACAGCTATAGGAAGGTCCTGCAGACAACTAGGGTTCAAGAAGAGTAAAATCAGTTTCCTAAGATGGTGAATTTCATGTTTAAATGTGCTGAGTTGAAGACACTGCTTATTTTTCTTTGTCTGCGGAGTCACTGTGTCTGTGGATAGAATGCTAGAATAGGAATCAGAAGACTAAATGTAATAACTAGATATATCACCTTGTATATGTCACTCTACCTCCTTCAGCCTCCATTTCCTCATCTACAGAGCGGGAACAGCAATACTTGCCTTGCATCTTTTGTTAAAAGAATCAAATAAAATCAGATTTTGAGAACCATAAAGAGTTATTCAGATGTATAGTGGTCATATCATTTTACCTTCGTCCAGCTTTATGAAGGGCTGGAGGTAGATTGTCTAAGTCAGAATATAGTGATTTAACACTTGGCTAAAACTTTTAGATTGGTTTCTGATGTGTGTATTGTATGGACTTCTCGGAATATTTCTAGGAGTATATCTTGTCTTGAGAAAAAAGTAGTTTCCCTTGTATACTATTGGCTCTTTGAGGGAAGAGACCATGCTCTAACATGGTGCGGAATACAAAACCGGAAATTTATTTATCCCAAACTAGTCATTTAATAAGTAGAAGGAGTAAATGAAAGAAATACTTTAAAATGATGCCTAATTGTGAAAATGGTAGGGTGATGAAAGTAGAAGGGTTGGTGTGAGGGGAATTAATGTACTGTAATTAATATTTTAGTTGCATGAGTCTGCTGGGAGATGAGGATGAGAAAATAGGTAACTGGAGTAGTAATGATTTAAACTAACTATAGGGGCCAGAACATGAGTCCTCCGAATGACTGAATTTAGGAAATGTCCAAGTAGGGCTTTTCCTCCTTGTTTTCTAGACCTCTTTGGCTGCAATCTAATTATAGCCAACTATGTAAAATCTAGATTAAAAAAATTGTAAGTACTATCTATTATTATTTTTGATTTGATGCTACTGAACCTGACAAAATAAACCCTGACAGGTTTTAGTTTTACTTCATCTCCACTCTTTGGAGATTATCCAATCAATGTTCTAAGAATCCAAAAACCCAATAGGAGTGGAAAAAAGAAGTATATGTCCTGTTTAATTAGTCCCTGAGTAATTGAGAGTTGATTCTTAAAGAATTTTGACTGGGTTGGTAGTTTATTTTTAAGAATTCCATATTTCAGCCAATGCTGTTTATAGTAGTGCAGTTAGGATGGGGAATTTATGAGAGAACTTACTTTATGTGGTGGGTGGGATGTACCGTTGGCATCCCAAGGATGGATAACTTGAGTGATCCCTGCGGTATTGTTTCTACTAGTTACTTAACCAGTTTTTTTCTGAGCTCTTATGGTGTTGAACACTTAAAAGACGAGATCCTTGCTCTTGAGGAGTTCTAGAGATCCTTACTCTGGGACTAGACATAATGAGCTCTTCTAATAATAGTATAACAGTTGCACATGGTACCATTAGGAAAGGATGAGGGCTCTAGCACTCTTTGGAGCTGTTGAACCAGGAAACATGGATTTCTGGGCTAACTGATGCAGGACCATGGCATATCATCCAATACACATGGCACAATATAATGCATTCCTTTTTTAGTGCTTCGCCTTCAGAAATGAGTAAGAAGCCCTTCACCCACAGTCAAGGAATGTCTAGCAAGAGTCTAGCAAGATGGATTGAGGCGATTCTTTCTTTGACCAGTGTGTTCACAAGGTAACTTTCTGGTGAAGATCTACACTATCTTCCACTGTTACCACTTGCCACTATTGAGGGATTTGTTCCTCACAAGGATTTGGGAATGCTTATAGTATAGGTAAAGATAGTGTCTTTAGAGAGAACTATTTATATGTTCATATGGGTGCACATTTATATGTGACATCTTGAAGTTCAGCGGATCCATGGAAGATATATTTTCTAAAGGGCTTCATTATCTAACAGGAATATTCTCAGATTATCTCTTTACTGTATTAAATTATTTCATTGGTGGTTGTGGATGTAAGTCAATAGTGGGAAATGATGAACGGATTTGTATTGACTGTGGCAGCTATGCAGTGGGTGGATGAAAAGAAGCACCAAGAAAGGGTATCCTTGATATATAACTAAGCTTGATTTATGAAGTAAAATTGGGAAAGACCTTTAGAAAATTCCCATTTGGGAGACAAGATAGTTTGGAGGAATGAACAAGGATCTTTGAGAGGAACTTGAGTAAAGTTAAGTTGGGTGATCTTGGATGAGGGAACTTTCCTCATAAACTGTAGTTTCTTTCTGAGTAGACTTGGAATTGATTAGTTGGATGGTGATTATAAGAATGATATGTATATTATATGTAACAGTAAAATGCCTTCTGCATTATTATTCTTTCTCCCATATATACTGTAAATCATTGTTTTGTGTTCCACCAACAGATACTTATTGAACCTCTATTTTGTCTAAATTACTGTTGTGAACTGCTTCACAAAATCAACAATTACAGCAGGGTTGAATGAATGTATGTGTTGGGGCTACAAAGACATCGAGCATCAATCCTTGGGCTCAGTATATTCCTAATCTAGTTGGGGAGATAACCCATACACATACGATGGCAATTAACAAAACAAAGCCATGGTTAAGTGTGGGTGAATGGTAGATAAATGCTGTAGACACTGTGATGGCATCTCTGGATGTGGTGGTAAATGTGTTCCTGTGATAGGACCCGGCAGATGGGGTTGCTCTTTTAAAAACCCTATGAAGTGTTGATATACAATGTTAAGTGCAATTGTATATCGAGTGCCTTCTGAAGATCAAGCATTAAGCTAGATGCTTTATATTTATTTATTCATCCAAAAAATACTTTGAGTGCTTTCTGTATGCCCAGGTACTGTTCTAGGCACTGACTATTACCTCTCATACTTTCACTAACCTTGAGCACTGGGTATTATTTTTTGTCTTTTAGAGCAAACTGGTGCTCAGAGTTACTTAGTAACTTGTTCATATCATGCAGTTTGAAAGGGGTGGAATCAGGGAAAATGATACTGGCATATGATTGATGTGTCTTTAGGTTTTTGATTTTCAAAATAGTAACACATAGAATATTTTAAAAACAACACATTTCCAGATTAAGGTATGTGCTCTTTTACATTGGTTTACTAAGATGAGCAATAATGAACAGGTATAAGAAAAATAGATGGGAAGAAAAACTGGCTTTACTTTCTTCTTTTTTTTTTCTTTTTAAAACCAAGAATTGAGAAAAGACCAATTATTGAATTATTCTGAAAAGAACACCTTGGTCTAGCCCATGGCCTTGAAATGATCACAAACTGTTGATAAAACATTACTCAGAATAGGCTTGGGAATCACTGGGCTTACTTATATAAAGATTTCATTTGTTCTCTATAGGAAGAGACCCAATAAGGTAGTAGGACTAGTTATGAAAAATATATATATAAAGCATCAATCAATGAAAGAATGGGACCTGCATCTACCAAGGCAGGCTCAGTAGGTTATGAAATTTACTCTAAAGCCAGGATTGTAAAAGGAAAGAAGAAAATTAAGAGAGACAATGGTGGGGAGAAAATGGAGGGGTGGTGTGGTAGAAATGTGTCCTAGAATCAAAGTAAAAGATGAAAACAGGGAATATGACTAAGATCCTGAGCAAGAGTGCTATAATTACTGGTGTTATACACTGTAACCAAAAGAGTATGTCCCATGTTTGCAAAATGAGGTGAAGAGTCTATTTTGACTCATCGGGTGGTTTTGTATTGCAATGGGAATTATATCTCTCTGTTATATGAGTTACGGTGGATCAGGCAGTTCTTCAGTTTGACTTAGAAGGATGCCATTGTAGGCATTGATTACAAGGTAATGGGCTGTTTCTCCTTTGTTGAAGTTCTATTTAAAACATTTTTTGAGCGTATACTATGTACCAGACCTTTTAAAGGCTGGACCATAGCTTTATATTACATAAATTTTGTGGAATTAAGCTAATTTAGTTACTAGAACATTTTGGGTATGATTGCTTAGGTACCAAAATCAGTTGATTATTTTTCTCCATCCATTACACTGTTGAACCCTGAATAGTGAATTGAAATTCCTAGGTGGTCAATCTGGTCTGGTTGTTAAATGATCTTAGTAATTCACCGTATTGGTTTGTGGTCTAATTGGGTGGACTTGAGGCTTAGCTGTTCAGTCTATTGATAAGGAGGTTGGCTACAAATGGTTATCAAGATAAGCCTGTAGACTTCTGTGAAAGAAAAATCTAGCCAAATCTAATTCATTACATGCAAAAGAGAAATCAAGTGTAAATCTTAGCTTTATGTTCTATAAAAATATGAAGCAAAATAAGAAAAAAGATACTACTTTTAGCATTAAAAATTATGAAGTAAAATAAAAAAGAACAAGAGAGTACTTTTAGTTTTTCTTTTAAAATTTTAGTTCATGCATATTTAGCATATGCATAGAAATATCTGTGTCAGGTTCTTGTTCTTTTTATGGCCCTTGAATCCCTCTAATGGGTGTAAAATTTCTATTATTACCCTTCTAGTATAGTATGTTGATGATATGCTAGCACTTTAAAAAATATGTCTGACTCAAATTGAGGTATAGTCTGCACGTTGAACATGAATTTAAAATAAAAGCATTTAATGAGAGTCTATTAAATATGCCATAGGCCCATTAATGTCAGTTTGTGATTTCACTTTCTGTGTACCTTTTTTTTTTTTTTTCTTGAAAGGCATTTTTCATTTTCTGTTCCTTCTTTAGAGGAAGTAAGTAGGTTAGGCCACAGAATCTCAAATAATTCATCCTTCTTACAGTAACACAGAAGGGCAGGAAGTTGAGATTTTGTAAAGGTTACCTTTGGTGACTACCCTTTCTTTGCACATGATCTCCATGGCAGACAAGGTAGCAAATCAGAGAGACCATTGCAACATTATAAATAGGATCATTCACATTAAAATATGACTAGCTGATAAAGGGACAGTGTTTTTGAGAAAATATCAATAAGATGGAACCGCTGTAATGACTGATTTCATGTTTAAAGGCAGCATGGATTAGTTCACACTCAGGTGTCTCCTCTGCAGGGATGGATGAGAACAGAAGACCCAACTTCTCAAGGATTTGTTCTTGATGCTGCTAAGATTTCAGTTCTCACATTGAAATAATGATCTAGAGTTTTTCCTGCCTAAAATCTATGAACTTAGGTCCTTAGGACAGATTTCACATCTCTCCACAACAGACCTTAATTCCAATATATGTGTGATTCAGAGTACTTATCAGGCAGGATGAGTAGCATATCAAAGGTGGTCTCTGTCATGCTTGATTTGAAAGGAATATTTTTCTTCATAGCAATGTGTGTTTGTTGAGAGATGCTTCAAGTGTGAGTTTAGATTTTCTCTTATCCTTATTGAATAAGTCTGTTTAAGAGGTTTGAATTTAACTTCTTTTGATGTGTTCTCCACTGACACTTATATAAGGAGAGTTTCTTGGAGTGGTGATGTTATGCTTCTGCCAAAGAGGTAAACAAATACTTAGCAGCCTAGTTGTTAGAATTTTCACTGGAGAATATGAGCTAGATGGACAGATGAAGGTCTTTCCCTGATTTTTCCTCTCCCCAAGCCCCTTCCATTCCCCTCCAGTAGTGTATTGTATTTTCCTCTTCTCTTTTATTGATTCATTTGGTAAGTTTTATCAATACCTACTATAGATATTCATAAGAGATAACAAAATGGGTAAATCAAGGTCTCTGTGCTTCAAAACCTCCTATAAGTAGATGATCAAGATACAGTGTCATAAGCATTATAATCAGTGTATAGATTCTGTCCTCCCAGCCCCACTTATGTCCTGGTCCTGGCATCTTACTTGCACGTACATACTCCAGTGCTCCTATAGAGAAACACTCCCACTGTAGCCCCTTTGGGGATGATGACGCAGAGCTTTCATCTCTCTTTTTCATACTGGCCTCTTGCTTTAATCTCTCACAGCACTTTCTGTTTGCCTGTGTACCAGCTCTCTTGAAAGCAGGTCCTGGAACCACATTTGGTACATGAGGACGTTTTTATGCCTCCTCAGCAAAAACGTCACAGTAAGGTTGCGAATGGCCTAGTCCTGAGTAGTTTCTCAGAAATTACGTCCTTTTTATTTTGTTGGCAGTTAAATTTTTTTTCTTTATAAGAACTTGGCAAAACTAACAGCTATTGACCTTACATCGGTCTCCCAAATTCACTTTGAAGTCTACTTGTCCATGAAATCTGAGTCATACCATTGTTCTTGACTGCCCTGCTGCCCACCTTTCCTGTCCTCATCTCTGGACTCCTGAGAAATTAAATAGGCCTTTTTTGATGTAAAGGTATTGGCCTTCGCACAGTTTTCATTCCTCTGCCCTGTGAGACTTCAGAGATCTGATAAACTGGTTCTTGGAGGGCATGTGGACCCTGGAGAGCCCCTCCCCTCCCCTGCCCTGCCCTCCTCTTTTTGAGACAGAGTCTCAGTCTGTCACCCAGGCTGGAGTGCAGTGGGTGGTACAATCTTGGTTCACTGCAACTTCTGCCTCCTGGGTTCAAGCGATTCTCGTGCTTCAGCATCTGGAGTAGCTGGGACTAGAGGCATGCACCACCACGCCCAACTAATTTTTGTATTTTCAGTCACCACCACACCCAGCTAATTTTTGTATTTTCAGTAGAGATAGGGTTTCACCATGTTGACCAGGCTGGTCTTGAACTCCTGACCATTTTTGATTCACCTGCCTCGGTCTCCCAAAGTGCTAGGATTACAGAAGTGAGCCACCTCTCCCGGCCGCTTGTCTTTTCTTTAGAATAACTGTAACTTTTACATACCAAGCATTCACTGTGTGCAAAGCACTCTAGTGTACATAATTTTTTTTAAAAAAAGTTTTTACACCCCTATGGAGAGGATATACCTAACCCATTTTACAGTTGAAGGAGCTAAAGCTCAAGAAAGGTTAGGTACCCTGGCTAAGATTATACAGCTAGTAAATTGTGAAGCTAAGATTTAAACCCGGCCGGGTGCGGTGGCTCACGCCTGTAATCCCAGTACTTTGGGAGGCTGAGGTGGGCAGATCATGAGGTCAGGAGATCGAGACCATCCTGGCTAACACAGTGAAACCCCGTCTCTACTGAACAAAATACAAAAAAAATTAGCCGGGCATGGTGGCGGGTGCCTGTAGTCCCAGCTACTCGGGAGGTTGAGGCGGGAGAATGGCGTGAACCTGGGAGGCGGAGCTTGCAGTGAGCCGAAATCTTGCCCCTGCATTCTAGCCTGGGTGACACAGCAAGACTCTACCTAAAAAAAAAAAAAAAAAAAAAAAAAAAAAGATTTAAACCCAGGCACTGGGGCTCCAAAGCCTTTGCTGTTACATTAAGTTGTCTTCTAGGTTGACTAAAATACAATGTGTTGGCAACTGTCTTGGAAGGTAAAATCTGTTTCTTAGCTGGGTGACCTCAATTTTCTCATCTGTGAAATGAGGATGATAATGTTTATCAGTCTTAAAAAAGTAGTTTGAGGGTCAAATAGGCTGATATTGATAATATCCTTTAAAATGACAAAGCATTGAAGAAATTATTGTGCCCCACCATGTTTGTTTCCCTTTCATGTTTGTTAGGCTTATGGGCTTTGTATGATTACCCCATGTGACCTTGTATTTGTGGATACATGAGTCCTTCCATTAGTGGCTGCGTATTTCTCTGGTACCATGGAGGTAAAAGAAGGTCATCACAAACTAAATCTGAGAGCTGTAGGGAGGTCTTAGGAGACAGGGGCCATACCTTTCTCAGAATCACTTTCTCAAGTCTGGACTTAAAGGACTTATAAGTCCTGAGGACCTTCCCTGGTATTAGACACTATACCAACAAGCAGGTTCAGACTGGGAGCTAGATTAGAAGGTAGCATCCTTGTAGTTGAATCCAACTTGAAGATGAATAAACTCTATCCTCTAAAACACTACCTTACTTTCATGTTATTTTCTGAATTTATTTTGTATAGCTCAGTGCCTTCCAAATGAGGGATTCCATGGAACTTGATGTGATGTGATAATAGTGCCAAGGCTAAGTGACTCTGGGAAACTTTGGCTGGGACAGCACTCCACAGATGGTTGCACATCGATGTGCCCTGGACGTCTCCCAAAGACGCTAGGGTATTAGACATCTCTTTTCACAAACCCCTTTATCAGGGGACATGAATAAATGGTCTCGTAAAAGTTGTGTTTTGGGGAGCAGACTTTGTGGAATGTTGCCCTAGCCTTTAGTCTTGTTTAAGTGCAATCAGACCAGCATCGTGACCATTCATTAGGCTCCTCCAAGGACAGGGTATCCTCTGGAAAGAGGGCCTGAGCTTCAGGTCCAGTACCTTCCCCATGTGACTAAGCCTTCACTGTTACTTCAGATGTGTTGCTTTATAAAGAAATTGGCAGTCTTTTCTGGTGCCATGTAAATATGAGGAATTATTACTATAAAAATAAATATTACTATTATAGTAATAGTAATACTAATTTTTACTAATAGTAAAAATTACTATTAAAATAAAAATAACATATCTACTTTTCTTTTTTTTGAGATAGAGCTTCACTGTGTTGCCTAGGCTGGAGTACAGTGATGTGATCATAGCTCACTGAAGCCTGAAACTCCTGGGCTCAAAGCGATCCCACCTGCTCCGCCTCCCGAGTAGCTGAGACCACAGGTGTGCAACACCATGCCTGGCTGATTTTTGCATTTTCTTGTAGGTGTGGGGTCTCACTATGTTGCCCAGGCTGGTCTTGAACTCCTGGCCTCAGGTGATCCTCCGAAAGTGCAGGTGTGAACCACCACACCTGATCATATCTGCTTTTTAGGTAGTGATCTTCACACCTTGTGACAAAGGTTTGAGCACAGATGGCTTACTACCATAGATGTTATTCAAATAAAATGAATTTTTTAAAAAACCTAGAGTAGCGTCTGCTGTTGTGTGTCTGTAGTCCCAGCTGCTCTAGAGGCTGAGGCGGGAGGAGTGTTTGAGCCCAGGTGGTTGAGGCTGTAGTGAGCTATGTTTGTGTTGTTGTACCCCAGCCTGGAAAACAGAGTGAGATCCTGTCTCTATGAATAAATAAGCAAGTCACTGCCTAATTTTTTTTTTAAGGTCACTGAGTGACTTTCATGAATTTGAATAATTGTTAAACCAGATAATTATAACAAGAAGCTAACATTTTATTGACTGGTTTACTATCTGGTAAGTACTATGCTGTGGTATTATCTGGCCTATCTCATCTGTCTTCACCATTACTCAATGAATTTTGAAAAAAGGTTCTGTTATTCTTTGCATTTTACACATGGGGAAATTGAGACTTCAAGAGATCAGGCTGGGCGTGGTGGCTCACACCTGTAATCCCTGCACTTCGGGAGGCCAAGGTGGAAGAATCACGTGAGGCCTGCAGTTTGAGACCACCCTGGGCAACATAGTGAGACCCCCATCTCTACAAAAAATTTAAAACATTAGCCAGCTGTGGTGGTGTGCACCTGTAGTGCTGGCTCCTTGGCAGGCTAAGGTGGTAGGACCGCTTGAGCCCAGGAGGTTGAGGCTGCCGTGATCCATGATTGCACCACTGCACTCCAGCATGGGCAACAGAGCAAGACCCTGTCTCAAAAACATGCAAAAAATGAGAGACTGATTTGTCGGAAGTCATGGAGTGGGTAATTGTCAAACCTTGGAAAGTGATACGAAGAGGAGGAAAAGAAGGAAGTAGTTGAGGGAAGGGTAAGGGATGGAAAGAGGAACTGTAAGAGTAGGGCAAATCTTGAGGATAATCAAGGAAGCATTTGGTTTGCGCCTATGAAAGGATGACGGGAGCTGGGTGAGTCGGGTGGGGAGGCTCAAAGCAGTTTTATATGCCACATTCATAAGGTGATTAGCAGTGGGGAGACTCCTTGGAGATGATGTTACTGAAAAATGACGTTTAGGAGTTTTGAGTATGTCATTCTGCACCAAGTTTGACAGTTAACGGTTAGTGAGTGAAGATGATTTCTGTAAAGTAAACAAAAAATCATCCTGAGTTGATGGTGTCATATAGTAGGCATCATAGCAACAAGCTGTTGGATTCTACAGTGGAGGTTGGCTTTTCTCATTGCTGTCTTCATCTTCTGCATAGTTGTCATTTTTGTTTGGTTCATAGTAATGATTTTAGGGTTAGTATTCCTGACACACTGTTTACAAAAGATACACTGCCCTTTTAACCAAAAACTGGCAAGTTTAGTTCCTTGACACCAGGCGCTGATCTCAGGCCTGTTATCTGAATGACAGAATTTGAATCTGATTCTCAGATGCTGCTTTTAAGGTCATGTCTACCCTCATTTTATAACTATTCTTAACTCATAACCGTAGTATTTCTATACCTTATTTTTGAAAAATGTACTTGTTAACTATGAAGCTATAAAATGCAGCTCTTAAGAAAAAGCAACTGTAAAATTATTAAAACTATTTAACTGGTCTTGATGAATGTTAACTAGCCATTCTTTTAAAGACAATATTTGGAGAACAGTGGTTTGACCAGGAATGGTTGGGCTACAGTCAGTACCCTTTCTCAGTAATCCAAATTTCTTCCCTTATTTGCAGGTGCAGACTTTTGGGTTATAGCAGGGCCCACTCTTTTGCTTTGTGCTGTGCGCCTCCTAGGTTATGCTGCTTATATCTCAGAGGACTGGTATCTTCCCTTCATCTCAGCCCCAGGCAGCCTCTTTATTTTGAATATGCTGCAGGAACCCAGCTCGTAGGAGTCCCTGCTCCTCACTCTGAGCCTCTGTTTTATCCACTCCTGGCAGATAGGAGCAAAGAAGTTGTAGGAAGGAAAGATTATGAAGGACACACAAACTGTTTATCTCTAGTCAAAATGAGATACAGTAGATTCTTGACATTTGTGAGGTCAATGTCCGCAGCCAGTCACGATTCTCAACTTGAAAAAAAATCATTTTAGCACATAATTCCTTCCGTAAAATTGCTAAAGTAGAATTGGAAAATTTAAATGATCTCTCTAGACCCCTATCTACTTATCTCACTTGATGACTGATTTTTTTACTGTCTGGAGTACTTATTGAAACAAATTCACACATCTTTTCTACTTATTTCCTTTTGGAGCATTTGGTAGTTTTGTTCGCACAATGTGTCTGAGTCATCATTGCATTTGACATTTCAGTCTTTAATTTATCTGAAACTTCTGTTTTGTGGCTAGCCTATCGCTTTCATAAACATCCCCATATTCCCTTCATTCTGTCATCAACACTAGACTCAACTAGCAGTTAATTTTGTTTCATTTCTTAAAAAGAAACAGTTTTTATCACTTTATTTACAGTCTTCATAGCACTGAGACTAAGCGCTATGACTAAGAGCATGCCTGGGCCTCGGCCAGGCTGGACAACTTGCCCTTGCCCCAGCTTTATGGCATGTGTGATTCAGAATCATGTCTCTGCAAAATGACAAATTACTAAATGTCACAGCAACTTCAGGTGTCACTCAGGAATGGTAGGAACCATAAATACGTAGTCTGCGAATGCATACCTGAGTTGTGGAGGAGTGAACCGTACACCTCCTCCTCTCATCCATCTGTTGAGCTGATGAATGTGCATGTATAGTTAACGAGTACTAGTTAAGTTACCAGAGAGCTTTGTGGAAATGGATTTTCCTTCGTGACGTCTATGCTGTAGCTTCAGTTGTTGGCATTAATAACAAATATTTTCATGGGAAGACATGCCTTTTGTAATATACACTTTTAAATAAACATGAAACCGGATTTAAAAACTCATTTTTATTCATTAAAAAAATTATTTAAACATTCAACAGATACAAAAAAGTATACAGAAAGAAGGCTCACCACCATCAATATATGAGTGGTCTGCTTCCTCATAGGGGTTTTTGAATATAAGATATTAACTAGTTTAATCACCACCTGATGTAAGTGGTACATGGTAGACTGGGGCTGCCAGGGATTTATTTACATGAGAGAGTGAGGAGGTTCATCCAGCAGATAGAATATCTCAAGGGAGAGTCAGGTTTCACAACTTTGGTTTGGAGATGAGGAGTGGTGTAGGAGAGAGATAGGAGGTAATTCTGAGGAAAGTGTCGTATGTCATTTAGTCTGTTCTCCAGCCCTTTTGTTGGAGGCTGAGGGAAAGAACATTGTAATAAAAGCAAATTGTTTCACAAAGCAGGGACTTTCAGAGTGCAATACTTTTGCACTAGTGCCAGCAGTAATGGTCTCGGTCTTCAGTAGTCATCAGCTCCTTGACATCCACAGTGGGCAGTGGTAGCAGCATGCTGGGCATCAATGCCTTTGGTTGCAGCCATGGTCAGCCATGACATTACGTATTAGTGGGAATCAGAAGCATTTGGTGGACATCTGAACCCCAAACTTACCTCTTATGACATTAGTAGTGGCTGGAGACCAATAGAAGTTAGAGGAGATGAGGAGGAAAAAGCCGAATCTTGTCTGGTAGCACAGAGGACCCACCAGGGTGTACTTTCAGGATACTTCCTTAGGAAATCTCAGCACCATTTAACAAAAAAAAATTGTGATGGGGTTTTCTGCAGAAGGAGAAATACTGTTTGTGACTTGCATTGTGACTCTCTTACCTACCTGTTTTGTGTGTGTGTGTGTGTGTGTGTGTGTGTGTGTGTGGCCTGTGGAATACAGGTGGATTGTGGTGTAGCAGCAGGTGATACCTACAAGAACAAAACACAAGAGCATTTCTAAGTACTGAAAAAATTTACCGAGTCTCAGGAACACGAATTGTTGAAGGGAAAGGACTTTGTATGTTTGTATGCAAGTATACACATTTACAGAGGGTGACAACAAGGGAGGAAGACTTGGGGTGACTTAGAAGCAGCTTTTCTTAAAATAATATTGGTTCCTGGCTGTTCTGCCTCATTAATAGATGGTGGAAGAACAATCTGTTGTAGCCATTCAGTCTTCTTGTAATAATGAAAGTACCCATAGGCTTCAAAATTAGATGATGGGAGAGACAACATAGTAAATATTTTTATGCTATAATATTGTATTCAGAATCTCTGCAAACCTTAGAATGAAAATATGGGTGAAAACTATTTTTACAAAGGTTAGATATATGTTTTCAGGCAGAGTACACTGTGTATCATTAGTACTGTTTCATACAGCAAAGGCATATTCTGAGTATTTCTTAAAACATAGTGAACATTTACTGCAGGTTATATACAGTACTAGCTTTTAGATATCTGCTACTTTCTATTCCTCCTGTCAGACAGGATTTTGCTGCTGTGAATTTTGTACATATATGGTTTTTAGGTAGGAAAAGACTAAAAATCTATTTGTGGCGTCTGCATGTCTTACTGACATTTTGTTAGTAAGCATGTACTTTGAAGGTACTTTATCAGATACATGTTGCACTGATGTGGACTTGGTATTTATATTAAGAACTTTGGCCCTAATAAACTAGTTTTGTCATGTTCTGAGGTGTACCATATTCTGGTGAAAGTAGATTTTGCCAGATTTTCGGAGGAGAACAAAACTCTATAAAGATTAAACGATGGTTAACAAAGAAAGCTCACTGTTGGAAACAGTCTGACCTGGGTTCAAATGGTGGCCATGCTACTGGCTGTGGTTTTGGTTGAGTTACCAAATCTTTCTGCACCTCAGTTTCTTCAGTGTAGACTAGAGGGTTGATAAAATCCCTGTTTTTCTGAAAAAAATAATTGAAATAATATATGTAAATTGCTACTTTGAATCCTTTTCTGAAAGAAAGAAAGATTGAATCAAACTTACAAAAGTATGTATTGTGCCTGACACTTAGTATCTGGTGAACAAATGCTATTATCAAATGCTATTATATTTATGGAGACTGTAATAACCAGGATAGTCACAGCTGACAATTTTATACTATAAGATAATTTCACTAAATTTCCTTAAAGTGTACTTGCCAAAGAAAATAATGGAAATGGTTATCTAGAGATTTTACCAGAAAAAACAGTAAAACTTTTTTTATTAAAGGATCACTCAGATATTACCAAGTTTATCCACCAGGGGGAAGATATTCTGTCGCTCTACTGTCTATCAAAAAAAAAAAGTTACCACTCTTAAACATCACTTTATAGGCAGTCGATATCATTGCTGGTTGTTACCTGTTTAGTGAGAGAGAAGTCATACTAAGTCTTAATTCATTTCATATTTCTATTATTGATTAGATTAATTCTTTCTCAGCTCTTTACATCCTGGGTCCTGTTTTGAGGCTGCAGTCTTAATGGTAGTGAAATCTGATTTAAAAAGAATTACTTTTAATTGATGCATAATAATTGTACACATTAATGGTACACATGTGATATTTTGATACATGCATATCATGTGTAATGATCCAGTCAAGGTAATTGGGATATCCTTCACTTCAAATACTTATCATTTCATTGCTTTGGGAATATTCAAAATCCAATCGTCTGACTCTTCTGAAATATACAGTAAATTATTTTTAACTATATTCACCCCCTGTGCTATAGAATACTAGAACTTACTTCTCTTATGTAACTGTAGTTTTATACCAGTTAATCAACCTTTGTCTATTGCCTCCCTCCCACCCCCTTCCTAGCCTCTAGTAACCACTGTTCTATTTTCTGCTTCTATGAGACTTTTTTAGCTCTCACATATGAATGAGAACATGTGATATTTGTCTTTCTGAGCCTACCTTCTTTTACTTAACATAATGTCCTTCAGGCTTATCCATGCTGTCACAAATGACAGGATTTCATTCTTTTTTATGGTTGAATATTCCTGTGTGTGTATAAACCACATTTTTAAATCCATTCATCCACTCATGGACACTTAGGTTGATTCCATATCTTGGCTCTCAAGAATAGTGCTGCAATAAACATGGGAGTAGAGATATCTGATATACTGATTTCCTTTCCTTTGGATATGTACCCTGTAGTGGGATCACTGGATCATATGGTATTTCTATCTTTAATTTTTTTGAGGATCCTCCATACTGTTTTCTATAATGGCCATACTACTCTATATTCCCACCAAGAAGATACAGGAGCTCACCTTTCTCTGCATCCTCACCTGCATTTGTTCTTTTACATTTTTCATAATTGCCATTTTAATTGGGGTGAGATGATATCTCCTTGTGGTTTTAATTTGTATTTGTCTGATGATTAGTGATTCTGAGCATTTTTTTAATGTACCTGTTGGCCATTTGTATGTCCCCTTTTGAGAAATATCTGTGTAGATCATTTCCCCATTTTCAAATCAGATTATTTGCTTTTTTGCTGCTGAGTTATTTGAGCTTCTTATATAATCTGGATATTAATCCCTTGTCAGATGGATAGTTTGGAAATATCTTTTCCCACTTTGTAGGTTTTCTCTTAACTATGTTGATTGTTTCCATTGCTGTGCAGAATCGTTTTAGTTTCGTATAATCCCAGTTGTCTATGTTTGCTTTTGTGGCTTGTGCTTTTGAGGTCTGTAAAATCTGATTCTTCTTCAAATTTAGATTGTGTAAGTTTTGAAATGATCAGAAATAGGCTTAATAATATGTCTAATATTTGATGTTTTCTCTACTTAAGGGGGAAAACAGAAGAAAAAATATTGAAGCGTCTAGTAAATTCCAGCAGAAATTAGCTGTAATTAAAAGAAACAGAAGTTTTTTTTTCCTATTAAGTATTTAAAAGTGAATGTATATTATATATGTAAGGAGACTGCACTTTTAAAAATCTTGAATTTTTGAACAAAATTTTCAAGCATATACAAAACTAGGATGTAGTAGAATAAACTATCATGGACCCTTCACACGTCTTGACAATTGCCAACACATTGCCAATCTTATTACTTCATCCGCTTATTAATTTAGAGCAAATTTCTCACATTACATCATTTCATCTATTCCTTTCAATTTGTACCTGTAAAATATAAGGAACAACTCCTCTTTTAAAAGTACATGCTGTCATCATTTTGCTTAAAAAAAAGCAACAGTATTTCTTTGATATCATAAAATATCCAATTTGGCATTCATACTTTCCTTCCTAATAATCTTTTGTTTAAATCAGGGTCCACAGATTATCTATGAATTACAATATTGTGATTGGTTGATATGTTTCTTAAATCCCTTTTCATCTAAATTTCATACTTCCTTGCTCATCTTTTTTTGTAGTTTACAGTATTGGCTTTCAGACTTTTTGGTCTCAAGTTCCTTTTCACTTCTAAAAATGGTTGAAAGCTCAAAGAGGTATTGTTTTTATAGTTTATATATATATATTTGCTATATTAGAAATAGTTTAAACTATTTAAAAATAACAGTAAAACCAGTACATGATAGTATATATAAGCATAATTTTTATGAAATATAATCACAGTTTCAAGAAATGCATTTTTTAAACATTTTTGCAAATCTCTTTAATGTCTAATTTAATAGAAGATAGCTGGATATCTGCTTCTGCATTCTTGTTGCATTGGGTTGTTTTGCTTGAAGTATATGAAGAAAATCTGGTTTCATGCATGTATGAGGTTGGAAAAGGAAGGAATATTTTAATAGACTTTTCATTTAATAGTGAACATTCTTAGTTACCACACTAAAACTTGACAGGTGGTGGTAGTTTCTTAAAGATTATTTGCAGTGTGCAGTTTGGAACCTTACCAATGAACCTTATCAATTATGAATCATAATCTGTTACATTAAAATCTGTTGGGGCTAGGTGCAGTGGCTCATGCCTGTAATCCCAGCACTTTGGGAGGCTGAGGCAGGCGGATCACTTGAGGTCAGGAGTTCAAGACCAGCCTGGCCAACATGGTGAAACCCTGTCTCTACTAAAAATGCAAAAAATTAGTCAGGTGTGGTGGTGGGCGCCTATAATCCCCAGCTACTGAGGAGGCTGAGGCAGGAGAATTGCTTGAACCCGGGAGGCGGAGGTTGCAGTGAGCCTAGATCATGCCATTGTACTCTCCAGCCTGGACGACAACAGCGAAACTCTGTCTCAAAAAAAAAAAAAAAAAATCTGTTGGTCCATCTTGCACTTTAAATGGATCATTTACCTATGCATAATTTTGTACCATCATGTGTTGGTCATTTTGAAAATTTTGCTTAACCGAGTTAGGCAGATCTCCCAAGTGTTGACATATTTCATTATGAAATATTTTAAACATCACATCCATTACTATCACCACCCATCCACTGCCTTAGAAAAGTCTTTAGCCATCTGGAAGCTGGCAAGCCCATGGTGATGCTTGTAAGTGTTACAAAATCCTGATTTTTCTCTTGAAGGTTCAAATTTAATTGGCAGCTACAAATACTGTTAGTGTTTTCTTTCATGTGACAGGCCCACTTCATTAATTTTTGACAAAATATTTACCAGATATCCAAACCCGAATAAACATAGCTTGTTAAGTGAAAAAGGCATTCCGTTAAAAACCAGGAGCTTGCATCCATGGTACTTTGGCATGTCAAAGTACTTCCCATTTCATCACACAATATTAAAAAGATGTATATTCAGATATCAAGACTTAATAACATTTATTATTTTTACTTCATCAATAATGGTCTTTAGTGAAATTGACATTTATTTACTGTGCATGCATGGTGGGGAAGAATGCAATGGCTGCTACTACAGTTGTTGCCACTGCACCGGCAATTTTATCCTCTCTTGGTTTTGCACTATCAGTGCAAATGTCGACACAGTGAAGAAGGCAAAGAATGTGTGAGTATTTTTATGAAAATAGTTGACTTTTTGGACCTTTTGAAAGGGGCTCAGAGACCCTTGAGGAATGCATGCTTTGAGAAATGCTGCTAAAGAATTTCTGGTAATCTGGATTTTCTTCCTTATATCTTTGTGGTATGATTTAACAACAGGCTTTCTTTCTCTGATAGCTCCTATAAATAGACTTGATCAGATTAGGTTTGATTTTGTTTTTTCCTGGCAAGGCTACTTCATAGATGGTGTTGGGTTTGCATTCCTGGCAGCCATCGATGGTTGTTGCCTAGAACCATTAATTTATTAAAGGTTACAAATTATAATATTCTATCATTCCTTCTTCACTTATTAGCTGGAATTCTTTCTAAGGGGAAACTTTATCTGCCCAGTGATATGGTTACTCTAACATACAGATCACATTGGAAAGGCAGGATAAATCCATGTTTCCTTTTCCAAATAGTGAGTTGGTTTTCTTGAATCCTGAGAAGGTGATCAATGAGGTGTTCTTGGTTTATTTGTTTGCTTTGAATGTCATTATGAACTTGTGGATTTCAGTTTATCTGATGTGTTTCAGTTCACTGCAGCTAAAATTAGTAAGGATAGTAAGGATACTACTTTGCCTTTCTTTGGCCAGAAGAAAGGGGCCAGAAGAAGGGGCCTATTCAGGTTGGCTCTTGAATTCTTTGGATATGACTTCTGTTGTCTTTGATAGCTTCTTTGCTTTCTTGTTTGACAAGATGTTTCAGTTTCATCTTGGACATTTCCTGCTATTGAGCAGAAATCAGCTTCTTCTATGGGGAGAATTGTGAGAAATGGTATTTAGACACCACAGTCTGAAGCTAGACTGCTCATTACTGTTGATTGATGATTGTTTCTAGATTCTTTCAGTGGACAAAACTAGAAAATACACATATTTCTAAAGATAAAACACATCATGAATTCATACTGATACCTCCATTCAGATTTAGGAGCCATCAATCTTTCATCAGTTGTCTATGATACCAACATAATTACTTATTTGTTTTTCTCATGTTACAAAGACAACAGTCTTAGAACAACAGTATCAATACCACAACCAATGATGTGATTATGGAAATTTGTTTTCCAATTTTTTTAAAAAATGAAAATTAGAAATTTTATCACAATTTAGGTAGCCAAATTGGTTATCTTAACAGAGCCTTTTTATGGGTATTTGCTGTACATTTTGAGACTGTTTTCCTATTTCCTAGAATAACAAATTGGCAGATTATCATTTATCCATACCTACTTTTTTCTAGTGTCTTAAAACAGAAAACAAACTACTTACAGGCAAGGAATTCTATCCATATGGCATTATGACTTTTTGTTTTAAGTGAATATGCCTTGAATAAATGAATTTCTTTTGTTTATGAATAGAAAATGTTTACCATAACACTTTTTAACTAAGACATTTTTATTAATATTTTTTCTCTATACTTTTCCAAGGATCGTACTAGGAAAAAAGTGTTAATATTTTTGAAGTAGCTGTTTTTAGATCCAGGGATATGGGATATTGTGATCAAGAAAATTATGTAATTAAGGGAAACTGAACTAACGAGTACTAAATTAAAAACAGATTTCCATGTGGAATATTTAGTGATATGCCTTCTTTTCCCCTTTCAGGTTAAAAAATAAATCATGACTGAATCTGCCTCTAGCACAAGTGGTCAAGAGTTTGATGTGTTCAGTGTTATGGACTGGAAAGATGGAGTGGGCACGTTACCAGGAAGTGACTTAAAGGTAAACCCTCTTTATTACATACAATTATGTGTGTGTGCATCTGTGCGTATGCTTACTTAAAATTGGATACATATGTGAAATAAAAATTAAAAGCATTAATCATAGTGGTGTAGGTTTTAGATGATGCTTAGACCTCCACAATAAATTTGCAAGACAATTTGAAATGCTGATGGAATGGCAGAGCCTTTGTCACTTGGATAAGGGGAGTAAGGAATGTTTCTGCAGTATGTGCTTATTTCGCAGAAATTGATTTATAGTTTCAAGAAGGATCATCTCAGTTTTGACTCTTACCGTGACAGCCTATAAATGCAGAAATGGCAGACTTAGAAGAGCTATCTTTTTTGATTTTGTAGTAATGGGCTTTGTAACTTTAAGTGAATAGCCACAATCTCTGTGTCCTAGAGTTCTCATTTAAAAACTGGATAATGTTAAAGTATTGAATAAATAGGATTATTCACCTCTCTTAAATTAATTATACTGTAAATATGGATTTTTATATAATGACTTGTTCAAAATCGGGTTCTTCCTGTAAATCCGTCTGCCTAAGTATAGATGAGAACTCTTTGGAGAGCAATACTTCAGTCTGCTGCTTTTGTATAACCTTGCCCTGCCTCCTTTTCCCAGTAACCCCAAACCTATTCCAGGACCACTTCTGTTGTCCCATGAAACATGGTTGCGCAAGCACCGATCTGGGAAACCAACTACCCCCATCTCTCATTTCTAATTTGCTTTTGCTCTGATCCTATCTCTGGAACCTTGAACCGGTCTGTGGCCCTTTAGACTTTGTGTTTGCACTTGATCGTTCAGGTATTTGAACTTCACATCTCCCCAACAGGCCATTGCTGGGCTTACCTCTCAAATGTTTGGTATTCTAGGCTGTCTTGAATAGAAATTCTTGCTCCATTATTTAGGCCTCCTGGAATCTAGTCCCTTTTAGTGGCTGCTTGACAAGTATCCTAGCCAAGCCTGCCCTAGCTCATCCTCAGTGGTGAGATTGGGACAATCTGCCTGTCATTGGAAAAATACTTAGATTTTAGTTGGGTTGGGTTTAATTAAGTGTAATGTGCCAACACCTCTGAGTTTAGTTTAACAAAAATGTTGCACTGAGGTTTAGTAGAATCTGGAGAGGAGATTGGGTTTTCAGTTTTAGCTCTGTATGACCTTGAAAAAGCCAGTTAATCCCTTTCGGTCAAGTTTCCTCTGCAGTAAATTAGGAATTAATTGAATGCCAAGCGTTTTGCTTGCGCTGACATTCTCCAAATATTCATCTGGATAAGATATGACAGAGAAAGGTTGCTGAACATTTTTGAGAAAGAAAAACTGTTTCTCAAACTGGTCATGTCAACTACATAATAGCTACCCAAGCTTTGTCAAATTATTTCAATTGCCTAAGTTTTGGAAGCCTTATCTGTAAAATTGAGGACATTAGAATCTATGTGATAAGGTGGTTTTGAGGATTGAAAAAAATAATAGAGAACACTTAACAAATTGTATTTTTTCTGGCTTTGTGACTTACTATGTACAGTGCCATTTTTAATTGCTTTACTCCTTTATTTCCCTTGTGTGTTTTTATCCATTTTCCTCTCAATGGCTTTTTTTAAAAAAAACTGTCACGTGGATGATGAAATTTGTAAATTTTTTTCAGTTAGCTTTTAACAATAGAGTGAAGTTTCCATCCCTAAGAAATCTGTATTGCTTTAAGGTTTTCTAAGCAATGAGTTTTAGAAATTAACCTATTACTTGTATTAAGGTAATCAGGTAATTAAGCCATTTAGTGGGTATTATCATCTGAGTTATTTGATAATGACTTTCAGACCCATCTAATTATCTGGGTAATTGCCATGTATCCAATTCATGTGCTGTAGACAGTTTGATACCTCCCTTAAAAAATAATTTAAATGTCATTTTCTTTTACTTTATGACCCTTTTTATCTGAGATTCAGAGGTGACCCAATTGATTATATCACTGAAGATTTCTAATTCACTTGCTTCCTACTTAAAATCCAAGTTGCTTAAGAAATCTGATTAAGAAATTGATTTTTCACAAAATTAGGATATTAGAAAGAACTTTGAATGAATCATGAAATTTTCTCTCACTTCATTCTTTGCCTATTTTATCCTACCTAGGCTTCTATGTTTCAGTGGGTAGAGGCATCTAGATTTCCTAGGCTAAAGTTAATTCAGTTAATATAGTCAGCAAATCTATAGAAGTCAATTTCTTATCATGGGAACAGGTTTTTGTATGCCTCAATTTTTGCTGTTTTGAAATAACTTTTCCTGTAAAATCCCCATGATTGCTATCCAGTCAAGTTACACCCTTCTTCTTCACATTTTTTAGCAGTTGCCAGAATCTTTTTGGTGAAGTTCAAGCCCCTTAAGTTTACCACAAGAGTTTTTTGGTGGTCTGGCCTCTGCTTTCCTCTCTGGCCATGTCTCATTTCACTCCCACTGCCACTCTTGTTTTCTCCCCAGCCCAAACCACTAGTTGAAGCCTTCACACGCTGGGCCCTTGTTACTGTTCCCTGTTGCTGGAATCCCTTCTCCACACTGGGCTATCGCATGCTTATATAAACAGAGCACAGACATCTCTGGGTGCAGTAGGGGAAAGAATAGAGAACGTACTCTCTGCTGAACACTCTACCTGCATCTTTTTATTTAATTCTTTTATTTTACCCTTTTTAAGATAGTTTTTGTCTCGTCAGTTTACAGATGGGGAAATGGAGGCCTGGAGTAGTTAATTCACTTGTTTAGGTCAGTTACTGGCAGGGGTCTCAAAACCAGGCTTTTCTGATATTTAAAATGGATTATCTTACACCTGCTATACTGCTGTCTAAAGAGAGAAAACACCTTCATATCAAAAGAGATGCAAGGAAAATTTTACAGGAATTTAGAGGAGGTAAAAATTTATTTCAGCTGGAGGGATCAGGAAGGCTTTGAAAAGCAGATGTCATTTGAGCTTCAGGTGCCTGGAAATATGTAGGAGTCTCCATGAATACTTTAGGGAGGAAGGGAAGGAGAAGGGCTTCCAGAAGAGGGAGTAGCTTAAGAAGGTACAGAGTGTTAAGGGAGAAACAGCAAGTGTCCACTGACATTCTTGAAAATATTATAGTCATTAAAACACTTTTGCCTAAGCAAGCTTTGGAAACTTCACCAATGCCTAGTTTGTCCTTTTAAAATGCAAATTCGTATTTGTAGATTAATGTCTCAGCGCCAGCTGTAAGAACAGGGAGGTGACTAAGTGGCAGTGCAGAGGGACATGGTAGGGCTTCCCATAACTGAGCAGTTTCCCTACCTGAACTTCTAATGATGTCTGAAATTTACAGAGAATTATTCCTCTGGGTCATAATGTCTTTCGGAGTCTCTCAGTAAAATGCAGATACACTCCTGAGAGGACAGCATCTTATCTAGTAAGAATAATTGCCAGTTAGCCAAGAGCAAGACCCTGCCTGCAGTAGCAGGCAGAGACCCAACAGTAAAATTCACCGCACTCTTAATACACGGTTTTTGCCTTGCTTTGATTAATGTTGAAAACAATTTAGTTATCAAACATCTTTGCCCTTAAAACACACTGGTAAGTCGATTCAAATCTCAGCATTGAAGGTAATAAAATGAAAATAACCTCAACAGTATCTTCTAATGATTTATTATTAAATCAGGCAAATATAGGCAAAAGATCCTTTGACTCTACAATCAAAAATAAAAAAGAGAGTTGAATCAATTAAAGGTAGTTCAAGCCAAACAAAACATGTGCAGTCCCTTATATATTTCAGGCATAATTTTTTTCTGATTGACCTGGATATATCCACATGCAGAAAAAGTTAGCAGATGTGTTTTGTTTGCTTAATAGTAAATCCCTTTTGTAAAGTTTATAATTTTGACTTTCTTGGTTGTAGAGTGGAGCCACGTGGCAAGTTTTTTACATATTTTAGCTCTCTAGGTTAAAAGAACTAATGATTTAAAGAAATATAAACAAAGGTGAAATTTCCATCATTCCAAAACCATTTGTAAAAGCATCACTAATTTCAGAACCTGGGTGTTTTATTGGAAAACATAGTGTTAGGAAATGTATCAGTCTTTCTGGAATTCTGTCTGTAGGACTTCAGTAATGTTAGCAGGACCTATCAACCTTTGTGGTCTAACATTTTCTATCATAGCAATGTTGTGGAAGACACAGTAAGCCCAAATTGAGAAATCAGAGAAAAATTTGATCCCTGTATGTTTTTGCATATGACAGAATATTTTGAAAATGTTTTGAGGTATTTAATTTTTGAGATAAGCAACTTTGATAAGAGCAGGTATTCTTTATTTTTTTTTCAGGCTTATAGTATGCCTTGAAAACTATGAATCTTGTCCCCAGAAAGCTGTATATGCACATATCATAATTTTGCATATATTTTATGGGATTAATCAACCCTCAAAGTCCATCTGTGGATCTCTGGCTTACAAGAGTGAACTGTGCCCCGAAGTGACATTGCATCTTTACTTTGTACTTAGACTGTAGGTCAGTTACTGGCAATACATTTTAGGAGAAAGAAAAGCTGACTGGGATTGAAGGTTGCATCGTGGGAATCGTTCCTTTTAACTTTGAAAGTATTTGAACCTGAAGCTTCCAGGTGTCATAGTTCTGAGTTCTGACTTGAAGATTTCACTCAGTGATGTTTTCTTTCTCAGTCTTTGAAATGGAGGGTGGTTTGCTGTTTTACAGCAATTTGAAAACTTAAGCCATGGGAGACTTTCTGTTTAATGTAAATGTTTGATGCTATTTCTTACATTTTGTATTTGTCAAATAAGCATAAATTAACATCAGTGACATATGATAAAAGTAAAATTACCTGAAGTGCATTGTCAAGCTTGTGCCTATTGTTTTTGAATTTTAATTCAAATTGATTTTTTATCACATTCTTTAATATCATTAATTAATAATTATCATGGTAGTTTGTTTTTTCTGCTCTTGCCCAGCAGATGGTACTGTCAGCCTTATTTTGAAATATTCTGTCTTCAAAGTGATCATTAAAAACATTTTTTTAAAGATTTCTTTTTCTAAAAGTAAAGTTATTTTTAGCTCTTTTCCTTCTAAATAAACTTTTACCTCTTCCTACATTGACATTTTGGTATACACACTTGGTATAGTACTCACATATTACCTGGGAACTGGTATCTGGAATACATAGTAGGGTTCGAAGACATTCTCACATTCCTTAACCATTTCCACACGTTTAGTCTAGAAACCATTTAATAATTGTGGACTATGCATAGAACATTGTTTAAGGTGCTGTTTTCACCTGATAGAAAGAATAATTATTGATACTTTTTGTTGAAGAGTTTTCCAACTTGCAGTTTAGAATGTAGTTTAGTAAAATAAATAATTCTATTGGCGTGTTGACTAAATCGATTTTTTCGGATTGGCAAATGGAGGGCCTTGCTTAAATACTCATAATTTGCTCATAATTTCTGTGAAAGATCTGAAACATCTTACTATCCTTTTGAATTTTGAGCTTTCTAGCTTTTTCATCACCTGCTAAAATTAGTGGGTCCCTAATGTTATTCTGTTTTATGGAAAAACAGAAGGAATACAGAAAACTGCTTGAAACCCATGAATGTGTGAGTAAACCTCACTGTTTCAGAGAGAACAAGGTCTCCACACGTAGGTAAGCCTTCAACACACACACACAGTACAACCAGGTTGTTGTAGAAACATACTTTATTTGAAGTGTGCTGTCAGGTGAAAGGAAATTTTCAGTATTTGGAATGGAATGTCCATGAAATCAAGATGCTGTTGCTTTTTAGTGATAAAATCAGCATGTAGCTAGTAGACTACTTGTTCAGGTCCCAGAGAAATTTCCAGTTATTTTAGAGGGCTACAAGTGAAGATAATGCAGAATTCTAAAGAGCAGTGAAAGAAAGAGGAAATGTGGCACTGGGGTTATGTGGTTCAGGCTTCAGCCTTCTGTGCTCACTTCTTGGATTGTAAGGAGAAGGATGTTCAGGCCATTATTTCTGGCATAGGGATATTCCTTCTCTCTGAACTGGGTGAGCCTGGGCAAGACAAGTTGATTCCTGGGAAAAGAGTAATTCTCCTTTTACTAAACGTGATTTTTAAATAAAAAATACGACGTAAGAAAAAATAAGTCTTAGTTAAAACACACACACACACACACACACACACACATACACACACAAAGTGTGTTTGAAATGATAGCCTATCAAGTAAGCTGCCAGCTCTATAGGACAGGGCAGAGCAGGGTCATTGGTATCCTTCAACAGACCTTGCTGCTTTGTTCTGTTCTCCTTCCTTGAATTCCAAAATTAGTAAAATGCAAAGGTCTTAGTATTGGTGGGAGGTGTATCAGGATATAATTGTCTAAATTAACTTTTACCATGTAATTAATTTGCTTGAAGACTATATGTGTCAGCCATTAAATAATTAATGACTTTCCTGAGCACTTTTTAAATTTTGCCTTTCTGCTGTGTTGTTGCTAGTTTCGGGTAAATGAGTTTGGAGCCCTGGAAGTTATTACAGATGAGAATGAGATGGAAAATGTTAAAAAAGCAACTGCTACCACCACTTGGATGGTACCAACTGCTCAAGAAGGTAAGGATGGGTCATCTGCATTTTATTTCTTGCTTTTGAAAGATTTGAAATAAGAATATCTAAAGTTTTATAATAGGCTGGAACTTTGAAGGCCCCGGGTAATTTTTGTGCCTCATGTTGTTAGGTAAATTTCTATAATGAAACTGATAGGAGCCAGCATTTATGTTTTAAAATAACTATAAACTGTCTTCTTTGTCCTAATGCCAGATCTGTAGTAGCACAAGGTTAGTTGGAAATTAAGTAAATCCATGTTGTAGCCTACACAGGTGATTTAGCCAAAAGCCTGCCACTTTTTTTCTCATCTACTCCGATGGTTGTAACTAACACCTATATGCTGATGACTCCTAAATCTACATCTCCAGCCCCGACCTCTCCCCCGAGCTCCAGGCCCGTATTTCCACCTGCCTACTGGACATCTCCACCTGGATGTCCCACAGGTACCTCAAACTCCACATGTCTGAAATGCAATTCATTTTCTATTTCTTTCTCCCCTCCCCACAAACCTGCTCTTTCTTCCCTAACCCATATTTCAGTTGACAATAGCACCATCCACCCAGTGGACAAGCAAGAAACACAGGAGTCATCCTGAATTTGTTCTTCCCATCCCCATATCCTGTTACTTATACCTCTTGATTTTTATTTCCTAATATGTCTCAGATCTGGCCTTTTCTATCTATCATCTTTGCCATGGCCTTAATGTAGGCTCTTCTCAACTCTCATCTGAACTATTGCAGATGTCACTCTACTTCTAATTTTACCCCCTTCCAATTGGTCCTGCACCTTGAAGCCAGAGGAACTTAACGTAGATTGCTTATCTGACACTTCACTGATTTCTCATTGCCTTTTTAGCAGAACATACAAAGATCTGGGTGCCTGCACCTACCTGCTCGCCTTGTCTCCTCAGTCTCTGTTTCCTTCTTTGTATGTTGTGTTCTGGCAGTGCCAGCAGCACAGAATTACGTGTAATTTTCCCAACACATCATGTGGTTTCATGCTTTCTTGCCTTTACTCATACTGCTTTTTCTGGCTCAAATGCCATTTCTCTCTTTGTCCAGTTGGTAAATTCCTCTTTGGCCTTCAAAACCCTGTTGAGGCTTTCTATCAGAAAATCCTTCTCTGACCTTACCCCAGGCTGAATGAATCACTTCTTCTGTACTACTTCTGGACCTTGTTTATGCCTCTAGTATTGCATGTATCACATTTTATTATAAATACTGGTTTTCTTGCCTCTCTTTTCTTCTAGACTGTGAGCTCTCTTGGGCAAGGTCTCTACTGTCATTATTAATGTCTAGAATAAATTGGTGCCTAATAACTGCTGGCTGAATGAATGATTAGCCTAACAATTCAGGCAAAAGGAAATGCGAGTTTCTACACAATTTGGATAGCTATGAGTCAGGAAATGTACTACATTGAAAGCGTAATAGAAGAGATGTTGATTTAGCCAATTAAGTAAAACAAAATCATTCATCAAAAGATTATAAATGTGAAATAAAAGAAGATCCTCTGAAATTTTCTGAAAGATACAAATATAGAAGAAGTTTCTATAGATCGATATATGCGTCTTCTGAATTTAGTGACTAGTGAAATTTTCTTCATTTTACTTTGAACTCTGTAGAAAAAGCCTTGGGCAAGCTTTTATCCTTTCTGCAGAATATTTTTTCATTATTTGAATGACTTGAGTGATTTTTACAGAGCCCATACCCCCCGAAAACACTATCATTTGATCATTCATTCATTCAGCAAACACTATTCTTTATTGTGTTGCTAACAAAATTATTAGAAGAAAAAGTTTGATTGTATTTTAGAATGTCTTCTGTCATGGTTGTAATTTGCATTTCTTCTTTTCATCTTCTAGTCTTTTCAGAGAAGACTGGGATGCCTTTCAGGTTGAAGGATCCAGTGAAAGTAGAAGGGCTTCAGTTCTGTGAGAACTGTTGTCAGTATGGCAACGTAGATGAGTGTCTTTCTGGAGGAAACTATTGCAGCCAGAATTGTGCTCGGCACATCAAAGATAAGTAGGTTTTTGCCCCATTCCATCTATAAATTGAGTTTTAGATTCCAAAGTCATGGTGCCTGAGAATATAGAAGTTTTATGCTCTCGGACATTGATCACCTATTGATACCTTTTTCCCAGAGACTTTTCCTTTAGGGCCACATGGGCCCTAACCCCTATATGGGACCTGGTGACGTCTGTCATGCCTGGTCTGAGTTGTATTACTAATATTCTGCCTGCAAAACAGCCTCTGCCTCTGCCTTCAGTCTTCCATTTCCATTCATTTGATTGTCTTCAGCTAAGAGTATTTAGTTTTTTCTGGGCTATATACACATTTCGATGACACTGACATTTATAGAAACATAGTTTTGTTTATATTTTGGGAATTCTTAGGTAACTCGGTTAAAACTCCACCTACGGCATAAAGCTTCCACTGATTCGTAATCAGCTGAATGGAAATGGCCATAGGGAAGAGTGTAGTGAGTTGGGTCACTGATGATCTCAAGGTGTGGACTGAGGATTATGAGACAGAGGCATCAGCTGTAACTGGTAGTGGTGTGTGACCTTCCCATTTGGGGACAGTCTGACAAAGTTCAGCTTATCACCAAGAAGGTGTTTTTCTTGCATATCATTGTATACTACAAAGAAATGACTGGACATTTATATTTTAGTGGCATTTCCCATGTATTTTAATCAGCACAGGCTTGGGAAATGTTTTCTTTTTCTTTTTTTTTTTTTGAGATGAAGTCTTGTTCTGTCGCCAGGCTGGAGTGCAGTGGCGTGATCTTGGCTCACTGCAACCTCCACATTCCCAGGTTCAAGCAATTCACCTGCCTCAGCCTCCCGAGTAGCTGGGACTACAGGCGCACGCCACCACACCCAGCTAGTTTTTTCTATTTTAGTAGAGACGGGGTTTCACCATGTTAGCCAGGATGGTCTCAATATCCTGACCTCATGATCCGCCTGCCTCAGCCTCCCGAAATGCTGGGATTAAAGGTGTGAGCCACTGCGCCCAACTGGAACTGTCTTGTTTTTCTTGGATAACTGATGTTTCACAATGTTACACTTAGCCTTTTTTCAATTGGATTTGTCATTCTTAATAACTGCTAGATCCTTCTTTGACCCTGAAAACAAATATCTCTAAATAATCAATTCTTTTATTAGTATAGATGGTAGATGTGACAGACAAATAACTTGTTAGAACCTATTTCATACATATTGCTGGCCCCCTTTTGAAATTAATATATAAGGTAATTTTCATTTTCTGCCCTGACAGACAGATGTCATATGTAATAGTTGTTTTCAGTGTTCCTGATATATGATATTCTCATGCCTACAGATTTCTCCTGGTAGTTAAAGATTTTTCCTTTGCAGGGTGATTTTTTTTTAATGATTGTTGCATTGATAATCAACAAGTAGATGTTTGATAGGTATTGTCTCTTGTCACTATTTTGGGTTTATAAACACAACAGAGATCAGAAGGAAGAAAGGGACGTAGAAGAAGACAATGAGGAAGAAGATCCTAAGTGTAGTCGGAAGAAAAAACCAAAATTATCTCTGAAAGCTGACACCAAGGAGGATGGAGAAGAGAGAGATGATGAAATGGTGAGTGCCTCTGCCTGACACCAGGAGCACAGGGATGCATCTTTAGTGGGTAGCATCACAGTCACAAGCACTGCTCTGGAGCCCACTGAGTTCAAATGTGGGTTCCAGGACTATCTGTGTTAGTGTCAGTAAGTTACATGGCCTCTGTGTGCCTTGCTGTCCTGATCTCAAAATGGGAATCATAAACAATAGTATCCTTCTCTCAGGGTGAAAAAGTGGGATGTCCTGAAATTTAGTGCTAGGGTGAAAGGGAACATTTAAAAACCTTCAGTCTTGTAGATGAATCTTAAATTCCTCTTGACAACACAATGCCAATCTCATTTCTTTAAATTGCAGACAGATCTCATAAAACTATCTGAGTGGGCTGGGCGTGGTGGCTCATGCCTGTAATCCCAGCACTTTGGGAGGCCGAGGCCGGCAGATCACGAGGTCGGGAGATCGAGACCATCCTGGCTAACCCGGTGAAACCCCTTCCTTACTAAAAATACAAAAAATTAGGTAGGCGTGGTGGCAGGCTCCTGTAGTCCCAGCTACTCGGGAGGCTGAGGCAGGAGAATGGCGTGAACCTGGGAGGTGGAGCTTGCAATGAGCTGAGATTGCACCACTGCACTCCAGCCTGGGCGACAGAGCGAGACTGTGTCTCAAAAAAAAAAAACAAAAAAAACTATCTGAGTGGTTAAAAAATGGCACACAAATATCAGGTATATTTGGGGAAAAGCCATTCAAAATGTGTGAATTAAAACATAAATATCATATTCCTAAAGGCATCTATTAATGGTTTTATAGGAAAAGGGAACTTTGAGATCTGGAAGTGTTTCCGTTGAGATCGGTATTGTACAACTGTTACTTGGGAGTCACTGTTCTAGGAGCTGAGAATACAGGGATGCATAAGACAAATAGATGACATAGAGTCTCTCCTGGCAGAGACACTGCATTCTTGTTTAGGGGGTAGTTAATCTACAAACAAAATGAACAGGAGAAATGTCACCTAGTGATAAGTGCTACGTTGAGAATTAAAATAGGGCATTAGGATTGGCTGACTACTTTAGGTTGGGTTGTCAGGGAGCCCTCTCAAAGACGATGGCATGAACAGTGTGATCTGATGAATGAAGAGGAGTCAGCTATGTGAAGTTGAGAGTGAGGCGTCTTCTGGGTAGTAGAACTTCCAGAGGAAAGTCCTTAAGGTAAGAACTTGCACAGCATGTTTTGTTCGAGGAAATAAAAGGAAGTCTGGTCACTGGTTTAGGAGAGGGTGGAGTAAGATGAAGTTGAAGAGGTACCTGTGGTCCAGGGCATGTAGGGTTTTATGGTAAACAAGAGTCGAGGGTGTTCATTGTATTCTGAGTGTCAGGGGAAGCCTCTGGAAAGTTAAGACAAGGGAATGCTTTGATATGATGTATGTTTTAAATGACCACTGTAGCCCTGAGTGGAATCAGGGAAACCAGTTAGGAGTTTATTGCAGTAGACAACGTAAGAAGGCTGAAGATGATGGAAGTCCGTGGATTTGGGAATCAATGTTAGAGGTAGGGTTGTCAGAGTGTGTGAGGAAAAGAGAAAAATCAGGGATAAAACTTTGGCTTTAACAATTGGCTGGATAATCCTGTCTCTTACTGAGAATGGGAAGATGAGGGTGGAGTGCAGAACACAGAGTCCTTTGGCCATGATGGGTTTGAAATGCTGATTAACCATCCAGGTGAAGATCCCAAGTAGGCATTTGTCTACAGCCACATGGAGTAAGGAAGAGGAAGCTGAGGGTGTGGATTGGGAGTATCTGGCCTATGTAAGATGACCTTGAAAACCCAGGGAAAGGGACTAGAAAGAGTAGAGAAGGGAACTGGATTGGAGGAGACATCAGCAGAGGAGACAAAGAGGAGCCAGTAAGGCGTGAGGAAAATCAGAGCAGAGCGGTCACGCAGCTGAGAGCAGAAAGTGTTTCAAGGAGCGGGGAGCGGTGTCCATGCCCTTCCAACCGGTAACACGTGGATACAGTCTTATTTTGTAATAACCTCAGGCCAAAAGCAACAGTTTTCAGATGAACTATATTCTTACTTTCCTTAAAAGTTACAAAGTAAAACTGAAGAAAAGAACAACAGAAAAAGTGCTTTCTGATAGCTCTCTAACTATTCACTGGTGCCAATTTCTTGAACTTTAAAGTCATAATTTTCCTTTCTTTTTGTAGGAGAACAAACAAGATGTAAGAATCCTGAGGGGTTCGCAGAGAGCACGGAGGAAAAGACGAGGGGATTCGGCTGTACTAAAGCAGGGTGAGCTGATGAAAATAAAGTCTTACTTGTAACTTTATGAAATTGGAAATGGTTCACACAGGTGGAAATTTTAGTCATGCCACTTAAAGTATTACTTCAGGATTTTCTTTGATTCAGTTTGGTCAATAAAGATTTGAGATTTTGAGGATAAGGAAAAAAATGAAAATTCTTAACTTTCAAGTGGTTTCAGGGTAAGCATGAGAACTGTCTTCCTCCCTCCCTCTCTCCCTCCCTCTCTCCCTCCCTCTCTCCCTGCCTCTCTCCCTGCCTCTCTCCCTCTCTCCCTCCCTGTCTCCCTCTCTCCCTCCCTTTCTCCCTCCCTCCTTCTCTCCCTCTCTCCCTCCCTCTCTGTCTCCGCCTCTCCCTGTCTCCCTCCCTCCCTCCCTCCCTCTCTCTCCCTCCCTCCCTCTCTCTCCCTCCCTCCATCCCTCTCTCCCTCTCTCTTTCTCTCTCTCTCTCTCTCTGTTCCCCTCATCAAGTAGGTGTTTCCTGCCTCTGCTTCTCTATAAAACCTCTGTTCTTGTTCATTTCCCACAGTTTTAGGTTTTTAATGTTCCCTCTCAAAACATGAGCTCCTGGCGTGGAACCTGTTTTTTGCCTTCTCTTTTCATCTCTTCTGTCTTCTCTTCCCTTCCCTTCCCTTCTGTCCCCTCCCCTTCCCTTCCCTCCCCTCCCCTCCCCTCTCTTTTCGAGATGGATTCTCACTCTGTCACCCAGGCTGAAGTATGGTGGCGCAATCTCGGCTCACAGCAGCCTCCACCTCCTGGGTTCACGTGATTCCCCTGCCACAGCCTCCCAAGTAGCTGGGATTACAGGTGTGCACCACCAAGCCTGGCTAATTTTTGTATTTTTAGTAGAGATGGGGTTTCATCATATTGGCCAGGCTGGTCTCGAACTCCTGACCTCAAGCCATCTGCCCGTGTCTACCTCCCAAAGTGCTGGGATTACAGGCATGAGCCACTGTGCCTGGCCCTTTTTTTTGTTTGTTTCATTGTTCCTCAGGCAGCATTTTATTTCCAGGAGGAAACCGGCCCTGAAGCCCTTCCCTTTAGTATTTGTCTTGATGTACTTTTCTGCTTATTCTGTGTGGACCTTGGGTCACTTCCATAGAGGCCCTGGGGGATGTCCCCCACAAGGCTCTATCCCCTTGCCTGCCTCAGCTTGCAGCCTGCACAGTCAGTCATACTGTCCCGACAAACCAGGGCCATGAACCAGGTGCTTCTCCTCAGTGCCGGGGTGCATTCTAGCCTTGTTCTGTTAATTCCTCAAAAAACTGGAAATAGCCCCACCTGCCCTAGGCACACAGCTTAACTTTTGTGTCTTTTCAGAGATGACCTTCTATTTTACATCACTGAGATGAAGGGTGTAAATTCCTCAGTTCCTCTGCACTCTGCCTCCAAATGTCTGTTTCTTTCACCATCATTTCCCCTGCCCTTCTTTTTCACCTCAGATGAACTTCCAGGCCCCTGGCTCTTCTGGGACCTTGTTCCTTCAGTCACATTTTTTCCTTAAGTTTTCCGATTTTTTTCTTCTCTTTGTATACTCTACCTTAGCCTGTTCCAGTCTCATCCCCAAAGTACCTTTCTCTCAGCTTTGCTACCCATCAGGCTATTACATTTTTCCTTCATTTCCAGTATTTGTCAAATTAATCCAAAATATATAAAACTAATATTAACTGCCTCTATTATTTTTATCACTTATGTATTCTTTTTGCACCTAAAAATCTGCTTCTCACTATACTGATTGTTTTCCTTCCTTTTCAAGATTAGCAGCCACTCAATGCACTGGCCTTTCCACAGTCCTCAACTTCTTGATCTCTTAGAGAAAATTTTTTGAGCATCCTGCTTCTAGAAGCTCTCCCTTCCTGTAGCTTCTGTGGTAGTGTTTTGTTTTGACTTCCTGCTGTCTTCTTCCTTTATTCTAAGTACTTCCACTTCCATCTTCTACCCTCCTCACTGTAGGTGCAAACCACAGTTCACTTTTTATCTTGGTTCTTGGGAAGACGAGCCAGGAAGAGAGACAGAGATACCAGTCCTGGAAGTCAGAGAAGAGCCAGGCAGCGTATCAGTCAGGGACGTGTGAGTTCACAGATGCATCACTGCTGGCTTAGATTTGGAAATTCTGTCATTTCCGTCTTGCTTGCCTTTCAGGTTTGCCTCCTAAAGGAAAGAAAGCGTGGTGCTGGGCATCCTACCTGGAAGAGGAGAAAGCGGTGGCAGTGCCGGCGAAGCTGTTCAAGGAGGTACGGGCCCTTCTAGAGACGTGATCTGTAAGGGCGCAGGAGCTGGGATACCAGCCTGAATTACGATTGTTGTTTCCACTGAAATTTGACTTGGGATCATTTTCTCAGCATACAGTTTTCATGCGTGTGTTTATATGGAGGGCAGTGAACACTGACTTGTGCGTACCTCCCATGTGCCACACATGTGCCATGTGTGGGTGCACACTGACACACGTGTGCTCTTCTCTCTCAGCATCTTATGGGCTTGCTATCATGAATTTTAACAGAGATACCAATACTACCACGAAACACTAGCAGATGAAGAAAAAATGTTAGGAAATTTCATGTCAACATTGTGGCTTTGAGAGATTAAAAATGAGTTACTGGCCGGGCGCGGTGGCTCACGCCTGTAATCCCAGCACTTTGGGAGGCCGAGGCGGGTGGATCACGAGGTCAGGAGATCGAGACCATCCTGGCTAACAAGGTGAAACCCCGTCTCTACTAAAAATACAAAAAATTAGCCGGGCGCGGTGGCGGGTGCCTGTAGTCCCAGCTACTCGGGAGGCTGAGGCAGGAGAATGGCGTGAACCCAGGAAGTGGAGCTTGCAGTGAGCCGAGATTGCGCCATTGCAGTCCGCAGTCCGGCCTGGGCAACAGAGCAAGACTCCGTCTCAAAAAAAAAAAAAAAAAAAAAAAAAAATGAGTTACTACGATTTACATATTATCACAGCAAAACATCTAAAAATGGGTCACTATATTATATTAGCTATAATAAAAGTGTTTTATCATAAGTGATTTAAAATCAGTTAACAATATAGATATCAGATGTAGTTCTGAGTAGCAGTTGATGTCCCTGGACTAAACCAAGAGTTGGGGTCCGGGTGTGGTGGCACATGCCTGCCTGCAGTCTCATCACTTTGGGAAGTTGAGGCAGTAGGATCACTTGAGGCCAGGAGTTCGAGATCAGTCTGAGCAACATAGTGAGACTCGGCCTCTAAAAAAAAAAAAAAAATTAAAAATATAGCGGAGTGTGGTGTTCAAAGTTGCAGTGAGCTGCAATCCTGCCACTGCACTCCAGCCGGGACAACAGAGCAAGACCCTGTCTCTAAACAGACAAACAAAACACATACAAAAACAAGGGTTGGTAAACTTTTTTGGTAAAGGGCCAGATAGTAAATATGTTAGGCATTTCAGAGCACGTGGTCTCTGTTGCAACGACTCAGTTAGGTCATTGTAGCACAAAAGCAGCCATAGAGAATAGGTAGACAAGTGGGCATCGCTATGTTCCAGTAAGATTGTTTACAAAAACTCATGGTGCACTGGCTTTGACCCGCAGACTGGAGTTTGCTGAACCTTGGTTTAAATTATTTCATTATATTTAATCGTGGTATGTAATTAATTTGTCATAGATATATTTTTATGTAGGTGTGAACATAGCAAGCTTTTAAAAAGTGATGAATAGTAAATGTTAGTAAATGTTAGGACGATTACATCTGCATTAAGAATATTTAATTTAAATATAGTAGTAATTACATATAAACTTGTTCTCTGTAATTATTTTCTGTAGCTTTGGTCCTTTAGAGAAGAGACTTTTTCACATTAAAAAAAAAGTTTAAATGTAGCTAATTCCTTGAATCAGTAATGAATGCATGTGATTCAAAATATAAAAGTACTACAATAGTATAAAGAATGTCTCTTATAGCCCTGCCCCCCCAGGCACCAGATTTGCCTCTCCTGAAGTAACCAGTGTTACCAGTGCTTATATTCCCTTCCTGGAAAATTATATGTTCATATAAGCAATATATATATACACAGATCCTTCCCTTATGGTAACATATGTTGTGTACTTTTTGGACTTTGCTTTTTTTGTTTAACTTGACAGTTTGAAGATGCTTCTATCTGAGTCATGAATCTCTTCACCATTCTTTTATAGCAATACATAGTATTCCATCTTAGGCCTGTTCTGTAATAATTTACGTTCTTCCCTATTGATTTGCACATACATGCATGTATACTTTCAAATCTTTTGCTATATGCTTTACTGAATAATCTTCTATACCAGTCATTTTTCACATGTGTGAGAATCTCTTGGACAATTTCCTAGAGTTAGAATTGTTGTATCAAAAAGAATTTTTTGATTGATTTTATGAAATTGCTAGAGGTTGTACCAATTTTCATTCTTCCTAGTGATGTATGCGTGTGTCTGTTTTCCTACAGCTTTACCAGCACAGTGTTGTCAAACTTTTTGATCTTTAACAGCCTGATAGGTGAAACATATCTTAGTGTAATTTTACTTTGTATGTCTCTTCTGCATGAGGTCGAGCATCTTTTCAAATATGTAAAAGACAAAGGGTGTATGGCATTACATTTCCTTTCCTGGGACCTATTTGTAGCCTTGGTCCATTTTTTCAGTGGGTTATTTATTGATTTCTTTTTCTTTGGATTTTTAGAAGTTATGTATTTGGTTAAATAGTCTTTATTTTTAAAATGGTAACTATTTACATCTTTAAATAGGGCTTTGGGATAAGGGACTAAAACTGCTCTCATTTTGCATTTTAGCATCAATCCTTTCCATATAACAAAAATGGATTCAAAGTTGGCATGAAATTAGAAGGCGTGGATCCTGAGCATCAGTCTGTGTACTGTGTCCTCACCGTCGCGGAGGTAAGCTTTGCCTCGTCCTTTATTTTTAAAATAAAATGGTGATTATGGGGATTTAAAATGAGGAAAAACTGCCATTGGTTGTATTTCATGCCAGGCATGGTGCTTACTGTTTTGTGTGCATTATTTCATTTAATCTTTGTAAGAATCCTGTGCATGTTGTGGTTTTTCTCAAGCTCTGTTGTGTAGGTTAGGGAACTGAGGCTCAGAGTGATGAAGTGATGGATACAAGACCACACAGCTTCAAAGTGGTAGAACCCGGATTTGAACCAGTGTCTGTCTGATGCCATAGCCCTTGCCATAAGGAATAGACCAACAGATACTTGTGTGTGTTGTTTTTTTTTTAGTATTTCAAGGTATCTCTGTGAAATTTTTCAGGAAAAAAATGACCAAGCCAAATATATGAATATATATCTCAGTCTAATATATTACTGAGAGTACTTTAAAAACTGTGACCACACAGCTTCAAAGTGGTCGAACCAGGATTTGAACCCATGTCTGTCTGATTCTATAGGCTTTGCCATACTGTGTTCCTTAACATAAGGAACAGACCAACAGATACTTATTTTTTTTTTTTTAGTATTTTAAGGTATCTGTATAAAATTTTTCAGGAAAAAATGACCAAGTCAATTATACATACATATATTACTGAGAGTACTTTAAAAAATGTGTTTCCTCCTATGCTAGCCTTCTCCTTGCTCCCTCCCTTGAGCCAGAGGTATATCTATTTTAAAAATTCCTCCCAAAAGAATAAAATAGTCTTGTGTACTAGTTTGAGGTATTATACTATTCTTTAATTACCTTGTGAACTTGTAAGAAAGTTGGCTTCTGCAGAACACAGTACCATGTGCTGGATAATGACAGCCTCAGTCAATGATAACATACGGTTACATAGGGCATACTATGTGCCAGCGGCTAATCCAAGTACTTTTCATCTGTTAGCTCTTTTTTTTTTTTTTTTTTTTGAGATGGAGTCTCACTCTGTCACCCAGGCTGGAGTGCAGTGGTGTAATCTTGGCTCACTACAACCTCCACCTCCCAGGTTCAAGTGATTCTCCTGCCTCAGCCTCCTGAATAGCTAGGACTACAGGCGCGTGCCACCTTGCCTGGCTAGTTTTTATATTTTTAGTAGAGATGAGGTTTCGCCATGTTGGCCAGGCTGGTCTCGAACTCCTGACCTCAGGTGATCTGCCTCAGCCTCCCAAAGTGCTGGGATTACAAGCGTGAGCCACCACGCCCAGCCCATCTGTTAGCTTTTATTAGTTCTCAAAACAACCTTTTGAGGCAGAACCCTTTCCCTCCCATTTTTCAGATGAGAAACCTGAGGGCATTGAGTGTTAAAGGAACTTGTAGCTTGTAATAATGTAATAAGTAGTGAAAGGAAATAACTGGATTCTCTTACTCATATCAGAAAACTGTTGTGGAACATTTGTGTAGATTTTATTTACAGTGAGAATACTGACACTCTCAAACTTGATCAGACATTGTATGTTCTCTCCTTCCTGGACTCAAGTTTTTGTTAGACCCTTTTGAGTTGGAAGAGGAGGGTCAGAGTTTCTTGGTGGATGATTTGTGTTTGTCCTTTGAAGTGGATGATATTGCCCAGCAAGAGCGCAAGGCGTGAGTTGCTAGCCCTGAAGAATACCATCATCTAAGAGGTGGGTGCAGGAGAAAGAATAGAGCAGGATCCTGAAAAGGAACAGCGAGAGACAGAGAAAGGAACCAGGAGAGGGGCCTGCAGTAGGAACCAGGGAGAGCAGGCAGTTTAAGTGGGGAAGAAGCAGCAGTGTCAGATGCTGTGGTTGTTCTCAAGGAGCATGAGGGAATTGTGTCTTGCGCCATGGCAACTGGAGTGTTTGGGGACAGAATTGAGTTTTACAAAATCATTGTGAGGAAGCCGTAAGTATAGACTGCTTTTGAGAAGTTTAGCTATAGAAGAGAAAGGGAATTTTTATGATATGTGTCTGTTTTTCAGCTTTTGGTTTTTGCAGATTTATTTTACCTTCCCTATTTTTTATTATAAAAGTAATGTTTGCTCATTATGAAAACTTCAACTATTAATAGTGTAAGAGTGCATATTAATAAAAGTCCTGTTTCAGATCCCCCTTCCTTCCTCCCATATTCCATATCCCAGAGAGCATGACCCTTAACAGTTGACTGTGTGCCTTCCAGATGTTTTCTCTGTGTATAAAAATATGTACTGCATTTTGTTTTTGACACACAGACAAACACACGCGCGCACACACACACTTTTTTTTTTTTTCCGAGACAGGGTCCGTCTCTGTAACTGAGGCTGGAGTGCAGTGACGTGTACATGGCCTCACTGCAGCCCCAACCTTCTGGGCACAAGAGGTCCTCCCACCTCAGCCTCCCATGTAGCTGGGACCACAGGCGTGTACCACCTGATGCCCAGCTAAATTTTTTTTTTTTTTTTTTTTTTAGAAATGGGGTCCTGCAATGTTGCTCAGGTTGGTCTTGAAGTCCTGGGCTCAAGCAGTCCTCCCATCTTGGCCTCCCAAAGTGCTTGTATAACAGGCATGAGCCACCACACCTGGCATACATATTCTTTAACCATTGGGTAGTTCTCCATTTTATAGAATTGACTTTAATTCATTTAACTGCTCTCATATTGAACAACTGAGTGATCTTCATTTTTTCATTATTCAAAAAAAAAAAAAGGTCCAGTGAGCATCCTCTTACCTCTGTAAGTAGGTCTAGGATCTATCTCTAGAATTGCAAGGTGAAAAGTATGGACATATAAATTACATCTAAATCTTTGATGCTTATTGCTCCTTTTCATATTAATTTTCTCTTTTTTCTCTCCCTCCCTCCCTCCTTCCCTTCTTGCCTTTCTTTTTTTTTTTTTCTGTTTTTTTTTCGCCCCTTTGCAATGCAATGGTAAGACAACATAGTATTTGAATTCTGAAGAAGCCACTAGGGAGTAGAGTATTGGAAGATTCAGAGAAGAGGCCTGGGAGAAGATGGGACCCAGAGTATATGTGGAGATCCAAGTCTTAGGCAGAAGGAGGAGTCTCTTGCATTACAACAGGAAGGCGGAGCAGGAAGAAGTAGGGCTCGTGGATACAGAGAGGCTTGTCTGTTTGGAGGCACACATTTGGGAAACCTTCTTTGGGTTAGAAGGCAAATTACTGGCTGAGAGTGAGGATGGAGAAAGTGGGATTAGAAGCTGAAGGAGGAGGAGGGGGATTTGAAAAGACCACAGTGAAGAATGGGAGAGGGAGTTGGACAGGACCATCTAGGAGAATTGCTAGGCAGTGGCAAAGCCCAGCATTCAGGTGGAGTTGATTTTTGTTGGTCCATTTTCATTATTCGCAGTAGTTACGCTCCACAAATTACCTTGTGTGGAACCATTGCTCTTAGGGGAAATAGAGGGTTAGCTTCCTGTGAGCCTCTGGTCACATTTTTGTCTACTGATCAGTGTGTAACCTTGTTTTATGTGTGTTTCTGTTTAAAGACACCTCATTTAATGTATATCGTTCATTCATTAAAAATTGAACTCACAAGTAAGAGCACTATCACTCCTGCCTGATGAAGCTTATCTAGCACAAGTATCTTCTCTGTAAGGCAACATCACAACCTTTTGGCACTTAGGGACACTAAACAACACCTCAGCACTATGTCAGGGGCCATTTTAAACAGTAACATCACCCAAGAAAAGCACAAAAATGTAGAATATGTGGCACTAAATGGACCACACAAAAGACACTTATTCCCAGTACGAGAACTGAAACAGGAAGGTAAAGCTCCTTCTTGATTGACTTCAGCTGGGAACATGCATGTTGAGTGACTCAAAAGTGTTGTCAGTCTGTGCATGTCCACGAACACTGCGAGTATTATTTTGGGGTTACAAATAAATTGTAGCAAGTAGATGACTTCACAAACGTGGAATACAGTATGTGAATAATGAAGACTGGCGGTATGTCATTTTTTCCTTCCCATCACCATTTACTAGACTTGGTTAGGTGGAGACAAGATGGATACCTGAAATGATAGAATGTCACCAGGCAAATATTTTGCAAAGGATATCAGGGCAGAAATTTTAAAATGTTGGCAAGAAAATGTTTTTTAAATGATTGCTAGGAAAGGAAGGCTTGGGGTGAGGAGAGCTGCTAGGGAGGAAGTAAAAGGATCAGTGTGAGACTAGAGTTTCTGTTGAGATTGAGGAAGAGGCATCTGGGGGTAACTGGGTTTGCAGACTGGAATAGGAGTATGTGTCCCAGGGTTGGATTTTTAAATTTAATACTAAGAAGCAGAGCAGTTCTTGTTGGGGACTAGATTCATGGGAGTGAGGGCTTGAAGTAGAGAGGAAGGGAGTCAAAATGCCAGGGTATTGGATAAGTCATCCATATGGATGACGAAAGTACTCAGATGGAAAGGAAGAGAATAAGCCAGGGCTAAGTGTTTGGGTGGTTAGCATGGGGGAAGAAGAGGAGGAGAGTTGCTTCAGCCATATGGCTCGAGCCTCGGCAGGGGAGAACTGGCCTAGGATCCATGGTGTGGTGGGAGGCAGCAACCCGTCCTGTGTCTATGGGAGGTAGAGTTGGGAACATGAGCACCCTTGGGGAAAGGCTTGAGAAGGACGAGCTAGGTATGACTGTGGGCAAGGAGGGTGAGGATGTAGGAGATTGTTTCTCAAAGCATAGCTTTCCGGTGAGCCTGAGATAGAGACTATGGGGAGAACAGAGAGAGCTTGGCTCAAGGGAGCAGAAGCTCAGAACGGTGTGCCCACAAGGAACTAGAGGCTGTAAATTACTATAGGGCTGAGCTCTTAGGATCGGCCAGATATAGCTGACTGTGAGAGAGAGGAGAGAAGCAGCCTTCTTTGCATGGGGTGGCTGTAGGGAGTGGGGGTAGCTCCTGCTTTACCTGAGAGATTGTATTTCCCAGGGATTCCAGTCTCAGCTGTATGGAGAGACTCTGTTCTCTCTGGGGGGAGTCAGCTTAGTTGTAAATTTGATGTATGTGGTATATCAATACATTCTAATTGAAAAAATGCTGATACATAAAAGAAAATATGAAAAGTCCATCATTCCCATTTTGCCCCTTCCTTTTCACTACCACTTCCTAGAAGAAATCATTATTAACATTTTGGCAAATATACCTCCGGACTTCTTTTTACTATGTGTTTACATATGTATGCATATGTGTGTATATTAATGTATGTATATAAATGCATATACTTATGTATATACACATAATACACATATGTATACATAATCATATACCCATAAATACATGTGGACCCCCACATGTCTAATTTTCTCATAAACTTAACTCATTCTGTGTTATGTGTTCTACCACTTGAATTTTAACTATATGTTTTAGAGAACTTTCCATGACAGTAACTGTACAGCTACCTCACTATTTGAGGATTAATTGCCCTGGCTCTGCACTCTGGTCTAAGTTCATCATTCAGGGTTCTGCAGGACAGACACTCCTGGAGCGGGTAGAGGTCTGGCGTGATACGTGTTTCTACTTGAACACATCTTCTTGTGTTAGTGGGAAGAAGTCTCAGGGGCTGAACCCTCTCTCTAAGAATCCAGGGCAGGGTATGATCCAACTCAGGTCTCGTAAGCCTATATGACCTTCTAAATCAGAATGTCTCTAAGTGGGGCCCTGTAGGCATATGTATGGCATGTGTTATACAGAGTACATTCTTACTAGCATTCTTAGGAGCCTGTCTCATCCAAGTAATAAACTAGGAGAGACGCTTTTCTTTCTTTCTTCCAACCCAGCTTTGGTGGAGAAAAAAAGCTTGACTTCTGTGCATATGCACCAGCTGTGGTCTGCAGCCTTCAGTGCAGGGCAGACTGTCCACTCTGGGGCCATGCTAGAGCTGAGTGTGCTGTGCTGGTGTGCCTTCCAGCTTACCCTGGGGACACATCTTGGTACAACATAGGGAGTGGAGAAAGGACCTGCAATTGTGGGATATTATGCTTTGCCCCCTATCCGTGTGGTTGTAATGTAACTGAGAATGTTGCCAGAATGCCACAGCTCAGCTCTTCCCACTTTAATAGCTTTTGTCTTTAGATTCTGGTTATTTGTTTAGTTGTTTTATTACTGTTAATGTGGGTGGTTTGATTAACATTAAGACTATATCATGCCTGGTGTCCATGTTTATTTTTGTGTATATATATATATATATGAATATTCTGAGTTAAAAAAAATAATTCAACCTATTTTACCTGTTTCAGGTTTGTGGATACCGGATAAAGCTTCACTTTGATGGGTATTCTGATTGCTATGACTTCTGGGTGAATGCAGACGCTCTGGATATCCACCCAGTTGGGTGGTGTGAGAAAACCGGCCACAAACTCCATCCTCCAAAAGGTTTTGTCACTTTTTGTTTGATATTTTAAATTCAGTAAAAACTCATTTTCTTACATGCTACATTAGAATTGTTAAGAATTCAGACTTTATGAAAATTCAGATAGGCACAAATTTAACCTTATTGTTTATGATGAAACCATGTTTATTAAAGTTAAAGAAATAAAAGCAGAATCCAGCCTAGGAAAATAAAGTATGTTCATATGCTTATTTTCATGTAAAATAACATTTGCATGATACTCAACTTTGACTACAAATAATGTTTACCTGCAAATTTCTATTATTAAATACATACATCTTTGAAAAAACTGATTTGAAAAATTAGTTTAAATTAGTTTATATAACTAAGTTTAGTGTTAACTGGTTTAAACTAATTTTTCAAATCAGTTTTTCATTATATAGAAAATCCTGAGAAATTATGCTTGACCGTATAGATCTTAATATTTAGGAGATTGGCAAGAAGACTGTAACACTAAAAATTGGCTTAGGTGGGGGGTTGAACTCATAGCAATTACTTTTCTTATATTTGAGTACTTTATATTATAGTCCCCCAGTGATTTTCCTATTTCATGTTTATATCAAAGTTCAAGAATAACAGATATCGTCTTTTTCACTGTCTGCCTAAAGTATTCCCTAATTTTTTTTTGAGACGGAGTCTTGCTGTGTCGCCCAGGTTGCAGTGCAGTGGTGTGATATTGGCTCACTGCAGCCACTGCCTAGCAGGTTCAAGTGATTCTCCTACCTCAGCCTCCCGAATAGCTGGGATTACAGGTGCCTGCCACCATGCCTGGCTGATTTTTGTGTTTTTATTAGAGACAGAGCTTCACCATGTTGGCCAGGCTGGTCTCAAACTTCTGGCCTCAAGTGATCTGCCCACCTTGGCCTCCCAAAGTGCTGGGATTACAGGTGTAAGCCACCGTGCCCGGCCATATTTAGTAATATCTTATTCCCTTCTATTTCAATCATTACATTGATTTTTGTTTATGTCAAAAATTCAGGTTACTGGGTTGATATTTTTGGCCTGTCTCAGGGCTTTAATGCATTAGCCATCCCTTTGTTTTAAGTGAAAAAATAATGGCAGAGTGGTATTTTCAGATAGCTGAAGGATTCAACAAAATAGCATAGAAAAAGTGAGGGTGAAAAAGAAAATCTGTAAGCCTTTTCACGAATTGATCTCTTATATATGGTAAATTATTAGCTGGTTTTTTCATGCTGCTTTCTGGACTTTAATGAATGTAAAATAAAGCATATTCGCAGATAAAATAAGATGCTCAATTTCCTTTTTAAAGGAAATGTTAACTTCAATGAAATTGTAAAAATTAAGGGGAGGACATTTCCCTTATTGTAATTTGCCAGCATCCTTACTTCATAAACCTTAAATTGTCCTTCTTGAAGTGATAGGCCAAAAAGATTTTACCTGTTTCATTTCTATTATTTCCACCTTTCCACTTGTTCCTATAAGTTAGTCTTCCCAAAATAGACTAGGTGAGAGAAAAATAAAGAATTTTGACTATTGTAGTTCAGTATCTATACCGCTGAGGAATTCTACCTAAATACTGGTACAAATACCCTGATAATAAGTGTCCTGGGTATAATACATATTTGTTTCCTTATTCCTTTTCTTTATATCCATTACCATTCATTCAGAATTGGAAAATAATAATACAGTTTGTTGAAAATAAACATAGTCTAAATATGCATAGTTATGAATTATGAGTTAAATTTTGTTTATTTAAAAAGTCATTTGATTGATTTTGGCATGTTAGAGATAAAAGTGGGACTGGAAAACTAAGTGTAAAATATTGTGGTATTTGAATCAATCTGTTCATATGTGCTTACTCTAGGGTATAAAGAAGAAGAATTCAATTGGCAGACCTATCTTAAGACATGTAAAGCTCAAGCTGCTCCTAAGTCATTATTTGAAAATCAGAATATAGTAAGTACATACGAAACACGTTTTCTTTCAAAGGAAGAAGTTTTTTGAGTGTCTCATAGGATCAATTACAAGTGATAACAAGGAACTATAATAAATTTTATCGCCTTGGTAAATAGAGTACTCTTATCTTAATTAAAGTTTAAAATTAGCTTAAAATCTTCATGAACAAATATGTTTTATAGCCATATTATGGTTGTCTCTTTTATTGCATAGTAGAAGACAAGATAGTACAAGATTCAGGTGAGATTTACAATTAAGATGCATAAAAAATTAAATTGGCTGAGATATTTTATTGTTATTATCACTTATATGGGAGTGCTGTTCAAATGGGATTCACATAGCCAGATGAAGGTAGCCCTGTTTCAGTTTACATGTAGGAGGTCACTGGAGACTGTGACATATCTTCACTCTAGCTTATAGCTTTGTTTACAGTAAACAAAAACAAAATCTGGATGTGCGTGTCTTTTCTACTTGACCGGTATTCCTGCTTTCCATAACATGTTCCTCCATTGGCCGACTTGATCCATGACATTTTTCTTTTCCCAAGTTCTGATCTAATTGGAAAGAATAAAGGGCAAGCCAGTGGAAAACCAAAATGCCATCTTTACAGATGGTCAGAGCTGAGTTGGAGGACGTGCATGGCTTGTATCTGCAGACAAATAAGCTTGATTCTGAGCCCTAGAATGGAAGAGATTTAATTCGCCTTTCACGCCCATCCCCCAAGCCTGGAGAACACTAGACCCTTGAGGAGCAGAGTGGAAACTGTGCACCCTGCAGCCCAGCTTTCTCTCTAGTATGATCAGTTCCTCCTTTCCAGAGTCACCAGGCTGGTAGCAGTGAGTGAGACAGTGGGGAGAAGCAGTAATGTTTCACTAACAGCATTCCCTTCAAATGGAAATAAATAAATATCAAGAGCAGGAGAAACCTCCTCACTCCAAAAATCCTTCATTTGGGAAACAGTGTTAACCAGTTGGTTTGAGAGCATCAATCTAATGGCTGAAATGTTTTCTGATTTAATCAAACACAAACCAGGTTGGATTACAGAACTGACACATTGTGTTTGTGTGCATGCGTATGTGTGTTTAGGTTAGTAATAGTGTTAATGGGCCAGCTTATTATTTTAAAACATCTTAATTGAGAGGATAGTGTAATTGCCAAAGTGTAACAGTGCATTGTCAGTTGGTATTCTCTGTCAAAACTTATCCCAGGGAGGAAGGTCAGTTGGGTGGAAAACTTAGCAGCCTGCTGTCTCTGCTCCAAGTTTCCTAATCCCTGTCTGGTTCTCTGATGATGACTTCAGTCAGGGATTTGATTAACTGCCTTGAACGGTCTTCCTAAATTCTATGCATTGCCAGCATACAACTTAATCTTGGGCTCTCCATTTCGTATCTAAGAGACAATTAATTTTTCCATTTCTAGATTACCTCAGAATACTCAAACATTTATGATCAGAACTCGGATAAATTTCAGTACTTAAATGCATAGTAAAGATTTCTGTATAGCATTAGTGCCTGTTCTATCCATTCAGACACAACTTATTCTAACATTTTCAGATACACGGCTGTCTACATTTTTGCAATGATAGTTGTATAATTATAGTAAAATGAGAGATAGCATTTATTTTGCCTAAAGTAGTTAGAATAATATCTGTATAATTGAGTCTAACAGAGGTTTTTGTTTGTTTTTTGTTTTTTGTTTTGTTTTGTTTTGTTTTTAGGGAAGGAATGACTTGTAGTGTGTTGTGATTTGCATAATTGGTATCTAGATATACTAGTCTATAATATGTAGAGATAGATAGATTAAGATATTATTCCTCACAAAAGATTGTAAGAGATTTTATATATTACTGTACCTTAAGCACTAACTCTTACAGAACTTTCATTGTTTTTGTTCCATGTTCTGAATGACTGGTTATCTGTGGATTTCTTTAAGTTACCAACTATTTTGAATAGCTTTGTACATCAACAGCCAATTCTTTTGCTGCTATTAGGAATAAAATATATCTGTAGTGTTGAGTAAAAGTTGTAATAATTTGCAGCCTTTCATATATGAAGATGACCTACTTTCGAGAGTACTCTTTTGAGAGATATTTTCGGAAGTGGGAGTGAATTTGTACTGACTCATGCACATTTTTAACTTGATTAAGTGCATATTTTGTGTGAATAATTTTCATTGTTAAGTCTGTAATCAAGAAAAGAAGGATAAAATGTGAACTATATGGTGAATAAAACTTGCCTACCTATTACAGTTTTCTAATTAAGGCATCAAAACACATGTTAAAATTAATTATTTTAAATTCTGTGAGGTGATGGATATTTTCGTTTTGAGGCCCAGATAGCTAATTGGGTGTAACAGTAGGACCTTTTTTT